>NC_000006.12:108820790-110070790 GCF_000001405.40 Homo sapiens
TTCATTTCATTTCTTTTTTAAAAAAGAGTGTAATGATTAGTTCAAATCCTAATCTGGAACCACGTGGTGTCTAAATAAAATTAAATAAAAATGCCATTGCTGTCAGATTAAACACACCACTCTCCAGCAGATAATCCTGCAGTGGCTTCCCCTTACTGCAAAATTGAGAACCAGTGCCTTTGTCCTGAATTCAAGGATCTCTATGTTGGGTCTCAACAGCTTCATTGTTCTGTCTCACTGTTCTCCTTTTGAAAATAACAACCTTGCCAAACGCTGCTTCTCCCAAGAAGACTGCACCAATCTCAGCTCCCAAACCAGACCCTCTCCTCTTCTGCATTCACAAGAGTTCGTCTGCCTTCCGGGCATCCCTCTCATTTTGTCTTGCAATATATGCATTTACTTATCTTTCAATCCACCTTCCAACCCTCACAGTCTAGGCCCTTGGAGCATGAGAACTGATGTTACTTTACTTTTTTTTTTTTTTTTTTGAGACAGAGTCTTTCTCTGTCACCTAGGCTGGAATGCAGTGGCGCCATCTCGGCTCACTGCAACCTCTGCCTTCCAGGTTCAAGCAATTCTCCTGCCTCAGTCTCTCTCGTAACTGGGATTCCAGGCACCTGCCACCACACCCAGCTAATTTTTGTATTTTTAGTAGAGACGGAGTTTTGCCATGTTGGCCAGGCTGGTCTCGAACTCCTGGCCTCAAGTGATCTGCCTGCCTTGGCCTCCCAAAGCACTGGGATTACAGGCATGAGCCACCACACCTGGCGGGGTTTACTTATCTTTGTAATCCCCTGAGTGCTTGAGCAGATATAACACTCAGTAAATGTATGTTGATTGACGGCAGGTCACAAAAAATATTTTTATAAGGATATTATTAAGAGATTTGTGCTCAAACCATTCGTGGAAGTTGTCTGTGCAAATTGTTTAAGCTGTTAGGGATAGGAATTCTGTAGCCTAACCAAGTGAGCCTACTTTTTAATTTAACCGTGTTTCAGGACAAAACTTTCATTATTTTGGCAAACCAAAGTTGATTTTTCTGCAATATTACTCCTTTTCTCTAATTTTAGCTTTAATAAAGTTAGAAGCTAGTTGAACAATTAAATTAGAATATAAAAGGCTAGTAGAACAATTTGGTCTGGATAGGAAAGAATCCAAAGAAAACAAAGGAGACTCGGTTTTGGGGCAGGCAGGACATCCCTGGGTCAACCTTGTTTTTCTACTTAAAAGCAAGCTCGTAGGCCGGGTGCAGTGGCTCACGCCTGTAATCCCAGCACTTTGGGAGGCCAAGGCGGGCGGATCACCTGAGGCCAGGAGTTGGAGACCAGCCTGGCCGACATGGTGAAACCCCGTCTCTTCTAAAAATATAAAAATTAGCCAGGTGTGGTGGCAGGTGCCTGTAATCCCAGCTTGGGAGGCTGAGGTAGGAGAATTGCTTGAACCTGGGAGGTGGAGGTTGCAGTGAGCCAAGATCGTGCCATTGCACTCCAGCCTGGGCAACAGAGCAAGACTCCGTCTCTAAAATAAAAAATAAAAAAATTAAAGCAAGCTCATGGTTTACTCCACAACTCATTTGACAAAGCTACCAAACAGCTTCAGTTCTTCTTGTCAGATAAAGATGCATACTCAGGCTGTTAAAAGACCATTTGAGGAGGTCTTCCTTATTTATTTCCCCTACCTTACTCCCAAAAGGATTTGAGTTGGCTTTATACAAATGCACACAATATATCAAACTAAAACAGACAAAGAGGGCAAGGGGAAGATAAAAGTGGAATAGTAAGATAAAGACAACAGTGAAGTTAGTTCATGGAAATGAAGAAGTTCATGGAGCTTCTAAATTTGGCTCTGAGCCTCCTGGGCACCAAGTCAAAGAAGGGAACACATTGGCTACACATTTCACAGAGTGTTTAAAATCAAAACCTAGTTCCCTAGCACCTGTGTGCCAGAGACTGCACCCCACCTCTCAGCGGCGGTTCTCTTTATTTAGGGTCGGTTATCTGGTGCCTGCCGAGGTGGGCCACATGTGTTTGAAACCGTAGAGTAGCAGGGGAACCCTCAGTTAAGCCTGTGGTCCATCTGCCTTTAAGCACAATGCCTATTCTTGACATAAGTCAACCTAGCAAGGCTGGCTTCAAGAAAGAACTCATTCCCCAGGGCAGCATCACATGCAAGATCTTCAGCAGTGGTCATGGTAGTGAGAGTTGCCACCAACAATGACCTTAGAAAAGTCAAAAGTGGAAAAACAGTCTTTAACCTCTTCTTGGCAATTGACATCTTCCTTGTTTCTGCCCCCCAAGAAACCATGATACTCTCTGGTACTGAAAGCCCCACCCTGCTTCCCCCAGAATCCTCTGCCTAGTGGCCCTGGCTCCACATTGCTTTTCTTCTTCCCCACATCTTCCCAAAGAAGATGACACATTTCTCTCTCAGATAGCTATTGGGAGGAAACCCATGTAAGTAAAATCATTAATACAATCATGTGCATGACCGATATATAAGCCTCCCAGGAATGGATTTTATTTTTTGAGAATAGCTTTTTAACCCACTTAAAACTCTAATTAACTGACTAGAGGATTGATTGAGTAATAGATTGTGGGTGTGGGTAGCACAGAGCCAGAGACTTTTTAACAATGGCACTTCCTCTGGTGTCTCTTGAATGCCTTTAACGACCACTTTGTCATCCATCAAAGGCCAAGGATCTAGCAATTTGACATTGAACTTCTAAAAATTTACAACCATTGCCCTGATGGTATGTGCAACAGACTGGAGTCACTTAAACCAGTTATCTCTCTAAACCTCAACCTTAATTCATTAAGGGGAGTAACAATAGAAGTTACTTGAGGAAATTTGGATATGAAAGTCATTGGCATATACTTTCTCTTCCCTTTTTTCTATCATTCATCCTCCTTCCTTTACACTCTTGTTAAATGTAACAACCGGTTTCATGCTTGAAATCGAACCTCCTTGGCCAGGCGCGGTGGCTCACGCCTATAATCCCAGCCCTTTGGGAGGCCAAGGCAGGCGGATCACAAGGTCAGGAGATCGAGACCATCCTGGCTAACACGGTGAAACCTCGTCTCTACTAAAAATACAAAAATTAGCTGGGCGTGGTGGTGGGCGCCTGTAGTCCCAGCTACTCGGGAGGCTGAGGCAGGAGAATGGCGTGAACCCGGGGGATGGAGCTTGCAGTGAGCCAAGATTGTGCCATTGCACTCCAGCCTAGGTGACAGAGTGAGACTCCATCTCAAAAAAAAAAAAAAAGAGAAATTGAACCTCCTTAAAAGCACTTTTCGTCCCACCCTGCCTGCAGTTGCTCTGTTTCTGGACAGTATAGAGCATTGTCTCATATATTACTCTACTGTCCACCTTCCATACAAATCTTTCCCATTGGTGTTGTCTCATAATTAAGGCTATCAGCCTGCTGGTAGGCTGGTTTTGCCAAGAAGTTAGATGTGGGGTACTCACTGCTTATTGCTCAAGAGTTATTAGGTTGGTGCCATTAAAAGTAATGGCAAAACCACAATTACTTTTGCACCAACTTAATACATGGCACGTGCCACCTGCTCCATACTGCTTTGTCCTACATCACCTTGCCAATGGGAATAGAATTGTCAGCAGCATTCATCAAGGGGAAACACCTTGTGATTATTTAAATCGGTTCTATATACTTTGTGTATTAAGGCCCAAATTATGCTTTACTTTCTCTTATGTACAGTTGGGTTTCAGAGTTGAGCATTTGGGTAATTTTGAGCTTCTCAATAAATAATTTCCAAATTTTGAATATATTTTAAAATAATATACAATAGTGACAGAGTGCTTTGGTTGGACAAACCCTCCCAAACAATAATTATGATATCTGGGAAACATTTTTTATAAAAATGATTATGAGAAAGTTGTGAAAAATAACCAAAAGCTTTGAGAAATTAGATAGGAATCTGCTGTGGTAAGACTCACTCATTTGCAGCAGCTTTTTGCTTTCGCTCACTTCCCAATCTGTGCACAGTTTAAGGACAGCAGAAATTCACACCGTCACTGGGTTGACTAGTCAGATGCAAACAACACATTTTATGCAGGAGAAGAACAATACATATAACACCTTCTAATAATAGCAAAGGCCATGCTGGGCATGGTGGCTAATGCCTGTAATCCCAGCATTTTGGGAGGCCAAGACAGGTGGATTACCTGAGGTCAGGAGTTTAAGACCAGCCTGGCCAAAATGGCGAAACCCTGTCTCTACTAAAAATACAAAAATTATCTGGGTGTGGTGGTGTGTGCCTGTAATCCCAGCTACTTGGGAGGCTGAGGCATGAGAATCACTTGAACCTGGGAGGCAGAGGTTGCAGTGAACCAAGATGGTGCCACTGGACTCCAGCCTGGGTGACAGAGTGAGACTCCATATCAAAATAATAATAATAGTACAGGCCAGAATAAAATGGAATAACATATTTAAAGAACAGAAAGGAAAAAAATAATTCATTCACTGGAGAATTCTATCCAACATTTAACAAAGTAATAATACCAGCTTTAGACAAAATCCTTTAGAAAATAGAGAAAGGAGAAATATTTCACATCTATTAGCAGGCCAGTAAAACCCTGATACCAAAATCAGACAAAAGCATTAAATGAAAAGAAAATTAAAGATCACTATATGTCATGAACATGACACAATAATTCTGAACAAAATGATACATCATGATAAAGCAGGTTTGCTCCAAGAATGCAAGGTTGGTTTAATATTTAAAAATCAAACAAATGCATTCCTCCCAAATAACAGAATAACAACACAGATTATCACAGTAGACGCAGAAAAAGCATTTGACAGAACTTGACACTCATTCATAGTTAAAAAAAAATAACCTCTGAAAACTTGGAACAGAAGAGAACTTCCTCAATCCGATAAAGGGCACTTATAAAAAATTTACAACTAATACCTATATCTATTGTTGTAAAGATAAATACCTTAAGATTAGGGAATATCTGCTCTCACCATTTTTAGTCAATATATACTGGAGGTGTTAGCCATTGTTATAATTGTTGTAAGGCAAGAAAAACAAAATAAAAATTAGAAAAATTAGAAACGAAGTAAAACTCTCCCTATTTGCAGATGTCATGATTGTTTACTTAGAAAAACCCAGGGAATCAACAATAATAACAGCAAAAATCTAAAACTAGCAAATGAATTCAGCAAGACCTCAAGATACAAAATCTATAAAGATATATAAGCATAAAAATGTATATTTCTGTATACTAGCAGGAAATAATTAGAAAATAACATAATAGCCCCAAATAATTTTATTTATAACAGCAACAAATTATAAACTACTTAGGACTAAATTTAATGAAAGATCTCTACATGAATGTAAAACCTCTACACTGAAAACTATAAAATAGGCCAGGCACAGTGGCTCAAGCCTGTAATCCCAGCACTTTGGGAGGCCGACGCAGGCAGATCACGAGGTCAGGAGATCAAGACCATCCTGGCTAACACAGTGAAACCCCATCTCTACTAAAAATACAAAAAAATTAGCCGGGCATGGTGGCAGGCACCTGTAGTCTCAGCTACTCGGGAGGCTGAGGCAGGAGGATGTCGTCAACCCAGGAGGCAGAGCTTGCAGTGAGCTGAGATCACGCCACTGCACTCCAGCCTGGGCGACAGAGCAAGACTCCGTCTCAGGAAAAAAAAAAAAAAGAAAAGAAAAAAGAAAACTATAAAATATTGCTGAAGGAAATTAAGGAACTCCTAAATGAATGGTGAGTTATACTATGTTTATATACAGGGTGACTTAATACTTTTAAGATGTTAATTCTCCCACATTCTCAAATGCACATAAAAATGCAAAAGACCTAAAATAGCCAAAACATTACTGAATAAGAACAAAGGGCTTACCTACTGTGGCAGGCTGAATAATGGCTCCCTAAAGATGTTCATGTCCTAATACCCAGAACCTGTGAATATGTTACATTAATAGGCAAAAGACATTTTGCAGATGCATTAAGAAGCTTAAGATACAAGAATACCCTGGGAACATGCTAGATTACTTGGGTAGGACAAATTCAAGGGTCTTTATAAGAGAGAAGCACTAAGATTAGAGTCAGAGATGGAAATAAGATGACAGAAGCAGAGCTTGGAATGATGTAGTCACAAGCCAAGGAGTGCAGGCAAACTTTAGAAACTGAAAGAGGCAAGTAAAGGATTCCTTCTGGAGCCTCAAGAAGGAACTAGTCCTGCCAACACCTTGGTTTTTGCCCCTAACACTCATCTCAGACTTCTGACCTCCAGAACCTTAAGTGAATATATTGGTATTGTTTTAAGTCACAAAGTTTGTAGTAATTTGTACTAGCAAGTTAGAATATTGATATGGCTTTGATTTGTGTCCCCACCCAAATCCTATGTTGAATTGTAATCCCCAGTGCTGGAGGAGGGGCCTGCTGACTGGACCATGGTGGTGGATTTCCAGTGGTTGGGCATCATGCCCCAGTGCTGTCTCATGATAGAGTTCTCACGAGATCTGGTTGTTTAAAAGTGTGTGGCACCTTCCCCCCATCTCTTCTCTTCCTCTTGCTCCAGCCATGTAAGATGTGCTTGTTGCCCCTTCTGCCATGATTGTAAGTTTCCTGAGGCCTCCCCAGTCATGCTTCCTGTACAGCCCACAGAATTGTGAGCCAATTAAACCTCTTCTCTTTATAAATGACCCAGTCTCAGGTATTTCTTTATAGCAGTGTGAGAACAGACTAATACAGAAACTAACTTATCTACCATATAAGACATATACTCTAATAGTAATATAGACAGTGTGGTATTGGCATAGAGATAGTCATATCAATCAATGAAAAATAATAGAATCCAGAAATAGAGCCTCACAAGTACGGTCTATTGACGTTTCACAAAGGTGCCAAAGAAATTAATGGGGAAAAAAGTATTTTCAAAATGATGGTGGGACAACTGGATATCCACATTTAAGAAATAAACCCTGACCTCAGATAATACACAAAAATTATTTTGAGATGAATTATAGATATAAACATAAAGGCAAAAACTACGAAGTATGTACAAGAAAACACAGGAAAATATCTTTACATCTTTGGAGTTGGCAAAAAATTACTCAGACAGGATAAAGAAAGTGAAAACCACAAAAAAATTAACAAATTAGTCTTCACCAAAATTAAGATATTCTGCCTGTCAAAAGACACGATTAAGAAAACAAATAGACAAACCACAGACTAAAAAATATTCATAAAACATGTATCTGACAAAGATCTTGTATCAGAATATATAAAAGAACTCCTAAAACGCAATAATAAAAAAAGAACAGCCCAATCTTTTAAAAGGGAAAAATGTTTGAACGGACACTTCACAAATGAAAATATACACACATAACTAATAGCATATGACAAGGCAATCAGCCTCATTACTCACCAGGGATATGCAAATGAAAAGAGCAATGAGATGCTACTATATATCCACCAGGGTGGCTAAAATCTAAAAGGCAGATAAAGCATGTTAGCAAGGATGTGGAGTAACTGGGATTTTCATATGTTGATGTATAATGTGGAAGGTATATGTTGGACTATAAAATGGTTCAACCACTTTGGAAAATGGTCTGACAGTGCCTTATGCAGAGCACAGAGTTACACTTTGACTTAGAAATTCCATTCCTAAGTATTTATTGAAAAGAAATGAAAACGTGTCCTCAAAAAGGCTTGTACAGAAATGTTCATAGCAGCTTTTCTTCACAACAACCAAAAGCTGGAAGCAACTCAATATCCATCAACCAGAGGATAGATAAGCAAAATGCAATATTTGCTTATCTAGTCCATTGTATTCTATAACGGAATACAACTCAGCAGTGATAAAGGAGGAACTACTCAACAGCACCGACAAACCTCACAAATATTATGCTAAGTGAAATTAGATTCAAAAAGTACACAGAGAGTTCCATTTTGGTGAAGTTCTAGAACAGGCAAAAATAATCAAGGTGAGAAAATGAAAGCAGTGACTTCCTCTGAATGGGGGACGACACGGAGAAGACATGAAGAGACTTTCTGGGGAAACAGAAATGTACTCTATTGTAATGGGGTGTAGGTTACATGTCAGTATTCATTTGTCAGAATTGTACAGTTAAGATTTGTGCACCCTCTTGGGTAGAAATTTTACCAAAAGGACTAAGTAAAAATTATTTATTTGAGACGGAGTCTTGCTCTGTCGCCCAGGCTAGAGTGCAGTGGTGCGATCTCAGCTCACTGCAACCTCTGCCCCCTAGGTTCAAGTGATTCTCCTGCCTCAGCCTCCCAAGTAGCTGGGATTACAGGCACCCACCACCGCACCTGGCTAATTTTTGTATTTTTAGTAGAGACGGGGTTTCACCATCTTGGCCAGGCTGGTCTCCAACTCCCGACCTCATGATCCACCTGCCTCAGGCTCCCAAAATGCTGGGATTACAGGTGTGAGCCACCGCACCCAGCCTATTTAGTTTTTTGAGATGGAGTCTCACTCAGTCACCCAGACTGGAGTACAGTGGCACAATCTCAGCTTACTGCAACCTCCGCCTCCTGGGTTCAAGCAATTCTCCTGTCTCAGCCTCCTGAGTAGCTGGGACTACAGGCGTGTGCCAACATACCGGCTAATTTTTGTATTTTAAGTAGAGACCAGGTTTTACCATGTTGGTCAGGCTGGTCTTGAACTCCTTACCTCAGGTGATCCACCCGCCTCCACCTCCCAAAGTGCTGGGATTACAGGCATGAGCCACCGTGCCTTGTCTAAGTAAAAATTATAATAACTGGATGTAAATGTGGGAGGGGAAAGGGGAGAGATATAGATCAAACAAGAATGGCAGAATATTGATAATTGTTGAGACTGAGGGTTGGCTAATAGGAGCTTATTCTACCCTTGTCCACTTTGTATGCACTGAAAATTTTTCCTAATAAATTTGTTTTAATAGTGATGTAGGCCGGGCGCAGTGGCTCACGCCTGTAATCTCAGCATTTTGGGAGGCCAAGGCGGGCAGATCACAAGGTCAGGAGATCGAGACCATCCTGGCCAACATGGTGAAACCCTGTCCCTATGCATGCCTGTAGTCCCAGCTACTCAGGAGGCTGAGGCAGGAGAATCACTTGAACCCAGGAGGTGGAGGCTGCAGTGAGCCGAGATCGTGCCACTGCACTCCAGCCTGGGCGACACAGCGAGACTCTCTCTCAAAAAAAAAAAAAATTTATGTATAATTCCTTTTGACTACTATAAGACCCACTGAACATTATCTAGTATTTCTAATTAGCTGGAGGTTTAAAATGAGAAATTAAATGGCTTACACCATGAATGTGTCTCTCTTCTTTGATCATTTTCATTTGTTTCAATGTTCAAAAACAGAATAGAAGTCATTACTGCAATGTGGTCTTGAGCTTTACAACTAACATTTCTTCAGAGAATAGACAAAAGAATTTTGGTTTTACTTGAAAATTCACAAGCAAATTGTGAATTCACTTTAGCAAATTGTATGAGAATATGTTTAGTAAACTCAAAATATTAAACTGTCTAACTTAAAAAAGTTCTACTAAATATAATACTTAAAAGTTTAAGACGGATGGCTGGTTGCAGTGGCTCATGCCTGTAATTCCAGCACTCTGGGAGGCCAAGGTGGGCAGATTGCTTGAGTCTAGGAATTTGAGACCAGTCTGGGCAACATAGCGAAACCCCATCTCTACTAAAAATACAAAAAATTAGCTGGATGTGGGGGCGCATGCCTGCAGTCCCAGCAACTCAGGAGGCTGAGGTGCGAGAATCACCTGAGCCCAGGAGGTCAAGGCTGCAGTGAGCCAAGATTGTGCCACTGCACTCCAGCCTAGGCAACTGGAGTGAGACCCTGTCTTGGAAAAAAAAAAAAAAAAAGTGTTTAAGATGGAAATTTTATGTGTATTTTATCACAGTTTTAAAAAATTATGTAAGTTTAAAAAAATCCAAGTGAAGGATGAAATGATTTTTTTCTTCCACATCCCCAATATTTATTTTTCTTGCTTTTTGAGGTCACACAGTATTCACTATTACAGTTCCTAGAAATAAAATACTTGGAAAAATATTTCATATAATTGTCCTCAAGTTCCCAAGAAGCAAAGATCTGGGATGCCAATATTCCCTTAAATTTTAAAACAAATGTTCCATGAACAGTTGATTCATCTGTAAACTTCTTCATGAGTTTAATTTTAGCGGCTTGCTTTATATCAGCCTTTTTATTTCATAACTTAAACACCCCAATTTTGATAGGGGAACAAGAAGAATAAATAGGATGGGTTACACGTATAAAGAACACTACAGTATAAATTCACTAAAACAGTCTTTAGAGAAAGAGGTAGAATTGTAAAACTGGACTTTCATAAGGTTCTGATTTGGATTTTCTTCAAGTGTATACGCTTTTGTGCTGCAATGTCTCTAGCTGAGCTATTGGGGAGGTTTTGTAATCTGTTTTCCGAGAACATGGTGGTTTTAGAAACAGAACAGATATTCCTCCAGGGCAGCTTTGGGCAAGCAGGCAGCTGGAACAACTTGGCAGTCTTGGCCAGATACCAGGGCTAGAGCGGGAGTTTCTGGGATGAATGAACAGCCCCCACTGTTTTCTATCCTTGAATCACTTGGTTGGAGACGAAAAGTCTTGAGAGAAAGGGTCTGATTGACTGAGCTTAGGTGTGAGCCTGCTTTTGGCTGCTCGGGGTGACAGGAAGTATCTGCCAGAAAGAACCTTCAGGAACCCCTTCAGCCTTCTTGGTGGCAGGTCAGATTGTTTCCATTTACTGAACATAATGGAGGAAAGGAAATTCCACAAAATGAAATCGGCTGCTATTGTAGAGGAAGAATGAATGCTGAGTCCACTTCTGAGAGGGACAGTTGTCCAGAAGGGACTTTCTGAATATGGCCACGCTTTACATCCATTTTATTTTCATGGATACACATCCACAGGCTGCTCAGGTCCAAGGAGATGGCCACGCCTTATGTTCCTATCTATCACAATCATTTTTACAGGGCTGGACACGGAAGTAGATCACGATGCTTTGGGCGGCAAGTAACAGGAAAACTTCAACTTAACTGGCCTAATCATCACAGAAATGTAATCTATGTTCTGGTGAAGGTGGAGGAGTAATTCTGAGATGGAATTCTGAGATGGAACAAACACAGGGTGGTTGATTCAGTGGCCAAGTAATGTTATCAAGGATCCAGATTGATTCCGTCTTTCTGCTCTGCCATTCTAAGCGTGTCAGTCACTGGATGGCTGCAGCAGCTCTGGGCTTCAAATCCTCACACACCACTCTCCAGAGGCAGAACAAGGGAAGTACTGTGTCTTTGTGTCCCTTTTTTTTATTTTTTGAGACAGAGTCTCACTCTGTCGCCCAGGCTGGAGTGCAGTGGCGCAATCTCGGCTCACTGCAAGCTCCACCTTCTGGGTTCACACCATTCTCCTGCCTCAGCCTCCCGAGTAGCTGGGACTACAGGCGCCCGCCACCACGCCCAGCTAATTTTTTGTATTTTTAGTAGAGACGGGGTTTCACCATGTTAGCCAGGATGGTCTTGATCTGACCTCATGATCCGCCTGCCTCGGCCTCCCAAAGTGCTGGGATTACATGTGTACCTTTTGAAGAACTAAGAAACTTTTCCTGGAAATCCCTCAGCAGATGTGTCTTCATGAATCATTGGTCACACTGAGTCACATGCCTCTTCCGTGAGGTAACATCAAGGAAATGGAATGTCCACAACTGGCTTAATCAGAGTAGCTGGGAAGGGGGCAACCTTCCCCAAAGCTCATGGCCACAAAGAGTAAAATAGACAGCTGGACAAAGTTAGGTAAGATTTTGTTAGCAAATAGTGGACATTTGTCACATTCGTGGCTGACTATATTTGAGAAATTTCCCACTTTATGAGTCCTGCCCACCAAAGAGGAAAACAGAATTCATCTTCCCAGTCAGCAGGCATGTGTGGGTACAGGTATGTCACCTGGACTCCTCCAATCAGACACACCTGCATAATGCCTGAATTCAGAACTGAGAAAAGTGTGGAATCAGGTGCCAGGCAGAATCCGTGTTTCGGTGAAGGTGGAGGAGCATTGCAGAAAGACAGTCAAGTTTTCGGAGACAGCTGAGTGGTAGCATCCTGTGCATAGCATCTGCGCTGTAGGCGGCAGCGGATGCAGGCCTCCGCTGGAGCAGCTTGGTAGGATAATTTGGGTATTGTTCCAGGTTATGTAGCCTTCAAGCCTTTATTTTCCAGCCCTCCTGGAAATTCTATGAGCTCCCTATGTTTCTCAAAAAATTCCTTTCTGGCCTAAACTAACTTGAGTGGGTTTTGTCGTTCATTACCAGGAATTCTGCAAGGAAGAAGTAGGCAAAACTGTGTCCACTACAGTAGGGGATCAGTAGATACTGGGCACTGCAGAACACCAGGGTGCCGTACGCTCTGTGGAGCACCGCAGTGTAGCATTCACAGACGATAAAGTATGAAGATGCCGCAGAAGTTATACCCCGACGCCAAAGTCGGCTTCCTTTCTGCCACTGTCTTCCTTGTGATGCCCACTCACCAAGCTTTCCCTGGAAGTCTGCCCAGGCTCTCCCTTGAGACTTGCCACTGAATGGCTTGACCCCTGAGGGTTCCTCCCTACCCCGGCCTAATGGGTAGGTATATAACTTAATACAGTGTGGAAGTAATCATAGACCAGTCCAACCAAGCCAAGCAAAGCATAAATGTAAACGTTTTTAAAAACAAAATGCTACAGAGTGATATAATGGGCTACGGGGTGGGTGGGGGGTGCTGAGGGATCGCGCCTGTAATCCCAGCACTTTCGGAGGCCGAGGCGGGTGGATCACGAGGTCAGGAGATCGAGACCATCCTGGCTAACACGGTGAAACCGTCTCTACTAAAAATACAAAAAATTAGCCGGGCGTGGTGGTGGGCGCCTGTAGTCCCAGCTACTCGGGAGGCTGAGGCAGGAGAATGGCGTGAACCCGGGAGGCGGAACTTGCAGTGAGCCGAGATCGCGCCACTGCACTCCAGCCTGGGCGACTGAGCGAGACTCTGTCTCAAAAAATAAAATAATTAAAAAAAATGATATATTGGGTAGAACGTACACTACTCAGGTGACGTGATGGGTGCGCCAAAATCTCAGACTTCACCACTATACAATTCATCCATGTAACCAAAAACCACTTGTACTCTAAAAACTACTGAAATAAAAAAAAATTTTAAAACATGAAATGCTATGTATGCTTAACTTTGTATCCTCTTACATATAACCAAAAGGTAATGTACCTACCCTGCAATTAATTTAACATTTTTATCAAACAAAAAATATTATGGCAACTATGAATGATACTTTAAATAACAGAAGGAAAAACTGCACTTAAAATTCTGCTTCTCCCCCTGCCTCAACAGAACTATTTGTGCCTCTGAACATTGTGTCATTTGTATATCTCAATGCCTCTACTTTACCCTTATATGCATTAAATGGTTACAGTATATTTTACCTAACCACTACCACCCTCACTAGATGGTTAAGAGGCTTCTGGCTTGCAAATGCTCTTATATTAATTTTGTATTAAACAGGTGTAAAAGATTATTCTTCTTTTGGATAATGCAAATCACTAAATCATATAAATATTTCTAATGGCTTTGCATTGCTATTGGCAATGTAGGTGTGGACGAGTTCCACTACACCATCACCAGCAATGGGTATTTTCTAATATTTAATAGAAGCAAAATGGAAACTTACGCTGTTTTATTCTGTAGATTTTAATGTTATTGATGGTTTCTTGTGATTGTAAAGATGCCCTCATTCAGCATTGTCATAGAATCTTCAAAGACACTGAGTGAGCACCAGGCTCATGGGTTGTAACTGTGATAAAGATGTGAACATTATCAAGAACGTTTCAGAAAGTGCCATGTGGTTTCTTCAGGAGCTGGTTTTAGGCAGAATTAATCCTTTTAGAGGGTTATTATATTGGATTGTCCTAGTTATGTCAAAAGATGGCCTGGGGGAGGGGATTTCTTCATTTGTCTGAGCATTGCTGAACATTTACTTTCAAATTTTCTGCTTAGTGCATAATGAAGAATGTTCACCAAATTTGTGGCAGTAAATGTAAACTGTATTCTTGACATTTGAAAAATCTGACATAGATTAATATTACAGAACTATAGCAGTTCTCTGTGACATCCCTTCCCAAAAATAGAATTGCTATTTTTTAGATAAATTATTCCTCCTTTTCCCTATTATTTTATCTGCCACAAATATAAGCAGTGACTTTAAAACAAATAGCGATTGAAAGAAATTTACATTTTGGCAAACATAACTTAATTTTGAATGCTAGGATAGGCTTTCTCACAGAAAGCCAGGGTCCTGAAAAACAGAATGTTCTTTTCTGAACTGCATTTTGAAAAGGGAAATTAATCGTAATTTTTGCTTTTCCAGGCCGTGCCATCCCCGGGGAGGACAAGAAAAAAGTAACAAAAATAATTTTTGGCTTCAAGCACCCAACAATGGAAATGCTGAAACCCATGTCCTTTAAGTCCTTTTCTTCTCCTAGCAGAGGGCCCTCTGCCTACATGGGGCACCGTGGTGGCCATTTAATGTACTCCTGCTTGGTACCCACCTCTGCTCTGCCCCCTGGTGGCCACAGACACCATTGCTGCTGCCTCAGCACAGTTTGACCTTGTTGCTGCCAAGAGCCACCTCTCCTCTCATCACTGTCCCCACTCTCCTGCCATGCCTCAGGTGGCTGCTGGCAGAAGAGCAGTGGGCTTTGTTTCTTCAGAACATCACAGCAACCACTGTCTTATCAGCTCACACCCTCAGGATCTTACTGCCCCTTTTCCCAAAAATCTCCACTCCGGCAACCCTGGCCCTGCATCATTGAAGGACATTTAAGTGATATAACATATTGTTGCCTCAAAAAAGTTTTTTCCCTCTTCAACAGCTGGGACAACTGGATAACCACATGCAAGAGAATGATGTTTGGCCACTAACCACACCATACATACAAATTAACTCAAAATGAATCAAAGACTTAAATGTAAGAGCTAAAACTTAGAACAAACAGGAGAAAATCTTCACAACCATGGATTTGGCAATGGATTCTTAGATAAGATGCCAAAAGCACAAGCAACACATGGAAAAAAAGAGATACATTAGACTTCATCAAAATTAAAAACTCTTTTGTGCATCTAAGGACACTATCAAGAAAATAAAAAGAAAAACTACAGAATGGGAGAAAACATTTACAAACCATATACGAAAGGATCTAATATCCAGAATATTTAAGAAGTCTATGACTCCCCAACAAAAAGACAACCCAATTTAAAAATGGCCAAAGGACTCGAATTGATATTTTTCCAAGAAGATACGCAAATGACCAACACACACTTGAAAAGATGCCCAGAGCTGGACATGGTGGTATGTTCCTGTGGTCCCAGTTACTCAGGAGCTGAGGCAGGAGGATCACTTGAGCCTAGGAGTTCAAGCCTGGAGTAAACTATGATCTCACCACTACATTCCAGCCTGAGCAACACACGGAGACCTGGTCTCAAAAAAAAAAAAAAAAAAAAAAAGATACTCAATATTAATAGTCACTAGTGAAATGCAAACTGAAACCACCTTGAAATACTTAACACTCACTAGAAGGACTAGGACTATAATTAAAAACACAGACAATAGCAAGTATTAGCTAGAATGGGTAGAAATTGGAATCTTCATACACTGCTGATGGGAATGTAAAATGGTGCAGCAACTGTGGAAGACAGTTTGATGGTTCCTCAGAATTTTAAACAGAATTACTATATGACCCAGTAACTCTTGGATGGAATAAAAACTTTGTCTACACAAAAACCTGTACACAAATAGCAGCACTATTCATAATAGCTAAAAGGTGAAACAATCTGAATGCTCCATCAGCTGATGAATGGATAAACAAAATGTGGTATATCTGTGGAAAAGAGCATTACTCAGCCCTAAAAAGACAAAGGGAGTACTGATACATGCTGTAACATGGATAAGCCTTGAAAACATTATACCTAATAAAAGAAGCCAGACCCGAAAGGCCATGTATTATATGATTCCATTTATACAGAATGTTCAGAATAGGTAAATCCAGGCAGACAGAAAGCAGGTTAATGCTTGCCAGGGGCTGAGGGGAAGGAGAAATTGGAAATGGCTGCTTAATGAGTCCTTTAGGGGTGATGAAAGTGTTTCGGAACTAAATAGGGATAGTGGTTTTACAGCATTGTGAATGTACAAAATGCCACAGAACTGTGTACTTTAAAATGGTTAATTTTATGTTATGTTAATTCCATCTTAATAAAGAGATGAAAAGTTTACAATTTGTTAAAAGGTCTCCTCCAACACTGATGCGTATTCCCCAGAACAGAAACCTTCTGTGTCAGGTCTCCCGAGGCCGGAACATCAGTCCTGGGGCCGTCTATCATTTTCTTTCAGAAATCTCACTGGGGCCTCACGTAAATGGAACTGGGAAGGGGCAGGAAAAAAATGTCCCTTGGGCCACCGAGGTCTTACTATATAATGAAATAAATGATTCCCAAATATGCCAAAACTGGAGAGCTTATGTAACCAAGAAAACCCGTAAGGATGAATGAGCAGAACAGCAAGTCAGTGGTTTGGGGTTGGTTACATTTGTGGTTAAGGAAGGGCAGGGAGAGGGGAGGAGAGGACTGGGGGAGGGGAGAAAGAAAGAAGAAACAGAGAAACAGAAAAAGGAGACAGGAAGGCAGACAGGAAGGCAGGAAGGAACAAGGAAAAGAGAGAGAAAAGGAGGAGCCAAAAGAAGAGAACTCAAGATCCCTTTTCTAACTTTGAGACCCTGACAACTTTGCCTGTGGCATCTGTCCTGCTGTGAAGGATGACTCCAAATTCAGTTTCATTTCCCCACAATGCAAGTGCATCTAAGTCCCAATTCTGTGGTTAAAGCTTGAAAAAAACGCAGAAACCCACATGTTGCATTTTATTACAGCATTAATGCCAGTAGAAGATAATGAGTAATGCTAGCACCTTTTCTCTCTACAACCTGGGCTAGGAGTGTGACCAGCCCCAGAGAGGAGAGGAGCCTTTTACCTCTGTACTTACACAAAGGCTGCCCTCTTTGGTGTTGAGGGTGGGCTGTGTCCTCCCCATGCCAGGGTATCACTCCCTGGCAAGGCTTTCTTGGCTAAACTGATTTCCCCACCCCTCTGCTTCCTTCCTGCACCCCTTGTCTTCACTTTCTTCTCTCAAATATCTCTCGGTACCACATAGATCCACTTATTTCACAGACCCAGAAACTGGGGCCACGAGCTCCCACGATTTCTCCCCCCATCACAAGTGGTTAGGAGCAGCAGCCGTGTGAGCACTGGTGTGAGCGGACGTGTGAGACTTCACCAGACTGCGGGTCCTTAGCCGGGAGCTCCTTCCCAATCGTTCACACCGGGCCTTGCTGCCTTTACATCTGGGAGGCTGGTGACCCCTACAGGTGCCTGCAAAAGGAAGGAGTTTCTTGGTGCCAGAGGAAGAAATGGAGAGACTAGAAGTGAGAGTGCTAGCAGAGGTCTGTCGCTTGGCCAGGCCTGAGTGAGGGAGGTGTGCGAGGGAGGCTGAGGGCGCTCTGTTTGTGACCGGCCCTGTGAGAGTCTGGGCGGACGCGGTGCGGCTGTGCCCAGAGACAAGGGAGGCTTGGATCCAGAGAGCCCACCCCGCCACTCCCACCTCAGAGTGCCCTAGGGGAAGGACAGCAGAGCCACGCCCTCCTCAAGAAAAGGCACTTGCAGCTGCGGTAGTGAGGGGCCCTTGAGAAGGCGGGAATGGGAGGGAGAAGCGGGCTTGTTCCTGTGCACAGGTGAGGTGGCACCGCCACAAGCACTCCCAGAAATGACTGGCAGCCTGGGGAGGCGGAGGCGAGAGGGGTCTGGGGAGGTGACTGGCGGTGGAACTGCATCCCGGCACATAAGCGTTACACTTGAGGACACTCTCACCCTGCATAGCATATACTCAAGTTCACGTTCGTTTGGTCGCTTATTCCACAGAACATCCATATGTTCCAGCTTCCATTCTTGTGTGGAGGGCACCCAAAGGTGTGCAAGAGGGACAAGATCTCTGCTCTCTGGGTGCTCGCCTCCATACAGTTTAGCATCTCCATTCTCTTCTTGGAGTTCCCCACTCCGTGACCCAGATGGACAAGAAGTGTAATACACAGTGGAAAAAAAAAACACACACCAATAACTGAAAAAGAGTTTGGGATAGCTTTGAAAACTTCCTGCAGAGGCATCATTAATCTTTTTTCTTGGTAAGGTTCTTGAAAGCAAGGCCTGTATGTCTGCAAAGGACCTCCTTTACCAAGTGCTTGGCGAACATGAAATGATGCTGTTCCATTTGGGATGGGCTTTCCTCCTTGCAGACATGACCTCAGGGTGGCTCCTGGCGGGAGACCCACAGGGGGCTCTGTCTGAAGCTGCTGTAGGAGACCAGCTGGTACAAGAGGCAATCACAATGTTTTTTAGTGCAAAGCCTGGTTGGGTGCAAGGCTGCAGTGGGAGGTGGCGCATCACGTGGTGGGGAAGTGGTGGGGGTGGGGGGTGGGACCCTGCCGCCTAATTAGAGGGCCGGGGAAGGTAGGATCAGTGGAAGGCATGAGCAGCGGCAGCCAGTGGACAGAGTGCAGCAGGGTCCTAGCAGAGCCAGGGCTCTCCACTCCCGATAGAAAATGAGCTGCTGTGGATACTGCCAGCGAGGCCAAGAACTCCTGCCTTTGAGTTTGAGCTCTCAAAATCAAAATGAAAACAGAAACATTTGTTGCTTTCTATAACCTAATAAGAATGGTGATTGACACACCACCCTTCATTTTAACACTCTCTGGGTGTGAACTTTAAAAAAAAACAAACAAACAAAAAAAAAAACAACCAGAAAGAATAATTTCACCAAATGACTTTCAGCACTGAAATTCACTTTTCCTGGGCAGTTAAGCCAAGCTATTGGTTTTCAAGTTTCAGAGGGAAATTGTTTTATCCACACTGCATTGTGGAATAATCATCCTATTTATTTCCAGAATGATATTTCCTCTGCATTTTAACTTTTCACCTATAAGCCTTACAGAGATGAGATAGTAAGCAAGAGAGTGAAGAGGTTTATTTTAAACTTTTTATTTTGAGATAATTGCAGAGGCACGTGCAGTTGTAAGAAATAATATAGAGAAATTCTAAGAGGTCCTATGTACCATTTGCCCAGTTTCTCCAATGGCAACATCTTGCCAAACTATAGTGCAATATCATAGCCAGGATATTGATCGATAGAATCCATCACCAGATTCACATTTCCCTTGTTTGATACGTGTTGTGTGTGTATAGGGGTGTGTGTGTGTGTTTAGTTCTATGAAATATGAAACGTTTTGTGCTCTGATAAGGAAAAGTGCTTTCCAAGTACACAATGATTATCAGGACATTTTCTTTGTGGTTATTACTTCCGCATTTTTGTTTTTGTTTTTGTTTTTGTTTTGTTTTTGTTTTGAGACAGAGTCTCGCTCTGTAGCCCAGGCTAGAGTGCAGTGGTGCGATCTCGGCTCACTGTAAGCTCTGCCTCCCGGGTTCACGCCATTCTCCTGCCTCAGCCTCCCAAGTAGCTGGGACTACAGGTGCCCGCCACCACACCTGGCTAATTTTTTGTATTTTTAGTAGAGATGGGGTTTCACCGTGTTAGCCAGGATGGTCTCGATCTCCTGACCTCGTGATCCACCCGCCTCGGCCTCCCAAAGTGCTGGGATTACAGGCGTGAGCCACCGCGCCCTGCCTACTTCTACATTCTTGGTAGATAAATTTGTAGACCCTATTTATGTAATATCTTCTATCTAATAACATAAAGACTTGTGTGACTGTTCTCATGTCAATGAAGATGTGTGCTTAACATCTTTAGCTTTTAAAGATCTTGCTATTAGAAGCAAGATACATTCAGCTAGATTTGGAACCTGCTAGGATTCCTTGAATATTTAAATATTTAAACCTGAAGCCGGACTCCACATTTCCTTGAATGATCACAGTTAAATCAAATTTTTCTTTTTCTCTATTTAAATTGTCCTTCTTGTCATATTGCCAAAATAATATATTCTTGGGCTAGTAACTCAATAGCACATAAGTACATCGTTGTTGGTTGTTGTTTTTTTTAACTGAATTTGAGTGCACTAAGGAGAGGAAAAAAAAATAAGTGTCCTGGGGGACCTCCTTTTAGCCCATGGGTCCCCAGACTGCCTAGGGGGTTCCTTCTAAAGGAAACTCACTTCTGTCAACACCCAAGAGAACCAGGAGGCATGTCTCTCCCAGAGTCGCAATCCCTGGGGGTCACTGCCTTCTCTGTGGGGTGGCGCATGCAGGTCTTTCTGTACACAGGTGTTGTTAGCACAGCACAAGGGGCTTGAGGTACCAACTACTGACAGTTCAGGCTTTCTCTCCTCCTATCCCCTCTCTGTGAGTGCCTCATCTGGCCTCTTGGGACCTCTGACCACCCCGACTTTCTCCAGGACAGTAACCAGCCAGGCCACTTCTTGAACTTTATCATCTGGCTCTCCCATCTGAGCCACCTCCAAAATCTCTAACCCTCAGCCCCCTGACAACAACCTCCTCCTGTGGAATCCCAGAGCTCAGCAGTATCTTAAGGGTCATTTGGTTCAACTTCCACATCTCAAAGAAAAGACAGCTGCAGCTATTAAGTGACGTGACCACAGACACACAGCTGAGGGTGTGTGCCTGTATGACCTGGGTAAGCGAAGAAACAAAACCTCAATTTCTACGCATGTAGAATGAGGATAATAGCAGTACTTTAGGGTTGGAAGAGGAACTGATTTAAAGTGAGCAAAGCACTTTAGTGAGAGGCAGCATTTGAATTAATAAGATCTCCTGACTTTCCTTCCTCAAACTGCCTCATCTGCTCTGTTCCCGTCAGTGACCTCAGTCCTCCAGCCTCTCCCTAACCCTGCAGACCATTCCTCCTTCTCCCTTTACTTCCCCATCCAGCCTAGGCCTGTCGCCTGCCCCTTCAGACTTTGTTCTCTGGCCATCCCCAGCCCTGGTCATCCCCATACACACAATTTCTGCTCCTCCTCCTGGGCTATGGGGCATTGCTATATAAAGCCGTAAAGGGTGGGTGCTGACTGGATCCACTATGAATTTGACCAATTGATCTTTCTCTCTCCTGTGGACTACTTCAAGGTGAATTCCTCTTTGCAGTCCTTTCCGATGGGTGCCCAGTGCTGAGTAGACATGCTTGCTGAGTATCCCATGGCAGGGACCATTCAAAACCAAGGCACAGAGGCGGAGAGATACAGCGGGTGATCAGGGAATGGCAGCAGTCTGGTTTGGCTGAACGTGTAGTGTCTATAGGAACATGGCCTCCTAAGTCCAATGTGATGGTTAATACTGAGCGTCAACTTGATTGGATTGAAGGATGCAAAATATTGATCCTGGGTGTGTCTGTGAGGGTGTTGCCAAAGGAGATTAACATTTGAGTCAGTGGGCTGGGAAAGGCAGACCCACCATTAATCTGGGTGGGCACAATCTAATCAGCTGCCAGCGTGGCTAGAATACAAGCAGGCAGAAAAATGTGAAAAGGAGAGACCGGCCTAGGCTCTTAGCCTACATCTTTCTCCTGTGCTGGGTGCTTCCTGCCCTGGAACATCGGACTCCAGGTTCTTCAGTTTTGGAACTCGGATTGGCTCTCCTTGCTCCTCAGCCTGCAGACAGCCTATGGTGGGACCTTGTGATCATGTGAGTTAACACTTAATAAACTCTCCTTTATATATATATATATATATGAATATATATACACATATATATGTATATATACACATATTCATATATATACATATATTCATATATGTATACATATATTCATATATGTACATATATTCATATATGTACATATATTCATATATATGTATATGAATATATGTATATATGTATTCCTGTATATATGTATATATGTATTCATATTCATGTATGTATGAATTCTTATGTATTATATGTATATATATGAATATCTGTACATGCACATGTATATATGTATATGAATATATGAATATATACATATGTATACGCATATATACATATATTCATATATGTATACGCATATATACATATATTCATATATGTATACGCATATATACATATATTCATATATGTATACGCATATATACATATATTCATATATGTATACGCATATATTCATATATGTATATGCATATATACATATATTCATATATGTATATATACATATATATTCTATTAGTTCTGTCCCTCTAGAGAACCATAATACACCCAACAAGCTGGGCTTGAATCCTAGATTCACCACTTTCACCACCTGTATGTCGACCTGGTTAAGGGAAGAAACAAAACCTCAATTTCTATGCTTGTAGAATGAGGATAATAATAGTACTTTAGGGTTGGAAGGGAACTGATTTAAAGTGATCAAAGCACTTAGCACAGAGCCTATGACATCTAACCCCCAAATAAGTCCTAGTTCTTAGAATAACAGAGAACTACAGACTATCATGCATATCACGGAGGATCTGAGACTTGACTTGGTGGTCAGTGGGCAGACATTGAGAGCTCCTGGGCAGAGGGGGTGGGAGGGCATATCCAGAACTGTGGTTTATGACACTCACTTTGGTTGCTGAGTGTAGAGTGAACAACACTCTTGGAGCAGGAAGGGAGTGGAGTGGGGTCAGAGGGGCCAGTTGGAGACGAGATGCAAAAAGTGCCCAAGATGGCCCGGTGATGGTGGGGGTTGGTGGGGGTGGACATGGGGGGGTACACGTCTTGGAGAGCACCATGAGTCTGCGACATGGGGTTTTTCATCTCTGGGTCATGCATAAATTAGGCTCCTCTCCATCCCTTGTGTTCTGAAAGCCAGGGTTTCTTCAGGCAGCTCTGCCTCTTGCTGGGTTGTGGCTGAGGTTCTCAGGCAGGGGAGCTCTGGCTTCACCAGGGCTGAGGTTCTCCAGGCTGGCTGTGCACACCACAGTCACCTCAGCAGCTCTAAAAGGCTGGCTCCACTCTCCCATACTCCCACCTATCCCAGGCAGCGAATCAGTTCATCTGGGTGGGTTCTGGGCCGAGATGGTGCTGAAGCTCTCCAGGTGACTCCGCTGTGCAGCCAGGATGGAGCCACAGTGAGACCAGGGACCAGGCGTCACCTGAGAGTTAGTACCAAGATAGAGCACCCTGCCTTGTGTTACACCTCCAGCTCTCTCCAGGTGGGACAAGCAACTGCCACAATCTCTTGATTCTCAGGACTACTCTCTATTACAGTATCAAGAGATTGTGACAGTTGCCCATTCAGACTGGAGAGACCTGTCACCAGACCACTGTGGCGGTCTTCCAGATCTATCCAATAGCCGCTGCCCCTCCTTCCTGCTGAACAGAGATCCAGTTTGCTTCAGGTTGTGGCAGCAAAGGGCTCAAAGTGGTCTCCTCCCCCCAAAACCCGAGGGATGAGCCTTGATGGATTGAAATCAGTCACAGTAGTGGTAGCCCCATCCATCTCTGCCAGGGCCTGGTATGTGGCCATGTGACACAGCCTGGCCAATAAGATGTAAGGACAAAGTGACCAAGGGGCTTCTGGGAAATGTTTTCCTTCTCAGTGTAGAGATATACATAGAGAGGGCCCTTGCCCTTTCCCAGCTCAGTGCAGCCACCACCATCTTGTGACCATGTGGGGAGACTTGACTGATCTTCCTTGGTCCCTGAGCTGCAGGGCCAATCCTGAAGCAGCCCAGTTCCAGTGATTGTTAAACAAAACAATAAATGTCCTTGGCGTGTAAGCTACTTTTGGTGGAATATTCTGTTATTTGCAGGCAAAAGCTTCCAAAAGATACAGGCATGCTCACTTAGTAATGTCTCATAGGTGAGTTGGACAAAGAATATTGGGTTTCTGATTGTCTTAATTGGTCCCTTTTAACATCCAAGAGTTGTTCAGGATGAAGTAATTCATAGTTACAATCCTACTGACACTGACATACTCCCTGAAAACTAGAACCTCCTCCCTTCCAGTGAAATGCAGGGTCCTTAGAGACTCTGTAATCTACTGGTAATTAAATGGACCCTCATTAATTAGCACTCCTGTCAACAACTTGGCAGCTTGGTGGAGCACGTGGCCTGGGGTGGCAGGGGTGGTACGGGATAATGTACTTAAAGGTAAAGTAATACTTAGGTGTACAGGTCACAGCTGAGGCCTAATAAAGACAGGATTTACATAAACATTTTAGCTGATAAGTTTTAGGACAATTCCACAGTCTCATGTCTATCCAGTTCCATGAAGTTAGTTAATTTTCATTGAATTGTAAATTTCCAGCGAGTTGCATTTTAATGTATTTGTGCCTTTAAATTTGTATGCAAAGATTGCATAGGCTGTCAATTTGATGAACTCCTCACACTATATTGTGTGATATATATAATTAAAGCACCAAGATTCTATATTGACAAAAGCAGAAAGTGTCTTGAAGTGAATATTAGCATTCTAAATTGGCAATTTTCATTCCATGCCAGAAGTATTTCTTCCCCCTGTGAGTCACAGCTCAGTTGTAGTCATAAAAATCACTGGGTGGTGGGGGGGAGTGGGGGGAATTGTGAACATTAAAGAAGTATTTATTTAACCTGTATCTTTTCAAGAATATATCTAATAGGTAAATTAGGATGAGCTATAGATATTAAACAGAGGTGTATGTGATAGAAACTATGATATAAACTGTAAAATCTACTAGTAGAGTCTGTGGATAAAAAGCATCTATGAGTTCATCATTCTGTTACAATTTTTGCATCTGAGACTGCATAAGATTGTATCATTACCCAATCTCCTGCCTATATAATTCTTGCTTTAATTCAAAATCCAGAAATTCAGAAGCCATTTTCAAGTGAATGTAAAGATTCTTCAGTTCCTCTTGATCCCTATAGCCCCATGCAGCTCTGGGATAAGTGAGAGGAGGAAATAAAGAGCATAGCTTGACACCTTCAGTAGCCTAGAAAGTACCTTTCCATGCTGGGGGCAAAATGCATGTATAATAGCAGCATGGCGTACTGAACTTGGGCATCAAGAATCCCAGATCTGAAGGTCCTTTTACTAGCTATGTGCCTGTGGGCTGATCACTTCACCTCCCTGAACCTCAGTTTTCTTCCATCTCAAATTGAGATACCTACTTTCCAGGCTTATTGTAAACTCCAAATTAGACAAAAGAAGTGAAGTGTTCCAAATAAAAGCAATTTGGGAACCATAAAGTGCTTTATAAATGTCAGATACTTATAATACTTTGTCTTCCTCTTTAATCTCTCTAAAGTGTGTGAAACATGTCAACAGTTTTGTTTCTAAAGCAATGCCACTTACAAAACCGATGTGAAATAGCCATCAGGTAGCTGTGGAGAAACAGCCAGGTCAGTATAATACGCCACTGCTGTTGACAGCCTAAGTATTTTCTCATATAGCGTCCTTCAGTGAGGTAAGTTGGGGAGCTTCATTGCTTCAAATAACTGCTTCCTCTAATTCTGCCCATGTCATTCTTTTCAATTGTGCTAATTTGCCCGGCAGATATTTCCTGGCCAGCTGAGTTGGGTAGCATCGGGTTCCAGTAGCTTGCTTATGGTCTATTTTAGACCAAGATCCTAGGGTGCAAGACCACAGCTAGTAATTGGCTGTACCAGAGGTTTTTAGGTTGATGTTTCCACTGAGATGGTAATTATGTAATCATCAGTTCCAAGTGAGGTGAGGCAGAGTCTCCATAGGGCAGGTTACAAAGAAACCTAAAACCCCCTCAGCCTCTCACCCAGGCTGAGGCTAAAAATAAGGGGTCAGAGAGTGGAAAGGGAAGATGTGTGGGGAAACTTCTTTGGAGAAAGGAGTGTGGGGTGCTATGCCCTTCATCTCAAGCCAGCGAGAGGGGCTTCCCCAGGGGCCTGGGACTGCCAGAGACTGTAGTTAGGTGGCCTGGAGAACTGGAGCCTGACTCACTCCTGGGTAAGCTAAAGCTCCCTCCTATGGCAGCCTAGAAGGGGCTGCACCCAGACAAGCCTGAGCTCTCAGAATCACTAGGGTAACAGATGTGTAGGGTTTCCCTTGGGACCTATCTAAAGGGGCACTGAAAGGTGGAATAAACCCTGGGTTTTTAGGATTTCCAGAAGCCCCCAGGAGGGAGGTCCCCATCAGTGGGAGACTACAAAGGACCAGGAAAGACCTACATGAGCTGCTTTAACCATAAGCCAGCACAGCAAGCTTGAAGCTGCTCAACTCCAGGAAGAAATGCTCCATCTCCTTCCTTCTCCTCCTCCTCCTCACTGCCAGTTTGATCCAAGCTGGGCCTTAAACAACCTCTAGTGAATAGAGGGGCGGGTGGGGGTCGGGGACAAGCCTAAGCCTAGTGCACCCCTTCAGGGAAGGCCAGCTAGAGACCTTAAGCCTGGGGCTGGAATGGGGGAGGAAGACTTTTTGAAGTTTGATGCATTTGTTTATATCTTGCACCCAACATTATAGTTTTGAAATGAAGCTGTGGTTGAGATTTAGTTACAACAAGACTGTCAGTTATCTAAGAATGAGCAGAAAAATCCAGGGCTGTTTCGGGTCCTAAAATTATCCAATCAACGAATAGGTATTTATTTTCTGTTATGTTTGAAATCCTCTTGAGTATTTTGAAGAATATTTACATTCCTTTAGTTCAGGTTAGTATAATTTCCCACCTGGCACGATGCCTTACACATAGTATGTGCTCAAAAATATTTTCAATTTAATTATTCTTTACAAGATGCTTAGCACCAAGGGAAGTGGCATTTTCCCAGTGTTGATGACAAATAGCACTTCAGCTGGAAAATCTCCATATTTATAAAACGTGGTGCAAACCTGAATGGAGAGTGCTTATGATCTCACTTTTATTTAACACTGTACAGTGTTGCTAAATGGTCTAACAGGAGAAAAGGGAATTTAAACTAGAAACACATAAATGGAGTGCTTTTTGCCGTTCAACTGTGATGATGCACGAACAAAAAACGATTGGCCACGGGAGACCTAGACTGGAATCTCCTTCTCCTGCTCACTACACCTCAGGCCCCCAGTTCCTCTCCTGTGGATGGGGACGCCAGGCTGCCTACCTCAGACTCAGAAGGTACGATTACGTGCATACACTCTGCGAACTGAAGGGCTGTACAAATGCAAGGGCTTAATAACAGCCAACAGTTTAATATTCGTTGATTGCCACGTGCATAGCGCTTTACATCTATTTTCTCATGCAGTCTTCATAACAGCCCAAGACCTACCTAGGTACTATTATTAATATTTCCTGCCACTTGACATCGGAGGAAACAGAAGCTCAGCAAGTGGCTCCAGGTTATACAGAGCCCTAACCTGAGCCAGTAAATCCTTCTTACCCACAAGCATTAAGCTTCCGTCCTGCCTGCTGTTATTTAACAGAGGTGCTGGGATCCGGCAGGGGAGCAACAAATGTGGTTCGGCAAATTGCTAAACGAAAAGCGGACACCCGCCCACGACGCCTGCTCTGATCTGACCTCCCGGCCTACAGCCCTCTCCAGGCTCCTCCCACCCGCTCCGGCCGTCGCCACGCCTCGGAGCTTCTACGCATGCGTTGGCGGGACCCGCGCAGGCCCAGTGGCCGAGCGGCGTCGTGGGGTTACCCCGCCCGCGCCAGCGCTGCATCCCTGGCCGCTACCCGGGGAGAGCCGGAGGATGAATTGAACCTCGCAGCCGCTGCTATCTCCAGTGCTCATCACAGGTGCTTTGGGTCAGGTCGGAAGCCTCCTTCCCTGAGCCCTCGCCAAGCTCATTCCCCGGCCCGCCTCTCCCGCCCTGCAGCGGCCTGGCCCTGCGGTCTGGCTGCCGGGGCGGCGGCGGGAGGTAGTTTGTGTACGGTTACCATGGAGACGCTGGCTGCGGGGCGAAGTGGGAGGGTGGCCGGGCGGGGTGAGGATGCTGCTGCGCCCTGCCCTGGCCGGGACCGTGGAGGAGCGGGCACTGCCGTGGGTGGGGGAGCCGCTGTCCGAGCGGGAGGTGAGGTGTCCCCAGCGGCTCCCCAGGGACCCTTCCTGCCGTCGTCCGCCTGTGTGTCCTCGGATGGGGTAGAGAGACGATGAGTGCCCTGTGCATGCTGTCAGGGGTCCGGAGCGGTTGTCTTTTATTTATGTACTGTCGCACTTAGCCAAGTGCGTGGTGCTTAATAAGAAGCCCAGTAATATTTGTTGAATGAGAGTGGTAGACTAAGGGGCTTTGTCTAGGCAGGCGGTGACCGGGCCAGAGTCATACAGTTTATATCTGGGCACTTCCAGGCAACAGGGCCTCAATAAATAAAAACGTATGTGTAACAATATTTAACATACTTTAAAATCATGGAGTGTATACATAATGCCTTTTGTGATCCATTCCCACAAGTAACACAACAGATCTTACGTCCCACCCTGATTTATAATAATTATACTTTAATTTGGTTGAAAAGCAAGCACCATTTATTATATTTATCCTGGTTTCTTAATCTATGGGATTCTGGTTGTTGATGTTGATTTGGCATAGCTGATATTCAATAAAATGCTTAATAAAAATTATCTGTTTTCATAAAGGCAAGTACCACCACCCACCTTTTAAAAGGAGAAGTACGTAATGTAAATGACGAGTTGATGGGTGCAGCAAACCAACATGGCACATGTATACCTATGTATCAAACCTGTACATTGTGCACATGTACCCTAGAACTTAAAGTATAATAATAAAAAAAAACTTATGTATAGAAACACTGAACAAACGTCATTCTCTCTTTTGCAATTTCTTTTTTTAAATGTAGTTTTTCATTCGTGGAAATGATTTTGCTGTATCCTTTTATCATGTAGCACTTGGGCAATAATTGTTAACATCTTTAAGGGCCATATTTTAAAATGTTAACATTTTTAAAGCACTGTGCTAACGCACTTTACATGTATTATATCATTTAATTCTTCAAACAATCCTATGGGGCAATTATTATTACTATCCACCTTTTATAGATGAGGAAACTGATGCTTAGAGATATTAGAGGCATTGCCTAAGGTCACATGGCTGTGAATTGTCAGCATTTAAACCCTTAGTCCAGCATCTAAGCACTTAACCACTGCCTCTTTGGATGCTCATATTAATACAAAAATGATTCAGAGTTATGGAAGGGTCCTGAGTATTTGATTTGCAGGGAAGACTGTGAAGCTGGCCTGCTTTTCCCCTGTTGCAGACATCCTGGTAGTGCAGTGTTGCATTTAGCAAGAAGGCTCTGGTTCCAGTGGCTATTAGCAGCAACGATAAAGACAGGTCTTTATAATTAGTTATAAACTTCTATAAATTATGACTCTGAGCTTTCA
Organism: Homo sapiens; assembly: GCF_000001405.40. Taxonomy (NCBI): domain Eukaryota; kingdom Metazoa; phylum Chordata; class Mammalia; order Primates; family Hominidae; genus Homo; species Homo sapiens. Next base: position 108,850,150 of record NC_000006.12, read on the forward strand.
CCCAGACCAGTAGGAAATATCTTGTTGAAAAAAAAGTTCTTCACTTTCAAATTTCCTACTGCTGGTGGTGTTCACCCTCTAGAGGTCCTGTGGATACCATGGACTCAGGATAGTGTGATGCAAGACAGAACTCAGCCTCTTTCTTCTTTCCTCTTGAAATCAGCTTCTCCTCCTGTTTCTTTTAAAAGGTCCCTTGCCCTCTGGCTCCCCTAGGTTTGCATACCTAGTGTTGTTTCTGGCCTCTTCCTGGAATCATGGATGCCAAATCCTGTTAATTCTGTTCTCAGTGCACCTCACTTGTTCTCATCTCTCCTCTAACCTCTGCTTCACCTTGACTCCTGTATCTCAGGCTTTCCGTACTTCACTCATTCGTCACAACATTGAGTCCTACTCTGTGCCAGGCAACTTGAAATAAAGGCAAGACAGGGAAAGGAGGCTAAATCTGAACTCATCTGACCACATAACATCAAAAATCAGATTTGAAATAAGGTCCAGATTTCATAATTCACTGTAACAAATATCTCCAGTTAGAGAAACTATGCAGCCTTCATCTGAAAATGTCTTAGCTCAAGTCTATATTTAAAAATGGAGTCTAGTGATTACGTAAGTGTTGACCTTCAGCTGTGCCTCACGTGGACGGTTGGGGCAGAGAGTCTCGGGCCAACACCACATGTACAGGGAATTCTAACACAGTGGGAGAGTGGAGTGGCAGAGACCAGCCCGGGGCCTTTTGGAGTCTGGACGAGGGGCACTTAACTCAGGCTAGCAGGGTGGGAGAGGCATGTCCAGGAAAGCTTCCTTGAGGAAATGACCTTTGAGAGTTAGCTGGGTGATTACATAAAAACTGTCTGATTTCACTACTTCTGATCTTTGCCCTCCTTTCCTTCCTGCCCATCTCTGCCAGATCACATCATCCCTCAAAATGTTGTATTTGATCTGCTCATCAACTTTTGATTTCTCGCCATTTAATTTATTTGGTTCAGCCCCAATGGCCATTTTCAGAGTTCCCTCTTGTCCACACACACCCTGTATGTCTTGATGCTCTGCGCTGGCTCACTTGCCGACTTTGTTGGAACTTCCTTCTCTACTCCAGCTCCAGTGCCAGCCACTGCCACTTGCTCAAATTCAGCCCTTCTTTCACAACCGAGCTCAAGCACCACCTCTTCCAGGAAGTCTACCTGATGTCTTCCCCCAATCAGAAATCTCTTCTTCCTTTGTGATCACATAAGTAATTTGTCTCTATTGTTTTTATTGCTGCCATCAGTTTCTACCTTGTATTTAAATCATTTGAGTATAAGCAGGGTAAATACTCACTGGGTACGTACCAGGAAGGCTGCTCCTGTTGGGAAAATATTGGGGTCTCTGTGTGAATGGGTTAATAGTTGCAGCCCCAATGCCTCTAAGTGCCCCACCTCCTACCAGCCATCTAGTGGGTAAGAGTTTGAATATTATCTGTGGGCATATATCATAGCTTTTTTTTTTGTATTGCTTAAGACCCTGTCCAGACCATGGATTACATGGTGGCTCACACCTGTAATCCCAGCACTTCAAGAAGCCAAGGAGGATAGCTTGAGCCCAGGAGTTTGAGACCAGCCTGGACAACATAGTGAGACCTCATCTCTAGTTATTATTATTATTTTTTAAAAGATTCTATCCACCTTGCAAAATTGTTGTGGGGTTAATTGAGATAATGCAGTCAAGAGTACTTAGCACAGTGCTTGGTGTTAAAGTAAATGTTTATCTCACATTAGTGGTTCTTCTTGCTTGAGAGTGAAGACGGTCTTTTATTCCTCTTTGTGTTTCCTCTTCTGTGTTTCCCAGAGATCTAAGCAGAGGGCTTTGCACATAGGAAACAGTTAATCAGTACTTCTAGCTGAGTGGATTTGCTCTACTTGGAAGGAAAATTTTGTAAAGTTAGAATTTCTGTAGGACTATTGTGTTATGGTTCAGGTATACTTTAAGTAGATAAGCTTTCAGGTCCTGAGTGATTAATTTTTCAAGTTGGCAAAAACCATCTATAATAATTTGTAGTTTAACAAATATCAATTTAAAAATCCTCCCCCCAAAGCCCCACTTCTAATTCTTCTAAGTCAGTTCACATGTATTATTAAATATTTCCATGATTGATTTAGTGAATATTAATATATGATCATAACATTGTGCAGATTTTACATTATTGTACAAGTTTCTCACAATATAATTGTTAAAGTGAGATTTGGTGGAAAAAAGAAGAAGGATAGAGAAAATTGTGTTAGAATTTTTGGTAAAAATTTGTAGACAAAAATATTTTTAGCCCTGTATCTACATTGTTTCTATCAGTATAGTATTTGGTCAGTCTAAATTCCTATATGCCCCCAGGTAATTCACAGAATTTTTAGAGTTTGACCTGAGTAAATGTTCCTGCTTCATCACTCTCTGAAAGAGTATAGTTTTTAATGCAAACTCAAAGATAGCCAGAGAGAACCTTAGGTCAGGAGTGAGAGTCTATTATTACTCCCCACAGAACTTTCTCTAATCTTTATTAGATTTGCCAGATTACTTTTGGACATTGTTAGACTTATTAGTGCCATGTGAGGCCAAAGGGGTGGCAAACCTGATTTAGGCTCTGGAAGAAGCCTGTTTATTATACAGAAACCTCTTCTCACTTAGTGGCATAATTTCTTACTGCAATAGGTCTTTTAGAAACAGACCAACAAACCTGTCATGGCTGCTTAAGTTAGATGTTACGGGACTGAATTTGTATTATGCATCCAAAAATAATATACAATATGTAGATATAAAAAATTGTGTATATATTTTAAATAATTATGATTGAATATTCTAAAGTAAAAGCCAATCATTTCAAAAGTATTGGAAATAAAATGTACTAGGCCTCTCATCATTTTTGATAGTTATATTAATGAATGTAATTGTAGAGACTGTGCTTAAATTCAAAATCCTGTATCAAAAATTCCTAAAATAGTATTGCTTATCAAGTAATTTTTTTACTGTTTTAACTCAACACCTGGCATTTCCATATGAAAAGTATGACATATTGTTTATAGTTTTCATCAGAAACTCTTGGGGTGGGGCCTGTGTAGAAGGAAACAAATGTTCTTATTGTCTGTTGTTATGTAACAATGTTTAGAATCATAATATAGTAAATCTTTATTTGTCTAAGGAATCACCTGTTGATTCTACTTATAGAAATGGAATCTTTTTAGTTTCCTGGGGCATGTGTCACAAAGCAGTTTTCTGTTGTGCAGAAGTTATTCTAAAATTGGGTAGCTGAAATAGGTGAAAAATTCATAGATCTCTGTCTCTTTAGAGATATGACATTTTATGGACTTTGAGTTTTTTTTTAAGAAACACCTAATGCTATATACTCATTAGAATTACATTTTAAAAATCTGTCCTATTTTAAAGTTCAGATTTGTCTCCATGGAACACACCAACATTTGAGAAGGATCTGCATTCTCATGGCCCTTGTAATGACTTTAACTCTTTCAGGAAGGGGTGTTGGGAAAGGATCAGTTGGTATTGATATTTGGTATTTATTTACTTAGGTCATTACCTCAAATTATAGGTGAGTTGAATCAATTCATTCAGTTATATCATGGACAAATGTGGGGCTGAACTATTCTCTGAGGTTTGTTGCAAAATCAAGTGTCCTTTAGAAATACAACATTTCTGTCTAAAATGTAACCTTATAGTATCACTAGTGTGGAGGGCAGTGGGGAAGAAAAGGAAACTGTAAACATTTTAACAGAACCCTCAGTGTTTTTTGTAGGCTGAAGACCATGAGATGATTCGCTCTTCCTATTCTGTCTTCTTTCATGATTAGTCTTTCTCTCTGGGTTTAGCTTTCATCCTGGTTTTCTTTCCTGCACATCTTTGTCCTCAGTTGTATATTTTTGAGGAAATTTTCCTCTCTACATTTTTGAGAGCTGTTCTCAGATCCTAACCTTCTAACTGCTTGGTGGATTTTTAAAAGCTTAATATAGAGGAATGATTTAGTATATGGATGGGCTTAAGCATTCGTTTTTATAAAGTCCTGGACAAAAATAATGATGGTTTTTGTACCATGTATTTGCAGGGTGTGGTGTCTATCTGAAGAATATTTTACTTTCAAAGGAAAGATGCTGTCTCCAAATGATAAAATGTTAGGAAAACTGGATCCATTTTATCAACCTTCAGTGTCCAAGCAGAAGACCAGTGCAGAAATCATAAGTGAAGCAAGAAATGCATTAAGAACAGTTAGAACCCAAAGACCATTTACACCACAGGAGGCTCAAAGAAAACTATTCGGACCTGCATCCTCAAGAACATCAGAAAATAGACCTCCTTCCTCCTTCAGGTATATGGCATTTCACATTCATGTTCATTCAGATATTTAAGCACCAGGTTATACCTTCCCTTAATTCTACTTAAGGTTAGCTTTTAAAAATAGACTTATTTTTTAGAACAGTTTTAAGTTCACAGCAAAATTGAGTGGAAGGTACAGAGATTTCCCATGTACCCCCTACCACAACACATCTGCAGCATCTCATTATGACCATCCCCCACCAGAGTGGTACATTGGTTACCATCGACGAACATACTTTGACACACCATTATCACTCAAAGGCTGTAGTTCACATTGGCGTTCACTCTTGGTGTTGTACATTTTATGTGTTTGGACAAATTTCTGATGACATGTAACCACTATTATAGTATTATACAGAGTAGTTTCACTGCCCTACAAATTCTTCACTCTGCTTATTTTTCACTTCCTTCCCTCATCCCCTAGCAACCACTGATCTTTTTACTGTCTCCATGATTTTGCCTTTGCCAGAATGTCATATAGTTGGAATATACAGTATGTCACCTTTTCAGATTGGCTTCTTTGACTTAGTAATATGCATTTAAGTTTCCTCCATGATTTCTCATGGCTTGAATAGCTCATTTCTTTTTAGTGCTGAATAATATTCCATTGTCTGGATGTACCACAGTTTATCTATCCATTCACCTACTGAAGGACATCTCATTTGCTTCCATGTTTTGGCAACTACAAATAAAGCTGCTATAAACATCCATGTGTAAGTTTCTGTGTGGACATAAGTTTTCTTTCTTTTTGTTTTTCTTTTTTTTTTTTTTTTGAGATGGTGTCTTGCTCTGTTGCCCAGGCTGGAGTGCAGTGGCACGATCTCAGCTCACTGCAAGCTCTGCCTCCCGGGTTCACGCCATTCTCCTGCCTCAGCCTCCCAAGTAGCTGGGACTACAGGCGCCCGCCACCAAACCCAGCTAATTTTTTTGTGTGTTTTTAGTAGAGACGGGGTTTCACCATGTTTGCCAGGATGGTCTTGATCTCCTGACCTCATGATCCACCCGCCTCTGCCTCCCAAAGTGCTGGGATTACAGGCGTGAGCGACCTCGCCCGGCCAAGTTTTCAACTCCTTTGGGTAAACACCAAGGAGCATGATTGCTGGATCATATGGGAAGATTGCGTTTAGCTTTGTAAGAAACTGCCAAACTGTCTTCCAAAGGGGCTATATCATTTTGCCTTCCCACCAGCAATGAATGAGAGATCCTGTTCCTCCACATCCTAGCCAGCATTGACATTGTCAGTGTTCTAGATTTTGGCCATTCGAATAAGTGTGTAGTGGTATCTCATTGTTTTAAGTTACTTTCCCTGGACATGTGATGTGGAGCATCTTTTTATATACTTATTTTACATATGTATGTCTTCTTTGGTCAGGTGTCTGTTAAGGTCTGTGGCCCATTTTTTAAATGGGTTGTTTGTGTTGTTGAATTTTAAGAATTATTTATGTATTTTGGATAACAATTCATTATCTTACATGTCTTTTGCAAATGTTGTCTCCTGCTCTGCAGCTTTTCTTCTTCTTCTCTTGATAGTGTCTTTTGCAGAGCAGAAAATTTTAATTTTAATGAAGTCAAGCTTATCAATTCTTTCTTTCATGGATCTTGCTTTTGGTGTTGTATATTAAAAGTCATCGCAATACGCAAGGTTTTCTAGACTTTGTCCTATGTTATATTTTAGAGATTTTATAGTTTTGTGTTTTACATTTAGGTCTGTGATCCATTTTGAGTTAATTTTTGTAAAGGGTGTTAGGTTTGTTTTTTGTTTGTTTTTGTTTTTGTTTTTGCATGTAGATGCTAGATGTCCAGTTGTCCCAGCACTGTTTTTTTTTTCTAGGAATATGAGCCAAAGTTTTACTTGTTAATTTCTTGCATTTGAAGTACTCTTTGATAACATCCTTGGCTTGAGACTTTTCCCATAGTCCTACCACACAACTACAACCAACCATTTTATGGGGTTTCCCTCTCTGTCAGTTTTACAGAGACCTACCCATTACCCTAGTTTCTTGTCATCAACCTTAATTAGGTGGATTTGGTGTTCAGCTCAAAGGGCCTCCATCAATTTGACATACACAGGCTCATCACAGTTAGATGAAAGCCACAAAGATGGGCTTGGCTCTTGTCTGACGCTTTGACAGCTTCGCAAATTCCTTGTGCTAGGCTGACCTGGATGAGAGTGGTCTTCAGCACCTCTTTTAAAGCAGTATTAACATCCACTGCACCTCCAGCAGCAGTGTCTTCCTCAGCCATGGCAATGGGTTATGAGGGAAGGTGGATCTTGAATACACTGAGCCTCCACCTCAGCGAAAGAGCCCAGCACCATTTTTTGAAGAAGCTATGTTTTCTCCATTGTATTGCCTTTGCTCCTTTGTCAAATATCAGTTGACTGTATTTATGTCAGTCTAGTTTTGTGCCCTCTATTCTGTTCCATTGATCTGTTTGTCTTTTCTTTCACCAGTACTATACTGTCTTTATTATTGTAGCTTTATAATATGTCTTAAAGTCAGGGAGTGTCAGCCCTTTTAATTTGTTCTTCTTGTTCAACATTGTGTTGGCTAGTCTGGGTCTTTTGTCTCTCCATAGAAACTTTAGAATCAGTTTGTCAATGTCTACAAAATGACTTGCCAGGATTTTGACTGCGATTGCATTGAATCTATAGATCAAGTTGGGAAGAACTGACATATTGACAATATTGAGTCTTCCTAGCCATGAAAATGGACGATCTCTTCATTTATTTAGTTTTTTGATTTCTTTCACTGAGTTTTATAGCTTTCCTCATCTAGATTTTATCCATATCTTGTTAGATTTATAACTAAATATTTAGTTTTTGGAGTGCTAATATAAATGATAATGTGTTTTCATTTCAGTTTCCAACCTTGTATCTTGCAACCCTACTATAATCACTTATTAGTTCCTGGAGCTTTTTGTCAGCTCTTTAGGATTTTCTACATAGATAATCCTGTTATCTGGAAAGAGTTGTTTCTTCCGTCCCAATCTGTATGCTTTTAATTTCTTTTTCTTGTCTTATTGCATTAGCTGGGATGTTCTGTATGATACTGAAAAGCAGTAGTAAGAGGGGACATCCTTGCCTTCTTCCTCATCTTAGTGGGAAAACTCTTATCATAAAATATGATGTTAGCTGTAGGTTTCTTGTAGATATTCTTAGAAGTTTTCTTCTATTCCCAGTTTGCTAAGAATTTTTATTATGAATGAGTGTTGGATTTTGCCAAATGCTTTTTCTGTATCTGCTGATATGTATTCTCTTTAGCTTGTATTTTATGTATCTTCTTTAGCTTGTGGTGTGATAGATTACATTGATTGATTTTCAAGGTAGTTGTCTTTTTAAATTTGACTTTTGTTCAAAATTCCTAAAAGTAATTACAAACATTGGTTCAGGAAGTTACTTTGGAATGAAATGGTTACTAGCAGTTGTCCCATACCAGCTTTATAAAGTGATATGAACAAAGCTTTTTAAAAAATTACTCTATACACTTCTTCTTTTCATTATTCAGTATTTTTTAAACTTCCTAAAAGTAATCAAAAGACTTGTTAATCAACTGTTTTAAGTACAATAACATGAAAAAATGTTTTTCCTCATGGTTTATGCATTGCATCCTTTTACTTGTTTTTTAGCTAGGGTTAACTAATATATACTATAAATAAAGAAATAATTCTTCACAAACTAACACTCTGCACCATCTTTTATGCTAGCCTCCATGCATCCAGTTTTGAGTCATCTGATTCCAGGCCTATCTCTGGCACACGTCTTAGTCCACTAGAGCTGGTGAGTACTTTGTATAACCACCAGTAATTTATATTATGTTGTGAAATGAAATTGGCCAAAAACACTTGGAATCAGTACTTATATATGCTATGATAATTATCATGTACACCTAAATAGACTAATAATTTAATATGAAAACAGATTCTTTTATATTGTTCAAATGTAATGGGTAATATCTAATGAAATACTTCTATAATTTACCTATAGTTTGATAATAAAGAAGAATTTTTAAAATATATAATAACTTGGTAAGCAATATTTCACAATATTTTTGCTTTCTTAGTTATACATATGTATTATTTTCTTAACAGTTATATATACAAAAATTAGATGTATAATTTATATTAAAGTTATATATCTTATACATATATAAAAATCATATATATTTATATGTAGTCTCTCTATATATACATTTACATATAAATATATGTATTCAAAGATTTATTACAAAAAAACTAACAAAAATCCAATGGTCTCCTGTCCCCTTGTTCTTCATTGTTCCCTCCTCAGTGGCTTTCACTTTAAGCTCTTTCGACACATCCTTTTAGGATTTACATCCAGACTTCCCAATGCCACACTGTCTTGCTGCTTTCTGACTTATGAGCTTGAGGAATTATCTAATGACTTCTAAGGAAGATGAAGATTTAGTTTCTGTCTGTCTTTTTGCCTCTTATCACAATGCGTTCACCTTTTCTATCCCCACTATTACTCCCATATAGATATAACTTTGGTTAGATCTGTTTTCTCTGACTGTGATTACATAAACCCTGTTCATAGCTGAGACTTGAATTAATGATAAATTCTCCTTTCCTGTACCACTTTTTGTTTTCCCTGGCATTAATAATTGCCTTACTTTTAAAGTTTTGTATTATTAGTATTTCAACCCCAAACTCTTCCCCAGTGGCCTTAATCACCTTCTATGTTCAGGCACATGAGGCATTCTATGGATTTACCTCCTTGGAGAACTCTTCACACGTCCTGCCCAACCACTTTCCCTGAGCACCTGGTGCACAGCTCTCCTGGGGTGCCCCTCACCATCCTCCTGGGGAGACGGCTTCTCCTTGTGCTGGCTTTTTCGTGGTTCTTATGTCTCAAGTCCTCTTTCTTGATTTACTGTGGATTTGGTAGAGCATTCCCTCCTATAGTTTCTTGAGAAAGGGTACATGGGAAGTAAATTATTTGAAACCTTGATTCCTGTTTTTTCTTCTCTGGAAGTTTGTAGGATGTTTCTCTTTGTTTCTAGTGTTCTGAAATTTAATAACAATGGTCCTTTGTGTGAGTCTATTTTTATCAATCATGCTGGGTACTTGAAGGGCCCTTTCAATGTGGAATTTCATGCCTTTCAGTAAACATGGATATTAATTGAATATTTAATATCATCATAGTGTCTTACCCACTTTTTTGTTCTGTTTGCTCTTTCTAGAATTTATTATTCAGATGTAGGACTTCCTGGCTGGGCGTGGTGGCTCACGCCTGTAATCCCAGTGCTTTGGCGGACCCAGGCAGGCAGATCACCTGGGGTCCGGAGTTCGAGACCATCCTGACCAACATGGTGAAACCCTGTCTCTACTAAAAATACAAAATTAGCTGGGCATGGTGGTGCATGTTTGCAATCCCAGCCACTAGGGAAGCTGAGACAAGAGAATTGCTTGAACTCGGGAGATGGAGGTTGTAGTGAGTTGAGATTGCACCATTGCACTCCAGCCTGGGCGACAAGAGTGAAACTCTGTCTTAAAAAAAAAAAAAAAAAAGATGTAGGACTTTCTGGACTGACACTTCAGTTTTCTTATTTTCTCTCTTTTCTGTTTTACATCTTTTTGTGGAAGAGACTGTATTCTGATCCCTTTATTGAGTTTTTTTTTCATTTCTGCTGTCATATTTTTAATTTTCAAAAGTTTTTTTCCCTCTACATTATCTCTTTGTATAGTAGTCTGTTCTTATTTCATGGTTGTAGCATGTTATCTGAGTATATTAGTGGTAGTTTTGATTTTTTAACTAAGTTTTCTTCTCCCTTTATAGTCTCTGTTGCATTTTTGTCTCTGCTTTTTACACTAGAGACTTCCTCTGATGCCTCATGCTGTTTGTTTGGCTGTTCTTAAGAGTAGTGGCAGCCAGGCGCGGTGGCTCATGCCTGTAATCCCAGCACTTTGGGAGGTTGAGGCGGGTGGGTCACGAGGTCAGGAGACCGAGACCATCCTGCCTAACACGGTGAAACCCAGTCTCTACTAAAAATACAAAAAATTAGCCGAGTGTGGTGGCAGGTGCCTGTAGTCCCAGCTACTCAGGAGACTGAGGCAGGAGAATGGCTTGAACTGGGGAGGCGGAGCTTGCAGTGAGCCGAGTTCGCGCCACTGCACTCCAGCCTGGGCGACAGAGCAAGACTCCATCTCAAAAAAAAAAAAAAAAAAAAGAGTAGTGGCATGTGGATTGAGGTTGGTCAACCTATAGGTGGTATCTACCCACACCTGTAGTTAGGGGGATCTGACTGGGCTGTGTTGTTGATGACACCCCAGTGGCAGTATCTTTAGGACTTTTCTTATGGGCTAGTTATATTCTCTGTAAAGAAGTATCTTCCACGCTGTTTCCTGGATGTTAAAGTCTGGTTGCTAGCTTCCAGGTGCAGGAAGAAGGTGAGAATGCCCAGCATTTAGGATATAAATATTCAATTAACATCCATGTTTATAATAAGTACTCTGACCTCAACAATAAGGGTACTTACAGTAATAGTACCCTTACTTATTGACCTCAATTAAGGAAGACCCTCTGTTTTACCTTCTTTAGAGAATAAACCCATCTTCTTCTGGCTTTGGTAGCCTGACTGCATGGAGCTGGGAAGGATGGAATTACACAGAATTTCAGCTAATCCTCCTTACTTTAGCCACTCCTTCCCTTCTACCTCTGCTACCAAAAGTACTTGGTGATACCAGTTCCCTAGGCTTTATGAGATTGGTATGTTAGTCAAGCGCTTCTCAATTTCTGTTACTCTGTGTTTGTGTGTATGTGTGTTTGTATGTGTGTGTGCGTGCACACGCATGTGCTTGTATGTATGTTTGTTTTGGATGAACCATTTGAAAGTAAGTTGCAGACATTGTGATACTTCATCCACAAAAATTTAAGTGTGCATCTCATATGAACAAGGACAGTCTCCTACATAACCATGATACCATCATCATAGCTCAGAAAATTAACATTACTCAGTAATATCATTTAATGTATAGTCCATGTCCAAATGACCCCAATTGCCTCAAAATGTATCTTATATTTTTAAAGTATTTATCAGAATGCCTCTGTGAGGAAGATTATACTTGTTCATGTATTGCAGATGACAAAAACAAGATCCCAAGATAGCAAGCACGAACCAATATTGCAAGAAATAATTTGCCAGCTATTGTTGACACATGGCTTGTTAACGTCTACAACCTTGGGAACCACTTGGGTTTTGAGCCAGCTACAGCCTGAGGACCCAGTTCGGCAGCTCGGTGGCTCTACCTTATTGTAGAGTGGCTCTTTATTCTATGATTCTGTTGTTTGACTCCTGTAAATTGCTTTTAATATTACTGTAGTTTTTTGGGGACTCACTCAGTTTGGGACTCAGTTTGGGTTTACCCTTCCCTTAAAAAGAATCTCATTTTCTAGAGATAACCTGGTCCTTGTCAAACTGGTACAGTTCTTGGACTGCAGAATTAGCTATTGGGCTAAGACAAGATAGGCATTTATCTGTTTAGGGTCATTGAACTTAAATTTCCATACCTCTGAATGGTTGGGTGCTATGTTCACAGTAAAAGTAGACGGCTAGGCTCAGTGGCTCATGCATGTGATCCCAGCATTTTGGGAGGCTGAAGTGGGCAGATCACCTGAGATCATGAGTTCGAGACCAGCCTGGCCAACATGGTGAAACCCCGTCTCTACTAAAAATATAAACATTAGCCAGGTGTGGTGGCGCATGCCTCTAACCCCAGCTACTCTGGAGGCTGAGGCAGGAGAATCACTTTAACCCAGCAGGCAGAGGTTGCAGTGAGCCAAGATTGTGCCACTGCACTCCAACCTGGGTAATAGAGTGAGACTCATCTCAAAAAAAAAAAAAAAACAAAAAAAACAAACAAAACCAAAAAGCAAAGTAAAAGTAGTCTAAGAAGTTCCCATTTTAAGGAAAGTGACTGCTTAATTTGAGATTGTGGTCGTTGATGTTATTGTGGATTATGTGAGGGTCTTAAGTACATTTCATTTTAAATAGTAATTAAAATTTGGGGCCCCCAGTCAAAAAATTCTGAAAATGTCCCCATGCTACCTGACCTTCCACCTTTTTTCTTCTTTATCACTTCATTTTTTTAAAGAACTCTTTGCCTCTGATAACCACTAAATTGGCAAAGGGCAGAGATAGGGGAAGGGAGAGGGAGTGGAGAGAAGGAGATAACTGGAGAGAGAGGGAGAGAGAGTGGCAGAGGAGTGTCTCACAGTTAAGGGACACATTTGCTGAAAGAGTTTGTGAGGACCTAACCAGTTGAATCTCAGTGCTTTTTGGATCTAGGACACTTTTCAGACCAGTTTGCCTTTTAACAAGTCCTCCACCAGCAGTCAGTCAGGGAACAGGGACTCAGACAGCAGCCTTTCAGCTCCTACATTGAGCAGATTAGCTCAATGCTGCTTTTGTACAGCTGCCCTCTCTCTTTCTCCCCATCCTATCTGGCATGTGCTCCCCACTCACCCTCCAGCGGGCAATGGGCTGCCCACACTCAGGACTGCCCAGTGCTTCTGAGAAGAGGAAGAGCTGACGCTTGTGGTTCCTGATTGCTCAGGCCCTGCCCTCCAGCCCGACTTGCCCAGGGGGTTCCTGTTAGCAGAAACACTCTGATTTGTAGGGTTTTGTTTGTTTGTTTGTTTTGTTTTTTCTGAGACAGAGTCTCGCTCTGTCACCCAGGCTGGAGTTCAATGACATGATCTTGGCTCAGTACAGGTGTGCACCACCACACCTGGCTAATTTTTGTAATTTTAGTAGAGATTGGGTTTCATCATGTTGGCCAGGCTGGTCTCAAACCCCTAGCCTCAAGTGATCCCCCCACCTTGGCCTCCTAGAGTGCTGGGACTACAGGCATGAACCACCATGTCCGCCTGATTTGTTGTCTTTCATTAACGTTTATATCTACCTGCTATATAGGTGTGCCAGTTTACGTCTTTTTTCCTTCTTAGCAGCTCCCAGCTGCTCCACAAGAGCACTGAGACCTGGGGCAGTTGGGTGATAGTTACTCCATTTTTCTTCTACTCTAGTTAGATGGTGTTCAAATTTCGTTCACACAGAGATAACTGCTCTCTTGCTTTGAATTGTATAAAGTCAGAAAAGAGGTGTGACCATGTGAATACACAGGAAGTGTTGTCTTTCATCATTATTTTAGTCAACAAAATAGAATTTTCTTGGTTTCCTAAACTTACCGAGTCCAGTGATGTAAACCCCAAATGTTTTCGTTCAACTTTTTATTGACACAGAAGAATTCAGCTTGATACATTTACACAAACTAAACACACTCAGTAACCAGCATTCAAAAGGAAAAAATAGATCACTGCCAACATCATCAAATTGATCATTTCTGGGCTCAGAATCCGCCACCATGGCCCCTCTCAGCCACTGCCTCCTCTGGGCAACTACCAGCCCCACTTCTAACAGCGTGGATTAGTTTGAGCCACATAACTGAGCTCCAGGTAATTGATAAGTGAAACAAAATTTAATATTTTTAAAAGAAAGGGACCTAGGAACTCATATAAACCTTGGGGATGGGCGATCCAGGGTAAGACAAGTAGAGTAGAGCCAAAGCAGTGTTTTTTCTTTCACAATTGCTGAAGCAAACAGTGACATTACAACAGTGAGTCACATGCCAAGAGTGACAGAGGACCCCAGTGTACCTGTGGAGAAAATCATAGTTAATAGAAATGCACACAGAACTGCCGCGTCACAAAGGTTCTGTGCTTGTGTGATTTTTTTTTCTTTTCTTTTTTTTTTTTTTGAGATGGAGTCTTGCTCTGTCACCAGGCTGGAGTGCAGTGGCATGATCTCAGCTCACTGCAACCATTGCCTCCCGGGTTCAAGTGATTCTCCTGCCTCAGCCTCCCAAGTAGCTGGGACTACAGGCGCCCACCACCATGCCCAGCTAATTTTTATATTTTTAGTAGAGACGGGGTTTCACCATGTTGGCCAGAATGGTCTCGATCTCTTGACCTTGTGATCCACCTGCCTTGGCCTCCCAAAGTGCTGGGATTACAGGCATGAGCCACCACGCCTGGCGGCTTGCGAGAATGTTTAATATTTGCTTTCTGACTTTCAAGGTGTCTTTTGTTGCGTGTGTGTGTTTGTGTGTGTGTGTTCTGCTGCTTTACAGATTAAATTGTGAGCACCTTTCTGGGGTGAGATGTCCTGAACTCCCTTTTCCAGTTGTCACATAGGATCGGGGGAGACCCTGTTGGGTGATCTGGAAGAGCCAGGGCAGAAATTGGCCAAGGTGACGGTGCTTGGAAGAATTGTGGTCAGCCTGATGGATACCTTAAACGTTCTATGTATTGTGTCTTCTTTGACGGGGTTGTCCTATGGAAATAGACTGTGTGTCCTCAATGGACTCTAACAGGTCCACCAGCCAGAACAGACCTTAAAATATGACTGTGTCTGTGTCCTTGATTATACTCAAGTCATGGGTTAGTGTCAGGAAACAAAATGTGAGGTAGTTAATATTCTCAAGTGAATTTTTTTTTTTTTTTTTTTGAGACAGAGTCTCCCTCTGTCACCTGGGCTGGAGTGCAGTGGTGCAACCTCCACCTCCCAGGTTCAAGCAATTCTCCTGCCTCAGCCTCTTGAGTAGTTGGGACTACAGGCATGCACAACCATGCCTGGGTAATTTTTGTATTTTTAGTAGAGATGGGGTTTCATCATGTTGGCTAGGCTGGTCTTGAACTCCTGACCTCAGGTGATCCCCCCGCCTCAGCCTCCCAAAGTGCTGGGATTACAGGCATGAGCCACCGCACCTAGCCCTCAGGTGAAAATTTAAACTTACTTGCAACATTTTCTGATTTCTAAAATTATTCAAATTTTATAAGAGAAACATGTTTGCTGTTTTTCTTTATAAAAGTCATTTTACTCCACAGCGTGAAAGAACATTTTGTAGAACTTGGCATAAAAGAAATTGCTGAGTCATTTAGTTGTTTTCTCTTAAAGAATTAAAAATGCTTTACATATGTCACTTTATATTCTAAGTAGTCCCATGAGATGCGTGTTTAAATGGGACACATAATTTATTAAATGTCAGTAGTAAAATGGAACCGAATTTTTATTATATACAGTTACTAATTTTGCACTAAGAAAATAATGCCTTTTATTGAGGAGCATTTGTGGGACTTTGCTCTTGCCCTGCAGAGAAAATTCGGTGACTCTCTTTTGGGGAAATTTGCTTTCCAAACCATATTTTCACTCTTTATAAAATCTTTTGGCTGAGTGTGGTAGCTCATGCCTGTAATTCCAGCACTTTGGGAGGCCAAGGCAGGAGAGCTTTTGAGCTCAGGAGTTTGAGACCAGCCTGGGCCACATAGGGAGACCCTGTCTCTACAAAAAATAAAAAATTAGCTGGGTGTGGTGGTGCATGCTTGTAGTCCCAGCTACTCAGGAGGCTGAGGCTGGAGAATTGCATGAGACCAGGAAGTCAAGGCTGTGGTGAGCCATGATCGTACCACTGCACTCCAGCCTGGGTGACAGAATGAGACCCTGTCTTAAAAAAAAAAAAAAAAAAAAAAGATCTCTCATTTAGTACAGTTTGGGTGTCTGTAGAAGGAGCTGTTTACTTTGTCTGCATGATTGTTAGTTGACAGATTTCTTGATCTTTGTTTCAGTTTCAGGGTACCTGCAGAATACAGACATTTTGAGTTAAGAAAACCACACGTCTATCTTCAAAATTGAGATTACCCTCTATATTTCATTTTTCATAATTGCACAGAAAACACCTATTTTCCTGTATTACAGTCTTAGCTTTTCTGTTCCTATTAGCTTCATGGCCTAAGTAACATTCCTATGATTATTTTGCAACAAAGTGGGGAGGCTAAAAAGTAAAGTGATTACTTGTTAAACAAATATAGTGCAACTTATGCAGACAAACAAGTGTTACCTCCTTCAGAACAGACCCCTCAGAATCCAATATCTTAATTCTAACAAGCCTGCGTCAGAGGCTAGGGCCTTGACTATGAGAGGAGTTAAAAGTAACTTGGAACCAAACCTGATAAATAAGGGGTGAGCAACTTACATGGGGAAGGGAACTGGCATTTCTTGAGCTTCCATAATAGGAATTGTGTTTATGGGAATGGCCCTGTAAGAAGGAGACTACTGTCTCTGTGTTATAGCTGGGCAGTTTCAGAGAAGTAAATGGCCTGCACAAGTTCACATAACTAGTGAGTGGGTCCTTCTCCAGGTCTCCAAAAGTGATTTATGCTTTCTTCCATATTATGATGATTATTTTATTTACTGTTTTTTTCTAACTGTGTTAGAAAAATGTGTCTTTAATATCATAGAACAATTTTTTTGGTCTGGTTTATAAATCGATCCTAAATACAAATGAACAAGAGGAAATAAACATTTTGAAGAATGTCATCATTATTGAAATGAACAACTTCTTGGAAGGAACACCCTAATATAGATGTCTATGTTCTATTCATGTATGTGGGAAAACAAGTGTTTGGGATTATGCGTCATACGTGATAAATGACATCACCCAATTTTCCAAATTATATGACTTGAATTTCACACTGGATGTTTCAAAAATTTGTTGATTAACTTATTGGATAGTGACTCACTCATTCACATGTTATAGAAGTGACTTTAGGAATGTTAACTTGATTATTTTTGGTTAGAGCTAAAAACACTTGCTGCCATAAGGTTGTTCTTTCATAGGCAAATAACTGTGCTGACATTGGAGGCAGGAAGGATAAGACCACCAGGCAACTGTAAAACTAGGAGCTGAGTCACCCTGTGAGGGTCTGGCATCAGGTCGGAGGCCACTCAGATTAGAGGGAGTTCTGGGTGGCACAGAACTTGGTGCAGGTGTTTTTTTTAAAGTTTTTAAGGAATTAGAATTTTGTTAGTAATGTTCCTCTACTAAGAGTATCAGCATCGACACTTAAGAAAAGATGGGGGAAAAAATAGGGAGTATCAGCATAGAATTTCTGAGATGTAAAAAATAAAACATTTTCGGCTGGGCACAGTGGCTCACGGCTGTAATCCCAGCACTTTGGGAGGCCAAGGCAGGTGGCTCACCTGAGGTCAGGAGTTCGCGACCAGTCTGACTAACAGGGTGAAACCCTGTCTCTACTAAATACAAAAAAAAAAATTAGCCAAGTGTGCTGGTGCATGCCTGTAATCCGAACTACTTGGGAGGCTGAGACCGGAGAATCGCTTGAACCTGGGAGGCGGAGGTTGCGGTGAGCCAAGATCGTGCCATTGCACTCCAGCCTGGGCAACAAGAGTGAAACTTCATCTCAAAAAAAAAAAAAGTTAGCTGGGTGTGGTGGCAAGCTCCTTTAATCCTAGCTACTCGGGAGCTGAGGCCGGAGAATCACTTGAATCCGGAAGGCGGAGGTTGCAGTGAGCCGAGATCGCACCATTGCACTCCAGCCTGGGTGACAAGAGTGAAACTCCATCTCAAAATAAATAAATAAATCAATAAATAGAAACAAAACACTTTCATAAGTCCAAGACAACTTTTTGCTTTTATGTTTTATGACTTTTCCACCTAACTTATTTAAAAATTTTGATATCATTAAAAAAATACATTTGTGGCATCCAAAATATGTAAATGTACCACTTACATTCCACATAATTCTTGGTACATGTAGGTACTCAACAAATGTTTTCTGAACTGAATTGAACTCAGAAATTTTTAAAGCATGTTGAATATGCTATATGTAATTTTGTAGTCTTTTTTTATTTGGGGGTGGGGGGGCGGGATGGAGTCTTGCTCTGTCACCCAGGCTGGAGTGCAGTGGTGCAGTCTTGGCTCACTGCAACCTCCAACTCCTGGGTTCAAGCAATTCTCCTGCCTCAGCCTACTGAGTAGCTGGGACTACAAGCATGCGCCACCATGCCCAGCCTATTTTTGTATTTTTAGTGGAGATGGGGTTTCACCATATTGGTAAGGCTGGTCTTGAACTCCTGACCTCAAGTGATCCACCTGCCTCGGCCTCCCAAAGTGCTGGGATTGCAGGCATGAGCCACTGCGCCCGGCCAATTTTGTAGTCTTTTATACAGATAATATCTGTTTGCTAGCATGGGTAAACTGTTTTACTCAAGTATGGTAATAGCACAGCAGAGTAGTTAATACAATATGATTAAGAAAAACAATTAAAAAGTGCTTTATGTATACATATATCACATTATGTAAGATGGGCCAGTGAGTTGGTAGAATCAGGAAGCCAAGATGAAGGCAGGCAGATAGGCCTTGTGCTCTTCTGGAAGGGTTGTGGCCAGCTCTGAGGTAAGTGTTATTTGAGACGCAGAAAGTCATTCCAGTTATTTAAAAAAATCTCTTTCCAGAAACCGAAAGTTCCAGCATCTCCCACCAGAGAGGAGGATTCCTGCTTTTCCTTTCCTAAGCCCCCAGTGGACCCTGCGAAGATTAGAAGAGTAAGCAACGCCAGGGCTCGCTTATTCAGGGCTGCCTCCCAGCGGGCCCTTCTGCCGGACAGATCCCTTCCTCCCTCCGACTGTAAGGCCATGTAACATCCTGTAATCTCTGGGGACAGGCATGCTTCTTGAATTTGCACACAAAAGCTAATTTTATATGATTTTTCCTAACCCTGGATGATTTTTATATTAACTAAGATTAGTTAATATTGGGCAAAAGCTGGCTAAGAAACATTGTTCATATATTTTTCTGGGTGCTTATAAGGAATACCTAAATATTACAGTTGGTAGGAAAAGGAAATTAGGATAAGTGACTGGGCGCGGTGGCTCATGCCTGTAATCCCAGCACTTTGGGAGGCCAAAGCGGCCAGATCACCTGAGATGAGGAGTTCGAGACCAGCCTGGCCAACATGGTAAAACCCTGTCTCTACTAAAAATACAAAACTTAGCTGGGTGTGGTGGCACGTGCCTGTAATCCCAGCTACTCGGGAGGCTGAGGCAGGAGAAGTGCTTGAAACCAGGAGGTGGAGGTTGCAGTGAGCTGAGATCGTGCCACTGCACCCCAGCGTGGGTGACGAGCAAGACTGTCTCAACAAAAAAGAAAAAAAAGAATATTAGGATAAGTATTCCCTAGTGGATGGTTCATGTATATTAGAAATAAATGATTTTTAAATTAGAGTTCAAAAAGTTGTTAATTTTATTAGAAATTAATGAAAATGATAAGATTCTTATAATGCACATTAAGCTTATTTCTTTGAGAATGCCCTTCTGATCCCGTGTGAGCATGTAAGCAAAATTTGAATGGGACTTCTACTGCCTGAGAATTGCTGCCAGGCACCTAAACCTGGGAACAGAGAGGCTAAAGATCACAGCCTGAGGAGTCCCACCAACAATTGGAATCACTCCCCATCCAGGGCATACTAAGGGTTTCTCAAACTGTGGAAAAGGACCCAGAAGTGGGATGACAATCAATTTAGTGGATCACACCAGCATTTTTAAAAAATGAAGTAGAATAGAATATAATAGAAAATGTCAGAATACATGACACACGATAGGGGTAAGTATTGCTTCAAGAGACTTTACTTCGGTCTTCAGTGTGTGTTCAGGGTCATATTACAAACTGATTTCTGACTGTGTGTGGTCAAAAAAAGTGGAAACCACTTTACCAGGAGCTGACAGAACTGGTTCTCCCTCCATCAACAAGATTTGATGAAGAGAGATAGGCTTACAGTCACAGAGAATTGGGGAGAGCCTGGAAGATACATACCAAAGATCACAGCCCCCACCTGAGCATCATACTTGACAGACAAGTATTTTTTTTTAATTCATTTCCAACATTTAAAAGGTAGAAGAATCTCATGGAAGAATCCAGATTTATGACTTCTTGTGAAAAATCAGAAAATCTGGCAACACTGGGTCCCCATTCCATGCAGCCACAATGGGGCATGATCGGAGCTGAGTGGTACCTCCATTCTGTGGCCAGGATATGATCTGCAGTCACCATGTCCCCAGCCTGTGCCATTCACTTGCCTGTGTGGTCCCTGATGTGGCTGAAGAGTTAGAATAAAGGAGAAAAAGAAAGAAAGAGAGAGAGAAAGAGAGAGACAGAAAGAGAAAGGAAGGTAGGAAGGAAGGAAGGAAGAGAGGGAAGGAGAGAGGGAAGGAGGAAAGGAAAGAAAAAAGGAAAGAAGGAAAGAAAAAGAAGAGAGGGAGGGAGGAAGGAAGGAAGAAAAGAGAAGAGAAAAGACAAGACAATGAGGATGTGCAGGGTGTGTACCTCATGCTGTGATGCCATGACCAAGTAGATCATCAGGCAACTTGCTTTACCTTGATGTCCCGATTTGTTTCCTTTCTTACACTGCCAGTCGATCTGATATTTATCAAACTCCTACTAAGTGCCAGGCACCATTCTAGGCCAACAAAGTTCTGTCCTCAGAGAGCTTACAATCTAGTGAGAGGAGATAGACAATGACAGGAGAACAAATAAGTAAGAGAATTTGAGTGCTGATGAATGCTCTGAAGAAGATAAACAAGATAATGGACTCGAGAGTGACTGTGGTGGGGTAATTTGCTTTAGCTCAGGTGGCTCTGAAAGGTATCTTTGAGGAGCTGGCAGCTGAATAGGAAGGTGCCTCATGAGAAGGAGGCAGCCATGTAAAAATCCATGGACCAAGTGTCCACATGGAAGGAAAAGCGAGTGCAATGACCGGGCACGAGAGCAAGTGCTGGTGGTGGAGGACCTGGAGGTCCAGTGGCTGGAAAGTGGCTGATCAAGGGAAGTTGGAGAGAGCTGAGGCCACAGAACTGCCCAGGGCCTCAGAATATGGAAAACACACCCAGCTGTGTTTTACTTGTAGTGAAAAGATAGGGTTTACCAAAGGGAGAGACAATGTGATGTAGGTTTTTTCACCAACAGCAGTTCTCAGCTGTAGCTGCCCATGAGAATCACCTGAGGAGCTTTTCAAACGCTCCCCCCGCAACCCGAGTCCCGTGTCAGCTCAGGTAAATCAGAAAGGGTTGGTAATTGCAGGAACAAAGGGTTTGCCAAGATGAGAGGGGCTGGGACCTGGAGGTGAAGGGCACTTCTTATGAACAGGATGGCAGGATTGGTGCAAGGACTCATACCTTGTTTTTTATTCTGTGTTCTTGCTTGTGAGGTTGAATACTGTGTGTTTCATGTATTTTTAACTTTTGGGAGTGCATGCTAGAAAACCCTGCTGCTTGCTGAGGTACACACTGATGTGAAAGTGACCACAGAGATGAATGCTTTGCCCACCATCCCCCTCCTCAGTGCTTCCCCAGTGGCTTAGCTCCTTCCCCGCTGGGGTACCTGCCTGTTGTCTGCATGCTCTGGGAGGTGCCCTCTGCAGCTGTGATTTCCCAGCACTGAGGCCAGCTTCACACCTCCAAGGTGCACTGAAGCATGTTTTCATCGTGGTTCTTTTATCCACCCTGTTTGCAGTCACCCCTCTTCACCATTCAGGTCATCCCTGAGGTCTGGGCCAGCATTCAGGAAATACTGGCAACAAAAAGTCATTGTTATTTTAAAAGCACATGTCATCCAATTATAAAGTTATAAAAAATATTTGAGCTCTCCAGCCTTGGAATCATTGTCATTTGTATAAGAGCTCCCTGGGTTTCATTTCAGATCTTCTCTATTGTTTAGAAGAGGTAGGCTTTGTGGAGTAACTGAGGCTGCAGAAATGGAGGGCATCCCTTTGTTTGCTGTGAAGTCATTTGTGGCTGATGCTACCCCACAGGCAGGGCCGGGGTGTGGTGGCAGGTTTGGAATTCCTGCTTCAAGACAGTGAAAGAGGAAGAGATTTGTGTAGTCATCTCCAAAAGGCCAGCAGTATAACTGCTTTGCGTTCACACAGGGTTTTTGGCTGGAGGTGGCACTGCTGTGAATGCTTCCCCAGTTATTCAAGCCAGACAAGAGGCCTGAGAGCAGTACCACCTCCTCAGCCATCCCTGTCACACTCTCCGTCACCAAGCCCTACACGTGCTTCCTGACTAGCTCTCGAGTCTGCATTCTCCCTCACCACCGCCATGCTGCCTCCATCCCTCTTGCCTCATCCTGTTTTGCTGCTCTTAAACCACCGTCTGCTCACTGGGGTGCTGTGATGGTCTGCAGGTGGGTGGATGCGAGGCCCTCAGCCAGAGGAACAGCCAGTGGAGCCTGAGGATGCTGAGCTCCCAACACGACATGGCTGTGAGCAGCAGCCTTATCCCTTTATCCCAGGGGACCATGAAAAATGATCATTTTCTGTGTGTTCCATAAAGCACAAGAGGTCGGGAAGCAAATAAAGATCAGATTGCACCACCCTCTTGCTGAAAACCCTTCAGAGGCCCTGTTGTGCCTACAGAAGTGTTTGCCAAACTGAGTTCCAGGGAACTCCAGGGAACACTTTTGGCAAAATGTTAATAGCTTCTCTTTGGAAAAAGGGTTCAGTGCTCAAATAGGTCAGGGAAACACTGCCTACCCCTCATCTTCTTGGAGAGTCTCTGCACATGAGCGTATTAAAGTGTTGGTGGAGAAATCTGTTTAATTTTAATTCAACACAGCATTTCACAAACCTGCTGGACTGTGGGATCTGTCTTTTGGGAACACAATTTGGGAAACACTAGCCTACTGTAGAAGTTGGCAAACTTTTTCTGTAAAGGGCCAGATAGTCAATATTTTAGACCTGGTCCTTATGGTCTCTGCTCAGCCTCCTCCGTTTTGTATTGTAGCATGGAAGCAGCCATCCACCAATTTATGGCCACTGAAACTTGAATTTCATGTAATTTTCACTTGTCACAAAATATTGTTCTTTCTTTGATTTTTTTTCTAACCATTTAAAAATACAAAAACCGTTCTTAGTTTGCAGGCTATACGAAAATGAGATAGGGCAGATTTGGTGGGGTTTGTAGTTTGCTGAGCTCTGGTGGGGGTGGCGGGGGATGACATCCCAGCACCTCCAAGTGCACAGCTGTGTTGTGATCCAGCCCCAGCGTAACATTCCAGGCCCTGCTCACGCCTGTCCTGGGCCTGCCCCCTCACGGTGGGTGCACCGGCAGGGTGGAACCCCTTGTTGTTCACCACACCCACCCTGCTGTTTCAAGCCTCAGGGAGAACCTATGTAATTTGCTGGGCCCAATGCTGAATGGAAATGTGGGGCCCTTTGTTCAAAAATTATTAAGAGTTTCAAGATAGCCACAGCAGAGCCTTAAAACAAGTATAGGCCCTTCTAAAACTGGGGCCCTGCCTGACTGTACTGGCAATACACACTTGAAGCTGGCTTTCACTCCAGACTTTTGTTCTCTTTTCTTCAAGCTGTTTACGTCTTATTAACCATTCAAAATGCTTCTCAGCCCCCACCTCCTCTGTGAAGCTTTCTCTGACCAACTCCCAACCCCTCAAGCTTTCTCCACTCTCTCTGCCCCCTCCTTACCTGGCTGGGGTCACACTGGGCTTCATTTATCTCTTTACACATCTGCCCCCTTTGTCTCCCCTGCTAGATAGAGCAACGTCATTAAGAAAAGTGTTTTTCTCTGTTTGTTGCCCAAGAGCCTATTACAGGGTGTGGTATATAACAGGTATCAAATAAATATTTGTGAACCTGAACTGGTCCTGTGTGGTAAGGCTGCTGGGAGCTGTCTCCTTTTGAAGTTTACCCACGATCCATTACAAAATTCATATAATGTGCTGCAACTGTCTACCGAGAAGATACAGACCATAGTTACACATGCTCAGTTTCATCGAGGACATTCATCAGGAATGAGAGTGAGCCCCCCAGGGCAGCTCTTCGTTGTAGTAATACCTGACAAGCTTACTCCAGTAGATTTGAAGATAGACAGGTATAGCTCCTTGACCTATAGGTATGGTTGGGTTTCCCTTCTAGAAGCTCCATGATGGCTGGGACTTGTTCACCATGGCTTCACCCGTGCAGTAAACAGCACCTGGCACATAGTCGTGGGTGCTTAATAAATATTCAGGGAGTGAATGAATGAGAGAAACGAATGCTAAAAGATAACGGTAGGCTAAAAATACTTTGTAATCGGAAACAGAATGTGTGCTTCATAATTCAGTAGTAAAGTCATTTAAGGTGGTGTGGTGATATGGAGAGAGCCCTAGCCCAGAAGTCAGGATTCTTGGGTTCCAATAATCATGACAATAACTTCTAGGTTTTGAGCGTGCTAGCACCATGTAAGTCACTTTACTAGGCCACATCATTTAAAATCTCACCACATCCCCAAGAGGTGGGGACCATGGAAGGTGGTGTGAATTGAGCATCCACATCACAGAGTGGGTGCCCCGGGGGGCCTGCACTCGAACCCAAGTCTGAGCCAAAGCCTGTGTTCTTCCCACCCTGTGGTCCTGGCTCTCCCTGTGACCTTAGACAGGACATTTAATCTTTGGGTTCTCAATTTTCTCATCTTAAAAAAAAAAAAAAGAAGCCTAGAATCTCTAAGGTTCCTTTCAGTTTTAAAATTTAGCGTTTTGAAAGCAGGGAGTTTGGTCAGAGGGGTAGAATAGGTGGTTTTGTTATTATTAGTTTTTATTGGTTTGTTGGTTTCTTAGTAAGTACAGAAAAGGAAAGGAAACCTTGAGTCATTTTGAAAAATCTTGCAAAACAGTAAGTATTTTTCTACATGCAGCTCATCCCCACCCCCGCACACTGTATTATGGGAGATTTACTCTCTTCCCCTTTAACAAAATGTTTTCTCACAGACTACAGCCTTGTAGCAGCATGGACAATAAGCTATTCCTAATACCAATTTGCTGATAAGGGAAATGTTATATTATTATATGTCTAAGAATCTGCAGTCATGAGCAAAAAGGATATCTTCTTGCAACTCTGTCTTATACCTCTTTAGAGGTATGTTTCAATGCCCTCTCCTTTCCATTGCAGAGTAGTGTGGTCTACTAGGCTGGGCCTCCACAATCCACCCCTCACCCCTCTAATCACCTCTCCTCCTCTTTGCCTCCTTGCACACTGCATTCCTGCTATTCCTTGAGCACCCCAGGCACAGTGGGTGCTGAAGAGTCCCCCACTTCAGCCTACCTTAGAGCCTCCATACCAGCTGGTCTCTGTGCTGAAAATACTGGCCCTGGTGGCTGGATGCCTCACTCCATAAAGGGTTTGTCCTCCCTACCCTGCTGTACCCACCCTATTCCCAATCCCCTTGAGCCTTCCCTACTTTTATACTTTGCTTTTTTTCCATAGCACTTATTATCTTATAACATGTCGTATACCTTATTTATTATGGTTATTGCTTATTTTCTGTTGATTAGGTTGTAAGCCCTGTGAGATCAGAGATCTATTTTGATGCACACCAAGTACCTAGGACAGTGTTTGACATGGGGGAGCCACTCAGTAAATATTTTTTGAATGAAAAATTATGTGATCAAATTCAGGAGGAAGAGCTGCTGTTATGGGACACGGAAGTACTTATGTGGACTAGGTAGTTTATGAGCCTGAAGTTGCGTGTTTGCCTTCAAGTAGACTCTAAGCTGGTAGAGATAAGATTCTATACATTTTTACCTGCAGAATTGATGGTGCCAGACTTAAGATACTGGTCTTGTGTATGCTCAGAAAGGCTTTGGCCATAAAATTCCAGACTTAATTATAAGCAATGTATAACTTTTAAATCATATAAATTCTTAGATTGAAAAATAACATTGAAAGGTAGTGATTCCTAAAATAAGAATACTTCAACAAAATATTTTCTTGGTTATATTGCAGCAAAGAAGACAGTGGAATCCAAAGAAACAGTTATGATGGGGGACTCTATGGTGAAAATAAATGGGATTTATTTAACAAAATCAAATGCTATTTGCCACTTAAAGAGTCACCCACTTCAGCTAACTGATGATGGAGGCTTCAGTGAAATAAAGGAGCAAGAAATGTTCAAAGGAACAACATCTTTACCATCTCATCTCAAGAATGGAGGGTCAGTATTCTTTTTATTTAATTTTCTGGTCAGGATAATGGTATCATTTACCAGTTTCTTCTCTATTTTATATAGATGATTGGTTTGCTTTTTCTCTTTTATGTAAGCAAATTTTATGTTAAGGGTACATGAATAGGAGAGACTACTTCTCATGGCCAAATGGAGTTGATTTTTGTATCATTCCTTATATAATACTCAAGAACACTTTTATTCATGACTGTCAAAGTGCTGCTTCTGTAGGACTATCAGAATAAGATTTAGTTGGACTATTCCAGCCATCCCTTGAGTGATGACTGATCATTCCGTTTGTATGTTATTTGGGATTCTTGCATGGCCTGGAATCTCCTATTATCTCCCTTTGGGTTAGTTCACAGTCCTTAACTCCACAAGAGTGGACACTTATTTTATTCTTCAGTAGATCTTGGATTAAATATTTATTTTGCAAACTAATGGCTAAAACAGAAGAGTCCTGTAGATTTCAGTTATCTGTGAGATCCCTCCATTGGCCCCTCATAAATGAATGATTGGGAATTGCTTTATTTCATACCATGTTCCTAGATAGGGTTTCCTTGAGAATCAATCTTCCTACCATATTAAGGATCTGTGGAGAAATGCTTGCTGTTTGGACTGTGAATTCTTACCCTGGTATTTTACTGAAGAAACCTTGAGTATTTGGTGGCTGGAATGGGGGAAACAGTGGAGAGAACAGGCTCTGTTTTCCAGTCCCAGCCAGTAATGATGCTAAGAGAGGCAGAATGTCTTGAACTGGACAAGGTCACTCAGTTTAAGATATTTTTTTCTAGGACTTTCCATTGGGTCATCATGGATAACTGCCCGGTTCAGATTTGCTTAACAAGATTAAATTCCATGGGCCATTTTAAGATCAAGTATTTCTTACACTCACGTTAGATTTCGGGTCTGACTTTGGCTTGGACACATGTAGCATGCTTAAAACTTTTCCCCCAAGTGGCTGCTTGCCAGCTTGTTTAGCTGAACCGACCTTGTCTGCTGACACAGCCTGAAGAGTGTCACACATACGGAATTTATATTAAGCAATCTAGTAGTCCTTGTAATGTCATTTCACATTCAGAACATTTTTTTAAATTAAAGGAAAAATGAAATGTCTCCTTAAGTGGAAGAGAACGACTTCAAATTGGGACTTTGGGAGTTGAGTAGAAAACATCAAACTGGCCATTGCAGACAAATCGTTTCCAGTTGGTGAATAAGAATAGGCTGTGGACCTCAGAGCTTAAACATAAAAGGCAGCAGGAAAACTTGTGTTTCTTTCAGTACTGAAGTAAAAAGGAAACATTTATCTTGCTGCATCCATCCTTACAGTAATGAAAGTTGACTAGAAAAACCAGACAAGAGCTATTTAATTTGTTTATTTGCAAACCTTCAGATGTGGCAGAATAATCTGGAAAGCCAGAGTTCATTATGTCTTCCTCATTCTGGGACAGCAGGGGCATTTTCATTTATATATTTTATCCCACAAACAGCAAAAGACAAATCAGTTAGCACTTCTTCCTCACTGTCCAAAATTATGAGGCATTGGCAATAGCACTAATTGTTTTCTTTGTGTTTTGTTAGGACGGCTTTTGCATCATATAAGGATTGTGTCTAAGTTGGGTTTGCAATGTACCCTGGCAAGGTTAACTTTCAGTAACATTTTTTGCTTTATGAATCTTTACCTCCTTTAATCGTTGGGTGGAATTTTATTGGAGTGGTGCCAAAAAAAAGTTTACGTAGTAGGATTAAAATAAACCAAAAAACAGAAACTCTTAGCAATTCTTTCATTAATGATGTTAATGAATCAGTCTGGGACACTTGATAATTGTTTCTTGTAAACATTTAAGTGACTAATTCCAAGAAATGATCTTTGCTATGCAGTGGAGTATTCCCAGTTTTGATGGTAGAGCCCTTCCCTCAATTAACATTTTTTCATCTTTAGACCATAAAGTGGCAATTGTCAGTGAGCTGGGCTGGCAGGAGCAGGGAGGGTTGAGAAGGAGTGTGTAAGTAGACCGTGGAAAGGGGAGAGAGTGGGTGAGGCCACACTCCCAGTGTGGGGGCCTTGCAGGCTTGTCCAGTGTGACAGCGGTCACCTGTGTGGTGTGTGTTTATCTGGCTGGGAGAGGAAGGAGCATTTTGTTTCCATGAAACTGCAATAATTGTATACCCTCATTTATAATATGGATAATTCAGATATTGATGGAATATCTGAATATGGATGGAATGGAGTTCAACTTTATGCTGGTTATGGTGGAAAAAGGATTTGCTAAACAAAGTATCATTGTAAACAATGCTTTAGAGGACTATTTAACTTTACAAAAGAGAACACACTGTCAAGCACTTACGGAACTGTCATCCTCAAACCTTGTGTCAGTTATGATAGTCTCCATATGCCCATTTAGGGATTCATTTAAGGTCTGGCAGACTTGCTCCTCAGGAATACTTCACCATCACTTGCTTTGTATTACTATATGGATTGAAAGTAATGCAGCTGCCATTAACAAAATGTGTGTATTCTCCATCCATCCATCCACCCATTCACCCATCTACCTATCCAGCCATCGACATATCTACCCATACATCCACCCAGACACCCATTCATCCACCCATCCAACTGTCCATTCATCCATCCATCCACATACCCATCCACCTGTCCATCTACCCATTCACCCATCTACTCATCCACTCATCTGCCCATCCACCCACCCATCCGTCTACCTACCCACCCATCTGTCATCCACCCATCCATTCATCCATCCATCCATCCATCCGCTCATCTATATATCTACCCATCTATCCACCCATTCACCCATCCACCCACCTATCCACCTATCCATCTGTCTACCCATCCACCCATCCATATATCTCCCCATCCATCCACCCATTCACCCATCCATCCACCTGTCTACCCATCCATTCATCCATCCATCTATCCATCCATCTACCCATCCACCCATCCATATATCTACCCATCTGTCTACCCATGCAGCTAGCACCTACCCATCCACCTATCCACCCATCCATTCATCCATCCATATACCCATCTACCCATTCATCCACCCATCCACCTATCCATGCACCCATTCACCCATCCCCCATCCATCCACCCATTTATCCATTCATCCATCTATTCATTAACCTATCCACCCACCCATCTACCCATCTATCCATCCACCCACCCACCCACCCACCCACGCAGTCATCCATCTATCTATTCACCCACCTGTTCGTCCATCCATCCATCCATCCATCCATCCATGGAATCTCTTTCAAAGCAGATGAATCTCTTTACCTGCTTAAAAAATCTGTTAAGGCTTTCCATGTAAACGTTCAAACTATCATGGTTTGGAAATGGGATCTTTAGGAGGAAAGCCCAAGAACAGCCAGTTGTTATGGAGAATCAGGGACTGTTCCTGAGGAGCCAGAATCTCTGGATTTAGGTTTGGTTCTCTCTCAGCCACTTGATTTAGCTGTATTTGGCAAGTATCTTAACACTTTCAGGGGCTCAGTTTTCTAATGTATAAAATGGAAATAACTCTGCTCTTTTACTCCCATCTCCTTCTAGCCCTCACTGTAGATTGTGGAATGATGACTAAGGCTTGAAAGCCTTACTAATAAACTATCGAGTGCTCTTAGTATTGTTGGAATCAAAAATAAGAAAAGAGGGCTTCTGGTTAAAGGCACAAAGGCATTCTCCAGTAATCCAATGAAAGCAGCAAAGAATGAAAAACAGAGAAGTAAATTTCATCAATGAAACAACAACAAAAAAATGGCTACGACCCTGAACTACACAACATGAAGCAAACTTTACACTGCAGTATAGGCTTGATTTTTGTTGGTCTGTCTAGCAAACAGGCCTTCTCACATTGTGTAATAAATGCTGCTCAGTCCGTATTTGGAGAAGGGTTAGCCCTGTCTTCCCTGTGTCCCTCCCAGGGGTGGTTATGTGGCCCAGGGCTGGCTAATCAGAGTTTGCCAACCCCAGCTACAGCAGTTGATTCAGAGATGGGCACATGATCCAAGCCAGGCCAGTTGCATTCCTTCATGGGACTTTCACCAAGGCCTTTGGGGAAAGTGCTCTTTCTCCAGGTTCACAAACTATAAAGATGATGTGGTCTTGGAGCTGACAGTGGCCTTTTCACAGCCTTATGGAGAGAGATGCTGAGAGGGAAGTGGTACATAAACAAAAAGAGCAAGGAACGAAGATAATGATCAAGTTCGAGGATGACATATAAACCTCTAGATCCAGCTGTGCCTGAAGCCACCACATCAACATTGTAGAATACTGTTTTGTGAACCAATGTGTTCCTTTTTCTTTCTCCTTCCTTCCTTTCTTTTTCTTCTCTCCTTCCTTCCTTCCCCCTTCCCTCTCCCTCTTCTCCTTCCTTCCTTCCCCCTTTCCGTTCCCTTCCCTCTCCTTCCTTCCTTCCTCTCTCTTTCTTTCTTCCTGTGTTCCCTTTTCTCTTTTCTCCCTCCTTCCTTCCTTCCTTTTTTTCTCTTTTTTTTCTTTTTTTGACAGAGTCTAGCTCTATTGTCAGGATGGAGTGCAGTGGCACAATCTTGGCTCACTGCAACCTCCGCCTCCCTGGTTCAAGCGATTCTCCTGCCTCAGCCTGCCCTGTAGCTGGGATTACAGGCATGTGCCACCACGCCAAGCTAATTTTTGTATTTTTAGTAGAGATGGGGTTTCACCATGTTGGCCAGGATGGTCTTGATCTCCTGACCTTGTGATCTGCCCACCTCAGCCTCCCAAAGTACTGAGATTACAGGCGTGAGCCACCGTGGCTGGCTTGCTTTCTTTTCTTTTTCTTTTTTTTTTCTTTCTTTCTTTCTTTGTTTCTTTCTTTCCTTTCTTTTCTTTCTTTCTGTCTTTCTCTTTCTTTTTCTTTTCTTTCTTCTTTCTTTTCTTCTCTCCCTCCCCTCCCCTCCCCTCCCCTTCCTTCCTTCCTTCCTTCACTCCTTCCTTCCTTCCTTCCAACAGGGACGGTTTATGGTACTTTAGATTAGGTTTTGTTACTTGGAACATTGCATTCATAAGAATCTAGTTAACCTTCCAGGCCCTAAGAAATCTAGATTATAACAAGGGGTAATTTGAAAGTGGACACATACCTTCTCAGACCTTGAGCAAGAAACAGATTTCACTAAAAGTGAGTCTTTTAATTCAGAAAGATGTACTCAATATTTAATTAAAGATATGAGATCTAACGATGTAGGCAGGCTGCGGGAGCAGGGAGTATGCCCTGTGTAAGGACTCCATTCAAGATCCAGATCAAGAAGTGAGGGGGAAGATGGAGCTGAGGATGACACACACTCCTGGTTACATGTGAGCCAGCTAGTTTGTGTATGTGTGTGTTTTGGGGGAGGGGCTTGATACATTAGAATTTAAGGAACCCAGCATGTGAAAGGGCTTTTGTGTGCATCACAGCGACCTGCTCCACACAAACCAAGGGAACATATACTCCCAGGTCAGCAAAGGTAATGGATTTGGTGATTGCAAGTTTAAGAAAACAGACTAAAATTTAAGCTACAGAATACCTCCGTTCGCTCTCTCTATGGATCCTTATTCAGCGTTAATAAATAAATGGCTCTGTTTAAAGATAAATACTATTAAGATAGGAACCAACGTGGGACTTGAGCTTAGATATATAAGGAACATAGCAAAAAAAAGATGAAGGAAGTGGATCACAGAAGGTATTACCTTCCAAAAACATGGAAAGAGTTCAAACAATTTTCCATAGTCTCAGAGAAATTATAGATAATGTGATCATTCTCTTAAAAAAAAAAAAGAAAGGGTTCAGGCATGGTGGCTCACGCCTGTAATCCCAACACTTTGGGAGGCCGAGGCGGGCAGATCATGAGGTCAGGAGATCAAGACCATCCTGGCTAACATGGTGAAACCCTGTCTCTACTAAAAATACAAAAAAAAATTAGCTGGGCATAGTGACAGGCACCTGTAGTCCCAGCTACTCGGGAGGTTGAGGCAGGAGAATGGCGTGAACCCGGGAGGCAGAGCTTTCAGTGAGCCGAGATCATGCCACTGCACTCCAGCCTAGGCGATGGAGTGAGACTCCCTCTCAAAAAAAAAAAAAAAGGAAAAAAGCACTGTTCTTTGGGTTATAAGAATTTAAATGAGAGATTCTAAGCCCATATAAGGAGATGAAAAATAAGCTTACAGTACGCAAAAAAGAAATGAAAGAAAAATGTATCAAGAGGAAAGCTACATTAGGAATAAAAAATTAGAATAAAACAGGTGAAAATACAGTAGGACATGGTGGACAGGCTAGAAGAAATCTTACAAAAAGAAATGAATAATAAAGCTATGAAAATGATTATTGAGATAGATATGGAAGAATGAAACTTGTTTTCCTGAAGAAGATAATTATCTTCCTTCACTTCCTCTGCTAACGCTGTCTTACTGTGAATTGTCAGACACTTTTCTAAGTCCTTTGCGTATATTAAGTCATTTAATATTCACAACAACTCATGAAGAATGGAAGAGATCAGAGCAGAAAGAAGAAAAATATTAAGACATAACAGAAGAAAACTTTCTGAAACAAATACTTAAATCTGAAGCTCAAATGGACACATGGTATTCCAAGAAAAATTTGATATGGAATAATCCATACTAAGACATTTCCACCAGTGCTCAGCACTAGAACACTACCCAGTACATAGTACGCACTCAGTGAATAATTGTTGATTGGGCGGGCAAATGGAAGAAAGTTTCATATGGCTCTCCCGGCTGAATGAACAAGTCACATAAAAGGAGAAGAAGACAGGCTGGCTTCTGGTTTTCTTAAAGAATCACTCAGTGCCAGAAGGCAGTAATGTCTATGAAGTCCTAAGTGTAATAAGGGGTAACTGAAGAATTGTATTGCCAGTCCAGTTGTACAGAAGCAACAGATAGACACTTTCAATATGAATGAACTGAGGGAATATACTACTCATGCACTTTCCAGAAAACCTGTAGACAACAAAATGATGAGTCAAAATTCAAAACCTAGAAATGAAGAAGCTATGGTAAAAGCATTCATGGTGAGTACAGTAATGATTTTGTTTTCGTATTGGATTAAAACTAAACAACTCTGCTTATGGAACAGAAACCTTGACAATGTGGTAGTAATATAAATAACCAAAACCAGTACTTGGGAGGAAGTGTGAGTACTGATTTCTTTACTTTCATAATGGGGAATAGATTTGTCAGTAGCTAAAGTCTGAAATTGCAATATATAGTTGAAAAAATAATGATTTCAGCATCCTAATGTTTTTCATTACTTTTTTCTTAACTTTAGAGAGATCTTTTAGAAACTATTCTCTCTTTGTGAAGACCCATTCATCTGAAGTTCTACAATTCCTTCAGTTTCACCTCAATTTCTGTTTCTTTGTTAAGTTCAAGCAAAGTTTATACTTAATGCTTTTTCACTACAATAACATGTATGGTATGATTCCATTTATATGTATCCATTTACCTGCCCTCCCTCCTGCCCTTCTGTTCTTTCATTCTTCTATCTTTTCCTCTGAACATCTGCAGAAATATGTCTGGAATGATGTTGACCACATATTATGATGTTTATTTCTGGGTGGTGGGATCCTGGATAATTTTTTTAAAATCTTCTTTGTACTTTATTATATTGCCTGGCTTTTAAAAAATAATAAATATATCATTTTTTCAAAAACAATGAAGTCATTATTCTTTTAAGATTTTAAGAGCAATGTGGCTGAGAAACTTTCCATTTGGAAAAGACAAAGACATTGGCCTGATTTTGTAGAGACCCTCCTTTCTGTCCGATAAGCGTTTCCTGGTAAGCAATGCCCTGTGCTGAGGGGTTGAGAGATAGAAGAGTGGACCCTGTCCATGAAGAGCTTACCAGCGTGTCAGGCCTTGCTTCTCAAGTATGGTCCCTGGACCAGCAGCATCAGCATCCCCTGGGAGCCTGTTAGAAATGTAAGTCCCCAGACTTACCAAATTAGAATCTGCATTTTTATAAGATCTCCAAGTGCTTTGAATGCACACACAAGGTCTAGAAGCACTGTTCAAAGATGAACTCAAATGCTGGAGGAAAGAAAGGGGAACTGAAAGAAGGTATACTGAAAATTTAGAGGTCAGAGCAGCTAATTCTGACTTGAGGATCAAGGGAAAATTCCTAGAGTAGTTGGGATTTGGGGGTGCATTTTGAAGGTTGATTTTCGTGAGGGATGGAGCACTGTGTTCTTGGCTAAAGGAGGAGCATAAGCCAGAAGTGGGATTTGACGTGGCAGTGGCAGGAGGCATCCTGAGGCTGCAAGCCATAGCGCTGAGCAGCATGTCTGGAAGGGAAGTTAGGGACACATGACAGATGGCCTTCAATGCTACTCCCAGGTATGTGGGTCCATTGTTTAAATAAAGGTGCACCACTGAGAGGTGACTTTCGCTGTCAGTTATGTGAAGGACGAATGGGGAGAGGAGAGCCTGGGACAAAGGAAGCCATTGGGAAGCTGTTGTAGCAGTTCTGGCGTAAGGTGTGAAGGGAGCACGGCACCAGGGCATTCAGAATGGAAAGCAGAGATGGAACCCTGCATGGCACTGGTTAACACAGTAGCATGCTGCAGAAGAGGCCAGTCACAGCCACTGCTCCCTGTACTGAACGAAATCCTCACAGGTACAGCACTGACAAGTTACAAGGGCTTTTCACATGCAGTACCTTGAAACTGTGGGGCTTTGAATGTTAAGGGGAGTATGAAACCATGAGCCTTTAAGCTAAGGGAATTTAAGGTTAACTAAGTTAAGCTAACATGGATAGCTACAAAGCAATATATCTAATCGTGTATATATATATAGAACTTTAATAATAACCAGTTAGTGATTATTAAAAAAGGTGCCAAGGGGTGTGTGTGTGTGTGTGTGTGTGTATGTATTTTAGTCTTGTGCCCAAGCCAACACTATTAAGTACCTTGGAGGACTTTCTTAAAATTTTGATCTTACAGACATCCCTTTAAAACCATGTCCTTTAATTTCAAGTGTTTGTGTATAGCTGTTTAAGTAGAATGCTTTAAGTTTAGTAATTAAGAAAAAGTGATAATCTGGCTGGACACGGTAACTCACACCTGTGATCTCAGCACTTTGGGAGGCCGAGGTCAGGAATTCAAGACCAGCATGCCCAACATGGTGAAATCACATTTCTACCAAAAATACAAAAAATTAGCCAGGTGTAGTCCCGGCTACTTGGGAGGCTGGGGCAGGAGAATCGCTTGAACCCAGGAGGCAGAGGTTGCAGTAAGCTGAGATTGCACCCCTGCACTCCAGCCTGGGTGACAGAGTGAGACTCTGTCGCAAAAAAAAAAAGAAAAGAAAAGAAAAGAAAAAGTGATAATCTGTCTGGAAACTGTATATCTAGTGCTTTAGGCTATGAAACATGCTGAGGGGACCCTCCCTCCATTGTCCACCCCTCTGTTGGCATTACCAAATTGCAGTCGAAGTATGGAAGAGACTATAAAGCAGGATCAGCAAACTAAGGCCCATGAGCTAAATCCAGCCCATTGCCTGTTTTTGTAAATAAACTGTATTGGAACACAGCCACACTCATCTTTTACCTATTGTCCATGGCCATCTTCACACTGCAGCAAGAATTGAGTACTTATGACAGAAACTGTGTGGCCACAAAGCCTAAAACATTTACTACCTGCCTTGATCCTACACAACTTGAATCTAGTTTGAAAAACGAAGTGTCTTTTTCTTATGGCAAGGATAAGTTTAGTTCAAAAGTTGCTAAATTTTCTCTTATCCATAAGCATCCTTTACAATTTCCTTACGTCATTTTTTCCAAAATGGAAATAAATTTATTGACTTTTTAAACATTCCAAATCCTTCTGTTTAATCTACTTCTTAATATTTGTTTAGTTATTCCTCCAAAGTAGGAATAAACAAACTACAGCCAGCCAGGTCCGGTGGCTCACGCCTGTAATCCCAGCACTTTGGGAGGCCAAGGTGGGCGAATCACCTGTGGTTGGGAGTTCGAGACCCGCTTGTCCAACATGGTGAAACCCCATCTCTACTAAAAATCCAAAAATTAGCCGGGTGTGGTGGCTAATTACAGGCACATGCCTGTAATCCCAACTACTTTTGGGAGGCTGTGGGAGGAGAATCACTTGAGCCTGGGAGGTGGAGGTTGCAGTGAGCAGAGATCACACCACTGCACTCCAGCCTGGGCGACAGAGCGATACTCGTCTCACAAACAAACAAACAAACAATATAACTACAGCCCAGGAGCCAAATCTGGCCATCCATCTGGTTTTTGTTTGTTTTGTTTTTCTTTTTTACAGCCCTTGAGCTAATAATGGTTTATACACTTTTTTAAATCATTACATTTTAAATGGTTACAAATGTAACCATGTAGTACCTGGATTTTCCCACTTGGCCCACAAAGTGTGCAATATATATTATCTAGCTCTTTAGGGAAAAAGCTTGCTGACCTCTGACTAAAGAACCTTAGTCATAATAATTAGAAGAACTGTCAGAATTATAGCAAAGTCTGAATTTTATAGTTTTTTTTTTGTTTGTTTGTTTTGTTTTTTTTTTTGAGACAGAGCCTCACTCTGTTGCCCAGGCTAGAGTGCAGTGGTGTGTGGTGTGATCTTGGCTCACTGCAACCTCCGCCTCCCAGGTTCAAGCAATTCTCTTGCCTCAACCTCCCGAGTAGCTGGGATTATAGGTACACGCCACCACCCCCAGCTAATTTTTGTATTTTTAGTAGAGATGTGGTTTTGCCATGTTGGCCAGGCTGGCTGGTCTTGAACTCCTGACCTCAAGTGATCTGCCTTCCTAAGCCTCCCAAAGTGCTGTGGTTACAGATGTGAGCCACCATGCCTGGCTAATTTTATAGTATTTTTAAAGAAATATACTTGTATTTCTTTGGGGTGCATGTGGTCCAAAAGTAGATATTGTCCACATGATTGACTCATGGATGGGCAGTGGTAACTCAAGTCAGTCCGTGTGTAGCAGTGCCATAGCCACAGATTGGTTCTGGCTGTTCAGAGTGAAATGTAGGACCCTCCTCACTGATTGCAAGAGAAGACTTTGCTTTTGCTCTTAAACATGTGGGCTGAGGAGAGGCCTGGGAATGCCAGACCCATTTTGCTTTAATCAGAACTCCAACCTGGTTACAGCTGGAACTGAGGGAAGGGCAGAGCTGAGAGAATCGCAGAAAGATGCCGCCAAAGGCCTGATTGCACCATGCCTAAAACCCACCCTACCTGTCCACATTCAGGTTATGTGAGTCAATAAATTGCATTTATTGTTTAAATCCATTGAAATTAGGTTTTTGTTATTTGTCGATCAAGATATCATAAAGAACAAAACAGTGCCAATCTGCCTGTACGAAGAATTTCACAGAGGAGCTTTAAGAAATAACTTCTGAAATTATTTTTGGTACATGAAAAATCATTGCAAAAAATTTAATTACAGTCTTTAATAATATGGAACAGGAAACTAGGAAGAACAATTTTGCTGGATGACTGAATCAAGATCCAAAAACATCTGATAGGCAGGAATGCTTTGCCAAATGCGGCACTGTGGAATTTAGGAAGAACAAGCAAAGGCCCAACCTGGATGGGAAAATCTGCCTTAGTGAACATGCAGGAAAAGATTAGAGACACCCACCACTGTGACGTGACCACCAAACCGCTAATGTCATTTTAGGCTGCAGCGTTACGTAGAACATCTCCTCTCTGTCCTCAAGCCATACTACCTTTGGCTGAGTGCTGGGTTCCAGACTTTAAAAGGGATCCAGACAAGCGAACACTCACTTTGAGTAACTGATTGTCCTGGAAGAGATTTGAAACCGCATCATGTGAGGAACAGTAGAAGGGACTGGAGGAGTTTGCTGATGACATCAGTGATGACCACAGCCATAATAGTAAACATGTATTAGTTACCATGTGCCTGGAACTGTGCCAAGCAATCGCACATCCTATCATTTAGTCCTCACAACAGTCTCACATTGGGGGATAGTGTTATTTACCACACCTTTCTACAGATGAGGAAACCAAAACTTACCCGAGGTCACACGGCTGTAAGTGGTCGGACCATGGGATTTAAACCATAGGAGATGACTTTATGTGGGGAATGCAACATCTTTAAATATGTGCAGGATTATCAAGGAGAAAAAGAATAAAGATTTGTTTCATGCAGTTCCAATTAGTAGAACGAAGACCAATGAGCAGAATTTACAGAGAAACAGATTTCTTTTGAGTACATAAGTCCATCTATTCTTCCTTTTCTCCTTAACGGAGTGATTTTCTTTTCTTGATGCCTCTCTTCCCCATTCAGTCTTACTGTGGGACTTCAGCTCTATGGCTGTGTGGAAACCCTGGTAGGCTTCCCCTGCTATCCTATTCCTCCATGGCTACATTCTGTTATTTCCTCTGCCTGAAATCCTGTCAACCCTTGACTTACGGAACCTCTTGAATGTGTTCCTTCTTCTCCAA
This sequence comes from Homo sapiens, assembly GCF_000001405.40. Lineage (NCBI taxonomy): Eukaryota > Metazoa > Chordata > Mammalia > Primates > Hominidae > Homo > Homo sapiens. The sequence continues at coordinate 108,888,825 of NC_000006.12, forward strand.
TTCCACTGTCACCCTCAGATTAGTCCTTGTTCCTTCTCTCCAAGTCTCCTAAATACTCTTGACATTGCACACCCCCAAATCGCATCACTTCCTTGTATAAGAACCCATGACAGTTCCTTATTGCCTGTCAAATCAGATTCATTTACTCAGCCCATAGTGTGGGTTGAGTAAACCCATGGAAACCTTCTATGACTGTCTTACTTGCCCTGGGCACTTATCCCCTGCCCTCAGTATCAGTCTGCTTATGCCTGTCTTTATTTTCACTCATGCTATTCCCCTTCTGAGAGTAGTGTTGTCATTTGCTGGTTTAACTTTTATTCTTTTATTATTATTATTTTTTGAGGCAGAGTCTTGCTCTTTCACCCAGGCTGGAGTGAAGTGTGCAATCTCGGCTCATTGCAACTTCTGCCCCCTGGGTTCAAGCGATTCTCCTGCCTCAGCCTCCTGAGTAGCTGGAATTACAGGCGCCCGCCACCATGCCTGGCTAATTTTTGTATTTTTAGTAGAGATGGAGTTTCACCATATTGGCCAGACTGGTCTCGAACTCCTGACCTCAGGCGATCCGCCTGCCTCGGCCTCCCAAAGTGCTGGGATTACAGGTGTGACCCACTGCGCCCTGCCTGTTATTATTTTTGAGACAGGGTCTCACTCTGTCACCCAAGCTGGAATGCAATGGCACAATCACAGCTCACTGCAGCCTCGACCTTCTGGGCTCAAGCGATCCTCCTGCCTCAGCCTCCAAAGTGGCCGGGACTACAGGTGTGTGCCACCATGCTAGATAGTTTTAAAATTTTTTTTAGAGGGAAAGTCTTGCCATATTGCCCAGGCTGGTCTTGAACTCCTTGAACTCCTAGGTGCAAGTGATCGTCTCACCTAGGCCTCCCAAAGTGGTGGCATTACAGTCGTGAGCCACCATGCCGGCCAACTTTTATTCTTTTAAGGCCCATTTTGTAGTCCACTTCTCCCACTCACTAATCACTTCCTTCTTAGCACCCTCTAGTTCTTACAATCTGTTGAATTTCACATTCTAGTACTTTATTAACAACTCTATTGGACTTTTCCATTAAAAAACAGTGGTTCCGGGCCGGGCGCGGTGGCTCACGCCTGTAATCCCAGCACTTTGGGAGGCCGAGGCGGGCGGATCACGAGGTCAGGAGATCGAGACCATCCCGGCTAAAACGGTGAAACCCCGTCTCTACTAAAAATACAAAAAAAATTAGCCGGGCGTAGTGGCGGGCGCCTGTAGTCCCAGCTACTTGGGAGGCTGAGGCAGGAGAATGGCGTGAACCCGGGAGGCGGAGCTTGCAGTGAGCCGAGATCCCGCCACTGCACTCCAGCCTGGGTGACAGAGCGAGACTCCGTCTCAAAAAAAAAAAAAAAAAAAAAAAAAAAAAAAAAAAAAAAACAGTGGTTTCTTAGTTCCTCAGAGTAGATTTTAAACTTCATCAGGGCAATGCCATGCACATTCTTTAGCTCAATAAGATTTGACTCTGGACTGCTTAGACAAGTGATTACTGACTCATAAGGAAAGAGAAAATTAATCTGTTTATTAAGTTCTTCCAGTGTCAGTCAGTGTACTAAGCAGAGTCATTGCATTCAATTTAAGATGAGGAAACCAGGCTCAGCGCAGTGGCTCACACCTGTAATCCTAGCAATTTGGGAGGCCGAGATGGGAGGATTGCTTGAGGCCAGGAATTTTAGACCAGCCTGGTCAACATAGCAAGCTCCCCATCTCTATTTAAAAAAAAAAATTAATGATGAGGAAACCAAAGCTAAGTAGTTCACCCAAGATCACAATGCTGATAAAAGTTAGACCCAGGACCCAAACTCAGGCAGCTTGGCTTCAGAACCTACATATACCCACCACAACGTAAGGATCACGTAGAACAGCACTTAATACCAGTCCTGTGCTCTTTTTTTATTTCTAACATTATTGTTACTTTTTTAAAATTATATTTTAAGTTCTGGGATGCATGTGCAGAAAGTGCAGTTTCATAGGTATACATGTGCCATGGTGGTTTGCTGCACCCATCAGCCCATCGTCTACATTAGGTATTTCTCCTAATGCTATCCCTCCCCTAGCCCCCCACCCCCCGACAGGCCCCAGTGTGTGATGTGCCCCTCTCTGTGTTCATGTGTTCTCATTGTTCAACTCCCACTTATGAGTGAGAACATGCAGTGTTTGGTTTTCTGTTCTTGTGTTTGCTGAGAATGATGGTTTCCAGCTTCATCCATGTCACTGCAAAGTACACGAACTCATCCTTTTTTATGGCCGCATACTATTCCATGGTGTATATGTGCCACATTTTCTTTATTCAGCCTATCATTGATGGACATTTGGGTTGGTTCCAAGTTTTTGCTATTGTGAACAGTGCTGCAATATGCATACGTGTGCATGTGTCATTATAGTAGAATGATTTATAATCCTTTGGGTATATACCCAGTAATGGGATCGCTGGGTCAAATGGTATTTCTGGTTCTAGATCCTTGAGGAATTGCCACACTGTCTTCCACAATGGTTGAACTAATTTACACTCCCACCAACAGTGTAAAAGCATTCCTATTTCTCCACATCCTCTCCAGCATTTACTGTTTCCTGACTTTTTAATGATTGCCATTCTACCTGGAGTGAGATGATATCTCATTGTGGTTTTGATTTGCATTTCTCTAATGACCAGTGATGATGAGCTTTTTAAAATATATTTGTTGGCCGCATAAATGTCTTCTTTTGAGAAGTGTCTGTTCATATCCTTCATCCACTTTTTGATGGAATTTTTTTTTCTTGTAAATTTGTTTAGTTCTTTGTAGATTCTGGATATTAGCCCTTTGTCAGATGGATAGACTGCAAACATTTTCTCCTATTCTGTAGGTTGCTTGTTCACTCTGATGATAGTTTCTTTTGCTGTGCAGAAGCTCTTTAGTTTAATTAGATCCCATTTGTCAATTTTGGCTTTTGTTGCCATTGCTTTTGTTGTTTTAGTCATGAAGTCTTTGCCCATGCCTATGTCCTGAATGGTATTGCCTAGGTTTTCTTCTAGGGTTTTTATGGTTTTAGGTCTTATGTTTAAGTCTTTAATCCATCTTGAGTTAATTAGTTCTGTGCTCTGCTTGAGAACTGGGAGACCCAGCACTGCTAAGCATTTGCATATAAGAAGGACACTTCATTTTTTCCCCTAGAAGTGGGGATACATGCGTGTGGTATTTATGTAGGCAACCTCATCACTGACCATGACTTGAGGGAGAGTGGACCAGTGACTTTGGAAGCCCATTAGTTGAAAAGTATCTTGCTTGATTTTAATAGTTGTGTAGGGCAGGTGTATGTATTGAAAGCAAGGCCTTGTCCCTAGTCTCAAACCTTCTTGTTATTTCTAGGAGTGATAAATATGAGAACTTCCTTGGCTCCACACCCTGACAAACTTGGTATTTTACCTTTTTGCAAGGTTGATTCTTTTATTTCTGCCTTCTTTGAGAGGTCCCTGTCCCCGTAGCCATTTTCGATTGGCTAGTGACATTTGCTATCGTATTTTTATTATGTACAAATAAAGCAGTTATTTCTGAATATTAATTAGACAATTTTTGGAAAATTGACTTCATCTTTTTCCTATTTTATGATTAAAGGAAGTGTTAAGTGTTTAAAAAAAAAATGGGGTGGCTGGTGGGCGCCATGGCTCACACCTGTTATCCCAGCATTTTGGGAGGCCGAGGCAGGCGGATCACCTGAGGTTGGGAGTTTGAGACCAGCCTGACCAACATGGAGAAACCCCATCTCTACTAAAAATACAAAATTAGCCAGGCATGGTGGCACACGCCTGTAATCCCAGCTACTCGGGAGGCTGAGGCAGGAGAATCCCTTGGACCTGGGAGGCGGAAGTTGGGGTGAGCCGAGATCACGCCATTGCACTCCAGCCTGGGCAACAAGAGTGAAACTCCATCTCAAAAAAAAAAAAAAAAAAGGTGGGGGGAACATGTTAATGAAGTAAAAAATGGTATTTGGAGAAGCTAATCTTCAGGGCGGTAGGAAAGGCCAAGGGCTAAGCTGCAACATGGCATAGTCACTGGGGGGCTCACTACACAGGAAGGAGAAGCCACGGGCACATACAGATGTTCACAGGGACTATCACATGTATAAGCCTTCTTTGTGAGTTTTTTGGAGCAACTATTATATTTGATGGACAAAAAGAAATTTTGATATAAAACTTGCACTCTTCTTTTCCTGGTGTTTTTTTACCTTGGAATTTTGTGCACATATTTAAAAGTAAGTACTTCTAAGTGTCAGCTCTGGCTAAAGAGAAGCTGTATCCTTCAGAGATGTTCTCTACATTAAATAAAACTTTTTAAAAACCTGAGCATGTAATCCTGCTGTTGGCCAGCCACTGCTCTTTTATTTGGAATACAAAATATTTATCATCTGGGGACTGTCCAAATTTATTTTCAGTTTTTTAATGTTTAAAATATTTCTAAAAATAAATATTGTCAGAGAATATTAATTTAATTTTAAAAATGGAATCAGGGCACATTTTTATGTAGTGGAAAGAGAAGCAAATTTGTAAATTATGAGACCTAAGTTCCAAATCTGTCTTTACTGTGTGACCTTGGGCACATCTGGCCAGCTGGGACAGTTTCTTTATCTGCAGGGATCGGGGAAGGGAGGAAGAGAGAAAAAGAGACAGAGGTCTTTCCCAGCTCCCAAAGGCTAAGCTTTTGTAATCCAAGCATCCCAGAGTTCTTTCTTATTGTAACAGTGACCCCTTGTGGTATATATCCTTAACCAATTTTGTTTTGATTTGCAAAGTAAACTGGATTTTTTGTTCTTTCTAGTAACTGTATTTCATGTTGTTAGGCAAATATGACTTGTTTTAAAAAGATAAATCTTACCGGGAAATCAAAGGTAAATTAAAGCAGCATATAGAGGCCAGGGGTGGTGGCCCATGCCTGTAATCCCAGCACTTTGGGAGGCTGAGGCGGGCAGATCGCCTGAGGTCAGGAGTTTGAGAACAGCCTGGCCAACATGGCGAAACCCCCGTCTCTACTAAAAATACAAAAATTATCCGGGCATGGTGGCATGTGCCTGTAATCCCAGCTACTGGGGAGGCTCAGGCAGGTTGCAGTGAGCTGAGATCGCACCACTGCACTCTAGCCTGAGCAACAGGGCAAGACTTCGTCTCAAAAACACAAAAACAAAAACAAAAAAAACCCACATATAGAGCACCAAACCCCATCTTTTAAACAATTCTCGATGGTTTCTTCAGAAACTGTATATCGGCTGGACACAGTGGCTCACTCCTATAATACTAGCATTTTGGGAGGCTGAGGCAGGAGGATCACTTGAGACCAGGAATCACCAGCCTGGACAACATAGTGAGACCCTGTCTCTACAAAATATTTTTTAAAAATAACCAGGCATAGTGGCATGTGCCTGTAGTTCTGGCTACTCGGGAGCCTGGGGTGGGAGGCTCACTTGTGCCAAGGAGTTTGAGGCTGCAGTGAGCTATGATCACAGCACCACTGTTCTCTAGCCTGGATGACAGAGTGAGACCTATCTCAAAATAATAAATAAGAAACTGTATATAGCAGACTCTTGTCATTTACAAAATTAGAAGTGTTTTCATGTTTGCGCTGAGTGTTTTATGTATTCCTCCTAGGGACCAGGGGAAGAGACATGCGAGGGCCTCATCATGCCCCAGTAGCTCAGACCTGAGCAGGCTGCAAACCAAAGCAGGTGAGGGGTCCCCACACTCCTTCATCTACAGCATCTCCACTTGAAGGAAAGATGTTTGCACTGAAGATATCTATGTTGGCCACTGGAAACTTAAGGAAGTTTGTCCAATTTGGTCACAAATCAACATTTATTTTTATACATTTTTATTATATTCATACAATGTTACCATCTTACCACTACCCAACTCTGATGCCTCAAACATCTATAGATGACAGTCTTTTTTTTTTTTTTTTTTTTTTTTGAGATGGAGTCTTGCTCTGTCGCCCAGGCTGGAGTGCAGTGGTGCAATCTCGGCTCACTGCAAGCTCCACCTCCCAGGTTCATGCCATTCTCCTGCCTCAGCCTCCTGAGTAGCTGGGACTACAGGCGCCCGCCACCACGCCTGGCTAATTTTTTGTATTTTTAGTAGAGACGAGCTTTCATTGTTTTAGCCAGGATGGTCTCAATCTCCTGACCTCGTGATCCGCCTGCCTCAGCCTTCCAAAGTGCTGGGATTACAGGGGTGAGCCACCACGCCCGGCCTAGATGACAGTCTTAATGGTTTTATAGAAATCATTTTGTAAAAGCATTTGGAAAGTTGCAAAACTTGACATTAACATAGTTCTTGGGTTCAAAGCTTGAGTTCAAGGCATTGCTTGGCTGGGCATGGTGGCTCACGCCTGTAATCCCAGCACTTTGGGAGACTGAGGCAGGCGGATCACTTGAGGTCAGGAGTTCAAGACCAGCCTGGCCAACATCATGAAACCCCATCTCTACCAAAAAAAAATAATAATAATACAAAAATTAGCTACGCATGGTGGGAGGGAGTGGGGCACCTGTAATCCCAACTACTTGGGAGGCTGAGGCAGCAGAATCACTTGAACCCAGGAGATGGAGTTTGCAGTGAGTCTAGACCACGCCGCTGCACTCCAGCCTGGGCGACAGAGCGAGACTCATCTCAAAAAAAAAAAAAAAAAAAGATAATTGCTCACTTAAATGAAACTATATTAACTTTATTAAGACCGTCCTTTGGGCCTTTAAAGTGTTTGAGAAAATATATAACAATATAAACCACAGTCTAGAAATGATACAAAATGTATTCATGCAATAGAATATAGTTGTCACAAAAGTGAACTCATGGGCTTTTGTAATATTGTAATATTGAGTAAATTCAGTACAAACATAATATGAGATGAAACAAGTTGCAAAAGCAAAGACATATATTGTTTATGGATACACAGCCATGTGGTAAGCATGCGAAGTCAAGTGTAGTCATAGTAACCAGTGGATTTAGGATGGTGGTAACCCCTAGAGGGAGAGGAGGAGGGGAATGGATGCAGGGAGCCACATATCTGTAATGTTTCATTTCTTTAAAATAAGGGAAAGGATAAAAATATGGCAAAATGTTAATATCTGACCAAACTAGTGTGGGGTACACTGATGTCTGTTATATTCTTCATATATTTTTGTACCCATGAGATTTTACAATACTAAATAGTAGATTTTAAAAATTCTTATCTTCAAAATTTAGTTTTTTATCAATAAAATGACTTCTGTGTCATTGGGAATTTCTTTACTCAGGAAAATCTTAGATATACTAATTTCTGAGCCAGCATAGTTGCTAAGGATTTTACATTTACGTGCTAAAAACATCAGCCAATCCAAACATTGTGTCAGGTTTTTGTGTCCAGAACTCAAAGCTGTGGTTAACAACTATAACCACTGAGACAGCAAAATCTTCAAAAACATGCTGAAATTTTTGCTTGACTTACCCAATTTCCTGTTGAATCATAATGTTTATATTTAGCAAACTGTGAACCTAGATGAAAGTGCTTTCTAAAATATTAGATTGTTGCCCAAGATTGAAACAACCTTATTATTATTTGTGTGTTTGTGTGTATCTTAAAAAGCAATTATATGATTCCATGCTTCATTTTCTAGAGTAACTCAGGGATTGTGTATAAAATGGAGGCAGGAGGAGGCCCAGCGTGAATGAAGAGGTGGAAAGGCTGTAGCCAGACACAACTGTGCCCTTTGAAATTCCTGGGAGAGGGTTGGAAGGAAACCCTCATACCAGTGACTGAGTAACTTTGGTTCTGAGAAGAAGCAAATCTCAGAAACATTCAGAAGGGCCCGTAAGGGTTAAATAAATTGTTCTGTGATTTCTGATTCACCCCTATAATTCAGCTCTTTCTGGGGTGAATAAGTTATCCATTTTATTTGTCCTGAAAAACAGGTTGATAGTCATGGTTTCTCATAGAAGTTCTCTATTAAGCAGCATATTGCATAGGAGGTAAAAAATGCAGACTTGAACTTATTGGACTCAAAGTCTGGTTTCTAGTAAATTTAAGTGTGTTATAAATATGTATCAATTAAATAACTCGCCTGACTTATTTTCTGGCTTTCACTTACCTTGATAATGTTGATTTTATTTTATTTTTTATATACTTTGGACTTTGAATAGGTTAGTTATCCACAAATATGAGCAAGTATGTTTTTTGTATTACTTGAATATTCATGTTTACTTTTAGAATCCATATCCATAAATTATCAAAGTTAAGGCAGATTCATAAAAACAATGACCCAAAAGATTGAGATGGTAGTCTACAAACTATCTGTAGTTCCAGAATCCCTGAGCCTGATGGGAAGTCAGTTAGAGTCTTGGTTTTGTGAATATTCATATATTTTGCTACAGGGTGCTGCCGCAGAAGACCCTACAGGGGTGGTACGTAATATGCAATGTGTATACCATATTGACTTTCTAAAATCCATATGTTCCTGCATCCCACACCACATCTGATTCCAAAGGTTTTGGATAAGGGATTGTGAATCTGTACTGATGTGGACTAATTTGTCCTAAAGACAATTCAATTTAGTATCTGATGGTGAAGTCTTGCATTGGGTTAGATAGATTATCTGAAACCTTGCTATTAAGGCTATTTACTGCACTGCAAATGTTTAATAATAGCTTTGTTGACAACCTCTATTTACTTTTGCTGCTTAGGTGATCTTGGATGCCCTGTGTGGCTCAGCTGCTCTTGGCAGTGGGAAGGGTTGATAAAAGGCAAGCCTGGACTTGCTGCAACTGGGAGTGGCCATTTCTAGCATGTAGTATAATGGGAAGGCCTGTGTGTTGGGTGGGATAGGTAGATTGCACAGCGTCCCTGCTTCTCCTGGGTGACATCAGCACCATTTGATGGTTTGAGGATTCATGTCAGAATTCAAATACATCTCTGAATTCAAATGAATTCTTAAATATATGCCATTATGTGTTATCTATGGATTTCTCTGCTATTTTCACAGATAATCATCAAGGGACTTTATTGGATTTCTTGATGCAGAGAATTTTATTTTAATCCATATTAATATTAAAAAATATTAATATGGATATTTACTAAGGTATTACACACATTCAATATGTGTTGTATATATTTTTCTCTTCAAGAATAATAAGAATGCATTAGAGGCATTGGAAAATACAGAAGAGCGCATAAAAGAAATTAATAATCCTAATCCCAATATTTAGAGATAACCATTGTTACCCCATTTTACAGAAGAGAGGTAAAGCAATTTGCCCATAGTCAACGAGCTAGTAGGTGGCAGAGCTAGGATTCAAACCCAGATGGTGACTCCAAACCTGTGCTATTGATAGGCCCCCTGCTCAACTTGTCCTTTGTGCAAAGTAACCTGAAAATACATGGGCCATATACCCGTTTGCTCCTCTGTCTGTCTCTGTCTCTCTGTCTTTCTCTGTCTCTTCTCTCTCTCTCTCTTCCAACCTCTCACCTTCCGATCCTTCCTGATTTCTAACTCTTTGTGTGACATTTTTAGGGTCCAGGCATCTTCTGTGTGGACACTTAATTGGTACCAGGTCCACCCTGCCCCGAGAGGGCATGGACTCCCTGACTTGATGTAGACCAAGTGCCGGATAAAGGACTTAAGGGGTGGTCTTCAGAGAAGAGAGACTGAGGAATACATCTCAGGACTATTCAGTAATGCCTCAGCACAGCAAAGCCACCTCTAGCTACAGTCAGTGTTTTAGATCTTGAGATACTGCCTGTGTGAAATATAATCATAATTTGCAGTTTCTAATATGAGTTACATTTCCCCCCAGTGTTACCCTTTAGTCGGCTAGTTTGCTGCAAGTCAGCATAGCTTTGAGGTCAAATGCAGAGGCTGGGGAGTTATATGACCCCAGGCAGATAACTTAATACACCTGGGCTCCACTTTCTTCACTTGCAAAATGGAGACAGTTTGGGAACCTCCTCATAGTGTTACTGCAAAAATGAAATGGAGGCCTCCTGCATCTAGAGTACACAGTCAATGGTTGCTATTCCCTACAACCCATATTCACAGGCAGCATCTACTCTTGATGGCTTGGTAGTATCACACAGGCATGAGATACTGCAGGGGTGATAACATGTTTGTATACTTGTTTAATCAGGGAAATGAAATTAATTATATACTGTATATTGCTAAAGGCTTGGCACTGAGCTCAGAGCTTTACCTATACCATGTCTTTTAATTCTTATACCCTTGAAGGCAAATATTCTGTTTTGCTGATGAGGAAACAGAGACTCAGGAAGGATAAGAAACTGGACCCCATCACTCACCATGTCCATAGTGGAGTTGGGATTTGAATTGAGATTTGTCAGCCCCGAAGGCCCAGGCTTTTCTGCTACACCACACAAAATCACTTGGCATTAATGCTACTGGCCCCATGTTAGTGTAGACATTTTATTTCTATAGAAAATGTCCATTTTAGGTCTCCCTTTTAGAAAATTTTTCATTACACATTTTTAAAATCCTTATTCTTTATATATCTATAGTTACCTATTCTACATTACAGAGGGATAAGTTTAAGTAAAAATGTACTCAAAACTGTTTGCCTTACTGACAGTCATCAGTATTTACAAAGCTTACTACTTTATGAAGTGACCAGATCACATTTTAAAGTTCTGATTTTTTACATTATCCAGTCTGAGTTTAATTTGGGGTAATTTGATTAGAAGACCTGTAGTTCTAATGAGAAATAGTCAGGCTTGGAGAGCAAAGGGTAATTTAATTCTCTAGTTTATTAATTGTAGTGATGAATAGTAAAGGCTTTTGACCATGCTTCATGACAACTCCTTTTTCATAGCTTTTTCTCCTGCTCTGGATTTCTTTTGCAGTCCCAAAAGCTGACCTGCAAGAAGAGGACGCAGAAATAGAAGTAGACGAAGTCTTTTGGAATACAAGGATTGTACCGATTTTGCGTGAATTAGAAAAGGGTAAAACACAAACAAACAAACAAAAAACCGTTTTTGTTTTTTTTTTAAAAAATACCTGTAGTTATTTATGTGTTCCCCATTGCCCTGATATTTTTAGTAAGTTTTCACTATCATTTCTGTGAACATGTTCAAAAACAAATGAAGTCATCTATTTATTTACCCTGTGTGTGTTAAATATTACATGCACACATAATTTTTAGTAAGATTATGCTTTAAATGCACCAAGAGAGCCAATTTCTAAAACTTCCCTTTGTAATATAAATTAATTAGCATTTCCTCTGTCCAAGGAAATGCTGGTTTAACCTCTCTCAGGTGGCTCTTCATACTCAAGAAAGTAAAAGATTAAAACAGATTTCAGGCTTGGAAGCTGAGTCTCATAAACTGGCGTCCTTGACAGGTGTGCCCGTGGTTTCCTTGGTCCAACTGGTATCTGTCCTACTCTCTTGAAGGGAGCACATCCGTCAGGAATGCCACCCACAGCATGGGAAATGGCCTGGGATGTGTCCCACCCTTGCGCTCTGAACTGCCCCAGAAGTGAAGGCCCACCATCGATGGGTCCCTGCAAGGGTAGGGAAAGCGTGTCATGGGATGGCCCTCCACTTTCTCCCTCTTTGCAGCTAGCTCCTCAAGGATTCTCTTTCTGAAGTTAACCAGGCTCCTCTGGAGCAGTGGTCATAGCCCTAGGGAGAGCCCAGGGCCTGGCACACAGTGCACAGTAAGCCTTTGCTAGGAGTTGTTGATGAGCAAACCAGCTTGGTAGCCACAGGAAGATGCTCTAAGAGAAGCAGGGTAAATGAACCCTCCCCAGCAACCAAACAGAGATGTGCTGCAAAAGACCTGATTACTGAAAGGTTCAAATGACCTCACCCCTCCTCTGCTCCCCATTGGTGCTTGGCTGTGTTCATGGTTAATGTGGGAGCCCTGGACGGGGTTCTGGTCCCGGTGCTGCTACTCGCCAAGCGTATGGCCATGAGGAGTCACCTAGACTCTGTGTGCAATAGTGTTCTCACCTGCCAGATGAGGTGGAGATTAGGTTATCTCCAAAGGCTTCTGCAGCCCAAAGTCCTAAGGATATGAATGTGATGACTTTTTCCCCTCTAGAGTTACTATGTTCACCCTCATCTTAGCGTGCCACGTTAGCTTTGGGCCCTTTATTTCAGGAGATATGTGCAAACACTAGTGAGAAGAACAATGAGTCTGGATAAGGGTTACACAAGAAAATATATTGCACAACATTGAATGGGGACACTGAGTCAGTATTGTGAAGGCCTTTCTTGTAGGAAGCCTTCCTACAGGAAAGAAGGAATTTTTTTTTTTTTTTTTTTTTTTTTTTTTTTTTTTTTGAGACAGTCGCTCTGTCACTCAGGCTGGAGTGCAGTGGCGCAATCTCGGCTCACTGCAACCTCTGCCTCCCAGGTTCAAGCTATTCTCCTGCCTCAGCCTCTTGAGTAGCTGGGACTATAGGCACCCGCCACCATGCCTGGCTAATTTTTTTGTATTTTTAGTAGAGACAGGGGTTTCACCATATTGGCCAGGCTGGTCTCAAACTCCTGACCTTATGATCCACCTGCCTTGGCCTCCCAAAGTGCTGGGATTACAGGCATGAGCCACCGCACCTGGCCTAATTTTTTTTTTTCTTTTGAGACAGAGTCTTGCTCTGTTGCCCAGGCTGGAGTGCAGTGGCACGATCTCAGCTCACTGCAACCTCCATCTCCTGGGTTCAAGCAATTCTTGTGCCTCTGCTTCCTCAGTGGCTGGGATGACAGGTGCGCACCACCACACCCTGCTAATTTTTTGTATTTTTTGTAGAGATGGGATTTTGCTATGTTGGCCAGGCTGGTCTCAAACTTGTGGCCTCAAGTGATCCACCTGCCTCGGCCTTCCAAAGTTTTGGGATTACAGGTGTGAGCCACTGAGCCGGCTGGCATGTATTTCTTAGAAACAAAAACATTCTCTTATATATCTGGAAATTACCATACAATACTATAAAAATCTTACTCAAATTTTGCCAATTTGTCCCAATAATTTCCTTTGTAGAAAAAATAAAAGCCTGGATCACAAGTTCTCATCATTTGTCACGTCTCTTTCGTGATCTTGATGTATTTGAGGAATATTTTACAGACTGTCCCGCAAATTGGGTTTGTCTGATGTTTTCCCGTGATGAGCTCCAGGTTAGCATCTTGGGCAGGCAGAGCACATGAGTGCTGCTGTGTCCCTCTCAGCACCTCCTGCCAGGAGTACACGATGCTGATGCATTCTGTTGCTGGTCGTGTCCCACAGCTGTACCCACTGTCAGGTTTTTATTCTTTCCTTTGTAATGAATACATATCTTGGGGATAGAAGTTACTCTGAGATTATGTTACTCTCTGTTACAATCAAACTTTTACCCACTAGATTTAGCCCCTTGCAAATCTTGATAGTTTGTAGATTCAAGTTGTCTTTTGAAGCTATAGAGCATTTATAACAAACTATTTGGTATAAAGGATTGATTTGATCAATAGTTTAAAATTTGACCCTTGAGCCTTTCTTTCTAACCCCTTTTTAAAGCTAAAAACAAGTATTCTTGAGTAGAACCTACCAGGCTGAAGAGTTTGTGGAAGGAAGTCTTAGAAAATACTTTGAGGACCACCCACTGCCAATGAGTGGCCCAGAGCCTGGACTTAGGGTTTGTAAAGAAACTGCCAGTCACAGAAGAATAAAACAACAAAACACAAGTGTTTCATACAATAGGAGTTCAGGTTTTTCCCTTTATTTAAAGTTAGGCTAAGTCATTTCCCATCAATTCATTCATTTAAGTGCATAACCAAAAGACATTGAAGGTTACTTAGCTATTGAGGTTTAAAATTTTTTCTTAGATGTTATTGTTGAAAAGAGCTAAAAATGGCCTGAGTCACTTCCTTCTGCAGGCACACACTTCCTCTATGTGGGCTTCTAAGAGCACATTATGGTATTTATTTAAGATTGGTTTCCTACTTTTAAATTTCATGAAGGAATCTATCAGAGATAATATTATTTGACAGAATACATTAGATTATTTTATTTCCCCTCATGTTCCATTTTTTTGTGCTATTTTTCTTCTTTGTATGACAATTAGTGTGGCTGCCACTTCCAAAAATTACATTCCCAGGACTTTGGGAGGCTGAGGCAAGCAGATCACTTGAGATTAGGAGTTTGAGACCAGCCTGGGCAAAATGGCAAAACCCCATCTCTACCAAAAATAAAAAAATTAGCCAGGTGTGGTGACAAGCGTCTGGAGTCCTAGCTACTCAGGAGGCTGAGGCAGGAGGATTGCTTGAGCCTGAGAGGTGGAGGTTGCAGTGAGCCAAGAATGTACCACTACACTCCGGTCTGGGTGACAGAGTGAGACTCCATCTCAAAAAAATATAGGTATTACTTTCCTCACAAACATAATTATAAGATGAAAGGTTCAAGATCTCCCTGTTTCCTAACTAAAATACTCTCCTTTTTTTAAATTTATTTTTTATTTTATTTTATTTTGGAAGTAGGATCTTGCTATATTGCCCAGGCTGGCCTTGATCCTGGCATCAAGCAACCCTCCCACCTCGGCCTCCCAAAGTGCTGGATTTACAAAAATATTTTTATTCTCCTGTTTTTTAATAACCACCTCCAGATAATGGTGGATTTTGTGACATTTCAGGCTTTTGTTCTATTAGAACCCTCTTTTCTTAGGTAATGAGCATTGTTCTCATAGGAAAATACTGATCATTGTTTTTGTCAACAGATATATTAGAAAATGAATATGTGTGAAGTTATGCTATATACAGTATTCTATACAATATTCTCACTGTACCATGTGCTATTGATAGAAAGAAATGTAAGACTGGCTCACTTAGTATGACATCTATTTGAGGGCACTGGTCATATAACACAACACACACATACGTACATGAAAAATAAGTAACCTAAGGTAATGTTTGTTGAATGTGGAATAGTGCATCTTTTCTGAAGCAGCTACAACATAAACAGAGCCTCGAAGGACCAAAAACAGTAGGAATGAGGGTTATGGAGAACATTTTAGGCCAGTAGAGCTATGCAAAAAAGAGTTGAAGGTCAAGATGCAAGTGGCATGCATCTGTGAGACTGAGCAGATCACGGGCTGAGGTGGAGGGCATCTGGAGTAAAGGAGGCCAACTGAAGCAGGTAGCAGTCCCATTCTTCAATACCTCTTTGAAAGACTGTGTATTCTAGATAAGCTAATGACTGATAAGCAATAAGTCAACATGGTAGGAGATGGATCAAAGGGATGAAAAAAATCAGGTAGATGGAAGTGATAAGATAAGAAAAAAATAGAGGTCAGGAATTTGAAGATATCCAAGGAAATAATTATGGGGTTTTTACTTACACTGTCTGTGTTTGACACACTTGGAAACTTAACCTTAATTAGTAAGTGTTGCTTTACTCTCTTTGCTCTGACAGAAGAAAACATTGAAACGGTTTGTGCTGCTTGCACACAACTTCATCATGCTTTAGAGGAAGGAAACATGCTTGGAAATAAATTTAAGGGAAGAAGTATTCTCCTGAAGACCCTGTGTAAACTAGTTGATGTTGGTTCAGACTCGCTCAGCCTTAAACTTGCAAAAATAATTCTAGCAGTAAGTTTTTCTTTCCTCTGGTCTAGTAGACTATATCACATAAAAGCTTTGTTTAATGCTTTATTTTTAAATATTACAAAGAATATTAGAAATGCAGTGTATTTGTTTAGAATCTTGGAAAAAAATTAAGGTAATAAACTGACATCTCAGAATTTGACTAGGAAATATTATCTAAGGAACTAAGGCTGAGTACATAGAAAATGTTAAAAGAAACTCAACGTTTTTGGACTGCAACTAAGTTAAAAAAAAAAAAAAGAAGAAGAAGAAGGAAGGAAGGAAAGGCAAGAAAGAAAAAGAAATAACCGTAGGCAAATACATTCAAAATGGTTGCTCAAATAACTTGACTGGAGATCAGTAGCAGATGGTGCAGGCAGTGGTTTCTCTTGGATGCTTGATTCTGTCATATGATTTAATAAATAACTAAGTAATTTAGGCCACAGTCATAATAAATCAGGTGCTTTAGGAACCAGTGTGAAACCGAAATACAGCTGCGTGTGGTCACAGGAAGGTACCTCAGTGGTCATAGAAGGCTTTCACAAGGTGTGAGAAGAAAAGGCCAGACACCAAAAAAAAAGTCTGTAGAAACTCTGTCTCAAACAAAATGATATCACTGTTTGAGGGGAGCACTTTGTTGTCACAGCCATAAACAGTTGGAACCAAAAGATAAGCCACAATTATTATAGAATGTTCTAAGAGAGCCGCTAAAACAAATGAATGAAGCTTTGTTTTCTTGGTTTCATACAAGTACAAGCTTTGTGCTAACACCCCATAATTTACAGAATTTAAAATCTTACAGTACACAGTGAAGGTAAGTGTTGGCGTACTTACTGTTAGTTAATAAGAATGCCACCTTTTCTTATTCTGATAATGAAGTCTTTCATAAAGCAGAATTTTCTGAGCATATATCTATGTAATATCAGGGGGAGGCTACATTCTTATTCAGCTCTCAAACTATTAACTCTCTTTTTAAAAATTGTGATATGTGGTCAAGAAAGCAATACTTCTTTGAAATAGTGATATCACTCCAGGGCTCTGGCGGTGCAGCAGCTGCCCAAAGATTGCCTTTGCTATTTTAATCTGAATCCTAGACATTTTGTTCCATACCAAGCCAAAGAAAGAGAGAAAGAGTGAGGAAAAAAAAAAAAAGAAAGAAAGAGCAAGAAGGAAAGGAAGGAGGAAGGAAGGAACATGAATTATTTTAATGCTTTGCAGAGTAAATATTATTTCGGTTATTAATGGTGTCATTCAAATTAATTATATATATGACACAAATTTAACTATTTTAGGGCAAAAGGCTAAGTGATCTGCCAGGCAGTGAACATGTTTTGAACTAAACATATGATTAGATAAAGCCCTCTTGGTGACATTGACGGCCTTGCTGAATCAGGAGCAAGATGCTAGGCTAAACTCCAGAGTGCAGAGCTGGGTAGGTTTGCCTTCTGACTAGCTACAGAACCAGCAGTTCAGAAGGGACCTTCAAATCCATCAAGGCCAACTTCCCATCTACTGCCTGGATCTCCTGTAACATTCCAGACAAGATCTTGTTTAGCTTAGGCCTTGGTGATGCGGTTCTATGTAAAATGTTAAAAGACTACATCATAAGAACTGTTGAAGAAGAAAAAATCAGCAAAAACTAAAGCTATATGGGACTAAGAAGTTTTTTACAACTTCTCTCTGCCTGTTTATTGGCAAATACTGGCAAATGAAAGTTTTCCAGACAGTCATCTTAATTTTAATCTTTGTGTCAGAAACTCTTACAAAATAATATACAAAAATATATAAGCTTAAATGTTACTATATTAAGATTTTTTAAAGGAGTACAAACAAATATATACAGTATGAATGTGACTATATTTAGGAGGGAAAAAATCTAGCGCCCTATGTACAGGGTAAAAAAAGAAAAGAAATACCAATTACCAACTGTGATGCTATATAGTGGTACTAGTATGAGTGATTTTAAACTTTTCTTACTTTTCTTTAATTTGCCAAATTTACTTTAAATAGAATAAACTACTGTTTTTAACATAAGAAGAAAACTACCCTACCACAAGAACCTACTTTGTGCCAACATTTTTTTTTTTTCTTTTTCTTAAAGACAAGATCTCGCTCTTGTCACCCAGGGCTGGAGTACAGTGGCGAGATCACAGCTCACTGCAGTATCAAATTCTGGGCTCAAGTGATCCTTCTGCCTCAGCCTCCCGAGGAGCTTAGGACCACAGGCATGCACCACCACACCTGGCTAATTTTTAAAAAATGTTTTATAGAATTGGGGTCTCGCTATGATGCCCAGGCTGGTCTCAGACTCCTAGCCTTGAGCAGTTCTCCCACTTTGGCCTCCCAAAGTGCTGGGATTACAGGTGTGAGCCACTGCACCTGGCCAGAGACTCCTCTTGACACTGGGAATACAAGTGAATAAACTAGCTCCTTCCTCTGGGGTTGCCACAGTAGCAGGGCAGACAGACAGCAAACACAGCAGGTACCAAAGGAGATAATGAGAACTAAGGGAGAAAAATAAAGCAGAGCAAAGGAAAGGGAGAGTAACAGGGAATTTTTAAAATAAGATCGTCTACATCCCTTGCATAAATGTAAGATTTTATTATCTTTTTATGTCTTAAAGTCATAATTTTACGGTTAACAATGGAGAAGCGGTACAAATTTGCACTGACTGTAAATTGACATTATAGCAGGCCTGGAAATTGTAGTTGTCTTTTTTCTTTTCTTTGTTTTCATTTTTGTTTTTTCTTCTTATTGTTTTAATGAAAACTCTGATACAAGGTTTTGTTTTGTTTTGTTTTCCTTTGCCACTTTTTACTAAAAATGTAAGATTTGTTGGGGAAAAGGAAAGTGAGTTGTATTCATTTTTTTCATGAAGTTTTATTAAGTATGGAACACATCCTACATACTACATATAGAAAGAGTAATAAATTGTGGTTTTGACCTCAAGGACTCACAATCTAGTAGAAGGTAGTCAACCAATTCAAATATATTTCCAGATATTAGGAATAATATATATTTCCATCAATATAGAAATGTTCTTCTGTTTTCTTTCTTTCTTTTTTTTTTTTTTTTTTTACCAGTCATCTTTTATTTGGAGGTTAATTGCCATTAGGATATGAAAGAATTCAGCAACGATCGAGATTGTGTTCCTCACAGAGGGGCTCGGGCCAAGGTCGTGGGGTGGGGGGGTGCAGAGCGTGTCCTCTTCAGTGGTATTTGCGGAGCCACTCGTGCTTGAGATGCTTGTAGGAAAAGGAGTAGCTGAAGAGCACGTAGCATGCCAGCACCATGGTAACCCCCGAGATGCTCCCCTTCTTCACATTGATGTACTTGTAGTACCAGTAGTAACCTCTTTGAAACGCTCCGAAAATGCCACTAGGGCTGAAGTCCCCCATCAAGATCCAGCTTGGCAGCTCCCCCAGTTTGACCTCCAGAAGTTTCTTGTCCTTCACTGGTACAACTGACGCTATCTTAGAGTCCTGGTGTCCGCTGTGTTCTTCTGTTTTCTTAAGCCCGCTTATTTTCTGGGGGTTTTAAACAATATTATTTTAAATACCTAATCATTAAACATTTATTAAGGTTCCCATTTCCTATTTTCCTCCTGGGAACAGAAGGAATCTCCATTCTGCCATGTGTTACAGTTTCTGAAGCTTCCACAACAGTGTTTCCCAGACTTCACTGTGCACATGCATCCCCTGGGGATCTTGTAAAATGCAGATTCTGAGTCGGTAGTGCTGGGGGGGGCCTGAGATTCTGCATTCCTAATACATGCCCAGGTGATGCTGAGATGGTTCTGTGACCTATCTGAGGCACGCACTCCTCAAGTGCAAAGTGTGAACGACAACACCAAATTTCCAGAATAACTTTTGTAAGTGGCCTAGTGCAGGAGGGTATGCAGAAGCTGCCCCACAGGCAGTGCTCCCCTCCCCAGGCCCCTCCAGCTGGGGGCTGACCATGGCCGTTTTGGTGTCTTCTGCAGTGAGCAGCATAGCGCCTGGTACACATCAGGTGCCCAGTAAATACTTGTGGATCAAGCACAGAACAAATACTTAACAAATATGCCTGACAGATTCTATTATTTTTTTAAAGTAACTGAAAACTCATTAATAAAATGTGGGAGGCTGAGGTGGGAGGATTGTTTGAGCCTGCTAGTTCAAGACCAGCCTGGGCAACATCTCTACAAAATGTTGAAAAAATTAGCCAGGCATGGTGGCACATGCCTATAGTCCCAGCTGCTCTGGCGGCTGAGGCAAGAGAGTTGATTGAGCCCACGAGGTCAAGGCTGCAGTGAGCTGTAATGGCGGCATCACTGCACTCCAGCCTGGGTGAAAGAGCAAGACCCTGTCTCTGAAAAAAAAGAAAAGAGAGAGAGAGAGAAATGTCGTAGCCGGGCATGGTGGCTCACACCTGTAGTCCTAGCACTTTGGGAGGCCAAGGTGGGTGGATCACTTGAGGTCAGGAGTTCGAGACCAGCCTGGCCAACATGGTGAAACCCTGTCTCTACTAAAAATGCAAAAATTAGCCAGTCATGGTGGCATGTGCCTGTAATCCCAGCTACTTGGGAGTCTGGGGCAGGAGAATCACTTGAGCCCAGGAAGCAGAGATTGCAATGAGCCTAGATCATGCCCTTGCACTCTAAGCTGGGGAAGAAGAGTGAAACTCCATCTCAAAAAATAAATTAATTAAATAACTTTAAAGATAGTTTTTAATAATAAACTAATCACCTATATGCCATCCTTTTCAAACAGAAATAATTTTTTGTTCAGATGACCTTATTCCTACAAATACATTTTTACACCTTTGTAATGAGGGCACATATTATTTCCATCTAACAGTAGGTTACAAATGTTTCCCTTTTTAGACATAATGTTCACAGTTATGCTTTTTTGTGACTGCTTAATATGATAGTATTGATGTCCCACAATTTAATAAACTATTCCCTAATATTAGATACTTAGGATGTTTTTTATTTTTCTTTTTTACTACTTTAGATAAATACACAGCTAACTTAGACCATTTGATTCCGTCAGTAATCCTATACTTTGCTTTTTAAAAAAAAAAACACTATATTTCCTTATCACCCCATGTTTAATTTACTTAGATATTTTTGTATGATTTAGAAGAGAATTTTCTTTTCTTTTTTTATTTTTTGACACGGGGTCTCACTCTGTCACCCAAGCTGGAGTGCAGTGGCGCGATCTCGGCTCACTGCAACCTCCGCCTCCCGGGTTCAAGTGATTCTCCTACCTCAGCCTCCTGAGTAGCTGGGATTACAGGCGCGTGCCACCACACCCAGCTAATTTTTGTATTTTTAGTAGAGATGGGGTTTCACCACGTTGGTCAGGCTGGTCTCGAACTCCTGACCTCATGATCCACCAGCCTCAGCCTCCCAAAGTGCTGGGATTATAGACGTGGGCTACTGCGCCCAGCCTAGAAGGTAATTTTCAACTTTAGATGTTACTTGTGATTATCTCAAAGCATTCCAGAAATAGACCTTAAAAAGAAATATATGTATATTATCAAATTAAGCAGTATTACTTTTAAATTTTCTTTTATACAAATGATAAAAAAGACCAAAACTTTCCCCCTTTCTTTTCTTTCCTTCATCTCTACTATGTGTTCTTTTCTAAATTAATGTGAAATTTTGGTATTCATCTTCCTCTACTTTTGTGTTTTAATGCAATTACTCTAATCAAATTTATTAACAGTGTACTGCACCCCTTTCTTCCTCATATACTCCTTTAAAAGTAACTAATAATCGCATATATAAATATGAGACTTGGCTGGGCGTGGTGGCTCACACTTGTAATCTCAACACTGGGAGGCTGAGGTGGGAGGATTGTTTGAGCCTGCTAGTTCGAGACCAGCCTGGGCAACATCTCTACAAAAAAAATGTTGAAAAAATTAGCCAGGCACAGTGGCACAAGCCTATAGTCCCAGCTGCTCTGGCGGCTGAGGCAAGAGAGTTGATTGAGCGCACGTGGTCAAGGCTGCAGTGAGCTGTGATGGCAGCATCACTGCACTCCAGCCTGGGCGAAAGAGCAAGACCCTGTCTCTGTAAAAAAGAAAAGAGAGAGAGAGACTTTATGAAGTAAGAAATATGGAGAACAGATTGGAGGTTCCTCAAAAAACTAAAAAGAGAGCTACCATATGATCTGGCAACCCCACTGCCAGGTATATACTCAGAAGAAAGGAAATCAGTGTATCGAAGATATATCTGCACTCCTATGTTTATTCCACAGTATTCACAATCGCTAAGATCTGTCATTAAAATGTTTATTCTAAAGATAATTTATATTGTGTTTACTCTAATTGAGTTAATTAGATACCACAATTGGCAAATATGTGGTCTAAATTTTTCAAAGTTGATTTCTTTAGAACTTTTTCATGTTTAAAAATACTGTTGCTGTACTTTAAAAATAGATGTGGTTTATTTTTTTTAATACAGCATGTCTTTATTTCCTTCTGCAATAGAGATGTGTTTCTTTCTCTGCAGCTTAAAGTGAGTAGAAAGAATCTTCTTAATGTCTGCAAACTTATATTTAAAATTAGCAGGAATGAGAAGAATGATTCTTTGATTCAAAATGACAGCATTCTGGGTGAGTGTCATTCAGTGCTACTATTGAGCAAATGCTGTACTTGAGTAAAAATTAGAAGTCTGGAGAGAAAATATATAATCAATGATAGCAAGAATATTTTGTTTTCTAGAAACATGCAGAAGTTATGTGATGCTCATTTTTACTTCATCCTTCTCTGTTTTCCACATTCAGTTGAATGCATCCTGTGGTAGTTTGCTCTTTTCCTTCAACACCTGTAGTAACATTATGTGACTTTACAAAGTGTTCCCCATTTAAGAATTCATTTCCTGGACTTGGATTTAATATATAGAAAAATGCATTTAATAGTATTTGACATAGTTGAAAATTTTAGTCTTTTAATATACTAGGGATGACTAAAAGTTGAAAGACATCTATAACTGTTATAGAAACCTGACATCAACATGTTTCAAATTTGTAGGTAAGGAAGTTTTATTATACCTTATCTAGCTAATGCCTAATTTTTGTTGTACTTCTAAGTAATTAAGATATCTAGTTACCTAAATGGAAATCTTTTTATTAATTAATATTGCTGATACAAGAAAAGA
The DNA here is from genome assembly GCF_000001405.40 of Homo sapiens. Classification (NCBI taxonomy): domain Eukaryota; kingdom Metazoa; phylum Chordata; class Mammalia; order Primates; family Hominidae; genus Homo; species Homo sapiens. The sequence goes on from NC_000006.12 coordinate 108,911,547, forward strand.
AAATACAAAGTATTTTCCATGCAGCAACATGGAAAATACATTGAGTTCTCTTTTTGCAACATAGGATAAATTATCTTTTCATCTTTCTTTGCCCCTGGCAGATAGGGACAAAACCAGTACTGAAAGAAATGTCTAATGTTGAATCAACTAATTAAGAATTGTCGACTGAAAACAAATTATGTCAAATTATTACATTGACTTTAATATAATTAAATGTGAGATATGCATTATTAACGTTATTGGATTTGCCTGGATTACTCGTAAAACCAAGTAGTGGTATGTTATTTGAATAAATGTTCTTAAGTTGTCTTGGGAAAAGGATAGGCGTTATATTCAAGTTATCTTTCTAGGGTGATTGAGATTTTTTTTTAAGCCCCTTCATGGATTTCCCACTAAGAATACAGTTACAAATATATTCTTAAAGGCTTGTTGAAGTTTAACTCTTAGATGTGTTAAATTATTAGTATTCTATGACTCAAAATTTTTGTAACAAAAAATAAAGGTCAATAAATAATTAGTAAGAGGCAAGGAATGACATTAATTAAAAGAATACTTTCTCATTTATTTATTAACAATCCCATCCTTCTGCTGAAATTACTATTACAGAGACTTATCTTAGCTAAAAGTAAGCTTTTCTCTTATACTATATAACTCTTAACAAGCACTTGAATGTAGATTTTGATAAATATATTTTACGAAGTGTATTTTATGTTCACACACAAGTGCTTTAATATATTTCTCTCCAGCTGTTATACTCAGACATTTATAATAATTAATCTTTTTGACAGAATCATTATTGGAGGTACTAAGAAGTGAAGACCTGCAAACTAACATGGAAGCTTTTTTATACTGTATGGGGTCTATAAAGTTCATTTCTGGAAATCTGGGATTTCTTAATGAAATGATCAGCAAAGGTGCTGTGGAAATACTGATAAATTTGATAAAACAAATAAATGAGAACATCAAGAAATGTGGTACATTTTTGCCTAATTCGGGCCACTTGCTAGTCCAGGTAAGTATTTTACTTGAAAACGTTAGATGTGTAAAATTAGTTTTCACATTGCCTAATGCCAGTTTTAAAAGAATGGCATGCAAGAGGCCCCTACAGCCAGGTGTGGGTGCCTGGCCTCCAAGGGCAGCAGCCATAGCCCACCTCCACCCCATGAGGGCCTGGTGCCTGTTGTCCTGGACAGGCTATTCCATGGCTATTACAAGAGCAGCTCTCCACACAGCATGCGCTTTCACTGCCCTGCAGAGAAAGCAGGCCTGGAAGAAGGAAAAAGTTGTACCTCTCTGCAAAACAATTGCATGTTAGAGTCAAAATTTTAACAAGCTGCTTAGAGTGTTGAAGATGGGCCTGGCCTGGAGATGATTTATGATGATTGGTAGCTAATGTCATTACTCTTGTAAGAAACAGAAGGTAACGGGATTGAGTGGACAGTCACTGAGGTGGGTATGTAGATATCAGGCAGCCCCGAGACTGTAGGAATGCAGGGAACAAAACTGGACGCATGGAATATAAACAGAGCAGGTAGACCAATTTTGTTATATGTTAGGGTTTTATTACTTCTGTTGTAGCAGATTAAATTTCATAGTTAAATTATTTTCACTGGAGCTGCTCTGGCTTGGATACTCTTTTAGATGAGATTTTACTTTTTAATAGCATTCATATATCAAATAATAGCATCTTTGATGTAATAATTCATAGGATTCGAAATGTGTTTGTCAATTAATGAGGATTGATTGAGCACTCAGAGCACACTAAGCCATTGGGAAACTGTGTTAAAAATTAGATTTAGGCCCTGCCTTCAAGATGCTTAAAATATTTAGGATGATTATTAATTTTGGACTTTGTGGTCTGTCTCCATTTTGAAGAAGATTGTGAAAACCTCTTTTAGTCATCAATGATGCACAGTTTTTCTGTATGCCCTGTTTTGGCTAGGAAGACTTCAGAAACATTTTCCATGCTCCCAGTGTTATCGAATCATTTAATTTTTTCCCTCAATGAAAATAGTAATTTCTAATTATAGAATAATTATATTTCCTGTTAAAATGCTGAAAAGTATAAGGAAGAATATAAAAATCACCTGCAATTTTTTCACCCTGAGATAACACCTCCAGCATTTTGGTGGTCATTTATATACATATACATAATTTAATAGAATTCTCACTTTTTAAATAACCCGTTACTTTTAATAGTCACTTTTGTTTGTTTGCTATCATTCTCTTCCCTCCCTGTTTCTCCTTCTGGTTTATCCATTTAGCTAACATTGTTCACACTGATGTGTTCAGCACCTTTTAGTACACACACAGGATTCAACAAATGGAATATTCTATGCCCTTCTCTCTCCTCATTTAACAATATGTAGTAAAAATCCCTTGAGTTAACCCTAAAGACTTATTTAATTCTTCTTAATGACTGCATAATATTCTGTGATTAGGATATATCTCAAATTCTCAGCCATTCCCATATTGAGATATTCACTCTGTTTTAAATTTTTATGTAACAGCTTATGGGATTCTTGTCTAGTTAATCTCTTTCCAACCCCATCTTATACATATATAAATGTGGTTTGCTGTTTGCATCAACTATATCACTGTGTGTGTATGTCTGTGTGTGTGTATGTGTGTGTATGTGTGTGCACCCACACACATATGATCAGTGGGTATGAAGGGAAGTTGAGTGTTACTGTGACCAAAAATATATCAAATCAAGAAAGGGGACCTCTGGTGTGCACATATAGTATATTACTCCCTGTGTTACTCTTTTATGTCCCTTTCCCCTGGATTCAGCATCCTTAGGTGCAAACTGATTCACCAGGTCGGATCCCCCCTCCTTTCCTGACATTTGTGTCCCCCCACCTCTAGGGGGCGCTGTAGAAGTTCCTCCTCACTGCCCACCACCACCTGCCACCACCTGATGGCAGTGGGCTCTGTCATTGTCTCCAAAGCCTTTCTTGGAACCAGCCTAAGGCCTGGCATGGGTGACCCACACCCCTGTCTAGCAGGAGAAAATGGAGCCCATGATGGCATCCACCCGAACTTACTCCAGCTGTGGTCACCAAATGCCATTTGTATCAACTGTATCACTGTTTGTGTGTTTACAGATTTGGGAAGGAAGGAGACATTGTTTTAGTCTTTGTCATTTGCAGAATCCCCTGAATGGGACATTTCCTCATATTTAATGAAAACAAAAGCTGTTTTGTATCATACAAATGATAAAATGTAAGCAACAAGACTTCACTCCAAGAGCAGATGAAAGCCTCTGCTTTTGTGAATGTGTAACACTGACTGACTTTTCACCAGCCGGTTCATGTGCAAATTCAGCCAGACAGATCTGGCCACAAGCAGAAGTGTCTGTTTACACCAGCTTTGAGAACCTGGTAACTCCAGCTCAGCAGGCATTTTTTTTTTTTTCTTTTTGAGACAGAGTTTTGCTTTTGTCACCCAGGTTGGAGTGCAATGGTGTGACCTTGGCTCACTGCAACCTCCACCTCCCAGGTTCAAGCGATTCTCCTGCCTCAGCCTCCTGAGTAGCTGGGATTACAGGCACCCGCCACCACGCCTGGCTAATTTTTTTTGTATTTTTAGTAGAGACAGGGTTTCACCATGTTGGCCATGCTAGTCTCAAACTCATGACCTCAGGTGATCTGCCCACCTCGGCCTCCCAAAGTGCTGGGATTATAGGTGTGAGTTACTGTGCCTGGCCAGGAGGCATTTTTAAAAGCAGCTTTTTTCAATTGAAAAAATAAATAAATTACTTGTGGCTGTAGTAAGAATAAAATAATGTCTGCCAGCCAGAGAGAACATGACGAGGGCCAAAAAGATACAAGCAGGCAACATCTAGTGGCGTGACTGCTTTTCTTCTATGACTTTCAACCCCAAGAACCTCAGGAGCTTTGGCCCACTTTCTGGGGACCTCATATTACAGAACTTCGCTTGCTTTAACATCTGGCACAGCGTTAGAGTCATCTTGTTTTCCAAAAGCAGCTCCGTTGGGCTCATTGAAAGAGTGGAAAACATCTTCCAAAGCTGGACCCTGAAGATTGTGCAGGATTTGGGAAACTAGAACAAAGGGAAAAGGATGTTGAACACTCAAGTGGGAAATAAATAAGGTGTGTTTGGGAGGTGCTGAAGAGGTAGGGCTGTCTAGAGTAGAGATTCTGTGTGGGAATCTTGGAAGGTGAGATTCACAAGGTACAGCCACGAGTCTTGAATACCAGCTGCCAAGAGTGGACTTGGGGCAACAAGGAGCAGTTGGAGGTGAGTGCATGGGGGGACGAGATGAGATCAGAGCGGCAGAAAGATGAATGTGCACAAAATGTTAAACTGATAAAGACCAAATAGCTGAAAAGTGATGGGAGGAGAACGTATCCGTGATACATGACAGATTGGAGGGCTAAGATCTCAAACACAGCAGCCCCAGTTAAGAGGCATTGCTGCAGTTAGATTTTAGACTGATTAGAATGGAGACAAAGGAATGGGTATGAAGGAAAAGCTCCTTCAAAGCAGACGGACTAATGTTGCTTAGAGGAAAAAAAAACACAGTGTTGAACTTTGGAAGGTCTTCTTTGTGTTGTTTCTTACATATATGTATACGTATGGCTGTATGTATTGATATATGTTTATCACCTGGTGGCTGAAATCAAGAGACACTCATTTCACAAGTTTTGTGGCGTGGCTGCTCTGTGTCAAACATGTTCTGGGTGATGAGTAAGACAGGAGAGCTGTCAGTAGGCACCTACTTTTTGGTGATCCCTGTATCCAGATAATAGTATTCCAATGCTTATTCTTCTGCAAAATTATGGTACTTCCACATGGCCAACATTGCATTCAGTTCTGCATGTCAGAAATGTAATAGCATTTTGAGAAGGACAAGATGCTCAGAGAAACTGGGTGCTGCCACCTGTGCATCAAGTCAAAGCGTGAATAGCCCCAGGCTGGCAAAACTGGAGATGCGAGTTTGTCTGTAAAGTCGTAAGAGTAAAGCAGGTTAAACTGTGCATGTTCACTGAACTCCAGAACACTAGAATTTAGGGTGAGCTCCCTGGAACTTGGAAAAACAGAAATATAGGCCAACTAACAGGCAAGGCCCCTAAATGCCAGTAGTAAATTGCACCACCAAGGAGGTGGCACAGATGGAAAGAGGGACTTGTCAGTGTTGCTCTAGAATGGATTATCATGAGGTGTTAGGGTTCGTCTGTGACCTTTAAAGAGCTACAGTCGGGCAGGCATGACACAGGAGCTGAAGGAAACTCCTGGGGTCACCTCCATCTGAAAGTCTGTTTTGGTCTCTGTTGTGCCCTTTCCTGGAGAACAGAAGAGTCTTCTGTCTATGTCACAATCACAACTAAGCCCAAATTCTCCCGGTGTCTCCTTTGTCCTCTGTGTCTTGAGAACATCATGTACAAAGCTGCTTTGCTGTGATTGAAGGAAATCTCAATGTACTTACATTAACAGCTAGGTAATTTATAGGTGTACAATGTAACTATTAAAGCTCAGATTGACTTGAACTTGCATGCCTATTTTTTGGATTCACTTGTACTTCCAATCTGTTTTTTCTTTACAGCCTGACCCAGTTGATTTTGAATTCAATCCTTAGAGAAATGTATTATTTGCCTTCTTTAGATATACTGTTTTTGAAGTTAGAACTGTTCTGCAGCACCCCAGGTAACATGGTTTTCTTTTCCTCTCCACAGCCCCCTACCCCCGCTTCTCTGGCCCCTAAGCCTGCAGACACCTCCCTAGCAGCTCCCGCAAATCCAGATCCTCTCCCCCTTGCTCAGTACCATACCACTGTCATGTTCTTCCTTTTTCTAAATGGAAGTCTCTCGGGAAGGTCGGTCCTCCCACCTCATCAGTCCTTTCCTTCCTTCACTCGGTTCCTTCCTTTTGTTTTTAGGGTTTAGGGAATAGGAAAGTGTATGGAACAAAGAGAGCTGACTCAGACAATTTGAGCCTGGATAGTTCAGAAAATAATAAATGATGGTATCATGAATAGAAATTAGAGAGTTACAGAAAGGAACTGGATTTGGTGAGAGGAGGAAAGAAAATTGTGGGAAGAAAATTATGTTAATTAGCTTTATTTTTATTTTTTAAATTTTAATATATATTTTTTTGAGATAGAGTCTCACTCTGTCGCCCAGGCTGGAATGCAGTGGCGCAATCTCGGCCCACTGCAACCTCTGCCTCCTGGGTTCAAGTGATTCTCCTGTCTCTGCCTCCAGAGTAGCTGGGATTACAGGTGTGTGCCACCATACCCAGCTACATTTTGTATTTTTAGTACAAAACTAAAATTGTTTTAGTAGGTCTCTAGTAGAGATGGGTTTTCACCATGTTGGCCAGGCTGGTCTCGAACTCCTGACCTCAAGTGATCCACCCACCTCAGCCTCCCAAAGTGCTGGGTTTACAGGCATGAGCTACTGCTCCCGGCCGAAATTAGCTTGAATATAAAACTTTCAGATGCCAGCAGGCCTCTCAAGTAGGAAGTAGGAGATATGAGCTGAGGCTTGGAAGAGCAGGTAAGATCAAAAATACAGATTTAGGGTCATCTACATGGATTTGATGGTTGAAGGCAGAAAGACAATGAAATTACCCAAGGAGAGAGTAGAGAAAGAGCAGAGGGACTGATGACAGATTCTGTGAAAATGGCCTCATTTGTGGAATGGGAAGAGAAAAGGAAGTGACTAGGAAATGAAGGGCAATGTACAAGAGTGAGATTTTCTCAGCAAGGATGGGTCAGCTTTGGCAAATGCTACAGAGAGCGTGTAGGAGAAGAGGGATCCCACCACTTTGTTTGGAGCCGTGCGAATAGGCGAGCGAGGGGTGTGAGGGGGCCATCTCCTAGGGCAACAGTGTGCTCTCTTGCTCTCTTTCAATCTTACATAGTTCTTTAGCTCTGTATTTTTAAATTAAAAGATGTTTTGATATACTTGATTTTTTTTTTTTTTAAATTTCTGAGCCCTAGAGTGAGCTCCCCACTTTGGCAGAGCTGGGCTCAATCCTGTATTCATTGTTTGCCGTTGGGAACCCTGATGGTTCATTCAACCCTGGACAATGCTGGGGCAGGCCCAGTGCCGCCACCCTGCATGGTCCAGTGAGGATAGCACCGCACTGGAGCCCCCAGCATAAGCTGGCCTCTCAGCTGGGACACTGAGCCCACTTTACCCTCTGAGCCTCAGTTTCCTGTCTCTAAAGTGCTGACTATGCCTGCCTTAAAGGGCAGCTAGGAAATGAAATGAGATCGTCTAGTAAAGCGCCCATAACAGGGCAAGGCACATAGTAGGCACTCACCAGAAAGCCATTCAATAAAATAAGATCAGAATTACCCAAACCTGAAGCTTCAAAGAGCAATTATTTCTGATGGGATAAAAATGTAATCACAAGAAATTAAGAAGACAGAGTCCAAGATGACTTTCAAATATTTAATCTTTTTGTTCGGGCTTTGATAAGCAATGTAGAGAAGAGCACCAAAGAGAAACTAAAATTGGAGGAGGGTGTTAGGGTAATGTATGGGATTCTGGGTACATGATGGACCCCAATTCTCAGAGCCAGCTATTCTTTGCTTCAAGATTTGGGGAATTTAAGAGAGGCCTTCAACTGAAGTCTGGGGATTTGATCAAGCAGTGACTTAAGTTATTATTAGTAATGAAGGTTGTACCAGGCTGGCCGGGGTCTTTTAACTCTTGCTTTAGTTATGTTTCATAGTTTTTAAATGTAGAGATTAATGCATTTGTATTTAGGTGTTTAGATAATTATAAGTATGTGTACTTATGCTGGAAATTATGTTAATTCTTTATCTTGCGCGACCCCACCTATTGGAAGCCTAACTCTTCAGACTGTGCAATCAGAACCAAGGTAGCAGTGTCTACCAGTAGAACTTTGCTCTGATTATTGGAGGAAGTAAACTGCATACCTATAAAATGGGAGCAAATAGCCCCATGATTGTATTTCCTAAGTTCTTACAGATAATTTTTTTTTGGAGATTTGATAATTTAAACCAAATTTAAAGCATTTATTTTGAAGGTTTTGCTTGAATAGCAAGCAGTAGATGAGGTTTTTAATTTTCTTTTTGTTTTAATTAAGGTATAATCTACATCCAATAAAATGCTTAGATCTTATACGTTTGATGAGTTTGACAAAAGTAGAAAGCCACGTAGCCCCTACCCTTATCAAGATACAGAAGGTTTCTGTCACCTCAGAAATTTCCTCCCACCTCTTCTCATTAATCCTCATTCTTCTACCCTCCTCCCAGAGGGAACCATTTTTCTGATCTCTTTCACCATAGATAAGCTCTGCCTGTTCTAAAACTTTATATAAACGGAATATACAGCATGTACCCTTTTGTGTCTGGCACCTTTTTAAACTTTTATTCTGAACTAAGTATAAATTCACAAGATGTTGCAAAAATAGTACCGAGATGTCCTGTGTACCCATCATCCAGCTCCTCCCAGTGGTGATATCTTACATAACTATTGTACATTATCAATAGGAATTGATATGGATATGCCATAGTTACCTAGAGTACTATATCTGGTTTATTTTGCTTAGCATATTGTTTTTGAGATTAGATGAAGCTATTTTAGGGGTTAGTCTTTGGTATTGATCACTACACTGGCTAATTTTTTATTTTGTTTTGTTTTGTTTTTGTTTTTGTTTTTAGAGATGGAGTCTTGCTCTGTCGCCCAGGCCAGAGTGCAGTGGCATGATCTCAGCTCACTGCAACCTCCACCTCCCGGGTTCAAGCAGTTCTCCTGCCTCAGCCTCCCAAGTAGATGGGATTACAGGCACGTGCCGCCACTTTTTTAATGATGTATTTGTTAATGGGAAGGAGACAGCTATTTTCTACTTATGGGGCTTCCTTCCTATAAAAGAATTGCCAGCAGCATAACTAACCACTCACGTGCCCAGTTGCCACGAGAGAGTAGGCATTTGGGGCCCAGGTTCTTCCTCTTCCCTTCTCTTCCCTTTCCTAGGAAGGAGCTGTCTATAGGCAACTCATGTTCTCCTCCAATTTTCCAGGGACAGCAGATCTGAAGATCTGAGAAGACTCAGAAACCTAAATATGTAATGCCTTGGGTTTTTTACTTGGAAATAAGAGGCTAAGGAGGCTGGGGATGGGGATAAAGTTATCACCGTGGTTGGAGGATGTGGCTGATAGCTGAGGCAGGCATGCTTTCTAATCCTGAGTCCTAGAATTAGATTTACCCACCCAGTCACAGACCATGTCTGTCCCTGGAGGAGCAGAACACCTTTGTTCTGATGGCAGCTCACTTCTAAAAGAGGAAGGGAAGAGAGGGACCAGGTAGGGGCTGGACTGGGAGGGTCTGATTCCTGTCCCAAGCTCACCAATCAGGAAGTGAGGGCGGTGGATGGCCAGGAGTGTTATGCTAAAAGACAGATCAAGGGTGGAAATGAGGCTCCTACTGTGTCTGAGGAGAGCCATTTGCTCTCAATTAGTGCTCTGTCTGCTCAGCCTCCTCTCTTCACTGTAGATCTATTAGTTGTGGCAGTAAGGAAATGTCACTAGCTTTAGCATATAATTGTGAATAGTGGTTTCATTGCTTGGTAGTTCTTAATGCACTATCTTTTTCAGACTCCTTTTTCTTGTTTTGCTGCATTGCCATTCTAGATTGTTTGTATGATATTCAAAATTTCTCCTGTATTGAATACATACATAGCCACAACTAGAAGAATCAGCTACCTACTCATTTTAGTGAAGTAACTGGCATAGAGGCAGTAAATGGAGAAACAACAATAAACAGAGCCAAATGTTAAATAGAGTCTCAAAGTAGGACATTGGAGGTTTAAGGAGGACAGAAGCATTTCCTGCTAAGTCGGACACCCATGGTAGGGATGTGCCAAGTAGGCCTGTGTAGCCAGGCACCGAGTGTTATCAAGGATTATTAATTAATATTACCTTCATATGCATATATCTTAATAAATTCCAAGAAAAGCTTAGACATGCATGTTACCAGTGATTTCACATGTCTAGCAGCATCTTGTCATTGGTTTCTTTTGTCTCAGCCAGAACTGTACAAATCATATATGAGACAATATGAAACTTCTTGGGTTACCACACAGGCTCTGGTTTTGGCATATATGTGGCCTCAATTGGGCACAAGTTCAAAGAAATGAATCTGCCTTTATTAATAGAGGGAGATGGCTTAGCTGAGGTTGGAAAATAGTGGCTTTAGTCATAAATCATTTCACACTGTTTGTGGTCTCTGGCGGCTGCGTTTATTCTTTTACATCATCAGTGGGAAGTCAACAATTTTGCAGTTGGCAGTTAAGTTGAGACAAAGCTCGAGGGATTTCAGTTGTGGATATTCCAGATGATTGCAAAATGCTTTTAGAGACCAGTGCCAAATAGAGTAGGGAGGCAATAGACCAAGAAACTGAGGCCAGGGCACTAGCCTACCTGGGAGCTGATAGACTTCTGAGCTTCAATGAGTCACAAGCTCCTCTGATCTGGGGCAGCTCTGATGGCAGGTTGCCTTCTAGAGCAGAATCTGGTGAGTTCCTTGAGGACAGAGTACTCTGATGGAGGAAGGGCACAGAGGGAAAAGAGAGGGCCGTCCACTCTGGACATGATCAGTGTGTGTGGAGGTTGCCCCACCTCGCACCCACCCACTGCAGTAGAGAACGCAGGAATGAGACCACAGCTGCTGGGCCTGTGTTGTGTCCTCAAGTCCAGTGATCCAAGTCCGGAGGGCCCCCCCACCCTTTTTTTTTTCTTGAGACAGAGTCTCACTGTGTCACTCAGGTTGGAGTGCGGTGGTGCGATCAAAGGCATGGCTCACTGCAGCCTCAGCCTCTGGGGTTCAGGCGATTCTCCTGCCTCAGCCATGAGAGTCGCTGGGATTACAGACCTGAGCCACTGGGCCCAGCCCCATATTTTAAGACAAATATTTCCTGTGTTTGCTAAGGTTTCTCAATTAATTAATAGTTGAAAACACAATTTGAAATTGATAATTAAGTACCTATAGTCAACTTGAAAAAAACAGAAGCTAAAGCTTTTGAGTTCTCATTTTACTGTATTAAAATGTAGTTGTGCATTTATAAATGATCTAATTTCTTCTTAGTACATTTTTTCCCTTTAAAATGGGTCTCCCAATACTGACTACACAATGAAAACTTTGAGGCTTACATAATTCAATGTGAGCTGGGTAGCTTTGCCAAGTCTCCAGGTGTTTTCCCTGACTGAGGGTGGTACCTGTTATGATCAAATAATTTGGGGAACATGGAAAGAAGCTTTCTCAGAAAAGTGAGCACCAGAAAGTTGTCAAGTGTAGCTCAGTCATTTTTCAGTAGTAGATTGGTAACCAGAAGCAAAATGGAATGTTTCTTCCTGGGTATTTACCAAAACCTTAGGTCCCCTTTTGTCCTAAACATCACCTAACAATTGCTAATAAGCAAGGAAACTTACATTTGTATTAGTCCTCTTTGTGGATTATCAGTGTCATTTTCTTCTCTTTTTTCTTCTTCCTATGGGCTGCCTTCAGGATTGCAAGTCCCACAGGATTGCAAGTTAAGAGATGGGGGAAAAGATAGGAATTAAAACTTGTGTTTTTCAGTGTGCTATTTCTTGGTGAAATGCTACTTAAGAGGTTGAGAATTTCTCTACTAAGTCCTTTAGAGACTAAACAAGACTTTTTTTAAGTAAGGGATTTGAGGTGGTTTGAAAGATTATATACAATAAAAAAGAAAAATGTGTGTTTAAGTTTGTGCATTTATAGATAATATAAATTAGAATAGAAAGTTAAGAAAGAAATGGATGCACACCTCCAAGCATGAAGCTTGGGCTTTGGTTAACTCCTGCTTTGGGGGAGGGCCCAGTGGGTGGGCTTTTCTTGAGGGTGGGAAATAAAGACCCTGCTGTAGAGCACAGAACTCATTGATAATTTTCACAGATTTATCTCTGTTCAACTGAGAGTTCTTGTTTTCTTTTTTTTAATTTTCACTTGTATATAATGAATTCAAAAGTAGGAGCAAAATTCAGTTAAATGGGTTGACTTGGAACTTGCCTTTACTGTGACCACATGATTTAGCTAGACTCTCCTCCCCACACCCTTTTTTTTTTTTTTTTCCTGCATTTTTTCCAGAAAAGGCCACTGGTCTGAGCATTCAGGGCCCCACCATCATCCCACAGTGAGATTGGTGGCTCTCAGAGGTTGGTGACAAGTCTCTCAAGATACAGGGCCTTCAGAGCTGCATCTGCGTGGTGGCCTTTTCCTGATCCTTCTCCCTCAGGGTTTTAGGCCCTGGTTCACCCAGGCCTCTGCTAAGCTCCCGCACTTTCTTGCCAGAGGTGTCTTAAAGGGAAAAACCTCTCTTTTGTCGCTCCTGTCCCTTCTTTCTTTCTTCCCCCTCCTCATTCCCCTCCTCCTTCCCCTTCTCATTCACTCTTCCAGCCCTCCAGTAGCTGAACATTTAAGAGCTTTTTATGAGCACATTTGTTGTCCTCTGAATAGAAAGAGGAATAAGAAGTGGTTTGTACCCTAGAGGAGCTCACCATGGGAGAGAAGATGCCTGAAGACAAGTGACAATGCTTCTGTGATGGGGGTTGTAGAGGCAGGAACAGGATGCTTTGGTAACACGGAAGAGGAAGGAGAGGAAGTGACTGATCAGCCTCGGAAAGGACTTCACAGAGAAGTTATCTTGAGCTGGGTTTTGAAAAATGAGCAGGAGGCCGGGCGCGGTGGATCATGTCTGTGATCCCAGCACTTTGGGAGGCCGAGGCGGGCGGATCACTTGAGGTCAGGAGTTCAAGACCAGCCTGGCCAACATGGCAAAACCCTGTCTCTACTAAAAATACAAAAATTAGCAGGGTGTGGTGGTGCTTGCCTGTAATCCCAGCTACTCGGGAGGCTGAGGCAGGAGAATCGCTTGAACCCAGGAGGCGGAGGTTGCAGTGAGCCGAGATCGAGACTCTGTCTCGAAAAAGAAAAAAGAAAAAAATGAGCAGGAGATGGCCCGGGGGAGAAGGGGTGGCAAAGTGTAATCGAGGGCACTCTGGGCGGAGGAAGCCGCCTATTCAAAGGCATGGCGTCATGAAGGGTTGAGGACCTCATGTGGTGCAGAGTCTGAAAGATGGCCAGGGTGGTGCCGAGGCAAAGGAGATGAGTTTGGAGGGATAAACCACACTTCAGAGACTGAGGAACCTTTAGGCTATGGGTGCTACTGGCTGGGCCGGAAGTCGCAGGAGGCCTTTGAGCAGGGAAGGCGGAGCTTTGAGATGCCCCCTCTGGCAGCAGTGAGCAGCTATGGGGGCAAACTGTGGAAGGAGCCCATCCAGGGGGCTGTAGAGTTTGGGTAAGAGATGAAGTGAGCTTAAACTGAACCAGTGACGCTGGTGATGGAGAGAAGGGGTGAACGTGTGACCAGTCAGGTGGGGAAAGGGGTGGGGCCCGGGAGTTTAGGAGCTTGGGAAGGAGCTGCTGTCAGAAATGAGATAGGCTAGAGAACAAATACACAGAGGCTGGTCCCCTTCCAGAGAGTTCATTTTTCTTTCATCCGTTATTTTTTATTCTGTGATGGATGGGGGTTATAGAGGCAGGAACAGGATGCTTTGTTAACACGGAAGAGGAAGCGACTGATCGGCCTCTGAAAGGTCTTAAACATAGACAAGTTAGCCTGAGCTGGGTAACTACAGAGTCCATTTTTCTTTCATCCATTATTTTTTACTCCTCTGCTTTCAAAAAAAATCTTAAAATCTGTCTACCTCAGAGATATTGTCTGCTTAGCCCATGGTGTTCTGATATCCCAGTCTTTCCTTTGTAGATGTCCACCCCTTCATTCATTCCATTAATAAATGCCTATTGAGCGCCCACCATGTACCAGGCACTGGACTTGGAGCTGGATGTACAATGGTGAAAAGGATGAACAAGGTTTATGCCTTCACTGAAGCGTCTAGTCTGGAGGAGTAGACAGATAGTAAACCATAATATTAAATAACCTAGCATTAAGTAGAGTTTATGGGGGCATATATGGTATGAGATGAAGCTTGACGGGTTGAGAAGGAACAGATCTGTTGAGCCTTGTAGACCATGGTCAGGGAACTGAATATTATCCTGGGAGCTATGGACAAAAAGCCAATATGGCTTGGAGTAACAGAAAGCAGAAAGGCAGGATTCTGGGATATCTCTGCTTGAGCAACTAGGTTGATGGTGTCATCTATTGAGCTATTGCTGTGTATTTTTCAAATGTATGGTATATGTTTCATGCATGTTATTTCTACCAGCACCACAAATGACAAATTTGGAAATACGTGAGGTATTGTATATTACTCAACTGTGTGTATCACGTGCAGTAAATGGGTAGGAATTTCAATCAAATGACATGTCACATATAAATGTGGGCTTTCTCTCCTGACTTGGGTTATTTATGAAAGTTATGTATGTGGGGCAGAAGAAACTTGAGCTGTCTAAACTTTTGCTAATGAGGTGAGAATAAGGCCTGAGAAGGAGAAAAAATTGAGATTGAAACAAGAAAATAAAAGCTCCTAAGGAAACTATGGTCCTTTCTGCTGGCAATGTCCCTTGCCAGAGCTTAGATGTGGGGAGCGTGAAGATGACTATGGATTGGGATGTCCCATCTTTGATGCCTTGGGGACCAGGGAAAAGGAACTGTTGGTGTGCAGTGACTGGAATGGGTATTTCATGGTTTCCCATGATGTCTGTCTGCATGGGAGTTACACAGGCATCTGTACTCTTCCGTCTCCATGGAAGAGAGTTTTGAGGCATCCTCTGAATTAATGTAAACCAGTAGTGCTCCGGTGCCTGGGCTGTCTCAGGAGAACAGGTGGAAACGGGGTCAGATGATGAGAATTTTCCATTTTATGACAGCAATGGAATTCCTAGAATGGTTCATTAGTCTTCACAAAAGATCTATTCCTGGCTGGGCGCAGTGGCTCACCCCTGTAATCCCAGCGCTTTGGGAGGCTGAGGTGCTTGGATCACTTGAGGCCAGGAGTTTGAGACCAGCCTGGCCAACATGGCGAAACCTTGTCTTTACTAAAAATACAAAAATTAGCCAGACATGGTGGCACGCACCTGTAATTCCAGCTACTTGGGAGGCTGAGGCACGACAATTGCTTGAATGGGGGAGGCAGAGGTTGCAGTGAGCTGAGATCCTGTCACTGAACTCCAGCCTGGATGACAAAGAGAGACTCTGTCTCCAAAAAAAAAAAGTCCATTCCTTAGCTTAGAAGAAGACTACATTGTGACATTGTTTAGATCTATGGAGTTAAGTGGAATACTCAAGTAGTTTGTTTCACTTCCAATGTTTGGGATACTGAAACTTTCAGGGAAGAATTTACAGAATCATTGTATAATTGAATTGATTACAAAAGACATGTACACATTTATTTGAAGCTTTTTTTTTTTTTTTTACATTTTCTGTGTTTTCAGGGTAGTCAGTTATATTTTAATGTATCTTTTTGTTGCTGTTGTTATAAGGAAAAACTAATCATGTCATCTTAAAAATTGTTTTTAAAAGTTTATATACTATGGCTGTAAGGATGCTTTATGTTTACATGATGCTTTACAGTATTAGATAAGTAATAAAAACAGTGCTACATGTTTCCATTTGCTACACACAACCCCCCGAGAGGTGAGCAGTGCTTGTCATCTGCTTTTCACAGATGAGGAAATGGGGAAGTGGAGGAAGGAGTGGCTGCCCCTGGGCACTTCACTAGGAAGAGATGATGGCAGCGATGCCATTCACACATCTTATCTCATAGAATCCTCACAACTGCTAGGGAAGTATCATCACCTCTACTTTATTGAATGAGAAAAATGAGCTCTGGGAGGTTAAATAACTAACCCAGGCTGATGGGTGGTGAGGCTGAACTGGCTCTTAACCAGTAGCTTTCCTGTAGTGTCCCACAAGGAAGGAGCACACTGCATATTAAAATTATTAGATAACAACATTAGTTTTATGATTTACTAAACTCTTCTCTTCTTGACTCTTTGACGAAGGTAAAGTAGATAGCTTTCCTGAATTTTTTTTTTAATAAAATAAGACAAATTTGTGAGATCTTAATACTTGTCTCTTGGGAGAGAATGAGACTAAAGATCTTAAATATTCCTTGGCCACATCATTCATTATCTGATGCTATTTATAAAAGCATAGAACAATCAGACAAGAATACCTATAAAATTAAAAAAAAAAAAGAAAGAAAAACATAGAACAAGAAGTTTCTAATCTGCAGAACTGATGTGGCTATCACAGGGCCAGCTGAAGATCTTAGGAGTGTTAGCAAACCTAGATGATGGTTTGTTTAACCCTGGGTTTGGGGTATACCAATTGCTTACTAAGATTAATATTTCATTCTTTACCTTTCAACCAAATTAGGCTTTCTTTGTTTTCATTTGTTGCTACTTGTGCCTAGGCTCACATTCCCTGGTGGGAGATGCATAGCGGGAGCTTTGCTTAGCTACTGATATAAGGAAATTTATGAAATGAATTGTACTATGCTGTTTCGTGTGGTTATATTTTTTCAGTTCAAAAAAAATGGCACAAGCATGCTTTTATCCTAGGTGACTGCTACATTGAGAAACTTGGTTGATTCATCATTAGTAAGAAGTAAGTTCCTAAACATCAGTGCCCTTCCCCAGCTCTGCACGGCAATGGAACAGTACAAGGGTGACAAGGACGTCTGTACCAATATTGCCAGAATATTCAGGTAGGTAGACTAAGACGTGAAGTAGCCTTACAAAAATGCTAATGCTTAGATTTGGGGTTATCTTTAATATTTGCTTGTGTGACTGGCAAGGAATCCTTTTCCTTCTTTTTACTTCGCCTACCAGAAAGGGTAAATCTAGTGGCCCAAGTTAAAAATGAACAATTCAAACAAATGAACCCATTGTCTATATGATTCTATTGTGATTCTAAACTCATTGGTTGTTAAGTCATTTTAGTTCTTTGGTGAGTTGTGAGCTACGTGTGTGTGTTTAATCTTCCTCTCAGCTTATTTGAGATAAAAAACTGTATACAAAACACAGCAAACCTTCCAGTTTGCTAGGAAATAAACAAGAGTTTTAACTCAAAAAAGGGGATCAATGCTTAGAAAGTCTGATGTGACTTTGTAATAGAAGGTTATTCTATTTCAGCTATTTGAACTTTGGCTCAAGCTTTCACTAGTCAAGTCTACACTTACTTTATTTCTTCCAGAAATAATGATCATTTGAATCCAGGTTGCCTCCAAGCAAGATGTTGTTAAATTTCAGAACTGTCTTTGAATTATGCATTTCTGTTTCCTCCCGCGCTGCTCTTTGTCAGTATTTTTACATAATGATTCTTCTCGGGAGCCTGAGGCTTTTCTTGAACTATAATGTTGTAGTTGTAAAGAAATGCAAAATTTCCTGAAGACTGAATTGGTACTTGACCCCAGGACCCCTGTATAAGGATGTGAGTCCAAATCTGATTTTTTTTTAAATGAATGTCAACTTGTATTATAGATTAAATGGTACACAGGTTTGTTACGTGGGTAAATTGTATGACGTGGAGGCTTGGGGTCTCGACAATCATGTTACCCAGGCAGTAAGCATAGTACCCAACAGGTGGTTCTTCAGCCCCAGCCCCCTCCTTCCCTCCAGATCTGATCTTTTTATACTGCACTTCCCTGAGCTTTGTTCTGGATACCTAATTACTACCTATCTAATGCATTGTAGAATCATAAGGAATTTATTTTTGTTTATAGTGTCATGTAGGGGTCCAACTTCATATTTTTCCCATGTGGATAGTTGATTGTTCCAGCACCTTTTACTGACTATGCCATCCTTTCTCACTGATTTTGTCAATCAGACAGAAAGTTCCATATAATTTCAGGTTTGTTTCTGGGCATTCTGTTTGGTTTATCCTCAGACCTGTACCACACTGTACTTACTATTACAGATTTAATTTGAGTTTTGCTATAAGATGAATCCTTCACTTTTTGTTGTTGAGATGGGGTCTCGCTTTGTCACCCAGGCTGGAGTGCAGTGGGCACAAACATGGCTTACTACAGCCTCGACTGCCCAGGCTTAAACGATCGATCCTCCCACCTCAGCCTCCCTAGCAGCTGGGACCACAGGTGCACGCCAACATGCTCAGCTAATTTTATCATTATTATTTGTGGAAACGAAGTCTTGCTATGTTGCCCCGGCTGGTCTCAAACTCTTGGGCTCAAGTGATCCTCCTGCCTCAGCTTCCCAAAGTGCTGCGATTAGAGGTGTGAGCCACTCTGCCTGGCCTTCAAATCTCTCACTTTTTTTCTCCTTTAAGATCCAAACTCTTGGTCAGGCACAGTGGCTCACACCTGTAATCCCAGAACTTTGGGAGGCCAAGGTGGGTGGATCACTTAAGCCCAAGAATCTGAGATCAGCCTGGGCAACATGGCGAAATCCCATCTCTAGCGCTGCCCCCCACCCCCAACCCCTGCCAAAAAATTAGCCAGGCATGGTGGTATGTGACTGTAGTCCCAGCTACTTGAGAGGCTGAGGTGGAAAGATTGCTTGAGTCTGGAAGGTGGAGGTTGCAGTAAGCCAAGATAGTGCCACTTGCACTCCAGCCTGGGCAACAGAGCAAGACCCTATCTAAAAAAAAAAAAAAGAATCCAAACTCTTCTTGTTCTTTTCCCTTCCTTATGAACTTATTAATCTTGCATTGATAGCTCTTTAAAAATATTTACTTATTTATTTATGTATTTTAGCTGTCTCCTACAGGAAGGATATCCAAGAATCTTGATGAACATTAGGACTAGGAGTTTGTCTATAGATGCTCTTGAATTTTCTATGCATATTATCTACATATAATTTTTTTTTCAATTATTGTAATTCTTTCCCCTGTCCTCATCTCTTCTTTATTGCATTGTTTAGGAGTTCAATACAAAATTGTGAGTGTTGAGCCTGTTGTCTTTCTTCTGACTTTAAAGGAAATATTTTCATGGTTTCACTAGTTGAAAATAATATTTGTTGTAGGTTTTCCTAACTACCCTTTAGAAGATTAATGATTTTTTTTCTCATTAGTGGGTATTAAGTTTTGTCAAATGCTTGCCCTGAATCTTTTTTTTTTTTTTTTTTTTTTGAGTTGGAGTCTTACTCTGTCGCCCAGGCTGGAGTGCAGTGGGGTGATCTCGGCTCACTGCAAGCTTCGCCTCCCAGGTTCATGCCATTCTCCTGCCTCAGCCTCACAAGTAGCTGGGACTACAGGCACCCACACCACGCCCAGCTAATTTTTTGTATTTTTAGTAGAGACGGGGTTTCACTGTGTTAGCCAGGATGGTCTCGATATCCTGACCTCGTGATCCCCCTGCCTTGGCCTCCCAAAGTGCTGGGATTACAGGCGTGAGCCACCGCACCCGGCCCCCACCCCCTTTTTTTTTTTTTTAACTTTTATTTTAGGTTCAGAGGTACATGTGCAGGTTTGTTACATAGGTAAACTCATGTCACGGGAGTTTGTTGTACAGATTATTTAATCACCCAGGAATTAAGCCCAGTATCCAATAGTCAAAAGAGTTATCTTTTCTGCTCCCCTCCCTCCTCCCACCCTCCACCCTCAAGTAGACCCCAACATCTGTTGTTTTCTTCTTTGTGTTTATAAGTTCTCATCATTTAGCTCCCACTTATAAGTGAGAACATGTGGTATTTGGTTTTATTTTCCTGCGCTAGTTTGCTGAGCTAATGGCCTCCAGGTCCATCCATGTTCACGCATAAGACTTGATCTCATTCTTTTTTATAGCTGCATAGTATTCCATGGTGTATAGGTACCACATTTTCTTTATCCAATCTGTCAATGATGGGCACTTAGGTTGATTCCATGTCTTTGCTATTGTGAGTAGTGCTGCAATGAACATTAGCGTGCATGTATCTTTATTGTAGAATGATTTATTTTCCTCTGGGTATATACCCAGTAATAGGATTGCTGGGTTAAATGGTAGTTCTGCTTTTAGCTCATTGTGGAATCACTATACTGCTTTACACAATGATTGAACTAATTTATACTCCTACCAACAGTGTATGAGTGTTCTCTTTTTTCTGCAACCTTGCCAGCATCTGTTATTTTTTGACTTTTTAATAATAGCCATTCTGACTGGTGTGAGATGGTATCTCATTGTGGCTTTGATTTGTATTTCTCTAATGTATTTGTATTTCTCTATGATACTGAGCTTTTTTTCCATATGCTTATTGGCCACATGTGTGTCTTCTTTTGAAAAGTGTTTGTTCATGTTCTTTGCCCACTTTTTTTTTTTTGAGATGGAGTTTCGTTCTTGTTGCCAAGGCTGGAGTGCAATGGCATGATCTCGGCTCACCATAACCTCTGCCTCCCAGGTTCAAGCAATTATCCTGCCTCAGCCTCCCAAGTAGCTGGGATTACAGGCATGCACCACCATACCCAGCTAATTCTTTGTATTTTTAGTAGAGACGGGGTTTCTCCATGTTGGTCAGGCTGGTCTTGAACTCCCGACCTCAGGTGATCTGCCCGCCTCAGCCTCCCAAAGTGCTGGGATTATAGGCGTGAGCCACCGCACCTGGCCCTTTGCCCACTTTTTGGTGGGGTTGTTTTTCTCTTGTAAATTTGTTTAAGTTCCTTATATGTCCTGGATATTAAACCTTTGACAGATGCATAGTTTGCAAATATTTTCTCCAATTCTGTAGGTTGTCTGTTTACTCTGTTGATAGTTTCTTTTGCTGTGTAGAGCTCTTAAATTTAATTAGATCCCATTTGTCAATTTTTGCTTTTGTTGCATTTGCTTTTAGTGTCTTTGTCATGAAATCTTTGCCCGTTCCTATGTCCAGGATAGTATTGCCTAGGTTACCTTCCAGGGTCTTCATAGTTTTGGGTTTTACATTTAGTCTTTAATCCATCATCCATCTTGAGTTGATTTTTGTATATAGTGAAAGGAAGGGGTCCAGCTTCAGTCTTCTGCATATGGCTAGCCTGTTACCCCGTGATTATTTATTAAACAGTGAGTCTTTTCTCCATTGCTTTTTTTTTTTTTTTTTTTTTTTTTTTGTTGAGACGGAGTCTTGCTCTGTCGCCCAGGCTGGAGGGCAGTGGCGCGGTCTCGGCTCACTGCAAGCTCTGCCTCCCGGGTTCACACCATTCTCCTGCCTCAGCCTCCCGAGTAGCTGGGACTATAGGTGCCCACCACCACGCCCGGCTAATTTTTTGTATTTTTAGTAGAGATGGGTTTTCACTGTGTTAGCCAGGATGGTCTCGATCTCCTGACCTCGTGATCTGCCCGCCTCGGCCTCCCAAAGTGCTGGGATTACAGGCGTGAGCCACTGCGCCCGGCCTCCATTGCTTGTTTTTGTCAGCTTTGTTGAAGATCATGTGGTTGTAGGTATGCAGCCTTATTTCTGGGCTCTCTGTTCTGTTCCCTTGGTCCATGTGCCTGTTTTTGTACCAGTACCATGCTGTTTTGGTTACCATAGCCCTGTAGTAAAGTTTGAATTAGGCAATGTGATGCCTCTAGCTTTGTTCTTTTTGCATAAGATTCCTTGGCTATTTGAGCTCATTTTCAGTTCCGTGTTAAATTTTAAAATAGTTTTTTTTTTTCTAGTTCTGTGAAGAATGTCATTGGTAGTTTGATAGGAATAGGATTGAATCTGTAAATTGCTTTGGTCAGTATGGCCATTTTAATGGTACAAATTCTTCCTATCCATAAGCATGGGATGTTTTCCCATTTGTTTGTGTCTTCTCTGATTTTTTTGAGTAGTGTTTTGTAATTCTCATTGTAGAGATCTTTCACCTCCCTGGTTAGCTGTATTCTCAGGTATCTTATTCTTTTTGTGGCAATTGTGAATGGAATGGCCTTTCTGATTCGGCTCTCTGCTTGGCTGTTGTTGGTGTATAGGAATGCTAGTGATTTTTGTACATTGATTTTGTATCCTGAAACTGCTGAAGTTGTTTCTCAGCTGAAGGAGGTTTTGGGCTGAGACTGTGGGGTTTTCTAGATGTAGAATCATCTGTGAGTGTTGGGCCTGTTGTCTTTCTTCTGACTCTAAAGGAAATATTTTCATGGTTACACCAGCTGAAAATAATATTTGTTGTAGGTTTTCATAAGTACCCTTCTGCAAACAGAGATAGTTTGACTTCCTCCCTTTCTGTTTGGATGTCCTTTATTTCATCCTCTTGATTGATTGCTCTGGCTAGGACTTCCAATACTATGCTGCATAGGAATGGTGAGATAGGGCATCCTTGTCTTGTGCTGGTTTTCATGGGGAATGCTTCCAGCTTTTGCCCATTTAGTATGATATTGGCTGTGGGTTTGTCATAGATGGCACTTATTATTTTGAGGTCTGTTCCTTCAATACCTAGTTTTTTGTTTTGTTTTGATTTGTTTTTTGAGACGGAGTCTTGCTTTGTCGCCCAGGCTGGAGTGCAGTGGCGTGATCTTGGCTCACTACAACCTCTGCCTCTCAGGTTCAAGCGATTCTCCTGCCTCAGCCTCCAGAGTAGCTGGGATTACAGGCATGTGCCACCACACCCAGCTAATTTTTGTATTTTTAGTAGAGATGGAGTTTTACCATGTTGTCCAGGCAGGTCTCAAACTCCTGACCTCAGGTGATCCACCCGTCTCAGCCTCCCAAAGTGCTGGATTACAGGCGTGAGCCACCTCGCCTGGCATCAGTACCTAGTTTATTGAGAGTTTTTACCATGAAGGAGTGTTGAATTTTACTGAAAGCCTTTTCTGTGTCTATTGAGATAATCTTGTGGTTTTTGTCTTCAGTTGTGTGTATGTGATAAATCATATTTACCTGAATTGCTTTTGATTATGCATTTTCTTATTTAAATCTGTTAATATAGTAAATTACACTAATAAAGTTTCTCAAGTTAAGCCATTATATATTGCTGGGTTTGGTTAACTAATATTTTGTTTAGGATTTGTCATTGGTGGTCATGAGTTACATTGACCTGTATTTTTCTCTTCTCATATTGTCCTTGTCTGGGTTTAGTGTAAGTTTATACCAGCCTCATAAAATGGGTTGGGAGGTAATCCAATTTTTTCTCTTTCCTAGAAGAATTTGTAAAAAGCTGATCGGCTTCTTGAAAAGTTTTAAAAACTTGCTCAAAATGCTATTTTTATCCAGGGTATATATGTGTGTATGTGTGTGTGAATATTGTTGACTACTGATTCAATTTCTTCCCATATGGTTATATGTTTCTCATTTCTACTTGGTTCAGTTTCAAAAAGTTATGTTTTTGTAGGAATTTGATAATTTTATCTAAGTTTTCAAACAATATAAAAGTTGCTCCAACTATTCTCTTATTATTATTCTAATCTCTGTTTTATCTCTAATTATGTCCCCTTTTATTTATTTTTCCTATTTAACAGATATTTGTATAGCACTTACAACATGCTAGGCAATATTCAGAATACTTTCCAAATACGAATTCCTTTCATCCTCATAACAACTTTTTAAGATATGTATTATTATTGTCATTATCATTTTACATATGAGGAAACTGAGACATAGAGAAGTTTAGTTATTTTCCCGAGATCACACAACTAGTATGTCATAGAGCTGCAGTTGAAACCGTATCCTGGCTCTAGAATTCATACTTTGAACCACTGTGTTACCTTGCCTCTTCATTGTTAATATTGACTTTCTTTCCTAATTTTGATTGTTCGTGCTGTTTCTCTTTTTCTTAGTCTTGCAAAATCTTTCCTATTTTATTAGCTTTTACCAAGAACAAATATATTATTGATCCACTTTATTGTATGTTTGCTTCCTGTCTTATTTCTTCTGCTCTTATCCTTATTAATCCTTTTCTTCAACTCTCTGTGAATATATCATATTTTTCTTCTATTTTAGTAAAAAACATGACTCCTTTCTTTTCAGCCTCCTTAAACCTATAAATTTTCCTCTAAATACTAATTAGAGGAAATGAGTATTTATAAGTTTTTTTGTTTTTTGTTTTTTTGAGACAAGGTCTCACTCTGTCACCCAGGCTGGAGTGCAGTGTTGTGATCTTGGCTCACTGCAACCTTCGCCTCCCAGGTTCAAGCGATTCTCCTGCCTCAACCTGCAGAGTAGCTGAGACTACAAGCATGCACCACCACACCCAGCTAATTTTTGTATTTTTTAGTAGAGACGGGGTTTCGCCATGTTAGCCAGGCTGGTCTTGAACTCCTGGCCTCAAGTGATCCTCCTGCCTCGGCCTCCCAAAGTGCTGGGGTTACAGGCGTGAGCCACTGTGCCTGGCCCATCCTACAAGTTTTGATTTGTAATATTTTTTATTACTCGTATTTAAGTATTTCTTTTGTAATTTTCATGTTTCTTTGACCTATAAGTTAGGTGTTCTTACATTTCCAAAAAAAAGGTTTTTTTAAATTTATTTTTTAAATGATTTCTAATTTAATTGCACTTTGACCAGAGAATGTGGTCTTTGAGATACCAGTTCTCTGAAAATTTACTGAGATTTATTTATGGCCTGGTATGTGGTCAAGTTTTTAACATATTAATGATGTTTTACCTATTGATTCATCAATTAGGAAGAAATATATGAACATCTCCTGATTTGTTGTGGGTTTGTCAATATTGCCTTACGGGTTTTGTTTGCTTGCTTGCTTACTTGCTTTAGAAATTTTGAAGCTGTTTTCAAGGCTTTCTGCCTTAAGGTTGGTTTATTTTGCCTAATATTAGTATAGCACTACCAATCTACTATATTAAAGCAGGTTTTTGTTCGTTTGTTTTGAATGTATAGGTTTTTTGTTTGTTTGTTTGTTTGTTTGTTTTGAGGCAGAGTCTCGCCCCATTGCCCAGTCTGGAGTGCAGTGGTTCAATCTTGGCTCACTGCAACCTCTGCCTCCTGAGTTCAAGCAGTTCTCCTGCCTGGGCCTCCAGAGTAGCTGGGATTACAGGCACATGCCACCATACCCAGCTAATTTTTGTATTTTTGTAGAGATGGGGTTTCACTATGTTGGCCAGGCTCGTCTTGAGCTCCTGACCTCAAGTGACCCACCTGCCTTTGCCTCCCAAAGTGCTGGGATTACAGGCGTGAGGCACCACGCCTGGCCTATTAAAGCAGTTTTACATTTGCTTCTGATGTGGTCTCAGGGGACTCACTGGTATCCAACCAGATTTCATATAAATTTCATGTAAGTTTGTGTTTTCTGAATTACGTGGGTAGTGTACACCTACATGTAAGTTACCTTTTAAATTTTTCCGGATCCATCTCACTAGAGTGTAGAGCAGGAAGCCTCCTTGCAGCTTCTCTGAACTGATGTGTAGAGTATTTTTAGACTCCTTTTCTTGAACTGGGCAATGTTTTGAAGGTCTGCATTTAAAGTGATACTATGTGTACTTGAATTTTATAGAAAAACAAAGTTTACCTTTATTTTCCCATTTGGCATTTCTGCAGCAAACTTACTTCTTACCGTGACTGCTGCACAGCCTTGGCCAGCTATTCCAGATGTTATGCCTTATTTCTGAATCTAATTAACAAATACCAGAAGAAGCAGGTCAGTTCTTCATTCATTTAATTCTTCAATGAGTCTTTACACTAATGTGTTTGTGTAAGCCCATGTTAAATGTCTTTATGTTTTGAGTATATAGGTTTCTATAAGAAACTTCCATTAAATGTATAATGGGCTGTCCTGGGAAGCAGTAAGTTACCTATAGGAGTTGAAGGAGTTATATGAGTCAGAAATGAAATGTTGATGTTCTAGGAAGTTTCCTGGTGTAGGAAGGAAGGTGGTAGATTATAACAATATTTTTCCTCCCAGTGATCTGTAGAAAACCTACCTGGGAGTCACCTTGGGGTGGGGGAGGGGGTATAACCCCACCCCAAGGGTTATTTCCGTAATGGTTATTTCTTCCAGGTTTCATTCCAGTCTACTGAGTCAGATGGGTAGGGTAGGACCTACCTAGCCATCTGCATTTTAACAAGAACCACAGGGACTTCTGATGCAAATTAAGGTTTGCAGTTCCCCTGCACTGGATAGTCCCTGAAGATTCTTCTAGCCCTTAAGTTCTCTAATTCTTTGACCCCATTGTTATATTTAAAAGGTAACATTTCCAGGTAAAGTGTTTAAATGAAATAATTTAGTTTTAATGAATCAAGGCAAAAATGTATATAGTTGTTTAAAAAAGGAAGAACTTACAAACGATTTCTCATTAATCAAATCATAATATTTCATACAGACATTATTTTTATTTTTATTTTTTTATTTTTTGAGACGAGTCTCACTCTGTCACCCAGGCTGGAGTGCAGTGGCGATATCTTGGCTCACTGCAAGCTCCACCTCCTGGGTTCACGCCATTCTGCCCCCTCAGCCTCCCGAGTAGCTGGGACTACAGGCGTGCCACCACACCTGGCTAATTTTGTTTTTGTACTTTTAGTAGAGACGAGGTTTCACCGTGTTAGCCAGGATGGTCTTGATCTCCTGACCTCATGATCCGCCCACCTTGGCCTCCCTCCCAAAGTGCTGGGATTATAGGCGTGAGCCACTGCACCCGGCCACAGGCATTAATTTTTATTATAAGTTTTTAAATATTCGTTAAAGCAAAGTCTACTTTTATTCACTTTCATAAGTTATTAAAGTGACATCAACTTAGTGAGATATTTTGTCCATGAATACAATGAGTATTCATTTTAAATGTGGTAAATTTTCAACATCCTATAGTAAGTTTTGCGAGTTTATGGACCAAATAATTTATGTATATACTAACAGTATTTTAATCTGAAGCTTTGTGTTTGTTTTGTTAACCATATTAAGACCACCCCAAAACATAATCTCTGTTTGTTACTGACTAGCATTGAACTTATCTTTACCCAGCCAAAGACTTCTGCTGAGAATTATTAAATTTGTCAGATTTAACCCCAGCTTTAGCCTCCCAAGTAGGGATTACAGGCATGTGCCACCACACCTGGCTAATTTTTTTTTTTTTTTTTGGTAGAGACAGGGTTTTGCCATGTGCTGGGATTACAGGTGTGAGCCACTGTGCCTGGCCCAAAAGAATTCTTTTACATGTTATACTCAAAAGAGATCTATTTATATATTTTATTTTATAATTTAATGTTATGAATTTTAATTATAATTTTATTTTCCCATTACTACCTTTTTTTTTTTTTTTTTTGCTTTGGTGCTTTGATCTTGGGTGATTTAGGTGTCTTTAATTAGAGAAGATTTATTTGCCTTGCCATTAGAATTTTCAAATATGGACAAAAGAAAATACTTCTGTTTAACAGTTTGATTTCAAGTTATGTTATAATCTATAATTTTTTTAAGGAAGAAAATTCATTAATTGAGTACTCACAAATAGTGCTATTGTTTTCTAGCATTACTAATAGATACTTTTGTTTCTCTGATTGGAGCTTAGATGATGGCCATATGGAATAAACCAACAAAAATCCTGGTACCTCACCAATATGAGAGACTAGAGATATCAGTATGGCTAAGAGTATGCTTTTTCTAGTTTGAGTAACTAAATGTCCTAAAGTTTTTTTTTGTTTTTTAAAATAAAGATGAGGTCTCACTATGTTGCCCAGGCTGGCCTGGAGCTCTTGGGCTCAAGCAATCCTACCACTTCAGCCTCCCAAAGTGCTGGGATTACAGATGTGAGCCACTGCGCCCAGCCTAAAAATCCTAAAGTTTAAATTGGCATAAAATTTTACTATACTTTTCACTAAACTAATTTTCACGTTAGACCAATGGTTATCTGAAAAGCAAAACTCATGTTTAAGAAACCACATTTTTCTCTGTTGATGTATATTACAATTTTATGTTCCTATTGATGTGGTTTGGATTTCTGTCCCAGCCTAAATCTCCTGTTGAATTGTAATCCCCTGGATTGGAGGTGGGGCCTGGTGGGAGGTGATTGGATCATGGGCGGAGTTCTCACGGATGGGTTAGCACCATCCCCCTGGTGCTGTTCTCGTGGTAGTGAGTGAGTTTTCTTGAGATCTGCTTGTTTAAAAGTGTGTAGCACCTCCCCCTGCTCTCTCTCTTCTTCCTGCTCTGGCATGTAAGATGTGCCTGTTTCTCTTTCACCTTCCGCCATGATTGAAAGTTTCCTGAGGCCTCCCCAGAAGCTGAGCAGATGCCAGCAGCATGCTTCCTGTACAGCCTACGGAACCATGAGCCAATTCAATCTCTTTTCTTGATAAATTATCTAATCTCAAGTATTTATTTGTAGCAATGCAAGAACAGACTAAAATACCTATTAAAATTATTTTAATTTCCAAAGAGGAATAGAGAGCACCTTGTAAACCATGTACAGTAACATGCTTATTCAGAACCATCAAAGAAATGCATGTTATCACTTTCATCACTAAACTTAATCATTGTGGCAAAAATCATATTCAAACATATTGCATGTTTCTCTTCCTTCTTAGAAGATATTAAAACTAACTTAACCTCTTGATACCAAAGGTCATTATTATAAGCATTAATTATTGCTGTAGAGACTGTTTGTCCCACATGTGAAGCCTGAGTCTGTTGATGAGGTTCTTTAAATGTCTGCATCTTCTTTGTAGATTTTCTCTCTCTTCTTTTTCTATTGGTTGCTACCTCCACCTTTGGTAGTCTTTACCTGCTTTTTTGCAATTATTTGTTTGCAATTAGCAAGGGAACCTCATAACCAAGCTTATTAAAATTAGCATGTAGTCCCAGCTACTCAAGAGGCTGAGGCAGGAGAATCGCTTGAACCTGGGAGGCAGAGGCTGCAGTGAGCCGAGATCGTGCCACTGCACTCCAGCCTGGGTGACAGAGGAAGACTCTATCTCGGAAATCAAGGACATGGACACACATGGAGTGAGGTTAACTGCGGAGGTTTAATAGGCAAAAGAGAGAGGAGAACAGCTCTCTCTCCTGCGCGTGAGAGAGGCACCCAAGTGGAACTTCTGGCCCATGCACAGGTATTAATAGACAGGCTTGAGGAGGCAATATCTGATCTACAGAGGGCCCAAAGATTGGTTGGACCAGGTGTGATGTTTACATAGCACGCAGGGAAGGTGGCCACCCCAACCTAATCTTCTTATTATACAAATGGTGTTTTTGCTTGGCCAGCACCATGTTACCTGCTCTTTACTGTACATGTGGCTAGCAAAGAGAAGGGAAGATGGAGCTGCCATAGTGGACATGCCTAGTCCCAGGTATTCTTTTTCCTATTGGCACAGCTGGCAGCATTCACCCGTGGAAGCTTCTAGCTTGCCTTTCTATGTCTGCAGCTTGATTTTACAGGCTGCTCTTTATTAGAAAAGAAATTATTTGGGGGCTGCTTTTCATTAAAAGGAAAACCTTACCGAGGACCTCCTTACCCTCACTATCTGCCTAAATAATTTCTTTTTAACTCCAGTATCAACACATAAGCCAGGCGTGGTGGTGCAAGCCTCTAGTGAAACTAGTTGTCCAGCTTGGCAACAAGGTGAAATCCTATCTCAGAGAGAGAGAGAAGACTGGCAACATAGACCTCATCTCTATAAACAAAAAATTAGCCGTGCGTGGTGGCACATGTCTGTAGTCCTAGCTACTTAGAAGGCTAAGGCGGGAGGATTGCTTGAGCC
This sequence comes from Homo sapiens, assembly GCF_000001405.40. NCBI lineage: Eukaryota > Metazoa > Chordata > Mammalia > Primates > Hominidae > Homo > Homo sapiens. Next base: position 108,941,046 of record NC_000006.12, read on the forward strand.
CAGGTTGCAGTGAGCCATTGATCACTAGCTAGCTAGCTAGACAGACAGACAGACAGACAGACAGATATTTTAGACTAAAAACTTTAAAATAAAATTGAATATGAACAGACTTAATGAGAAGAGCCTAAGGGGCTCTGATGAAATTTCTCTGTGACTTCTCCTCTTCAAAGCCAATTCCATATTTCAAGTTGTAGCTCTCTTGTCTGCTCCCCTGTGAGGCCTCCCAAGCAAGACCAGTCAATTTCTCCCTCATCAGTGCAACATTTTTAAGACTTTAACATAGCTGATACCCCCAGCTAGTACACTCAGAGCTAAGAACCCAAGCAGTATGCCTATGGCCTTAACCACTTCACTATTATTAAGAAAAACTATACAAATCTTAGCGATAAGGTATGGAATAGGTGGAGGCATGTCCTGACAAAGGCATGCCAGGGCATTGTTTAATGACCCAATCAGGGATTAATTCCCTAGGCCAACATATTGGTGTTTGAACTTGCTGTTTACTATTTGGTTAGATACCAGACACAATAAAGTTACATGTTAATTTGTAGGTTTCAATCTGGTAGACAGGATCACCTCAAAAGTTATGGTTTTATTACTTTGTAGGCATTTGTCAGGTTTGTATATAACCCAGAAATTTTAAGTGCTTGTAAATTCCCGGTTCTTCAGTTGTGCTTGGAACAAAGTTTACCGTGGTATCGGCCCCCTCATTAATGAGTTAAATACTTTTGAAGTGTGTTCATTTTATGAGCCCATGAGAGTCATGTTTTTAACTTTTAAAAAATTATACTTTGACTCAATACTTTTACTTATAATAAAGATTGAAATGTTGTAGTTTTAAGTCATTACTTTGATTTTTTTCCAGTAAGAAAAATACATAATTTATATTTTCCTCAAAACCAAAATATTTTAGAAGAGCAGGGAAAGAGTTTAGGCTACAAGGAAGTAGTTGTGTGTCCCAACCACTTCCTAAAATCATTAACCAGAAATTCCCATAAGTCTTCATAAACATTTCTTTAGTGGTTCTCCAAATGGTTATCATTATGCAGCTGCCCTATCCACTACTGCGAGTTCCTAAACAACACAGACTTTGTCCTGATAGACCGAGATGATGCTTGGCAAAGTAAGCTCATAAGTGCTGGAAGAAAGAATTTTGAGTGTGTGAAATGCTTTGGCACCTGTAAGGTGTTAAAAAATATTTTTTCTAGTACTCGAGTGCTTCTTCCTTAAATATGTACTTTCTTCTTCCTAGTTTGGAGGAAGAAATAATAAGAATTTTTTTCCCACAATTTTCACATGGGTGGGCTGCCATAAAAAGCAAAACAGAATCCCTTCAGACCAGCATGGCATCTTAGTTTCATGTTTCCCATGTCCCAGGTGGCCGATCAAATATGATTTGTTTTTCCTCTTAATGTTCTGATGTGAGTGTATTGATCTGCAGTGGTTAGACACTTTGCCGCAACTGGGATTTACTTGAATGTTGAGGCTTGGAACTGATTGTGGAGACCTGAATCAGCCTTCCAGCAACTTATTTAAACAGAATTATTACTTCCTATAATTATTTTTTTTTTCAGCTCCTGGAAACATCCCTGCAAGACTAACTTGGGTTGTAGAGAAATACTCTGGAAGCTTTGTAGTCTCTTAATATACACAGCCATTGCCAAGTGATTAGACAATCAGAAAGAGTCAGTAGACCTTCCCTGTTTTTGTTCTGGGAGGTTAGTATTGCTTCTGTCTTGAAAGCCTGAGGACTACATTTAGGATCAGCATAGGTTTCATTTTTCTAAGACACACTTTTAAATCAAATCATGTTTATGGCTAATCGCGTTTTCAAAAAACATAGAAACAGAAATCTAAAATGAACAAGAAAGAAAAGAAAAAAACCCTTTATAGTGATAAATGAAATGTCACCTACACATGCCTCTTGAACTGATCTTATCAGCGGATGGGGAGCTTCACAGGAAGCTGCCGGTCGCTGCTGCCGTCCACAGAGGGGGAAATCCTGTTTTGAACCAGGTAGCACCAGGGCCGTTTGCTGTTGGAAGAAGTAGAATATTTCCTCCCCATCTGCTGTTGTTTTCCATTAAAGGGGATAAAAATTAGAATTACATGAGAAGATACCAAAAGTCACAAAATTTTCCATTATTTTTACATTCTTTTTCTCTTGTCAAGGTAAAGTCTGATTTCAACATATGAGAAGTCTGAATATACTTTATATATTCGAGTATATAAAGTCTGAATCAAGTCCATCGACAGGAGGGGTTGTGGTGTGGTTTCACTTTTCTATACAACTGTGCTGTGAGGGGTATTGATGAGGAATAAGGATTTATATTTACAAGAATTCATATTATTTTTTAAAAAGCATTATTATAAAGACAAATAATGGGTATTCAAGTGGTGAGATTTCTAATTTTTTCTTGATTTAAATCAGAGTGGCTCCCCAACTTGGCTTATCATCAGATTTGCCTGGGGAGCTTTAAAAATACAGGTGCTTAGCTGGGCACAGGTGGCTCAGATTGGCCTGTAATCCCAGCACTTTGCGGCAGATGGATCGTCTGAAGCCAGGAGTTCGAGACCAGCCTGGGCAACATGGTAAAACTCTGTCTCTACAACAACAATTAAAAAAAAACCCACAAAAATTAGCTGGGTTTGGTGGCCCATGCCTGTAATCCCAGCTACTTGGGAGGATGAGGCAGGAGAATCACTTGAGCCTGAGAGAAGGAGGTTGCAGTGAGCTGAGATCGAGCCACTGCACTCCAGCCTGGTTACACAGTGAAACCCTGTCTCAAAAAAACAAAACAAGACAAAACAAAAGGAACCCTTAAACCTATTTTCAACTTAAAATTTGAGTTTAATTAAAAATTTTTTTAAATTAAAAATAGAAATACAGGTGCTCAGGCCCCACCCAGAGAGATTCTGATTCAGGTCTGGGATGGGGCCCAAGAACCTATTTTTAAGAGACTTCTCAAGTGACTCAAATGAACAGCAGGTTTTGAGACCCTATGGTTTAAGTTATTAAGGTGGTTCTTTAAAACCATTTTCTCCAGTATTGACAGCAGAGGGGTTCCCATAAAACCTCAAAAGATTTTAAAGTGATTAATCAAATCAGCCACACAGAGTCAGTCTTTCTCTACAGGAGCAGAGCTGACAGTGATTCTTCCTGACAAAGTAGGAACCAAGTTGACAAGACCCACCAGGTGCTAATGTAGGCTTCCCAGTAAGTGGTAAGAACCACTGGCCCTTTGCCTTTTGCACAGGCAGCTGAGGAATGATTTCTTAGCTGGAGAACACAGGATGGTACATTAGTCTTTTCCACAAATTTTCGCTGCCAGACTTGTGTCAAAATAAGTCCTGGGACCAAATCTAGTTTGAAAAAGGTGCTCATCACACTGATGAGGCTTCAAGCACTGGCCAGAGTGGCTCCCTCAGGAGAGATGGGCACAGGCTCTACTCCTCAGGACCCTTAGAGCCGCCTGTCCAAGGGAGGGTGCCTTCAGTTCAGTTGGCTAGACAAGCTGCGAGTTGCTGATTCATTTGTTAGTGAAACAAGCACCAAATTTCATCTTTAAAATAATTCCTGCAGATATCGTGTTTTGAGACAGTTCAGTATATACCCATATCTAAATGTTGTAGTTTGCAACAGTTAAATTGAGAGTGATGAGTTCACTTAGAATATGGTCCGCTTTACACCCCCTCTGTTTGCATAATGGCCCTCAGTGAAGTGGGCCTCCGTTTCCATCTGTATGTGATGGTTATGTGCATGGCCTGGGTTTCTGGCTCACCAACAGTCTCAATGAAAAGGCATCTACTCCTCCCAGCTCTCATAAATGACTTCCGCAGGGAGAGCAAGGGAAACTTCTTTGGCTCATATCTGTGTGGTTAATTTGTCCAAGATCCATGATGCAACTAGTAACTCCAGTTCCCACACACACAAAAACTGAGATGAAACAGCCTCTCGTTCGGCTTAATGCCGTATGAAAGCTAAACTTTAGAGTTAGGTAAAATATCTATTAAAAATGCTGGCCAAAATTCAATTAAATGACAAATCTCATTTAAGAAATGTGCACATATTGTCTGCTTTATGGTGTAAACTGCTTTTGGTACAAAACAAATGTGCAAGCAGATGGGCTTAATAACGAAGGAGGGAGTGGGGTTGCTATCAGCCTTTGGGAGGCAGAGCCTGCCTCAGGAGGCGCCTCTGACGTCAGTGTTGCTACATTTAGCATCTCAGGAAAATACATTTGGGTTTGTTTTTTGGAAGAACATGAAGGGATTTTCCCCATTTCTTCTGTAAATATCTACTAGGCAAGAGATCTGGTAAAATGCCTCAAATAAGACTTTCAAAAGACTGGCAATATTTTGCAAAGGTCATGATCAAAAAGAACAACCTTTGTCTACATTCCTATCACATGTGTCCATTGACCATTTAACTCTCTCCACGTTTAGATACGGTTAATTTCTTGTTTCTTTTACCACAGAGCTTCCAGATGCAGCAGGACTGTCGTCAGAGCCTTTGCAAACCCTGGGAACTGCCAGACTCATTCTTGGTTGTGCTGCTTTTAAAGTCCTACCTCTCTCATTCTGTTTAGACTTCTATAGGCATAAGCTGCTGTCTTCAGCCATGTATGCACAGTGAACACTGATTTGGAATGCTTAGCCATCGTGGTATCAGAAATGAGAGCTGGAATGTCTGAACAGTGTGGGCTGAAAGCAAAACCACCTCCATTTTTCTAGCTGTTCATCTTGAATGTGACCACAGCCTTTCAGCATTCCAGAGAGGTGCCTTCTCTTCCCCGCTATCCTCTTTGGGCCATCAAGGATTGGTTAGGAAGGTGCCCCCACCCCTTCCCCTGGTGCCTTTGTAGGGCGACTTGGCTCCCAGCTTGTCCTCTGCCTCCTGCCTGACAGGAGCACGCCCTATGGCTGTCTTCCCAGCCCCTCTGCAGGCACATTCCCAGCGGGTGCTGAGAGCATTTGGCTGAGCTTGCTCCTTTTTTCAGCCTTGGCCTTGGTCTGCGCCCCTGACCGGGCAGGCTGTACAATACGCCCTTAGCTTGTTCATTCTTTCCAGCTCCTGCCGGCTTTGCCCTTGTGGAACTGGCTCTTACCCCGCTCAGCACGGAACCCAAATGCCTGATTTATGTCTGCTGGCTTGAAAAAGAACTTAGCACAGTGAAATTCTAGCATTGGCCTGGTACTTTTGAGTGACATTCAGAGGCATATCGTGGGTGCTCAATAAATGATTGCTGATAGAACAGATAGATGGATGGAGGAATCAAGCGTAATCTCTTCTGGTTTTAAAATGATTTTCTACTTAGATTCTTGGCTTTGAGTCTCCAACATTTCAGATTCTTCGATTTTATCTAGTTAAACACGTAGGCAAACTCTTGACCCACTTTCAGTGCCCTATGGTCAGTTAGCATTTTTGCAGTAGTGCACAGTCTGTCTTCCAGTTTGCTAAAATTTATCTGTTCTTCAAGCCACCTGCAAGCTCAATTAATGTTTGAGTTTTGTTTGAGGGTGGTAAGTTGGATAAACAAAGCAAATTGTAAATCCTGATTCAGCTCTCAGGCACGAGAAGTTTGTAACCATATTTTAAACAGGGTATTTTGATTAATTTTCTGGTTAATAGAGAGTTCGGATTTTAAGTATATTTACATCCCCTTCCATTTCAACCCATTCTTACAAATTTTTCTAAAATGTGTTCCTTTACTTAGTGGAAGCAGTTCCCTCCTAAGTGGAGTCTGCTGAACATAGTTTATTCTTTCTGTGACAGCTTGATATTGTTTCTTCCCCACAGTCAACATTATGCACATGAGTTATTTTAAGGTACGGGAGGAAGGGTGTGGGAGTCGGGGAGGAATGTGTTCACTGTGGCTGGCCATGGGCAGAGAGTAATGTGAGGTAGCAAAGAAGTGGTTGCGTGGGGCCAGATGATGCATTAGATGCTGGCTTTGACATTCATTTAATAGGCAGTAGATGTTTTTGAGCAAAGGGAAGAGCTGTGCTTTAAGAAGTGGTGTTAGGGTTGATGGCAGAGGGAGGAGCCTGGAAAGGGCCTCTGACAACAGTCTACAGGCAGATTAGCCCAGGTCGGCATGGGCAGGAGGGAGCTGGGGAACATTTTGAGATGACAGAGTCGAGGAGACTTGGTGACTGCTTGGTGAGGGGATGAGATAGAGAGGAATCAGAGATGCTGGGGCTGGGGGACTGGGAAGATGATGATGATTAGCAATGAGGAGTTGGGCTGAAGGTGGTTTTGGAAACCATCTGTGTGTACAGAGATGATTGTTCAAGTCCTGCCTCTTCTCTTCACCAGTGTTTGACTTTGGGCTTACTTAATGAGTCTCCTGAAGCCTCAGTTTCAACATCTCTAAATAGGGGTAAAAATGTCTTTCATTGGCTTTAGGCCAATGTCTCTCCCATGGAAAGTAACATGCAACAGCTACTGCCAATGCTGCCACCATTGGAACTGGACATAGACCATCCTGGTGAGCAGTGCCCTGTTCCTGGTTTTATTCCAGTTAAAGTAATTTCATTCACAGGCTTGTGGGGCCCATTCAGATTGAGTAACTTGTTTGCTCATTGGGGCATAACATCTGCGAAACTAATGACAATATCCCTCAGGCTCTAACTGGAAAGCTCTGTTGAGGTCAGTCTTCTTCCTCTAAGTGTATCTGTTTGTCTAAGCTCTGGTTGGCCGTAGCTGTTGCTAGGCTGATTCTGTTTTAAGCAAAATTAGAAAGTCGATATGAACTGGTTATACTAGACTGCCTTCTTTAGGAAAAAAAAAAAAAGCTCTCTCTTGATTCATCTTCAGTTTGCTATTTCAAAATCACATAGTTATGATATGAATATGCAACATTGTGTTAAATTTAATAAAAATGCTATAAAAATGGAGTGTTAATTTATAGATGATTCTCAGATATTGTCTAAGAATAAAGGAGAGAATGTGTGCCTCAAAGGAGAGCTGCATATTGATGAAATCCTTTTCCGCTGTGGAATTGGTGCTCTCTCTAAATAGATGATTTTGGCCTTGGTTTAATTTTTACAAATCTTTATAGAATATTAAGTAATATTTTATAGACTTGAGATGGCTCGGGCTGTGGAACAGTAGATAATCTCTCCATGATCCTGCCCAACGCAGACCTTGGTTCAGTAGGGAGGACCTTGGAGTGCACGGTTTGGGAGCAGAGGCCACCCATGGTGAGGAGAGGGGCCCTAGAAAGCTGACTTGCTCAGCCTTCTTCAGGATTCCAGATGAGTCAAGACAAGCCCTGGCATGGAGATAAGAAAACACTACCTCTGCTGACCTCCTGTGAGATGGCTTCTATTTTGGCCTCTTCCAGGATCCCTAGGTCCATGTAGAATATATTTAAGAAGGGAGGGGAAAAAAAGAAAAGAAAAAGTGCCTTAGCTAACCCTGAAAAACAGGACAAAAACAGTAAGCAGAGATAGCAGTTGCTGGAAGTTTGGTGCTGCAGACGGCGCAATCTGCCATCCCATTTGTTGATCTCGCATGCCATGCTTCAGTTGGCACCGCGGCTGCCAGGAACCACCCCCTCCTTTTCCATCTGAAGCAGGAAAAGCAGTATTATAACAGTGTTAACTCTTCCTGCCCTACAGCCTAGAGCTTCTTCTTCTGCACTGGAGGCTTACTAATCTCGGCCACGTTAGGACCTACAGAGATGACAGAATCGAAGAATTTTAGAAGAGGAAGGGGCCTGAGGGAATTTTTAGAAAAAGAAAAGCAGCACTTAGTCTTCCCAGATTAGACTGCATGTGACAGTGGGGAGAGGTCATTTGAATTTTGAAGAATGATGACCACTAAGGAAATCTATTTTTTACCAGGATCTGATCTAAATCCTGGCAAATCAACACGGATAGCTGGAGGTGGGACAGGGCTGGAGAAGCCTACTGAGCTGGACTCAGAGAAAAGCAAGACCAGGTAGATGGAGGTGAAACGGCAAGGCCTAGGAAGAAAAAAAACAATCCAGCACCCTTAGAAGATGCCATGACATTTTAGGAGGTAAATTGTTTAGTCCTGGTAACAATTTAGGGTACAAAATGCAAATATTAATTAAATAAGCAATCACTTAAAATCACTCATAATGCCTTTCCTGTCTTGTTTAACATGCTTTTATGGAAATGGGAGAAGAGAGCCCAATTCCAGGAACATGGTGAAGTCCAAAACTTATTAACATCACTGTTATCAAATGTGCGAGGGAGATGGCGGTTTAGATTGTAAAAGATACTGTGAATAGCTTTATTCAGGTTAAAGAAATGGAAGTTATCATTTTTAGTGAATTAGTTAATTTGTATATATAAATGCTTAGGACAATGCCTGGCACATCATGAGTACTAATAAGTACTGTGTGTTAGTTGCTGCTGTTACTGTGCTGTTATTGTTATTAATTATTAGGATTTTCAGAACTAGAATTCATATAGTCTTTCAGCAGGAAACATGTATCAAAGTTCACACAAAAATTCTGTTTATAGTCCTCAGCTTAGAAAATATCAGATGAAGTTCTTCTTTAAGATGCTTAATTCTTGGAAATACCCTCTGTCCTGGTTGGAAAACTGATTTTCTGCTACTCTGTTGGGTCTGATCAGGGTGGAGGAGAAGCTACCAACTCAGAGCCCAGGGCAGGGCCTTTGCCACCAGGCATTACTTGAAGTAACCCTCTGTTTTATGTGAAATGGGATTCAAGTATTATAATCAAATTGTGTGTGCTTGTTTTAGACTTAAGGCCCATAAATATCCCATAGCTTCTTTAGGGAACAGTCAGGTAATTAAAGAATGAGAAGATGACCCCTGGCCCAGGAAGGAGATAGTCCCAGATGCTCTCTCAAACTAATCCTCTTCAAACTAAAAACAGGCCGGGCACAGTGGCTCACGCCTGTAATTCCAGCACTTTGAGAGGCCGAGGTGGGTGGATCACTTGAGGTCAGGAGTTTGAGGCCAGCCTAGCCAACATGGTGAAACCGCGTCTCTACTAAAAGTACAAAAATTAGCCAAGTTTGATGGTGCATGCCTGTAATCCCAGCTACTTGGGAGGCTGAGACAGAAGAATCACTTGAACACAGGATGCGGAGGTTGCTGTGAGCTGAGATTGCACCACTACACTCTAGCCTGGGCGACAGAGCAATACTCTGTCTCAAAAACAAAAACAAAAAAAACAAACAAACTTAGAACCATTTGACCCAGAAATCCCATTATTGGGTATATACCCAAAGGAATATAAATAAATCATTCTATCATAAAGACACATGCATACATTTGTTGATTGTAGCACTATTCACAATAGCAAAGGCATGGAATCAACGTAAATGTCTATCAATGGTGGATTGGATAAAGACCATGTAGTACATATACATCATGGAATACCATGCGGCCATAAAAAAGAGTGAGATCATGTCCTTTGCAGAAACATGGATAGAGCAGGAGGCCATTATCCTTAGCAAACTAACGCAAGAACAGAAAACCAAATACCACAAGTTCTCACTTATAAGTGGGAGCTAAACGATGAGAACTCATGGACACAAAGAAGGGGACAACAGACACTGGGACCTACTTGAGGGTGGAGGGTGGGAGAAGGAAGAGGATCAGGAAAAATAACTATTGGATAGTAAGCTTAGTACCTGGGTGACGAAATAATCTGCATACCAAAGCCCCATGACACAAGATTACCCATGTAACAAAAGTGCTCATGTACCCCTGAGCCTAAAAAGTTAAAAAAAGAGAGAGACTTGTCTTCTGCTGCCTGCCCAACCCCATGCTCCCTTCCACATATCTCTGCATCTCACAGCTTCCAAGGTTGAACTCAGATTCTTTCATGATAACTCTGCTGAACCTGACACTGTTCCCAGAGCATCCTCTTTTCAAAACTCTGGTGAGACTACTAGGCCTGTGCCACTGAGTTTATTGCTATTAGTTAGCATTTTATTGATAGGACATGAAAAGAGTTCACAGAAATGCCCGAATCATTGCTCAGTACAATTTGTGCTTTGCCTGTTGTATCTCATGTGATCTCACAGTAAGAATTTTGTCTCCATTTTGCAAACAAGTTAATGGATGTACAGAGAGGCCAAGCATCTGTGTGAGTCCAGCCTGCCTGGCTGTGACCTGGGACTCATAATCCCCTTTCACGTCTCGCTTCTTCCTTTGCCGTTTTAGTCTTTGCCGTTTCCCCACATATGTTAGCCTTGTCTTCTCAGTAGGTGAGAAGCTCTTCATAGCACTGACTTTCAGACTTGGTTATGTGTGTGTATTCCTAGGCCCTGGCATTAAGAACTTACCTGAGGACTAACATTCTATTTCCCGGGGTGGAGTCAGGAGCAGGGTCTCCTAATTGGACGACCACTATGGCTGGTTGAATGCTGTGAGTTGAAATGTCTCCGAAAATGAACTCTCTCCTGGACCATCTCCAGTTTTTGCTGTAGCATTAGCTGCTGTCCTTCCTTAATGTTTGGCAAATGGTTTCCGGTTGTGCAAGCAGCAGCCTCGCTTCTTCTCTGCCAGTGAGTGTCAGGGAAAACTTTTGGATTTTTTAGCAAGAACAAGCAGGAACAAGTTGGTATTGGCAGAGAAGGCCTAGGTAAATCCAAAAGTTGTACTCTGCCCCCAATCCTCCCCAGTTTCCTGGCCACACCCGACGCCCCTCACGGGGCCCCTGGCGTCGCACCTGGACATGCGCTCCTCGATGAAAACGTGCCCAGCCCTTGGCCCTTTGTCCCCTTTTCTTAAGGCTACTGCTAACTACTGATCTGATCAACAAAGTCACGTTTATGGTCGTCCCTTCTGGTGACATATTTGCTTTTAAAAGGAGATAATTCTTTAACTGTTCTGCAAGAAGGCAAAGGAGGAGAAAAAGTACACGACACCCTGTGTGGGAAGCAGATGTTGGTGTAGAAAGGACACTAGAGTCTGGGTCACCCTGGAATCAAATCCTGACCTTACCCTTCACCAGCCATGTGACCTGGGCAGCTTCTCCAGGCCCTAGTTTCTTGTCTATAAAATGGCATAGTGCCTGGCACTGTATATATAGATATAGATATAATACCATCCAGGCCAGTTGTAGCCCTCCAATGAGTATTCCTTTAAAATCTCCTCCTCCCAGGTCACCTCCATTGACACCCATGGGGAAGGCTGATCTGGACTCATATGTGGACATTGTTGTCAAACTAAAAACACAGTGATTTTTGTATCTTGTTTAGTTTTAAAATGTTCCCAGCTTAGGGTTTGTAAAAACATTTTAAAATTGTGAAATATAGCCTATATACAGAAAAGTGCATAAAACGGGTATGCACAATTTAGCAAGTAATTATAAAGGTGTCACTCATGTAACCACCACCCTGGGTAAGAATTGGTAGGTACTGCCTTAAAGTAGTGTAGCTACGTAACACAGCGCTTCTCCACAGGGGGCAATTTTGGCTGTCACATCTGGAGAGGTGTTGTCATCTAGTGCGTGGAGGCCAGGTGTGCTGCCAAACGCTCTACAATGCACAGGACACCTCCCCACAACAAAGAATTATCCAGTCCCAAGTGTCAATCCTGCCCAAATTCAAAAACACCATACTTCAGCAGGAGACGAAATTTTAAGGAAAGATTTGGAATTTCAAGAAACCGGCTATTGTCAAAACTTAGATTTACATGACTCATTTTTAGTAATGCTGTCCCACTCAACTAATTGTTCTCTGAAGGAGATAAAGAAAGGCGAGCCAGAATTTAAGATGAAGGATCTGAAGGTAATAGACGTTGCTGATCACATCAATCAGTTTGTATTCTTTCATTGCTGCCAAGTGCTTTTAATCTCCTTTGTCACTTTGCACTGATCTTGAGAATCAAATACTGTACAAGTGAGCCGAAGCCAGACGTGTTCCATTTTACTATTAATGCAATTGTGAATAAATTAAATACTATCTTCTTCCCCACGATGTGTTCCAGCCCCCTTTGCACTTTTGACTCTGTCTTTCGTTTATTGCAGGATTTAGTCGTCCGTGTTGTTTTTATTCTTGGCAACCTGACGGCAAAAAATAACCAGGCTCGTGAACAATTTTCCAAAGAGAAAGGGAGCATCCAAACTCTGCTGTCATTATTCCAGACGTTCCATCAGCTGGATCTGCATTCCCAGAAGCCGGTGGGCCAACGAGGCGAGCAGCACAGGGCGCAGAGGCCGCCGTCAGAGGCAGAGGACGTGCTCATCAAGCTGACTCGTGTGCTGGCCAACATTGCCATCCACCCGGGCGTGGGCCCGGTGCTGGCCGCCAACCCGGGGATAGTGGGCCTGCTCCTGACCACGCTGGGTGAGAACCGCAGCCCACTGGCTGCAGCAGACACAACCAACTTTCCCGCGGCCCAAAGACAGTTCTGTGTCTGTGGTGTGATGAGGATTTTATTATCACAAGTGGCTCCCTATGAGAAAGTCTTAGCTGTATGAAGGAAATTCCCTCTTCTGTTCAGAACTGTCTTAAAAGTAATCCAGATTATTAGAAAAGGAAAAGAAAACATAGTAATAGAGATTATTACTAAAACCCACCAAATCGTACACTTTAAAAGGGTGAATTTTATGGTTTGTGAATTACATTGCAATTTTTTAAAATTATACTCAGCAAATGAAGAAAACTTGGCTAAACTAACCACAAAGAGTTTAAAATTCCAAATATTTGAGTTTAAAATCCCAAATCCCAAATATTGTGGGCAATCCACATGATTAAAATTAATTCCTTTTTTTTCCTCTTCAGGTTCTTACATTATTTGTAATTACAGTCTCCAGTCATTCAAGTCCTGTTCATTCCCCTTGTATTAGCTCAGATTGCCATAACAAAATACCACAGATTGGGCAACTTTGTCAGAAATTTATTTCTTATGCTTCTGGAGGCTGAGAAATTCAAGATCAAGGTGCCAGACTGTTCAGCTCCTGGTGAGGGCTCTTCCTCCTGGCCTGCAGACAGCCACCTACTCACTGTGTGCTCACATGGCTATTCCTTGGTGCAAGCACTTGTGGGGTAGGGGACAGTCTGTCTCTCCCCCTCCTCTTTTTATAAAGTCACCAATCCTATCATATTAGGACCCTACCCTTATGGGCTCTGTAACCTGCTGTATCTCTTCAAAGTCTTATCTCCAAATACAAGCATATTGGGAGTAGAGCTTCAACATATGAATTTTGTTGGGCACACAATTCAGTCCATGGCAACCCCTATACTTTTTAGGTCTGTCATCTCCCACAAGCACTTCTGCCTGCTAGTGTGTAGGAAAATTAACTGCAACCCAAGATTGATTAATCTTGCCACTATTAGGTGGGCCTGGTGGCTCAGGCCTGTAATCCCAGCACTTTGAGAGGCTGAGGTGGGTGGATCACAAGGTCAGGAGTTTAAGACCAGCCTGGCCAACATGGTGAAACCCCTTTCTCTACTAAAATACGAAAATTAGCCAGGCATGGTAGCATTCACCTATAATCCCAGCTACTCGGGAGGCTGAGGCAGGAGAATCGCTTGAACTCAGGAGACGGAGGGCCGCAGTGGGCCGAGATCGTGCCACTGCATTCCAGCCTAGGTGACACAGTGAGACTCTGTCTCCAGAAAAAAAATTAGCTACTACTAACCATACTTGTGGAAAATGTTGTTGTTTTGGAAGGAAGCTAATGTCTGACACAAATGATGTTTTGGAGGAGCAATCTGTGAACTCCCTGGCCTCCCTCGCCCCCACTAGTCAACTCAAGAGCCATTTCCTAAGCTCTTTCTGGGTAACCAGTTCTGTGCTATACATTCAGTTTCATTTATTCTGCTCAGGCTGCCATAACAAAATCCCGTAAACTGGGGAGCTTCAACAACAGACATGTATTTTCTCACAGTTCTGGAAACTGGAAGTCTGAGACCGAGATGCCGGCAGGGTCAGGGTCTGGTGCAGGCTCCCCTTCCTGGCATGTGGTTGATTGCCCTCTCACTGGGTCCTCATGTGCTGAAGAGAGCACACTCTGGGGTCCCTTCTACTTCTTGTAAGGGTACCAGCTCCACCGGATGAGGGCCCCACCCTTCTGACCTCATTTAACCTTTATCACTTCCCCACAGGACCTAGCTCCAAATACAGTCACATTGAAGGGATAGGGCTTTTACATGTGCATTCTGGGGGATACCAACATTCAGTTTAGAACAAGGTTTTAAAAATGGAGGCTGGTATGTGCTTTCAAGGAATTCGGCCTATATGGTGGAGGGACATTGAGTGCACAGACAAGAACCCCAGTTTCTGAGAAGGGCAGAAGCTAGGCATACACAGCTAAGGGACGGGTGGCAGAGCCCGGCTGCGGGCATGTGAGTGACAAGGCCGTGCTTCATTATGGAGCTTTACGGTTGAAAACGCATTTTCATATCTGTTACCTCACAACAATGTCAGGGCACGTTTTTGTTATTTTCATCATTTCACAGATGAGGAAACGGGCTCAGTGAGATATAGTGACTTTCACAGGTCACAAAGTTAGCAAGTGGCAAAGTCACCGGGCCCCTGACCTGTGCTTCCCCGCACTCCACATCACGTGTCACCTGTCTTGAGAAACGACTCTTCACTTCTGATTGGGATCTGCACCATGACTTACCACTTCCATGTAAATAACTCAAAAATCTCTGTGTTTAGGCTTGAACTCTTTTCCAAGCTGCTGACTGCACATTAAGCCACGTGGAAGAAAATGCACGTAGCTGTGAGAGAAATTCAGTTTCTGTTCCAACCTCAAAACGTTCAGCATTTGCTCTGTAGCATGCCCATGTCTGCTGAAGCTCTTTCCCCTTCCTGAGATCCACTCACCACACTGAGCAGGGCTTCTCAGCCCAGGACCAGGGATGGGACTGCTGCAGAATCAGCTGTGGGACTCTTTAAAATACCCTTTTTGGTTTCTGGCCCCTGCCCAGAAACTGCCTCTGTAAAATGCCATTAGAGTCTTGAAATCTGCCTTTTAATGCCTCCTTTGCCCCCAGGTGAGCCTTTTGCCCATTAAGTGTTGAGACCCAGTGCTTCAGGGAACCATGTTAGCTTTTCTGGCTCCTCAGGATCTAGCAGAAGCCTGAAACCGACTGGGCGAATTCTCATCTGTTGCAGAATTAATCCCTTTACCTGACTGTGGCTGCCCAGGAAGGGCCTGAGGACCAGACCTCAAACACCTGGACTGGGGGCACATGGCTGTGAACAGCCAAGGAGTAGAGTTATGCATGATTCATTTTCCCACAGTTGTTAATATTCACATATAAAGTGAAAAAACTCCTCATCTTATAAATATTTTATGAGCTTAGAAATTACATTTCTACCTATAAAGGAAGAGTGAATAACTTGCTTTTGACTCAAAAGAAAGTGATGCTTTGGGGTAGGAGAAAGAGGCAAGAGGCTGGGCACGGTGGTTCGCGCCTATAATCCCAGCACTTTGGGAAGCCAAGGCAGGCAGATTGCTTGAGGCCAGGGATTCCGGACCAGACTGGGCAACATGGCAAAACCCTGTCTCTATTAAAAAAAAAAAAAAAAATTAGCTGAGTGTGGTGGGACACGCCTGTGATCTCAGCTACTCAGGAGGCTGAGGTGGGAGAATTACCTGAGCCCAGGAAGTCAAGGCTGCAGTGAGCCATGCTTACACCACTGCACTCTGGCCTGGGCAACAGAGTGAGACCCTGTCTCCAAGAAAAAGTCCGGGCGCAGTGGCTCACACCTGTCATCCCAGCACTTTGGGAGGCTGAGGTGGGCAGATCACTTGAGGTCAGGAGTTCAAGACCAGCCTGGCCAACATGGCAAAACCCCATCTCTACTAAAAATACAAACATTAGCCAGGCATGGTGGCACGTGCCTGTAGTCCTAGCTACTCAGGAGGCTGAGGCAGGAGGATCTCTTGAACCCAGGAGGTGGAGGTTGCAGTGAGCCAAGATCGTACTGTTGCACTCCAGCATGGGCGACAGAGTGAGACTCTCTCTCTAAAGCTCCCTGGCTGCTCCTGATACAGGTGGTCAAGGGCCTCCCTGTGAGAAATGTTTTAGTCTCTGTATTAGAGCCTGGTACCATATGAGGTTGAGCAGAAGTGAAGAAACCCTGCTCTCCTGTGATGGGTCAGGCCTCTTGCCTACTATGCCTTAGGCAGTTGTTTGGGCAAGCAGGTGATCCCTTCTCTATTCTCTCCTGAAAGACTTTATCTCCAAATAAAAGTTGATAGAAGGGCAAAAGTCACCCCTGACAGGGGGTCACCCCCCTCCACCTTCCCCTTACACAGCTCGACTCCTGGGTGAGTTTCTAAGCCCTGCTAAGCCCTTTCTACACTGGTCTCTGTGGATTTCCTACCTGTTTTGTCTGTGTCGGTGTGGAGTGGTGACCACATTCCAGGAAAGGCCTCCTGCCCCCTCTGACAGGCCTGGCAGCTTAGAGCAACGCAGGGCCAGTGCTGGGCTGTGACTGTGACTATAGAAAGGGCCTGCCCGTGGTTTGGTTGTGCCCACTGAACTCAGAGTTGCTGCTGTCCTGTTTACCCTCAGAGCTGAGCACTCCTCCCAGCCTGATGGCTCCTGTGGCATGGCCCCCTTCCCTAGTCATGTGGGAAGGGCATCCCTTAGGCTCTTTTCTTCCTACCTCCCTCTAGCCCTGCACCCTTCACAAGGAGTTACTTGTACCCCAGGACTTGCCTAGAGAGGTCAGCCTCATTGCAGAGGGTCTTTTAAAAATCAATAATGTTTCTAGTAAGAACTGACCCTCTCAGTATGCCACCAGACTCAGAGATTTGCTGACTTAGTGGCAAGTCCAAATTCCAGATTGTCTCATATCCGTGAGTGAATTATAGAGGGTAGGATGGTTGTCATGGTTTTTTGGAAGCAGTCTATTGCCCCAACTAGCTCCAATGGGAACTCAGCAACCCTGAGTCCTTGGCTTCCGCAGCGTTCTGTGGAAAGAGTAGGATAGTAGGGGTCAAGTACACCTGGATTTAGATGTGTGCTCTGTGAAGTGAGGTGAGGTATTGAACTTCTCTAAACCTCAGTGTTCTCATCTGACCCCTAAATTCATCTATGAAGTCCTAACCCCCATGTGATGGTATTTGGAGATGGGGCCTTTGGGAGATAATTAGGTTTAGATAAGGCCATGATGTGGGGACCTCATGCTGGAGTTAGGGCCCTTACAAGAAGAGACACCAGAGCCTGACCATGCAGCCTCCCTGATCTTGGACTTCCAGCCTCCGTAACTGTGAGAAAATAAATTCCTGTTGGTTCAAGCCACCCAGTTTATGGTATTTTATTATGACAGGCCAAGGTGACTGAGACAGATGCACCTTTCGAGAATGAATTATTGTGGGTGTGAATTCTTGTAAGTGCATGTAAAACTTATTAGCTGACTTTTGAGGGTTACATGCATGGTAAAGTGCCTAGTGCTGTTTATGATAAATGCTTAGGAGCTGTGAGTACCTACCCTCTAGTTCCAGATACCAGACACCATTCCTGCCGCCCAAATGTGTGGTCCTTCGGGAGGTCAGACAATAAGAGCTACCCTGCATTTTCTGGACAAGCTAACGAATTCTCCTACCAAGGCAAGAGAAATAAAACAGATCCCCAAACACTGCCCAAGACCTAGTGTCATCAGTCTGGGGCTGGAGGAAACTAGGGCTGTAGGCCCTTTGCCCAAGAGTTAGACATTCACCTGAGCTGCTCCCCATGAGCCGTCATTCTGGATGGCCCATCTGTTCATGTAATAAGCACTTACTTAGCACCCACTATGTGCCATGCACTCATTTAAGCCCTTGAATGCATTTAAACTTTGTAACAACTCTATAATGTAGGTGCAATGATCATGCTTACTTTACCATCAAGGAAACTGAGGCCCAAGGAGGTTAAATAATTTGAGTAAGGTCACACGGCCAGTGAGTGGAAGCACAGGGTTCTGGCTCCAGAGTCCTGGCCAAAGCAAGAGGGAATAATTTGGAGGTCCTGTGTCCCTTCTTTTACCATAACTAGAATATTTCCTTACAGTAGAATCCATATTGATAACCAAAATAATTCAGTTCCTTATTCCCTTTTTATATACTTAAACTAAAAAAGAGGAAGTCAGGTCTTTATTTATTCTTTCTTTTTCCAAGTATCCATTAAGTGTCTACCAGGTACTGGGCCTATGCTTGCTGCTCTAGCGGGAGGGGCCACTGGCGGAAGGAACAGTGTATGTCTTCTGCAGCCTACAAATGACTGAGCTTTCCTTTCAACATAGTAATTTATAAAAAGGCTGTTCTCTTTAATGAACAGGAAAAGATGGCCAAAGGGGGCGATACTTAAGTTGGAGAATTCAAGAACAAGCACAGTCCTCTTCCTCAGCTCATAGCCCCCCTGCTTGCTCCCCAAAGAAAAACTTCGGTTTCATACAGGAAAGAAAAGGCACTTCCTATTCAGTAATGGGAAGTGGGCAAGTCATGAGCCAAGTTGTGTGCAGGTGCTGAGTGGCCTCCCTCGCAGGCTGGGACTGGGCCTCTGGAGCAGGTGAGACCAGGTGGAGAAGGACTGGGGGCTCTCCCAACAGTGGGTGGACTTGTGCAGGAGGGAGGGGAGGCGGTGGCCTGTTCAAGCTGCAGTCACTGGCTCAGTGTTGCCGGGCTCGTGATTCTTTCTCTGATTGCCCAGCTCTTTTTTATTTATTTATTTATTTATTTTTATTTTTATTTTTGAGATGGGGTCTCCCTCTGTCACCCGGACTGGAGTGCAGTGGTGCAATCTTGGCTCACTGCAACCTCTGCCTCCCGGGTTCAAGCAATTCTTCTGCCTCAGCCTCCCAAGTAGCTGAGATTACAGGCTTGTGCCATCAAGTCTGGCTAATTTTTGTATTTTTAGTGGAGACGGGGTTTCACCATGTTGTCCAGGCTGGTCTCATACTCCTGACCTCAAGTGATCAGCCCGCCTTGGCTTCCCAAAGTGCTGGGATTACAAGCACCTGACACCACACCCGGCTAATTTTTTGTATTTTTTGTAAAGACAGGGTTTCACCGTGTTGCCCAGGCCGGTCTGATTGCCCAACTCTTAGATCCAACTGTCTACCCCTCCTCTCCTGGGGGTGCTTCAGAAGCACCTCAGCATATCTTAAGCTGAATTCATGACCTGTCCCTGAACTTGGCCCTCTTCCTGTGCCCTTATTTCAGACAATGTGGTCAACATCTACCCAATTATGTGCACCGGCGGGGGACACCCCGGGTGATTCCTCTCCCTCACACCCCCATCCAGTCTCTGCCAAGCACAGTCTCCACTCCGCCACATCTCCGCCATCACCCGTGTCCACGCTATGCTGAGGTCACTGGGACCACTCCCAGCTGCAGCCCTGCCTCTTCTCATCCTCACACTGTGGCCAGAAATGTCAAGAGATGAGTCTGGAGACTGAGTGGGAGGCAGGGACAAAAACCACTAAGGGCCTTATGTGCTAAGCTAGAGGATCAATTATTCTTGCATCCAGCACTCACTATGTGCCAGGCACTGTTCTAGAAGCTGGGAATGCAGCCATGAAGAAAACAGACACATCCCTAGGCCTCAGGAAGCTGACATTTTAGGGCTGAAAGACAAACATTAAACACATATATAACATCAGGTGGTCATATGTGCTATGGAGAAAATTAAAGCAGGGTGAGAAAAAAGAGAATAGGTGCTATTTTAAATAGGGAGGTTACGGAAAGTATGTCCAACAAGGCGGCATGTAAGCAACTGCTAGGAGGACGTAAGGAGTGAGCCAAGTGACTAACTGGGAGGACAGTATGTTCCAGAAGAAAGTTCAGCAGTGCACGGGTTCTCAGGCAGGGGCATGCTGGCATATTCCAAGAGGCCAGGAGGCTGGTGTGGTTGGCCTTGGGGGTCTGGGAGTAGGAGGAGCAAATGAGGCCAGAGAGATAAGGCCTGGAGCTGCCAGGTAGGTCTTGTGAACCAGACGACGCAGTCTATTCGTGGGTTATGAGGTGGGTGGCAGTATCTGACTTGCTTTTAAAGGATAACTGTGTTGAGAATAGATTTAGGGAGGCAAAAGTGGAAGAAGAGAAGCCAGCAAGTGCTGAGAGATGAACTAGTGGGGAGGTAGAGGAGGCCAGAGGTGTCTTCTAGAGTTCGTAGTCACAGACGGATCGTGACCCCGGGGCCGTTCTGTTGGGAGGCGGTGTGGGAAGGAGGGCACAGACTCCAAGGAGGAGCCCCTGGGAGAGCCTGAAGACCCAGAAAACAGGCGGGATTGGAGATGGCTCCGCTCACTGCCGTGTTGGCCCCTTTGCTTTACTTCAGACACAGGTCCCAGATCAGCTGGACTTTTCCAGACCTCCTGGCTGCGAGGATTGAGTTGACAGTGTCCTCTCTGCTCTGGCCAGGAGCAGGCCCTTGCATTTGGGGCATTTCCGTGCAGGAGGAGTCGGGGGAAATCAAGTGGTAAAGGTGCCTCTCCAGGGCCTTTGTAGGGACCCTGCGTGATCGCAGCCGGCTCCTGGCCCTGCTGTTGCTGTAGTTGCAACGTAGTTGGTTCTACTCCTGCAGTGGGTCTTTGACTCCCTTATCCTTACTTCATTTCAGAATACAAGTCACTTGATGATTGTGAGGAGCTGGTGATCAATGCTACAGCGACAATCAACAATTTATCTTACTACCAAGTGAAGAATTCCATAATTCAAGACAAAAAGCTATATATTGCTGAATGTAAGGTTCAGAGTTGGATTTGGATAAATGAGTGCTCATTTGAAGTTTCGATTTTATTAACTAAACACAGAGCAGGAGACATTACTATCTTCTGCCTTCTGGTACAGAAATGTCTTAGAGCCTGATGATTCTAAGAAATTAGAATATGGGGAAACTAGAAATGGGAAAAATTAGTTTCTTAGTTCTTGCTAAAGTCCCTTACAGTTTGTAATTTATTATCATTTGAAAATCATCAGTATTAAGTATGATGTTGATTTCCATTAACCTTTAAGTTAAAACTTAAATTCACTGATTTAATTTCTCTGGTCGCCAAATCCAGTGCTCTTAAAGCTTCTTGTCAGTAACAACATGGATGGAATCCTGGAGGCTGTGCGTGTTTTCGGAAATCTCTCCCAGGACCATGATGTCTGCGATTTCATTGTGCAGAACAATGGTGAGTTAATAACACTAGAATTCATAAACATTCACTTTTTGCCAATAATCAGCTGAGTGGTTTTGCAGCTTGAGTCATTACAGTGTTATACTTGTTTCCGTTTTGAGATTTGTAAAGCTTCGTGTTTAAGGCTCCTGGCTCAGGATGCCAAGATGGACCTAGGCAGTGTTCCCCTCTGCCTTGTGAATGGCCTTCTGTGCTCCAAGATGGGGTGTGTGTATGTCTAATGGAAACAGTGAATCTTGAGTAATCACTTCTGTCTGGGGGCATATTCTTAAGAAGACATTCTCTTTTATGTACTAGAATGTCTATTACATTTTGCTTATAATAGCAAAAAGTAGAAACAACCTAAATGTTCCTCAACAGAGAAGAGGACAAATTCATTATGGTATATTCATGCAATAAAATGTTCTCTAGCATTTAAAAGCAATAGGAGGATATATGCAGAGGAATGCCTTGAATATAAGTTTTAAAACATACAAAACTACCTTTTGCTTCTGCATTGGTATTGCTTCTGCACAGGTATTCACGTAGTGATGCTATACAGTATAAATAGTAATTGGAAATAGTAAACTCCAATTTAAGACAGAGTTCAGGCTGGGTACAGTGGTTCAAGCCTGTAATACCAGCACTTTGGGAGGCTAAGGTGGGAGGATTGCTTGAGGGCACGAGTTTGAGATCAACCTGGGTAACATAGTGAGAACCTGTCTCTACAAAAATTTAAAATTAGCCAGACGTGGTGGTGGCACAAGTCCCAGCTACTTGGGAGGCTGAGGCAGGAGGATCACTTGAGCCCAGAAGTTTGAGGCTACAGTGAGCCATGATTGTGCCACTGCCCTCTAGGCTGGGAGACAGAGCGACACTCTATCTCTAAAAAATAAAAAAAATTTAAAAATTAAAAAAGGACAGCATTCACCTTTGGAAAGAAAGGGATGTCCAAAGATTATAATTGGACCTATAATGTTATTTATTATCAAATAAGAATTGTTTATATTTATTATGTACAACATATTGTTTGGAATGTAATGTTTTATTTCTTAAACTGAGTGGCAAGTACCCACATGTTTATACCCTTTGTATGTCTCAAATATTTTTGTATGTCTCAAATATTAGTATACTTTGACTCTTTGTATGTCTCAAATATTTCATGTAACAATAATTTTAAAAACATAACTCTCCATGTTCGTAATGGAAAATTTCAATAATACAGATACAAAAAGCAGCAGCAGCAAACCATGCCCCATCCTCTCACTACCTGCAGATAACTGCACATTTTGCTGGGCACTATTTAGCCTCTTAAGAGCACATATGTACGTGATGTTGCCTCTGTCAAGCTTACTGCCCAACCCAGTTAACAGGGCCGGGGCTAGAACAGGGCAGCCCCTCTCAGGTGCACGTACTGTGGGAGGAGGCAGAATGCACACTTTACTCACTCTTCCCCAACCCTTTGCTCAGCGTCTGCTGAGGGATGAGAAAACAGGACAAACAGTTCCCAGTTCCATTTCCTAGGAGTAAGGGAAAATGATTCTCCTGAGGCAGGAGCCTGTCCTGCCTTGAGATGTCCCTACACTGGAAGGCCTGCCTTGCCCCAGGTTGGTTTTTAGCAGTCTGAGTCTTACACATGGCCCTGGGAGACTTCAGGAATGATCCCACCAGGAGCCAACTCCCCTCTCCAGGACTGTGTATTTAAAGACAGACAGTTGCTGCTGGAGGTTTAGGAACACCCTTGAGAATAACTGGAAGTTAGATGAGTGTCACCTGTGCTCCCTCCTTTCCACCAGCTGGGACTCTTTCACTGCCGTGGAGAAGCAGCTGCTGCCTGGGTCAGGTTTTGCAGTATCTGTCGATTGGGGGAGCCAACTCTGGGAGTGGTGGGTATTGGGGAACCCACTGCTGTGTGATGGATAAAGCCTTAGGAAGAATGAGTTAAGTCCCTTAACAGGGGTTCTGGGTTTGCAAGCCACTCCCCGTTTCCCCATACCATCTGTAAAACAAGAGACAGCTGGGAATCCTGAACTTTTACTGGTCTGCATTTGCTCTCTTCCCTCGTAGTCCACAGGTTCATGATGGCGCTGCTGGATGCTCAGCATCAGGATATCTGCTTTTCTGCCTGTGGTGTTCTCCTCAATCTCACTGTGGATAAAGACAAGCGTGTCATCTTGAAAGAAGGAGGTGGCATTAAAAAGTAAGTTTCAGGGCGTAGAGTACTGACTCTCTCAGGATTTGAAGGACATCATTTTCTTGGGAGCTTTGGCCCTTTCATCATTCCTGTGGGGCAAAGGTATTTCAACATTGGGAAGCCCCTAAGCTGAGGCTAAAGAGGGGGTTTAGATTCCACTGGATACTTAAAATAGTGCAGAAGTAGGCCAGGTGTGGTGGCTCGCACCTGTAATCCCAGCATTTTGGGAGGCCGAGGTGGGCAGATCACTTGAGGCCAGGAGTTCGAGAGCAGCCTGGCCAACATGGTGAAACCCTGTCTCTACTAAAAAGACAAAAATTAGCCAGGCGTTGTGGCACACGCCTGTAATCCCAGCTATTCAGGAGGCTGAGGCAGGAGAATCGCTTGAATCCGGGATACAGAGGTTGCAGTGAGTGGAGGTTGCGGTGAGCCGAGATCGCGCGACTGCACTTCAGCCTGGGCAACAGAGTGAGAC
The DNA here is from genome assembly GCF_000001405.40 of Homo sapiens. NCBI lineage: Eukaryota > Metazoa > Chordata > Mammalia > Primates > Hominidae > Homo > Homo sapiens. Next base: position 108,964,782 of record NC_000006.12, read on the forward strand.
TCTGTCTCAAAAAAAAAAAGGTGTAGAAGTAGATTATTGCTACTTTATAACCACTTAAATTTATAGATAAGGAATTATTTTAAGTGATCACTGGATTATACTTACATATCACAGAAGGATAATCATTATGCTAACAATATTAAAATTAAAGACAGATTCTGACCTAATAACTTCTCAATTTGAATTTTATTAACTCAGGTTAGTGGACTGTTTAAGAGATTTGGGTCCTACTGATTGGCAGCTGGCCTGCTTGGTTTGTAAAACTTTATGGAACTTCAGTGAAAACATCACTAATGCTTCGTCATGTTTTGGAAATGAAGACACCAACACACTCTTACTCTTGCTCTCATCATTTTTAGGTAAGACTCTTGACTATGATGAGTCTGTGAGTTTTATCAGAGTGTGAGATAGTTTTTTTCTGTGACCTGTTCGGATAAATATTAGTATGCATTTAGGTGACTATATTTCTATAAGCAACAAGAGTATGTTAAAGATTACTATAATTTGGAACTGAAAAGGCTGAATGCTATTTACAGTGGGGACAGAAGGACTTTCAACTCATTAGATACATTCATGATTTCTTCTATGGCTTTTTTTTTTTTTTTTTGCATTTTCTCTAGAGTGCATAAATATAAGACCTCAGCGTAAATGTACTTCTGTTGTTCAAAAGCAAATAGACACTATTGTAATTGAGAAAATACGGCTAAAATCTACTCAAGTCATGCTTTTAAATGAAGCTATACATTTTAATTAGCTACGTTAATTATCATGTGGGTGAGGGCCTGTGAGACTATTTGGCATTACAATGGAGTTTATATCCTTGAAAGGTAGGAAATCACTGATACAAATCAAAGGAAAGAAGATTGTTTCTTTCTTTTCTTGGGACAGGGTCTTGCTCTGTCATCCAGGATGGAATACAGTGGTGCGATCACTGCTCACTGCAGCTCTAAACTCCTGGGCTCAAGTGATCCTCCTGCCTCTGTCTCTCAAGTAGCTGGGACTACAGACACGCACCACCATGCCCAGATAATTAAAAAAAAATTTTTTTTTTTGTAGCGATGAGGTCTTGCTATGTTACCCAGGCTGGTGTCAACCTCCTGGGCTCAAGCGATCCTCCCACCTCAGCCTCCCAAAGTGCTGGGATTACTGGTGTGAACCACCTTGCCTGGCCAGGATCATTTTTTACATTTAAAAAATTTTTATAATTTTAGGATAATTTTTTTCTTCCTGGGTTAATTCTAAAAACAATGATTTGGGTCAGTAAGTGAGTGTTTTTAATAATCCTTTTTCCCAAATAGAGGAGATGTACCCATCACTGCCCAGCCACCATACTAGATCCAGGAGGCCATGTGGAAAGGCTCAAGGTCACTTGGAAGCCATAGGTGCTGAGTTTTTAAATTTTGAGCTCAACTTCTCTGCAACCTGAGAAAGCTTAACAGACACCTTTCCTTTACACTCCTTCACTAACCAGAGCAGAGGCTCCCAATCCTGGCTGCAGAGCAGACTCACCCGTGGAACTTTTAAAAACACAGATTATCAGCCGTTCCGAAATGATATTTTATCATCTCCAAGATGAGGATAATTAATGTCCAGATTGCAGGGTGATAAATGAGCAGATGTGTACAAAGAGCCTAACACAGTGCCTGCTGCATAGCAAGTCCTCAGAAGGTGGCTGACGTGCTCTGGAAACTCTTTAAGTGTTGTAACACCGTGCTACTAAACAGAAACTGGAACTCAGGAGTTGTTTGAAATAATTGGGTTTGCTAGGTTGATGTGAAATTTGGTTTTTCCAGGTAAATATAATTTTGTACATGTGTTTTAAAACACAATAAGGAAAAAAAAGTGAGCATTTTTTTTTAATCATTGAGGTTCACAGTCGGCTCCATGAGCATTAAACTGACTCAGGTTGCAGGGAGCAGAAGTGCATGTTCAGGTTGCCTTAATTCAGTTCTCGATGGTGGTAGAGCATTGAAATCAGCTGTGGAGTTAAAACCCAAAAAAACTAAAAACACCTTCCTGGCCCCAGCCCTAGGAATTCTGATTCAGAAGCTCTGGGATGAGGCTGAGAATCTGTGTTCAAAGTTCCACAGGTGAGTCTATTAGCTAAGATTGAGAGCCCCTGCTCTCGTTAGCAAAGGAGCTTAAGGGAAGAGTGTACAGAGAAGAAAGAAGCCAGGAAACAAGATACTGCTCAAAGCCTCCCAGAGAGGCAGGCAGGAGCCAGAGTCCCAAGTGACCCCTCAGCCGTGGGCGTCATGAGCTCCGCCCCCTGGGCTCTGCCATTCTGGAGACCCAGCTGTGTTGTGTCTGCTGTTAGGGAAAGAATTCTCTCCCCACTTACTCTCTCTAGGCTCCTTCTAGATCATGGCTTCAGCTACCTCCAGGCTTCCACTTGCTGCCCTCCCTGTGTCTGTCTGTTGCCAGGGCACTTTCCTATGTCACCCACTCCAGGAGAAGATATGATTGGCTCAGTGAGTCACTGTCCTATGGCCCAGGGCTTTCCCGCATAGGCAGCAGCTACCGGGTGACAGGCTATCTGTGGTTTCCTTTGTTACCCAAGCCTGGGGCAATCAGCCATAAATAACAAGGATGGTGGGGCTGCGGGGCCGGGGCCGTGTGGCATAAAGATGGATCAGAAGGAGGTGTGGGCATGGCTGGCTTCTCAGCAGGGGCAGTGTACCTGGAAGGCACTTCATTTTAGTGGGCCCTGCTGCCTGTTACAGTCACCCCTTGGTATCTGGGGGGATTGGTTTCAGGGCCTGCCTCAGATACCAACACAGATGCCCAAGTGCCTGATATAAAATGACATAGAATTGGCATTTCACCTACACACATCTTCCTGCACACGTTAAACCATCTCTAGACTACTTATAATACCTACAGTGTGAACGCTATGTAAATGGTTGTCGTGCTGTGATTTTTATTTGTATTCTTTTTATTGTTGTTGTTTCAAATATTCTGTCTGTGGTTGGTTGAACCTGTGGATACGTGGCCCGTGGATGCGAAGGGCTGACTGCGCTCCATTCCCAACTTTTCCATAGCCTAACTGGGCTTCTGATTGTGCTTCTCCCGCCTCTGTGCCTTTGCACATGTTCTGTTTCATTTCCTGCCTGCCCATCCCAATCTGCCTAGCCAGGTGCAGGCCCTTCCCACGTAGCTTCTCAAGCCCACAGTCGTAGGCTAGTCATAGGAAATCTATACTTCTTATATAGCAATCAGTCATGAATTGTGTAACTTGTCCTGTAATTATCCTGTATTATTATTTTGTGAGTTTTATCTTATTTCCCCTTTGCAACTGAACCACCTTAGGAAAAGGATATTGCCTCATACAAAGAAGGTACTTGATAGCTGCATGTGGATTGGCTAACAATGGTGGTACCTTTGTTTCAATAGTGCTATATCCTTTTAAAAGCATGTTTATTCTATTTTTGAAAGATCTGAGGCCATCAGCTAGGTGACAGATACGGAAAGTAGGTTTTAGGACAGTTAAGTGGCTTGCCTGAAGTCATACTGTAGCAAAGGCAGGAATTCCCATCCGAAAACAAACAACTAGCCTTGTGTTTTCCAGCCGCTCCGTTACCTAGAACACCCTTACTCCACTGCACCTTGTGCAGGGGGACTGTGGCATGGATAACAGCAAATAAACACAGCTCACTCAGGAAGCCAAGCCACTGCAATGCATCCCAGGTTTCTCACGTGAGCTCCTCTTCACGAACCATGGGGACTGTGCCTTGTGGGCTGGGTGGTGGGCTGTGCTGCCTCCTGGCTTTTCTCTTGGCAATGAGCACTCAGACCCTGACTTCTGACCGGGTCGTGGCTGGGTCTGGGCAGTGGGACTGCTGCGAGTGAAATGGGCATGTGGGTGAGAGTATACTTGCATTTCAATTCTTTTACAAAGATAGCTAAAACAAACAAACAAACAAAAACAGGCCATTTTGGAAACAGGATGAGCTGTTGAATTACCAAGGCCTGTGTTGAAGTATGAACACTGTTTTTGCAAATACTGGTATGGCAATTTCTATAGTAATGTAAGTTACCTAACTTTTTCTTGCTGAGTGACTAGAAAAAAAGGAGAAGTAATATACCCTCAACATCGTTGGAATGTTGACAGTCTTTCTGGAAAGTGGCTTTAAAAGAACGTGGTCTGAAACTTCCCATTATACTGCAGTCATGTCTTATGAGCTCATAAGCAGCGTGTTGATGCTGAAGTTCTTAGTGGTGTGCTGAGCACTCCAGACTACCATGAGCCCCTCTGTGGGGAGCTGGCACCTGATGACCATGTGTGTAGTTTATTGTTGCAAATGGGAAGTACACTAGGCTGTTGTATGTTCATCCTAAGTTTTGTGGCAGTGGGCACTTAGGTTTTGTGACAAGGGTAGAGCGGGGCCCCACGTTCAAGTTGGAGGATCACATCAACCTATGTTGAAGAGCTTTCAGGTGCTTCTAGAACATTCGACAACTTTGCCTTATAAGAGAATGGTCAGGGCGATGATAAATCCCTTAAACAGCCATCTGCTGCTGAACAGCTAGCTAGGAAATAGTGTAGTGAGTAAAGGAAGCTTTTATAGATGCTGCAGGACACAAACTTCTAATGATGATTGTGTTGTAATGACCATTGATACATATTTATATTTTAGGGTCTTTTAATTCTTTCTAATACTTTGCCCCAAATTTTAGTATTTGGAAGCATGCTGTGCCTAAAGAAAGCTTAAGAATGATTGGTTACCTAAATAAGCACTTTTCACACTGCAGGTCAGGAAAACAATTTAGTTGGTTGTGACCAGCATCTTTAAAAAATGAAGTAGCAAAGAAAGAAAATATCAGAATGTATTATATTTAGTAAAGACAAGTATTATAATGTGAAACATTTGTTTATTCATATATAAGTAGGTATATGTATACAGAGTCATGATGCAAAATACTGTGAAGCACAGTTTCTAACTTATGATGATTCAAATCTTAAAAAGAATTAATCAAAGGCTGAGTGCAATGGCTCATGCCTGTAATCCCAGCACTTTGGGAGGACGAGGTGGGAGAATCACTTGAGGCTAGGAGTTTGAGACCAGCTTGGGCAACGTAGTGAGACCCATCTCTACTAAAAGTGAAAAAATTAGCTGGGTGTGTGTGTTTTGTAGTCTTAGCCACTCAGGAAACTGAGGTGGGAGAATCACTTGAGCCCAGGAATTCAAGGCTACAGTGAGCTATGATTGCACCACTGCATTCCAGCCTGGGTGACAGAATGAGACTCTGTCTCTTAAAAAAAAAAATTGAATCATAGATCTAAATTTTTACTCAATCAGCCTCTGCTACTCTTTGCAGTACAAGTTCCAAAATTTAATACCCCATGTGATATGGCACTTTTAATGTATGTTGCTGTGTTTACTTTGAAACTTTAGACCTCATTTCTCTTACCTGTAGCTGTTTGGCTATTCTTGTTATCTTGTCTAACCCAATTTAGAATTAATATGGTTTGAGGGTGGATTAACTATAGGCTGGGCCTCAAGACAAGTAACATGGTCTTGACATTAGATTTTAAAAAGCCACTCACCCAACAGAGATTTTGCTAAAACCACTAAATCTAACCAAAGCCCTAGGAGAAAGAAGGGACTATGACATGCCCAGGCCACACTGCTCAGCCGCCAGCAGCTTGGGAAAGAAGGGCTTCTGCAACAGAATGCATTTTCTTTCTTTCTTTTCTTTTTCTTCTCTTTTCTTTTTTTTTTTTTTTTTTTTTGAGACAGAGTCTCTCACTGTCGCCCAGGCTGGAGTGCAATGGCACGATCATGGCTCACTGCACTCTCTGCCTCCTGGGTTCAAGTGATTCTCCTGCCTCAGCCTCCCAAGTAGCTGGGACTACAGGAGCCCGCCACATGCCTGGCTAATTTTTTGTATTTTTAGTAGAGATGGGGTTTCATCATGTTGGCCAGGTTGATCTTGAACTCCTGACCTCAGGTGATCCACCTGCCTCAGCCTCCCAAAGTGATGGGATTATAGGCGTGAGCCACCGTACCCAGAATTTATTTTCTATACAACAGAATTCATTTTCTATACAACAGAATTTTATTTTTATACAGCAGAATTCACTTTTCAACAAAATTTAATGTTCAGAAAATCTGGAAAACAGTGAGCAGGAAGATGGCCTAGAAATGTGAAATCACTGGCTGGGCGCTGTGGCTCACACCTGTAATCCCAGCACTTTGGGAGGCCAAGGTGGGTGGATCACCTGAGGTCAGGAGTTCGAGACCAGCCTGGGCAACATGGCAAAACCCCATCTCTACTAAAAACACAAAAAATTAGCCTGGTCTGGTGGCACATGCCTGTAGTCCCAGCTACTTGGGAGGCTGAGGCACAAGGATCACTTGAATCTGGGACATGAAGGTTGCAGTGAGCCGAGATCACACCATTGCACTCCAGAGTAGACTCTGTCTCGAAAAAACGGAATGAAATCTGAATCACTGAGACTACCTGACTCTTTTTGTCTGGAAGTAGCCAAACAGGAAGAGCTCTGAACGCACCACATATCACCTGCATTCTCCTCCCCTCAGGGCCCAGTTATCTCATGGGTGGGGAGATCCAGGTTTGCTTACAGGGTCTCCATGGAGCTCCTTGCCGAAGTGTTTGTGTCTGCCTGGAGCTTATCTCAGAACTGCATAGTTGACCACTTGGTTGTGATGAGAGGAAGGTACAAACTGGGATTCCAGACTCCCTTATCTTATTTTGGGTGGTGACACTAACACCCATAGTGCCAAAGTACACAGTGAATGTACACAAATATTCAGTGTAGAAAATCTGATATCAACAGAGTCATGAAGCATTTTGTAATAGGATTTTCATTGGCCCTTAAAAAAAAAGTATCGGCAGCTGGGTGCAGTGGCTCACGCCTGTAACCTAGCACTTTGGGAGGCCAAGGCAGGCGGATCACTTGAGGTCAGGAGTTGGAGACCAGCCGGGCCAACATGGTAAAACTCTGTCTCTACTAAAAAGAAAAAATTAGCTGGGTGTGGTGGCACATGCCTGTAATCCCAGCTGCTCAGGAGGCTGAGGCAGAGGAATTGCTTGAACCCGGGAGGCAGAGGTTGCAGTGAGCCGAGACTGCGCCACTGCACTCCAGCCTGGGTGACACAGCGAGAGTCCATCTCAAAAAAAAAAAAAAAAAAGTGTTGGCAATTTAAGTAACAACATCTGTGGTTGTTTTAGGATTTAGTGGTTACCATTTTAGAAGTTGGCCTCATGTCACAAATGTAGGAAGTGGCAGAGCTAATCTGATTGGCAGGTCAGTGCACTTTTCTGAAGTCTGTCACACAGAGTGTGAGGCTCAACATCAACATGTAAAATTGCTGTGGCAATCAGCACAGAAACCTCAGTGGTCATTTATCTTCCTACTTGGATTGAATATATTTATGGTCATTTATCTTCCTACCTGGATTGAATATATTTATGGTGTTCCCAGAATTCCTTGGATTAAGAATTGAAGTTGTACTTTTGCATTTTATTCTTACAAGTTCTTTTCTGCATTATCCATGGGCTCACTTGGGATTCTAATACTCCTTGGGATTCCCAAGGTCTCTCAGTTTTCAGTTATGGAGAGAGTTTGGGGGTGGAAAGTTGTCTTTCCAAAGTACTACTTCCCTGCTGCTTTGAAGCCAGCAAAGTTCTGATTTTCAGTAAAGTTTAAAGTGTCAAATTTAACTGAGCTATTTTCCTAAAAGATTTCCTGATTCCTTTTATACCTAACCTTTGAAGTAATTAATTTTTCTATGTACACATAAGGAAGTAACATATTAATACGTTGTTTATTCTGAGAAATTGTGATCTGACTTTTAGATACAAACTTACATATAAAAAACTAAGGAATTAGTTGAAATAAGGGTTCAGTTCAATTTTGGATTTTTTATTTTTTGAGACAGGGTCTCTCTGTGTCTCTTAGGCTGGATGGCGGTGGCATGATCGTGCCCCACTGCAGCCTCAATGTCCCGTGCTCAAGTGATTCTCCTGACCTCAGCCTCTCGAGTAACTGGGACCACAGGCACATGCCCCCATGCCCAGATAATCTTCTGATTTTTTTTTTTTTTTCTGAGCTGTCACTGTGTTGCCCAAGCTAATCTTGAACTCTGGGGCTCAAGCAATTCTCCTACCTCAGGCTCCCAATGTGTTGGCATTACAGGTATGAGCCACCACAACTGGCCAGACTTTTTTTGAAAAAAATATTGCCCATTTAAATTAAGATACCAAAATAGACTAATTGTAAACTAATGGGCTTGGCGAGGTAGCGCACACCTGCAATCCCAGCACTTTGGCACTTGGGGAGGCCAAGGTGGGAGGATTGCTTGAGGTCAGGAGTTGGAGACCAGTCTGGGTAATACATGGAGACCCTGCCTCTCCAAATAAAATAAAATAAAATGATGTATTCATAAAGAACAGAAGAGAGTAAAGAACTTCTCTGAAATCCTGTCTTGTGTTACGTTGGTATTAAAGGACGACCCAGGGTGAGTTTAACTCATATCATCAAAATTAAACTATATTCAATAGGATTACATTTCTAAATAATGCTGTAATTTAAATTTTTCTAATACAGATGAAGAACTAGCACTGGATGGCAGTTTTGATCCAGACCTAAAAAACTATCACAAACTCCATTGGGAAACAGAATTCAAACCTGTGGCACAGCAGCTTCTAAACCGAATTCAGAGACATCACACCTTCCTGGAACCCCTGCCCATTCCCTCTTTCTAACATGATGCAGATTAACAGTAGAAACGAGAACTCACGTCTCCCTCATTCTTAAGAACTGGTAACAAACGTGAACATTTTTTTCAGCATTAACAAATGTGGAAAGTTTTTCAAGAACTGGTTTTAGTGAGTAGCTGAAGTATTTTTTAAAATTAAGCATTTCTTCTTGTTAGGTATTATGGAAAAATGAATATACACATTATATTTCCTGTTGAGAGAAATGTAAGATGAAAATATGTGCATTTTCAAGTAAATGACTTTTTCTTCTATTCTCTATTAAACAATTTAGTTCTAGTCTTAAAATCTTGATTTAACAATTTTGGAATTGAAGTGTTCATAAGTTAAATGAACTGTGCAATGAAGGCTGTTAGATTATATAGAAAGAAGGGTAGGCAACATGAGTGGAACACGTTACAACATAGGATCTGTACTAATTCTTACTATGTCAAATAATAAATGCTCTCATTAGGTACCAGTATTTTTTTGGTCTTTATATTAAGAGAAGGAGTAAGCAGAAAAACTTAAAGAAAACTGCTTTGGGCCATCTGTTCTTTATTAAATAAGTAAAATAGATAAAATGAGAGTATATTTTCATTTGAAATAAAATGACTGGACTAAGACAGTCCTTCTAATTGTAACTCTCTGTGTTTGACAGGTGAGGTAATGTATTAGAAAGAATGCAGGCTTAGGTGAATGGTATACCTGAATCTGAATCCATGCTCTCCCCTGCTAGCTTTGTGGGCCTGGAGCAAGTAACTTAATTTCTTGAGCTGCAACTGCAAAATGGGAATCATATCAATTTTACTGTAGTGTAGTTTGGAACAAACCATTAAATGGGCAAATGGCCCAGTCCAGTGTATCATGTGGAGTGGGTGTTCAAGAACATTATGATGGCAAGCACTTTCTTAGCTTGCCATCCTTTGTAGGATGAGTTTGGCCTTTGAATAAATGATTAAAGAGCAAAAGATTGAGATTACTATTATTATCCTATACTAGCCAAATGAAGATGAGTTGGAAATAAAAATAAATTTGCTGGCTCACACCTGTAATTCAGTACTTTAGAAGGCGGAGTGGGGAGGATCCCATGAGGCTAGGATTTCAAGACCAGCCTGGGCAACAAAGTGAGACCTCATCTCAACAACAAAAAGCAAATTTACTACTCTGCTTGGAGAAAAGCTTTTATAAACAGCTCATTTCTCACCCTACAAAACACCAAGACTCATGGGATGAGAGCAGGCATCCCAGACTGAATGGGGTTCTTGAAGCCTATTAGAATAAACCAGCTGGGCATGGTGGCTCACACCTGTAATCCCAACACTCTGGGAGGCCGAGGCGGGCATATCACCTGAGGTCGTGAGTTCGAGACCAGTTTGGCCAACATGGTGAAACCCCATCTCTACTAAAAATACAAAAATTAGTCTGGCATGGTTGCACATGCCTGTAATCTCAGCTACTCGCGAGGCTGAGGCACGAGAATCTTTCTCTCTCTCTTTTTTTTTTTCTTAATTATTATACTTTAAGTTCTGGGGTACATATGCAGAATGTGGAGGTTTGTTACATGGGTATACATGTGCCGTAGTGGTTTGTTGCACCCATAACCCATCATCTACATTAGGTATTTCTTCTAATGCTGTCCCTCCCCTAGCCCCCAACCCCCTGATGGACCCCAGTGTGTGATGTTCCCCTCTGTGTGTCCATGTGTTCTTATTGTTCAGCTCCCACTTATGAATGAGAACATGTGGTGTTTGGTTTTCTGTTCCTGTGTTAGTTTGTTGAGAATGATGGTTTCCAAATTCATCCATGTCCCTGCAAAGGACATGAACTCATCCTGATTTATGGCTTCATAGTATTCCATGGTATATATGTGCCAAATTTTCTTTATCCAGTCTATCATTGATGGGCATTTGGGTTGATTCCAAGTCTTTGCTATTGTGAACAGTGCTGCAATAAACATACATGTGCATGTGTCTTTATAGTAGAATGATTTATAATCCTTTGGGTATATACCCAGTAATGGGATTGCTGGGTCAAATGGTATTTCTAGTTCTAGATCCTTGAGGAATTGCCACACTGTCTTCCCAATGGTTGAACTAATTTACACTCCCACCAACAGTGTAAAAGCATTCCTATTTCTCCACATCCTCTCCAGTATCTGTTGTTTCCTGACTTTTAATGATTGCCATTCTAACTGGCGTGACATGGTATCTCATTGTGGTTTTGATTTGCATTTCTCTAATGACCAGTGATGATGAGCTTTTTTTCATGTTTGTTGGCTGCATAAATGTCTTCTTTTGAGAAGTGTCTGTTCATATCCTTTGCCCACTTTTTGATGGGGTTGTTTGTTTTTTCTTATAAATTTGTTTAAGTTCTTTGTTGATTCTGGATATTAGCCCTTTGTCAGATGGATAGACTGCAAAAATTTTCTCGTATTCTGTAGGTTGCCTGTTCACTCTGATGATAGTTTCTTTTGCTGTGCAGAAGCTCTTTAGTTTAACTAGATCCCACTTGTCAATTTTGGCTTTTGTTGCCATTGCTTTTGATGTCTTAGTCATGAAGTCTTTGCCCATGCCAATGTCCTGAATGGTATTATTGCCTAGGTTTTCTTCTAGGGTTTTTATGGTTTTAGGTCTTACATTTGAGTCTTTTATCTACCTTCAGTTAATTTTTGTATAAAGTGTAAGGAAGGGATCCAGTTTCAGCTTTCTGCATATGGCTAGCCAGTTTTCCCAACACCATTTATTAAATAGGGAATCCTTTCCCCATTTCTTGTTTTTGTCAGGTTTGTCAAGGATCAGATTGTTGTAGATGTGTGGTGTTATTTCTGAGGCCTCTGTTCTGTTCCATTGGTCTATATCTCTGTTTTGGTACCAGTACCATGCTGTTTTTTTTACTGTAGCCTTGTAGTATAGTTTGAAGTCAGGTAGCATGATGCCTCCAGCTTTGTTCTTTTTGCTTAGGATTCTCTTGGCTATGTGGGCTCTTTTTTGGTTCCGTATGAAATTTAAAGTAGTTTTCTCCAATTCTGTGAAGAAAGTCAGTGGTAGCTTGATGGGGATAGCATTGAATCTATAAAATACTTTGGGCAGTATGGCCATTTTGACGATATTGATTCTTCCTATCCATGAGCATGGAATGTTTTTTTAATTTGTGTCCTCTCTTACTTCCTTGAGCAGTGGTTTGTAGTTCTCCTTGAAGAGGTCCTTCACATCCCTTGTAAGTTGTATTCCTAGGTATTTTATTCTCTTTGTAGCAATTGCGAATGGGAGTTCACTCACGATTTGGCTCTCTGTTTGTCTGCTATTAGTTTATAAGAATGCTTGTGATTTTTGCACATTGATTTTGTATCTTGAGACTTTGCTGAAATTGCTCATCAGCTTAAGAAGATTTTGGGCTGAGACGATGTGGTTTTCTAAATATACAGTCATACCATCTGCAAACAGAGACAATTTGACTTCATCTTTTCCTAACTGAATACCCTTTATTTCTTTCTCTTGCCTGATTGCCCTGGCCAGAACTTCCAATACTATGTTGAATAGGAGTGGTGAGAGAGGACATCCTTGTCTTGTGCTGATTTTCAAAGGGAATGCTTCCAGCTTTTGCCCATTCAGTATGATATTGCCTGTGGGTTTGTCATAAATAGCTCTTATTATTTTGAGATACTCCATCAATACCTACTTTATTGAGGGTTTTTAGCATGAAGGCTGTTGAATTTTGTCAAAGGCCTTTTCTGCATCTATTGAGATAATCATGTGTTTTTTGTCATTGGTTCTGTTTGTTATGGATTACGTTTATTGATTTGCGTATGTTGAACCAGCCTTGCATCCCAGAGGTGAAGCCAACTTGATCATGGTGGATAAGCTTTTTGATGTGCTGCTGGATTCGGCTTGTCAGTATTTTATTGAGGATTTTCGCATCGATGTTCATCAGGGATATTGGCCTTAAATTTTCTTTTTTTGTTGTATCTCTGCCAGGTTTTGGTATCAGGATGATGCTGGCCTCATAAAATGAGTTAGAGGGGATTCCCTCTTTTTCTTTTGTTTGGAATAGTTTCAGAAGGAATGGTACCAGCTCCTTTTTGTACCTCTGGTAGAATTAGACTGTGAATCTGTCTGGTCCTGGGCTTTTTTTGGTTGATATGCTATTAATTGCTGCCTCAATTTCAGAACTTGTTATTGGTCTATTCTGGGATTTAGCTTCTTCCTGGTTTACCCTTGGGAAGGTGTATGTGTCCAGCAATTTATCCATTTCTTCTAGATTTTCTAGTTTATTTGCATATAGGTGTTTATAGTATTCTGTGATGGTAGTTTGTATTTCTGTAGGATCGGTGGTGATATCCCCTTTATCATTTTTTATTGCGTCTATTTGATTCTTCTCTTTATTCTTCTTTATTAGTCTGGCTAGTGGTCTATTTATTTTGTTGATCTTTTCAAAAAACCAGCTCCTGGATTCATTGATCTTTTGAAGGTTTTTTTATGTCTCTATCACTTTCAGTTCTGCTCTGATGTTAGTTATTTCTTGTCTTCTGCTAGCTTTTGAATATGTTTGCTCTTGTTTCTCTAGTTCTTTTAGTTGTGATGTTAGGGTGTCGAATTTAGATCTTTCCTGCTTTCTCTTGTGGGCATTCAGTGCTATAAATTTTCCTCTACACACTGCTTTAAATATGTCCCAGAGATTCCGGTACATTGTGTCTTTGTTCTCATTGGTTTCAAAGAATGTCTTTATTTCTGCCTTCATTTTGTTATTTACCCAGTAGTCATTCAGGAGCAGGTTGTTCAGTTTCCATGTAGTTGAGCGGTTTTGAGTGAGTTTCTTAGTCCTGAGTTCTAATTTGATTGCACTGTGGTCTGAGAGACTGTTATGATTTCTGTTCTTTTCCATCTGCTGAGGAGTGTTTTACTTCCAACTATGTGGTCAATTTTAGCATAAGTGCAATGTGGTGCTGAGAAGAATGTATATTCTGTTGATTTGGGGTGGAGAGTTCTGTAGATGTCTATTAGGTCCACTTGGTCCAGAGCTAAGTTCAAGTCCTGGATATCCTTGTTAAATTTCTGTCTCATTGATCTTTCTAATACTGAAAGTGGGGTGTTAAAGTCTCTGACTATTATAGTGTGGGAGTCTAAGTCTCTTTGTAGGTCTCTAAGAACTTGCTTTATGAATCTGGGTGCTCCTGTATTGATGCGTACATATTTAGGACAGTTAGTTCTTCTTGTTGCATTGATCCCTTTACCATTAGGTAATGCCCTTCTTTGTCTCTTTTGTTCTGTATTGGTTTAAAGTCTGTTTTATCAGAGGGTAGGATTGCAACCCCTGCTTTTTTTTTTTCTTTCTGTTTGCTTGGTAAATATTCCTCTATCCCTTTATTTTGAGCCTGTGTGTGTCTTTCCACATCAGATGGGTCTCCTGAATACAGCATACCAATGGGTCTTGACTCTATATCCAATTTGCCAGTCTGTGTCTTTTAATTGGGACATTTAACCTGTTTACATTTAAGGTTAATGTTGTTATGTGTGAATTTGATCCTGTCATTATGATGATAGCTGGTTATTTTGCCCGTTGTTGCAGTTTCTTTGTAGCATCAATGGTCTTTACAATTTGGTATGTTTTTGCTGTGGCTGGTACCGGTTGTTCCTTTCCACGTTTAGTGCTTCCTTCAGGAGTTCTTGTAAGGGAGGCCTGGTGGTGACACAATCTCTCAGCATTTGCTTGTCTGTAAAGGATTTTATTTCTCCTTCACCTATGAAGCTCAGTGTGGCTGGATATGAAATTCTGGGTTGAAAATTCTTTTCTTTAAGAATGTTGAATATTGGCCCCACTCTCTTCTGGCTTGTAGCGTTTCTGCCGAGAGATCCGCTGTTAGTCTGAAGGGCTTCCCTTTGTGGGTAATCCGACCTTTCTCTCTGGCTGCCCATAACATTTTTTCCTTCATTTCAACCTTGGTGAATCTGCCGATTATGTGTCTTGGGGTTGCTCTTTTCGAGGAGTATCTTTGTGGTGCTCTCTGTATTTCCTGAATTTGAATGTTGGCCTGCCTTGCTAGATTGGGGAAGTTCTCCTGGTTAATATCCTGAAGAGTATTTTCCAACTCGGTTCCATTTTCCCCGTCACTTTCAGATACACCAATCAGACGTAGATTTGGTCTTTTCACATAGTCCCCTACTTCTTGCAGGCTTTGTTCGTTTCTTTTCATTCTTTTTTCTCTAATCTTGTTTTCTTGCTTTATTTCATTGAGTTGATCTTCAATCTCTGATATCCTTTCTTCTGCTTGATAGATATGGCTATTGATACTTGTGTATGCTTCACGAAGTTCTTGTGCTGTGTTTTTCAGTTCCATCAGGTCGTTCATGTTCTTCTATAAACTTATTCTAGTTAGCAATTCATCTAACCTTTTTTCAGGGTTCTTAGCTTACTTGCATTGGATTAGAACATGCTCCTTTAGCTCGGAGGAGTATGTTATTACCCACCTTCTGAAGCCTATTTCTGTCAATTTGTCAAACTCATTCTCCGTCCAGTTTTGTTCCCTTGCTGGCAAGGAGTCGTGATCTTTTGGAGGAGAAGAGGCATTCTTGTTTTTGGAATTTTAAGGCTTTTTGTGCTGGTTTCTCCCCATCTTCGTGGATTTACCTACCTTTGGTCTTTGATGTTGGTGTCCTTCAGGTGAGGTCTCTGAGTGGACGTCCTTTTTGTTGATGTTGATACTATTCCTTTCTGTTTGTTAGTTTTCCTTCTAACAGGCCCCTCTGCTGCAGTTCTGCTGAAGTTTGCTGGAGGTCCACTATAGACCCTGTTTGCCTGGGTGTCATCAGCGGAGGCTGCAGAACAGCAAATATTGCTGCCTATTCCTTCCTCTGGAAGCTTTGTCCCAGAGGGGTACCTGCCAGATGCCAGCCAGAGCTCTCCCGTATGAAGTATCTGTTGGTTCCTACTGGGAGGTGTCTCCCAGTCAGGATACGCGGGTGGCCAGGGAACCACTTGAGGAGGCAGTCTGCTCCTCCTCAGGAGTTCTCCTGAGGAGAACGCCTGCTGGGAGATCTGCTGCTCTCTTCAGAGCCAGCAGGCAGGGACGTTTAAGTTTGCTGACACTGCACCCACAGCCGCCCCTTCCCCCATGTGCTCTGTCCCAGGGAGATGGGGGTTTTATCTATTAGTCCCTGACTGGGCCTGCTGCCTTTTTTTCAGAGATGCCCTGCCCAGAGAGGAGGAATCTAGAGAGGCAGTCTGGCCACAGCAGCCTTGCTAAGCTGTGGTGGGCTCCACCCAGTTCAAACTTCCCAGTGGCTTTGTTTCATGAAAATCTCTTGAACCTCGGAGGTGGAGGTTGCAGTAAGCCGAGATTGTGCCACTGCACTATAGCCTGGGCAGCAGCACAAGACTGTCTCAAAAAAACAAAACAAAACAAAAAAACCTACATTTCCAGGAACAAATAGACTTTCTGAGAATGGTTCTAGTCTAGGGTTCATACCTGATGTGGCTCAGCAAAATCCTCTAGGGACACTCGCCTTATTGTAGTCCATAATGTAAGTATATGCTGGTAGATTCACTCCAACAGATGAAATCAGTTTAAGTCACAGGGGCTAATTTATCTAAAACATTCACAGATATAATGTATTTCATCCATAGCAAGCTATTTATTCTACTTTTAGTGGAAAAAAAAGTCAAACTCTCCCCTCGCCAAACAGCCCCCTTCATATTTATGACTAATATATAGTAACTCATGGTGGGATCCCATTATACCTATTCTCTTCCATACTTAGCTGCTCCCCTCAGACCCACATATAAGCTGGACCATTTGGAACCATCTACTTAAACAAAACCTGTGATTAAAAAAACACGTAAAATCTACCATTTTAACCATTTTAAGTGTACAGTTCAGTAGTTTAAGTATATTCACATTGTTCTGCAACAGATCTCTAGAACTCTTTCATCTTGTAAACTGACGCTATACGCACCAAACAACTCCCCATTTTCACCCCCACCAGCTCTTGGCAACCATCATTCTATTAATACTTTCCATTTCTATGAATTTGACTACTTGATATCTTATATAAGTGGAGCCATACAATAGTTGTGTGTGTGTGACTGGTTTATTTCACTTAGCATAATACTATCAAGGTTCATCCATGTTGTTGCCTGTGATAGGATTTCCTTACTTTTTTTTTTTTTCTTCCCTGAGACAGAGTCTTAGAACAGTCTCTGTTACCCAAGCTGGAGTGCAATGGCATGATCTCGGCTCACTGCAACCTCCGCTTCCCGGGTTCAAGTGATTCTCCTGCTCAGCCTTCCAAGTAGCTGGGATTACAGGCATGCACCACCATGCCTGGCTAATTTTTGTATTTTTAGTAGAGATGGGGTTTCACCATGTTGGCCAGGCTGGTCTTGAACTCCAGGCCTCAAGTGATCCACCTGCCTCAGCCTCCCAAAGTGCTGGGATTACAGGTGTGAGCCACCTGTGCCCTGCTGATTTCTTTCCTTTTTAAGACTGAATAATATTCCATTCTATGAGTATACCACATTTTGTTTATCCATTCATCTGTCAATGAACATTTGGGTTGCCTCCATATCATGGGTATTGTGAATAATGTTGCCATGAATATAGGTTTGCAAATCTCTCTTTGAGATCTTGTTTTCAGTTCTTTTGTGTATATACTCAGAAGTGATGTCTTAGTTCAAGCTGAGATAACAAAAAATATAGTTTGGGTGACTTAACAAAAGTTCATTCCTCACAGTTCTTAAGACTAGGAAGTCCAAAGTCAAGGTGCTGGCCAGTTCAGTTTGTGGTCAAGGCCCTCTTCCTGGTTTGCAGAGGGCTGCCTTTTTGCTCTATCCTCACATGGTGGAGAGAGAGATCATCTCTCACCTGTCTCTCCTTATAAGGGTTTACTGCCACTCATGAGGGCTCCACCCTCAAGACCTAATTACTTCCCAAAGACCACAGGGCTTCAACATGTGAATTTTGGGGGAATGCAAATATTCAGTCCACAGCAAGTGGAATTGCTGTATCATATGGGAATTCTATTTTTAACTTTTTGAGGAACCTCCATCGTGTTTAAGTGGTGATTATCATTTTACATTGTTACCAATGCCACATAAGTGTTCCAATTTCCCCACATCCTCACCAACACTTGTTATTTTGGGAGTTTTAAAAATAGTAGCCACCCTGATGAGTGTGAGGTAATGTGTCTTTGTAATATTGATTTACATTTTTTATAATTAGTCAGGCTGAGCACCTTTTCATAATTTTTGTTTGTTGGTCATTTGTATTATCATCTTTGGAGAAATGTCTATTCAAGTCTTTGGACTTTTCTTTTTTTTTTTTTTTTTGGAGATGAAGTCTCGCTCTGTCACCATGCTGGAGTGCATGGAGTACGGTGGCGCGATCTCAGCTCACTGCAATCTCCGCTTCCCAGGTTCAAGCCATTCTCCTGCCTCAGCCTCCAGAGTAATCCCAGTGGGTTACCGGTGCACACCACCATGCCCAGCTAATTTTTGTGTAGAGACGGGGGTTTTCCTATGTTGGCCAGGATGGTCTCGATCTCCTGACCTCATGATCTGCCTGCCTCGGCCTCCCAAACTGCTGGGATTACAGGCATGAGCCACCACTCCCAGCCCCATTTTTTAGTTATTTGGTTTTTTGAGTTGTAGGAATTCTTCATATATTCTGGATATTAACCTCTTATCAAATATATGATTTGTAAATATTTTCTCCTATCCCATAGGTTGCCTTTTCACTCTGTTGATTATGTCCTTTGATGCACAGACATTTTTAAGTCTGATGTAATTCCAATGGTCTTTTTTTCTTTTGTTGCCCATAATTTCTGTGTCATATCTAAGAAATCATTGCCAAATCCAATGTTGTGAAACTTTCCCCGTGTTTTCATCTAGTTTTACAGTTGTCAGTCTTACATTTAGGTCTTTGAGTTTTTTAATATATAAGGGTCCAACTTCATTCTTTTGCATGTGCATATCTAGTTTTCCTAGCACCATTTGTTAAAGAGACTGTCCTGTCCTTATTGAGTGGTCTTGGTACCTTTGCTAAAGATGATTTGGCCATATATGTGAGAATTTATTTCTGGACCCTATTCCATTGGCCTGTATGTTTGACTTTGTGCCAGTTCCACATTATTTTGATTACTGTTGCTTTGCAATATGTTTTGAAATCAGGGAGTGTGAGACCTCCAACTTTGTTCTTTTTCAAGATTGTTTTGGCTATTCAGGGTCCATTGAAGATTCTAGATGAATTTTGGCATGGAATTCTCTACTTCCGTGAAAAATGCCATTGGGATTTTGATAGAGATTGCATTGAATCTACAGGTCACTCTGGGTGACCATGAGATGTCTTTCCATTTATTTGTGTCTTTAATTTCTTAGTAATGCTTTACAGCAGGGGTCCCCAACCCATGGGCCATGGACCAGTCCTAGTCTGTGGCCTGTTAGGAACTGGCTGCACAGCAGGAGGTGAGTTGTGGGCAAGCAAGCATTACTGCCTGAGCTCTGCCTCCTGTCTGATCAGCTGCAGCACTGGATTTTCATAGGAGCTTGACCCTATTGTGAACTGTGCATGTGAGGGATGTGGGTTGTGCACTCCTTGTAAGAATCTAATACCTGATGATCTGAGGTGGAACAGTTTTATCCTGAAACCATCCCCCACTGCACCGTCCACCCTGGGTCCATGGAAAAACTGTCTTCCATGAAACCAGTCCCTGGTGCCAAAAAGGTTGGGGACTGCTGCTTTAGTTTTCAATGTGTAAGTCTTTTGTCTTAGTCTGTTCAGGCTACTGTAACAAAATACCTTAGACTGGGTAATTTATAGATAACAGAAATTTATTGCTCACAGTTTTGGAGGCTGGGAAGTCCGATATCAAGGATTTAGTGCCTAGTGAGTGTTTTCTTCCTCACAGATGGCACACTCTAGCTGTGTCCTTTCATGGTAGAAGGGGAGCTCCCCAGACCTCTATTAAAGGGCACTAATCCCATTCATGAGAGCAGAGCCCTCTTGATCTTATCACCTCCCAAAGGCCTACTTTTTTAATATCACCACATTGAGGATTACATTTCAGCATACAACATACATCAACATACAAATGTAGGGGAAGACACAAACATTCAGCCATCACATATCCCCTTGGTTAGGTTTATTCCTAAGTATTTTATTCTTTTTGATCCTATTGTAAATGGAATTGTTAAATTTTTTTGGATCATTCATTGTTAGTGTATAGAAATACAACTGATTTTTGTGTGCTGACTTTGTATCCTACAACTTTGCTGAATTTATGCTTCCTCTTGATCACACCATCCTCTGCTGGGGAAGAGCTAGGGTGAGCAAAATCCACAAACTTTCCTAGCCTTTTGGTGCGGCCTTTTCCTGGCTTTGCATTTGCCTAAATGCTGCAGTTTCCCAATTGGTTTCTAGAGTTCTCACAAAGATATTCTGGCCCATATATTGTTAACTCAGCGTCTCTGGGAGAATGAGGACGTGGAGTTCCCAAGTCCATCATCTTGCTGACATTACTCCCATCTACCAGTGTTAGCAAAAAACTAGTATGATGATTCATATATGATATTCACATATACAAATATGCTAGTAACATTTCTGATTCATGTATGATATTCACATATATGAATATGCTAATAAAATTTCAGAGTATATTGATAAAAAGTGCTTATCCAACAAGTTTTACTTATCTACTTATCTCCTGGTGGTCTGTATCAAAATCAATCTCATTCTTAGAGATGATAAAGTTTGGCCTAATAAAAAATTTTCCCAAATACGGCCAAAACAACTCAAGATTTTAACTCTTGAATCCTGGGACCCTCAACCAGAAATCTTCTCATGATTATTTTAGAAGAAAATTTTCCTCTGGTTGGGGAAGGTTTTGATATCCCCAGTGTAATGTACCTTCCCTAATTATTTTGGAAACTACTGGTTTCAAAGATTATATAGTAACATTAGAAATCCTGTGTGTTTAGTTTTGAGAAAACACTCCAACAGGAAGCACCTGCTAAATGGAAGGCATTGAAACATTAACTTTGTATCACATGCACTTTTATTACTTTAGGTATAAACATATTTTTTAACTCATTAAAATTTTGATTTCAATTTCTAAGTGATTATAAGTTCCAGTGGACTAAATGCATTCTAGTTGATCTTGTTTTGTGATCACTCTACTGCTGATTAGAATCTCTACTAGAAATTTTGTATTTTCAAGAGGAGGAACAAAGAGCAGAAATGGGATAAGTAAAATTTTAACTATCTTCTTGGGTTCAATTGTATTGCTCTGGTGAGAGAACTCAGCAGCAGGCAGAAGAGGACAAAGGCATGATGCATATTCAATGAGTAATGCACTTATAAGTAAGTTTCTTTAAATATAAAACATATTGAAGATAATAATACTCTATTCCTAGCTAAGGTTATAGTCTTGTCTTCTCATGAGAGTAAATATCCTTGAGGACAGGTACCACCTCTGTTCAAAATTGATCCTTCCCAACCCCTACTTCCACACTACCCCATACATTTGTAGGCAGGCACTAGATTGAGCTCAATAAATGTTTTGAGGAGTAACTAACAGAGTTATCATCACAACAGCTTCAGTTAAACTTAGAGCTATTTCTACTTGTCTGATGAGTGTCATTTTTTGTTCTGTAGTCTCTCCCTAATGAATCCTTCTTTTTAGTAATTCTTAAAATTCTATTGGAACTCTAAAACAGTTGAAAAGAGAGCAGGCATAGGGCCATACCAGTCATTTCCAAGATAAAAATGGTCTCAGATAAGATTCTAAAGAAAGTCCACTCCTCTTTGTATGTTTCAAAATGGCTTCAAGTGTTGTTTTGCCATTTAAGTGTGAATGTACTTGGCTTATGAAAGTAGATAGAAACTCAAAATTATTACTAATAGTGAAGTCATGATTTTTTAAGAGATTGAGACAGCAAATAAAATTGGAGAAAAATTCTTCTTTATTTAAAAATACCAGTAATACTGACAGACTTCAAAAGCAATTCACGCTTCCAGAATACAAAGTACTTAATACATATTTTCAAACCTGTTTGCATTTCAAACAAAGTTAGCGTTTTTGTAAATCAAATTTGATAACCCGACTAAAAATATTTTCCAGCTTTATTATTTAAGGAGCTGCACAGCCTTTAAAGTGGGGACCAGGAGGCAGGCAGAGGCAGAGAGACTGAATGCACCCAGGACTGCGCAGCAGTCTACAGCAACATGTCCCACAACTTTGGTGCTGGAAACACAAGTAATGCACAAGACAGCTGCCCTCCAGTGTCAGGATCCTGTGAAACAGCATATCAAAAGATCGCCAGCTTCTTATAATTTACACACTTTCATTTAGGATTGCTTTTTGAAGAAAATCTTTAAGAATGCCATTTTAATTTAATATCCAGAACCCTGAATTTAAAAAACTAATGAAAGAAATTAACTGTTACCATCAAAATGGTTGTTGCTGAGCTGTGTGAGTAGGAATTCTATGCTTTTTTAGATGCAAGAAAATTAACACATAATGCAAGTTTAATTTGAAATCACACAAGTTATGTATGTAGGCTCAGATAGTAGCAATGTTCACTTTTATTACTAATAGCTTAACTGAAACAGCCATCTATTCATTCCTCCAGCAGGAATAGCAGCACCAAGATCTTCTAAAATTCTTTACATATAAAGCTTAAGTCATTATCCAAGTCCCATTCTTTGCATGCTCCAATTCTTGTTATCTTATTTAACATAAAAGCAACAGGATTTGGAGAGTTACTATTTGCTGTATTAAAACAGTTACACAGCATCTTGTACTGTCAAAAAGCAAAATACTGTGAATGGCAGCCTGTCTTCACAGCTCTAAACTTGAAGCTGCCAAACAGTCACTGCTTGTGCCAGCAGTGGTTTTCCACAGAAAAATAGCAGAAACTAAAGGAATCATGGCACAATGGATTTCTGAATTATTTTGTCTACCATTGGTCCTGGGGCTTAGTACCTTCCCCCTTGTAGACTATATCTGCTGATCATTCCAGAATCATCTTTAATGAAGGAAAGGCATCAGGTCATATAGCGGGTAATGGCTCTCAGAGCATAAAGGAGTTCTGCTTGCATCCTAGCTTCTATAAGAAGCAGATTAACATGAACCTGAATATAAAATACAACATCATATAAGGAAGGGTTACAAGCATTCACAATCAGTTTTTCAGTGAATCTAATGAACACATAAAATAAGTACACTTCCTACACTTCCTATGTAGTACAGCATAACTTAGCCTTGGGTTTGTTGAACAGATTATAAATTTCTCAAAACAGCAGCTATCTTTTTTTTTTTTTTTTGATGCACACTTTCACTCTTTCCCAGGCTCGGGTGCAGTGGCACGATCTTGGCTCACTACAACCTCCACCTCCTGGGTTCAAGCGATTCTCATGCCTCAGCTTCCCATGTAGCTGGGAATACAGGTGCATGCCACTATGTCCAACTAATTTTTTGGTATTTTTAGTATCACCATGTTGGACAGTCTGGTCTTGAACTCCTGATCTTAAGTGATCAGCCTGCCTTGGCCTCCCCAAGTGCTGGGATTACAGGTGTGAGCCACCATACCTGGCCTAATATTCTTTTTGGATAGATTGAGCTTTCATTTATATTTTATCATGTTTCTTGGAGGTTTGTTACATGTCAGAAAATCTAGACACTGTTTTATCAGAATAGCAACTTCCCCTGCCAAATCATTATTCAGTAATTTCTATAAAGATGTTTCAAAGAGAACAGACACTTCTACCTATACACAGCTTTTATAAAACAGTCTTCTATGTGCTGACAGCCATGCCAGCACTTCTGAAGACGGGCCAGCCCACCTGTGTTCCCTGTCTTTATTCTTTTACTCTATCAACATAATC
Organism: Homo sapiens; assembly: GCF_000001405.40. NCBI lineage: Eukaryota > Metazoa > Chordata > Mammalia > Primates > Hominidae > Homo > Homo sapiens. Next base: position 108,988,384 of record NC_000006.12, read on the forward strand.
AGGTTCCCTTCTGAAGGGGTACCTGAGACAGCTGTCCTGGAATGTTTTTCTTTGGGTTGGTAGGGGTGATGGAAAGGGTTTCAGCACCATTAGGTTAGGTGAAGGAGACTACGAATCATTGCTAAGTTACAAAGTAAATAAGCCACAATAGGCACATACCTTCTCAGAGTGCTTGAACTGCCTCCAGAAGCTATCATACATTCTTTTGGTAACCTTTTCAGGAGTGCAAACAACAGTTTTGATATAAACTTTAAAGCTACGATCCAATAGCTGGTTAATTTCACCATAGTCATAATCATCATATCTGTTGAAAGACATAATGAGAATTATGATATTTTCAGTGTATAACCTGTTTTCATCTTACAAAAGTATACACATCAATAGTTAATACTGTATTTTTTCTCTCTTTGTGTAGGCAGCTGTCCCCAAAAATGATAGAGCTTTATAACTGCAGATGAATAAGTGAGTATAAAGGGATAAGAAACAGAGTACTTAGGGAGACTAACATAACATTTTTTCTACTACCCAAGTAAATCATTCCTGAAAGCTGACAATATTAACATAGCACTGGGTACCAAGCAATAGTGTATATCTGCAATCATGAACACGTAGCCACACTGAGGAACAAACTATTATTGAGACGGAGTCTTGCCCTGTCGCCCAGGCTGGAGTGCAGTGGTGCTATCTTGGCTTATTGCAACCTCTGCTTCCTGGGTTCAAGCGATTCTCTCACCTCAGCCTCCCGAGAAGCTAGGATTACAGGTGTGTGCCACCATGCCCAGCCAATTTTTGTATTTTTAGTAGAGACAGGGTATCACCATATTGGCCAGGCTAGTCTAAAACTCCTGACCTCAAGTGATCTGCCCGCCTTGGCTTCCCAAAGTGCTGGGATTATGGGCGTGAGCCACCGCGCCTGGCTGAACAAATTCTGAAAACAGATTTTGAGTATTATCGAAATTAAGAAACAAATTAATTACATTTGTTATTGGTACTAGTACTTTCTCTCTCTCTATATATAGATAGATATCTCTAGATCTAGAGATATATATCTAGATCTAGATACATCTCTATATCTAGAGATATAGAAATATCTGTATATATATCTCTAGATCTAGAGATATCTATATATATATAGAGAGATATCTATAGAGATAGAGATATCTCTAGATCTAGATCTCTAGATCTAGAGATATCTATATATAGAGAGAGATAGAGAGAGATAGATATCTCTCTATATAGAGAAATTTACTTGTATAAATAAATAAAATAAAAATAATTAGAATTACTTTACTCATGTTTCTAGGAGTTTCTGGGGTCAAATGAGAAAAAAGGCAGGGGCTGCGAGGAGAAGGATGGTCTATACTTAGGAGAGCCTATCCTGCTTTAAGCCAAGATGGCTGCATGCACCAGTTGTGTGCGTTGCTCCACTGGGTAATGGATTTCCAATCACATAGGCACTGAAGTCTCCTATTGAGTTTTCAGTGGAAAGGGGACAAAGGTCTTGCAAAGCTGGTTCTACCACCATTGAGGAGGCTAAAGTCAATAGTCTGGCTACTGATTAGTGGGAAATTAGTTTAAAGTTGGTCAGCTGTACTTCAAATGCCAGATCCGTTTAGAGTAGATTAAATAGGGTTTGTAGGTTTTGACCAGAGTCTCTGATAATAGAAAGCCTGATTTTACAGCAAAAATAGTTAACTAGTAAGCACTGTAGCTCAGAGTTTGTGTGCATGTGTGAGAAGGTGGTATACAATGACTGCATTTTCAATGTAACATAGTAACATGGCTGAAAACCTAACAGCAAGGACATGAAAGTTTTGCATTTTGATTACGTATTATGAGAGCAAGTACTCCTCAGAAGGAGCCTAAGAACAGCCAGAGGGGCAATATAAGGGTACTGATTTCCAAGGAGGTAGAAACATAAGTGTATCAAGAGATAGATTATATGAAGAGAAAAGATACTAAAGGTGTTCAGTTACAAACTTTGTTCTAGGACCAGCTTGCTTGTCCTCCCTTTCCTGGAGGCAGCTGTCATTCAATTCTTGTCAAGGTCCCTAACTCTCCCTCCTGCCTAGCTAGGAAAGAGAAGAAAAAACTAAGCTGCAATAAAGTGGTTCTTTGAAGCATAAATAGCATAAAAATAAGTTATTGGGGAGGGGATGGGTTTTGATTATGTGTGTGTCTATGTGCATGTGCGCTCCAAGCACTTGAATAATTTGGCCCAGAGGAAAACATCTCTTTATAAACACAGAAAGAAGACTAACCTTATTCCAAACATGCAGTGAATATAGTTCCAAATTGCCCGTCTAAGCATTGAGGTATCAACATCTTTGTGCATTGCCATTGTATTATAAGTAAGATTGTAAGCAATGTGAAATTTTTCATCAATCAACTGTCCCACATCTGGATAAAGGCGATTTACCAAAGAATAACCATGATCTTCCCAGCAATAGTCCTAAATACAGGGAATAGAACAAATGTGAATAAATGTGGTCAAGTACAGTTCTATATCTATAGCTCTGTAGCATGGTAAAAATCATTGTCATTTGGCTGACAATCCAACTGGCTTTTATCCCTAACTCCCAGCTTCACTTACACTCCAATCTTTTTTTCAATTCCCATACTGCAACATGCAAAAGGTTGTGTTTTATAACTCAGTGAGTTTAAAAACTAATAGTCTCATCTCAAAAAAAAACAACAACAAAAAAAAACTAATAGTCTCTTCCCCTTACACATTGGCCTTTATGTCTTTCACTCTCTCTCCACTCAGCCCCCCAGATGTGACCAGCTTGGGAGTCCCCTCTCCTTTTCCATTGCTGCAGCCATTCAAGTGGTCTTCAAATTATGAGTGTGTGTGTGTGTGTGTGTGTGTGTTTTAAGAGACAAGGTCTCACTATGTTGTCCAGGCTAGAGTACAATGGTATGATCACAGCTCACTGCAGTCTCCAACTGCTGGGCTCAAGCGATCCTCCCTGCCTCAGCCTCCTGAGTAACTGGAACTATAGGCACAGGCCACCTTGCTTGGCTACTTTTAAAATTATTTGTAGAGATAGGGTCTTGTTTTGCTGCCCATGCTAGTCTTGAATGCTTGGCCTCAGTGATTTTCCCATCTTGGTCTCTCAAAGTGCTGGGATTACACGTGGGAGCCACCAGATCTGGCCAAATTTTGTGAATTTTTAATTAAACACATCTATCACCCATTCCTTCTCCTACCTGCACTTCTGCCTTTTAGCCCTATTAACTGAGTCTCCTAATTAGTTTTCCTATATTAAATCTCCTTGCCTCCTTTCTTTCCACCTGAAACAAAACTTAATAAGCCCCTACTTCTTTGTTGCTTTCCTAAAAACACCTCTTTGATAGTATGCCATCACGCTGGTCAAAGCCTACAAACCCCACATAATCTAATGTAAACTACTTTGACATTTAAGGCACACCTAACCAATTTTAAACATACACCACTAATCAGAAGTAGGAATCTTTAGCTTGAAGCTCTCAGCAGCCAACCAATCTCTTTATAATTCCTTCCTTCACTCTATCCCTCAACCTAAGCTTAATTATTGTCTAGTCTCCTCTACTTACAATACCCTTTTCACCATCCAAATTCTTCAAATCCTAATGTCCCTCCATAAAAAATTTCCAGCCCACATGATGTCTTCAATTTCTAATCTATTGCATAATTATTCTATAACTCTTCCTTGTGCCTAAATTTTGCCCCTTAGCTTATTTATTATTTTTTGAGACAGGATCCCACTCTGTCACCCAGGCTGGAGTGCAGTGGCTCCATCACAACTCACCGCAGCCTCAACCTTCCAGGCTCAAGTGATCTTCCCACCTCAGCCTCCTGAGTAGATGGGACCACAGGTACATGCCACCACACCTGGCTAATTTTATTTTATTTTTTATTTTTATTTTTTTTGTGGAGACAGGGTTTCCCCTTGTTGGCCAGGCTGGTCGTGGAATGCCTCGGCTCAGGCAATCCACCTGCCTCAGCCTCCCAAGGTGCTGGGATCACAGGCGGGAGCCATTGTGCCAGGCCCCTTAGTTTTTTGAGCAAAGAAACAAAATCTTATGGTTCTCAAATATTTTCATAATTCTGGTAAAATAGTTATTATTTAACACTGGCCCCTAACAATATTTGGGAACGCTGGGAGTATCAACTCATCTGAATTAAATACTTACATATTTAAATATTTACACAATAAAATTTTTAAGATATACATACATTGAAACTACAGTATGATTCCATGGATGAATTAGAAACAGTCTTTCACCTTTTATTCTGAAACAAGACGAGATACTGCCTGCAAAGCACTTAGCATAGTTCTCAAATCTAAGTGGCTGTTTTGTATTTTAAGTCAGACTGAGATATTTCTAGTCAATCATGTGCATACAAGTTGCAATTTTACCTGGACACGAAATGTTGGAACATGCATCCCATGTCTAGAGAAATCTTTATAGCCATAACTAGTATCCTCAAAATGACGAGATACAGCTCTTGCTGGTGTAACTTCTTCATCATCTGGGAAAAAAGGCCATTGAAAGGTTTTTAAAAATAGGATGCTAGTTAAAATTGATTTTACCCAAAGGAGTAAAAATGGCATAACTCTTTCTCTGATACTGAGTGACCAATATCAACCAAAGTAGTCTTACAATTATACAAAGTAGTTTACTTGCTAGTAAACAGAATGTAGTAAAAGGAGATTTTCTGTTATAAAATGAAAACTCATAGTTGAATTCTCTATGCCTTTTATTGCCTCTTTCATAGATCCTTTCTCTCTCCTCCCATTCCAATTTATATGTATTAGGTTCGACTTATTCAAAGTATGAACATACTTTTGGATAATTTTTAAGATAACTACAAAAATCAGCTATGCTCCAAAATTTAGCACTTAGATTATTTTTGTTGAATATTAATGACATATAATATGTAACATGATCAAAGAAAGAAATCCCATGGGTTAACATTTTTACAGTGCTGCCTGCACTGTGACTAAGACTTTCTGGACTATCATCATGTTTAGGAGTTGATGAGATTATAGTTTCATGTAAGTGTATCATTAGATGACAACTCTACATCTTTAGGCATGGAAACAAAAATTTTTCCTGGAAGAAAAAAAAGTGAACATCCAACCTCCATTTAAACAAATTTGATTGTTTCTTTGCTATTAAGAAACTCGGTGCTCTTTCTCCCACTCTATTATATTGTCAAAATACATCTGGAGACACTTTATAAACTTTTTCTCCTTTAAATTACCTGGTTTATATATTATCTCCTGTAGCCTGCATATAGATAAAGGTTAAACATAGAGGATTTAGGTTGTTGGTAATTTAATAAATATCTCCTTTTCACAAATCATATAATTTTTGTTGTTGTTTTTTTAGAGACAGGAGTCTTGCTATGTTGCCCCAACTAGTCTGGAATGCCTGGCTTCAAGGTGATCCTTCCACCTCAGCTTCTTGAGTAGCCGGTACTACAGGTACAAACTGCCGTGCCCAAAAAAATCACAGAATTTTAACTCTAGAAGCAATCTTGGGACTATTTCCTCATATTAAGGAAGAGAAGCGTGGGCAATATAGCAAGACCCCATCTCTACAAAAAAAATTAAAAAATTAAGCAGGCATGGTGGCATGTGTCTGTAGTCCTAGCTACTCAGGAAGCTGAGGCAGGATGATCGCTTGAGCCTAAGAGTCTCAGGTTACAGTGAGCTACAATCACGCCACTGCACTTCAGCCTGGCAACAAAGCAAGACCCTGTTTCTTAAAAAAAAAAAAAAAAAAAAAAAGAGAAAAAAGAGGGCACTCATATGTTAAGTGACTAAGCCAAGTTCACAAAGCTTATTAGAAGTAATTTTAGTGCCAGAATCCAAATTAAATGTCCTCCCCCTTAGTCTAGGATGTTTTCACTTATGACCTTTTCTTAGTTGCTTGCTTTAAAAATTATTTGTAAATAGGAATACCTATGCAATAGTCTCTCTAAAAGGAAGGACATATTTAGATTGATGCTTTAAAAGTTATTTAAATTCTCTAAATAAAAAGTTGAGTTTGCAATAATTATATTGACTATATAATGGTTGTTCTTACCTGAAGAGAAGACAAACATACTCTCTCTTTTTTCTATTTCAAAACGTGAAGCCATCTCTTCCTGACTTGCCTCTTCTTCATCTCGACATTCCTGTAACTGCCTCATCTTTTCCATGAGGGCTTCAACCTCAAAGAAAGAATCACTTACCTGAAGAAAAAATACAATTAATGTTACATGTGGCAGACATAGAATATATATGAATTATCTTTTAAGTCTGTCTCATAAGAATTTATATCTTTTTTTTTTTTTTTTTTTTTTGAGACAGAGTCTTGCTCTGTTGCCCAGGCTGCAGTGCAGTGGCGCGATCTCGGCTCACTGCAAGGTCCACCTCCCAGGTTCACGCCATTCTCCTGCCTCGGCCTCCCGAGTAGCTGGGACTACAGGTGCCTGCCACCATGCCCGGCTAATTTTTTGTGTTTTTTAGTAGAGACGGGGTTTCACCGTGTTAGCCAGGAATGGTCTCGATCTCCTGACCTTGTGATCTGTCCACCTCGGCCTTCCAAAGTGCTGGGATTACAGGCGTGAGCCACTGCACCTGGCCAGAATTTATATCTTAGTAGAATATAGGGAAAATATTCCTATAATTTTAATGTACATGAATGAATAAAAAACTACTTTGGCCTATTAGGAATACAGACATGCAGATTTTAAAATATAAGGAAAAAAATGATTTTAAGAACACATTCTAATGCTTTTACCTTATAAAATTAGCAATAATGTCATTACCATTTATGCTGTTTTAAACTACTTGTCAATTTAAAGCAGAACTGCGTAAGATAACTTCTACTTGCTTAATCTTTAAATAAATAAGATACACAAAGTATAAGTGATTTTGCATCAACTGTGTACACTGGGCATACATATTGTCAATGTGTCTATCATCTTTAATAATTAGCTTTATTTCTACAATTTACCAATTAAACATGAAAGATGTCTACATGGCTGGAGTTGGCCACCTGACCTCTGCAAATGGATCTGGCAGCTGTCACTTGCTGGGATGACTAGAGCAGTGTCACACATAGAGTAATGGGGCTGACAAAGGACTGGCCAAGTGGTTTTGCACTAGTCAAACTGGTTATACTTCTATACCCTGCTGCATTCTTGCTACAAAAGCTAGATCAAATCTATGCAATTTATACCTTTCTTATAAAATGAATATATTAAGAAGTCTGGGTTGGGCTAGTGGCTCATGCCTGTAATCCCAGCATTTTGGGAGACCAAGGCAGGAGAATCACTTGAGCCCAGGAGGAGTTCAAGGCTGCAGTGAGCTGTGATTGTGCCACTGTATTCCAGCCTGGACAACAGAGAGAGACTTTGTCTCAAAAAGAGAAAAAAAAGTCTTAATCTCAAATCTCAATGTATACATACAAAATTAATGTTTCCCCCCTTATAAATTTATTTTGCCAGGAATGCTTTTAAGACCTCTATCTTCCATTCTTCCTGGCTTCCACCCATTGATCCTTCAGGTAGCAGCTTACATCCTTGTAAACACTGTCATTTACCCCACAAGCTCCAATTATTCTAACACAACCCTCTCCTCTTTCCTTCAGAGGACCAATCATAATTTATAATTGTTACTCGCATGATATTGATTTAATGCAGGCTCCCTTCCCAGACCAAACCTTCATAAAGGTAGGAAATCTGTTTGGTTTACTTGTATATATCCCAAGCCTAGCATAGTACCTGGTACATAGTAGATATTCAAGAAATACTTGCTGGAGAATGACTCTCAGGATAATTCTATATTAAGAGACAATCTATATCACTTGTGCTTTACATTTTCTTTTGATCCAAACAGTTATACTGAAATGCCCAGTATTAAGCCCTTTCTCTAAGACTTTCATGATGGGAAGTGTTTCTATGACGATACTGAAGATTCTTGTGGTGCATGCATGCATTTTCCCCAGTTATTCCTGACATAGAGTCAGTAACCAAATAAAAAATAGCTGAAAAGGATTAGGTTTCATGACAGGATGACTCAAAGTTTAAAAAAGATCTCTGTCAACTCACATTATCTGTCACTAATTTATTTTGTTTACCTATTCTCCTCTTAAAGAGCCCAAATTTTAAGTATTCTTAGGAAAGGTAATTCTTGATAAATTATATTGAAATAAGAGGGAAAGGAAACAAAGTAGGTTTCTTTGTTCCTTCACTGATCTGCTAAAGTTGGGATTAAAAAAAAAATGGCATTTCATTTTAATATTAAAATGTTAAAATTGTGTAAGAAAACTCTTTTTTCTTTCCCTTTATAAATTACCCAGTCTTGGGTATGTCTTTATTAGCAGCATGAGAACAGAATAATACACCAACACTTAGAAGCAACCAATGTGTTCTTCAGTAGCTACTGGAATAAAGAAATGTTGCTACATCCAGAAAATGAAAAATTATTCAGTGCTAAAAAGAAATTAGGTATCAAGCCATGAACAGACATGGAAGAAATTTAAATGTATATTACTAAGTGAAAGAAGCCAATCTGAAAAGGCTACGTACTGTATGATTCCAACTATATAACATTCTGGAAAAGACAACTATGGAGAGAGTAAAGAAATGAATAAGTAGTTTCCAGGGTTGGGAGGGAGGGAAAATTCTTGTTTGTTACCATTTGTATCTGAAGAGCTGAGTCAGATACTGGATATGTACCTAAAGAACAAGCCATATCAGCTCACTGTCAAAGTGTCATCAGGGTAGGCCATAAACCTTCTAAAAGTATCCAACTTACCTGGGAATAGGAAGCTTATTAGAGAAATAAAAATTATCTTCTTTCACTATTCATTCTTTTAATAGAAGGAGAACTAGAAACAATCAAGTACTTTTTTCTTTAGCCTTGTACTAAATTATTGGTAGCAAGGAGAAGAATCCATCTCCTAGCATTCTAGCAACTGAATACTCTCTTGGATCCTCTTCTGACTGCCAAGCTTTGAAAAATAATCAGTGGCCATATGCAGGCCTATAACATGAATCTAGGCAGCTCAAAGGAGGGTGAAACTGATGGTCTTTGGCAGTCCTATGATCAACCTTGGGAAAATTATTCTTTCTTGTGCTAATTTCACCATATGTAAATGCTACCTCTTATTTAGCACCTGACAAATGCTAAGTGCTGTACTTGGCATTTTACTTCTTTAGAGACATTTCATTTAAACCTCACAATAACTTTGTGTTTTACTTTTATTTAGATACAAAAGAACTGAGATTCAGTAACTTGCCCGAAGTCAAATATATAAATTAAAGGCAATTCAACCTGTCAAATCTATTTCAAAGGGATAATATAACTCAGAAAATGCATGTAAAGCATTCAGATGGCTGTGGTACTGCTTCTAAAATTTATTTTTGAAGCATAAAATAAACCCTTGCTTTTTCACTACAACAAAAGAATGCAGAAGGAGATTTTGATTCATCATATACAGGAATTAAAATTTGCTTATAGAAAACTGAACTTGCTCTGTTTCAAAGGAGTAACAAAACTAAGAATATATAAAAGCCAGGAACAGAAGGAATAGAGGTGAAAGCATTTTAACACATTTACATTCACCTGATATCACCTTCTATATTGGTGCAAAGTTAAACATGAAAAAGAATTCTGAAGAGAGAAATTTCTAGATCAAAGTTGATTAAATCTTCTGAAATATAAAAAATTAAGAAGCCAGACTGTTTATTTTGTGCAAAAGAGAAGAATGTGATTGGCACAAAAAGTCTCCACCACCAGGCCACACTATTTTCAGCCTTCCCTCATGTCACTGCAGTAGCCAATCAATATTATTTGGTCCTGACGGGACACATGCTGTTGGCTCCTGATCCTAAAATTATCTAAATGTAAACTCCTACAGGGTCTTAGAGTTTTGTACATCACTTTTGTAAAATGTTGTATATCACCTAGACTAGTGATGAGCATGTGAGGCAGTCAATAAAACCCTACTGAATGAATAGATATAGGGGCCCAATATCTCCACAGTCTTAACAGGGTGGGTTTTTCTAAGAAGCCAACTGAAGAAATAATATAACAGCAATTATTGTGATTAGTTTTATGACAATCTCATGACAAATAATACTTACAGAAACATTTTCTGCTGAGTTGACCGGCATCTCATCCACACTGTGATTGCCATTTGTAATGTCACAGATGCAGTAGTTGCTAACAGAAGGAGGTCTGAATGTGTGGCCACCATCACAATGAATTTCTGGACTGATTCCACAGCCGAATGTGAATGAGGCAAGAGAATGATAGTGTGTGAGTAAAACTACTGCATGTACCAATTCCGCAAGGGACCAGCTGTGCTCTTCAGCTTTTAAAAGTCCCTTAGGGGGAAAAAAAAAAAGAATATATTTTTGTACTGGGGTGTGGTAAAAGTATACAGTTCATTTTAGTATTTAATTTATTGAAAACATGAGTCATCATACAAAGCCTAGCATAAAATTATCATTTGAAACATGTAGAACCCAGAATTTGCTAATTTTTATGAATATGCATTCACAAATAGAACTTAACATAATCTGTTAAGACATTCACTATTATTTTGATTTTCTGAAATATTGACTTAAAATGTAAGAGAATGCATTTTGCTTAAAAGTGGCTGCTGTATTTCAGATGCTGGATTATGAATGAATTACTGTGTTGTTAGTTCAAAATCTCAAAGCAAATGTAATAAATTTGTGTTTAAAAGTAGAAGCTGCTGTGTGAAACGCCTGTGCTTTGTTTATTATAAGGCCTCCTCAAGGAATTTTTAAGATAGTGGCTTGAACAACTTGATTAAATATTCCTAAATCATCAAAAAGTTATATATAACTTCTATAATTCTTCTATTCAATTCTGTGTCACTTCTGCTTCATTATCTATTTTGTAATCTTGTATAATTTTTCCTTACTTGACAATATATAATAGGCATTGTATTAATATATTCAAATCTTGTATCTTCTTGATAATATCTTTAATTATCTAATAGTATCTATTCTATGAAATAGATAAGACCAAAAGATGCATCTCTAAGAATTTATAGTGCATGGTAGACAATTTTAGAGAACATCAATCTACTTTTACTCTATTATCTCTATTAATAAATAGAACCAGAACTAGCTTAACATGGCATTTAAAACGTAACATAAAGATGCATAACAATGAGATGCCACTTCACACTTATCAGAATGGCTGAAATCCAAAACACTGACACCAATGCTGGCCAAGATGTGGGACAACAGGAATGCTGCTTCATTGCTGGTGGGAATGCAAACTGATACTGCCCTTTGGAAGAGTTTTACAGTTTCTTACAAAGGTAAACGTAGGCTTACCGTATTATCCACAAATCGCACACCTAATTATTTATCCAAATGAGGTGAAAACTTTTGTCGACAAAAAACAAGAAACAAAAACCTATACATGAATGTTTACAGCAGCTTTATCCGTAATTGCCCCAAACTGGCAGTAACCAAGATGTCCTTCAATAGGTGAATGGATAAACAAACTATGGCATAACTATACAATAGAGAATTATTCAGTGATAAAAAGAAATGAACTATCAAGTCGTGAAAAAGCATGAAGAAGCCTTAAATGGATGTTGCTAGATGAAAGAAGCCAGTCTGAAAAGCTACATACTTTTGTATGATTCCAGCTGTATGACATTCTGGAAAAGGCAAAACTATATAGAAACAATAAAAAGATGAGTGGTTGCAGGGGTTTAGGGGAAGGGGAAAGGGGGGGAAAGGGATGAACAGGTGGAACCCAGGGCATTTTTAGGGTACTAACTATTCCATATGATATTGTAATGGATGCGTGACATTAGGCATTTGTCAAAATGTGTAGAACGATACAATGCAAAGACTGAACCCTAATGTGAACTATAGAGTTACTAGTAATATATCAATTACAGCAAATGTACCACAGAAATGCTGTAACAGAAGAAAATGTGCATCTGTGGGAAGAGATTCAGGGGGTAGAAAATAGGAACTCTCTGTACTTTCTGTGCGATTTTTCTGTAATCCTAAAACTGCTCTAAAAAAGTCTGAAATGACTCCCAAGATATATTACCCCACTGCTTACCTCAATGTGTTCTTTGGTAATAAGCCAAGGTCTATGGGCTAACACTTTGTTAAGTTCTCCTAAATTCTGTAGTTTTTGAGGAGCATTCTCTAAACCATTGAGCCACTTGGGGTCCCCACCAACATGAAGGAAATCATTTACATGCAGGTTCACTAAGTAGGAGCACTGATGTCTTGCCGCAGCCTTAAAACAAAAAGATTATTCTAATTATAAATATTAAAACCTTGAACTACATATCCTTTTTATTTACAACATGCAAAAGAGCTAATTAAGTTTATTAGTATGTTTTCAAATTTTCCGTAAACTACAGAAATGCAGTTTTTATATAAACATTTTAAAAATTCAAATACTGTAAGAACCTTAGAAATATTCCAAGAACAAACAAAATATCTGATAAAAGTATTTGAACTTTAGACATTTTATCTATATACTTTCAGAACTTCAGATTAAGAAGAAACTTCAATTAAGGTGCCAATCATAAAATAATGGAATATTATTTACATCTTGAACAGGAAGCACCACTTATGTCAATGTGAACTATTTATAATAATGAAACAGAACTTGTGTTCTACTTATTTAATGAAGAATGGTTCTCAGCAATGTATAAATACTTGCTTCTTTTTCTGTTATACTTGAGAGCGTACTTATTTAAAAATAGGAAAAACAGAGACTGTGCAACAGGAATCATATTATATATCATAATCTAAGTATTTATCCCTGTGTTTAAAGCATTAACTGTCTCTTAAAGAGATTAATAAAAATAGGCAAAAACAATTTTTCACTGAATGTTTACAAACCATTATTCCAATGTAGTGACGATAATGTAGGGGTAACGGCCCATCCATTTGCAGTAGATAGTGCTGAGTTTTTAAGAAACTTTCTAAATATTGTGGGTGGAAAACCATCACTAACGTAATGTTATCCAAACGGCCCAAAGCAGCAAAAGAATCTGCAAATAAAGCATGCATCTGTGCGTCTTCACTCCCCACTTGGAGGATCTGTATAAATGAGAAAAACCATGGTTACTGAAATGGTAAATTGGTGTTAAGGGAAGAAAATATACATGCGCTACACTCTAAGTATCATTTAGAAGCAGATTAAATCTGGCTTAAGAAAGAGGGGTTACAAATTTAAACTCAACTGGTTGAAAGATACAGAAGAATAAACAGTTACATATTATATAGTAGGGGATAAACAACAAAGGCTGAACATTAAAGGCCATCTAGATAGGCTGCTTGCAGAGTTGGCCAGAATCCAGATAAAGAAGCAGATTTAGATTATCAAATTTGCAGAGCTTGCAAACAGACACTAAAGCCTTTCTTTACAAAACCGCCTACTCTCACTCAATTTAAGGAGAACTAAAATTAACTAATAGCATACACTTCTTATGAAAATAAAGCATAGATGCTTTTATACATATATAGAATTAAAGATCCAATCTAGCACTGATATCAGCCTGTGGAGACAGTCAAGACTAAGTAACTCAGGTTATGGGCACACCTAAACAACATCTAAATATAAGCAGATGTTGTATCACTGGTCAAAAACAAATCTTGGCTTTACTTGATTAAATATGGGTGTTAAAAACACATCATGAAATACTAGAAATCAACACAAGTACAACAGCTTTTTATTCCCACAGATTCACTGCCAAAGAATGATTAACTGCAACCAACTCTGACTAAAACATGTTGTTGACCAACAGTTCTTCAGATGCCAACATGTGGGTCATGAAAGCTCTTCCTTAAAAGCATACAGTTCACTATGTACTTTCACAAACAACGTACCTCCTTTTCTGGGATGAATCTGCTTGGTCCCTGTCCTAGTGGTCGAGGAATTCTAATGCCAAGTTCCTAGAAAAGAAAATTACACCATCTCAGGCCTTTGGCAGTAAACAAAATGAACTGAGGCTAAAGGAATGGGAGGGAAAAACAACCAGTCGAACAGAGACAGGCTTGTTTTGATGGTTTGTTTTCATGGCTGTATATACATACCAACTCTTCTGTTAGCATTACATAGCTAACAACAGCTTATAATACAACTCTGATTAAAAACAATAAAACCTGTTTCACTAAAACCAGAGTTTTGCATAAAGTACTTGGCAGAAAGTCTAGAACAGAAAGTTCAGCACATAGCAGCCAACCCTGTGGATCATCAGTGATACAAAATAAGACCAGTGTGTTTGTACATCTAAAACTCAACCAACCCAAATATCAATCCCTGTGCATCGTCAGAAAATGAAAAAGCAGTACTTCCACCTAGGTGTCTTAAACTAGAAAAAGTGTAATTATTATTACATCTAAAACAACACCTCACGGTTAGAATGTAAATTTATGAAAAATAAAAACTAAATTCACAAGAGACAGCACTACAGGGCATGTTTTCTCTGCAGTTAAATAATTTTAGAGAAACTCATTTTGTTTGTAAGTTTGCCTTAAATTAAGTTTTTTTTTATTTACAGGATGTCATCAATCTTGCCCATATTATATTTTAGAGAAGCTCAAATAATTGAGAAATAGTTTTCTGACATTTGACACAGTGACTCTAGAATCCTGTACCTTATGTGATGGTGTAGTATGGTTAACAAGAACTGAAAATCTGTTAGGGTTTCCTTTCCCTCCCTCACCCTCCCCATATAGTGTGTTTACAGAAACAAAACTAAAATAATATATTTCAACTTTTTGTTGTTTTGAGGCCTATGTCCTATCTAGTGTCATTTAAAAATTTTTTTTAGAATTTATACAATTAAAGATTAACCCCTTCACTCATATATATTATATATATAATTAAATACTCATATAATTCTACTCTCTCCTTACTGCTTTTAAAGTTCTTCATGATATAAACCAGATATTTTCCTTTTAAAGAAAAAAAGTGGGGATGGGGTGGGGGTGGGTGCACAGAGAGAAGGACATGTGTCAGCAATCCAAGAAATCTGGTCCCAGCAAATGAAAGTCTTTAAAGCAGAACAGGCTTTTAAAAATTAAGCAGGAAGGACAAAAGTGAAGGTAATCTTTATTAGGAGACATCAAGATTCAAAGTAGTTTATATTTGCCAACAGAATTCATAAAATAATATTTAAATAAAATAATCTTATACTGGAGGTTGGTGACTTCTCCCTGGTTAGTCCATCCTTACACTGAAGATAGTAATGCTTTAACATTATACCCTTCATTAGAGGAGGCACTTAATTCACTGGTCTGGCCACGTGTGTGTCTCAATTTTAACATCCTGTAATGAATGCCAGAGGACATCCCTGTTATTCAATATATAATTTTGGCACCAATAGCAGCCATTTATATACAATGATGACTCTTAGCTTTTCTAACTGCTGAATTTCTCATCCAATTACATACATTTGAAACAATACCTATTGGACAAAACTAAGGCTAAAATTAACATTTATCCCCTCTAATTTCTTTAATCTTGAAAACTGTCTTACTTAAACAAAATGTATTTTAGGAAAATGCCTGTTTCAAGGGTTTATTACTGTTTTATAACTAAGAGACTTGGGACTTTAGTATACGAAAAGGTGTCATTTCAAATGGGGGAAAATGAATTATTCAACAAATGATCTTGGGACAACTGGATAGCCATTCAGAAAAAAAGTGAAGCTGGAACACTATAACATGCTTTACCCCACAATAAATCAGAGTTAAATGTAAGAAAAAAATGAAAACTTAGAAAAAAAGCAAAAAACATTATAGTACTAGAAGAAAACACTCATGGAGTGCAGCAGGCCTAAGAATACCACAAAAGCCAAAAGTCATAAAATATAAGATTGATAAATTTAATGACATAAAAATAAAGACTTTCACATGGGAAAAATAAATATATACAAAGTCAAAAGTAAACAGAAAGCTAGGAATTATATTTGCCACTCAAATAACAAAGGGCTAAATTTTAAAGAAAGATTACTATAAATCAATACGAAAATCCCCAACAATCTTTTTTTTTTTTTTTGGAGACAGAGTCTCGCTGTGTCACCCAGGCTGGAGTACAGTGGCATGATCTCGGCTCACTGCAGCCTCTGCCTCCTGGGTTCAAGTGATTCTCCTGTCTCCCGAGTAGCTAGGACCACAGGCGTGTGCCGCCACACCTGGCTAATTTTTTGTATTTTTAGTAGAGACAGGGTTTCACCATGTTAGCCAGGATGGTCTCAATCTCCTGACCTCGTGATGCGCCCACCTCGGCCTCCCAAATGCTAGGATTACAGGTGTGAGCCACCGCACCTGACCAACAATCGTATTTTAAAAATGAGCAAACAACACAGTTCAAGGAAAAGAAAATACAAATGGTTGAAAAATGCTTGACACTCAAAACAACTGCAAGTTAACTATGCTGAGATACTGTCTTCCTCCAAAAAGATTGCTTAAGATCAAAAAGTTTGATCACAGGCTGTATTGGAGAAAGGGTAGAGAAACTGTCATTAATTGTTTATATATTGCTGATGAGAGTGTTTTGAAGTATGAGAAAAAAGAGTATAGAGAATATATTACTACAACCGCTAGGAAGGGCAATTTGTAATAGTGATCAAAATTAAAAAGTCCCATAGCCTTTGAATCAACAATTCCATCCTAAGTGTTAACCTACAGATGTGCTCACATTTGTGAAATGCCATACGTAAAAGGATAACCACTGCAACATTGTTTCTAATAGTACGAGGTTGAAAACAATCTCAGTGTTCAATAGAAGGCTGTTTCAATAAAGTTCAGCATGACCATATAATAGAGTAGCATGCAGTCTTTAGAAAAAATGAAGCACTTCTACATGAGTTGACTTTAAAAGCTCTTCAAGTTATATTACAATAATGGGGAAGGGGAGGAGAAGCAAAGTGCAGAATATGTATATATTATGTTATCAGTAGGCAGGAAAAAAAACCTCACTGATTCAATTTCTAGGCCTTTATCTTACAAATACATTAGCATCATGAAAGGTAGTTACCTTTTTAAAAATGTGGCCAGATTGACAGCACATAGGTTTAGAAACAAAGAGGTATACAAATTATATTATTCTGGTTTTATTTCTCTACCAAATATATAGTTTATATGCCAAATTATTATAAAACAATAGGTTTACAATTCCAAGAAGGTGGCTATGAATGCTTGAGAAACAGAGTATTTCCTATATTTATGGCAAGGGTTCTATGTAATTCTTGTCTTTGTAAGTCCATCCCTATTGCCAAATTTAGTGGGCATATTAATAACACTGTCTCCCCTCTTCCTTAGCCTCCAAATTGAAGAGTCCTAATCTGTAAAATAGGGATGATGACAAAATAATAATACCATCAATCCCAACTATGTGGGATTATAATCTATATTATAAACTATAGAATTTTACAAATTATACAAACGTGAGTCTTTTGTTATAGATTCTAGTCTTAGGTATAAGGTCTAACAGATTTGGCTGTCTAATTTCTCAGAAGTAGCAGAGGAAGAGAGGGTAAAGTGGGGTTTCTAGACTGTGGCTGGCACCCTAACACTAGTCAATGATATCTGAGAACCAAATTGCCTTTCAGTTTTCGGCTTATTTCTTGAATAACACTGAAAAAGCAACTAGGGCTCATGATAATAAATAGCAATAGCAGCAGCAGCAGCTAACACAAAGTATGAGCTGAGCACTGTTTTAAATTATACTACCTGTAAACAAAGAACATGAGTCTATGATACTAAAGTTTAGAAAGAGTATTTGGTGTTCTACAATATTCATGAAAAAGTCAAGAGTCTTAGATTAATCCTTACCTTAATCTATGAAGCAGGTACTATTATTATCTCCATTTAGCATAACTGATGAAAGCCCTGAGATTTTTTTAATTTTTAAAATTATACTTTAAGTTCTAGGGTACATGTGCACAATGTGCAGGTTTGTTACATATGTATGCATGTGCCATGTTGGTTTGCTGCACCCATTAACTTGTCATTTACATTAGGTATATCTCCTAATGCTATCCCTCCCCCCACCCCCTACCCCACGACAGGCCCCGGTGTGTGATGTTCCCCACCCTGTGTCCAAGGAAAGCCCTGAGATTTGAACCCAAGTATTCTAGCTCAGTCAGTACTAGTGAGTGGTGGAGACGGGGGCTGAATCAATGACATCTGGTTCTAGAGTTGGTATCTTTCATTATTATTCTTTTGAGCCTCTTTAAGACTTCTTGATACCTTGGAGATTCTTACAGATACCACTGTTATTATACAGTAGTAGTCTTGGTTTATAAAAAGTTTCCATTTTCTGGAAAACTCACTTTTGAAACACTTCTTGGTCACATGTTAAATTGGTTACAACTCTTTTCTAGTAGATGCTGATCAAAAAAGGCACTGCGGGTGTTCAATGGGGTGATCATAAGCCAAACTAAATACATTTCATAGCTTCCTATTTAGGTTAATTCAATTATTCCTTCATCTGTAGCTGTAAGAAACTTAACTACAGACTTTGAACAAATTTTGGCCAATCCAGATTCTAGGAGACAGAACTGCCACCAACAAATGGCCTTGTTGAAAAGCAGATGTAGATACTAATCACAGCACTAACCTCACAGGCTCTCTGTGAAGGTGTGGCTGGAAGATTAACATGAGAACAATCTTTTCCCCTCAACAACCTAATAACCATCTTTGAAAGAGACAACAAGTTTCCACCATCACAATATTACTTCTGATGTTTCCTCAATGTATAATGCAAAACACTAATTTTCAGAGTGAAAATTCGTAGTGAATGTTGACAGTAGTACCACAGAAAGACTATGTTTTTATTGTATCACTGTATGAATCAATGTTTGTGTACTGAAAAGTACTGTTCCAGTCAGATGTTTCAAATTTGTGAGATACATTTATGCATCTGTATCAATATCCTTAAGTGAAATAATGAATGAATGACAAGTGCAAAATGAAAGCATTGTTGGCTTACAGTATCTACCCACCTGCAAAATTAGTTGAGAAGTAAAAATACACAAATAATTTGAATCATTTTGTTTTCCTCGCTACACTATTACTGTTGTGATTATCACAACATTCACAGTAATTTTATTTTTTAAATTCAAAAGCAGCATGTGTTTTTTGAAAAACATTTCAACAAGGTAAAGATATGTTATATAAAAAGTGAAAGTTCCCATCCCACTCGCCCTTCTCTGGGAGATTGCCTATAGCTGGGTGCTGGCCTTTCGACATTCAAAAAATTTAAATAGAAATGGAGAGATCTAGAAGTGTTAGAAATATGCCTACTATAGCAAAATGTACTAACAATTATGTTAATATTGTCATTAATACTAATAGGTAATTCAGAAATACTGAAAGTCCAGGTACTTTTTTTTTTTTTTTTTTTTGCCTTCTATGAACTATATTTTAGAAAAAAAACTTACTGACTTTAAGTTACTGCATTTGTAATACTTAGGCCATATTTGTGCCCTATACTTTGCTCAGGAGTTCCGTTTCTTGAAAGTGTTTAATTTAAAAGCATTATGGAAGCTAGCTATTTGAAAGAATTGTGTTATTCTTTTTGTAAAGTGAATAGTTTTCCTATAAAGCATTCCTTCCTAAGTTATCTTCTCACATGTTGGGATGTATTAAAAATGAAATACAACTATACAAAGCTTCCCGGTTTCCTCAACACAATCCCATAAGCGCTGTAACAATATGCAAGCCAAAATCTATTTCTTTATCTTTTAGTTTACAAAGCTATCTTTAGAAATTCTAGATCTGAGCAAGAACCAGGACTCTGCACACAAACATCAGCAGAAATAACAGATCTATTCAAGCATGATGATTGGGGCTCACTTCTACTCAAAAAGAGAAAAGATCTATTATGACCCGCAAACAGAAACTGTAAATGTTAATTCAATACTTTCATACTGTTTTCACTTTTTGGTAAAGTTTCCAAAGCGATACTGTAAGAGATTTTTAAAGATTGTTTTATTATCTGTAAACAAGGAACATCTAATATGTCCATAAATGTTAAAATCTCAAAAAAATATTTGGTGCTTTACAACCTTCATGACAAAGTGTCTTCATTTAAGTTTCTATGAATATACATAGTATACTGATAATAGACTCCATTAAAGAAATCACGAAACCACGTCATTTTAGTGAGTAAAGCTGCAGAAAAAATAATTCACATTTAGATTTCTTGAACTAAGGCAACACTCTGACAGCACCTGATTTCAATCCAAATTTAAGGTTCGAGTTTTACCTAAGGTTACATTAGTAACTTTCAAATGGTTTCCTATTTGCAACCACTTAGAAAAAAACACAAAATGTTACAATTAAGTACCTCTTTCTAAAGGACAATTCAGAAAAGGGATGGCTTAATACGCAAGAGTAAACGCTGTGCATAACGTCATAGAGCTTGCAGGACACACTTATTCCAGGCAACATCATCTCTTCCCTGAGTCAAATGTGTTTTTTTTCTTTCTCTCTCTTTTAAGTAGGAGGCAAAGGGGATGAAGGTGGCTAAATAATCTGTTTTCACAAGACAAGACAATCGAGGGGGCATATCCACAGGCTGTTTCACCCTCAAGACTCGAGGTCTGCTGGATTTCTGACTTGTGGAGACTTGTCCAGACGACAATGTTATTTACGTATTGGAGACTTTCATTTACATGACCGCGGCCGCAGTCTCTCCCAGCTTAGCATTTTCTGCCCAGGGACGACTCACGGTGCGCAGGTCTCCCACCCACCGCAGGCAACCCCTTCCCCCGAGGGGCGCAGGAGGGCCGGGACGCTGCTCCCCGGGAGCCCGCCCTATCTGGGGAGCGTTTTCGGATGCTGACCGGGAGCGACTGTGAGGAGGCAACGTGACCTCCGTGTTGCACAGGGCAGCTCGGCCGGGTGCCCACCCGCCCAGGTACCCAGCGGCCCGCTCAGCCCCTCGCCCAGGTACCTCGTCCTGGTCGCGGCCCCCGCCGCACTGCTTGCAGCCCAGCAGCCCCGAGACCGCCAAAGGGGCCGTGTACGCCTCGTTCGCGGCGGCGGCCAAGCGCATGTCGGCGCGGGGACGGCTGCGGACGCGCGGAGGCGGCGAGCGCTGGGCAGCCGGCCGCGGCTCCTGGCTGCAGCGCCTCAGTCAGCACGGACGGCGGGGGGGCGGGGCGGCGCCGACAAACAAGCCGCGCGGCCCCGCCCCGCGCCCGTCATTTCACCGCCCTGGCGGCCACGCAAGCCAATGCGGGCTCGCGTCCCCGCAAAGCACCGCCCCTCCGGCGCGGAGGCTGGGAACTGGCGGTCTGACGCGGCGAGGTGAAAAATCACCTTGGGGGCCCAGGTTCCCCACGAACAGCTAATTCTCAGGTACGGAATGGGCTCTGGAGGGCCGCGAGGTGAGCGTGCACTGTCAGGAAGGTGCAGCACGAGTCTTCGGGCTTCAGGGACAGGGGAATCTGCCCCCTACACCCCTGCTCGGCCATTTACCTAGAACCAAACAGCAGCCAACCTCGAGACTGATTCTGACAGCACCAGGAGTAATGAAGTTCTCTAAATTCGATAAACTATTGAAATTTCCCTTCTTCCTTTCCCATAATGCCCAAACGACGCTGAATCGGCAGCAGAATGCAGGACTTTGGCCTATAATCAATGCAAAATTCATTTTGCTAAGCTACGTAAAAGCTATAAATATCACTCCCCTACACAGATAATAAACCTTGGTAGCCTATCTCTGAATCGTCTTTTTTCCTCTCAAGTATATTCGAAGGCTTTACAATTTCTAATATTCCTTCATAAGCGCCCTCCCTGGGTTATAAAGACAGAATTTCAATCTCTGAAATCGGATGAGGAACTTGGGAAAATACAGGTTACAAAGGAGAAAAACAACTGACATTGTTGGGCCCAGAACCCAGATCCCTCCAGTCCTGTGTCAGTACTATTTCTTTACATAACTCTATTCTCTCTCTTTAAAAGAAACAAATTCCTAAATTAGATCTCTTTTTGCATGTTTATGCTGTTTTCAAAGCTTAAGTGCTCAGGTTAAAAAACAAAAAAAGTTGGAACATTCTGACAAGGAAACAAGTGGAATTTATAGCAGTAGTTATGGCCACAGAACAGGACTCATAAATGAAAATAAGTTTCAGTCTTAGAAGTGACGCTACCGTGTCTCAGTGAAAACTAAGTTACTCTTTTAGCTCTTCAACTATCATGTTTAAAGTGGCATGTCAAAATGGTTACTTTTTAT
The DNA here is from genome assembly GCF_000001405.40 of Homo sapiens. NCBI lineage: Eukaryota > Metazoa > Chordata > Mammalia > Primates > Hominidae > Homo > Homo sapiens. The sequence continues at coordinate 109,010,643 of NC_000006.12, forward strand.
TTATCTCCTAATAAATAAGATAAATGATATATGTTCTCTATACTGCTTTTAAAAAATAGCTAATGCACCCAAAATATTTTTTACTGGTCAAAAGAAGCAATATTGAGTTAATGTCGATATAGAAGAAAAGGCTACAGAGGCTTCCAAGCTCTCATCCACTGAGCACAGCCACAAAAACAAACAGTACAATCAAATGCCCACTCAGCCGTAAGCAAATACAAAAACAAAACAAACCCAGTACATCATGCAATTTGCAGCAATATGACATACCCTGCAAGATAAACTGGTTGTAAATGAATGAGTTGGACACATAAATGCACTTGATGTATGGGATTGTGAGCTGCAAAAGCTAGTTAGGTAGAAGTATGTGAAAAATGATGACTCTGGTTCTAGAAGAGTTGAGGTATGATTTTATTTCTGAAGGAATCACAGTTTTAGTTGTCTAGTAGGGCATAATCTTAGTTATGACATTTGTAAAATGAAGAATGCTTATCTTTCCATTTTCTAATGAGAGGCAAGGGAAAAGCATGCATTCAGTTAAATCAAAAGTGGCTTAAAATAAGTAAATGCAAGTGAAAACTGCTAACTGCATGCATATAGTAGGCTGATACTTAGTGCTTGATAAATATTTATTGAAGAAATATTTCAGATATACTGAAATTGTATAGGAAGCTCCAATTAGGATTCCTTTTTCCCCCAGATAGTTTCAAATTATTATTTAATGCTGCCTTATGTGAAAAGAAAAATAATTTTAATTTAATATTCTAATTTAGTGGTTTATGGAGAACCTTCAAGCCATTAAATGTCAAGATTCCTTTATGGTCTCTATAAAGACTGACCTAAATTCCTCAAAGAGTACTAATTTCTTGTTCTCTGCTATAGAGCACTAGAGTGAATTAGTCACTCTATTCTCCAACATAAAAAGGTTGCCTCCAAATAAATTTACAGTAACCAAGAGTTCCAACAAATGTATTTTTAAAATTTTTTTTCTTTTTTTTTTTTTTTGAGACAGAGTCTCGCTCTGTCAGCCAGGATGAGTGCAGTGGCATTATCACAGTTCACTGCAGCCTTGACCTCCAGGGCTCAAGTGATCCTCCCACCTCAGCCTCCTGAGTAGCTGGCACTACAGGCAGAGGCCACCACACCCGGCTACTTTTTAAATTTTTTGTAGAGATAGGGTCTCATTATGTTGTCTAGGCTGGTCTCAAATTCCTGGACTCAAGCAATTTTCCCGCCTTTGCCTCCCAAAGTGCTGGGATTACAGGTGTGAGCCACCACACCCAGCCCAATAAATGTATTAATTAACCTGCATCTATCATTGTGCAGATTTAACTTTTGAAATGTTTTGTTTCAAACAATTCAATAAAAAGTATTTTCCAAGGATTTCGAAGGTAGGCCTGATGTTCTGAAGGTGCTGCTCCTCTCAACCTCTAGGGCTGAGCACATACAGGCATGCGATAAACATCTGCTGAAAAGATGAACATCCTGAACACAGAACAGTGATTACAAAGGGCTGTGTTTTTGATATTTACCACAGGTTGTCAGTACAGGCCAGAGCTACCTTACAAAGTCTGCTATTTAAACATTTAATTTTGATATTTCTTTTTTTTTTTTTTTTGAGACGGAGTCTCGCTCTGTCGCCCAGGCTGGAGTGCAGTGGTACGAACTTGGCTCAGGAAGAATCCTGACATTTAATCCAAGAAGTAATAGTAATTCTGAAATATTTCCTTTCTTTTAAAAAGATTTTGGTCAACTTACTCAACTGTATCAAAGTGAGGTTCATTGCCTCTACATCTGTCCTTAGCAGTAATGCACTCAGCCTTATTTTTCTGAAGAGCAAGCTGATAATCTATGTAAAAGCAGAGTGGTGTCAAATGACTTGATTTTAACAGAGAACTATGAAATATTAGGGGACTCTGCACTTGGAATGGTGGTTCAAGATAGGCTTCCTGAAGGAAAAAGACACCTGAGCTACAGCTTAGAGTATTAGTAGAGAGGCCTTGGAAAGAAAATTTGGGGGAGAGTTTGGGAGAATAGACACAGAGTTCTAAGTAAAAGATCTAGCATATGCAGAGGCCCAGAAAAAGGAAAGAGTGATCCATTAGGGAAGCAGAATACAGGAAGCTCAATGGGTCTGGAAAAGAGGGTAAGGAGAGTAACGGAAGGAGTTTAGGTAAAAGATAAGCAGTAGGCCGGGCGTGGTGGCTTACGCCTGTAATTCCAGCACTTTGGGAGGCCGAGGCAGGGCGGATCACAAGGTCAGGAGCTCGAAACCATCCTGGCCAACATGGTGAAACCCCGTCTCTACTGAAAATACAAAAAAATTAGCTGGGCGTGGTGGTGTGCGCCTGTAGTCCCAGCTACTCTGGAGGCTGGGGCAGGAGAATTGCTTGAACCCGGGAGGCAGAGGTTGCGATGAGCCAAGATCGCACCATTGCACTCTAGCCTGGCAACAGGGAAAAAAAAAAAAAGATAAGCAGTAATGAGGGAGTGTTAAGCTTCATTAAAGAATACGGATTTCATTCTTAAGGGTACTGTGGAGTTACTGAAAGTTGTAAACTGTAGAGTGACATCAGATTTGCATGTCAGCTAAGGTTTGGAAAAATATATTGCAAGGGGCAAAACTAGGGGCAAGGAGATGAGTTAGGCTGCTGAGGCAATCTTGGCAAGGCAAGAGGGCAGTCTTCGGAACAATGGGAAGGGAGAGAAGTGTAGAAGATGACAGTGGATTCTGTCTCTCCAGTATGGTAGTTAAGTTCCTTGAGGGAGGCAATCATGCCTCAAACTCTTGTTTTTGAAATTTAGGAGATAAATCTCAGATTATCTGCTCTCCTGACCAAGTGGCTTCCCTGAGCGCATTAGGTCTTTAAAAAGTATAATCAATTCATGACAAGGAATAGATATATTTTAGTAGAAAAAGCAGTAATTAGGTTAAAAGGCATAATCATACTTTTATGGACCACATGTTAAACCCTGTACTATAGATTTGCACATCTCCTCATTGGAATCAGAATTATACTTAATGCAGTAATTGGTTAGAAAACATACAGTAATGGTTTTAGCCATTAAACCAAAGAACTCCTTTAAGAGTGGGAGTGGGATTTGTTACATTTATGTGGTTTAAGCATTCTTGAAAAATCCCCTATTGTCATTTAAAACGTTTCATTTAGAACAAATGCTGGTTTATAAGACTACTTCTGCTTACTAATTTTGTCTAGATTTTTCTCCTCCAGCTCATATCTTCCTGTTTTTATCTACATAGCTTGTCTGCTAAGCACTTTTTCCCTTTTCAACATCATGTTTTGGGTACATTAAGATCCTTTTAGCACTGAACTTTAAACTGATCCTCTTATTTGCTCTATACTTTTTTTTTTTTTCAGTTCTTCAATTTTTAGAATTATATCACTTTAAAGGAGCAAGAATGTTGACAAGTCTTTGGTATTTTCCTCTCATTTAGAGTTTCCTCTTTTAGAAATGTAGTGTTTTAACTTTCTACATAGCTGTTTAGAAATATGAGGCATCACCAATATTTGTAAATAAGTAGTATTCCAAGAAGTGTCAGTGGTTTTAAATTTAAAAGTTGCTTTTACCCCAAAATCAATGTGTTAAATAACGGTCAGGTTTTCTAGGCTGATAATAATAAGACCAGTAATTTGTTAACTCCTGTGTATCAGACACAACACTTTACATGTATAAAGCAGATGTAATTATTTTTATTTTACAAATTTGTGACATAGAAACTAAAAGTATGGGCAACTTGACCAAAGTTATAAAACTTGTAAAATTCAGCCTGGAATTAGAACTCAGGTCTGTCAGAATCCAAAGCAGCAGTCACTATATGAGGTTGCTGCATTTACCGAATATATATTTACAATTTTGATAACTGTGTATTCACCTAAGTTCTTGATTCTGGAGGCAAGAAAAGAGGGTAGAAAGACAGAAAAATTTATCTCCCTTGCTTTTACTCAGGGTGAGTTTTTTTGTTTGTTTGTTTTGTTTTGTTTTGTTTTTAAGAAATCATGGAATGGGTGATCTTGGGCTTTGAGAGCTTCTCTCCTCCATATTTCTGTCACTCCTCTCAGTGTCTCTTTCTGGGCCTTTGGTGGCCTCATGCCACCCAAAGCCTGTTCACTACATATCTCATCTGAATCTACCCAACCTCCTACATGTTCCTCACATGACCCCCGTTTCTCAAAAAGTGGTACGTTTTAGGAAGAAAGCTGGCTTCTCAAACAAATCACACTAATTTTGTAAGTTACTGATACCTCCTATTTATTTATTTAGTTTGTCTCAATAGGATATAAGCTTCATAAAATCAGAATGTCTGTATTTTTGGTTTACTGCTATATTTCCAATGTCCTAGTGCCCTGCACACAGGAGACCCTCAAAAATTATGTATCGAATGAACTCTGAAGAGATGTTTCCATTAAAAAATTGTTTAAGCTTAACTGAAAGCCTAATAATGAATTTCAAGTTCACTATTCAGGTAAACATTTTTGAGGCTTAGGGGCCACAAAACCTGCCTGTTTATAGGCAGGCAGGCTGACTCTGTGAGGGAATTAGCTTCTACTGGGTTCAGCTCTGCTAAGCAATCTGTCTTTCAGAATCTCTCCACTTCTCCTTGGAACTCATAGATACCCAAGCTCCTTTGATTTTTTCTTTGATATTTCTGTGACTGCTCTCCTGCACTACCAGGCTAGCAGCTATACAGGGTCTGACAAGAGCATGTATGGATCACTTGTTAAGTCAGGCATGTACTTACAAGTCAGACACTGCCTGTGTCTGACAAGATACCATTGTTTGACAAGATTCAGAAACACTTTGTAACCAAGTTTGGCTTTAAATAATCCTTAGGTCTATCCAAGGTGAAGTGATAGAAAAGAAAGTGTCTGTTGAGATATAAAAATTAAGTGGGAGAATTCATTCAGACATATTACAATGTTTAGAGGCTACTTTTCAGCATCATCACTGAGTTAAATAAGAAGGAATGGGTTTAATTTGGAATACTATGAGGTCTATGAAAAAGGTGAATGTGAGGGGGAAATGGACGGTTAGGACTTTAAGCCATATGTTGCTAGGCGCTACTGAAGGTTTTAAAGAAGGAGAAGGAAATATACAAACTCAAAAAAGGCAACAAAAGATACTAAATATATGCAAGTAGAAAATATTTCTCAGACTGAATATACTCTGTGTTGTATAATTTTTCTAACAGTTTTTTGAGGGGCTAGATTTCATTTGTACCTAAACAATGTGAACACATGAAATTCTCATAGTGCTTCTATTTGTGCACAGGCCAAGAACTGGTTTAGTATGTAACCTATAATTTTAAATACGAGGAATTAGCCAGGCATAATATTAAAAATTATCCATTCAAAATAGATTAAAACCAAACCTAATATCTTTAACTTATCCTGAACCCACAGACTTAATGGAACTGAACTAATCCCATTTAACCATAGGATTTTTACCCGTGGTTAAAATGTTTGGGCTAAATGCATATTAATGAGTCATTAGCTTAATCATGACAGAATTTTAAATGCTTTGTTTATACTAACGGTAATTTTTATTCAAAGAAACAAACCAATGACAATATTCTAAAGTTTTAAAATCCAGTTGTTTTTGTTTATAACAGCTATCCTGCCTTCCCTATCCATGCCTCCCCACCCTATGATTATTACTACCAAGTGGTGAATAGAATTCTGCAATATGTGCTTTTCTTGCACAGTTCAAAGAACCCCTACTCAGTTCCTTTTTGATAATCTTTAGTTGTAGGTCCTATAATCCTTTAAACCACCTTCTTTTTCTGCCTTCTTCAGAGGTCTCTTGCTTTCCAAGAGGGTATTAAGTTGTAGATTCTTAACCTGAGCACAAGTACAAGGCCAAATCTGGAGACTACTTGTAGGTTATTATGTATTTTAAAAATAAAATGCTGTTCACTGAACTTTCCTGTCTGTTCTTCTGCCCTCCCAAATTCTCACTCTGTGGGCCATTTTCCCCTTTACCCAAAGGGTATAGATACATTTAGGGGACTATAGTTCATCAAATAAAAATGTTTATATTTGCTTATCCATTCTAGCTTTCTGTTTTGCCAAAACATACTCTCAAACAATAAAAGATATAATACCACTTAAAAATGTATGCTTTTTACAGGAATTCAGATTTGAATGGAATTCAAGATCATTTTGCTTGTAGTAATAGAGAATATGATTTTCTTAATTTTTGCATTTTTATTTTCTGGCAAATAACTCAGAAATACTAAAATAGTATTTTATTCAGATGATATAAATTGGAGAGGGTAACACTCTTAATTTGTTATGAGTCTAATTTTTAAAATATATGTTCGTATAAGTTTACATTGGTAAAATAATGCTATTATTTTATATATTTTATATTTTATATGCTTTCAGTTATAGACCAGACCCAGGACAGGCTAAATGAAAGTTATATTGTGAAGGTGAATTTCGTCTATAATTCAATAGACAAACATGAACTGTTGTAGTTCCCACAGCTTTTTCTCTTTAAGGCTCTATTTGGCATTGAGCCTTAAAATAATGCTATTATTTTACCAATTAACAGAAAACTTGATACTATGTAACCATTTAGCATTCAATCATTCATTATTTGTAAATATTTACTAAATGTCAAATTTATGCATTTCTTTTAGACAGAGTCTCACTCTGTCGCCCAGGCTGGAGCGCAGTGGTGCAATCTTGGCTCACTGCAAGCTCCACTGCCCGGGTTCACACCATTCTCCTGCCTCAGCCTCCCAAGCAGCTGGGACTACAGGCACCCACCACCACACCCAGCTAATTTTTTGTATTTTTAGTAGAGACGGGGTTTCACCATGTTAGCCAGGATGGTCTCGATCTCCTCACCTCGTGATCCGCCTGCCTTGGCCTCCCAAAGTGCTGGGATTGCAGGTGTGAGCCACCGCGCCCGGCCCAAATATATGCATTTCTTAAATCATATGAACAAGCAGAAATCTCTTAATTCGAGATTGGGATTTAAAGTTAGACTTAACCACTTACATAAATCATACAGATTAGCAGATAGCTTGGGATTCTGTTAGGAAGCATTAAATAGAGGGTCATCTAGTTTACTACCTTTGCAAAGAAAAAATAAAAAGCCTGAAAACCTCTCTAGTTGTAATCCCTTTAAATTTGAAATGAAGGGCAATTGAACTTAATGATCTCTCAAACTTTATTTCAGCTCTAAAGTTCTAATCTTTTAATATAATTCCTGGCGAGGCACAGTGGCTCAATGCCTGTAATCTCAGCACTTTGGGAGGCTGAGGTGGGAAGATCATTTGAGGCCAGGAGTTTGAGACTAGCCTGGGCAACATGGCGAGAACCCTGTCTCTTTCTATAGAACAATAATAAGAAGAAGAAATAGCAAAAATATAATTCCTGATTTTATCCAGAGTTCTATGCTTTCAGCTAACTAGAACCTGGCCCCTTCCTGCTCTGGACTTCCTTGTATATTATCAGTGGTTTTCAAATTATATTTCTTAAAATCCATTCCTTACACATACTTTAGAGATATTATAAAATATTAGATTTGAACTTTGTTTTTCAAAGTAACCTACAAATGTATATCAACATTAAATTCAATGGAGACTGCCAAAACAACAATTTGTTACCAGTAATAATTCAGTTATTAAATAATGTCTCTCCCACCATCTGTGTGAGCACATTTGAACATTCTTGTAAATGTATAAATGTGTCAGTGATTAGGAGGGGTATAGTTTATGTGTTCTAGTCTTTTAAAAAATTAATGCGTGTCTACATCAGCTGAAGTAAAACTATAATAGTGAGTGAACTGCTACAGCAAGTGGATATTTTGCTTTAAAGATGCCAGGAGAGGCTCAGGCACATTTGCTTGGTACGTGCTCCTGAAAGGGTGTAACTGTCAATTTTGTAATGTTGAAGGAACAGATTGCACATCCCATCATGATTCCTTAGTTTTTAGTGGATATTGTACATTTTGGTGCTTATTGTTTTAACTTTTATGTTTATAATAAAGAATGCAAGTAGTTGTTTGAAATCATTTTTTTCACTTTTTTGTTCAAGCTTCTGGATCAGTTTAACTGCAGCGTATCTTGAGAATGCAAGGTGAACTATTTAAAAAGTTTTCACTCAAAACCATTTATCTAAGTCTATAATTTCAGGGATGACTTCTATAGTTCATTACTAGAGAAGTTTCTCTGAACATGTAGAGCACGATAAAAAATGAAAGTATAAAGATATTTTCAAAAACCCACAAAAGCACTTACCTGTGTGAATCAGATTTTCTTGATATTATGCATATAAGAAAATATAGAAATACTGCAACCATCATTCATAACCCCTTAATTTCAAATTTTCTGAAAATATAAAATATAAAATAGCCCCACTGTTTTCACTAATTGATTTGATAATGAATTTTCTTATTTGAACTTAAATAATTCATTGATAAAACACTTTTACAGTTTTAGATACTATATACATCAGAATTCTAGTAATATTGTTTTATTAAAGACTAAGCTGACAAAGAAATTAAAACATTTTTTACACACACACACAAACACACACACAGACACACACCCCTCATGATCTGTATCCTGGAACTCACACTAGGTTTGGAGGATCCAAGCTAGTCTGTGGCTCTCTACATCACTCACCCAAGACTTGGGTCAGGCTTTAAGGTTCAGAGAATGCTCCAATAATTTCAACTGGTTCCAGCAGAGTGCTGGGGGAATCTAGTTCAAAGTCTTATTCTCATTAATGCCAAATAGAGCCTTAAAGAGAAAAAGCTGTTGGAACTACAACAGTTCATGTTTCTCTACTGAATTATAGACCAAACTCACCTTCACAATGTAAATTTCATTTAGCCTGTCCTGGGTCTAGTCTATAACCTAAAGCATTATCAGTCCTTTCAGCCCTCTTCAAGAAAACATAAATAAAGTCACTCTTATCCTTTAGTGACACACATGCCAGTATGAGCAAGAATAGTCTTTATCCTAAATCATAAAAATTTGACCTAATAACTATTTTCATATTACATTTCAATTGAAAAAAATTAAGTAGTTTGGATTTGTTCTTATTAACAAAGATATTATTGATATCCAGATAATTTTTAGTATAACAGGCAGGTTTTAAAATAATGCATTTGCTTTCTACAATTAGAACTTGCTTTATGTCAATAAATTCAACTTTCAAGTATTCAATTAGATTTTAAAAATTAAACTACAGTACTTTAGTTTGTAGATCATAAATACGCATTAAAATGTCACAATCTTCAAATATTGCACACTAAATTTATACATAAGTGGGTTTTAAAAAATCTAAACTTCAAAAGATGCCAGAAAAAAGTATGTGGATCAGGTGAAAGAGCAAAGCAGAGTCAAAAGCAGCAGGATGCAGTTCAAATAGGTCACACTCAACTTTTAACTTTCCCTAAGAACAAAAACACAAACTTAGCAACAGCTTTTAGCCAATCACAAAGCAGACAAACAGGTAAGGACTCAACTGCTCCAGATACCGGTGAGGCCTAAGCTTCTTCTTTTTTTCTTTTTTTTATGTATTGTCACAAGAGAAAACAACAAATTATAAAACAGGATATATTGTCCTAGGTTAAAAGTAACTGATAAAATCTTCTCACCAACTCTTGGCAAAATAGATTAGATTTTAGTATTGTAGTGATTATTTGTTTCATCTTTATTATGCCAGATACTGTATACATCAAGTTACCATTAAAATAATAGTGTATTTTTAGTTAAAAAAAATTTTGTGGGAAATATTCTTTCTTGCTGTGGGTAGAAAATAAAGGTAGAAATATCCAGTGAAATGCTACAGGCCAAATCCAAAAATATAAAATACTAGTAAAAACAACCATACCACAAATACAACTTTCAAAACAAATGCAGGATCAAGCAAACTGAACAAATTGCACAGTGCAATTCTATACAATTTTTTCCTCTTTATTTCTATCACTCAATACATATCCTTCTCCTTGGAGAGAAGAAGGTTTTCAGAGGATTTAGAAGGGATTTTCAAGAGTTACAGATTTCATCACTGTTATATTTAGCACAGACCTCAGATTTGCTCAAACTGACAGAGCATTACCTGCAATATAGACACAAAAACACTGTGAAACAATAGTTAACAGTTTTCTTCATTTTGCTTCAGTTTGCCAAATTTATATTCTAAAGCAGTTTCCAATATTTTCTGTGACTATCATCATGAACAACACTTCTTTTCTCTTCAAATACTACTTAAACCATTTGATGGTTGTAGTTCCCTAAAAAAGGAATTAAAGTAGAACAGTTTGCTTTGTCATTATCATTAATAATCTCCTTCACCCACCATTTTAGGAGACACTTTATTTTCTTTTTTAGAGATAGGATTTTGCTCTGTTACCCAGGCAGTAATGGGGTGATCATGGCTCACAGCAGCCTCGAACTCTTGGGCTCAAGTGGTTCTCCCACCTCAGCCTCCTGAGTAGGTAGGACTACAGGCATGCCACCATGACTGTCTTAATATTTTGACATTTTTGTACAGATGGGGTCTTGTTATGTTGCCCAGGCTACATGGACTCAAGTGAACTCCCGCCTCAGCCTCCAAAAGTGTTGGGATTACAGGTGTGAGCCACCTTGCCGAGCCCACCATGTACTTTAAAACAAAGGAGGTTTGCTAATAACATTGTAGGATGCTGTAAAATAAGTGTATAGATGTGTATTTCCCCCAATATTTCATTGTTTTCCATACAACCCTAGAGTAGGGGAAAAGTTTGGAGACTAGCTCTAGGTTTTATTTATCAGTCATATCTTGCCTCATCCTTCTTTTTTTTTTTGCACTCCCAGACTGGAGTGCAATGGCACAATCTCAGTTCACTGCAACCTCTGCCTCCCGGGTTCAAGCAATTCTCGTGCCTCAGCCTCGCAATTAGCTGGGACTACGGATGCCTGCCACCAAGCCTGGCTAATTTTTTTTTGTATTTTTAGTGGAGACGGGGTTTCACTATGTTGGCCAGGCTGGTCTCGAACTCCTGACCTCAAGTGATCCGCCCGCCTTGGCCTCCTACTGGGATTATAGGCATGAGCCACCACACCTGGCCTCATCCTTCTCCTTTATCTTCAGTTGTCACAGATAAATAAGCTATGTTGAATCAGAAAAAAAGGTAGTTTAATATATCATTTGGGGAAGAAACATCAATTCTGTATCAATCTCATGTTTTTGGGGGGACTTTTAAACCCTAATAATTCAGAACAGTATCCATCCAAATATTACTGAAAGTTTCATTAATACACATATACTATATCTAAAGGATTGGTTAAATTTATAAAAATTTATATATGTGGATATACTAGTCTTATTTATTCATCATTCAGTCAACCAGTGTTAATTAAGCACCTACTATGTGCCAGGCATTTTTTTTTTTCCTTCCCAGTATATATTTTTTGAGAACAACATCCATATCTTCTTCCTTTCTCCTTTCTTCTTTTAATTTCCTATAGAGATGCACCCATTTGAAGTCCTTTTACTCCTAACGGGGCACCTGGACTGAGGAATGAAGAATGCCTTAAGCTACAAAGGCATGTAATGCTGAAAAGCTAATTGTTATTGTAGCAGTTAGGTAAATGAATGCCAATTGATGGACAGCTTTTAAACTAGTAACTCAGATTTTTAATCTAAGATATGATTCCAGAAGCAGGGCAATGCTATACTAGTTTCGATTTGATATTAATAGAATATCTAAAACATATGTATGCATCAGGCATTGTTCTAAAGCTTTTTTTTTTTTTTTTTTTTTTTTTTTTTGAGATGGAATCTCATTCTGTTGCCCAGGCTGGAGTGCAGTGGCGCGATCTCGGCTCATTGCAAGCTCCACCTCCCGGGTTCATGCCATTCTCCTGCCTCAGCCTCCTACAGGTGCCCACCACCACGCCCGGCTAATTTTTTGTATTATTTATTTTTTAAGTAGAGACAGGGTTTCACCATAGCCAGGATGGTCTCGATCTCCTGACCTCGTGATCTGTCCGCCTCGGCCTCCCAAAGTGCTGGGATTACAGACATGAAACACCATGCCTGGCCGTTCTAAAGCATTTTATGTATTTTAACTCATTTAACTATCATAACACCTTAGGTACATGCTATCTTCATTTTAGAAATGGGAAACTCAGAGAGGTTAAGTATTTAACCCAAGGCCACACATCAAGGGGCCTGAGTAAAGGTTAGAACTCAAGCATATTCTTTCTACTATACCATAATGCTGCCTGATAATGTTTTAGTTTTGTTAATGTTAATATTCCAGTGATTGTGTGCCCATCAGAAAGAGGCCAAGGGACCCTAACTCCTACCATCTTCTCCTGTCTTCCCCTGCACTATGTTCCCTGCAATCTGCTCTGTATGACTGCTCACTCCACCCTCTGTGACCACCCAAATCAGTAGAACAGTATCCCTCTCCAGCAAATCTGAACTGGTTCCCCATTGAGACAAAATAAAAATGTTCTATAACATCTCTCAATATATCTTCTCCCTAATTACTGCCCTCCTCATACATGTTAATCCTATCCCAACTTTCTTGATTCCATTTATCTACTTATGGTTCCCCTTTGAAACTTTATACATTTCTCCCTGACACTTGAAAACATTCTTCTCTCAGAGTTTCATTAAGGACACATTATCATAACTTCCTTCAAAAGTCTTCTCAAATTTCATCTTCTGAACAAAAGTTTGTAAATGTTATCATGCTGAATAAGGAAAATCTTCTACCACTTGACAGTTTACCATGCTAACAGTGACTGTTAACCTCCAAAATATGATCCACTATGTTTTTTTGATACTTTTATAAATAATGTTAGTGGATGTGCCTATGTTGTGTTCAGTTTTAAGGCACAACCACAGAGTATTTATGAGTCCCTTTTGGTCTATGTTAAGAGTACATTCTGTCCCAGGTGCAAGGATTTGGGGAAGTATGTTTGGGGACATATGTTTATCTTACTTTGAAATTACAACTACTGGCACATCACATACAAATAGGTACTTAAACTGCATTTTCATTATGTTACAGGCTTTGCACATAGAATACTAAAGAGAAAGCAACAGGTTTGGATCTAACAAAATAAAATGAGTAAAATTACCATTTGGCATAAACAAAATGTAACATTTTATGTAAAAGGAAAAATATAAAAACATAAATGAAGACTTACATTGTCAAATAATCATTATTAAAGTCACTTTCATATATTTAAAGCATAAGAGAATATTGTAGATTGTTCTTAGTGGCTAAATATGTTACTGCCTACTCAAAGAATGAGTGATTTTTTTTTCTGTAGAATGAAATTCAATGATCACACACACACACCCTTAAAATGTTTTCCCACACATTTGAAAATCAGTAATTTTTGCCAAAATAGATGTTGACTATTGATATAGCAACATTTCATTATATCTCAATTGACTTTTTAAAAAACAATCTCATGAATCTAGAACAAATTAAAAAAAAGATGTAAAATAGATGTCACAAAATTTACATACCATAGCATATGTACTGTATTCAGTGGAAAACCCTTCACCTGCCTCTCTTAGAGACAATTTACTTTTACTTGGTACAAAATTATAACAAGCTTCTTTATCTAGTTTCTAAGTCCATAGTAACTTATTAGGGCATAGGGACTACCATTAAACTGATAGCAGAGAAAAAAGGAATAGTGAAGCACTTAATCACAAAGGAAGAATCAGAAAAATTCTATAAAGCAGAAATAAGAACTTGGATAGCACAGTAGCAGGAAGCCATTTTCTATAAGGGTAATGGTCCTATAAGCCTTAAAAAGCCCTGACAGCACCGCCCTCTCCCAGATTAGGTTAAAAACTGACCTCGATATTAGTGCTTCTTACTCATGTTGGACAAAATACCTAAAAATATTTCTACAGATGCTTCTCAACTTACAATGGGGTTATGACTCAATAAGTTGAAAATATCATAAGTAAAAAATGCATTTAATACACCAAATCTTCTACATTATAGTCTAGCCTAGACTACCATAAATGTGCTCAGAATGCTGACATTAGCCTACAGTTGGGCAAAATCATCTGGCAACATGGTAGAGTATTGGTTGTCTGTCTTTGTGATTATGTGGCTGAGAACTGTCACTTGCTGCCACTGCCCAGCATTGTGAGTATCGTACTACTTTCCACAGCATTTTTCTACTGAATGTGTGTTGCTTACACACCTTAGTAAAGTCAAACAATTGTTAAGTGGAACTATCACAAATTGGAGACCTGTGTGTAAGAAATATTGTTTAAAATGGCCGAACTGGCAAAGTAACAGAAATCCTCAGAAACCAAAACCCACCGACAGGAGGAGTCTAGGGAGACAGTGAGCACTAAGGCTGGCAGCTGTGGATCCCCAGGGACCTAGAGCAGCAGCACAGAAAACAGAAGGCAAATCCTAGGACTTGGGAAATTGGGAGGTAGATCAGAGACCCCATCATAAAGCCAAAACCCAAGGGGCTAAACGCTCAAAGCATGAACAAGGAAAAACACCCCATTTACAAAAGAAGACAGAAGATTTGCCTGTTTTAAGGTTTATTCTTGGTGGAAGGGGTAAAATCTCCCCTGAATATTCATAAACACAAGGTGGATCACACATAAGGAGGTGGGGGATGAATTCCCTTATTACCTACCTGCTCTTAAAAGCAAGGTAAATATTTAGTATAAAGTGGGCTGGTTATGTCCCCCAGGTTCCAGTTAGAAATAAATAGAGATTTTCTCTGAAGGAGATACAATTCCAATGAATATAAGCTTACAATAATAAAAAGTACTATGCAAAAAGATGCCATTAGTGAGGACTACAGGAAACAATAATCACCTAAGACTGCAAAGTCAGATGCAGTCTGACTGCCAGAAATCATCTGCAAAGACTTTGGATACTAGATACAGAAGGCCAGTTCAATATGCTTTTTAAAACTTTAAAGGAAATAGAAAGTATGGGTGAGAAACAGGAAACTATCAAAAAATAACTAGACAGATTTGAAAATGAATGAAATAGTTTTTATAATAATTAAAACTTAAAATTCAATAAACAGCATACTCAGTATAGCTGAAAATTATTAGTAAACTAGAAAGTAAATCTGAAGAGTCCAGAATATAGCACATACAGCAAAGAAATGAAATTTATGAGAGAGAAAATAAAAGACATGTTAAGATGAAATAGAAGGTCTAATACATATATAATTGGAAGGAGAAAACAGAAAGAATAGGACAAAGGTAATATTCTAAGACACGATGGTTAAGGATTATCCAGAACAGATTAAAGACACCAATACTCTTTTTTTTTTTCAGGAAGCACAATGAATCTCATGCAGAATAACTTAAAAAAATTATACCTTGGCCTACAGTAAAACTGAAAAATTTCAAGGAAAGAGATCTTAAAGTCCATGAAAGGGAAAAGTCAGATTACCTACAAAGGGAAAACTAAGCTGACAGCCTAATTTTAAAGAATGGAAGCCAGAGGATCAAAATATTGAGAGAAAATATCATTGTTGAACTGTATTTAACACATGAAACTATCTTTCATAAAGTGAAAGAAACACATTTTAAGAGACAAAAACTAAGAATCTACCACCAACAGATCCTCAACTGAAGGAGTGTCAGTTCAGGAAGAAGCAAAATGATCTCAGAAGGAAGTGTGAAAAAGACCAAAGAACAGTCAACAAAGAAAAAGTTCTTTGTATTTAAGATTTTCATTTTATGGGTAAAATTCTCACCTACCCAGAATAGTACATTCTGTACGAATTCTGAATAGCTTTGTGTGAACATATGCTTTAATTTCCCTTGGCTTGGAGTGGAATGGCTAAATCATATAATAGGTGTAGGTTTAACTTTTTTTTTTGAGATGGAGTCTCGCTCTGTCGCCAGGCTGGAGTGCAGTGGCGCAATCTCGGCTCACTGCAACCTTCTCCGCCTCCCAGTTTCGGTTCAAGCGATTCTCCTGCCTCAGCCTCCCGAGTAGCTAGGACTACAGGCGTGCGCCACCATGCCCAACTAATTTTTGTATTTTTAGTAGCGACGGGGTTTCACCATGTTGGCCAGGATGGTCTCGATCTCTTGACCTCATGATCCGCCCGCCTCAGCCTCCCAAAGTGCTGGGATTGCAGGCGTGAGCCACTGCGCCCGGCCAGGTTTAACTTCTTAAGTAACTGCCAAACTGTTTTCCAAAGTAGTTGTACCATTTTATATTATCACCCATCAGTGTATAAGACATCTTCTGCCAGGCCTGGTGGCTCACACCTGTAATCCCAGCACTTCAGGAGCCCAGGATGGATCACTTGAGGCCTGGAGGTCAAGACCAGCCTGGCCAACACAGTGAAACCCTGTCTCTACTAAAAATACTAAAATTAGCTGGACATGGCACCACATACCTATAATCCCAACTACTCAGGAGGCTGAGGCACGAGAATCGCTTGAATCTGGGAGGTGTAGGTTGCAGTGGGCTGAGATTGCATCACTGCATTCCAGCCTCAGTGACAGAGAAAGATTCTGTCTAAAAAACAATAAAATACATCTTGGCTGGGGGTGGTGGCTCACGCCTGTAATCCCAGCACTTTGGGTGGCCGAGGTGGGCAGATTGCCTGAGGTCAGGAGTTCGAGACCAGTCTGGCCAACATGGTGAAACCCCGTCTCTACTAAAAATATAAAAAAAATTTAGCCAGACTTGGTGGCATGTGCCTGTAATCCCAGCTACTTAGGAGGCTGAGGCAGGAGAATTGCTTGAACCAGGGAGGTGGAGGCTGCAGTGAGCTGAGATCGCGCCACTGCACTCCAGCCTGGGCGACAGAGGGAGACTCTGTCTCAAAAAAAAAAAAAAAAAAAAAAAAAAGAGACATCTTCACCAATGCTCAGCATTGTCAATTTAAAACATTTTAGTCAATCTAATGGGTGTAGTGCAGTTGTTCTTAACAAGTGATTTTTTTCTCCCATGGGACATTTGATAATGTCTGCGTATATTTTCAATTTTCACAACTGGTGAGGAGCAGGTTGTTACTGGTATGTAGCAGGGAGAGACCAGGGAGGCTCCTAACTATCCTGCAATGCACAGGACAGCTCCCCGTCCCACAACAAAGCATTATCTGGCCCAAGATGCCTAATGTAGCAATATCTCATTGTGATTTTAATTTGCATTTCCTTGATAACTTTTGATACTGAACATGTTTTAATGTGCTTATTGGTCATTTAAATACATATATATATATTTGTGAAGTATCAGTTCAAACCTTTTGTCCATTTTTTATTGGGTTGGTTATTTTCTTGTGCTGTGTTCTTTATATTATTTTGAATACAAGTACTTTGATATATGTGTTATAAATTTTATTTCAGTCTGTGGCTTGCCTTTTCATTTTCCTAATGATGTCTTTTGAAAATCATGTTTTAATTTTGATATGATCCAATTTGTCAATATTTTCTTTAATGTCTCATGCTTGTATTCTAGATAAGAAACCTTTGCCTACCCCCAGGTTGTAAACTTTTTTTCCCCATCTGTTTTCTTCTGAAAGTTTTATAGCTTTAGGTTTTAATAGATCATATAAATTTTATGATATTTGAAAATAAATCTTCTCAAGTTTCTCTTCAGGGAATGGGATTATGGGTGAAGGGCATTCACTTTTTAAATATATCTGTTGTATCTGACTATCTTCCCACAATAATTATTAAACATTCTACAGTACAGATAACTTTTTGGAGTAGGGGAAGAATGGGAATGAGAAGTTTATCTCGAATGGGGCTAATTTGTTGTTGTTGTTATCACAGGGACCAAATTTGACCTTAAAGTGTTCTGGTACATTTGCATGTATGTATGTTAAATTAAGTACTGTCTGATGAGTTTCTACTATATTAACTCCATGCAGCAAAAAAGTAAAGTGGTCTTTCTTCCAGAGACCAGTGCCTTTCTTCCGGGCAATACTAGGGGGTAAGACAGGGTTAAACAAGATGGTTCTACTTTTAGTACCCTTGAGTCATAAAAAAGCATCTCTTAAAAATAGTATTAGTTGATGCCACATGGAAGACTGGGCAACACATACCATAGAAGCAAAGAGAATCTACTACTTAAAAATAATTGCCCCGATCTCAGAACTGGCACAGAACAAAGACTGGGTCACGAAAGCAGTGCACTGGAAAAAGAGACCATTTCAGAGAGCCTCCTAGTATCAGAAAAGAACAACCCCCAAACTTTCCAATAAATCTGCAGCTGAAGAAATGAAAAAATGGTACAGGATTGCGCATGGTGCATATGGTGACATGAGAGCGGGTATCTCTGAATTGGGGCTGAAGTTTACCTTTATGTATATTAACTGTCTCATAGAGATTTAGTCTAAATTGTTCACTTCATAAGTATAAAATTCTTATAGCTTCATGCCTACTCTGAAACAGATTTAGTGTATAAAGATGGTTTTAGGATACTTTTCTACCTTCTCTTCTTAAGGAAATTATTTACTGTGGAAGATTTGCAATAATGTAAGCAGTAAATGGAAGACTAAAAGAGGAGGAATGATCCTAAATTTTACAAAGAATTTCAAAGACCTACAATTTCTAAGCATAATAGAGCTCTGTGTCCCAGAAAGACTCTTCCTAGCCACTGATGACTAAGGATACTATTAGGAACAATAGAAATCACGGGTTAAAACACAGTAATTGAACCAAAAAGTTGGTCTCCAGACTAAATGCACTTGATTTATGGCAATTGTACTATTCAGAGCAATTCTTAAGAGAAGCAGGAATGATTTTGCTTTATTAAATCTTTTTCTTGAGTGTAAATTATTGCTTAAGATGCTGTGAATACTGAATTTTAAATGTTGCCACTTCCTACAACCTCTCCCTCCTCAAGCCACTCCTTTCCTCCAATAACAAGCAGATTTGTCTATTCTGTTTCTCTTTTAAGATGGGTTCTTGCTCTGTCACCCAGGCTGGAGTGCAGTGGCACAATCATATCTCACTGCAGTCTTGAGCTTGGGGCTCAAGCGATCCTCCTGTCTTAGCCTCCCAAGTAGGGTTTAACAGGTGCATGCCACCACACCCAGCTATTTTTTTATTTTTGTAGAGACAGAGTCTTGCCATGTCGCTCAAGCTGGTCTTTATCTCCTTGCCTCAAATGATCTTCCCACTTTGGCCTCCCAAAGTGCTGGGATTATAGGTGTAAGCCATCACACCCAGCTGCTGTTTTTCCTAGTGAGGAAGGAAATGTTCAAGTTATTTTTCTATGTAAGTTTGTATCTAATTACGTTATATTTTGCTGAGCTTCTTCAAGCTCTTAGAACTCCTCAGTAAGGTTCTTAGACATTATTAACATGACAGATAACATAAGGTCTGAGATATTACGGTACCCAACCCTCAAAATGTTAAGTATCTCTGCACCCAATATAAGTGGCAGGTAAAAATAAAATAGCCTTTTAACTTGGCCATAGCTTTTCGAGACACCTGGGTCTTAGACACGTGTCTGCTTCCTCTGATTCTCCACTGTCTAGTCCTGTGTTAGCATAAGCAAGATCCCTAGCTCTGAACCCTCAGAATCAGCACTTTAGTACATAACAAGAAAGCCATTGCTAGGACCCCCCGATCTAAGAATCTGGTCTAAGGAGAGATATGACAATCAAGAATAAAAAGAATGGATCTAGAAAAGAATATCAAATAAATTTCTTAGGACTGTGAATGCCCACAAAGGCATGATCAAGGCTCTATGTCCAGAGCATTTATGTAAAGGTGTAGATTGCTAGTAGTAAGTTTGTTCCTATGCATGCAGAGTATACCAAGGGGAAAAGACAGTAGAAGATTTATCCAATGTATCAATAGATGAGGCACCTGAACTTCTCATGTCTCAAAATATTCTATTCTTAGCTGCCTAAAGTTACTTTATCCATAAGTTTAAGGATGGGGTGGGAATAGGTGAAAAAGAGGAAGAATAAAAATAGCTGGGATGTGGCTTAGAGAAAAATATGTCACAAAGGAAAAAAATAAGTCTGGAATCTTCAAGATTCTAAGGTCTGGAAAGGAACCATAAAAATCTCACATTAAGAAATGATTATGGTTCTACCTAGGGACTACAGAATAAAATGTAAAATGTATATAGGATTTTATGGTCTACAAATTAATTTCCCATAGAGTGACTTGTACAACTTCTTACAACAACCTTGTAAGATGTATCTCATTATTCCTATATTACCCATGAAGAAATGTCATACAACTGACAAGTGGCAGAGCTACAAGTCAAATGCAGGTCTGCTCTGACTTCAGGTCCAGTGCCCTTTCCTTTCCACTACTCAACTGTTTAAAATGCAGCTTCAGAGCCAGCTCTTAGGGGGCTTACAATCCAGTTGATCATAAAATACTCAGAAACAATTAGAGAACAATTCTAGGCAACGTGTAATTTTGTATTAAATTATACACCACAAACTGCAAATATCCAGAAGTAGGGAGTGAGTAAAGGCTTAAAAGATGGGTAAAGGGGAATGACATAGAAGAGAGAATAAACTGGATGAACTCAAGAGACAGTTAAGAGATTTCCCTGGCTCTGGCAGGAGATGAGTGAGTTAGTAGTGGGAAACGGTCAGTTTTAGGTAGTCTATAAAGTCAGTAAAAGTGATTAGATACTGCAGGGGGTAATAAAGGAGCCCTAAAAGATTCTCAGCAGTGGTACAAAGGAGTGAAAGCAGTGACTGTGCATGAGAAGCTCAAGGCAAATTAAATATGTGCACTTCAGTGGAAGAGGTAGTGCTACCATTCCACCTCCTCTCCAGCCTCACACCACCACCAAACTTCACAGTCCACCTGCTGGAATCATTCCTAGACTTGTGTATGTGCTCCTCCCTCTGAGTTCAAGTCTTTCCCCTCTAATCATGGCCCACCCCTCATCTTCAGCCTAAAGTTAGAAGTCACTGCGTTGGAGAACCCTTCCCTGACCCCTCCTGGTCTGAGTTAGATGTCCTCCTTTGAAAATTTCCTCTGTGGCAGCACTTATCTCTAAGCACTATAATTTCCAGTGAGCTAGCCAGTCTCCCTTATTAGGCTGAAAGCTCCCAGGGTAGGAAATGGCCCATCTTTTTCCAACACTAAAATCCCTTGGTACATAATGGGTGATTTAGAGGAAGTATAAAGAAGTATATAGTCAGGAAACAGATTTAGGGATTAACTTCCCCTAAGATTACAGGCTGAGTATCCCCTATACCAAATGCTTGGGACCAGAAGTATTTCAGATTTTGAAATATTTGCATATATATAATGAAATATCTTGGGGATGGAACCCAAGTCTAAACATGAAATTCACTTGTTTCATATACACCTTATACACATATCTTGAAGGTAATTTAATATTGTAAATAATTTTGGCATAAATAAAATTTCGTGTTAAGTACTTATATGTGGAATTTTCCGCGGATCACCTGAGGTCGAGAGTTTGAGACCAGCCTGACCAACATGGAGAAACCCCACCTCTACTAAAAATACAAAAAAATTAGCCAGGCGTGGTGGTTCATGCCTGTAATCCCAGCTATTCGGGAGGTTGAGGCAGGAAAATCACTTGAACCTGGAAGGCGGAGGTTGCGGTGAGCTGAGATAATGCCATTGCACTCCAGCCTGGGCAACAAGAGCGAAACTCTGCCTCAAAAAAGTCTCAGAGTTTGGAGCATTTCAGATGAGGCGTGCTCCCCCTGTACATGAAAAGGTAAGGCTGGGCGCAGTGGCTCACGCCTGTAATCCCAGCACTTTGGGAGGCCGAGGCGGGCAAATCACAAGGTCAGGAATTCAAGACCAGCCTGGCCAACATAGTGAAACCCTGTCTCTACTAAAAATACAAAAAATTAGCCAGGTGTGATGGTGCACACCTGTAATCCCAGCTATTGGGGAGGCTGAGGCAGGAGAATCGCTTGAACCCAGGAGGCGGAGGTTGCAATGAGCCGAGATTGGGCCATTGCACTCTAGCCTGGGTGACAGAGCAAGACTTCATCTCGTGGGGGGAGTGGGGGGGAAGAGAAAAGGTAAGAAGACAGATACATATATAACCATGCTAAAATATGGAAGAATATAAATTGGAAGATGGCCTCTTGTCTCAGTGAAGGAGATATTCCAAGCCTTCTTTTCTTTTGTCTACCCAAGCCCCTTAATGAAGGGGAGGGCTCGATCAGGGTCAGGGCTAAGATAGGAAGATATACCTTTTATAGCCATTGCTTGAGGACAATAGGCTGTAGTTTTTTAAAAAACAATTTTTTCTTCTGCTAAAAGGGAAGAATTCAACAACTGTCATTTAACAACAGAGAGCACAGTGCCTTGTAAGAACCCACACAGGTATTTCATTGTATACAAAGATGAATCATAATTCCAGCCCTAAGGAACCTTATAATCCAATTTAAGAAAACCCATGAGGTAGAATTATGTTAAAGGTACAGACAATGCTATGGATTCAGAGGAGGGGAAAAAGTCAAGGGATTATTAAAAATGTTGCAAGCAGGGAGATGAGGTGTTGAGGTGTGATTTTAGAAGATTAAGAGAAACTTCTAGGATAGTCTGAGTTGTAGGGAGAAGCTAAAGACACACTTTAAGCTAAAGAGAGTGCAGTGGTCTGGTTAAGAAGTAACAAAGGTATAAACCAGTGATGCCAGTGGAAATGAAATGAAGTAAATTTAAGTAAATGTAAGAAGGCAGACTGTTAAAAACTGATTATTAATTAGAATAAAAAAATTTATTTCCCAAGAAGCCTCTTGCTTCTTTCTAACTTTATACCCAAACAAATATAAGCAAAGGTGGCATTGTCAGAGGTGGTTTTGATGGAGATGCTTATCAATAGGATGATAAGGTTATTTTCATTTATAACCTGTTCACTTCTGGACAGGATGCCTCCAGCTGTTTTTATTCCATAATGTCCCTCTGCAATTATCTTCAGAGCTTAAGGTAGCACAATTAATTAGAATGAATCTGAACTTTGTAAAAATGAGATCTAGATTGCAACCCCAGCACATTATTTTATCTCCTCATGCCTTAGATTTTCATTTGTAAAATGGGAGGGGCCATAATTCATAGGACAGTTCTAAGAGCAAAATTTGATAATATGAAAACTGCTAGAAACAGGCAAGTTACTGTATGACAGTGCCAAAATGCTGGATTCAGGTTGCCATCTGGACAGAAGAAATATTTATAATAAATTAAGAACAAGCTTTTAGTTAACAGTGCCTCTCATAATTGATTCCAGCCATGTTTCTGTTAGTGATAAGATGACAATCAGATGGACTTAAGCATTCGTAAAGAAGCGGAGGCAAGGCTCAAAGCATCAGCATTAGAGTCTAACAACCTGGGTTACAAGGATAAATTAAATCTCTCTTAGCCTCAATGTCCTCACCCACACAATGGACATGATAACATAGCAGTCTTAGAGAGCCACAGGATTACATGAAATCATGCACAGTGAGTGGTTAATACTAAGTGGTCAGTAAATATTAGTTGTGGGACCTACCTAGTAAGAGCTACAGTACATTGAACCAACTGTCCTGTCTTACTTGGAATATAAATTAATTACTTAGCACAGCATTTTTTAAACACCCATGACTTTACTCCTCCTCTTTGTGTTTTGGACTTGAATAATATGTATTTGAGATAAAAATTATTAGGTATTGATGTATTTTTTAAAATTTGGTATTTGTAATGGTATAATTACTTCTCTCAATTACAACATTTACTAAGTATCTGTAAATAATTTAGTGTTAAGTACAATCTACCCTCACTGATTTTACATATTATAGAATCTATATTTTAAATACAATATTGAATATTATCTCTTATTTATCAATTCTTTGAGTATCTTTCATTATTGATATATTTTCAAGAAAATTTACTGATCAGCATCGTAGAAATGTGTAGTTTCCCTAGCATCTATTCTCTCCTTCTTCTGTGGTTAATACAAGCTCAAATCTTTAGCTGGGCACATTGCCACTGAGAATGAAGACCATATTATCCAGCTTTCCTTGAAGCTGGGTGTGACCAAGTTACTAAGCTCTGGCCAGTGAGATACAAAAGGGAATGGGAGTGTGCATAGTGAATGTCACTAAAGTGAGAAAGCATATGCTTATTCTCCCAGTAAATTCTTCGTCTGTCTGAAATGTGGATGTGATGGCCAGAGCTGGAGCTGTCTTAGAGACAGAAGCCACATCTTGATGCTGTTGGAACAACAGAGAAGGGATTTGAGTTCCTGATGATTATATGGAGCTGCTAAACCAGTCCTGCATTGCCTTTATTTACAAGGAAGAAAAATAAACTTTCCTGTTTAAGAACTTTTATATCAGGGTTTCTGTCACTGGAAGCCTAATCTCATCCTAAATAATACAGAGAAAGTGAAATCTGAATTTCAATTTCACTTATTTTCTTAATAGGTTTTTTCCTCAACTTATGGTGAGAAAGAAGAGATAATGTTAAGGGAGAGAAAAGGGGCAAGAGGATTCATTCAGCTGCCCCACCACTGCTATAGTTCACATCATATTCCTAACCTGTCTTTTACCCCCAACCACTCTAGGGTCCATTTTGCTTTTCATCCTAGAAGTTCAACTCCAAAAAAGAACTGACCCCAAAACAGCATTCATTTGTTCATTACTCAACAAATGCCTGCTGAGCATCTAGTGTGTGTTAGATGCTGAATAAAACAGACCCCTAACTTCAGAGAGCTAAGTCAGGTATTTTAAGAAATGTACATTAAATTTTCCTCTGTTAATTTGTACACTACACCTCTGTGGTCCCAAATTTTCTTATAGGATTGAAGTAAAAGACTGAGTATAAAAGGTCGGGAGAAAGCTGACATATGGAGTAGGTAGGAAGAACCTTAGTACTGGAAATATAGGAAATAAGGTGTTCAGGACTCTTGGGGACAAAGGCAAAGATGTGACTACCCGGCAGAGGGAAAAAAAAAAAGGAAAAGGAAAAGAACACAGTCACTGACTCTTACTGGGCTTCATGTAGCCTTAGAACCTCTGTCACTTTTTTTGAGAAGGGGTCTCACTCTGTTGCCCAGGCTCAGTCATAATGCACTGCTGCCTCAAATTCCTGGGCTTAAGTGATCCTCCCACCTTAGCCTCCCCAGTAGCTGGGACTACAGGTGCATGCCACCACACCCAGCTAATTTATTTCTATTTTTATTTTTGTAGAGATGGAGTCTTGCTATGTTACTTAGGCTGGTCTCAAACTCCTGGCCTCAAGTGATCCTCCTGCCTCAGCCTCCTGAAGTGCTGGGATTACAGACGTGACCACTGCACCACTATCACATATTAATGATTAATAGGGACAAGCTCATTACTAAACTTCTGTAACTCCCAGAGCATAGTAATTGCCCTCCTTATTGTATCTGCCCTTTGTATTATTAAAATCAAAGACTTTCAGAAACCCTCAAGACTCCCCACCATTCTTTTCCAATTCTAGGCCCCATTCAGAATTTCCACCCTCTTCTAGCCTCTTATTAGGACCTTTTCCTACCAAGGTACACTTAGGAAAGAGAGGAGTCATCAGAATGGGGAGGGAGGGAGTGTTGTTGGAATTCTCAGTTAAAATTTAGTTTTTTTCATAGAAACATTGCTAAAATAGAATCTAAATGTCATTACTGCTTCCAGCTTTATAGTTCAGCAAACCTATGCAGTTAAAATCAGCTTTTGTGGGTTGGCTTTACGATTTGTCTGAGTGAAAAAGTAAGTTCAGAGTTTCAAATAATTAATATGAATTTTAACTTTAGACTGTAGTCCTTTTGTGAGGAATGGAAAGCTTAACCATCATTCTTTGCCTAATAAAAGATGGCATGGCACTAATATTGTTACACACTTGGCTCCAGGAGAATGAAAAAGAAACAAACCAGTTTCTGATGCTGGGATCTAGTGTTTTTTGTTTGTTTTTATCTGAGGTTTGAGGGAAAGTGTATTTATCAAATACTACTAAACCAGCTTAACTGTGACAAGTAGTTCTTAATACACTATAATATGATATGATAAAAAAAATTTTTTTTAGGTTGTGGTTTTTAACACTTCACAAGTAGTTTCTTTTCCTGTTAACTTTCAGACAACTCTGCTTAAGCCTAAGCTAAATACCTGGAGGAAGTGCTACCACAATTTTAGCTTTCTTGTTTCCAGTGGCGCTATTATTCTCACCTGTTCCCCATTAGTAGAGTATCATATGTTCACTTACAGCTCTCTTTCTAGCCTAATAAAAATGCTCTTAAAATAATTACAGTAAAATAATAAAACAGTCGTAAATCTGAGAGAGACAAATAGGCATACTGCCCCATCAGTACTAACAAAAAGGTTTACAGATGTTTAAAAACTTTCTTTGGCTTTGGTTCAGCACCTCAGTTAGGAAACTTACCGATCAAGGTCCCTTGTCTTTTTCTACAGGGCCCCCGCCCATAATGTGCTGCCAAAATATAGCTGTTATATTCCTGATACAGCATAAAAAGGCATGAAAACTTTCTAAGTAGTAAAGACAATCTTTCCCTCCCCAATGGGCCATAAGTCCAGAAAAACAAGTTACCTCACTTATGAACCACGCTATTTAAGACTCTGTGATGCAACAATATTGCACTACTATTTTCTATTAAAATGTACTTTTCAAATCAAAATCTTAGCTAAAATGTCCATTAAGGTTATAAAAATTTTGTTTTTTCTCTTATCCTTTTAAATTGGAATTTAGGGCACAGAAAAGAAGTATGTTTTTATTTCACCTAGGAAACATTATTAGGCCGTAGAAACCATAACACTCCACTAATTAGTATCTTTGCAGAGCAATAATTAAAGCAACCTTAATTCACGGGGATGATTCTGAAATACACCAAGATGTTAAAATTCCCTCCATTACACAATGCAATTATTAATATATTCAGCATCTAGTCCAATGTGATGTAATAATTACAGAATTTCAGAGCTAAAACAATTATAAGTTGGGTGAAGCTAGAATAGATTTGGAGCATCTAAGTATTAATACTTTAATTCTATAGATGAAGAAATTGAGAACCAGAGGCAAAATATATGGTTTTAATGTTGAAATATTTATCATATTATAGTTTTTAGAAACTTGGACAATCATCAATAAAATCAAGGCTGGCCTTATGATTTACTAGAGTATATGGCTGCTTGCTTGGTATAATTTCAGAAGCGCTATTATAAAAAAAAAAGGCATAGAAACTTGTCACCCAGATTCTTCCTCAGAGATAAAAATAGTAAAATGATACCTAGTCATCTTCCATTTACATATTTAGTTGATGTTCAACGATGCCTATAATTCTATAAGCTGACTAATTCCATTATCTTTTGTTAAAATGCAAGTACCCTGAAAAATAGAAAAATCATTAAGCAATATAATGGATTCAAACCTTAGGTAGGCATTTAAGGTCAAAATCATGTCTATATGAGTATTCTTGAAAATCTCTTCTGGAAGGTTCCATGCTAGAGACTGACAGCCCACTTCTTAACTAAGGCCAAAGTAGACATTTTGTCCTGCAGCATTAGAACAGATGACTTTATTTTCTAGCACTAGTTGGAGTCACTGGCTTGTATTTAGGGGCTTTGTATAAAAAAGCACAAGCCAGCTGGGCACAGTGGCTCACGCCTATAATCCCAGCACTTTGAGAGACCAAGGTGGGCAGATCACTTGAGGTCAGGATTTCAAGACCAGCCTGGCCAACATAGTGAAACCTCGTCTCTACTAAAAATACAAAATTAGCTAGGTGTGGTGGTACATGCCTATAGTCCCAGCTACTTGGGAGGCTCAGGCAGGAGAATTGCTTGAACCTGGTTGTCAGAGGCTGCAGTGAGCTGAGCTGAGATCGTGCCACTGCACTCCAGCCTGGGTAAGACAAAGCCAAGACTTGTCTCAAAAAACAAAAAACAACACAAGTCTTTAGCACCTGAATTACCTACAGCACAATGAGATGTTGACTCTAAGAGAAGCAAGCAGGAATTCAAGACCAAAGGGAATACAACACATTTCTGTTTCTCATTTCACACCCACTTAGGGGCATATGCTCTGAGTGGGATGTGGGACAGAATTGCCTATGCAATTTATATTTAAAATATTTTCTGCCCTACCTTAAGAAATTTTTAATAAGCAAGAATAGTTAAATTTGCATAAGTTAAGTGTATGAATGAGGTAACTCCATTGTAGGGATCAGCTACTTCCCTAAGAGCAGATTCTGACGGCAATTGGGGCAGAAAGAAAGGAAAAAGAAGAGCAAGAGGAGGAGGAAGAAGAAATGAAGAGGAAAAGAAGAAGGAAGGAGAAAAAAGGAAGGAGGAGGAGGAGGAGAAGAAAAGAGAAGAAGAAAAGAAGGGAGAAGGGAGAAGAAGGAAAAGAAAAAGAAGAAGGAGGAGGAGGAGAAAAGAAGAAAGAGAAAGAAAGAAAAAGAGAAAGAAAGAAGAAGGAGGGAGAAGGAGAACAAGAAGGAGGAAGAAAGGAGGGAGGAAAAGGAGAAGGAGGGAGGAGAAGGAGAAGGAAGGAGGAGAAGGAGAAAGAAAGAAGAGGAGAAGGAAGGAGGAGGAGGAGAAGAAAGAAGAAGAAGAAAGAAGAGGCTCTGTGCCTGAGGGCAAGGAAGGGATACTATAGAGGGTAGGGAAGACCATGACCAAAGATAAATTTTGCCTACTTCACAAATTTGTATGGAATATAAATTGTATATACTGCATAAATCATTTAAGTCATAATAGCTTATTAATCATACCATCTTACATTCTCAAACATGATTAACTGAGAATTTTCTGTAATTTCCCTTCACTTTTACAAACAGTAACTATTAATGTCAAAGTATCATCATTGTATTTCACGATTTTCAGTTCAAGATGAGGTCCAATTTAAGACAACTTGGAGGCAAGAACATCAAATCTGCAAATCACAGAGCTGTCTGGTGACTTTTCTTACTGAGTACTGCCAGCAAGCACTGGCTATCTTTATCTTGATAAGCACTACTAAAACATCTCAAGTGGAGGGGTCATAGTCCCATCACTGGGATTAAAAACCAAAATATATAGATGATTTACATTTGTAGATTCTAAACTTGCTAACCCAAATGGCGAAATGAGTTACTAGAAACGAGAACCAGTATTTTCATAAACTACAAAGTTTCTAGTAAAAGTTATTTTAGCTACCAATTCAGTTTTTTAAGAACCTTGTTGATCTTTCTATTGTCTTAACTAGAGTCTTGTTCATATAGAAAATAAGTTAGTGAAGTGAATTATTGTGGCTTCAACTCTGAAAAGGAAGCAGGATGGGAGAGAGGAGAAAGCACAGTCAAGGGGGATTATTTCATGGCCACAGACTGCATCACAGCTGTGGCTGGGATTTCACAAATGTGTATGTACCAACAGTCAAATGAAGGACTGTGAGAGAATGTGTATGGCTGAGCTCACTTAGGAACCACGACTGGGAAAACAATTACCTGGAAAGAGATGGCCTACTGATACCAAGTACAGTATTATCTTTAGCGTAAAAACTTCAGTCATGAGATAAGAGATTATTATTTGAATTGCTAGTCTTCAACTACAGAACTAATAAAAGTTAAGCAACAACTACCCCCACCACAACCCCCAACTCTCCCTTCTTTCACAAGAGAAATAATCTAGTTTGGCAAGTCTCCTCTCCTTTATATGACATTCCTTTTTATTATATTTAAATACACCTTTTTGAACAAATTATGCAGAAAAGTATTACGACTGAGGATTTTTTAGGGGGAGTAATAATAAATTACTGGGGTTGAAGAAGGATTAAAAGGTTTCATTTATTGTTTTGGACTTCTGATTTCTCTGTCAATTTAGTTGTTAAATGTGGGAAAGTTACTAAGAATTTATCATTTTAGTTGTGCCATTCTCATTCCTTGTGTACATACTTGTCCAAGGACTCTTAGGGTAACGCCAGCAAATTACATCAGGTGTCCCACTACAATGATTAAATTAAAACAGGAATTCTTGGTGTCGCTTCCCTGAATTTAACTTCTTGAAAACAAATGAACTGTTAAACATATATGTGACAAACTAGCATAATCTTTTTTTTTTTTTTTGAGACAGTCTCGCTCTGTCGCCCAGGCTGGAGTGCAGTGGCGCAATCTCATCTCACTGCAAGCTCTGCCTCCTGGGTTCAAGCGATTCTCCCGCCTCAGCCTCCTGAGTAGCTGGAACTACAGGTGCACGCGACCACGCCCAGCTAATTTTTTGTATTTTTAGTAGAGACGGGGTTTCACCGTGTTAGCCAGGATGGTCTCAATCTCCTGACCTCGTGATCTGCCCGCCTCAGCCTCCCAAAGTGCTGGGATTACAGGCGTGAGCCACCGCACCTGGCCCAAACTAGCATAAATTTTTAAAATAACATACCCTCAATTTACAGAGTGTGCATCATTTCAAATTGCAGGCCAGGCACAGTGGCTCATGCCCATAATCCCAGCACTTTGGGAAGCTGAGGAAGGAGATTAGCATGAGCCCAGGAGTTTGAGATCAGCCTGGGCAACATAGTGGGACCCTGTTTCTATTAAAAAAAAAAAAAACAAACCAAAACTAGCCAGGCATTGTGGCATGCACCTATAGTCCCAGCTACTTGGGGGGCTTAGGCAGGAGGATTGTTTGAACACAGAAGGTTAAGGCTGCAGTGAGTTGTGATTGTGCCAGTCTGGGTGGCAGAGTGAGACTCTGTCTCAAAAACTAAATAAATAATAATTTAAAAAAATAAAATAAAATTGCAACATAAAAATAGCAGATGACCTTTTGCTATTTCTCATCTCCAACAACTCAGTAAATCTACCAAACATACTTGTACAAGTACTTACGCCACTAACAAGTAACTATTAAGCCAAAGGAGGGATTTTGAGGACAATGAAAAAGCGGTAGAAGTTATTTACCATAATTGTTGTTTTACTACATTTTTTGAAAAAGCAGGAATTTTTATATTAATACCAAATAAAGTAGACTTCAGAGCAAAGAAAATTACCAGAGACAAGGAGGGACATTATATATCATGATAAAAAGTTAAACCCACCAAGAATATATAGCAATACCCAAATGTACATCCACCAAACAGAGCTGTAAAATATATGAAGGAAAACCTGGTAGTACGGAAAGGAGAAATAAACAAATCCATAATTATAGCAGGAGACTTCAACATTCCTCTCTCAACAATTGCTAGAACAACTAGACAGAAAATCAGCAAAAATGTAGAGGAACTCAACAATATTATAAACCAACAGGATGTAATCAACATTTATAAAATACTCTACCTAATAAGAAAATACATAGCCTTTTAGCATGCTCAGGGAATATATACCAAAACAGAATACATCATGGCCATAAAATAAATTTGAATATATTTAAAAGAATGAAAATCATGCAAAGTATGTGTTCTCTGATCATAACGAAATCACACTAGAAGTAAATAATAGAAAGATAATAGGAAAATGGAAGCCTGGACACATTTGCAAACTAAACACCACACTCAGAAATAATTCATGAGTGAAAGAGGAGGTATCGGGGAGATTTAAAAAATATATTGAATAGGATGAAAATGAAAATACAACATATCAAAATTTGTGGGACACAGCTGAAGCAGTGCTGAGAGGGAAATTTATAACACTACATATATACATTAAAAAATAAAAAATTCAAATAAATGATCTAAAATTCTATGTCAAGAGCCTAGGGAAAGAAGAGCAGTATAAACTGAGAATCAAGCAGACAGAAGAAAATAATAAAGAACAAACATCAATGAATTTGAAAACAGAAAAACAAAAGAGTAAAAGAAAATCAGTGAAACAAACTGCTGGTTCTTTGAAAAGAAAAAAAAATTGAAAAACCTCTAGCAAGACTGACACGGGAATTAAGAGAAGACATAAATTACCAATATCTATTAGGAATGAAACAGAGGATTATTGCGAAAAAAAAAAAACAAACCTGCAAAGACCAAAAGATAATAATGGAATACTGTGAACATTCTATACTCATACATTTGACAAGTTAGACAAAATGGGTCAATTCCCACCATAACTCCATAACTCACCTACTATGAAATAGATCACCTGAATAGCCCTATTGCTATTAAGAAAATTGAATTTGTGATTTTTAAAAACTCCCCCAAAATAAATTTCCAAATCCAGTTTATTTCACTGGATAACTCCACCAAACATTTAAAGAATTAACTCCAATTTTACATAATATTTTCCAGAAAACAAGGAGGGAAAAATTTTCAATTATTTTTATGAAGCTAGTATTAACCTAATACCAAAACCAGACAAAGACAATACAAAAAAAGAAAAATACAGCCTCATGAAAATGGAGGCAAAAATCCTAAACAAAATATTAGCAAACAGAATTCCACAATGTATAAAAAGCATTATATATCAAGATTTAGGGGGATTTATTCCAGGAATGCATGGCTGGTTCAACATCTGAAAATCAATGCAATCTACCATTTTAACAGGCTAAGGAAGAAAAACCATATGTTCATATTAATTGATGCAGAAAAACATTTGAGTAAATTTAACACTCATTTATGATTTTTAAAAACTTTCAGAAAAATAAGAACAGAGTGGGAGTTACCTCAGCTTAAAAACTTCTACAAAAACCTACAGCTGTTTTTATACTTAACGGTGAAAGATGGAATGCTTTCCTCTTAAGATTGGGAAGAAGGAAAGAATATTTACTCTCACCACTCTTACACAACATAGTCCTGGAAGTTCTAGTCAGGGCAATAAGGCAAGAAAAGTAAATAAAAGCCATACAGATAAAAAACAACAACAACAACAAAAACAACAAACGGAATAAATAACAACTGTCCCTACTTATAGATGACACAATTATGTACATAGAAAATCCCAAGGAATTTATAAAAAACAACGAATTCCTAGAACTAATAAGGGAGTTGAGCAGGTTGCAGGATACAAAGTTAATATACAAGAGTGAATTGCTTTTCTATAGACCATCAGTGAACAACTGGAATTTGAAATTAAAAGAATTACAATAAAAAAGAAAATAGGCATAAATCCAACAAAATATGTATAGACTCTATACACCAAAAACTACAAAACTCTGATCAAAGAAATCAAAAATCCAAATAAGTGGAGAAATATTCAATGCTCATAGATTGGAAGACTCAATACTAGTAAGGTGTCCATTTTTCCCATCTGTAAGTTCAACATTCCAAATATAATCTTGGCAAGCTATTTTGTAAATGTCAACAAACTGATTCAAAATTTTATATGGAAAGGCAAAAGACCTAGAACAGTCATACTAACTGTTTTCATGACTTATTATAAAGCTATCATAATTAATACAGCATGATATTGGTGAAAGGACAGATACACATATCAATGGAACAGAATAGAGAGCCCAGAAATAGACTGATAAAAATATGGTCAACTTATTGTTAACAAAGAAGTGGCCAGGTATGGTGGCTCACACCTGTAATCCCAGCACTTTGGGAGGCCAAGGCAAGAGGATTGCTTGAGCCCAGGAGTTCAAGACCAGCCGAAGCAACACAGGGAGACTCCACTACTACAAATAAAAAAAAAATTATCCAGGCATAGTGGCACCTGCCGGTGATCCCAGCTACTTGGGAGGCTAAGACAGGAGGGCTGTCTGAGCCAAGGATACCAGGGCAGTGAGCCGTGATCACACCACCACACTCCAGCCTAGATGACACAGTGAGAACTTGCCTCAAAAAAAAAAAAAAAAAAAAAAAAAAAAAAAAAAAAAAGGAGTACAGGCAATTCAATGGAGAAAGGAAGAAAGGATAGTCTTTCCACCAAGTAATGATGAAATAATAGGACATCCATACGCAAAGAAAAGAAAGAAAACAAAATGATTCTAGACATAAACCTCATACCCTTAACAAAAAGTAACTCAAAATGGATCACAGACCTAAATTTAATATATAAGACTAAAAAACATCTAGAAGAAAACATAAGAGAATATCTACATCTAGATCACCCTGAATGATCTCACGCTTTCATCACTGACCAAACCTGTAATTACATCTCAGTCCTTTCTCCTGAATCTGAGGCCTATTTCTCTATCTACCTAATATATTTAATCTTGATGTCACACAGACATCTCGAATCAAAAAATAAAAAATAAAAAGCTGAACTCAGCCGGGCGCAGTGGCTCACGCCTGTAATCCCAGCACTTTGGGAGGTCGAGGAGGGCAGATCACCTGAGGTCAGGAGTTTGAGACCAGCCTGACCAACATGAAGAAACCCCATCTCTACTAAAAATACAAAATTAGCTGAGCGTGGTGGCGCATGCCTGTAATCTCAGCTACTTGGGCAGCTGAGGCAAGAGAATCGGTTGAACCCAGGAGGTAGAGGTTGCGGTGAGCTGAGATTGCGCCACTGCACTCCATCCTGGGCAACAAGAGCGAGACTCCATTTCAAAAAAAAAAAAGCTGAACTCATCACCTTCCCCAAACCCATTGCACTACGCTACCACCTCTTATATTCCCTATCTCCACGAAGGCCTTCATTATACCTCCAGTTGTCCAGTGCAGACACCTGCAAGTCTGTGCCTAGCTAGGCTCCTCTGACACCCTTACTAACCTCTTGTCAAGTTCTGAATATTCTACATCCTAGAAACTGTAAAATCTATCCCCTATCCTCAACCTCACTCCCAACCCCATCAAAACAGTCCCTCACCATGTCTCTCCCAGATTAGAACGATAGCCTCCTTTCTGTCTCAATGCCTTTGCCACCTTCTAGCCTATTCTCTACACTGGAGAAGTCTTTCCAAAATGCAGATCTGATGATGATATAATCCTTTATAGGTTCCCCCTAACTTTCAAAATAAAATCCAGATTCTTCACATGGCATATAATTCCATTTCAGATTGCATCTCTGCCTATGTCTCCAATGATACTGAGTTCAACTTACTTACAGTTCTTCAAACACAGTAAATCTCATGGTTCTGTACTTTTGCACATGCTAATCTCTCTGACCAGAGCACCTTATCTCTCACTTCTTCAACTGGCCTCTCCTTAGTCAGGCTTCAAGAGCCAGCTGAGGCATTACTCTTCTACAGCGCTTACCCTGGCTACTCCCTTTCTGTATCCCCTCATCCCCAACCATCCAAAGCCTTTGCAGAATTCTCTTGCATGGCACTTACTAGTATATACCATAACTGCCTGTTTATCTTGCCCACCTGTCTGTGAGCTCCTTGAGAATGAGACCTTTGCCTTATCTGTTTCTCCAGTGTCTGGCATGGAATGTTACACAGAGTAGATAATACATGTTTCTGAAATAAATAAATGTGAGGCACGATATGGAAGAACTCTGATTGAAAATAAGAATTTGATTTTGAACCCATATGGGCTGAAAAAAGCGTATTCTGTCTTTTGCTCTAAATGAAAAACCAATGCCTCAACTTTCAATAATTCATATACTTTGGAACATAAGTAAAAAATATTATATTTACAAGCTTAAAAAAATCTAATGCAATAAGATAATGTAGCTCTAGCCCTCTCCCTCTCCCTCTCCCCACGGTCTCCCTCTCATGCGGAGCCGAAGCTGGACTGTACTGCTGCCATCTCGGCTCACTGCAACCTCCCTGCCTGATTCTCCTGCCTCAGCCTGCCGAGTGCCTGCGATTGCAGGCACGCGCCGCCACGCCTGACTGGTTTTGGTGGAGACGGGGTTTCGCTGTGTTGGCCGGGCCGGTCTCCAGCCCCTAACCGCGAGTGATCCGCCAGCCTTGGCCTCCCGAGGTGCCGGGATTGCAGACGGAGTCTCGTTCACTCAGTGCTCAATGGTGCCCAGGCTGGAGTGCAGTGGCATGATCTCGGCTCACTACAACCTACACCTCCCAGCCGCCTGCCTTGGCCTCCCAAAGTGCCGAGATTGCAGCCTCTGCCCGGCCGCCACCCCGTCTGGGAAGTGAGGAGTGTCTCTGCCTGGCCACCCATCGTCTGGGATGTGAGGAGCCCCTCTGCCTGGCTGCCCAGTCTGGAAAGTGAGGAGCGTCTGCGCCCGGCCGCCATCCCATCTAGGAAGTGAGGAGCGCCTCTTCCCAGCCGCCATCACATCTAGGAAGTGAGGAGCGTCTCTGCCCGGCCGCCCATCGTCTGAGATGTGGGGAGCGCCTCTGCCCCGCCGCCCCATCTGGGTTGTGAGGAGTGCCTCTGCCCGGCCGAGACCCCGTCTGGGAGGTGAGGAGCGTCTCTGCCCGGCCGCCCTGTCTGAGAAGTGAGGAGACCCTCTGCCTGGCAACCACCCCGTATGAGAAGTGAGGAGCCCCTCCGTCCGGCAGCTGCCCCGTCTGAGAAGTGAGGAGCCTCTCCGCCCGGCAGCCACCCCATCTGGGAAGTGAGGAGCGTCTCCACCCGGCAGCCACCCCGTCCGGGAGGGAGGTGGGGGGGGTCAGCCCCCTGCCCGGCCAGCCGCCCCATCCGGGAGGGAGGTGGGGGGTCAGCCCTCCACCCGGCCAGCCGCCCCATCTGGGAGGTGAGGGGCGCCTCTGCCCGGCCGCCCCTACTGGGAAGTGAGGAGCCCCTCTGCCCGGCCAGCCGCCCGGTCCGGGAGGGAGGTGGGGGGGTCAGCCCCCCGCCCGGCCAGCCGCCCCGTCCGGGAGGGAGGTGGGGGGGTCAGCCCTCCGCCCGGCCAGCCGCCCCGTCTGGGAGGTGAGGGGCGCCTCTGCCCGGCCGCCCCTACTGGGAAGTGAGGAGCCCCTCTGCCCGGCCAGCCGCCCCGTCCGGGAGGGAGGTGGGGGGGTCAGCCCCCTGCCCGGCCAGCCGCCCCGTCCGGGAGGTGAGGGGCGCCTCTGCCCGGCCGCCCCTACTGGGAAGTGAGGAGCCCCTCTGCCCGGCCAGCCGCCCCATCCGGGAGGGAGGTGGGGGGGTCAGCCCCCTGCCCGGCCAGCCGCCCCGTCCGGGAGGTGAGGGGCGCCTCTGCCCGGCCGCCCCTACTGGGAAGTGAGGAGCCCCTCTGCCCGGCCACCACCCCGTCTGGGAGGTGTGCCCAACAGCTCATTGAGAACGGGCCAGGATGACAATGGCGGCTTTGTGGAATAGAAAGGGGGGAAAGGTGGGGAAAAGATTGAGAAATCGGATGGTTGCCGTGTCTGTGTAGAAAGAAGTAGACATGGGAGACTTTTCATTTTGTTCTGCACTAAGAAAAATTCTTCTGCCTTGGGATCCTGTTGATCTGTGACCTTACCCCCAACCCTGTGCTCTCTGAAACATGTGCTGTGTCCACTCAGGGTTAAATGGATTAAGGGTGGTGCAAGATGTGCTTTGTTAAACAGATGCTTGAAGGCAGCATGCTGGTTAAGAGTCATCACCACTCCCTAATCTCAAGTACCCAGGGACACAAACACTGCGGAAGGCCACAGGGTCCTCTGCCTAGGAAAACCAGAGACCTTTGTTCACTTGTTTATCTGCTGACCTTCCCTCCACTATTGTCCCATGACCCTGCCAAATCCCCCTCTGTGAGAAACACCCAAGAATTATCAATAAAAAAATAAATTAAAAAAAAAAAAATCTAATGCAATATTTTTGCTGTCAACATTCACTGAAACAGTGACAAGAAGAATGACCTTCACAAATGCCCTCCCTTAATCTTTTGTCTTCCAAGATCACAAAGGCCTCAATAAACATTCAGATATCTCCAACTGACCCTGCTTGTATGTGGTGCAGGCAGTTTAACCACAGGTGAATAGTTTGAGGAGCCACCTTCCTGAGACATTCATTCCTCCACCTCCCTTGTTTACTTGTCTTGAGATCTGCACCACAGTATTGCACCGTGGGTTTAGTTAACAAAAGTAGTGAAAGTATTTTTAAAGGATTACTGTTAAAAGGTAGTGACTGCATAGGAAATACCAAGGCTGTGCTCTGAAAAGGCAGCCACCTTCTCTAGCCTCTCTGTTTAACACAACCAGGTTTATTAGAACAGATAGAAGGGCCTTTACAAAATCTTTCCCAGAGGACCTCTAACCTCTGAGAGGAGTGAACTCCTTCCACAGGGGATAATATGGTGACAAGCCTGTGGGTAGATGGCCACAAGTAGGAGAATTTTTTTTATGTCAAATTTTAAAATCTTATTCCCTAATACAGCTATGCTTATTTTTAACCTAAAATAATGCTGTTCATTACTTACCAGTTAAATTACCTATCTCTTCCTCATCCCTGCCTCCCATTCCCCTGATTCTAAATTCCAGGAAGATACATCACAATTTATTCTATGTGTTCCTGCATACCCTGGGATATGGCCATATATCACAGGCTGTAATCCTACTCCAATGTGTGAAGTTCAGAGCTATAAAAAGTGACGGGATGAGTACTTAAAACATAACAATGGTTTCCTTCTCTGTTTCCTCCACTAAACAGCAAGTCTCTCTAGGACTTAGTGTCTTTGTCCTTTTTGCTTAGCACGCTTCTTTGTACAGAGCTAGCTTTCAACAAACACCTGTAGAACATGTGTATGAATAAATGACAGCTATGATTTCTGCAAGGCTTTGAGAACATCTTGGCACATAAAAGTAGGAAAAGTTGGTATCAAAAAAAAGAGGATGAATGGATTTTTAAAATGTGTTATATACACACAATGGAATACTACTCAGCCATAAAAAAGAAGGAATCCTGTCATTTACAGCAACATGGATGGAACTGAATTTATGATAAGTAAAATAAGCCAGGAACAGAAAGTTAAACATCGTATGTTCTCACTCATATGTGAAAGCCAAAAAAAAAAAGTTGATCTCATGGAAGTAAAAGGTAGAAGAGAGGTTACTAAAAGCTGGGAAGAGTAGGGGGAAAGGGGGGAATATGAAGAGATCTGCTAAAGTATACAAAATTATAGCTAGATAAGCAGAATAAGTTCTAGTGTTCCATAGCAATGTAGGATAACTATAGTTAACAATATTATATATTTTCAAACAGCTAGAAGAGAGGAAATTGAATGTTTTCAACACAAAGAAATAACTGTTTAGATGACGGATTTGCTAATTATCCTGATCTGATCACTGCACATTGTAATTGAAACACTATTATGTACCCCATAATTATGTACAATTATTATGTGTCAGTTAAAAAATAAAAAATAAAAAGGAGAGGGGACGTATATTTATATTAATATATTATATACTAATATTGATGTATAATATATATTATGTTGAAATCATTACATATATATTTATATGTATTTTTTAATAGCATAGAACTGAAAGGAAGTTAACTTACCAAAATACCCTCTTTAAAAAATTCTCAAGAAAGTTGCATCATGGGAATTAAATGTCAAAACAAATAAATACCCAGAGAAGAGGAAGTAAATACATCTCCATGTCTGACTTTGGTTTGAAACATAGGCAACAGCTTTAAAAGAAATTTTAAAATGAAGATTTATAAAACAGTGTTGTAAAATACAACAAAGGAAAGGCTGTAAGTAAAGGAATAACAACTGATTTTTAAAACTCTGTATATGAAGTAAAATACTGGCCAATTTAGTGAAAAAGCCAAACTGGTGGATAGGCATCTGATTTGACTACTTTTTCACTTTTCAACAGGTTTTATGGGATGACACAATCTTGCTCTACTCACAATGGAAGGGAGGAACTTCAAATCTAAACATGTCCAAACAGCAATAACTGGCCCAACTCAGAGCTGTTCAAAGACTGACCAATTGTGCTACCAGCTGAAGGTGGCATCTGTCTGCAACAGCGCCATTAAGTAGCAGTCAAAACATTCAGCGGCTAGAAGCAGAGAACACATCTCCAGCCTAGAAAAGACACACAGAATGCTATTGTTTAAATTGTTAAAAAAAAAAAAAAAAAGTCATTTTAATGTACAGTGAATCATAGACTTTCCATCTTGCAAAGGAGACAGTATGGCAAGTCTTTAAATATTAAAAATAGACTTTAAATATATAAAACTGATTGAAGGAGGAAAAATTAGTTGGACTGGTCTGAAAGACTGATGAAATTAGCTTCCTAAGAGAGGCAGGCAAACATCAAAGCAGTCTCTAACTTTCAAATAACCTATCTATACAAATGGGCAGGCAGCAGAAGTTCCCTCCCATTCCTAAATCAATAGACTTACATAATCCTTAGGTCTCTCAGCCTAAAGGCAAAAGCTGATTTCCAGTCTGACCACAGGAAGACCAACCTTCCAAGAGAGCTATCTTCTTTTAGTAATCATAAGGAATTAAAAAAATACTGCTGCCAACAATCACTCATCCACCACTAGCATCCCTTCCTTTCCATTCTTACTTTCTGGTCTCCAGGTTCCAGCCTAGCAAAGGAAGGCAAGAAGGAACAAACACAGCTTCTACTGCTTAGGTAGGGGGAATGTGGTCCTCAGCCACCTCCATAGAAATAATATTATGAGTGGACGTTTGTTATGGTTAAAGTTGTTCAATTAGCATGACTTCAAGTAAGAAGGGCTGAATACCTTTTTTGAACTGATTCCTGAAGCTAATCACCAAATATTAATGCTGCTTAGACACAGAAATATAACCTGAGTCCTAAACAACTAATTTGCAAACTAACTTCAGAAGCAAACAGGAAATCTCTTAAAAACAAAAAAAAACAACAAAAAAAAACTCATTTCAGAAATCAGTTTCATGATGGTTTAAAACTTCTTTTGGATCAGTAGCTTTAAAATTGGTTTTATAAAACAGCAGGGTGCAATGAAATTTCAGAGGATCAGAATATTATAAAGATTTTTAAAAATTATTTACCAAACATTGAAACTGAGTCAGACAATAATGGTGCTACTTCAGTGAAAAATGTAACACATCAGTTGTGTATTTTTAACATAAAAGGAGTTGAACAAACTGCAACATTGTATATTAGTGAGTAATACTATATGAATGGACTCTTTGAAGGAGAAAATGTAACCCTTTAAGGAATGTTTAAATAGGGTCCTCTTATTACCTTTTTGCTTACCATTAGAGGTCAAAGATGGGGTTCTAAAGTATGAAAAACACTTAAAAGCTTGTAGAATTACAAAGAGTTTAGAAATTGTGGTCACTGGTTTTCTTTTTTTCTGTAATTGAATACAAGATAAAAATGATAAATCATTAATGTGACATTGTCTTACTCCATTTTGTGCCACTGTAACAGAATACCTGAGACTGGGTAATTTATTTAAAAAATCTTTTGTTTTGTTTTGTTTTCTCTCACAGTTCTGGAGGCTGGAAAGTCCAGGGTCAAGATGCTGGCATTTGGTCTGATAAGGGCCTTCTTGCTATCTCCTTACATGACAGAAGACAGTCGAACAAAGGCAAGTTAGCCAAACCCTGTGTGAAGCCTCTTTTATAAGGACCTTAATTCCACTGATGAAGGAGCAGCCCTCTGGCCTAATCACCTTTTAAAGACCCCACCTCTTAATACTATCACATTGACAGCACCCAAATTTTGGAGTGACACATTCAAACCACAGCAGACAACAATGGCTTATTAGCTTGGTGCAAAAGTAATTGAGGTTTTTGCCATTACTTTTAATAAGACAGATGTAGAAGATAAGTTTCAAACCAAAGTCAGACAGGTAGCTGCAAATACATCAAAATGAAAATTCAACAAAGAAAGGAATTGTTGCTTATTTTATTATAATCTCATCCTCTTAGCCTAAAACAGTGCCTGGCACTTTGTAGTTGCTCAGTAAATAATTGTTAGATAAATGAATGAAGTTTCCCTCTATAAATTCCAGAAATATTTGAGAAAATTTTAAAGATAATTTTTGTTATTATAAAGCAATGTTTTACTGTAAAAGTGAAGACTATATTGATATAAATATATAAGCATAGACACAAAATGATTAAAATTGATCATAATCCTACCACTCAAAGAAAGCCACTGCTATTATAACACACTGGTATATTTACTTTCAGTTCTCTTTCTTATGTATATTTTTAGACAGCTGAGATCAAACATTACTTAAAATAGTTTATCTAGACTTCAATGTTCACTTAAAGTTTTAATATAATCCTTTCCCAATGTTATTGAAAATGAGAGTATTCATTATGTACTTTTTAAATGTTATATTTAAACATTCCAAAAGGCCTGAAAACAATTTTTATTGACAAGCAGGTTTTATATAAGTTACTGGCAGTAGATTATTCTCTAGTCATTGATATTGAATTTGTGATTTATAGGCTTAAAGGCAAAACTATACTACAGGAAACATTTCAACCATTAAGTATGCAGTTTTGAGACGAGACAGAATATTCCTTTAGTTCATTCATTTGTCCCTACACTCGACAAATATTTATTGTTGACTTAATCCAGACTAAGTACTGAGAATAGGATGAGCAAAACTACACAGCTGCTACCCCGTAGAGCTTATAATCTAGTCAAGGGAGACAGACATTAATCAAACAATCAATAAAGTAATTGAAAGTTGTAAATGTTAGGAATAAGAGGTATATGGTCATATACGTCACTATTCAATAAAAGGAGCTGTTCAAGACTAGGATGTGTGTGTGTGTGTGTGTGCGTGCGTGTGTGCACAGCAGGGAATTGGGGGTAGGAGGTAGGTTGGGAATAATTTTGTCTAACATTTAAGAAGTACTTCATTCAATGCTAGTGAAGCCTTGTGTTGGAAACATATGGCTTCTCTCATTTTCTTATTTGATAATCACAGCATCTTATGAGTAAGAATTATCTTCCTTCACCTTACAGATAAAGAAATTGGGGCTCAGAGATAAGTCAAATAACTTAAGATTATACAGCCAGTAAATAATGAACTGGGATGAAAACCCAAACAATAAGACAACAGAGCGCTTAAGTCATATGCCACATATCCCACTTCCCTGCATAACTGACAATTATACTAAGATATAAAGGATAAGCTGGTGTTAATAAAGCATGGTGTGGGGGAGGGGAAGAGAGAACATTCCATGCAGACTGAGAAACATGAGAAAGCCCCAAGACAGGAGAGGCTGCTATAAATTAAAGTGGGAACAACAGCAGTAACAAAGCCAGTGAACTAAGTAAGGACACAGAAAGTAATGGGAAATATGGAGATGAGACTGGGAGATGAGGCTGGGCCAGTGAAAGCCCTCATGGGCCACATGAAGGACTCTGGCATTCCTAAATGCAATGAGAAGGCATTAGACGCTTTCACTGCTTTTATCTGAAATTCAAACACTTAAGGGAAAGAAAATTCATAAAGGTTGGATCTCATGAAACAAGAACTAGAAGGACGAACACTCGCTCAGTTTTGAAAATATTTTCTAGGACCTATCATATCTGTATTAATAAGTATGCATACTTCAGGAATTTTAAAAGTGGTAGCTTTTGAATACCCTTTAAGATAAACCAAATGTAGACAAATTTAACAGAGGCTTGGGTTTGCCTTCTGGGTCTGGGCAATTACCTTTACTTTGTGCAATTTTAGTAGTTTTCATCTTTATTTTGGAATTACTTCTTGCCCCAGTTTTTCCCTTGTCAATTTTTTAATATTTTTAATATTGTTGGCAAGACATTTCTTTTCGTTTTTTCTTAATTTTTTGGGGGGGGAGGGATCTGGGAAAAATTCCCTGAACATACATCTAAGTAATTGTCAATTTAATTTTCTGCCGATTATTCATACCAATGATGAAAAACAAATTTACTTAAATATAGAAACTAAGACTAACTCTGAAAGTTATGATGATGGAATAGAACTTAAATGTCATAGATCTTAAGAATATTAAAATAATAACTTGACTAACAAAAATACGAGGTAAGAGGAAGGAAAAAACAAGTTCATTAATTTTCTCAGTTTAACAGAAGAGAATGATACAGTCTAAAGGTGAAAAAATATTTTTATACTCGATTTTTTATAATCCTTAAAAAATACAGTAAAGAATTCCTTTAGAGCTCTATTGTGAAGAAATATTATTTTTGCCCTAAGTGGAATTACTGATAAAAAGATAAAATTATGTTACACCAATTTACATGTCTATAAGCAGTGTATAAGAAAGCTCATTTTATAACATCCTGACCTACACGAGGATTATCTCCTGAAGGACAATCTACTAAGATAGTAGGCACAAAAAAAATAATAGTCTCTCAAAAAATTTCTTCTGTCATTGTAAAGTTGAGCTTTTTGGCACACTTGTTCAAAATTTTTATTTACCACATCCATTTTTCTATTTTTGTCTTTTGCTTTTTCTTATGATTTTATGAGCTTCTTTGCACATTAAGAATATTAACTTTTTCATATATGATACAACTCATTTTTCCAACTTGTGGTTTATATTTTAAATTTAAGGTACTTTTTGATGTACTTAATTTTTATGCAATCAAAACTATCTTTTCCATTAAAGCTTTCTTCCCTTGCTTTTACGCTTTAAAAGATCTTCCCTAACTTAAGGTCAAATTAAATAGCAGCTCTATTTGTTAGTATGAGGTAGGTCCAAATTTTATACTTTTCTCCAAGAAGGTGAACAGTTGTTCCAGTATATTTATGGAACCAGCCTTTTGTCCAAAACATATGGATACATTTTTGAGGCATGACATCTGCTCACACAAGGTT
Organism: Homo sapiens; assembly: GCF_000001405.40. NCBI lineage: Eukaryota > Metazoa > Chordata > Mammalia > Primates > Hominidae > Homo > Homo sapiens. The sequence continues at coordinate 109,055,093 of NC_000006.12, forward strand.
CTAATCCTCACCTCTACCTGCTAATAGCTGTGTGCTTCTCCTTCCTGAAGACAGAATCCTCTTTTAACCTGGTCCCTGGGTGAAAAGAGGAAAGGGAGGGTAGGATAACCCTGGTCCTTATCTCCGTTCAATTTATTTTTTGCATCTAACTCCCTTCACTTTCCTCTCCAATCCTTCTTGGGTCCCTAGTTTTTCAGACTCTACTTTCTTGTTTTCAAGTTGTGTGGTATTTTTCAGAAATGTAGTTTGGTATTAATTAATGAAAGAATATATAATAAACAGAATGGTGGCTGGGTGCAGTGGCTCATGCCTGTAATCCCAGCCCTTTGAGGGGCTGAGGTGGGTGGATCACGAGGCCAGGAGTTCAAGATCAGCCCGGCCAAGATGGTGAAACCCTGTCTCTACTAAAAATACCAAAAAATTAGCCGGGTGTGGTGGCAGGCACCTGTAATCCCAGCTACTCGGGAGGCTGAGGCAGAGAACTGCTTGAACCTGGGAGGCGGAGGTTGCAGTGAGTGTAGATCATGCCACTGCACTCCAGCCTGGGCAACAGAGCGAGACTCCACCTCAAAAAAAAAAAAAAAAAAAAAGAAAGAAAGAAAACCAGAATGGTTATTTCAATCAACAATATGGTTCACAAAAGTCTAGTAACCATTACAAATAAAATTATCACTAAGTAAAATAGTGCCTAACAGAGATTATTTTTAAATTTCCAAAAATTGTGTAAGATCTGTACTCATTGTCCGTGATATATAGTAGTTACTCAATATGTTTGTGGTTGGGAAGAATTTTTCTTTTTGGATCTGAAAACTGGCATTGGGTATAGTTTTAGATTTCAGAATTTTTACTGCCTAAATATTTTATGCAAACAAATGTAGAAGAATACAAAGGAGAAAGTAACCTAAAATTTCCTCACAACAAACTACTTATGATTCACAATTTAAGCTATTTCTGTTAGCTAGCTAGGTGCCAGTGAGAACTTTATTTCTAAAACAACTAGAGAAACCACCACACTTTTAAAAGAGTAATTTTCACTGGGTGCAGTGACTCATGCCTGTAATCCCTACACTTTGGGAGGCCAAGGCAGGAAGATTGCTTAAGCCCAGGAGTTTGAGACCAGCCTTGGCAACATAGGGAGACCTCATCTTTACAAATAATTTAAAAATTAGCGAGGCATGGTAGCGTACACCTTTCCCAGCTACTTGGGAGGCTGAGACAGGAGGATAACCTGTGCCTAGGAGGTTGAGGCTGCTGTGAGCCATAATCGTGCCACTGCACTCCAGCCTGGGTGACAGAGCAAGACTTTGTCTTGGAAAAACAACAACAACAAAAAGCAATTTTCTGGGCTACTCCTAATCTCCTAGAAGATGCATCATTAACTCTACGAACAGGCAATACAGGCAAATTAAAAGTAGTCACTGTCATCAAATGCCCTGGTAGTGGCAGAAAATGGACAGTAGGCTAACCCAAGTTCCATTTCCAACTTCCTTCTGCCTGTCTCTACTACAGAGGCTATGAAAGTTAAACATTTGACTTCCCAGCCTCCCTTGAGAAGCTATGTTACACAGTTATCACCAATGAGATACAAACAGAAGTCTGCTAGCACTGTCTCTTTCCTTTCCTTCTCACTGTGTAGTACATATTTGTGATGTGTAGGAGGCAGCTTACAAGATGGCTCCCAGTGATGCCTCCCTCCTGAAGGGACTACATCCTGTATAGTCCCTTCCCATACTGTATCAGGGTTCTGTGACCACAGAATATGGCAGGAGTGATAGCTCACTTCCAAGATTAGGTTATAAAAGACATTGCAACTTCCATCTTGTTCTTATCTCCATCTGTCCTCTCCCTCCCCTGACACACACACTCTAGACCCTCCCCACTCTCCCAGATCATTTGCTCTGAGAGAAGTCCACTGCCATGCCTTGAACCCTGTAGAGAGATCCCTATGGTAAGGAACTGAATTCTCCTGCTGACAGTCATGTGAGTTAGTTTAGAAAGGAGATCTCCAGCTCAAACAAGCCTTCAGAGGACTGCAGCTCCAGCTGGTATCTTGACTGCAACCTCATAAGGGACCCTGAGCCAGAACCTCCCAGCTAAGCCATTCCTGAATTTTCAACCCTCAGAAACTATGTGAGATAATTAATATTTATTGTTTTAATCTGATATGTTTTAGGGTAATTTTGTTACACAACAATAGATGCCAGAAATATAGTGATTGATACGTGAAGGTACAACAGACTTTTTACAACCTTGATACAAATCACATTCTAAGGATGGCAGAGGGCTTTTATTAATGTAGTTGAACATCACACCGGCTCTGGACTGCCTAATTAAGACTTCTTGTGGAGGCAGACCCCTATCTGTTTATACTACATAGTAGGGTTTTTTTGTTATTTGCAGCCAAACACATTCCAGACTGACATACTCAACAATTCCCAAAATTCAATTACTGTTTCTAAAGAAAGGTTCCTCTTATTCAAGGATCTACCTCTGCTCAGAAGTTCATACTTCTCTTATCTTCTGGAACCCAGTTGTTCATTTAATGATCCAGAAAAAATATTCAGGCTGTCCTGCAGGAACTCCTAGTATTTAAAGGCAGTGGCAAGGATTATCCCCTTCATTCAGCAAGCAATTACAATACTTTCAGTAGAATGCCTACTTCTTAAAACATGTCTCCCTTTGACATACTAAAAACTTCATTCAGCTACACCCCAAAACACAAAGAATTCAGAAATGTATTCTAAGCTGCTGGATCATATAATCCATAGGAAAATGAGTTTCTCTTGATGATAACCTGCTTTATCATATGAATTCCAGGAACATGTTTCAGCCCAAGAGAAGGAACTGGCTGTCTCTAGATGAGGTTCAATCATGTAACACATAATGATGTTTCAGTCAATGATGTACTGCATATACAACAGGGTCCCCTAATATTGTACAGTAACTTTTTTTTTTTTACTATACCTTTCCTATGTTTAGATATATTAATTAATTAATTAATTAACTTTTTGAGGCAGGGCCTCGCTCTGTTGCCTAGGCTGGAGTGGAGTGGTACGATCACGGCTCACCGCAGCCTTGACCTCCTGAGTTCAAGTGATCCTCCCACCTCAGCCTCCCAAGTAGCTGGACCTACAGGCACACACCACCACACAGGACTAATTTTTGTATTTTTGTAGAGATGGGGTTTTACCATGTTGCCCAGGCTTAGATATATTTAGATATACAAATAATTACCATTGTGTTACAACTGCCAGTGTGTACTCAGTATAGTAACATGCTATACAGGTTTGTAGCCTAGGAACACTAGGTTATACCATATAGCCTACGTGTGCAGTAGGCTATACCATCTAGGTTTGTGTAAGTACACTCTGTGATGTTTGCCCAAGGACAAAATTGCCTGATGACATTTCTCAGAACATATGTCCATCATTAGGTGATGCGTGACTGTACAGATCCCACATTGTCCTCCTAACTGCTTATCTCTCTCTAGATGCCAAAAGATGCCAAACATTGTAACACGTAACAGAAGGAAAGTTTCATTTGGCACAGAAGTAAAAGTAATTCAGATCTAGTGACCTTCTTTTGTTTTTTCTTTCCAAGTGTACAATTGCTGAGAGATAGAAGCAATGCAGCCCCAGAAGAGGAAGAAAAATGACAGGAAATCCCGATCCACACTTGACCAAAATCATCAAACAATCTAGGCAACTGGTTTTCACTCGTATGATAGTTTTTTAAGTTGTCAGCAATTCTTGGCAAATACAAGAATAGAAAATAACTTCAGTAAAACTCTGAGCTAAAAGGCTTAATATTCTCATAGGTGTCTTGCCCTTATAAAGGGTGGGTGGGTAGGGGGGTACCTAAAGAAAGGAAATTTAGTCAGAGAATAAACCTTCTGCTGTAAGAGAAAACATAATCCAAAATATCAAGTATACTATATTTGAGGAAACACCAAATTTAAAACGAAGTTTTTCAAAATTTATGTAACTCCATATATATCACTTCATACACACACACACACACACACATAATTTACAGATAACTTCTTAACATTTAACCAACCTGAGGAAGCTATTTCTTAAAATTTAATTTTAAGAGAAATTCATTTTAACTTTGAGATGTAAAAAACAGTCTAAGATCTTTGAAGCTAGCCAGAGTACATTCCTGGATTCTAATAGTACTGCTTAATCATAGCCAAGCAGACACAAAATGGTGTTTCATAAAAGTGTGATAGTTGCTACTGCAACGATCAGTAGGTGTGCTTTTAATGTTTATTCAGTTGCATATTTTCAGAACTAACATGACATGGATTGCTAAAGCCTGGAACAGCTCCTTGATTTCGAAACATGGTCACTTCCATAATGGCTATATATAAAAAAGCAGAATAAGAGGGCAAAATTTTGTTTGTATTTTTATTTTTAAAATATGGAACGCTTTACAAATTTGCATGTCATTCTTGTGCAGGGGCATGCTAATTTTCTCTGTATCATTCCAACTTTGGCATATGTGCTGCTGAAGCAAGCACAAGGCGGGCAAAATTTGAAATGCTAGTTCCCATCCCACAGAGACCCACACAGTACTCCTTACATCATACTTAGAGAAGGTGTCATATTCATGCATATTTTTGCTTTTGATCTGTGAAATTAATTTAGGGATAAATTCAGTTCTACTTTTTATTTTTCCTTTGCTGCCCCTACCGGCCCTTCCAATAACTTACAATAACATATTGTTTTAAAAAGTTACTTATGATAATATTCCCGAGACTTTTCTGCAATTTGACGATTTCTTCCACTCACAGGAAGACAGGCCTAGACTATAACAATGAAAGTGAACTCCACCAGAGGCAAAACAATGTGACTAAACACAGGGACTTCCCCTTTGCTACACCATGGTATTCTTTGACCTACTTTAGTTTTCTACAAATCATCCCTTTAGTTCTCAGCCTGAAAGCACCAAAGCTAGGCCTCTGTTAATCACACATTAATAAACAATAACAAACAACAAAAAAGACAAACACATGTGTACACACACGTACACACACACACACACACATTTATATTAAGGAGTAAACAATCTAATCTGTGGAAAAAGCCACACCACTAAATAAAACATTAACAAAGGATAATTTGTTGAGTTTTTTTTCTAGAATAGATTCTAAAAAATTTAAAAGGAGAATTTTTAGATAAGTATTTTAAGAAATGTAATAGCTTTTAAAATTAGTGTCTTGTGTATGTATTCCTGATCCACAGATCCCATCTTTTGCTTAAAGCACCTGTTTATAAAACTTTACAATTTCTAATTGGGAGTGGCAAGAGAGATCTGACATGCTTGATTTGACCTGCCAAGCCTTTTTTCCTTTGGGAGAATATTCATCTGCCTTTTCTATTGATTAGTTCAGTACTGTGCAGTTTTATGAAGATTCTAGAAAAGTGTTAGGTGAAAATAAACAGCAATGACAGTGAACTAATCTATTTTAGAGGGAAAATTCCTCAAAGGCAAAGACAATTCCCTCCCTCATTTACCTTTTTAGGTCAGAAAAAGTAGGCCATCAATAACTATAATTAGTGCAGCATCTGTAGGATGCTCGATTCTACTTTAACTACATAGAATAATTTAATCTCACTGAAATTATAATTAAATGAGATCAGTACTTAATATGTCATGGAGCTATTAGTAAGCCTCAGAAAACTTGTTACTGGAATGTAGCAATTGTTCTCCACAAGACGAATGACCAAGGGAATCAGGAATAATGACATAATCTTCCTTCTCTCTGTGTTAAATTTATGCCAGGCAACTTTCAATGTCTCCAGGAAAAGTATCCACTGCTCTTTCTATTCTCCCCTCTGAATCCTTGCATCAGGACAGACCAATTTCAAATCAAATACATTTAAATGGTTAAATCAATACATGTATATGAACCCTGATTTAATTTATGATTAAATTGCTACTCAGAAAGGTAACAATTTCTTTAAAAATGCATTTTACTTTTTGAAATATCTCACACATATTATTCATAACTCAGTTGTATATCTGACTTTAAAATGTACATAATCTAAAATTAAAGCAACAATAAGTTACTCTTAATTTTATATTTCCCTTAGGAAAAAAGAACAATGTACTAATATACATATCTGTGAAACCACATCTGATTCCATGTATTAAACCTAAATAATAGACAGGCATGCGATCTAAGAAAAAAACAGCCTTGACCAAAAAATTTTTTTCAACAAATTTAATGTTTAGAAATTTTCTATTTGTGTATAACATGTAAAATAAAAATTTTAAATTTTGAACACTTTCAGTTATAATTTAAAAATGTACCATGTATTTTAAACAAAAATTAAAGGGGATGTATCAGAATTAATTCTACCTAAATATTTTGGGATATGCAATAAACTTGATCTTCATCTTCCTCTTTTAAATTAATTAACCTGCTGGGTGAGGTGGCTCATACCTGTTATCCCAGCACTCTGGGAGATGGAAGTGGGTGGACTGCTTGAGGTCAGGAGTTCGCGACCAGCCTGGGCAACATGGTGAAACCCTGTCTCTACTAAAAATACAAAAATTAGCCAGGCATGGTAGCACACACCTGTAGTCTTAGCTCCTCAGGAGGCTGAGGTGGGAAGATGGCTTGAGCCCAGGAGGCAGAGGTTGCAGTGAACTGAGAGCGCACCACTGCACTCCAGCCTGGGCAACAGAGCGAGATCCTGTCTCAAAAAAAAAATTAATTAATCTAACAAATATTTATTTAGTTTTTACTATGTGCCTAATGAGTGATGAAAAAATAAATGATGAGAAAACCCTGATATGGTCTCTACCCACATTAAACCTCACTTTAGTGGAGGACAGAAATTAATCCAAGAATTATCTAAACGTGATAAAAGATGGTGCTCTGAGGAATAATGAGAGAGAATGGATCAAGTTAGGGAAGCCCTAGAAGGCTTTCTTTTTAAGAGACAGGGTCTTACTCTGTCACCCAGATTGGAGTGCAGTGGTACAGTCACGGCTCACTGCAGCCTTGAACTCCTAGTCTCAAGCCATCCTCCTGCCTCAGCCTCCCAGGTAGCTGGGACTACAGGCATGAGCCACCATGCCCAGCCTGGAAGGCATTCTTGAGGAAGTCAGAATTGAGAGAAATCCGAAAAATGAACAAGGGGAGTTTATTAGGTGAATAAGAGAGCAGAGGCAAAGCTCTGTCCAGGTAGAGGAGAAAGCATGTCAAAGGCTTTTGAGCAAAAGTAAGCAGTAAGCAAAGAGGGCCTGTGAGTCTGAGGCGCACAGAGCGAGGAAGAGCACATTGCAAGATGAGGCTGCCAAGGTCAGCAGCCACACCATGGAGGGCCTTGCAGGGAGGCTGACTATTCAATTTGGCTTACTCCTGTTGACTTGGTGTAATCCCTTCTCTCACAGTGTCCCAGTTTGGATGATAAATTATGTGAGGCCATGTAAAAACATTTATCTTTAACGAAAACACTATGAGAAGTCATATATAAAAATTTTAAGATGGTGTGTGCGTGTGAAAGAGAGAGACACAGAAATAGCTGTATTAAAACATGAATTCATACACAGTAGTCCCCTGGTATCTGTGGGGTACACATTCCAAGACCCCCATAAATGTGTGAAACCACAGGTAGTACTGAACCCCCTATGTACTATGTTTTCTCTTATACATACATAGCTATGATAAAGTTTAATTTAGAAATTAGGCCCAGTAAGAAATTAAAAACACTAAGTAACAATAAAATAGAATAATTATAGTAATATACTATAATAAAGATTATGTGAATGTGGTCTCTCTCTCTCTCAAAATACCTCATTATACTGTACTGTTGGTAAGTGAAAGTGAGGAAAGTGAAACCATAGATAAGGTGGGACTGCTGTATGAAGGTAAATATACAACTGCATCTGCAAAGTTTGAAACACACTTCATAGTTGGTCTCAGGGAGAACGAGATGTCTGAAAGTATACCAAACGAATGGGTTATAGAGCCTTCCTGCAGAGAGAAACAGCCCTTGGTCACTGCCCTGTCTGAGTCCCAGGAGTCACCCTGTAGAGGTCGGGCAGGCTTCTGGCCTGAGAGGGGAGCATGAATATGTCTGTCAGCCAGGGTAGAGACACACCTCTATATTAGATAGAAGAGGAGAGGGAAACTGCCAACATAGGCTCAGGTATAACTGTTTGAAGAGAAATAAGTAGGAGGGTGGGGTGGTGGGAGGGAGCACACGAGAAAAGAGAGGAAGCCTGCCCTTGGGCAGGGGGTTGGGGGGAAGGCCAGTAGGCTGCATAGACCAATGACTTGCCCCAAATTTTCCATGAGCCATACCCAGTAGGCAACTCAATTACAGTGATGGGACCAGAGGGGATAGAGATGATGTGGAAATGTTCATGGAGACAGAGCAATCAAAATTTAGGGAACCACAGTTGGGGAACTGTCTGCTCATCCCAACTGAGAACTCACTATCTTGCCAGAAGATGAGTTTTGCCTAATCCTTGAATCCTGAGGTCTTCTCTGAGATTAATGCTGTGATTACTGCTGTTTCCCCTTTGCATTTTCCTATGTACCCTTGCTGATCCTTTTGCTTTTAAGCTTTTGATGATACTTTGATTCAGATACGTCTTGTGCTACCATCTTTTAATCTGATTGTCTTTCTACTCAATCTATAAATTCGTCACCAGGGGAGTTTTAACCATTTACATATAAAGCTATTCATTACATATTGTGAAGTTAACACATTTCAAAAGAAGAAAAATACCTTCTACAAGTTGTCTGGTACCCAAAAATGTCTGAAAATAGTTATCCTTTAAAAAAAAAAGAAAAAAGCCAAAAAAAAACTAAAAAAAAAATTAGATTTTCATTTATTTTACCCCAACTTGTAGCCTTTTACTTTACCCATATCAATGCTGCATTAAATAGAAAAAATAAAATTGAGCCATGTATACAATTTTGGATCTAAAGAACTGAAATTCATGACATGGAAATTAACAATGAACGGTAAAATCATCATGAAATAGTCTTAGAATCTTAGTAAACTAGTATTTAGCCTTGTCACTAAACTGGCTTGATTGATATCTGTCAACTTCTAGAATTTCCCCCACTGCCCCCTTTTTTTCCTACAGGCCATATGATCATTCAAATCCTCAAACAGCTATACCCTTATGTTCCTGATTATATGCCAAGATGATAAATAAAGGTTTATAGATGACTCCAGAGTTAGCTCAGAGTCAATAAATCTAAAGGTGACCTAGTCCACATATCAGGCTATAATGGAAAATAGTGTATTTAGCTCCAAAGCATCATGGATTCAGCTACCTAGACAATACTCTGCCCAATGATGTACTAATTAACACCAAAATAGAAAATGATTTAGGACAGTATGTGCTTTAGAACAAAAGGAAGATCTGAAAGCCACAGTTCATCATCAATCACCAAATCAAAACATGGGACATAAAAAATATCAAATGAAAGAAGAGAAGAGAGGAGGGGAGAGGAGAGGAGAGGAGAGGGGAGGGGAGGGGAGGGGAGGGGAGGGGAGGGGAGGGGAGGGGAGAGGAGAGGTGGGGTGGGGGAGAGGGAAAGGGAAAGACCGAGAGTGGGTGGGAGAGAGAGAGAGGGAGAGAGATGAAGGAAGGAAGGGAGGGAGGGAGGGAGGGATAGCAAGCATAGAGTATATGAAGTATAAACAAGTCTATATCGCTGAGAGTACACTTTCAGGTTGGCAAAATCTGTGTGGTGATAAACTAGTAACAATTTAGCAATCTCTACATATGTAACAGAGGCAAAACAGCAACAACAGCAACAATAACCAGTCCTCTGTTTTACTTTCTACACCCTCTAGTTGCCTAAATGTCTTCATATTACATACTGTGACAATTTAAAAAAGTTATCAAGAATAGTACTGTGTCCTCTTGTTTTCCTCATCAAGTATGTAACATAGGTTACCTGTCACATAAGAAACTGTGCTATTTGAGTTGCAAAATTTTGCACTTATTTCCAATCCCTCTCTCCTTAAGTTCCCGAATTTAATAGCCCATTAACTCTTTTCAGTTCTCTATTCCTATTATTTCCCATTTTCACATCTATTATCATAACCTTTATAAGCATATATTTTCCTTAACTTTAGGCATGTCTGAGAATCATTATCACTATCAGTGTTCTTATAGGTTTATAAAAAAAATTATTTTCCCCTAATACTATTATTATGATGCTTCTCAGATTTATAAGAATAACTATTGTTATTTAGTTTCTTCTTTTCCTGTTTTCATTTACTCATTCAATTTTCAGAGATTTGTTTCTTTTTATTTTTCCAATATTAAAAGAAGTAACAATTCACTGTGATTGAAATAACTAAAATATAAATTCACTTGGTTTTAAAAATCACCTGATTGTCCCTCTCACACATTCCTTTCTATTTGATCATGAAGACATAGGGAGAAAACTCTGAAGCAGAGTCCTTTTTCTTTCTTAAATAGCCTCAAATGTGTAACAATATGACTAGAGGATGAAAAAACAAAGAAAAGCAAGATATTGGGCCATTGTAATAAGGACGAGGTTGCAGGCCAAAAAATAAGATAAATGTGTGTTCAGGTGTAGAAAAGACCCTGGATCACACATTTCTCTTTCTGACATATGTGATTGTAATATTCTTGGTGTCTTAAAATACTGACCCCTTATTAAAATACAAAAAAATTATTTTCTTTAAAATATTAAATTACTTTAATATTACTTTAAAATATTGAAATTATTACTATACCTTTTCTCTATTATAATAGAAGATACTATCTATAATTAGAATCTAAAACCAATACATTGAAGGTATTTTACAAAGTTAGAACTCCTTTTCGTCTAATGTAAGATAAGAGCCTAAACTAAGAATAAGATCATCCCTTAAATCTTAAAAGAGGCAAGTTTAAGAGGGATAAAAGAATCACTACTATCCATACTCAGTGAAAGGTAAAATTATTAAACGAATACAATAGTTCCTGGTTCTACATTCAAATTAATTATTTCCAACTAATACATATATTGACAGGTAATAAAAAGCCTTTGTTAGATCCTGTATCTTGATTTTTGGCTTAATAACATGTCTGTAAACTAAAACAAAAATACACAAATTTGTGATTTCTACCAAACTCTTTCCCTAGAGCCTTTGCTGTAGCTTCCTCACAGGGGAAGAAGCAAAACATAAGCTTGCTTATTTTTAAATCACGAAGGTTTGCTGTTTCTTTTTTTTTTTTTTTAAAGTCACTATGATTTGTTGTAATTTTTACTGGAGCAGTAGGGGAAGAGGGTTATTATTTCTCTTTGTCTCCCTGCAGTGAATTAGGGTAAGGAAGGAATGTGGATCCCTCTGGGATAAAATGAAAAAGAAAGTAGGTGGGAATTATATGTGGGTCTACTCTATTTCCCTTAAGAAATATCGACCAATTCAAGTAACCAAGATCCAGACATGTATCATAGCACTGAGATCATGTGATGGCATTTAAATTTTAATAAAAATAAGATGAAACTAAACAAGTCAACAATAGTCTTCTGTTTTCAAGTATGTGTGATACGAAGTAGAAAAAAGAGGCTCATGAAGATAACTCAAATGGTGGACACAGCCATACCACTTGAATAACCAACAGATATAAATGGATATTATTTTTAAAAGAGAAGAAATAATGACCATCCCAAAAAGAAACATGCTGCAATAGTGAAAGACAGTGCTAAGCTTAAAAGTTCGAGAGAGACTATGTAGAGAAAAATGGATTTGCCTGGGTCAAGTGTCAATGAAGACTTACAGTACAGCAAACGTTGAAGTAACAGATGCCAGAATACAATAGAAACTCTCAGATCTGGAGGAAAAAGGCAAAAAGCCACCATCATCTTATTATCTCCTTGGCCCTGGTTCTTCTGGTGCAATATTCGCAAAATCAATTATGTTTCCTCAGACAGGCCTACTTTGAAAATGTATGCTTTTCACCTTTCATTCTAATACAATTTAATCTGGTTGCTTTTCTGAAGAGGAAAAGAGTATATAACTTCAAGAGCCTATAGTCTGGATGTCCCACCATCCTCCAGCCCTCACTGTTCAACAAAACAGCTTGAACCCCAATGCCTCCTCACTCACAACTTCCCCTCCCTATCTGTAGGTCTCCAGTCTATCTGGGCACAAAGGGATTGTATCACTGTCACTGCAGGTCCTCCACACCATGACCAACTTCCCTGAGCTCCCATAACACCCTCCTGCACAGTGCCCACCCTGCTGTCACTCCACAGATCATCATTAATGTGTAGTCATCAAGGGTAGAAGTCTTTTATGGACATTTTGGAGGTAAAAGATAGTAAAAATAGGAGAGAAAATTCCCTAAAACTGAACGCTAAGTAAGATAACTGTCCTCCAAATTCAAAGAAAACAAAAAAGGAATGTAAGCTTTTCAAAGGGATCCATTTCATCGGCAGAGCCTCATTCCTATGGCTATAGCTTTGTGTTATTACCTCTCCCTCTCTCCGGTCTTTCCTCTTCCATCTCTTAGTTTTGAGTACTCAAATCCTATACACACTTCCTCAGGACTCTCAACTGCACTCACCTTGACTATTCACAAGAGCAATTTATTTTTGCTGCTGCCTTATCCTACCAGATCAGCCCCAAGTACTATTCTTTTCACAGTCTCAATCCACTCATCAAAATGTCTTCCTAAATAGCATGAAACAGACACAATACAGGTATGCTGGATATGTTCTATTTGCCCCTGCAAAGTATGTATCTGCCCTACTCTACCCTGTTTTGTGCTTCAAAATGCTCACCACTATGGACTGTATCATTACGGTACTCTTACTGTTTGGTTTATGATAGAGAGGCACTAACAAATTGGAGGACAGGGAGAAGAAGGTCAGGGTATTTATTCTGAAGGCAGAAGTGGGTATATTCCTCTATTGAAGGCCACAGTTCCTGTTAGGCAGGCAGGCTTCTCTTATAGCTGCAGACCTCACTGAGTTCCAGTAACTACACTCAACCTTTGCCCCTGAAGTTTGGGGGGGACAGTGACTTCCAGATGTCACTAGTTCAAAATGCCCATCATCCCTTCTTGGTTTCTCTTAACCCTGCATACACCTTTGTAGACAGTCCTTTTTCTCTTTAGTCACCCCAGCTGAGTGTGCCATCCATTTTCTGCTAGGATCCTGGCTGATTCAGCAGGGAGAAAAAGAAACTAATTAAAAATTTAATTGATATCATCAGAGAATAAAATACTCATAATATAAGAACTGGCTGCTCAGAGAAAGTAACAATCTGAGAATACAAAAGAGTTATTGAAAGTTAAAAACATGGCTGCTAAATAAACATGTCAATAGAAGAACTGAATAATAGAACTGGGCTGAAGGGCAAATTTGTAATTTGGAAGATAAGTTCAGGGAACTCTCCAAGATATAAAGTAAAAAGACAAAAAAGAAACGGTATATGAAAAAAGGTTAAGATGAAGGTCTAACACTTAACTATTGGTCAAAAAAGGACAGACATAAGAGATATAATAGAGGAGAAGTAACAAAAGAGAGGATAGAAGAGTAATTTGAGATTCAATCTTTATATTGAAAAGACCCAAGCATAGTGGGGAGAAACATATTCTGACATACACCAGTGAAATTTCCTGGGCTTTTTTTTTTTTTTTTGAGGCAGAGCTTCACTCTTATTGCCCAGGCTGAAGTGCAGTGGTACGATCCTGGCTCACTGCAACCTCCGTCTCCTGGGTTCAAGCAATTCTCCTGCCTCTGCCTCCCAAGTAGCTGGGATTACAGGCACCTACCACCATGCCTAGCTAATTTTTTGTATTTTTAGTAGAGATGGGGTTTCATCATGTTGGCCAGGCTGGTCTGGAACTCCTGACCTCAGGTGATCCACCTGCCTCGGCCTCCCAAAGTGCTGGGATTACAGGTGTGAGCCACCGCGCCCAGCCGAAATTTCAAACTCTAAAGATAAATGAAAGCATCTTAAGTTCCCAGAATGTCCTTCTTCTTAGGAAAAACATGATAAAGTATTTTGGGGTGAAGTGTTTGTAACTTTCAAGAGGTTGAGCAAAAGGAGAGAAAAAAACAGAGAAGGCCATCGTGGCAAAATGTTAACAATACGTGACTCTAGGTGAAGGGTATATGGCATTTTCCATACTATTTTTTGAACTATTTGATAGGTTTAAAAAAAAAGTTGCGGAAAAAAGAAAAACAAGCCTCCTAGAGAGGGGTAAAATAAAACAAACAAACAAAAAAAAACACCAAGTTCCATGCTAAAAGAATAAGAATGAGACTGGCATAAGACTTCTCATTATAAACACCAGATGCTAGAAAATAATGGAATAATGCCTTCACAGTTATGAGAGAAAATGATTTTAACCTAATATTCAAATCAACTGTAACAAAATCTGAGGTAAAAGTAAAAACATCTTCAAATATTCATGGGCCAGAAAACTTAATTCCCACAAACTTTAATTTTTTTTTTTTAAGACTGGGTCTTGCTCTGCCACCCAGACTGGAGGGCAGTGATACAATCATAGCTCACTGTTACCTGGGACTCCTGGGTTCAAGTGATCCTCCCACCTCAGCATCCCAAGTAGCCAGGACCACAGCCGTGTACCACGACACATAGCTAATTTTTACTTTTTATTTTTTTGTTGAGATGGTGGGAGGGGGGGTCTCACTATGTTTCCCAGGCTGGTCTCAAACTCCTGGCCTCAAGAAATCCTCCTGCCTCAGCCTTCTAAAGTGCTGGGATTATAGTTGTGAGCCACTGCACCCAGCCTCCACAAACTCTTAAGAAAATTAATACTGAGCTTATGAAACTTAAAAAACATAGCAATGAATTACTTAAAAAATGTGATGAAACCACATCTTATTATCACGCTAATCCAAGCATTACATCACCTACTGCTGAAACAATGCAACAGCCCTTTAACTGGTCTTCATGCCTCCTTTGTTGTACCTATCCATGCCCCACACAAGAACCATCATTTTATTTTAATGTTCCATTTTATTTTTTTAAATGTAGGTAACAGATTCACATTGAACAAAATACTTTCACGTGATTTGAATGTAGGAAGTGCAAAAGAGCATTAAGTCTCTGAGACCCAGAGAGTGGGGCCCCTACACTTTAGAGGGCCTGCTGTGGACCTCCTCCAGCTGCACCCCTCTGAGAGATGAAGTCCACAGGACTAGGGCATGTGCCCACCCAGATTATGCTTCAGGTACTTGGAACCGTAGGAATCTCTACTCAAATGGGCTGAGCCAGCTCTCTGGGCCTACACATGGGTTGTCCTCCCTATGGCTGAACACAAGGCCCATGTACGCAACCTTAGGCTCAGAAAGTGGACAGGCAGCAGCTGTATGTGGGGTGTGCAGCAGCTGATGTGAGGGCAGGGTGTCTATCCTTCATAGTGTAGGGGTGGGTGGGATTGGGGTGGGAGAACAGCATAGACAGGCCACCGCCAGGGCCCACCAGTTGAAATGGGCTTATGAAAACGTATACAGTGAAAAGCCTTGGACTCATTCCTGTCCCCAGCCAATGGCTACTTTTTCCAAAGACAACTACTGTTTCTAATACAAGTTAATCACTTTAAATCAAAAATCTGAAAATGTAATCTCCAACCTAAAGGATTTTAGTGGTTCTCTATTACTGTTAAGATAAAATCCAAAATTCTTAAAGTGGTCAACATAGCATTTTTCAAACTATAACATTCATTAGAACCATTTGGGGATTCAAGTCTGATCCAGTAGAACTGGGGTGAGGCTTGAGATTCTGCATTTCCAATATCTTCCCTAAGTGATACTGATGCTGCTGACCCATAGGCTACACCTTGAGTAGTAAGAGCGTATAAGAAATTAATATTCCTTTTGAAGCTATGACTTCAGCTACCCAGGTAGGGAAGGACGTTTTCCTCCTGGTTTACCCATCTCATTTAAAGAGAAAAAGCTACAGTCAGTCCACACAGATGGGAGAGAGGGTGGGTAGAAACTGCCAAGTAATAATAATAGCTAACATTATTCATTCATTCAACAAACATTTGTTGGACAATGTATGTGATAGCATTGGTCTAGAGGGTCCAGCAATGAACAAGAAAAAGTCTCAGTCTTCCTGGAGCTTATAACCTACTAGGGCAGACAGAATAAATATATAAGTAAATAACGAGTTCAGGTCGTGTTTGGGGCAAAGAAGAAAAATAAATCAAGATAAGGATCTAGAGGGTAAGAAGAGGTGCTATTTTAGATAACTAAGGCATATACAAAGATAGTTTTTGTTTCTTTTTTTTTTTTTTTACCATACTAAGTTCTAAGACAGGCACAATGCTAAGTACCTTAAAGAGATGAAGGTCCTTTTATCTTCATTTTGCTGATGATAAACTGAAGCTCAGAGATGGTAAGTAACTTCCTCGAGGTTAGACAGGCAGAATCGGGATATGGACCCCGGCAGTCTAGGATCAATTTCTGTGTTAATATGTATTTCCTGTTCATGTTACATGAGGGCTGCAACTCTGCTGTGCTCAGCTGAGCTCCCTGTGTTTTCATATTCTGGAAGCCAGACTTAAACTTTTAACCTGTAAACTGCCAGGTGAGGGCCTGCCAGTTTAAGACCAGCATCATAAGAAACTCAAGTACAAATATTCACCAGACACACTGCAAGAATGTGTCTTGTACTCACTCAGCAGACTCAGAGGCACGAGCTAACATTTAGTCAACAAAAATTTCCCTTTGTTGGTTTAAAACTCCCCAGTTTCAATCACTTCAATTTTTCTCTAAAGTTTAAGGAAAATAAGTTTAACATGCAGCAGGTCACTCTCGTTTTAGCAATGGTTCTTAATCTTTTAAGATCACAATCTCTTTGAAAATCTGATAAAACACGGGCTCTCTCCCAAGAAAAATGCAAGTGAGTACACAGTTTTGCATGCAGCTTAAGGGGTTCAGACACCTAAAATAGCAATAATCCTCAATTTGAGAATGCTTACATTGTAGCATCTTCCAAAATAAATCTCTGCTCTGAAAACTTTCTTCTCCCTGGTGAAGGGAGTGATCCTCTTTTACTAATTACTTAATTTAATTAAAACACAGTTAACTCTTAATTATTAGCATTTCAAAAATACAGCTTTATCCTCTAACACAGTTCTGCAGCAAAAAAGAAAAAGGACCTAGCTAGCTGTTAAGAATTAATTATTTCAGCTTCCTGAAAGGCAAGTTTCAATGATAGGTTATCTATGTGTGAATTAGCCATAAATATTTTTATTGTATAGTGGGTGATTTCCCTTCTATAGTCAGTAGTTTACAACAAGTATGTTGTTGAATATAACTCCAGTCCTTGAGAAACACAAGCATAATTTCCCTAAGTCACATATAATTTCCCCAAGTCGCATGTTTTTAGAGAAAGGTAAATTTGTTCCTTCTGCCCTCTAAAAACCATGAAATGCATCTCTAGACTAAGAAATGATTTAGGCTTCTGTATCATTTTTCAGCTTCATAGTATATTGTTGATTTTACTTTTTTTAATAAACAAAACACAGTACTACTAAAATGTAAAATGACACAATGGAGAGAGCAGGCAAGTAAAACAGTAACTTTTGATTCTTGATGCCTCATGTTTAATTATACAATGACTGAACCATAATGTGGTAGAGCTCTTAATACAACATACCCAAATTATTGCATGGCTAATTCAAGGAGTTTAAAGTAAACAGGAATATAAAGATGCTTAAATAAATACTTAAGGCCAGCTGTGTTTGTGACTTGAAAGAGAGCTAAGGCAACACGATAGTTGACTACGGAATCACCAAAAAATACAGACATTTTATCTAGTCAATTTTTTTTTTAATAAAATGGCAAAGATATTTGAATTAAGCAGATTTAGAAAAAATTATAAATAGGTAAATTTTTATTATTTGCATTCAATAGAATAAAAAATAAAGTGTTTTTTTGTTTGTTTTTTTAGTTTCAAGAGGCAGTATAGTATTGAAATTAACAAAATAAACTCTGGAGACCAAATGTCTGAGTTTGAATCCTTGCTCTGCCATCTGCACTAGCTAGGTGAACAGGGGCAAATTAGATAACCTCTTTGTGTCTCAGCCTCCTATTAAATGGGTGAATGCATGTACAGAGTTTAAAGTGGCACCTGCAAAAAAAAATCCAAGCATTTGAATGTAAGCTCTACGAGGGTAGTGATTTTTATCTATTTTTCCCTTTAGTGCATATGAGTACCTAGAACAGTACTAAAGATGGTAGGTGCTCAAAAAATATTTGTGAAATGAATGACTGTTATCGTTGTTATTATATGGTTATTTTCTCAATAGATGGAAACACTAAATCAGTTAAGCTCGGCTATTTAAACTTGGAAACTTTGGTCTCTTTTCCCCAACCCCCCTTTAAAAACATAAGTGTTGTGACATTGCAAACCCGTCTTCTCCTAAGACCCACAGCACCAAAATATGGGCAACAAACTAGATTTTGGTTGAGCAAGAGTGCCATCTAGCGCTCATAAAAGCTAAAAGCTGAGAATTAGGAGTAAATTTTTATTCAGTGTAAACACAAAGGGGAAAAAACCCACAAATGCAAAACTCATTAGGAAAAAATATTCTTCATTAACAGCCAAGGTGTTTGAAAGAAAGTTATTTCTAAATAAAAATCTCAGCTTTAAAAGTTGGTATATACCATATTAGAAGAGACATTTCAGAGAGTACAGTTTACTGAAGTTCTACTTACCTTAAAAGCCACTCTTCTATGAATAGAAAGTGGTGTTTTGACTTATTTTCTTTTTAATGACATGTGTTTGGTCTCATTATAATAGATTAACTCATTATAGAAATCTTGGAAAAATTAAGAAAAGCATAAACCACTGCCAAGAGAGATAACCGCTATTAGTATTGGGACATACAGTCACGTGTCACATAATAACATTTTGGTCAACAATGGACCATATATACTATGGTCATCCCATAAAATTATCATGCAACATTTTTACTGTGCCTTTTCTATGTTTAGATAACACAAATACCATTGTGTTACAATTGCCTATTCATTACAGTAATGTGCTATCGAGGTTTGTAGCCTAAGAGCAATAGCCTAGATATGTAGTAGGCTATACCATCTATGTTTGTGTAAGTACATTCTATGATGTTTGCACAATTATGTAATTGCCTAACAATGCATTTCTCAGAATATATCTGTCATTAAGCAACACATAACTGTATATATGTGTGTATATATGTATATACCTTCTAGATTTAAAATATACATTAAAAATAGTTTAATTTTAATAAAACATTTGGCCAAGATGCTAAAAATGAAATGAGAAAATTATAAATATTGATAATTTGTTTCTCTACTAAAATCAAGAGCTTTCTCTGTCATTGAAAAGCTCTCATCTCAACATTGTATTCAGTGGGTTAAATTTTTAAAATAAATTGCTATAAATTATGTAATCATTTGTGGGTAGCTCTACAATAGCCAAAATACATAAGAATTATGGTTTATAAAGTGAAAAAAGACAAAATTATTTCATCTGTTCCTTATAAATAACACAAAATTGATAGTAAAGTACACCAACTTGACTTTGGGTGATCTGAATAAAATTTGGGTTTGCTTAATATTTAATCTCACTCCTTATTCATTTGACAATGCTCATTAAAGTTTTGGGATTTGCTTTTAATTCTCTTTCCCCTCAAATCATAGACACAGAAGAGATTTGACTCACAGCTCACTAGAGAAGTATCAAATGATGAAAAGAAAGCTGACTGCCATTTCCTACCTTTTGGACAAATGCTGTTTTGCTTTTAGTACCAAGAATGGGAAGTAAAACATTTCCTAAAGTTGCATAGGAATAATGGTTGACAAGAGTCATGGAGGAAAGGAAGAACGAGGAAGATGAAGAAGCTGCTAGAGCCAGGCAGGCCTCTCCCACTGAGGCATGGTGAGCCCCACCTAGTGAGGGGGCAGGCACTGGGGTAGAGCATCTATTGTTCAGGCTGGTGTGAGGCTCCTTTATCTGGAGAATGGTTGCAAAGGTAGGAAGAAGTCGAGACTGGACTCATACTATCACTAGCTGAAGCACACTCTATTCTGACATTAATCAGGTTTCTAAGCATATACCCTAAATCACAGCTCTCTTCATAGTATGCAGGAAGGACTCTTTTCCTAACTCCTAGCTTCAGGAGATAGGTTGTTAGGGTAATGGTTCCCAATGGCTTTTAAAATGGTTCCTAATGATCCTCCTGGTATTCACTCTTTTCTGTAATCTGTTCCTTTTGAGTATGGACTAAACCTAGTTGGCTGGTTTCTAATGAAGTGATTAAGGTAAAAGTTATGGGATGTTTTTTCCAAGATTAGGCTATAAAAGACTGTGATTTCTGTCTTGCTGGCACTCTTTCTCAGGCTAATACTCTCTCCAGCTCCTCACGTTTCCTTTGAAGAAGCAAATGGAAAGGCCCATGTGGCAAAGAACTGAGGGTGGCCTCCAGCTAACATAACTAAGAACTTGAGGCCCTCAATCCATTAGCCTGCAAGGAACTGAATCTTACATCATCTGAATGAACTTGGATGAAAACTCTTCCCAATTTGAGCCTTCAGATGAGACCATGGCCCTGGCAGATACTGTAATTGCAGCTTTATAGGAGACCCTGAAACAGGGATCCCAGCTAAGGTGTAAGCAGATTCCTAATTCACAGAAATTGTGAAATAATAGTTGTGTGTTGTTTTAAACTACCAAATTTGTAATGAGGCTATAAAAAACTAATTCAGTTGTTAAAAAAATAAAAGCTCCTCAACACCCCCTCCCCGACCCCAGAGGGAATGACTCTGAGGGTCTTTTTCCTCGGCTTGTGGAAGCCTCTGCAGTAACCACCTAAGCCTGGACCCTGCTCCTCCCTTTGGCATGACTGACACTTTCACAAATTAGGTCCTCTCCAGTTCACTGCATAGTCTCTCTCTGTCATCCAAGGGCTTCTGCACTTTCCCCAACATCTGAAATAAATAATATGATGTTTGAGCAAACTTCCTAGTTCCATGCTTCAGTGACCAGACCAGATTGGAATCTAAGTGCATGTGTGGTTTCTAAGATAAATCATCCATCTTTATTATGTATCACTAATTGTACTGTGGTTTGCAGCTTCAATTTACTATTTACCAACTAGTATGAAAACAGTTCAGTATTTTAACAAGTACTGCTGTGCCAATGCATACTGGCTGAATATCAGTCCTAGTTTATGCTGTAAGTTTAATTTGCTTGATAAGAATCTACTTTCTTTCAATAAGTTTTCAATACAGTATAAGTGTATGAGTTTGAATGTCAAGCATAGTAACATTCTAGGGAAATTTCAATTCTTTAATGTAAATTTTACAACTTCTTTTGGCCATCTCAGTCTTTAAATTACGAGGGTATTACTTTATGGAAACTTGTTTTATTGGAATTGTTTTATTTATAATGCCCATCAATGTAGTGAGGAGCTTTGACACAAGTTATAGTTACATGTTCATACAGGCACTGACAGATGGCGCAAGGAAGATAAAAGGGGGCCACAAAAAGGAAACAAAAATGAGGCCAAAACTTAGTCTGCAGGAAACAACAACAGAACATTAATTACTTCCAGCCAGTCATCCGAGATTTGGTTTAGGCATGTTTGGGATAGAGGCAGTGTATACTTGTGTAAATGACAGACAAACTGAGAATAAAAGTTAATTATTACAGTAAAATTTATTTGCTGTATTAAGCTGTCTTTATTATTCCAACCCATCCTGATCTTTCCTTGCTCTGAATTACAGTCATGCTTCACTTAATGACACAAATATATTCTGAGAAATGTGTTGTTATGTGATCTAATCTTTGTGCAAAAATCATTGTGTGTGTTTACACAAACCTAGAGGGTAAACTCTACTACACACCTAGGCTTTATGGTAGAGCCTATTGCTCCTAGGCTGCGAACTTCTATAGCATGTTGCTGGACTGAATATTGTAGGCAGTTCTAACACAACGATAAGTATTTTTGTATCTAAACATATCTAAACATAGAAAAAGTACAGTAAAAATATATTATAATCTTATAGTACCACTATTGTATATGCAGTCTGTTGTTGACTGAAATGTCATTATGTGACACATGACTGTACTGTATCACCCTACATTTCACATACTTTTTCCCCATTGATTTTGTTTTCCAATACAAAAATAATACATGCTCACTGTAAAAAGCAAAAACAAAAAAACCAAAAAACTCTAGGAAAATAGACTAGTGATTAAGAACAGAGACTTAGAAATCAGACATGCCTTCTCGACTCCAGTATTCACTATTTAAGTTCATCTTTCTGGGTCTGTTTCCTCATCTATAAAAACTAAAACTCACCTCCCAGAATTGTTGTAGGTATAAAATTGGAGATTGCAGGGAAATGAGACTTCAGACAAAGTGCACAGATAGTTGTGTAAACTCATCCAGAATATGAATGTAAACCCCAAATATAAAAAGACAATAGTATGGCATGAACTGAGTTTTGCAGATCTGGTGTGACCCACATGATCAGACAGTGTCACCAGCAGCTGCACCCCACCTTTGGGAACCCTGGGGTCCAAGGAAAGAGCACTAAGGTGGCTGCAAGTACTTCTTCTCAATGAGAATGCCTAGGAGCTTCCCGTTTCCTTGACTAAATAAATCAGAAACTTAATCTAACATTATAGTGAGTGGGTTCATGCATATTTGTGTACTTCTTTTGTTTGGGAAAGATCTCTTCCTCAAAACCTGTAACCCATGGAAACACTGCAAATGTTATATGTAAAATGCTTACCACAATGCCATATGGTAAGCACTCAATACATTTAAGTGATTTTAATTTTTTTAATTCATTAAACAAGTCATATCAAAAATTAATTACTAATGATTACCATTATTCAAAGAAAAATTTAAATCACCAATAACTCTATTTCTAAAAGAGAACTATGGTTAATATTTTGGTGCATGAGTTTCCTGACTTTTCCCTCTTCTCTATAATAATAAATATTTTACATACTATTTTAAAGCTGTCTTTTCTATTTAAATTTGTATATTTATTTCTTTTCCTATACATACATTTTAAAACAATTTTCAATAATTACAATAAGTTCGTGACCAGCCTAGGAAACATAATGAGACCCTGTCTCTACAAAAAACTTAAAAATTGGCTGGGTGCAGTGGTGTGCATCTGTAGTCCCAGCTACTTAAGAGGCTGAGGTGGGAGGATCACTTGAACCCAGGAGATTGAAGGTGCAGTGAGCTATAGTCACACTGCTGTGCTCCAGCCTGGGTGATGGAGTAAGACACTGTCTCAAAATAAAATAAAATATAAATATAAATAATAATCCTTTATGTCTATAATCCCTGCTGTTTGATATTTAATTACCCACTTGTATATAAAAGACATATAGATAATACATTTATATCATAAATATATTAACATGTACACACTTTTAAGGTTTGGACTAATATTCAAACTGCCCTCTAGAAAGTCTGGCTGTATGATGCACTGTCCCACCAACAGCTGCACTGTTGTCAACACAGTACCATAAAATTTCACATTTTTAGCCAGTCTTAATTTGTTCTTCGATTTTCATTACAAAATTCTTAAGGGCAATAGTTGTTTTCTTTTGTTTTTACATCCCCCACAATGCCAAAACAGTGTCAGACATAAAGAAATATTTTAAATGAATTCTAACCTTATCTTTAAAAAGCATATTTATTTCAGCCTTAGGTGGAGAGGGAGGTCTGCTATAGAGGTGCTGTGGGATTCAGGAAAAAAAATAACAACCCTGTAATTCTGTATTTTAACAAGAGAAAGGAGCTAATCATAATTTAGTCTCATTCTGACCAATTAAAATAATATATTGTATGAAATGAAAGAATATTTATCTCAAGGTTTGAATCTTCATATATTACTATATATCTACTTCCAAATTCAAAGAGGGAGCCATCAAAGACCATTGTAGACTGGAATTGGATATTTCTTTATCGGAATAATTACCACTAAGAGAATAAAAATAAACACACTTCTGATAAATTCTCATTGCCTGGTGGAAAGGCTAAATGCAATTCTAGCCTGGGGTCAAATTTTTGCTTATAAAGTTATTTTTCTGTGCTAAACTGAAAAAAAAAAAAAGAAACAAAAGGGATTGTCTGATATTCATACTCTAATATTCAATACAGGCCCAATCATGCAAGATACGTTTAAATCTTTAACACCTAAGGAAGATGAATTAAGCTTTAATGTAGTATTTAAGAAAAAAGCAGGTGTCACTAATGAGGTATAACAGTTAGACTTTCCATCTTCCTTGACAAGGTCAGTTGCCAAAATCATTTTGTTTCATCATGTTATAACAGATTTTTAGCGCACATATCAAAACTCTGACCTAACAAATGGTATGCAAAAGGACAAAAATGGCATTTACTCTTATAAATTTGCAAATATTTTGTGCTTAATGGTACTGTCATAATAGGATTTACAATTAGAAAATCTCAATGAGGTATTTTAAAATCTAATTTAAAACATATAAGCAACAAAGTTAAAAATGCTTCAACAATTATGTTGGTTCGGGTACCCAGTTCAAATTGAGTAATTTCTGAACATTATATAACTTAGGTGAGTTTGCTTTTTAAGAAATCAAGACTAAAATGTTACAATTTATGAAATAAATGCTGAATTATGAAAGGGATGCAAAAAAGTACTTTTCTACATTGTTTAAACACAATCCTTTATGATTCTAATGATAATTTTCCATAATAACTGAATAAAAGAATAAGTTGAATCTGAAGTATGCATGAGCATACAAATGGGAGAATGATTTCTGTATGAGCTCAATGTAATTATACAACCTAGGCTTGATTTCTAAAGACAATTGAGGCTCCTTTTCTTTTTAGCTATAAACAACTTGCTGTATGATATGTAATGCAAAACCGTATTTTGGGAGATTTCAAACATTTATAATCCACAGGAAAAATACTCAACACTCCTACACTATTTTTTCAAGCCCACAATAGTGCAGTCTTTCAGCTATAAAGCCAGAAGCCAGTTATAAAACCAGTACTTTTCCACTAGAGTTACTTGTGGGGCGGGGAAGGGGACGTTCAGCACTGCAAACGTTAGGGTCTAAAATAAGATCATTGCAAGGAGTTACTACAACACTTGCACTGCCAGCACTGTCATGGCAACAATGAACTAGCTAGGAGAATGCTCTTTTAACTTTCAAAGCTAATCTTGAGTCTATTGCTCATGGAAATATACCAAATTTTCTTTTAGGTAGTGCATTAAATAAATCATCTTACTAGGAATCTCTTAATATAAAAATAAGCCTTTTATACACCATATTTCCAGGATCTCAGTCCATAGAATCCTTGCGATCAGGCAACTTTTATAATGACAACATAATGAAAATTATACACCACAGTGAAACATGAAGATTCAGTAGGGTTCAAATCAGTTTCAACATGGGTCAAGGTTTAAATAAGAACTTGATATGCAACTTAATAACATCTGAGAATGTGGTTTCCCCTAGAAAAGTTTTAAGTTTTACCTTGAAGGAAAACAATTTGGGAAAGAAAGTAATATATTTTTACTGTTAGGAATCTTAACGTTAAATTTTTATTCAGATAATGAGGTATAATGTTGGAAAGCACAGACTCTTGAGTCTCACAGCCTGGGTTTTAAACCTGACTCCTCCTCTTACAGACTGAGCATCCCTAATCCAAAAATCCCAAATCCCAAATGCTCCAAAGTCTGAAACATTTTGAGAACTGACACGACACCCCAAGTAGAAAAATTCCACACACAAGTACTTAATACAGACTATTTCATGCACAAAATTATTCCAAGTATTGCATAAAAATTACCTTCAGATTATGTGATAAGGTATATATAAAACAGATATATTTTGTGTTTAGATTTGGGTTACATCCCGAAGATATCTCATTATACATATGCAAATATTCCAAAATCCAAAAAAAAAAAATCTGAAATCTGAAACACTTCTCGTCCCAAGCATTTTGTTCTGTTTTGAAACAAGGCCTCCCTCTGTTGCCCAGGCTGGAGTGCAGTGGTGCAATCTTGACTTACTGCAGCCTTGACCTCCTGGGCTCAAGCAATCCTCCTACTTTACCTCCCAAGGAACTGGGACCACAGGCATGCATCACCATGCCCAGCTAATGTTTGTATTTTTTGTAGAGATGAGGTCTCACTATGTTGCCCAAGCAGGTGTTGAACTCTGGGCTCAAGCAATCCAACAAAACCCTGGGATCACAGGTGTGAGTCATGGTGCCCAGCCTGGTCTTAAGCATTTTGGATAAGACATATTCAACTTGCATTAGCTATGATAACTTGGGCAAGTTTTTAACCCATCTGGGCCTTGTTTTTTCTTGACAGATAAAATGGGAATAAAAATATCTACTCATACAATGTTGGGAAGGTTGAATGAATTATTACATGAAAAGGGCTAAGGGTTAGGTGTGGCATACAGAATGCCTTTTCTTCTTGTTTTCAAAAGCATACAGACTGCTAATGGCTCTTTAAGACAACTTGATTCCAATCCCATGGCACATTTTAAAGCAGACAGGAAAGTCTGGTGCCACCTCTGCCCCTCCCCTCCCATCCACCCCAATTCACAGAAGATAAACTAGGCAGGCATTGGGAGCTCAGCAGGAGCCCCAAAGACACCTGCCAGATATTACCAAGCAAATTCAACCTTGCTTAGTTCCTTTCTTCTAAATTATATCAGGCTGTCTGATACAGAAAGCACTGTTTTGAAGACTTTCTGCTTAGTATGTCAAGCTCCCATTGGGGGAAGCACAGTAGAAACACTGATAGGGCAGCTCTAATGTCCTCATTAAACCGTCAAGGAAAGAAACTTCTGTAGTAGATAACTTGCTTGGAGTACTAGACATGAATCAACCAGGAGCAGAGTATTCGGTTGCTTACTGGCAATACCGGCATACAAACAATCACTTGCTTTCCTATATTATGTGTCCCTGAAGACACGTTGAAATTTAAATGTTTATAAGTGAAATAAGAGACTAACTCAGTGTAAGGGAAATCCAGTTCCCAGAGAGCTAAAACAATATTTATAAAATCCTTGTAGTTCCTAGAGGCACTATTTCCCCTAGGACCAATGAACCTTTAAAGTAGCTTAAAACTTTCTCAGTTGGCTGGAGACTTGGGGGCTCTAAGGGCATATAGTGCTAGAGGGCTCAACTTCCTATCTCCTCCCCTAGAGGAAGGAGGCAGAATAGAATACTAAGTACTCACATTCACTGAGTGCTTACTGGGTTCCAGTAAGCATTGCTCATAACTCTGTAAGGGAACTGAGGCTTAAGGAGGTTATGTAACTTGCCCAGTCACACAGTTTGGCAGAGCAGGACTTAAACCCGGTCTGACTAACTTCACAGCCCATGGTCTTGACCATTATCCTCCAATGCTGTCCAGGTACTGAAGCACAAACTTTGGCCATGGGTCTCTCCATGTGCACTTGATCACCTGGATGATCCATGCAGCTGCCTCTCTGCAACCTCTCCCTGCTGGTGCCATGCTGGCATACCAGAATGATGCTGGACTCCAATGAAGGGCTGGTTGCTCCAGATCTGCTGTCACTTTGGGCAACTACTAACACTTACACTGGGGCAGTGGTACCCTATGACACGATGTATTAAAATGGAATTTAATGTACAAAAGGCAATTAGGGATTTTCAATACATGTGGATAAAGTGCGGGATGTATGAAAGTCAATCACGTAAAAATCAAGCGTATCCATTTCTAAACTAATGGCAGTTTCAAGTTTGACTCATTAGATGGAAGATCTAGATCAAATGCATCATTATCATCACCATCACAATCATCACCAATATTTGTTGTGCACTTACTATGTGTTAGGTTTACTTCTACATGCTTTACACGTTCAAATAATTCTCAAACCCACTGTATGAAGTATTATTATTATTTTACAGATAAGTAAACAAAGGTTCAAAGAGTTTATTCACAGTTAAATTTGTACAGTATACTAAAGTTTACAAAATGGTTTACCAATGTCATCTCTTAATTTTTAGAACCATACCACAAGGGAGATAATAAAATGTCAATTACTAGATGAGGAAACTGAGACTGTAGAGGTTAATTTATTCATGAGCACATGGCCAGTAAGAAAATTCAACATGACCTTTACACCATTCTGAAGTAAGATCTCTAGTCAAAGTGAGACTGTGGATACTTAGAATAGATGGTTAGGAAATAAAGTAAATCAGAAATAAAAAGTTTCTTTTGTTTTTTAAAGTATAACCTTTATTAAACTTAAGTGAAATACATAGCCTTTTCTTTCCCATGTCAAAAAATAGATAAGCATAGGGTTTGGCAGATAGTAGATACACACACATACACAAATCTAATGAATGAAATGAGAAGAAATGATTCATTAGGTTCAATGGTAAAATTTACATTGTCTCAACAAAATTTCAATTTTTCATACTCAGAATGACTGTCATCAACAAAGGTCATATGTTATAATTTAAGTCAGTCAATGTATACCTTAACTTGTTCAATGAGAAAGTAGATACATCTTAATTTGAGGTATAATCACTATCAATGACTTTGAGAGATCTTACACTGTGAGAAAACCTGTCTCCCTAACATTTAAATTACTTTTTACTTTTGAAAGGCTTCTCTTAAATATGTCCTTCGGTACCATTGAACATATCACTCTACCACTATTTTGCAAGGCTCAGTTTTTATCACATGATTGGAAGAATGTCTTGCTGTGTTTAGGCTATGAATAGCATTTGAAAAATTACTCAGTTATAATTATAGACAGCTAACACCTGCCAACTAGCTAGAAAATGAAATCATGTAAAATTTAAAGACAAGTGTGCAGTGCTTGTCAAACACAGAGGTATCAAAACAGTAAATGCTCACTTTTAGTAAGGTAAAGATTCTAATTACACTTTACTGAATATTACAATAAAAGTAAAAATTATCCTACCCATATGTTTAATTTTTCAAGGCATATATATTTGTCAGTTTGTCAATTTAAACAACTTTCAAGTTAAAATACTAAATTAATACTATTCACTAAATGAATATGTATATTCAATGAATGATTATATATACATATTAAAGTTTATTTGGGTAATATAAACCACAAAGCTCATGTCATAAATTTTTTTCCCTTTAGTATTGTTTAAAAGCTTAGGAATTAGGCCAGGCACAGTGGCTCACGCCTGTAATCCTAGCACTTTGGGAGGCCGAGGCAGGCGGTTCACTTGAGGTCAGGGGTTGGAAACCAGCCTGGCCAACATGGTGAAACCCCATCTCTACTAAAAATATAGCCGGGCATCGTGGCGGGAGCCTGTATTCCCAGCCACTTGGGAGGCTGAGGCAGGAGAATCGTTTGAACCCTGAGGGGGAGGCTGCAGTGAGCTGAAATCACGCCATTGCACTCCAGCCTGGGCAACAAGAGCAACAGTCGGTCTCAAAACAAAAACAAAACAAAAGAAAACAAAACAAACAAACAAAAAATAAATAAAAGCTTAGGAATTGTCCTAAGGTGATTTTATAATAAATGAAAGAATGTATAATTCTAAGAAGACCTCTAACTTTTAAAATTAAAAATAAGGTAATATTTATGTAAAATATAAAGCTAAAAGTATCTAGTTTTTCCAAGGTAATTCCCTATTTCATTACAATCTATCAGATTTCTTTATATAAAAGACATTAGAACATGAGAAGACAGATAATTATTATGTTGCCAAATTTAACATGAATTTTTTTGTTACAAACTAAAGGTTGTTTTTAATCTATTTATTTGAAAAGTGTGCCACAAACTGTGAGTCTACTCGTAATAGACAGATTTTAATAATAAAATACCAACTGGGAAAATCTAATAAATGCTCCTAATAGTCATCCTACAGAAACTCTCAAAGTATCTCCAGCGAAAAACGCACTTTTAAAAAAACAAGCATCTTTTAAAGTTTTTTTTTCTTTTATACAGTAACTTTATGGTACATGTATCTTTATTGACACTGGCTTATCAGTGTAGCAACCAACAGAAAAAAAAAAAAACAAGCATAAAAATAATGTTCCCATAGTGTGACTATCTAGCTAAGGATTTCATACCTAAATTTCTAGTGTGTCAATGCCCCTAGAAATACAATCACTGGCCAGGCGCAGCGGCTTATGCCTGTAATCCCAGCACTTTGGGAAGCCGAGGCAGGCAGATCACAAGGTGAGTAGATCGAGACCATCCTGGCTATCATGGTGAAATCCCGTCTCTACTAAAAATACAAAAAATTAGCTGGGTCTGGTGGCGGGCACCTGTAGTCCCAGCTACTTGGGAGGCTGAGGCAGGAGAATGGCGTGAACCCCGGAGGCGGAGCTTGCAGTGAGCCGAGGTCGCACCACTGCACTCCAGCCTAGGTGACAGAGTGACACTCCGTCACACACACACACACACACACACACACAGAAATACAATCACCAAATATTCTGAAGAATCCTTGAAATCTGATTTCCTGAGTATATTCTGCCAGCCTAATTAAAGTACTAAGTAATTTCTTTAAGGTCATTTCAAATCTTTCTCACTTAATGTAGTAAATGTGAGCTAGAAACAATGTGTCAAAGTAAACCCTATTTTCCACTGACTTCTATTTAAAAATTTAGATATTTTACCATCGTGTGAAAAAATAAACTGATTTGAGAAATTCTGACAAAGCAGAGATTAGAATTGGTGGCAAAGCTTGCTTGGTGCTGATGTACTTCCAGCAGCACTTTCATCCTTCTAAGCACTTTAAGCACGCTGCCCTCCCTGACCAGCATCAACTCTGTTCTTCCACAAATTCTAAGATTTTTCTCATGTCTATGGTTCCTTCCAGTCCATGCTAATTTGCTACAACATAAACACTGACTATTTTTAAGTTATAAAATTCTTCATGATTAATACATAACCCAAAGTAGTGCCCATTTTATTAAAATTTTAAGTGATTAAGAATCCTGTATTAGGCCGGGCACGGTGGCTCACACCTGCAATCCCAGCACTTTGGGAAGCCAAGGCAGGCAGATCACTTAAGGTCAGGAGTTCAAGACCAGTCTGGCCAACATGGTGAAACCCCATCTCTACTAAAAACTAGCTGGGTGTGGTGGCGCATACCTGTAATCCCAGCTACTCGGGAGGCTGAGGCAGGGAGAACTGCTTGAACCCGGGAGGTGGAGGTTGCAGACAGCCAAGATCATGCCACTGCACTCCAGCCTGGGCAACAGAGTGAGACTCCATCTCAAAAAACAAAAAGAATCCTTTATTATACCCAAGATTCCACAGCTACTTTCTGTCAGACCAAAGTTTCAACAATCCTTAAGTTAGCAGTTTGAATTATTAATTACCTATTCAAATGGTAAAAAGATATTTTGCAAATTTCTCATGGCTTATCAAGAGAAAAATAAATATAACTCTAAACAAAGACAACAGTACACCTACTTTCTAATTCTTTTACTTCATGAATGGTCTGCACATACAGCACCTTTAAGGACACAAAGTGTTGAAAATGAGAAAAAATTCTAATTAAGCCATTGTTTTAGAGGATCCTTCATGATGTCATGAACAACCCATGATCTTAAAGTAAAATTTACTATGCAAGTGTTTAACATCTTTGTACAAAATACTATATCCCATTTGTAAACAAAATAACTATGTTAGAAAAATATTTTTTAAATGAATCAGTTTTTTTCATGTTAGAGGCCAATGGGGGCACTCCAACAGGAATAAAATAGATGAAATCAGGCCGGGCACTGTGGCTCATGCCCGTAATCCCAGCACTTTGGGAGGCCGAGATGGGTGGATCACAAGGTCAGGAGTTCAAGACCAGCCTGGCCAACATGGTGAAACCCTGTCTCCACTAAAAATAGAAAAATTAGCTGGGCGTGGTGGCGCCCACCTGTAATCCCAGCTACTCAGGAGGCTGAGGCAGGAGAATTGCTTGACCCGGGAGGCAGAGGTTGCAGTGAGCCAAGATCGTGCCACTGCACTACAGCCTGGGCGACAGAGCAAGACAGCATCTCAAAATAAATAAATAAACAAAAATAAATAAAATAAAATAGACGAAATCTGAACACATAAAGAGTACTGTTGTTAATTTTGATCTTTCTGAAGAGTCAAAACATAGGACAGGATGTATTTATATATTATAAAGAAGACACTGAGTATAGATAGTACAGATATGATTCCTCCTGTAAGTCAGAAAGTGAAAAAAAATTGGCTGTCTTCAAACAATTTAGAAAAAAAAAGTTAAAGATTTGCCTTCAGTTTCTTCACATTCTTTATCCAAAGAAGGACAGAAAACCTGAGAATAAAGAATATTCTCTGAGCCTCAAAAGCAAGGAAGGAAAGTGGTCAAAGACACGAATGAGAGGAGGCAATGAGAAGTAAGCCACAAGGCTTTCTGAGGGAAAGGGACCGAGTTCACAACGTATCAATAAAATAAGAAAGGCCAGAAAATAGTGGTATGGAAGAGAGAAGCTTAGTGTAAATATTGAAAGAGGACTCTCATATTTGCTGTGATATCTAAGAGTCAGCAGTGAATGTTTGACATGCACTACCTTAGACTTTTGGCTCCACTAAATGGCAGTTAAAAAAAAATCAAAACAAAACAATCATTTAAAAAGACCAAATCTGCTTCTAGAATGTCTCCAATCTGTTATATTTTATAGCCCCACTAAAAATGAATTAAGTATGCTTCTAATCTAATCGGATCCAAATTATAAATAGACCAAGTGATATATTATCTAGTTAGATACACATGCAGTTTTAATGGAAGCCTCTAATTAGGCCTGACTGCCTTCTGTACTGCTTCTCCTCATCGAGAAATTTTCTGTTCAAGTGATGGGGGGGCAGGGGGCGGGTCTCCTGGTCCTTAGGGGCTGAATGCTGATTAGTCCAAACCAAAAATAGAAATGCCCAATTTCTTCATCAATGACTGGCTTAGAAAAGGGCATGTGACCCAATCCCAGTCAATAGAAACTGAGAGGAAGTCTGCTAGAGGGTTTCTGGGAAAGGTTTTCTTCCCCGAGAGAGAGACGTGGGAAGAAACTCTTTTCTTCTTAGCTGCAGATAGTCATGTCTGCACATGGTGCCTGGAATAGCATGCTGTAGGAATGGAGACATCATTTGCTATGCTGAGGAAGGAGAACAAAAAAAAGAAAGCAGACAAGTAATGTAGTTGAGCCAATGAATCAATCAAGCTTGGAACTGCCAACCTCCAGACTTATTATGTGAAATAATAAACTTATTGTTACATTTTCAATCTATTTATTACTCAATTGGATAGCAACTAGATACTGCAACTCCAACTGTAACTCTAACAGCTATAAATGTGCATCCTACCCAGCAACGAAAGTTTCATTTCTCCTGGAGGTGGGGGGGTAATAATCACTTTACTAAATGAAAGCCTCCACCACCCCACTTACCAAAGATAAGTATTTTGTTGCTTATTCTAAATTTTCTATCTTAAGCCAATTTACTTTCAGACAATATTGATTGCTGGCAAACTTATGAAAATGACCAAATGACCATTCTTGGAAAAGTACTTGGCTATTCTGGATAGGCCTCAAAATCTTTTGATACATATGTGCTCTCATATTTTCCTCCTTAATTACATGTATCATCAAGACTATAGTTCACCAGTAGACTATATTAGGAAAGTGGGCCAGTATTAATACTCCCATTCCTTTGTTTAGAGAATCAAGAGTATCAAAAGGTGTAATTCTTCTTTTTAAAGTTTCTTTAAAAACCCAGTATAAAGCCTTGGATGAGAATAGAAAACCTTCTTCAAAAGCAGGAAACAAGTCTTACTGATCTTCAAGTCCTAAGTACAGTGACTGCCTGGCCCAGAATATTTCTCAAAAATGTGAATATATTTAAACATGCTGATGTGGAATCAATAAATTGAGAACTGGGGTATAAACAAAAGATGCTATCTCCCAATGTGTCCATTTTTTTTTTTTTTAACAGATTTAGCTGCTTGGAATTGAATTCATTCTACCACCTTGTCATCGTTTCTCCCTTGCCAACTACAGCCCTTTTAGCTGACCTATAGCAATTAAGGGCTTTCAGGAGCAGCTGCAGAAATTGCATATGCACCACAGCTTTTGCTGCTTTACTAATGAATAACAGAAAGCATTATGGAGTGCTACATTTGAATTAATATTTGCTTTCTCATGTGAGGCTGATGCTAAAATGGTAGGCAGTGAAGCTGGAGAGGTAAGTGAAAGCCAGATAATGCTGGGTACTATATGACATTAAGAAGTTTAAATTCAATTCTATTCTAAAGGGCTTTTGCCAGTAAAGTTACATAGATTTTCATTTTAGATAAATGGCTCTACAGCTATGTGGAGGATAGATATAAAAGTGGAGGGTGAGTTTAATCTGGAGAAGAAGACATAGCAGTGACAGAACTAGAACAGCGGTATCGGGGGCAGAAATTCATTTAGGAGCTATTTCTACTTGGATGTCTCATAGGCAACTTAAACTCAACATGTCTAAAACAGCAGTCATTTTTCCCCTAAATTGACCCCCTGCCACTCTTTTGTCTCAGAAAACAATTGCACAATTCACCAAGTACCTCAAGCCAAAAACTTTAGAGCCATGCTTAATTTTGTTATTTTCCTCATCTTCTAAATCCAACTAAATACTATATCCTGTGGTTTCTAACTCCTTGATATCTATCAGACCCATTTTAATTTTTTCCACTCCCTCCTGCCCTACCTCACATCCTAGTCCACTATCACTTTTGTCATAGGCTAGTAGGACAACCTCCTAATTGATGTCACACATCCACTTTTGACCATGGAAATCCATTCTCTAGAGTGATCCTTCTGACACACTATCAATCACTATACTACCTTGCTCAAAATCCCCCAGTGGCTTCCATTATTTCTATGATAAAGTCCACAACCCTTAAATAGCCTATAAGCCCCTCTGGGATCTGGTTTCTGCCTAGTAATAGCAGGCATACCTAACATTAACTGAGCATTTCTTTTATGCTAGGCACTGTGCTATGCTTTGCAAACATCATTTATTTTATTCTCACAGCAACATTGTGAGGCAGGAACCATAAGCATAATGCTCATTTTGCAGATGAGGAAACTGAATCAAGGAGAGATTATGTAACTTATTCAAAGTTGTAGAGTTAATAAAGTACAGTCCCATACTGCGTAACATTTCAGCTGATGATGGACCCCCATATGCAACAGTGGCCTCATAAGATTACACACTTGACCCTTGAACAACAAGGGGGTTAGGGGGCCAACCCTCCACACAGTTGAAAATCTGTGTTTAACTTGTGACTCCCTCCAAACTTAGCCAACAATAGCCTACTGTTGACTGGAAACCTTACTGATAATATAAACAGTCAATTAACACATATTTTGTATGTTATACATATTATATACTGTATTCTTACAATAAAATAAGCTAGAGAAAAGAAAATGTTATTAAGAAAATC
Source organism: Homo sapiens (assembly GCF_000001405.40). Classification (NCBI taxonomy): domain Eukaryota; kingdom Metazoa; phylum Chordata; class Mammalia; order Primates; family Hominidae; genus Homo; species Homo sapiens. Next base: position 109,090,571 of record NC_000006.12, read on the forward strand.
ATAATGAAGAGATCATATATTTACCATTCATTAAGTGGACGTGGATAATCATGAAGATCTTCATTCTTACGGTCTTCACTTTGAGTACACTGAGGAGGAGGATCAAGAGGAGGGGTTGGTCTTGCTATCTCAGGGGTGATAGAGGTGGAATAGGCGGAAGGAGAGGCAGAAGAGGCAGGCATACTCAAGTGTAACTTTTGTTTGTTTGTTTGTTTGAAACAGGGTTTTGCTCTGTCGCCAGAGGGCTGGAGGACAATGAGACAATCACAGCTCACTGCAACCTCGAACTCTTGGGCTCAAGCGATCCTCCTGCCTTAGCCTCCTGAATAGCTGGTACTACAGGTGTGCTCCACTGCACCCAGCTAATTTTTTTTTCTTGACTTTTTGTAGAGATGGGTCTTGCTATGTTGTTCAGGCTGGTCTCCAACTCCTGACCTCAGGAGATCTTTCCACCTCAGCCTTCCAAAGTGCTGGGATTACAGGTGTGAGCCACCCCGCCCAACTTAGTATAACTTCTATTGAAAAAATAATCTTCCTATAAGTGGACTCATGCAGTTCAAACCTATGCTGTTCAAGGGTCAATTGTAATTCTATATTATTACTCTACCTTTTCTATGTTTAGATACACAAATACTTACCATTGCATTACAATTGCCAAAGCGTATTCAGTACAGTGACACGCTGTACGGGTTTGTAGCCTAGAAACAACAGGCTATATAACACATAGCCTAGGTGTGTAGTATCTAGGTTTGTGTGATTTCACCCTATGATGTTCAAACAAATATGATACCACCTAACGATGCATTTCTCAGAGTGTATCACCATCATTAAGTGACACATGACAGTATCGCAGCCAGGTCTGCCAAACTCCAGAGTATGTCCTCTTAAGCTATTCACGCCACCCTCAAACTGTCTGCCCCAGCCATATTGCATTACTTTCAGCTCCTAGAACTCATCTGCTCTCCTTGGCATGAGGCCTTCATACATACCGTTCCCTATGTCCGGAATGTCCCCTCACAAATCTCACCTTTACATGGGTAATATTTATTCATTTATCATGTCTCTGCTTAAATGTCATTGCCTCAGGAAAGCTTTCCCTTACTATCTAAAATTAAATTTTATATTTGTTTACTTCTTTATGGTCTGTTTCCCTTTGGTATGATGTCAAAATTGTTACCACTGGTCCTCAGTTCTCAGAATGACATTCAGCAGGAGTTCAATAAACATTTGTTGCATAACTGCAAGCATAAATGAATGATGCTGGGGTGGAAACTCCCTAAACTGAAAACTTCATCTATTCAGACTACTGATGAAAAACAGAAAGAAAGTATAAATTTGTTCATCCACTGGATATTTATTTAGTAGCTTCCAGGTCCCAGCCAGTACTCTTAAGAACTCATAGCCTTCCTATGGGAGACAGACACAAAAGCATGTGCTTATAACACAATATAAGTAAATTGCCTTTTATAATTGTACAATAGATGCAGAGATGGAAAAAAAGAGTATAAGTCTATAGGGAACCTTCCCAGGAAATTCCTGAGTCCTTTTGCAGGATGAAAGAGTCTTGAAATATATATTGCATAGTCTATGTATTTCACTTATGAAAGGGAGAGGAGCATCTACTATATATACCAGAGTACTTTACATCTGATTTAATTCCCACAAGAGCTCTGTGTTGTTATTCCCATTTTACAGATGTGGAAATCCAAGCTAAGAAAGGTCAAGGAATTTGCCCAAGGTTACAGGCAAGGACATTAGTAAAGGAGTGGAATTTGAGCCCAACTCTGACTCCAGTACCCACTTATTTATCATTATATTGAAATCCTTTGATACTATGCTCCCCAGAGCCTGCTTACTTTTATTTTCAATATAACTCTTAACACGATTGGTTATCTGGTTTCCCATTCTAATATGAATTAAGCAGCAAAATGAAAGATCAGGAAGAGACCAAAGTCAAGTATCCTGACGGCAAAGGAAAGAACAGAAAAACTATAAAAATTACACACAAAAATACAAAAACTAATGGATCATATAGTCAGTCCTCCACCCTTTGCTGCACAACAATAGTTGATATGCATAATGATGACCCCATTATGGACAAAAATGGTTGTTACAGTCACTACAGTCTAGAAGATAGAGAAATAACTTTTTGTGTTTCAAAGGGTAAACTTCAGTTACCTAGTATATTAATTCCTCTCGGGTAACTCTGAATTGTAACAATTGTTTCCAAAGTGTTAGTGAGAAGAAATATCCCAAGATCTTAAATAGAGTCTTCATTTTGTGGATATTATTTTTCTGTTGCTTTAAACTAAATTCAAGCCAGTATATAAAAACTGTCACTTTTAACTTACATAGTTACCCAAGTACATTTTAAATTTTAAAAATCTCTCATACAGGACTTTGGACAACACACGTGGATTGAGAAATGTAAAGATTGACAAGCATATATAAGGTGTTGCTGAATATTGTCAATATCTAAAAACTTAAAAAAAAGTATTCTAAGACACCTTGTAATAAAACAGGATAAATTATGAACGAAATGGAGGAAAAACTATAATATTTTTAACCTGCTGCACTCGTATCTTAAATAGCTACACATGTGAAAAAGAAACAATTCAGGCAAACACAGAGAAAGCTAGTTGAGCAATTTGCCATAAAAGTGTTTCTATCAAATACCCCACCTGGGTCCACCTTTTCAACATGAAGATATTAGCTTCTTTTAAGATAGGTTTTTATTATTTTATATAATTCTCTTCTTGAAAAAAGAGAGGTTGCATTTAGAGAACACATCCTGGTTTGTTTTGTTTTTAAAAATAAGAGAAAATTGTTCCACCAATTATCTTGAACAGGCTGACTAGGAAACATTTAATATCCTTTATCATTTTAGAGGCTTTTAAATGTGAGCCTTTACACTCAGAACACTGTGACAATGTGAAAAAAAAACACTGGCTACATTTTCCAACAACATGTAAAAAGAAATATAAGGAAAAACAAGTATTTACTTGGAATTAACTGTAGTTTTCATATATTCTTCCAGGAGCAAAGCAGTTTCTGCCTAAAACTCTAGAAAAACACTACTTGTTTACTTACAGAACACTCTAAAGATGTAAACTCATAATAAAAGTTTACATAACAACCTAATAGAAACAAACACAACGTGAATAACGGCAAGTAAAATTTAACTGTAGTAGAGACATAGTTGTATTTAAAATGCTCTTCCTTACCTGGATGCTCTTCAGAATAAACTCACTTTTCTCTCTCACATCTTTGAAGGGACACCTCTTAGAAAGCATAAGCAGATGAGCAAGTAGCTTATTCAACCCATCCGAAGACTCGGTATTTGAAAGCCCGTCTGATGGACGATGAGGTGTTTCTTTCACCGAACGAAGATACTCGGTTTTCCTCAAAATGGTTTGCCTAATGTTTTCCAATGCTGTCTCCCTAGTAGTTGAATCTCTGCTGCAGAGTCCATCCCATCTCACTTCATTCTCTCCTTCAGCCATGACAATAGTTTTTCCTTTGCGGTCTTCAGTTACCTTTCAGCATGCCCCAAAAAAATTGCTTTGTATTTTTAAAATGAAAAATGTAAAAATAAAATCAGAGAAATCAAATCGTCATGAAAACACACATCTGGGTGACATTTGGAACCACTGGTGCCTTCAGCCGATCTACAAGCTAGGTCACCCTCTCACCCTCTCCTTGTACACGAAAGGGCAGTCTTCTTTCTGGAAAAACAAAGTTTGAAAGTTGCAACCTTGCAGCGCTGGCTTTGGTGGGCAGAGAATTTCGGGGAAGCGTTCTCCTCCGTCTCGCGGGGTCAGTGGATATCCTCACGTTGTGGAGCTGTCAAATCCGTGCTCTGCCCCAAAAGGCTGTTAACAGCTGAACGCCCTCCAGCCATTCGGGGCTTTTTTGTCTGTGCAGCCACCGGGTTCTCTCCGGCGTTCCCACCCCGCCCCTTCTCCGACACCAGTCCCCGCCCTCCGCAGCTCCTCCCAGCGCCTCAGCAGCCGGCCGGCGCCGGCAGGGAAGGCTCGCCGAACCCTGGCCCACTGGCCGCAGCGGCCGGAGGCTTGGGCGCTGTCGGAGGGCGGCAGTCTCGGGCAGCCGTAGTCTCGGCGGGCGGCGGTGAAAAAAAGCGTCCCCCAGCCCCGCCAATTCGGCACCCCCGGGAAGACGCTACTTCTCCGATCCCTGAGCCCTCGCCCACCACCGCCGAGCCAGAGGGCACAGGGCGGCCCTGGCAATCCTCGAGCGCCAGGCTGGGCCGCGGAGCTGGCGGGGCGGCGGGGCCCGAGGCGCAAAGCCCGCCCTTCGCCCAGCCCCATCGGTGGGGATCAGCCCAGAGGGCGGGAGCAGGGAGTGGAGACGGGGTCCTCACCCCCAGCCCCTCCCCTTTCTCCGCCCGGCACAAACCGGGAGCCGCCCCGGCCCCAGCGCCTTCTTCCCCGCCCAGGCAGACGCGACCCGCCGAGGCAAAGCCTTAGGAAAAAGCCCCGCCCTCTGGCAGGCTACCCTCCGGACCCCAAGTGCGCCGCGCGCGGCTGCCAGCCACTGCCGGCTGCTACGCATGCGTGACTGCGAACTGGGCCAAGCGCCCCCGGAGGCGCTAAGCTTGCGCCCTGAGGCGGTTTCCGTTCCCGGACGTTTGGACTCTGTCCTGGAGAAGGGGAAGGAAAAAGTAAGACGTAGAAGTACACTGAGACTTCGTCACACATAAAACAAGCACGACAAAGAAAGAGGGCGCGAAGGGACTCCTGGAAGAAATTGAGTCTACATTTAAGATCACCCTAAAAGTAGTGACGGCCTCTTCATTACTCCAAACCCCAGATTTAAGTCGGTAGGACGTCTTCGCGTTGACTTGTGGGGAATGTAGTTTCGATGCTGCCGGCGCGTTTTGTTTGCGACAGAAACTACAACCCCCAGGGGCCACCGCGACGTTGCCTGTGGGTGCCCGCGAACCAACGGTTAGCGGTGGCAGGGGCTGACTGAGAGCGTCTGCTTGGTAAGCACTGTAAGCTGGGTTGTCACCTTTCCTTGACAGGGTTTTTCCTTCCTCCATTTCCTCTGGGATTTTGGAGACAAAGCCATCTAGGGTGGCCTCCCTTAGTCCAAGGACTTTTTCCAGTGACTTGCGTGGGAAGGACTAGTCCAGCTGCCCAAGCGCGGGGTGTGGTGGGTGAGGCAAGGATTTGGGATCCTGATCCCAAGGGTCGCAGGGAGCGGCCTAAGTAAGGCCAAGAAGGAAGGATGCTGTGGAAACTGGAGCTTCGCGCTGCTGCCTCTGATTCCGCCCTTTTTTGTGGACACACGCGGGGTGGATTTGGGATCTCCGCGCATTTGCACCTTTGTTTGCCTTTGCTTAGGGATGTTCTGGGCTTTATTTGCTCAGTCAAATGAAATCCTAGGCAGGGCTTTGAAAGCAAGTTGTCAAATCCATCTCGTAAAAGAATCCCCAGTATTCCTAGATAGGAATTCTTGCAGGCTTTAAGGATACAGCAGGAAAAAGAAAGCAAAACCGTAAAAGTCTCCAAAACTTAGTCGACTTTTTCAAAAGATTCAGTCATTTGCTTAAAATTAGTTTGCTTTTAAAAAGTTATTATTTGAGAAAAGTCGAGGTTTGAACGGCCATCAGTGGACTGATAATCGGTGTAGATTTTAATTCTTTACATTGCAGAATTGCATTGCACTAAATTCTAAAAATTTCGTCTTGCTAGGCACTGAGTATACAACAATGAAAAAGACAGTCTTACTAGTTAGAGGAACTAGTTGTTAGACATACGGTTACAATAATACATGATATCACTGGGATGTCTAGAAGGAGATGACTTAGCCCAATCTTGGAAAGTCAGGGAAATCTTCATCCCAGGGGAAATGAAGACCAAAAGAACAGCATATGCTAAGGCCCAGAGTGAGAGATAGGGTACTTTCAGGAAACGTCAGTAAGCCAAATCATGCATACTTGGCGGTGTGGGGTGGGACGGGAAGGGTGCTTTTTGTGTATTGATGCACTTAGAAGCTACAAAGAGACAGGTATTGTGAATTCTTTACATCGTTTCTGTAAGTGAGCTATTTTTGAATAGATGCATAGTTCTGATGAATTGGTCTAATTTCAAAAGCCTTGTTACATTCTGACACTTCTAGTTTGAATCTGAATTTTAAAAAGGGAATAACTTATGAGTGTGATTGAAAAAGCAAAACAAAAACCATTCCGTTTTCATCTCCTTTTTGGGATCTTCATTCTCTATCCAGCCCATAAAGGGTCGGGTAGTTTCTTAAGGCTGGGTGCCTTTTTATGCCGTAGTTAAATATGATCTCATGTATACCCATGGCTTCACCAACACCTATGACTCTCAAATGAATAGCTCCATTCAGCTTCACCTCTCAGCTTTCACAATATCTCTTGGATATTTCTTCTTGGATATCTCAAAAGCATCTCAAACTCAACATACCTAAAACCAAATGCATAGTTATCTCTTATGAATCTAATTCTTTTTCAGTGTTCCTTATTTCAGCAAAGGACACTACTATCCATCTACTTGTGAAAATTTGAAAGCTAAACATTATTCTTTATTTCTTCTTGCCCTTCATACTTCTATGGCCAAATTATTATGAAGTTCTGCCAACCTTATCTCTCAAAATATCCTTCAAATATATTTTTCTCTCCACCTGTCTTCAAACTGCGATAATCTCTCAAGACCACTACAGTAGCAATTATTCACAATGACCCTCCTCCATTAGTTCTCCATTATATCTGCCAGAATGATTTTTTGAAACTGCAGATTTGATCAGATTTTCTCTTGGTTAAAACTATTCAGTGGTGTCCTACTACTGTTAAAGACAAAACTCCTTTATAAAGCCTGACATCATCTGGTACTCTTTCAGACTAACTTCATATATTGCCCTCCAGATCAGCCATACAGTCCATTTTTCAGTCATTGGTTCTCATATTCCATTTCACCCACGCGTTTACTCAACAAATCTCTGTTGAGTCCCTTTTATATAACAGGACATTGAAGATACAGCATTGACCACAATATATAAAAATTCCTACTGTCATAGAGCTTGCATTCTACTGAGGAGAGATAATAAATAAATATGTAAAACACTTAGTAAATGAAATGAAGACAAATGCAGTGGAGAATAAAACAACTGGGAAGGGGAATGGGGAGTGCCAGGATGTGAGGGGCAAGGTTCACTTTTAAATAAGGTTGTTAGAAAAGACATAATCCAGAAGGGGACAATTGAGATATGAAGTAGGGGAGGGAATAAACCATGTAGATGCCTGGGCAAATAACATTCTAATGAAGAGAATTAGTGCAAAGGCCTTGGGCAGAAGCCTGAGTGCGCATTTGAGAAATAGCAAGAAGGCTAGTGTGGCTGGAGCACAATGAGTACAAAGAGGAGAATAACATGAGGTCACAGAGAAAGGAAGTAATGGTAGGAGAACATGTAGGTGACTGAAAGGACTAACATTTTTAATTGGGTTGGGAAAGCATTGGAGAGTTTTGCGCAGATGAGGGCATGATCTGACTTTTAAAAAATGACTACTTTTCTCTCTCTCTCTTTCTCTCTCTCTCTCTCTCCCTCTGTCTCAACGGAGTTTTGCTCTTGTTGCCCAGGCTGGAGTGCAATAGCACAATCTTGGCTCACTGCAACCTCCACCTCCCAAGTTTAAGTGATTCTTCGTCCTCGGCCTCCCAAGTAGCTGGGATTACAGGCATGCACCACCATACCTGGCTAATTTTGTGTTTTTAGTAGAGACAGGGTTTCACCATGTTGGTCAGGCTGGTCTTGAATTCCTAACCTCAAGTGATCCACCCACCTCAGCCTTGCAAAGTGCTGGATTACAGGTGTGAGCCACCGTGCCCGGCCTCTTTCTTTTTTCCTGAGACAGAATCTGACTATGTCACCCAGGCTGGAGTATAGTCATAGCTCACTGCATCCTTGAACTCCTGGGCTCAAGTAATCCTCCCACCTCAGTCTCCCAGGTAGTTGGGACTACAGGCACGTGCCAACAAGCCCAGCTAATTTTGTATTTTTTCCTTTTTTTTTTTAACTGAAATTACATAACTGAGATAATTTTTGTCTTTTTGTAGAGACAGGATCTCACTGTGTTGCCCAGGCTGGTCTTGAACTCCTCAAGTGATTGCCTCAAGTGATCCTCCTGCCTCAGCCTCCCAAAGTGCTGAGATTAGAGGCATAACCCACTGCAACTGGCCTGAAGTGAATATTTCTTTTAAATTGTGTTGAGCATAGACCATAGGGAAGCAAGGGTGGAAGCAGAGAGACTGGTTAGGAAACTAAAGTAATAATCCAGGTGACAGAATCTGGATACATTTTGATAGTATAGCCAACAGACTTTGCTGACAGATTGTGTGAGAGTAAGAGTCAAAAATGGCTTCAAAGTTTCTAACCTGAGTAACTAGAATGGAGGAAGTGCCATTTACTATTATGGGAAAATCTGCAGATTTGTGAATGGGAGAGAGAGGAAAGGTTGGTATTTTAGCTTGGCCACGTTAAGTTTGAGATGCCTCTAAGAAATTCACATTGAGATGTGGAGGTGGAGGAGGCAGTTGAATAAATGAGTCCAGAAGTGAGGAGAAAGATCTGGCAATAGATATAATTTTGGATTTTATAGTAGTGTTTTGATAGGAGTTGTTGATATCACCAAAAGTGATATTCTATGGAGTTTGGGTGGATTTGGAGTTCTCTGCAAAGGTGACTGAAGGAGCAGCCAGTGAGCAGAGAAAAACCCACTGTTCAGTAGGTGTTCTAGAAGCAAAATGAAGAAAGTAATTAAGGAGGAAGGAAAAATAAGTTATGTTAAATGTTGCTGTAGGTCAAATGAGATGAGGATTCATAATTGACCAGTACATTTAGCAACATGGAGGTCATTGGGATCTTGATAAGAAACTTTTGGTGGAGTAAAGGGTACAAAAGCCAGATGGGTACTTTTATTTATTTATTTATTTTTATTTATTTATTTATTTTTGAGAAGGAGTTTTTGCTCTTGTTGCCCAGGCTGGAGTGCAGTGGCGCTATCTCGGCTTATTGCAAGCTCCGCCTCCCAGGTTCAAGTGATTCTCCTGCCTCAGCCTCCTGAGTAGCTGGGACTACAGACACCCGCCACCATGCCCGGCTAATTTTTGTATTTTTAGTAGAGACAGGGTTTCACCATGTTGGGCAGGATGGTCTCGATCTCCTGACCTCGTGATCCACCCGCCTCGGCCTCCCAAAGTGCTGGGATTACAGGCGTGAGCCACCGTGCCCAACAATGGGTACTTTTATTTAGTAGAGTATGGGAGACAGCGAGTATGGATGCAGCACTCTTTTACTGTGTTCTTTGTCCAGATTGTTCTAGCCTGTCTTTAACTCCTCTTCTTGCAGGTCTTTGCTCAAATAATCATTTTCTCAGAGGTGTCCCTGATCTAATTAAATACTCTTCTTGTAAATAGACCTATTGCACCGTAAACCTTGAGTTGCTCTTATGTTACCAATTAGTTTTGCAGTTGTGCCATGATTTGATTAAAGTGTGTTTATTTCAGTAGAGCTTAAGCACACAAGAGGAACTACTGTGCTTGTTTTTGTTGATCATCTTATCTCTACCTCTGAGTACAGTGCCTGGTACCTAGTACAAACTTAATAAATGTGTGACGCAAGAATAAAGGAATGAATGAATGGAAGAATGATATAATGCCACAGAACTTTCAAAGGTATGGCATATTTATCTATCATTTACAAAAACACAAAGTAATTAATGGATGGACGAGGGTACATTATAATAAAAACATTTTAGAAAGTTCGTCCTAAAAAAAACAAAGCCGGGCACAGTGGCTTATGCCTATAATCCTAGCACTTTGGGAGGCTGAGGTGGGCCGATCACTTGAGGTCAGGAGTTTGAGACCAGCTCGGCCAAGATGGTGAAACCCCGTCTCTACTGAAAATACAAAAATTAGCCAGGCGTGGTGGTGGGCGCCTGTAATTCCAGCTACTTGGGAGGCTGAGGCAGGAGAATCGCTTGAACCCAGGAGGCAGAGGTTGCAGTGAGCTGAGATCGTTCCATTGCACTCTAGCCTGAGTGACAGAGTGAGATTGTCTCAAAAAAAAAAAAAAAAAAAAGAAGAAAGAAAGAAAGTTTACAGAATCTGTAGCCTAGGAAATGTAATTACTGGTCACATAAAATTTTATTTAATGTGATACAGTTTCACATTGTTTAATTCAGAGTTCTTATATTCATAATGTCTGCTTTTTGGCTGGGCATGGTGGCTCACACCTGTAATCCCAGCACTTTGGGAGGCTGAGGCAGGTGGATCACCTGAGGTCAGAAGTTCGAGACCATCCTGGCCAACATGGTGAAAGTCCATCTCTACTAAAAGTACAAAAATTAGCCAGGCATCATGGCACACGCCTCTAGTCCCAACTACTCAGGAGGCTGAGGCAGGAGAATCGCCTGAGCCTGGGAGGCAGAGGTTGCAGTGAGCCAAGATCGCACCACTGCACTCCAGTCTGGGCGACAGAGTATGACTCTGTCTTAGGAAAAAAACAAAACAAAACAGTCTGCCTTTTTTGCTGCAACATATCAATAGATGTTATGGAATTTAGAAGAACTTCTTTAGATCAGTAAATTTTCACAGTTACATTTTAGAAGAGTAATTAATTAGGGAACAGATATTGAGAGGTTTTGCTAACTTTGGTCATGGACCATGGAATCATGCAGTATGTTGCCTTTTAGACTGGCTCCTTTACTTAGCAATGTGCATTTATAGTTATTTTATGTCTTTATATGTATGGCTTGGGAGCTCATTTGTTTTTATCACTGAAAAATAATCCATTGTATGGATATATCACAGTTTGCTTATTCACCTTTTGAAGGACATCTTAGTTGCTTCCAGTTTTTATCAATTATGAATAAAGTGTCCTAAAAATTTATGTGCAGGCTTTTTCTGGGCAAAAAATTTTTAACTCATCTAGGAATATGATTGCTGGATCTCAGGTAACCCTATGTTTAGCTTTGTAAGAAACTCACAGCTGTTTTTCTTTTTCTTTTTTCTTTTTTTTTTTTTTTGAGACGGAGTCTCACTCTTTCGCACAGGCTGGACTGCAGTGGCGCCATCTCGGCTCACTGCAAACTCCGCTGCCGGGTTCACGCCATTCTCCTGCCTCAGCCTCCTGAGTAGCTGGGATTACAGGCGCCCGCCACCGCGCCCGGCTAATGTTTTGTATTTTTAGTAGAGACGGGGTTTCACCGTGTTAGCCAAGATGGTCTCGATCTCCTGATCTCGTGATCCGCCCGCCTCGGCCTCCCAAAGTGCTGGGATTATAGGCGTGAGCCACCGCGCCCAGCCATACAGCTGTTTTTCAAAGCAGCAGTACCATTTTCTATTTCCCACCAATGAATGAGAGTTCCTGTTGCGCCCCACCTTTGCCAGGATTTGGTGGTATCAGTGTTTTGGACTTTAGCTGTTCTAATAGGTATGTAATGGTATCTCATTATTGTTTTAATTGGTGATTCCCCAATGACATATGTTGAGCATCTTTTCATACGCCTATTTGCTGCCTGTGTATCATGTTTGGTGAGGTGTCTTTTCAGATCTTTTGTCCATTTTTAAATTATTATTACTGTTGAGTGTTTTTGTTTTTTAGAGGCAGGGTCTCCCTAGGTCACCCAGGTTGGAGTGCAGTGTTGCTTTCATAGATCACTGTAACCTCAAACCCCTTGGCTCAAGCAGTCCTGCCTCAGCCTCCGAAGTAGCTAGAACTACAGGCATGCACCTCCACGCTCAGCTTACTATTGAGTTTTAAGAGTGCTTTGTATATTTTGGACACACAAGTCCTATATCAGACCTGCATTTTGTAAATATTTTCTCCAAGTCTGTGGCTTGTCTGTTCATTCTTTAATAGTGTCTTTTGCAAAGCAGAAATTTTTAATTTTAGTGAAGTCCAGCTTTCATGTATCATGCTTTTCGTGTTGTAGCTAAAAAGTCATTGCCATACCCAGGGTCATGTAGATTTTCTCCTGTCTTCCAGAACTTTTACAGCTTTGTGTTTTGCATATAGGTTTATGATCCATTTTTTAGTTTTTTTTTTGTAAAAGGTATAAGGTCTGTGCCTAGATTTATGTTTTTATTAAAAAGTTTCTGCTGGATCTGAAATTATTATTTTGATCAATAATATTAAAAGGTGAAAAACTTTTTTTTAAAGACCATTATACTGAATCTGTACAACTATATTGGTGCCATTCTTCAAAACTGTTCCTTGAGAGAGAGACCTGAAGTCAGCCTAAAGATGAGGCCAGGGAGAACTTTATCTGGAATGTATCAGGAAACCGGACTAACAGTTCCATTTTAGTTATCTGTTGTCAGCATGTGCAGTTGGCTGAGTGCTGTAAGTGAAAATTGTTAGGAAGACTTTCTACAATTAAGAATATTATTCTCCAATTGAATTACCTTGTTACTTGTCTACATTGCTGGTTTTTGTTTTTGTTTTTTTGCTACTTTTTTGCCTAGTCTTACAAGGTTGCAAAAATCAACCTGTGATTTTTCCACAATAGTTTGACCCTTCTCTACAATGAAACACTGAAGCCATGTAAACTTAAAATATCTCTTTCTATGATAACTGACTTCAACTTAAGTTTTTAAAGGAAATTATACTAATTATTTACTGTATAGTAGCATAAGCAGTTTTGCCTCTAAATGCTTCCTTAGTTTTTCTTTTGGCTTGTTGAAAAATGTCTTGTCAACCAAGTACTATATGTGTACTTTTATGTGTGGGGTATATGTGTATTGCCCAAATGAATCATAAAGGCTCTTAATTTGAATCTGTATATTTTATTTTTAAGTTTTCCTTAACAAGGTCGATTTGAATTCCTTAACAAGATTGATTTGAATGATATTCTTTTCAGCCCTTCAAAAACATATTTTCTGAAACACTGTCATACATACTATTCTCAGAATACCATGCCCCTTTTTTCTATGTTATTTTGGTTCCATCTTTCAGGAATAAATGAGTAAACCACTTAAATCAAGTTTACTCTTCAGTATTTTCTCCAGTTTTTCTGTTTTTGGTGTCTCCAAATTTACTATAGTATGCTTTGAATGACTAAATCTCTAGTATTTCTGACATATATTAATGGATAGATTTTTAAAAACCAATAATTGTTGAATCTATTTTCATTTTGCTCTTCTTGAAAGATTTGTGAGCGAGCTCTAGCAATATACGCAACATACAATATGAATTTTATAAACCAGTCTCACTACTGATTTTATTCTTATTTTTCTACTTATTTTCCTTATCCACATTTTACATGAATATATACATATATAGGGGTAAGATATTAAAATTATATGTCATTTTTAAAAGCATTACATATTTCAAACAAAAAATAAGAGTAACAAAATAAATACCCTTTTAAACTACCCCTTGGAATGAACAAATGTTAACATTTTACCTAGTTTGCTTTAGTTTTTGTTTTTTTTTTTTTCAATGAAATGAAATATCACATAGGTTGTGAAAGTGCTCTTGGCACAGTCATATATTGTCTTTGTCTTTTAAAAAAATGTTACATAGAAGATATCTTACTATCTGTAACTTACTTTCTGTTTTACTCAACAATATATTTTCAGAGCTTATCTGTGTTGCTAAATGTAGATCTTGTTTTCAAATTTTAGCTGGTGTATAGTGTTTCATTGTATGAATATGATACAACTTATTTATCCAGTCCCTATTAATGTATATTTATTTAAAAAAAAAATTTTTTTCTGTTGCAATCAGTGCAGCAGTGAACATCATTATACATATGTCCAGATATGTGCCATTTTCTCTAGGGTTCACTCATAAATTCGGAGAAGTGGAATTGCTGAGTTATAGGATATACACAGGATCACATTTTTCAAGTTATGTTTTGTTTTACCAGTTTACACTCCCACTGGCAGTTCATGGGAATTTTCATTTCCCCACATCCTTGACAAAACTTAATATTGATAGGCGTGTTTTTTTGTTTGTTTTTTGTTTGTTTGTTTTGTTTTGTGAGACAGAATCCCACTCTGTTGCCCAGACCAGAGTGCAGTGGCACAATCACAGCCCACTGCAAGCCTCAACCTCCCGGGCTCAAACGATCCTCCCACCTCTGCCCTACAAGTAGCTGGGAACACATGTGTGTGCCACCACACCCAGCTAATTAAAAAATTTTTTTTTTGTAGAGACAGGGTCTCACAGTATTGCCCAGGCTGATCTTGAACTCCTGGGCTCAAGAAGTCCTCCCACCTCAGCCTCCCAAAGTGCTAGGATTACAGACATGAGCCACTGCACTGGGTCCTGATAGGCTTCTTTTAAAATTTTTTTCAATCTAATGGGTGTAAAATAATTTCTGTATTGTTTAAATTTGCATTTTCCTGATCAATGAAGTAGAACGTTTTTGTCCTTTTAGCTATTCGTGTTTTCTTGTCTTTTAACTTCCATTGTACCTTTTGTTCCTTTGTTAATTGACCTTTGTGTTTTTCTTAATAATTTATAGGATAGAACTTGTTTCTGTATTTCAGATACTAATCTTTTATGTTATATATGTTTCTTTTTTAAAGATATCATCAATGATGTTTTTTGTTATACAGACATTTTAATTTTTATATAGTTTTATCATTTTTTCTTTTTTATTTGTAAATTGTCTTGTTTTAAGAAATCTCTTCTTACCCAAAGTCTGAAACGTACTCTATATTTTCTTCTAAAACAAAGGTTTGTTGTTCACGTATAGATGTTCAGTCTAGCTAGAATTTATTTTTGTGTTTGGCATGGAGTAGAGATATATGTTTATATTTTACCGTGTGGATAGCACTGTATAGTGAATATTGGCATAGTGAATATTGAATAGCCAATCCTTTCTCCATGTAAATGCCCTCTTTTTCATATACCAAATTCCCACATATGTAAAAGTTTATTTACTCTCTTTTCTTTTGTATCAGTCCCTTTTGTCTCACCTCAGGCCTATACCACTATTTTAATGACTGAAGTACCATAATCAGTCTTAATAACTAGAAAAACAGTACCATCTTTTTGTTCTTTTTCACAGTGCCCTTACAAATTTTTATTTGCCATTATCCCTATGATTCATATAGTTTCTGATGCTATAGTGCACATGTATGTTTTGAAATTACATTTTCTAGATAGATTATCTAGATTAGGGATCCCCAACCCTCGGGCCATGGACTGGTACGGGTTCGTGGCCTGTTAAGAACGAGACCACACAGCAGGGGTGAGCAACAGGTGAACAAGTGAAGCTTCATCTGTATTTACAGCTGCTCTCCATTGCTTGCATTACCCCCAGAGCTCCGCCTCCTGTCAGATCAGCAGTAGCATTCTCACAGGATCACAAACCCTCTTGCAAACTGTGCATGTGAGAGATCTAGGTTGCACACTCCTTATGAGAATCTAAAGCCTAATGATCTGTCACTGTCTCTCATCACCCCTAGATGGGACTGTCTAGTTGCAAAAACAAGCTCAGGGATCCCACTGATTCTACTTTACGGTGAGTTGTATAATTATTTCATTATGTATCACAATGTAATAATAATAGAAATAAAGTTCACAATAAATGAAATGGGCTTGAATCATCCTGAAACCATCCCATCCCCACCCCTAACCCAGGTCCGTGGAAAAATCGTCTTTCATGAAACCTGTCCCTGGTACCAAAAAGATTGGGGACCACTGATCTAGATTATCTTGGGTTGTTCTATATAGAAAATCATATTTCCTACAGATAACAATTTTTATACTCTTATACATCTTATTTTCTTTTTCTGTTTTGTCCCTTTGTCAGGATCTCCAATTCATTATTAAATAATACTACTGATAGTGGGTATCCTTGTTGTCAGTGTTTTTAGTGTCAGATGTGGACCTTTTTCTTGAAACTCAATACTTTTCATTTATTTTAATTAGTATTCCATTTATTAAAGTTGTCATTTTTTATATGCAGTTTTCCCTAAGACTTTGAGTTTAACTTACAAGTTGTACTACATCTATTTTAAGTATAGTAGTTTTTGCAAGGAAATAAGGACTTTGGCTTTTTTAAAATTAATGTTCAAGACCAGGCATGATAGCTCATGCCTGTAATCCCAGCACTTTGGGAGGCTGAGGCTGGTGGATCACTTGAGGTCAGGAGTTCAAGATCAGCCTAAGCCAACATGGTGAAACCCCCCTGTCTCTACTAAAAATACAAAAAAAGAAAATTAGCATGGCATGATGGCACACACCTGTAATCCCAGCTACTCAGGAGGCTGAGGCGGGAAAATTTCTTGAACTCAGGAGGTAAAGGTTGCAGTGAGCTGAAATCGCACCACTTCACTCCAACTTAGGTGACAGAGTGAGACTCTATCTCAAAAAACTAACGAAATAAAATTAATGTTTGGTTAACATGTACGTATAAAAGATAAAATTCTCCTTAAATATGTAATAGTATTTACAAACAAATTTCTTATACGTTTCAAACTACAATTTTCAATTTAGTCTATCATTTTATCAGATACTTAAGCAATTATCAAAACAGACCCTCAATTCTAATAAGCAGTATCTTCCTAAGTAAGCAACTTTTGTGAACCTAATAAATTAGACTTATATTTTTAAATAAATCTGATTTTCTTAATCATTTTAAACATTTAAAAAATCCAACCATGATTCACGAATTCTGGCTTGAATTTTCTCTCTGTTTTTAGCATCTGGGCATTTCCCCTTTTTCTTTTGAGCTTGGCTATATATTTTTTTAAAGTTATGTATCATCTAATACTTTTGTGTGTAGGTTAGAGGAGAGTTTTCTCTTTCATATTAATCAGAACTTTTTATATTTTCCTTCTTATTACATATAATTTTATAAGTTGCTTAATAGTCTTTCTAAAGCCTGAAAAACATGCGTTTCAGATACCTGTTAAATAATGCAAATTATGGATTCTTTTTATTTTTAAAAATCTAGACTTAATGGTTGTCTAAATAAGAGCATTAAGGTATTCATAAGGGAATTCACAGAGAAGACAAAACTTAATTGTTACCCCAGGTTTAGAACTCAAGAATTTGGCAAAAGCTTCAGTAAAAGTTCATATTTGTGGCTGGGCATGGTGGCTCACACCTGTAATCCCAGCACTTTGGGAGGTCAAGGTAGGTGGATCACTTGAGGTCAGGAGTTCGAGACCAGCTTGGCCAACATGGTGAAACCCTGTCTCTAATAAAAATCCCAAAATTAGCTGGGCATGGTGGCGCTTGGGTGTAATCCCAGCTACTTGGGAGGCTGAGGCAGGAGAATCACTTGAACCTGGGAGACGCAGGTTGTAGTGAGACGAGATCGTGCCATTGCACTGCAGCTTGGGCGACACAGAGAGACTCTGTATCAAAAAAAAGAAAAGAAAAAATAAGTTCATGTTTGTAAGTACAACTCTCTTTTAATAGAATTTTAGAAATGTATGAAAACCTCAAAATTAAGTTATTCATTTTGTTTAATTCATAAATATATAAAGTTATGGAGAAGTTAAGCTACTAATTAGGACAAGATCCCAGAACTAGTTAGAAACTAGTGTTGTCCACACCAGTGAATCTAAATGTAATGCCCCACCAGTAAGCAGTAGTGTTCTGGAGGAGTCTCTGACACCAAAGCTTATAAGGACTACAATATTTAATGTTCTACATTTTTCTCTTTTTTTTTTTTTTTTGAGATAGAGTTTCACTCTCGTCACCCAGGGTGGAGTGCAGTGGCGCGATCTCAGCTCACTGCAACCTCTGCCTCCAGTGTTCAAGTGATTCTCCTGCCTCACCTGCCACCACGCCCTGCTAATTTTGTATTTTTAGCAGAGACAGGGTTTCACTATTTTGGCCAGGCTGGTCTCGAACTCCTGAACTCCAGTGATCCACCTGTCTCAGCCTCCCAAAGTACTGGGATTACAGGCGTGTAATCCCACCACAGCCAGCCCCATTTTTCTTATTTTGTTTGACTTAATTGCATTTTCCTACATTCCTCTGTTCAAAAAGGGGTAGATGATACCTGTGAGACCTTGTGCTGTGATTTTTTTGGCCTTTATTAATTTAGAAAATACGAGAGACAAATTCTATTTCTTGTTCCAAAATAAATTCATGCAAATTGTTTGAATTCTGTTACTCAATTTTACCATCTCATTTATGAGCCCTCCTTATTTCTTGAATTAAAAAAGGCGAAGGATTTATATGCTCTGAAGAGAAACCACAGTATTGTTTCATGAATTATATTAACAAGAAGATGTTATAGCATCTACTGAATGATTTGGCTATATCATGATTCTGTTAAGTACTTTTGAAGGTACACTAACTTCGCAATTTTTATGTGCCATTCCATCAGATATACCAGACTGATTATTTACTAAATCAAGTGAACTTAAATACACAAATGCTAGAATTCGTAACTTGTTTTTAATAGGAGAGTCTCTTTCTCTTCCTTTACTCTCCCACACTAGAAATACAAATTTCTAACAAGGATGTTGTGGACAATTTGCTCTTCGTTATTTCTATTATCAGTTGTTATTTCTTGTTATCAATTACATGTCTCATAATATCTCAATAGTAGTCTCCTGTGTAGAGCTGCTTTGATGATTATGTATATAAACATTATAGACATTACTTGAAGTCTGTTCTGTGGAATGCTAATCTCTTAAGAGTATTCACCAAAAAGGTTTCTGTTGTACATAAATTTGGAAAATGCATGCTTCATCTTCATTTTGGAAATTTACAATGATAGTAGCATATTAAAGATACTGACAAGACTTGCAGGTAAAGAAGGTTAATTTTGTTTTACCAATTTCCTGAAAGTTATTTGCCAGGAAATTCATTTAATTTAGGGAGTAATTTCAATTAACATCCTTTGAAACCAGTGTTCCATAGAGCAAGTCTTGGTAAATACTGTTTAAAAGTATGAATCTTTAGTGGGTTGTAGATCTATAACATTTAAATATTAGAATGAAAAGTATATATATATTTTTATTATACTTTAAGTTCTGGGATACATATGCAGAACGTGCAGGTTTGTTACATAGGTATACACATGCCATGTTGGTTTGCTGCACCCATCAACCCATCATCTACATTAGGTATTTCTCCTAATGCTACCCTGCCCTAGCACCAAACCCCGTGACAGGCCCGGGTGAGTGATGTTCCCCTCCCTGTGTCCAAGCGTTCTCATCGTTCAACTCCCACTTATGAGTGAGAACATGTGGTGTTTGGTTTTCTGTTCTTGCGTTAGTTTGCTGAGAATGATGGTTTCCAGCATCATCCATGTCCCTGTAAAGGACATGAACTCATTCTTTTTTATGGCTGCATAGTATTCCATGGTGTATACGTGCCACATTTTCCTTATCTAATCTGTCATTGATGGGCATTTGGGTTGGTTCCAAGTCTTTGCTATTGTGAACAGTGCCGCAGTAAACATACGTATGCATGTGTCTTTATAGTAGAATGATTTATAATCCTTTGGGTATATGCCCAGTAATGGGATCACTGGGTCAAATGGTATTTCTAGTTCTAGATCCTTGAGGAATCGCCACACTGTCTTCCACAATGGTTGAACTAATTTACACTCCCACCAACAGAGTAGAAGCGTTTTTATTTCTCCACATCCTCTCCAGCATCTGTTGTTTCCTGACTTTTTAAATGATTGCCATTCTAACTGGCATGAGATGGTATCTTATTGTGGTTTTGATTTGCATTTCTCTAATGACCAGTGATGATGAGCTTTTTTTCATATGTTTGTTGGCTGCATAAATGTCTTCTTTTGAGAAGTGTCTGTTCATATCCTTCACCCACTTTTTGACATGGTTGTTTGATTTTTTCTTGTAAATCTAAGTTCTTTGTAGATGGATAGTCAGATGGATAGACTGCAAAAATTTTCTCCCATTCTGTAGGTTGCCTGTTCACTCTGATGATAGTTTCTTTTGCTATGCAGAAGCTCTTTAGTTTAATCAGATCCAATTCGTCAATTTTTGGCTTTTGTTGCCATTGCTTTTGGTGTTTTAGTCATAAAGTCTTTGCCCATGCCAATGTCCTGAATGGTATTGCCTAGGTTTTCTTCTAGGGTTTTTATGATTTTAGGTCTTATGTTTAAGTCTTTAATCCATCTTAAGTTAATTTTTGTGTAAGGTGTAAGGGAGGGATCCAGTTTCAGCTCTCTGCATATGACTAGCCAGTTTTCCCAGCACCATTTATTAAATAGGGAATTCTTTCCCCATTGCTTGTTTTTGTCAGCTTTGTCAAAGATCAGATGGTTGTAGATGTGTGGCGTTATTTCTGAGGCCTCTGTTCTGTTCCATTGGTCTATATATCTGTTTTGGTACCAGTACCATGCTGTTTTTGTTACTGTAGCCTTGTAGTATAGTTTGAAGTCAGGTAACATGATGCCTCCAGCTTTGTTCTTTTTGCTTAGGATTGTCTTGGCTATGCGGGCTCTTTTTTGGTTCCATTTGAAATTTAAAGTAGTTTTTTCCAATTCCATGAAGAAAGTCAATGGTAGCTTGATCAGGATAGCATTAAATCTATAAATTACTTCGGGCAGTATGGCCATTTTGACGATATTGATTCTTCCTATCCATGAGCATGGAATGTTTTTCCATTTGTTTGTGTCCTCTCTTATTTCCTTGAGCAGTGGTTTGTAGTTCTCCTTGAAGAGGTCGTTTACATCCCTTGTAAGTTGTATTCCTAGGTATTTTTTTCTTTTTGTAGCAATTGTGAATGGGAGTTCACTCACGATTTGGCTCTCTGTCTGTTATTGGTTTATAAGAATACTTGTGATTTTTGTGCATTGATTTTGTATCCTGAGACTTTGCTGAAGTTGCTTATCAGCTTAAGGAGATTTTGGGCTGAGACGATGGGGTTTTCTAAATATACAATCATGTCATCTGCAAACAGAGACAATTTAACTTCCTCTTTTCCTACTTGAATACCCTTTATTTCTTTCTTTTGGCTGATTGCCCTGGCCAGAACTTCCAATACTATGTTGGATAGGAGTGATGAGAGAGGGCATCCTTGTCTTCTGCCGGTTTTCAAAGGGAATGCTTCCAGTTTTTGCCCATTCAGTATGATATTGGCTGTGGGTTTGTCATAAATAGCTCTTATTATTTTGAGATGCGTTCCATCAATACCTACTTTATTGAGAGTTTTTATCGTGAAGGGTTGTTGAATTTTGTCAAAGGCCTTTCCTGCGTCTATTGAGATAATCATGGGTTTTTTTGTCATTGGTTCTGTTTATGCGATGGATTACGTTTCTTGATTTGTGTATGTTGAACCAGCCTTGCATCACAGGGATGAAGCCAACTTGATCGTGGTGGATAAGCTTTTTCATGTGCTGCTGGATTCAGCTTGCCAGCATTTTATTGAGGATTTTCGCATCAATGTTCATCAGGGATATTGGCCTGAAATTTTCTTTTTTTGTTGTGTCTCTGCCAGGTTTTGGTATCAGGATGATCCTGGCCTCATAAATGAGTTAGGGAGGAGTCCCTCTTTTTCTATTGTTTGGAATAATTTCAGAAGGAATGGTACCAGCCCCTCTTTGTACCTCTGGTAGAATTCGGCTGTGAATCTCTCTGGTCCTGGGCTTTTTTTGGTGGGTAGGCTATTAATTGCCCCCTCAATTTCAGAACCTGTTATTGGTCTATTCCGGGATTCGACTTCTTCCTGGTTTAGTCTTGGGAGGGTGTATGTGCCCCGGAATTTATCCATGTCTTCTAGATTTTCTAGTTTATTTACGTAGAGGTGTTTATAGTATTCTGTGATGGTAGTTTGTATTTCTGTGGGATTGGTGGTGATATCCCTTTTATCATTTTTTATTGCGTCTATTTGATTCTTCTCTCTTTTCTCCTTTATTCGTGTATCTATTTTGTTGATCTTTTCAAAAAACCGGCTCCTGGATTCATTGATTTTTTTGAAGGGTTTTTGTGTCTCTATCTCCTTCAGTTCTGCTCTGATCTTATTTATTTCTTGTCTTCTGCTAGCTTTTGAATTTGTTTGCTGTGGCTTCTCTAGTTCTTTTCATTGTGATGTTAGGTGTCGAATTTTGATCTTTCCTGCTTTCTCTTGTGGGCATTTAGTGCTATACATTTCCCCCTACACATTCCTTTAAATATGTCACAGAGATTCTGGTACGTTGTGTCTTTGTTCTCATTGGTTTCAAAGAACATCTTTATTTCTGGCAGAAATATTTATTTACCCAGTAGTTATTCGGGAGCAGGTTATTCAGTTTCCATGTAGTTGTGCAGTTCTGAGTGAGTTTCTTAATCCTGAGTTCTGATTTGATTGCACTGTGGTCTGAGAGACTGTTTGTTATGATTTGTGTTCTTTTGCATTTGCTGAGGAGTGTTTTACTTCCAATTATGTGGTCAATTTTAGAATAAGTGTGATGTGGTGCTGAGAGGAATGTATATTCTGTTGATTTGGGGTGGAGAGTTCTGTAGATGTCTCTTAGGTCCGCTTGGTCCAGAACTGAGTTCAAGTCCTGAATATCCTTGTTAATTGTCTATCCCGTTGATCTGTCTAACATGAAGGTGGGGTGTTAAAGTCTCCCACTGTTATTGTGTGGGAGTCTAAGTCTCTTTGTAGGTCTCTAAGAACTTGCTTTATGAATCTGGGTGCTGCTGTATTGGGGGCATATATATTTAGGTATCTTTATTTCTTTAAGCCAATTTATCTTCATAATTTTCTTTGTAACATGGATCGTCCCCTCTTCCCCTAACTTTTCCCCTCTTCCGGAGAAAAGCCCATGTCCTCCTCAGATCAAAATTTTTGTGTTCATTTACTCGTTTACCTCATTTTATTGAGCCCCTGTGAACACATCCGAGAGATACATGATGAATAAAATACAGTTCTCTCTCTTGAAGATCTAATACACTGATTTGATGGAGGAGGGGAGCCACCTATACAGGATACCCCCTCATATCTTTACTCATCATGACTTTGCATTTACCTATTTAATAGCATCAGAAAAATGCTCTCAATATATATTTTTGTAAAGACTTCTTCATTAAATCTATGATGTCAAAGATTATAAGTCACAGCATTATTTTATGTATCACAAAGAAAAACTGCTGCCAAATATAGTTTAAATGTGAATCCTGATTTTGGAGATGTTAAATGTGAAAAAATGTATGTATTAACATACAGTAGTAAATATTTATTAAATATTAGATGTATTTTGTTGTATGTATTTCTATTACATTAATTGAATTTAGTTACCAAATGCTTATTAAATGACTGCCATGTTAAAAAGTCCAGTGTAATAGAATAATGAATAAGATGTTGTCCCTGCTCTTAAGGAAGTATAAAGGAAGGCAAATGGGTACAGACATTGCTAGAATAAAGCTTTGTTTGCCATATTGTTAAAATCCATTCATCTGTAAATGGACACTTAGGTTGTTTGTATATATTTCTTGGCTATTGTGAATAATGCTGCAGTGAACATGGGAGTGCAGACACCCCTTTCTGTACTTATTTTTTTTTTGCTTTGGGTATATACCCAGCAGTGGGATTGCTGGATTATATGGTAATGCTATTTTTCATTTTCTGAGGAACCTCCATACTGTTTTCCAAAATAACTGTGTCAATTTACAATACCACCTACAGAGTATAAGGGTTTCTTTTTCTCCACATCCTTGCCAACATTTGTTGTCATTCATCTTTTTGATAATAGCCAATCTGACAGGTATGAGCTGATATCTCATTGTGGTTTTAATTTTCATTTCTTTGATGATTAGAGATGTTGAACATTTTAAAGTATATATCTGTTGGCCATTTGTATGCCTTCTTTTGAGAAATGTCTATTTAAGTCCTTTGCCCATTTTTAATAGGGTTGTTTTCTTGTTATTTCATAGTTTGAGTTTTTTGTATATTTTGGGTGTTAGCCCCTCATGTATATAGAAACAACAGAATACTGTTTAGCCTTTAAAAAAAAAAACAGGAAATTTCTTCATTTTCAACAACATGGATGAACCTAGAGGACATCATATTAAGGGAAATAAGCCAGGGACAGAGAAACAAATACTCTGTAATCTCACTTATATGTGGAATCTAGAAAAGTCAAAATCATAGAAGTAGAGAGTAGAATAGTGGTTACCAGAGGCAAGGGGCAGGGGATGGGAAGAGAGGTGGGAGAGTTGTAGGGCGTGGACAGGGAAAGGGAAGATGCTGATCAATGGGGTACAAAGTTAAGTTACTAGAAATAAGTTTTGGTGTTCTGTTACACTGCAAGGTGACTATAGTTATTATATTTCAAAATAGCTAAAAGAGATAATTTTAAATATCTCACTACAAAGAGATGGTAAATATTTGAGGTGATGGATATGCTAATTACTCTGATATGATCATTCCACAATGTATACATGTATTGAAATATCACCTTATACCCCATAAATATATACAATTATTATTTGCCAATTAAAATAAAACTAATAAAAATACAAAATGTAAAACTATATTTGTTAAAGCAACTAAATTAATCAGATAAACCATGATTAATACATACATTAAAATATGGCTAAATTAATGATAGTTGATTTTGTAAAAGTTATACATTAACAACTTCAAAAATCTTCTATTGTTAATTTTTTATTCTTTCATTGTTAGAAGTTAGGGGTAGTAGTGGATAAAAGGGAGAAATGGTAGGAAATATTTATTTATGGGTATATATGTATTTTTTTTTTAAAGGAGAGAAAAGAGAGAAATGACACTCCTTCAGAGTGTCATTTTAAAGGAATTTCATGTTGTTCTCAGTTGTAGTCTCCACACTACTCTATTTGTAGGGAAAACAATTCTAGTAGTTGTAATGTTTGTTTTCTTTGGGAAATTTACAAATTAGATTACGCTCAGCCAAACATGTTTCTCTGTTTGTGGATTTATACAATGGAAAAATGTTAACTTTAAGCTGGCATCTATGTGCTATCAGTAGTTTTATTAGTTGGCCCACCCATTGTCGGTGTGTGCACTCAGGGAATGCAAACTTATTTTAATTTTGGCTTAAATAAATAACGTTAAGAAAATAAATCTGTTATTTTTTTTAAAAAATCTGAAGCCAAGTATAAAGAAAAATTTGATTATTTATGATTTATGGAAAGCAGTACAGAAATCAAAAGGGTCCACAGTTAGAGTCCGGAGACCTGGGTTTGAATTCTGGCTTTGCTATTCATTTTTTATACATATTCAATTAGCCAAGTCACCCAATCTTTTCATCTGTTTCCTAATGTGTTAAAAAGTGACTGTAGTAATAGTAATAGCATTCTTTAAGGTTGTTAAGACTAAATTTAGCGTGTAAAAGCTTGTAAGTGGTAATACTTTTCAAATGTTAAGTTGATATTTTTAGATTTTGCCTTTTATTGCAGATATGAAGAATATACTATATAAGTAAGACTACATACATTTTATAGAATTGAGTTCAACAATTTTGATTTATCTGTATTTTTATGAGTTTTGGTCAAAAAAAGGAAAGTAAATTTGTTTTAGGTATTTCCTGGAATTCTATTTCCTCCCTATTAAGCATTTTATTTTATTTTATTTTATTTTATTTTATGTTATGTGTTGTGTTATGTTATGTTATGTTATGTTATGTTATGTTATGTTATGTTATGTTATGTTATGTTACTTTTTTGAGACAGAGTTTCATTCTTGTTGGCCAGGCTGGAGTGCAATGGCATGATCTCGGCTCACTGCAACCTCCACCTCCCAGGTTCAAGTGATTCTCCTGCCTCAGCCTCCCAAGTAGCTGGGATTACAGGCATATGCCACCACGCCCACCTAATTTTGTATTTTTAGTAGAGAGGTGGTTTCTCCATGTTGGTCAGGCTGGTGTCAAACTCCCTACCTCAGGTGATCTGCCCAACTTGGCCTCCCAAAGTGCTGGATTAAAGGAGTGAGCCACGGCGCCCAGCTCCCATAAGCATTTTAGAGATACTTTTCTTAACAGTAGAGTAGACTAATTGATATATATGTTACTTTATTTATATAGGTACAGTTTCAATCTTTTTCTAGGTTCTGATTGTCATAAAGCTTTTGATAAGAGGTTATCCAAGAGAAACTTTGTCTAAAGTATAGTATTATTGACTGGAGAAATAATCTCAAGACATGGTGAGAATTGTGACCTTCAGGAGTTTTTTCTAAGTTCTAAAAATCTCCAGTAATGCCTTAATTCAAAACAGGCCCAGACAATTTGACAATATGTACCAGAAGCATTTAAAACTGTCTTTGACCTAACAACACAATTGCTAGCCTGTTTCTTAATGAAAAAATTGGTAATTTACAAAATCATTTATGTACTGCCATTAAGAAAAACATACTTCTAAAGAATGATATACAAAAAAAGATAATGATTCAAGAAAACATTTATCACATATTAAGTAGAAAGACAATTTATACAAGCATGGTACAGTCCTAACTTTGGTTAAAATAATAAAAGACTGATTTAATATATACCAAAAGTGTGTTAACAATATTTTAATAATCTGAGATTGATAAAATTCCCGTGATTTTTATTTTCTTCTATAATTTCAAAATTTTGTAGAATGAACATGTATTACTTTTATAATCAGAAATATATATATAGTATGTTTGTGTCAAACTTCTTTCCAAACACTCTCATTCTAGTCTCAGCTATTATAGTAAAATATCATGGATTTATATATAACGTAAGCATAAGAAGTTGTAGGCAATATTCAGGTACACAAGAGAATATTACTTATGATTGAACTTATTGTGAATGCCTTTGACTATACCTTTTGGCTTTGCTGCTCTACAAACCTTCTCTATCTTTTGATGGTCTGTAATGTGCTGCTGATAGGAAGTTTTTAATTGAAGGATGAAAGGTGATCATATTGAAGGAACCTGAGGCTGTCTTAGCTAGGGCTTGTCTGGGCTAGACTGGCAAACTGGGCCAACTACTATGACGAAAGCAACATTGGAGGGTTAACCCCACTTTTTATGGGCACCAAATCTGTACTAGTTTAGAGCAAGTTCAAAGTCCTGAGTTAGTGAGGCATTGCATTTGTTTTCCCCTGAGA
The DNA here is from genome assembly GCF_000001405.40 of Homo sapiens. Classification (NCBI taxonomy): domain Eukaryota; kingdom Metazoa; phylum Chordata; class Mammalia; order Primates; family Hominidae; genus Homo; species Homo sapiens. The sequence goes on from NC_000006.12 coordinate 109,117,600, forward strand.
CTGTGACCTCTTCCTCTTTCCATTTCCAGCTCTAAGCACAAAGTTTGGCACATGATAGATGCTTAGCAAACAGTATTGGAATTGAAATGGAAAGGAATTAGGAAATTATGCAGATTCTCAACATTAATTTTACTAAATAGACATTGCAATATTAAGCGAAGTGAATTATGCAGATACAGTCACAGGCAACGTCTATATGGATACAAGGGAAGTTCAATTGGAGCCATAATGATCTCTTACATTTCGACATCATAGGCTGTTCTCTGTGCTCCTCTATTTTGGCTGCTGGTGGTAATTGGAAGGCCCTCAGCACTTTCAGCATTTGGCATAGTGAGATGTAAGTTAAATAAGCACATTGGAAACGGATGAAAAATTGCAACATTAAGAGGAAAGTAATACATATTTTTGTAGGTGCATTTTAAGTAAAATGTATATAGTTGTTGTTGTTGTTTTTGAGACGGAGTCTCACTCTGTCGCCCAGGCTGGAGTGCAGTGGCACGGTCTCGGCTCACTGCAACCTCTGCCTCCTGAGTTCAAGCAATTCTCCTGCCTCAGCCTCCTTAGTAGCTGGAATTACAGGCGCCCACCACCAACTCCAGCTAATTTTTTGTATTTTTAGTAGAGACAGGGTTTCACCATATTGGCCAGGCTGATCTCAAACTCCTGATCTCAGGTAGTCCACCTGCCTTGGCCTCCCAAAGAACTGGGATTACAGGCGTGAGCCTGGCCAGTAAAATATATTTTTATCAATTAACCTCCCACCTCAGCTAGCCAGGAAAATCAGATTTTGTCCTTTTGCCTTCTGGGCTATTTGACAACGTATGCTGTTCCTCATGTTAATACCTTAACAGCTGTGCCAACAAGTCTGGTTTGAAAAAAAAGTAAGGGGCTTAATGGTGTGTCTCTGCAGCCTATCAACATCTCTGTGCATCAGTAGATTACTTGAGCCTTTCAAAACAGTTGTTCACCTCAGACATGTGGGTCAAACGTCACTGTAGTTAACATACTGAAGCTTGCTAATACGAATAAGAATTGGAATTATGACTTCTGAGCTCTCAATACCAAGGAAAGCAATGTTATGACAAACCCGTGTTTGTGTTGCTTCGTCACAGAATAACTCAGACACTACAATCAGTAGCTAGCACTCTCTCTGATCTGAATGGTATAGACATCTTCCTTTTACCTTATATTGCTCTGACTTTTCGGTAGGTTTTGTCTTGGAGCTCCACATAGCTTTTAATTCATTTCAGTTTAGCAAGCCTTTATTAAGTATTAAATTAGGTGCTGAGATTGCAAAGATGAATAAGACTTTGATGAATGAGGCGTGCAGTTCAGTGGGGAAGACATGAACAGATTATTATTTCAATATATATTAAACATATAGGTATGCACAGAGGAAAGTTAATTAGCCCAGCCTCAGGAAGCCAGGAAAGGGAAAACTTCATGGACAGTTTAACTGATAAACTGTGTCTTACATAATGGGCAAGAATATTTCTGGAAGAGAGAACAATAGGAACATTAGAAACGTGTTCACTCAGCAGGGGCAGGAGAAAAGAACTAGATAATGAGTAATGGAGAGCCCTATATGCCCTGAGGAGGTCTTTATTCTGCAGTCACTGAAGAGTTTGAAGCATTGAAGTAACATGGCTGGATTTTAATTTTAGGTAGATCACTCTAGGGGCACAGTAAAAAATAGTTTTAGTGAAACATAATTAGTAGTAGGAAAATCACTTCAAAAGGCTACGTAATGGGACCAATAAATGATGAGGGCCTAGGCTGGGACACCTAATCAGTGGTGGTAAGGATGGGAGAGGATAGGTGAGTCAAGAAGTGTTTTACGTGTTGACCTCCTCAGGACTTGAGAATGGGGAGTAGGAGGATGATCCTATTAAGTGAGATTACAAATATAGGAAGAAAAACTGTTTTGAGGCAAAGATGGTGCTTTAAGTTTTGGATATACGTTTGAGGTGCCTTTAGGACATTCAAGTAGACATGAACTCTGTTAAAATGCAGAGAAATGGTAGTCAGTACTTGACAAAAAAATATTATCTTAGGCAGAAGTAAAGAACAAATAAATGAGTGCAAACTCCAAAGTGATATTGTCTCTTAAGAAGGGCTGGGCCTGGAGAAGGCATTAGGTGTAAAAATTAGGTTTGTGCAGGAGCAGTATAAAGTTATAAGTAGGTTATGTGGGGAATCAAGCATTTCACTTGAAAAGTGATATACTGTTTATAGATTACCTATTGGAGACATTAGGATTATAGTATGATACAATGTTAAGAAACACTGGATATAATGTAGTTTTTGATAGTTCAAAAAAGATTTTTTGATTTTGTGGTTTCTCAGTATCATGCACATCAGTGATTTTACTGACAAAAATTTGGATGAAATATCCAAAATATAAAGATTTCTGGATATCAATAATAGGCAACATGTGTTGAGTGCTTACTGTGCACTAAGCTCTATTCTAGTACTTCATGTTGATTCATTACATATAATTGTCTTAAACAGGTAGTCATATTATTCCCATTTTATAGATAGGAGGAACGTTTAAGAAACCTACTGCAGATCACACAGGATTTATCCCCAAGGAGTTTTGCTGCAGAACCTACCTCTTAACCACTATGCTATACTTCATTATCAAATAATCTAGGTTACAGGTACATGAAAACATGAAAATGCATTATACAAACAAAAATTCATATGAAGGTAACATTTCTAGAGGGACAAGATTGCCATATTCTAGAATCTGATGAACCTTTTTCTGCATTGGCTGCCAGTTGATGCGTATGATAGGAAAGTCTCCAAAAGAAAAGTGCTTAGGTCTATAAATAATTGTTTTCTTTCTGTTCTCAAGAACTGTTGAAGATGATTATCTTCAGAGAGGGGAAGGTAGTGGGTGTAGTTGGGAATCAGCAGTCCAGGATTAGAAAAATTTTACTTTCATTTTGTGACTTTCTGTGCTGTTTAAGTTTTGTTACCTGTGGATATTAAAAAACATGTTAACGGGGGTTCTGTGTAATGGGATTATGGGCTACTCTTAAAATGTTTTAAATTAAATATTTATAGCACACAAATTATACTAACATATCATCCCAAGAATTACTAAGTAGGTTGACTTTCATATTCAGTGGATTTTACACAGTTCCACATAGAAACACTATTGTTATAAAATGGTTAGAAACGTAGTGTCACTATGAAACCATTATTCCCTTGTTTCTATGGGAAAGTGAATTTTCAATTATAGATAGGGATGTGGAAACTGTTACTTCACTTTCTGCAGTCTTAGAAAATTCCTATACTTAGACACACGCACACACACACACACACACACACACACACACACACACACACACACAGTCACTCACTCATAGGCAAACATTTGCTCTGGGGGTAGGATAGTTTTCCTGAGTGAAAGAGGTGCTCTAGTGGGGTGTGGCAAGGATGAGAGTCAGATTAGAATTTTTATATCATTTGCTCTAGACAGGACTGTGTTGTGAGAAGGACTCTTGAGGACCTTCACCCACTAAAAACGGGGAAGTTAGCAGTGGTTGTTTGTATAACTGGTTTATTTGTAAGTTACACTTTTGGATTATGAAACTCCCCACAGTGATCAGTTGGTGTTTATTTTCATTCTGAAGCAATTTTAGTCATCTAGCAACTCATTTGGATGATGTGCTTGCTGTACAATGAAATTTGCAGTTTTAAAAGACCCCAGAGCAACTATGGTGTGTAATTTGTGCAGTGTTGTACTACTCTTGGAATAGATAGGAAATGTATGTTTGAATTAAGAAAAGACTGCTTTTCTGGAAAATTACAGAAGTTCTTAAATAATTTTTTTTTCACTGTGGCATTGTTAAGAAGGGATTAATTTTTCTTAAAAAGAGCCAGGATACTCTGGATGTAATGAAAATATTAAGTTAGTGTTTGGCCTGTAAGCAAAAGAGGGAATACCAAATGTCAGACTAGGATTGTAAATCATCATCTTTGGCAGGAACAAAGTTTGCTGTTTGTCTTGTTATGTCTGGACAGTTACCAGGGCCTGTGATGAATTTTCCAATTTCATTATCAAAATCCCAGAGTGTGGAAGCATTTACATAGACTCTAGGGTACAGGTATTAGTGGTCTGATCTCACTCTTTGGGGTTCTTGTTTTAAAATGGATGAGACTTTTTATATTTAGAGGAATTATAAATATGGTTAAATGTGATGGAAAGGGAAACAATTTTATAATTTTTAATAGTGTCTTTGTTTTATAGTTATTTTGAAAACAAATCAACACCTGTATGAAATTATAAAGTACATTTGAGAACCCGAAAATAACCCCACTGCCAAAGATTCTGAGCATTCAGAATATAGCTTGGTATGCATTCTATCTACTGTATTTCAGTGGCTTTAAGATGCATATTTTAGAAATTTTAGAAATTAAAAAATGTCTAAGATAAGGAAATGTTTTGTAATCATTATTGGCCTCAATTGAAGTCAGATTACTTCAGAAAGGATTTGCATTTCGCTCTGCCAGTTATTTGCACTACTACCAATCTGAGACTACTTTAAGTTAAATTCTCTGCCTGAAAGATTTTTTTGTTTTGTTTTGTCTTTGTTGGTTTTGCTGTGTTTTGGTTTTGACCCCACTGGTTATATGAATTCAGACTGCAAAGCTAGGTGAATACTGGCTTTTAGATAAAATTGCTTCTATCTTGTGTACAGATGGAGACTTTCAGGTTTCCTTGCTGTCTCATTCTGAATGCTGGGTTTATTTTTCATTTGTTTATATTGCATTTGTACCCCTTTTGTTGTTCTGGCTTTACATGGGAGGCTCTTATTTGGGGTATTTTGTTGTTTTGGTGGTGATGGTACATGAAAGAATAATACATCTTATAATTTATTGTGGCTTAGATTTGATCAAAGACTCATCAGAGGGCCAGGTGCGGTGGCTCATGGCTGTAATCCCAGTACTTTGGGAGGCCGAGGTGGGAGGATCACGAGGTCAGGGGTTCGAGACCAGCCAGGCCAACATAGTGAAACCCCATCTCTACTAAAGATACAAAAAATTAGCCGGGCATGGTGGTGCACACCTGTAACCTCAGCTACTCTGGAGGCTGAGGCAAGAGAATCACTTGAACCCAACCCGGGAGGCGTAGGTTGCAGTGAGCCAAGATTGTGCCATTGCACTCCAGCCTGGGCAACAGGGTGAGATTTTGTCTCAAAAGAAAAAAAAAGACTCATCAGACACTTACCCAGGCCCCTACTACCATCCTTCTTCAGAATTTGCTTACTCTTATTGTAGACACACTTCTAATAAACTCAATGTCATTGTTACACATTTCTTTGCTCATTCCTTCAGTGATCTTCAAACTTTAATTTATATAAGAATCAGTTGGATAATTATCAAAATGATATATTTATGGGCCGTATCCCTAGAATTTCTGTTTCCATGGACCTTGGTGGGGCCTAGGAATCTGCATGTTTATTAAAAATAAAAATTCTCAGGGTATTCTTACCTAAGTGATTGAAGGACCACACTTAGACTGCATACTCTATATCTAACTCAGTACTCATGGCTTCAGCTGCCATCTATGTATATTGATGACTTCCAAACCCTTATCTTTGTTTTTATTATTATTATTATTATCTACTGACTGAGCTAGCTGGGGCCAAATCCTTATCTTTAAACAATTCTTGAATGTCAAACTCATCTATAAAATTGGCATGTCTCTATTAAAGACAGAATACACTCCGAACTAGGATACCTGGGTTCAAATCCCAGCTCAGCCCCTTAATAGCTGCATGACCCTGGGCAAGTTACTTAACTTCTCAGATGCCTTATGTAAAAAGAAGTTAATACCTCATAGTGTTGCCTTCATGATTCAGTGGCTCAATCAATGCATGTAAACTTCTTTGACCAGTGCCTCACATGTAGCAAGCTCAATATAAATGTTAGCTGTTTTTTAAAAAATGTTATTTCACAAGCACCTCAATTATGTCTAAAATAATGTTTTATACCACCTCCACTGCTTTCAAAATCTGTTTTCTACCTTGGTTACAACTTTATTTCATTCTTCCCTGTCACGAGTTTTCCTTGTTCTGGTCATAAGTTCTATGAATTTGACATCCTAATTTTCTCTAGTTTTTCTCTTCCTTTCCATAGGATTAGTAGCAGGAAATACCTAAATAGATCCACTTCTGGCCAGGCATGGTGGTTCACACCTGTAATCTCAGTACTTTGGGAGGCCAAGGCGGGCAGATCACCTGATGACAGGAGTTCAAGATTAGCCTGGCCAACATGGCGAAACCCCGTCTTTATTAAAAAAATACAAAAATTAGCCAGGCATGGTGGCGTGCACCTGTAATCCCTGCTACTTGGGAAGCTGAGGCAGAAGAATTGCTTGAACCCAGAAGGTGGAGGTTGCAGTGAACCAAGATCGCACCATTGCACTCCAGCCCAGCCCAGGCGACAGAGTGAGACTCTGTCTCAAAAAAAAAAAAGAACCACTTCTATTGCCTTATCATCTCTCACATAGAGCTCTGGAATAGCCTCCTACCTGTACTTTGAGCGTTTGGTTGTTTCTGTCGTTCTTACTTCATAAAAGTCTTTATTAAAGGCAATGTGATCTTGCTACTCCTCTGCTGCATGGCTTTTACTACCTACAGGATAAAATCTAAACACCTGTACCTGGCATGCGAGACTCCTCAGATCTGGTTTCTGCTTCATCTTCTGCAATATTTAGGCACTATACGACTTTCCAGCTTTAGTAAATCACTCAGAGTAGATTGCTCAAAACACTGGATTCTCTCTTGCTTTCATAATTTTGCATAGATAAGCAATATAGTGTGGTGATTTAGAATGTGAACTTTAGAGCCAGACTGCCAAATCTTGACTTTGCCACTTAACTAGGTATGGACCTTGGATGAAACAGTTTTTTCTGTGCCACAGTTTCCTCATCTGTAAAATAGGAATAATTGTGCCTCATAGCATTGGTACATGGATTTAGTAAGTTAATTCACAGAAGAAGTTTTTAATAAATGTGAGATATCATTATTTTTATTATTACCATGCTATTTCTTCTGTCTGTGAACTTGATCTTTTCTTCTACCCATTCTCTCACTTTCTTTTGCTTGTGAAATGCCAAAGCTTGCCTAGTTCAGAATACTACTAGTTCAGTACCAAGTATTCACCCTTCATGTCTCAGTTAAGAACTAGCACCTCCAGGAAGTCATCATTGAAATGCCCAGACTCTGGGTCAGATGCTTCTCCTCTGGATTCCCATAGCATCCTATGTAGCATAATTAAGTTGTGGATGTTTCAGGGACTGCCTGGGGTTGTATTTTTCATCTCTGAATGTTTAATGAATGAAACTTGATTGCTTTGTTGTTTCTTATTTGCTATAGGTTGGGAAACCAATTAGAAAGGAGTGTTCTGCTAGAAACAGGTAGGTAGACAGCAAGGGAAGAGGTAGCAAGAGATGAAAAGACAGAAAACAGAGTCTAGGATAGTCTGGAACTTTCCAGTGAAGGGGTAAACAATACAAGTATCACACGGGGTCCCTAAGTATCATTGTGCATAATTAAAATGCTATGATGCTATCCTTGAGTCATCCTAAAGGTTAAATTGTGTTGAATATACTCTGTCTAAAAGGAAGGAAAGCAGTTTAAACACTTTAGGAGTCTTTCTTTTAAAACTAGTCGAAATAAATTTTGGTACTGAACTAGGCAAGCTTTAGTTATTTATCATTGTCCAATAGCTCATTCCTCCTTAGGCAGCCTGACTAATCAGTGAAGTCCCACAATTAATTCTGACTATTAAGTCTGCTCAACCTGTGGAAAAAAAAATGTAAAGGCCTAGAAAGTGGATTTGTAGCAACTAATCTGAGTGCCATTAGTTTTTAAATGCTATATATATATATATACATATATATATATATATTTTTTTTTTAACCAGTTTCTGAACTCTGTCTGTCTTTACTAAGTTTACCATCAACCATTCTAAAGAGAAAAGGGTGTGGTGGCACACACCTGCTGCTACTCGGGAGGCTGAGGTGGGAGGATTGCATGAGCCTAGGAGTTTGAAGCTAGTCTAGGCAACACGGTGAGAACCTGTCTTGACTGATTGATTGATTGATTGATTGATTGATAGACGGGTGGATAGAGATGTTTAAAGTTCAACAAAAATAAGGATAGTATACTTTTATCCTTATAAATATAATAAACATTATAAGAATGTTGAAACCCTTTCAAAATCACTTATTTTTTAACTTAGAATTTTTTGAAGAAATATTACCAGTAATATTTTCAAATCCTAAGAATTATGCTTTACTTAAATAAAATGATATTAAATTAAAACCTGTATGTAAAAGTACATATTAAAGCACAATATGTGTGTGTGTTTTTTTAAGTTAGGACAGTATTTACTGATTTGCTGGGTTCAACCATAACAAACATTAGCATAGGGAGGTAGGAAAAAGTTGTTGACCTAACAAATTAGTTTCAGAGGATTTATTTTTACAAATATTTTTTGGATTAGGCCCTGAAGATATGTATGCCCCTTTGCAGAGCGTAGGAATTTGGATTGTGGAGACTTACAGAAAGAATAAACATAATTGCCCTTTCTGAGTTTATGTTGAGATAAGAGACATGAGACCCTTACAAATGAAAATATGTAAGTGCTTCCAACAGATATTTGTATAAATAATTGATACTCTAAATCTCCAGCTGCTTTCTACCTCTTTGGAAGTCTAATTGAGAAAATATTTTATTAGATTTCTGTTTCTCATTATAAAAGTAAAATGTTTCATTGTGGACAATGTTTTAGAAGGTAGAAGTAAGAACATGAAAATCTGTTGTCCATCTATTAACATTTAATTACTTTAATCTGTTATTTGTATCTATCTTTGTCCTTTTAAAAAATAGACTATAATTATACAGTTTTATATTGTTCCTCATTTACTTTATGTTAAATCAGGAACATTTTCTCATGAACTGAATAGTCAAGATAAACTAAATCTTGGTAAAGATGATGGGGAGTCTAATCATTTAAGTGACCTTAGACATTATATGTTCTAAACTAAATGGATACACATTCAATAAGGAGAAATCTAATTATTAGTATGTTCATAAGCCTGGTTATTTTAAATTCAGCACTTGAGTTTATTTGAAAATTAGATAGCTCTTATTGCATGTATTGAGTTGAATTAACTGTGCACATGAACAATTAGATGCTATATTATAATTTATAAAATATTTGTAAAAGATTGGCATTACTTTGTACTCTTAAAAAACTGGCTGTTGGCCAGGCACGGTGCCTCACGCCTGTAATCCCAGCACTTTGGGAGGCCGAGGCGGACGGATCACAAGGTCAAGAGATCAAGACCATCCTGGCCAACATGGTGAAACCCCGTCTCTACTAAAAATACAAAAATTAGCTGGGCACGGTGGCGCACGCCTGTAGTCTCAGTTACTTGGGAGGCTGGGGCAAGAGAATTGCTTGAACCCGGGAGATGGAGGTTGCAGTGAGCCGAGATCGCGCCACTGCACTCCAGCCTGGCGACAGAGCGAAACTCCGTCTCAAACAAAACAAAACAAAAAAAACCAAAAACTGGCTGTTCTACTCATGTAATAATGTATTTCTTATATTCAGACTATTTAATGAGTTTGGAGGCTGCTTAGTAAAAATTTATTAGTAGTTATGAAATAAACCAATTTTACTTGATATACTGTTGACTCACCCCCTTCCCTTTTCTTTTTTCTCCATCTCATCGTCTTGTGTGAGTCTTTTTTCAACAGTGTAATTGCAAATTCAGTCAGATAGCAGAAGCCATGTCCTGTGTTCTTTATATTTCAGGGAGGCATAGTGTATTAGAAAATAGTAAATACTTGTTCTCACTTTTACTCCTTTGTTACCACTTTCTCCTGCTTTTTCCCCACTTCTCTTAACATTCCTTTTTTTTAATCTCCTTTGAGAGTTTTTTTTTTCCTTCACTTGTCTCCCAAATCTGTTATACTTAATCTTTTTTTGTTTGTTTGTTTTGTTTTGTTTTTTTGGAGACTGAGTCTCCTCTGTCACCCAGGCTGGAGTGCAGTGGCGCAGTCTCGGCTTGCTGCAACCTCCGCCTCCTGGGTTCAAGCGATTCTCCTGCCTCAGCCTCCCGAGTAGCTGGGATTACAGGCACGTGCCACCACGCCTGGCTAATTTTTTTTTTTTTTTAATTTTTAGTAGAGACGAGGTTTCACCATGTTGGCCAGGATGGTCTCAATCTGCTGACCTCGTGATCCGCCCGCCTCGGCCTCCCAAAGTGCTGGGATTACAGACATGAGCCACTGCGGCCGACCAAACCTGTGATTCTTAACCTTTTATAAAATTTTGTCTCAACACATCTGAGGAGGACTAACAATGGTTCCCTAATGGACAAAGGCAGTGAGTCTCAGCTACCTCTTTTGTCATGCACACAATGCACACACTGAAAATTGCTGTTCTTTATACTGTCCTTGGGTGATCTAATTGATAACCAAATCTCTATCTCTAGATCTAGCCTAAATGCTCACCTAACCTCCAGATTCATATTTCAGTCTGCTTGCTGGGCAGTTCTGTGTCTGTAAGCACCTCATATTTGACATGTCTAAAACAGAATTCATTATTTCCCTAAGACTTGTAGCCCCTTTTATATTATTCCATATTTCCATTAATTCACCACTATCTACCCATTTGCCCAACCAAAAATTTTGAGGAGTATTTCTGAGTCTTTCCTCTCTCCTATTACATATTTGTAGCAGATTCGTAAGTTCTTTTGATTATATCTTCTCAGCATCTTTCATATTTATCTCATCTACTCCAGTCCTATTTTAGACCTATATTTTTCGTGTTTGAATTATTTTGGTAACCTCTTAATTTGTCCATCTGCCTATAATTTCTTCCTCCTTTTGTCTGTTCACCTTAAAGCCGTCTGAATGAACTTGTCAAAATGCAAACCTGGTCATGTTATTCCCTTTTATGTCCTTAATTACCTCCCTATGGTCTAATCAAATAAATTATAAACTCCTTGATGTGATATACAAAATCCTTTGTGGCATGGCCCTTATGCATTTTTAGCCTGTTTTTTACTGCCAACATTTATTCACTATACTCCAAACAAATTCACTAGGATCTATCATCGTTCTCAATGATTATACATTCTGTCTTCACTAATGGTATATTTCCAGTTTTCGTGTTCCTGCTAAACCTCTTATTGTTTGTTTGCTTTGGTGTCTGTCTCTCCTAAGGTCTGGTAAGCCTTGGTTAGATAGCTTATATGTAAGAGTGGAGCACTGAAAAACTAACTGAAGGCCGGGCACAGTGGCTCATGCCTGTAATCCCAGCACTTTGGGAGGCCGAGGCAGGTGGATCACCTGAGGTCAGGAGTTCGAGACCAGCCTGGCCAACATGGTGAAACTCTGTCTCTACTAAAAATACAAAAAATTAGCCAGGCATGGTGGCGGGCGCCTGTAATCCCAGCTACTCGGGAGGCTGAGGCAGCAGAATCGCTTGAACCTGGGAGGCAGAGGTTGCAGTAAGCTGAGATCGCACCACTGCACTCCAGCCTGGGCGACAGAGAGAGACTCCATCTCTAAACAAAAACCAAAAAAACTAACTGGAAACTCCAAATCTATCCAATCAATTCATTTTATCGCCTTTAGTATCTTTATTAACTTAAGCTATTCATATTTCCTAGAAAATGGATCCTCACTTCTTCACTTGGATATAATAATATAGACTGCCGACATTCTGGGAACTGATCAGTCTTCCAGCTTCCAGTGTGGTGCCCTCCCTCAATTGTGCTGAGTGTCCCCCAATCCAGAGATATTCTGTAATTTCTTCCTCAGAAAGAAACAAAACAAAATTCTGATCTTCCCAGATGAAGGTAGAGTACTCTTCTGGCTGCATGGAAAGACAGAGGGTATTTGGGCATATAATTTACTTCTACATTAAATTTTCAACCTGTTCTCTAGTTTCCAGCTCAATCTTACCTACTGCTTACAGAGGTGTGGCTAATTCCTGAGCCATTCGAGGATCCTATTGGGTAAAATTTAAAAAGTCACATTTCTTACTTGGGTTAGGAGTCTGCCTTTTTGCATTAGCTAAGCCTGTTACTACTCATACATCTGTTTTCCATTTTCCAAAGTTTTGTTGTTGTCACCTCTACTTATCTTTCTCTTCGCAGGTTTATATCTTTCTTTAAAATTTTTTTTTTAATTTAAAATTTAAAATTTAAAATTTCTTTAAAAATTGTTTTAATATTATTTTAGTGAGTTTCCAAGTGGGAGCAAAAGTAAGTATGTATGTTCACTCTGCCATATTAACCTAAACTTCTCTTTCAAAACTGTTCGTAATTTCAGATTATTTCTGATTATATTTTGATTATATTCAGATTATATTCTGAAGTTAGTTATCACCCCATCAATCAGAGAGTGTTAATCTCTCCTTTGTGTTCCCATGGCTTTCTGCATATGCTTTTGTTATGGAACCAAGCCCATCGAATCAAAGATTGTTTTTATCATATTTGTCTCCCCTACTACGCATTGTTATGCAACCAATCTCTAAAACTTTTTCATCTGGCAAAACTGAAACTCTGTAACTCATTTCACTCCCCCCCAGCAACCACCATTCTACCTTCTGTTTCTGTAAGTTCGACTACTTTAGATACTTCATATAAGTGGAAACACATATATGACAAACTTACATAAGACAAACATCATATGTTTGTCTTTTCTGTGATTGGTTTATTTCACTTAGCATCATATCTTCAAGGTTCATCAAAATTGAAGCCTCTGTCAGAGTTTCCTTCCTTTTTAAGGCTGATTAATATTCCATTGCTTGTATATATCACATTTTGTTTACCTATCAATGGGCATTTGGTTTCCTTCTGCCTTTTGGTTATGGTGAATTGTGCTTCTACGAACATAGGTATACAAATACCTCTTTGAGACCCTGCTTTCGGTTCTTCTGAATACATATGCAGAAGTGTGATTGTCTTTTTTTTTTTTGTGAAATTGACATTTTTAAAGAAAACAACCCCCTCTCTGCTGGTTTTGTTTTTTTTTTTTTTTTTAAAGAAAAATAGAACACTTTTCATTTGTTGTTTATGTGGTGTCTCTCATGTTGAGATTCAGGTTATGCTTTCTGGCCAGAATACTGCATAGGTGATGTTGCGTCCTTCTCCAGGTTTCATATCCAGAGGCACATGGTGGCCTTCTACCTCTCACAGGTGATGTTAATTTTAATCATCCTATCAGAGTGTTGTTTGTCTTTCTACTATAAAGTTACTAGTTTTTCCTTGCATCTTATAAGCACTCTATGGGAAATACACTTTAGGACCATGCAAATATCCTGCTCCTCATTAAACTGTATCCCCTGGATTTAGCAGCTATTGATGCTTCTTGCCTAAATCAGCCTTTATTGTGATGGTTACAAAATGATGATTTTTCATATCTATCAAGGAATGTTTTTTAAGTTAATTATAAATTACATTAAGTAGATCAATTCGAATGTCAAAAGATCAGTATATTAAATGTAAGATTTGCTGCTACTGTTAATACATTATACATGAATGTCATTGAAGTATAATAATACTTAAACTGCTTCTAAATTTCTGGATTTGATGGTTACTATAGTATTCCTATAAAGTCATTGCATATTTTTAATGTTGAATATATAGTGCCTAAGACCTGAATTAGGTTCTGATACTTTTTCTTATTCTCAGCCTATAGATTGTTTACTGTTTGTTCTATTATCTGAATCCTGCTAGTGAACTCTCTAGTTAATAACTAACCAGATAATATTCATTTTACTGTAATTGAAGAAGAACAAACTTTACAGTATGGAATACTTTTGAGAATTGTAGCTGGAATGGAAAGATATAAACTCCTTTTCCTTTTTTGAAGCCTAAGTATCATTCTGTGTGTGCAACTAAAACTGGTTTGTCTGAAGCAGTTAGTATCTCTAAAGTATGTCTAAAGCTATTACAGTATTTTGTTTCAAGCAATATGGCAGACTAGATGTTCAGAGAAACTTCTGGTAAAAGAACACATTTTTAAATGCTGGATAAAATACTTAAAAAAAATTTTTTTAAGTATGCTTGAGTTGACAGCAAAGTAAGGTGAAAATACAAGCCTGTAAATAATGAGAAGGCCCAATTCTGTGGAGATAAGTGAGCCATAGAACCTCTTTACCTCTAAAGTTGCCTTCTGATACCTTATGGCTCAGAACCTGGGCTTTAAAGAAGTAGTCCTGCTTGCATGGGACAGAGGAAGTCTGAGCCTAGGCATTGTGAGTTATAAGTTTGGACACTGCAACATAAAGCTGAGATCCCCAAAGTGTGAATCATCCCCTGTGGATAATTTAAGGAAAATAACCTGCTCTTTAGAATGACACTGCCTAGCTCATCCTTGGTTTTGATTGGAGTACACAAAAAGAATCTTTCCTGAGAAATCCTCATCACAATCCGATGCTCATGTGGGTTTGAAGTTGAAATTCGCCTTGCAAAAATAATCTTAACCTAAAGGTTTAGTTTAATGATGCTTTTGGTTTGGGGTGCCTCAGGATCCTAGCAGAAAAAATAGAAATTTTCTCTGAAGAAAAGTGCTTTAAACATTGACTTCAAAGAATTCCTACAGTTAAAGATCTAAGAAATGTGTTTAAAATTAGAACTCTAAATGTATGAATAAGACCAGCCTGGGCAATATAGTGAGACCCCCATCTCTGAAAAACACAAACAGCAGCAACAATAACAAAAAATTGTATGATACTCTTCTTCAGTAACTTGCATTTTTCACCCAACAGTTTTCTAAGATTCATCCTTATTGAAATCCTTACCACAGGTTTTTCATTGTCTTTGTTAGGACATTGTGTAAATATACCACAGTTTATCTGTTTATCCATTTCGGCTGTTTCTAGTTTTTGCTATCACAAATAGTGCTGCTACAAATATTCTTAATAATGTATTTCCTGGTGATTATATGTAAAAGTTTCTCTAAGACTTATTCGCTAGATTGTAATATCTATCTGTATGTATATATGTGTATGTAAAGAAATACATATTTAATTTTATTCCATAATACTAAATTGTTTTAAAATTGGTACCAGTTTATGTGCCAACACTTACTTATGTTCTCATAGTTCTACATCATTTCTAAAATTTTATATTGTCGGTTTTAAATTTTGCCTAACTGTTAGATATGAAATGCTAGTTTGTGGTTTTAAGTTGCATTTCCCTGGCTACTACTGAGGTTGAGCATCTTTTCCTATATTTATAAGCCACTTATGTTTCCTCATTTTGAAGTGTCCCTTATGCTTATTTTTTCTATTGGGTTTTGTGTTTTCTTTCTGATTTGTAGTTCTTCAGGTATTTTGAGTACTAGTCCCTGGTAAATTAATTAAATTAATATCTACCCAGTAGCCAAGTTAGACTGTCTGAGAATTATCTTTGAATTGTTCTTCTCCTTTATCCCTTAAATATAATAATTGCTAACATGTATCAACTTTTACTATGTATCAGACATATTTCTGAGTACCTTACTTATGTTGTCTCATTTAATCCTTAGAGCAATCTTATATGTTAAGGCAGCAGGGACCGGTTTTATGGAAGACAGTTTTTCCACAGATGCGGCAGGGGTAAGGGGATGGTTTGGGGATGAAACAGTTTCACCCTAGATCATTCCAGATCATGAGACATTAGTTCGATTCTCATAAGGAGCATGCAGCCTAGATCCCTGATATGCGCAGTTCACAATAGGGTTTGCGCTCCTATGAAAATCTAATGCAGCCCTGATCTGACAGGAAGCGGAGCTCAGGAGGTAATGCTCGCTGACCTTCACTTACCTCCTGCTGGGCACCCTGGTTCCTAACAGGCCAAGAATGGATACTATTCCACAGACCAGGGGTTGGGGACCCCTGTGTTAAGATACCATTTTTCTGATCTTAGTTATTTAAGATCAGAGCAGAACTGAAGGAGATAGAGACACAAAAAAACCCTTCAAAAAATCTGTGAATCCAGGAGCTGGTGTTTTGAAAAGATCAACAAAATTGATAGACCGCTAGCAAGACTAATGAAGAAAAGAGAGAAGAATCAAATAGACACAATAAAAAATGATAAAGGGGATATCACCACCAATCCCACAGAAATACAAACTGCCATCAGAGAATACTATAAACACCTCTACGCAAATAAACTAGAAAATCTAGAAGAAACGGACAAATTCCTCGACACATACACCCTCCCAAGACCAAACCAGGAAGAAGTTGAATCTCTGAATAGACCAATAGCAGGCTCTGAAATTGAGGCAATAATTAATAGCTTACCAACCAAAACAAGTCGAGGACCAGATGCATTCACAGCCGAATTCTACCAGAGGTACAAGGAGGAGCTGGTACCATTCCTTCTGAAACTATTCCAATCAATAGAAAAACAGGGAATCCTCCCTAACTCATTTTATGAGGCCAGCATCATCCTGCTACCAAAACCTGGCAGAGACAAAACAAAAAAAGAGAATTTTAGACCAATATCCCTGATGAACATCGATGCAGAAATCCTCAATATAATACTGGCAAACTGAATCCAGCAACACATCAAAAAACTTATCCACCAAGATCAAGTGGGCTTCATCCCTGGGATGCAAGGCTGGTTCAACATACACAAATCAATAAATGTAATCCAGCATATAAACAGAACCAAAGACAAAAACCACGTGGTTATCTCAATAGCTGCAGAAAAGGCCTTTGACAAAATTCAACAGCCCTTCATGCTAAAAACTCTCAATAAATTAGGTATTGATGGGACGTATCTCAAAATAATAAGAGCTATTTATGACAGACCCACAGCCAATATCATACTGAATGGGCAAAAACTGGAAGCATGCCCTTTGAAAACTGGCACAAGACAGGGATGCCCTCTGTCACCACTCCTATTCAACATAGTATTGGAAGTTCTGGCCAGGGCAATCAGGCAGGAGAAGGAAATAAAGGGTATTCATTTAGGAAAAGAGGAAATCAAATTGTCCCTGTTTGCAGATGACATGATTGTATATGTAGACAACCCCATCGTCTCAGCCCAAAATCTCCTTAAGCTGATAAGCAACTTCAGCAAAGTCTCAGGATACAAAATCAATGTGCAAAAATCACAAGCATTCTTATACACCAATAACAGACAAACAGAGAGCCAAATCATGAGTGAACTCCCATTCACAATTGCTTCAAAGAGAATAAAATACCTAGGAATCCAACTTACAAGGGATGTGAAGGACCTCTTCAAGGAGGACTACAAACCACTGCTTAACGGAATTAAAGAGGATACAAACAAATGGAAGAACATTCCATGCTCATGAGTAGGAAGAATCAATATCGTGAAAATGGCCATACTGCCCAAAGTAATTTATAGATTCAATGCCATCCCCATCAAGCTACCAATGACTTTCTTCACAGAATTGGAAAAAACTACTTTAAAGTTCATATGGAACCAAAAAAGAGCCCGCATCGCCAAGTCAATCCTAAGCCAAAAGAACAAAGCTGGAGGCATCATGCTACCTGACTTCAAACTACGCTACAAGGCTACAGTAACCAAAACAGCATGGTACCTATACCAAAACAGAGATATAGACCAATGGAACAGAACAGAGCCGTCAGAAATAATGCCACACATCTACAACTATGTGATCTTTGACAAACCTGACAAAAACAAGAAATGGGGAAAGGATTCCCTATTTAATAAATGGTGCTGGGAAAACTGGCTAGCCATATGTAGAAAGCTGAAACTGGATCCCTTCATTACACCTTATACAAAAATTAATTCAAGATGGGTTAAAGACTTAAATGTTAGACCTAAAACCATAAAAACCCTAGAAGAAAACCTAGGCAATACCATTCAGGACATAGGCATGGGCAAGGACTTCATGTCAAAAACACCAAAAACAATGGCAACAAAAGCCAAAATTGACAAATGGGATCTAATTAAACTAAAGAGCTTCTGCCCAGCAAAAGAAACTACCATCAGAGTGAACAGGCAACCTACAGAATGGGAGGAAATTTTTGCAATCTACTCATCTGACAAAGGGCTAATATCCAGAATCTACAAAGAACTCAAACAAATTTACAAGAAAAAAACAAACAGCCGCATCAACAAGTGGGCAAAGGATATGAACAGACAGTTCTCAAAAGGAGACATGTATGCAGCCAACAGACACATGAAAAACTGCTCATCATCACTGGCCATCAGAGAAATGCAAATCAAAACCACAGTGAGATAGCATCTCACACCAGTTAGAATGGCAATCATTAAAAAGTCAGGAAACAACAGGTGCTGGAGAGGATGTGGAGAAATAGAAACACTTTTACACTGTTGGTGGGACTGTAAACTAGTTCAACCATTGTGGAAGACAGTGTGGGGATTCCTCAGGGATCTAGAACTAGAAATACCATTTGACCCAGCCATCCCATTACTGGGTATATACCCAAAGGATTATAAATCATTCTGCTACAAAGACACATGCACACGTATGTTTATTGCGGCACTATTCACAATAGCAAAGACTTAGAACCAACCCAAATGTCCCTCAGTGATAGACTGGATTAAGAAAATGTGGCACATATACACCATGGAATACTATGCAGCCATAAAAAAGGATGAGTTCATGTCCTTTGTAGGGACATGGATGAAGCTGGAAACCATCATTCTCAGCAAACTATCGCAAGGACAAAAAACCAAAGACCGCATGTTCTCACTCATAGGTGGGAATTGAACAATGAGAACACTTGGACACAGGAAGGGGAACATCACACACCGGGGCCTGTTGTAGGGTGTGGGTAGAGGGGAGCGATAGCATTAGGAGATAAACCTAATGTAAATGACGAGTTAATGGGTGCAGCCCACGAACATGGCACATGTATACATATGTAACAAACCTGCACGTTGTGCACATGTACCCTAAAACTATAAGTATAAAAAAAAAAAAAAAAGATACCATTTTTATCTTTATTTTGCAAATGCGGAATTTGAGGCACAGAGAAGTTAAACATTTGATGAGGGTCACACAGCGGTGCTTCAGTTTGAACCAAAGAAGTCTGCTCTGAAACTTGTATTTTTATTTTATTTTATTTTATTTTATTTTATTTTATTTTATTTTATTTTATTTTATTTTATTTATTTTTTTGAGAGAGAGTCTTTTGCTCTGTCGCCCAGGCTAGAGTGCAGTGGCACAATCTCGGCTCACTGCAGCCTCCACCTCCCAGGTTCAAGTGATTCTCCTGCCTCAGCTTCCTGAGTAGCTGGGATTACAGATGTGCGCCACTGCGCCCTACAATGTATTTTTAGTAGAGATGGGGTTTCTCCATGTTGGCCAGGCTGGTCTTGAACTCCTGGGGTCTCAAGCAATCCGCCCACCTCCGCCTCCCAAAGTGCAGGGATTATAGGTGTGGGGCATGGCGCCTGGCCTAAAACTTGTATCTTTAAACATTGTAATACCTTTCATTATTTTCATAAGTTGTATTCTAGAAGTATAGTAAAAACTCTGTTTTTAATAAAGTCAATATGTTTAAACCTTTTTTGTTTGTAATAGTAATATATTTAAGATGCGTATTTTCATTTTTATTTTGATTTTGTTTTATTTACTAAGTTATAATTTTGTGTAGTTTAGTATCCCATCCTTTCTCACTTAGTTATATCATGACTTTCAAAACATAAGTTTTGTTTTTTTTCTTTGAGATGGAGTCTCACTCTGTCGCCCAGGCTGGAGTGCGGTGGCCCCATCTCGGCTCACTGCGACCTCTGCCTCCCAAGTTCAAGCTATTCTCCTGCCTCAGCCTCCTGAGTAGCTGGGACTACAGGTGTGTGCCACCACACCCAGCTAATTTTTGTATTTTTAGTAGAGATGGAGTTGGACCATGTTGGTCAGGCTGGTCTCAAACTCCTGACCTACTGATCTGCCTGCTCTGGCCTCCCAAAGTGCTGGGATTACAGGTGTGAGCCACCGCTCCCAGCCTCAAAACATACTTTTAATGGCTGTATAATTTTACAGTATATGATTGTCATGTAATGAGTTATTGCTAGTTTGGGATATTTATTTATTCAACAAGTATTTTTGAATACCTTCTCTGTGCCAGGTACAATTCTAGGCATTATGGATAGAGTGGGGAACAAATCACCCAAGGCCCATGCCCTCATGGATCTTACATTCTAGTTAGGGCAGTGAGAAGACAAATAACAAAACAATTCTGCATTCAATGGAGAAAATGCAGAGAAATGGGATACAAAGTGCTAAGGAGGGAAATAGAATTAGTGTTTTATAAAGAATGGTCAGCAGATACAGAGCAGGTGACAATTGAGCAGAGACCTGAAGGGAGAGAATAAGCCATGCAGATATCTAAAGGAAAAGTGTTCCAGGCAGTGGGAACCAGAAGTAAAAAGTCCTGAGGCAGGAGCATGTTTGACTATTACAGAAACAGTGGGGAGGACAATGTGGGGCTAGAGAGGACTGAACAAAAGGGAGACTGAAGGAGAGTCAGAGTTGGGGAGTGGGGGACCCAATTCATATATGGCTTTGTAAATCATTGTAGGGACTTGAGCTTTTTCTCTGAGTAAGACGTGAAGCCATTTTGAGAGTTTTGAGCAGATTAATGACATGATGTGACATTATGTTAAAAGGCTTATTCTGGTTGCTGGGTGAAGAATAGATTGCTGAGGAACTAGGAGAGAATCTCTTACAATAATCTAGGATGGTAGCATAGGCCAACTGGTCAGATATTAGATATATTTTGAAGGTAGAGCTAGTATGTATCCTGAAAGATTCAACATGGGATGTGAGAGAGAGGTATCAAGACAAAAATTTTGATATTATAAATAATGCTAAAGTGATGACATTTATAATAATTTTTGTGCACATCTTTGATTCTTTTTTAGTAGAGATTCCTATAATAATTACTGATCAAAGAACATGAACTTCTTGAGGTCCTTGACATATCCTGTTCAATTGCTTTCCAGAAAAGTGTTATTGGTTTATATTCCTGTCAGCTATGTATGTGTGCTTTCTTGCCAGCATTAACTATTGTTCCTTAAAGGGAGTTTGCCTTGTTTGAAATGTTAAAAATTGTATTGCCTTGTTTTCTTTTAAGATAAGTATGACCGCCTTTTATCAAATACATATTTTGCTTACAGAAACTGCATACAATAGTCCCCCCTTGTCCATGAGGGGTATGTTCTAAGACCTTTAGTTGCCTGAAACCACAGATAGTACCAAACTCTATATATACTATGAACAATTCTTTTCCTTCGTCATAGTTTCATGGATAGAAGATTCATTCTTACTGTAGATCTTAGCAACCTCAGCATGTGATTTTTTTTCTTTTCTTATGAAGTCATGAACTTTTACCTTTTCACTGAAAGAAAGCACTTTACAGCTTCTCTCTGGCATATCTAAATTGCCAGCATGACTACTCTTGTGCTTTGGTGCCAATGTTAAGTAGAATAAGAGTTACTTGAACACAAGCACTGTGATACTATGACAGTTGATCTGATAACCAAGGTGGCCACCAAACAACTAACAGGTAGGTAGCGTCTACAGTGTGGAAATGCCGGACAAAGAGATGATTCACATCCTGGGCAGGATGGAGCTGGACAGTGTGAGATTTCATCATCATGGTATTCAGAACGGAGCACAATTTAAAACTTATGAATGGTTTCTGGTATTTTCAGTTTAAAAAATTTTGAGACAGAGTCTGACTCTATTACTCAGGCTAGAATGCAGTGGTACAATCTCAGCTCACCACAACATTCGCCTCCTGGGTCAAACAATTGTGCCTCGGCCACCATAGTAGCTGGAATTACAGTATGAGCCATCTCGCCTGGCTGAATTTTTTTTTCTTTTTTCTTTTTTTTTTTGAGATGGAGTCTCACTCTGTCTCCCAGGCTGGAGTGCAGTGACATGATCTCGGCTCACTGCAACCTCTGCCTCCTGGGTTCAAGTGATTCTCCTGCCTCCGCTTTTCAAGCTTCCCAAGTAGCTGGGACTACAGGCGCCTGCCACCACGCTCAGCCAATTTTTTTGTATTTTTAGTAGAGAAGGTGTTTCACCATGTTGGCCAGGCTGGTCTTGAACTTGTGACCTCAAATGATCTGCCCACCTTGGCCTCCCAAAGTGCTGGGATTACAGACGTGAGCCACCATGCCCAGCCTGCCTGGCTAATTTTTGTATATTTAAGAGAGAAGGGGTTTCACGATGTTGGCCAGGCTGGTCTCGAACTCTTGACCTCAAATGATCCACCTTCCTCACCCTCCCAAAGTGCTGGGATTATAGGCATGAACCACCATGCCCAGGCTGGAATTTTCCATTAATATTTTCTGAAAAATGTTTTTCTGAAAGTCAGAAAGATAGTAGTAAGTGGCAGATTCAGGATTTGAATTGAGGTCCAGCTGCAAAGGCTTTACTTTTGAATCTGGATATAACTGCTTTTCATTGATTATTACTAAGATTTATTTATTTATGTATTTATTTATTGAGATGGAGTCTCACTCTGTCACCCAGGCTGGAGTGCAGTGACTTGATCTCGGCTCACTGCAACCTCCGCCTTCCGGGTTCAAGCGATTCTCCTCCCTCAGCCTCCTGAGTAGCTGGGATTACAAGCACTTGCCACTTGTCATTTTTCTATTATGACGTTAGTAGTTTTCTTTTGACTTACAAAAGCCCTTTACATATTAACATTAACCCTTTGTTCTTCATTGCACTTAATTACTTCTGTTTGTCTTTTGTCATTCAATTTTGTTTATAATTTTTATATGTTGTATTAATTTTTTTTTTTTTTTTTTAGACAGAGTCTTTCTCTGTCACCCAGGCTGGAGTACAGTGGCACGATCTCGGCTCCCTGCAACGTCCGCCTCCCGAGTTCAAGTGATTCTCCTGCCTCAGCCACCCGAGTAGCTGGGTCTACAGGTGTGCGCCACCATGCCTGGCTAATTTTTGTATTTTTAAGAGAGACGGGGTTTCACCATGCTGGCCAGGCTGGTCTCGAACTCCTGACCTCGTGATCCGCCTGCCTCAGCCCCTCAAAGTGCTAGGATTAGAGGTGAGCCACCGCGCCCGGCCTTATATGTTGTATTAATTTTAACAGAGCTTTTGTATCTTTTCCTTTATTTTTCTGTTACTTTTAAACATAGAATATCTTACCTATTCTAAGGTTATTTAATATTCACTGATTTCTTAAAATAATTTTTAGAGTTTTTTATTTATTTATTTATTTAGATGGATTCTCGCTCTGTTGCCCAGGCTGGAGTGCAGCGGTGCGATCTCGGCTCACTGCAAGCTCCGCCTCCCGGGTTGACGCCATTCTCCTGCCTCAGCCTCCTGAGTAGCTGGGACTACGGGCGCCCACCACCACACCCGGCTAATTTTTTGTGTTTTTAGTAGAGATGAGGTTTCACCATGTTGGCCAAGATGGTCTCGATCTCCTGACCTCGTAATCCGCCCGCCTCGGCCTCCCAAAGTGCTGGGATTACAGACATGAGCCACCGCGCCCAGCTGCGTTTTCTTTATTTGACTCTGTAGCTATCTGAAATTTGTATTGATGTATGGGGCAAGATGAAGCCTTAAATGGATTTTTTCCCCATTTTTTTCTTTTGTTTTTGAGACACAGTCTCACATTGTTGCCTGTGCTAGTGTGTAGTGGCGCAATCTCGGCTCACTGCAGCCTCCACCTCCCAGGTTCAAGTGATTCTTCTGCCTCAGCCTCCCAAGTAGCTAGGATTACAGGCATCCACCACCACGCCTGGCTAATTTTTTGTATTTTTAGTAGTGACAGGGTTTCACTGTTGGCCAGGTTGGTCTCGAACTCCTGACCTCATGATCCGCCCACCTCTCCCTCCCAAAGTGTTTCCCCAATTTTTCTAACATCATTTATTGGATGATCAACAAATGAATAGCTGAATCCCATTGAAGTATTTATGTTACATTCGTGTATTTACTAGTTTCTATTGACCAGTTTTTATTGTCACATCTTAACATTTTGGTGATTTTATATTATAAATAATACATTATATAATTATTATGGGATATCTATAAGTAAGTTCCACCACCACAAATTATCTTATTCAGTTATAATAAGATAATAATAAGATATAATAAGTTATAGTACTTCCTAAAGTACTATACATTAAAAAATAAAAGAGTTAGTCCAGCCTTACTGTGTTTGCTCTTAAGGTAAGTTAGCATAGATGCATACATAAAGAAAAAAACAGATCAAAGAAACTGAGCTGTTGATCCTTCTTCAGTTTCTCTAAGGAAAAATCCAAACTTGGAAGAAGTAGCAGTTACAGCAAACAGAGATTCCTTTATTTCAAAAGTCTTCTATAGTATCTCTGACTGCCCCCTAATGTCGTCTCCCTAGCAGTCCTATGGAATAAGTGTTTTCCTCTATAAAAAGTAAAAATGCTTTGCAGTAAAGTGTTTGTGTCTAGAGCATTCTTTTTAGGGGGATAGTTTTTTTATGCAATGGGTTCTTAGTTGCAGCCAATTGGGGTATCTTAATTTTATAAACCATAAAAACAGTGAGTAATTTCCCTGGTTGTTCACAAGCTGTCAAGAATGGTTTCAGGAAAACCAACCCAAATGCCCATCAATGATAGACTAGATAAAGAAAATGTGGTACATATATTCCATGGAATACTATGCAGCCATAAAAAGGAATGAGATCATGTCCTTGGCAGAGACATGGATGGAGCTGGAAGCCATCATCCTTGGCAACCTAACACAGGAACAGAAAACCAAACACTGCATGTTCTCACTCATAAGTGGGAGTTGAACATTGAGAACACCTGGACACAGAGAGGGGAACAACATACACCAGGGCCTGTGGGTGGTAAGGGGAGGGAACTTAGAGGACGAGTCAATAGGTGCAGCAAACTAATATGGCACATGTATACCTATGTAACAAACCTGCACGTTCTGCACATGTATTCCATTTTTTGTTTGTTTGTTGTTAGAATAAATAAAGAAAAAATAAATAAAAATTTTAAGAAAAAAAAAAAAGGTACAACTTGAGTTTCTCAGGCTTGATACAAATGAGGTTCACATTTTATAGCCTTTTGCCCTTACTTGAAGACACCTATAAAATGTTCCATAAGAATTCCTGAGGTCTTTTCAGTTACCAACAGCTAGCTAAGTCTGGTATCAGAAATACCGGAATCCTAGAGATTGTGATTTAGGTACTTCTCTGTATTTTCAGAAATTTTTCCCTAGAAATATTTCTCATATGTGCCCATGAATGTATCCCTTCCATCTGTGCTCTCTCTGTTTCTCTGTTGCTCTCTCGCTTTCTCACTCTTGTTCACTGTCTCTCTTGCTCTCTCTCTCTCTCTCTCTCTCTCTCTCTCTCTCTCTCTCTCTCTCTCTCTCTCTCTCACTGAATACTACTAACTGATGCACCAGAAAGGGGCCAAAACTGTGTTAGCAATCTGACTCCCCCTCCATTGTCATGTAACATCTTACACAAAGCAGGGAAGCTAATGCCTTGATATTTTATAGAGATATTGGTGAAACATTTCTCAGTTTTTATTTAAACTCTCTCTCTTTTTAGAACCCACATATGAGTCCATGGCACTAGGTCAGAGATAAATTAGAATGACCACCATCATAGTCTACTCAGAATCACTCCTCCTTTCCTTAGTCATTTAAGGCTTTTATTTTGGATCAAGCCTTTTGTAGTTACTTCACCTTCTTTCAGAGTGAGTTTTTCTCCCAGGATGCTTCAGTGCTTTATATAAATAAGCTTCCAGTAGGCTTATGCACTTGTTTACAACACAGGACCAGATTATAAAGGTTAAGCTGAGATCCCATTACAATGAGAATCTCTGAGCTCTGTGTCACAACATAACTTGTCCTCTCATCTCTTTACTGTTTTCTTTCTTTTTCTTCATCTTGTTTTTATCCTATCAGTGGATTATTCTGCTTGTGCCCACTTTAATATGTGTCTACACATTTAATTTAAATAAACTGTAGTCTACTTTTTAACTTACTGGCAATCTTCTAACTAGTCATTATTTCATATACATTAAAAACCTCAAATTTGGACCAGTTTTTTAACTGGTACAAAATCCGGTTTGTGAAATAATATTATACTTAGGTCAGAGGAAGCAGAGACCTCCCAAGGACTTCAGTGTGTAGTGACAAATAGCAAAATTTCATTCTTTATGTCATTGGAGAAACCCACCCGGAGCTGAAAACTAAGTCAGATTTCTTGAGTAGCTCCAGTATTCTTGGGATAGCTTTAACAACTTACCTCTCTCTGAAGATGTACAACCATCTTCAGGATTTACGTACTTTAGGGCCTTACCTCCACTTTATAGTGAGCCAGCTGTGACTAATGTTGATCTCTTGTTTTTTGAGGGAACAACAACTTAGATAGATGCGGTATCCCATGGGGAGCAGGCAGTGTCTGAGATAGCTGGTACTAATCACAATAGCAAAATATGGTTACCTTGCAAGAACAAAAAGCATCAAGTATCTTAGCAAACCTTAGGCTTTATAGCCTCTAATTTAGACCAATCAGAATGTTCTAGGAGATTGCCAATCATGGCAATGGCTAAAGTAGAAAATTCTAGGAAGTGAAGTGTGCCTTCTGCCCTTCCAGAAAATACTATCCTGGGAAGTGCCTGCCTTTGCCTTGTGAATTGAGGAGGTGGTGAAATCATGGAAAATGTACAACTCTCAAAAATCAAAATAGGCTAATGTTATAGTGTAATTCTTGGATTTCCATTTTGAAGCAAGCTTTCTTGCTTAAAATTCTTCCAGTGAGTTATTTTTTTGTAAGCAGTTATCACCTTATGTGATTATGAATTAATTTAATTAACATTGACTGGAATCTATTAAAAAATAGAATACATTTCTAAAATATTTAAATTGCAGAAAGGAAAATAAAATTATTTGGAAATTTTAGACCAAAAATTACCTGCTTAAATGGTTAAAAGGGCTCTCTTACCAAAACAAAAACAACAACAAAATAAAAACCAGACTAACAAAACTAAGTAGTCTAGATTCTTCAGATTTGGAAACTTTCTAATCTAGATGATTAAAATGCTAATACATTAAGCAGAGGTGTGTCTTATTCAAAGGTTAAATTCCGATATTTCATATATCCAAAATTACCCTTGAAAATCCCTTAGGAAGCCATACATTAGAATTCAACAATCAGTATTAGAGAATCAGTGTATATTGTTGGTTTGTGTTTAAAAGCTCAGTTATCTTTTAGAATATGTACTTTCTCTTTAAATCCTAGAGTCACACTGCTTATAGAGAAGTGCTCAGACTATGATAGGTATATGGGATTTATGGGTAACTGAGAAACCAGTAAATTCAAATCACTCATGTGATGCTTACTCCAGGGTATATGATTATTGAAAATCAGGCAGAATTGTCAGTACTGCTTACACAAGAAATAGTAACTTTTCTTTCTTTTATTGCCAAGCCTATTAGAGTTGAATTTATAATTAAGTTCATAAAGATACAACTCCACAGTATATGATTATGTTTTTAAAGTTTCACCTGAATTTTTGTATAATGCATTTACCCTTAAAATAGGAAAGCATGATACTATATCATTCCTTTATTCTCTACAGATAATGGATTCTGAATTAATGCATAGTATAGTAGGAAGCTATCATAAACCTCCAGAAAGAGTATTTGTTCCCTCATTCACCCAGAATGAACCATCTCAGAATTGCCATCCTGCAAACTTAGAAGTTACCTCTCCTAAGATACTTCATAGCCCAAATAGCCAAGGTAATGCTGATATAAAATTTGAAGAATGGTAAAAACATGCTATAAAAAACTTTTCATATTTATGTGGAATACAATATGATTGCATATTTAATCTTAACAAAACTCCTAACTTTGATTCTGTTGCTAAAAGTTTCTATGAACTTAGACAAATTACTTGACATTTTTTATTTTGGCTTCTTCAGCCATAAAATGAAGATTAATACAACCAGCTGGACACATATCACAGAGTTATCATAAAAACATCATTTGAAAACAGGAAAATACTCTTTGAAGAATAAAAGGTCAGATTTGGAATACTAAACTAGATGATTAGAATGTTAGTGAATTAAATGGAATTGCATCTTATTCAAGAATTAGATTCAGAAATTACATATATCCAAAATTATTCTTGAAAATATTTTAGGAAGCCAGTATATCAGAGTAACTACAAAATACTAGTATTTTAACGTTTAAAATAGAAATGTAGGAGGATCTTAAAATTGAATTAGGAAAACATTTTATTACTCCAGGCATATTTTAAGCTGTGCAAATTCTTTTCTGAGATGCTGATATCACCTACTTTTAAAATCTTCTATAATAATGGTTGCTGTTAATAAATAAACTAGTTTTGTGGAATAAACTATAAGAAATAATAATGCAAATCAATGTGCCAGCTACAGATATCATGTAAAGAGGAATAAATATAATTTATTTATCTCATTTATAAAAACAAAATGGTAATCTCTAGCAAGCATCTTTCTAATTTGATATAAACTATATGACAGTTAAAACTCTGAACTTATCTGAAGCATGAAGATATTAATATAGTTGAATATAAGTCACAGTAGTATAGAATACTATTATCTTTCAGGTCTGACATCAGGTAAACCATTAGGTTATAATTATCCTGGTTCTTAATACTGCATCATGGACAAAGAAACAGTAAATATGTGTGATTTGACTAAAACGGAATACCTCAAGAACTGAGAAAAAAAGCCTATAACTTTAAACCTAAATTGCCATGTTAATTAGTAGAAATTATATTTTAATGTTCTTATTCATATTTATACTCTTATGCTCCCCAGACTGTACATTGTCTTTAAGTCCTTTCATTTGTAAATATTTTATTAAATTAAAATTGTGGTTATTACCTTTCTCAGTCTTAGAAACCACTAAATACAATAATAGATATAGTGTTTTTACAAGATATATTAGAGAGAAAATGTGCGCCTCTTCAAAGTGTTAGTCATTATTTTTCATTTTTTGAAGAATATGCATTACTTGTACATTTTTCTGGCTCAGTAACAAAAATATACTGCTTATTTTTCTTATGTTACTTTGATTGTAAGTGTTCAGAAACTTTCACTTAAAATATCAACAAAATTTTTTTTCAACAGCTCTTATTTTAGCCTTAAAAACTCTTCAGGAAAAAATTCATCGTTTAGAGCTGGAGAGAACACAAGCTGAAGATAACCTGAACATTCTTTCCAGAGAAGCAGCACAGTATAAGAAGGCCTTAGAGAATGAAACAAATGAGAGAAATCTGGCACACCAGGAGCTGATAAAGCAGAAAAAAGGTAAGAAATGCAGTAGTTCTCAGAAACCGGGGGTTACTGGAGTTTACAGTTCAAAAATAATAAACCTAGTCTAAGCCGATGTACTCAGATATCTTTATTCTTATATATATTCAAACTTCATGACTTTGTTCTCAGACCTTTTGATATTTGTGAGAAAAAGATACAGTTTTGAACTTACCTCTATCATATCTTACTTATCATAATTCATAAATTCTAGAAATTAAAGGAAAAATTAAGATTTTAGACAAGTTGTGTTTAAAAATTAGAATATTTTCAGAATAGCCAACAAACTCCAATTTAACCCGTAATTGAATATTTATTTTTTATTTTATTTATTTGTATTTGCAGTTAACACTAAACTTTAGAATTTGAAATACAGAACAACACTAGTAATTAAACAATGTAAAACCAATAAAAATGAATACAAAAGAATTTTATTTAATGAGAGGAAAGCAAGGTTAATTAGAAGACATAGGCAAATGGGGGAGGCTTCTGTGGAAATTATGAAAAATTTTAGAAATTTAGAACATAAGTCTTTTAAGTAATTTCACTTCAAAACTTAAGACTTTCTTTTTCCTTTTTACACTACACTCATCCTCATAAACAAGGCTCAAGTTTGTGTTTCAACTTAGAAGTAGAATGAACAAATGGGGAGAAAAATATTTCTGAGGTAATTGGACAAAAGTAGAAGAAAGGGGTGAGGAAAGTAAAGAGTTAAAGGATTAGAAATAGGTTGCTTTCTGCTGTGGAATTAACTGTTCTGCCAGCAGTCAAGAACAGGGGAAAATGAGAGTGGTAGATGCATATACTTGAGTTTCCTGAAAGAGAAGAAATATATTGATAGGTAAGAAACTTTCAGCCTCTGTTTTTCCAGATGATGTTATTTCCATCAACAACCAGGATATTTATCATCCCACAAGTTACTGACATCCTCCTCTTTCAGAAGTGTGCCCTCTGAATTTTTAGGAGGAGACAATATTAAACCAGTTCTGTGTAATTAATGAGCTGTTTACAAATGTATTTTCATAACTCTGGGAGAGTCAATACTCAGAGATAAAGGAGGCCTTGAACTTTTAGCTCTTGATGAATTCACATAGTACATTTCTTGTGATAACCAAATCTCTGATCTATATGATAATCAGGTAATTGACTGGTTATTATTTTGTCTTTTTATTTTATTTTATTTTATTATTATTATACTTTAAGTTTTAGGGTACATGTGCACAATGTGCAGGTTAGTTACATATGTATACATGTGCCATGCTGGTGTGCTGCACCCATTAACTCGTCATTTAGCATTAGGTATGTCTTCTAATGCTATCCCTCCCCTCTCCCCCCACCCCACAACAGTCCCCAGAGTGCGATGTTCCCCTTCCTGTGTCCATGTGTTCTCATTGTTCAATTCCCACCTATGAGTGAGAACATGCGGTGTTTGGTTTTTTGTCCTTGCGATAGTTTACTGAGAATGATGATTTCTGATTTCATCCATGTCCCTACAAAGGACATGAACTCATCCTTTTTTATGGCTGCATAGTATTCCATGGTGTATATGTGCCACATTTTCTTAATCCAGTCTATCATTGTTGGACATTTGGGTAGGTTCCAAGTCTTTGCTGTTGTGAATAGTGCCGCAATAAACATACGTGTGCATGTGTCTTTGTAGCAGCATGATTTATAATCCTTTGGGTATATACCCAGTAATGGGATGGCTGGGTCAAATGGTATTTCTAGTTCTAGATCCCTGAGGAATCGCCACACTGACTTCCACAATGGTTGAACTAGTTTACAGTCCCACCAACAATGTAAAAGTGTTCCTATTTCTCCACATCCTCTCCAGCACCTGTTGTTTCCTGACTTTTTAATGATTGCCATTCTAACTGGTGTGAGATGCTATCTCACTGTGGTTTTGATTTGCATTTCTCTGATGGCCAGTGATGGTGAGCATTTGTTCATGTGTTTTTTGGCTGCATAAATGTCTTCTTTTGAGAAATGTCTGTTCATGTCCTTCGCCCACTTGTTGATGGGGCTGTTTGTTTTTTTCTTGTAAATTTGTTTGAGTTCATTGTAGATTCTGGATATTAGCCCTTTGTCAGATGAATAGGTTGCAAAAATTTTCTCCCATTCTGTAGGTTGCCTGTTCACTCTGATGGTAGTTTCTTTTGCTGTGCAGAAGCTCTTTAGTTTAATCAGATCCCATTTGTCAATTTTGGCTTTTGTTGCCATTGCTTTTGGTGTTGTAGACATGAAGTCCTTGCCCATGCCTATGTCCTGAATGGTAATGCCTAGGTTTTCTTCTAGAGTTTTTATGGTTTTAGGTCTAACGTTTAAGTCTTTAATCCGTCTTGAATTAATTTTTGTATAAGGTGTAAGGAAGGGATCCAGTTTCAGCTTTCTACATATGGCTAGCCAGTTTTCCCAGCACCATTTATTAAATAGGGAATCCTTTCCCCGTTGCTTGTTTTTTCAGGTTTGTCAAAGATCAGATGGTTGTAGATATGCGGCATTATTTCTGAGGGCTCTGTTCTGTTCCATTGATCTGTATCTCTGTTTTGGTACCAGTACCATGCTGTTTTGGTTACTGTAGCCTTGTAGTATAGTTTGAAGTCAGGTAGCGTGATGCCTCCAGCTTTGTTCTTTTGGCTTAGGATTGACTTGGCAATGCGGGCTCTTTTTTGGTTCCATATGAACTTTAAAGTAGTTTTTTCCAATTCTGTGAAGAAAGTCATTGGTAGCTTGATGGGGATGGCATTGAATCTATAAATTACTTTGGGCAGTATGGCCATTTTCACGATATTGATTCTTCCTACCCATGAGCATGGAATGTTCTTCCATTTGTTTGTATCCTCTTTTATTTCATTGAGCAGTGGTTTGTAGTTCTCCTTGAAGAGGTCCTTTATGTCCCTTGTAAGTTGGATTCCTAGGTATTTTATTCTCTTTGAAGCAATTGTGAATGGGAGTTCACTCATGATTTGGCTCTCTGTTTGTCTGTTATTGGTGTATAAGAATGCTCGTGATTTTTGTACATTGATTTTGTATCCTGAGACTTTGCTGAAGTTGCTTATCAGCTTAAGGAGATTTTGGGCTGAGACAATGGGGTTTTCTAGATATACAATCATGTCATCTGCAAACAGGGACAATTTGACTTCCTCTTTTCCTAATTGAATACCCTTTATTTCATAGATATAAGTATACAGTTAAGCTCAGCCCAGTCTCGTTGTACTCTTCTAGAGAAGCAACTAGAATATACAAAGAGAATGGTTCTCAACGTAGAGCGAGAAAAGAACATGATCCTAGAACAACAGGTGAGCATATTTTCTATAAGGAATGATAATATAATTTTGTATGTTTTTGAAGAATATTTTAATTTCACGGGAAAATTCAAAGGCAAAGGTGGCATAATGTTAGAATGAGGTCTAACTTACGTGTAATTGGAGTTTCAAAAGGAAAGGAAAGGAAAATGGGGAAAAGCAATATTTGAAGAGATAATGGCTAAGAATGTTACAAAATGTATTAAAAAGTAAAATTACTAGCCTGGCCAACATGGTGAAACCCCATCTCTACTAAAAATACAAAAATTAGCCGGGCTTGGTGGCAGGCATCTGTAATCTCAGCTACTCAGGAGGCTGAGGCAGGAGAATCGCTTGAACCCGGGAGGCAGAGGTTGCAGTGAGCTGAGATTGTGCCGTTGCACTGCAGCCTGGACGACAGAGCAAGACTCTGTCTCAAAAAAAAAAAAAAAAGTAAAATCTTAAAAGCATCCAGAAAAAAAAAATTACACTCAAAGAGACAACAATTAAAGTGATAGCTGACTTCTCAACTCAAAGTACTGAACCCAGAAGACAAGGAACTGATAGAGTTAAGGTGTTAAAAGAAAATAAGTACTGGTCTAGAATTCTATGCCCGGGGGAAGTATCCTTCAGAAATAAAGATATTTTAAGACTAAAAAGACTGAGATATATTTGTTACTAGTAGGTCCACTCTAAAGAGAACACTAAAGGACATCAGACAGAAGGAAAATGACCTTTGGTAGAAGGTCAGAGATGCAGGAAGGAATGAAGAGCAATGAAGATGGTAAATATGTGGATAAATCTAAATTAATATTATATAAGGCAACAATAATAATGCTTTGTATGGTTTAAATATAAAGAATTAAAATTCATCAGAACAATGGCTTATATGTTAGGAAGAAGTAAAGTAGTTTAAAGTGTTCTAATATCCTTGCATTTTCTTGGCAGAAGGGTAAAAGTACCAATCAATACTGGATATTGATGGGTCAAATACATAACAGATTTTTAAGGAACTAGAGAATTTAATTCTAAAATTTATATGGAAAAGCAAAGGTCCAAGAACAGCCAAAGTATTCTGAAGAAGAATAAGATGAAAGTCTTTCTCTAGTTGATATTGAAACAAATTATGATCCTTTTTAATAGCTGCTCTATGAACTAAAATGTGTATTCTTAACTAACCACAGTCTGCCATAAATCTGTATTAAAATATTTCACATGTAATGTAGGATCCTCTTTTAGTATGCTTCCTCTTATTCCCCTTTGTGCTATAGTTTTCATACATTTTATTTCTGCATTTGTCATACAACCCACAATACATTATTATTTTTGCTTCAAATGGTCAATTATCCTTTCAGGAAAATTAGGAAACAAAAATATGTATTTTTTACCATTTTCTGTGCTTTTTATTTTTGTGTAGATTTTGTTTTCCATTTGATATCATTTTTCTTCAGTCTGAAGGAAAATATCAGAATGCTAAGTATTGTCTTAGCATTTATTTATCTGGAAAAGTCTATTTCACTGTCATTTGTGAAAGATATTTTGGCTGGATATAGAATTCTAGGTGACATCTTTTCTTCTTTAAGCACATTGAAGATTTTGTTCCTGTTGCCTTCTGGATCTCATAGTTTCTAATCAGAGTTCTTCTCTGTATTCCTCTATGCAGAATGTGTCATCATTTCTCAGGCTGCTATTAAGATTTTCCCCTTTATCACTAGTTTTCAACAATATGTTGCTAAGTATTTTTTTTTTAATGCTTGAACCTTTTGAGATTCTTGAATCTGTCAGTATTTTTCATTAAATTGGAACATTTTCAACTATTATCCTTCAAATAATTATTCTGTCCCACCTCTCTCTCTTCTTCTCTGGGACTTCAACTAAATGTTATTAAACCACAGGTTACCAAGACTCTGTTTATTGGTATTGTTTTTGGTTTTGTTTTAATTAATAGACTTTTATCTTTTTTATTTTTTTTGGAGTCAGAGTTTCACTCTTGTCGCCCAGGCTGGAGTGCAGTGGCACAATCTTGGCTCACTGCAACCTCCACCTCCCTGGTTCAAGCAATTCTCCTGCCTCAGCCTCCCAAGTAGCTGGGATTACAGGCGCCCGCCACCACACCCAGCTAACTTTTTGTATTTTTAGTAGAGACAGGGTTTTGCCATGTTGGGGCAGGCTGGTCTCAAACTCCTGACCTCAGGTGATCCACCCACCTTGGCCTCCCAAAGTGCTGGGATTACAGGCGTGAGCCACCACGCCCGGCCTAGACTTTATCTTTTACAGCCATTTTAGGTTTATAGAAAATTGAGCAGATAGTATAGAAAGAGTTCTTGCTCCCTCACGGTTGCCCCTATTATTAATACTTTACATTGGTATGGTTATAAATGCCACTACAAAATAGCATATAGATGTGCGTGCGTGTGTGTGTGTGTGTGTGTGTGTGTGTGTGTGTGTGTGTGTGTATAACTTTCCTTTTCTCTGTGTTCTTATGTTTTATTCCTCTGATAGCTGCTTTTCTATGTTAGAGAGAGGGTAAGTTAATGAGTATGTTTGGTCACCTTGTAAATAACACTATTTAATACAGGTTTTATCAATAATGGTTTTCTTAGGCCAGACTTGGTAGCTCACGCCTGTAATCCCAGCACTTTGGGAGGCCAAGGCGGGCAGATGACTTGAGGTCAGGAGTTCGAGACCAGCCTGAGCAACACGGTGAAACCACGTCTCTACTAAAAATACAAAACTTAGTGTAGGGCATGGTGGCAGGCGCCTGTAATCCCAGCTATTTGGGAAGCTGAGGAGGGAGAATCGCATGAACCCAGGAGACAAAGGTTGCAGTGAGCCAAGATTATGCTGCTGCACTCCAGCCTGGGCAACAGCAAGACTCTGTCTCAAAAAAAAAAAAGAAAAGAAAAGAAAAGAAAAGTTTTCCATAATAGAATTAATTTATATTCTATACAAAGATGCATAGACGAGTTTGTTTCACTGATGCTAATATAACACATCTAATCTGCACTTTTTTTTTTTTTTTTTTTTTTTTTTTTGAGACAAGGTCTCACTCTGTTGCCCAGACTGGAGTGCGGTAGCACAGTCACTGCTTACCATAACCTTGACTTGCCAGGCTCAAGCAATCTTCTCATCTCAGCCTCCCAAGCAGCTGAGACTACAGGTGTGCATGCACCACCATGTCCAGCTGATTTTTAAGTTTTTTGTAGAGGAGGGGTCCCGTTATGTTGCCCAGGCTGGCCTCAAACTCCAGGGTTCAAGCAGTCCTCCCACCTCAGCCTCCCAAAGTGCTTGAATTACAAGTATGAGCCACCACGCCTGGCCTTTTTTGCGTGTTATATTTGCTCCTTAAAAGTGTTTGATTTTCAGAAAAAAAAAATTAAATTTAAATTTTAAAAATTATGACTTTAAGGTTGAAAAAAATAAATAACAAAAAGTATTTGATTTTCTTGTTTTTTGCTTGTAAGCATCTAAAGTATGTGTGTTTGTTTATGTACATGTTTCTTAAGATATTTATATTGTGTTTTGAATTCTCAGAAATTGTATTATTCTTGTTCCATTGGCATTACTTGCCAAATTCAGGGTTGCTATTTTATTTTTATCCTTTCTAGGCCCAGCTTCAGAGGGAAAAAGAACAAGATCAGATGAAGCTGTATGCAAAACTTGAAAAGCTTGATGTCTTAGAAAAAGAGTGTTTCAGACTTACAACAACTCAGAAAACTGCTGAGGTAAGCTTTCTTTGAAGTGATGACAACAGGAATGAATCTTTAGTGTTAAGCATAATTGGTATTTTATGTGAATGTAGAGTAAATCTTAGATTTATAAAACTTCATTTACAACTTTTTATAATCCAGATATGAATTCTCACCTATAGAGTGAAAAGTTAATGCGTTCTGTCACAGTATGAATGAGCTGTCTTTTGATGTGAAATTGTAATTTTGACTTCTAATATGGCAGGATATTTTCATTTGTCAGATACTTTACCTAAAGGGTATTGAAAAATTGTCTTTCACCACTTGTAGTCAAATTAAGCCTATACCAGTTCCCCTCTTCATCCTTTTTCCCTCCAAATCTTTTCCATTTTATAGGGTTTTCTCACAGTCGTACTTCCCCTAGGAAGTCCTCCTTGAACTCTCCAACACTCAGGAAGTTCTCCCTTTGAAATAGTACTGTCCTCCTATTCTGAACCACACCACAGATGTAAGACATAATACTTACATATATAAGGTTATATGTATATATGGTGCCTGTCAAGTTATTTCCTTGCTTTGTTGTTTTGTTGTTTTATGAATATTGCTCTTTTTTTCTTTTCATACAATACAGGTTGGGTGTCCTTAATCCAAAAATCCAAAATCTGATATACTCCAAAATCCAAAACTTTTTGAACACTAATAATAATGTTCAGAAGAAATGTTCACTGGAGCATATAGGATTTTGAATTTTTGGATTAGGGATACCGAACCAGTAATGAAAATATTCCAAAATCTAAAATATCTCTGGTTCCAAACACTTAAGATAAGGGATCCTCAATCTGTATAAGCTCTTAAGTAACAAGGACCACATTGTATATTTCTATTATGTCTTTTCACTCTTCTCCCAAAAGTACACTCTTATCACATATATGCAAATAGTAGAATTTTTTTTTTATGTTTTGAATGAAACGTTGAGACCCAAGACTATAATTGTTTGACCTGCTACACCTTTAGTACCCTTAAAAGTTTCATCATAATGATTTTGTTGCTGGAAGTTAATAAAGCCTGTGTGTGTGTATATTCTTTGCTTTCCCTTTGTTCTTCTTGTATGTAATAGAAGGTAAAGAAGCAAAGAAAGAAGTGGGAAGAAAGCCAAGAAAAATCTTAACATCTTGTGCCATTCCTTTTTCTTATTTTCTGCCTTAATTTGCCAAACTCTTAAGAATCAAGACCCCCTAGGACTCTATTTGGAAAAGAAACAAATGATATTTGGCTCTAGTTTTTATGTAACAATCTTAGTTTTTACTCTTTTGCAGGACAAGATTAAACATTTAGAAGAAAAACTTAAGGAAGAAGAACATCAGCGTAAGCTATTTCAAGACAAAGCTTCTGAGGTAAATATAGCACTATATAATCTATCACAGTAAACCATATATGTTTTATTATATTTTTATTTTCATTAACTGAAGCCTATGTTCTAGATTCTAATTTCTGCTTCCTAAATTGTCTTTTCGTTACAATAATGAAATTCTCAGTCAGCCAGTATGATACATGGATGTATTACCAAGAGGTCTTTTTTAATCTTTTGAAATTCTGACAAATACATATATTCTCAGTTGAAGGAACTCCTAGGATAGATTGTTTTCAGTTTGATTTCTGTACATATATTAAATAATTTATTCTTTTATAAACAGAAAATTATTGTAATTACCAATAGACTTAGTGACCTTCACATGTACAAAAACGGTATCTTGGATTTTCTTTTCTTTTCTTCTCCAAAAAGCATTTTTATATTTATAAACTTAGACCTGATATCTCATTACAGTGTTTTTGCATGTTACAAATCAATGTTATAACCTTTTTTTTAAATATTACAGCTTCAAACTGGACTTGAAATCAGTAAAATTATAATGTCTTCAGTTTCAAATCTAAAGCACTCCAAGGAAAAGAAGAAATCTTCAAAGGTGTGCATATAAAATTTTTTCCCAAACAAAAATACTGCTAATACTTATTTATATAACCTCTTAATCCTTATACCTACCCCTTTCCAAAAAGGATTTGAAGATATAAAATAAAAGACATGCAATAATGCGTGTCAAGTAATGGATGATGGTTTGGGGTATAAGGACAGAAAATTTCATAAGATTCAGGTTAAAAAAAGTAGCAGCAGTCATGTACAAAATTTAGCTCTGAGTTTGCTTGACAACCAAAGCAAAAAGGAACATATAATGGACAGTATAGCTATCTTTGTGAAATAACAGGAAGCACTCCAGTTTTTCTAGAAAGATTAACATTTTTCTAGTTTTAAACTTCTGGAGAAACATATTTTGTGATAGTTTATAAAAGAGGCAGTAAACAACACAGTAGATACTGACAACATAATAAATCCTGAAAGCAGTTTTATGTAATATATAGACAATAAAAAATAAGGTTTTTCTTATAGACCTGTTAAGTCTGTAAAGTCATTTATATAGGGAATTTATTGTTATATGTAATTTCTATGCTTATTTCTTGTGAATTTGCCCAAAAGTAAGGATTGGAGAGTTAGTACTTTATAGACCAATATTTTGTTTAGATGGATTGATGTTTTGAATGTATGCTATTCAAGTAACCCTTCTTAATTATATATAATGGTATGAAAAAAGTTTTTAATCCCTTTTAATCT
The DNA here is from genome assembly GCF_000001405.40 of Homo sapiens. Lineage (NCBI taxonomy): Eukaryota > Metazoa > Chordata > Mammalia > Primates > Hominidae > Homo > Homo sapiens. The sequence continues at coordinate 109,156,579 of NC_000006.12, forward strand.
TATGATTGTGGAATTATGGTTTTGATGGCCATTATTACTATTTATTCAGATATGAATGGAGTGAGTGTTCTCTGTGCCATTTGTTGTGGGGGACAGGAGATGCTATTTGGGAATTCTGGCCACTGCCATATGCTTAGCTTGTGGATAAAATAATGGAGAGAACAGTAAACTTAACTTTGGCTACTCTTTTATTACGTAAATAAAAATTAATGTTCAATACTTGGGCTGTATTTTTCATAATTTTTTCATTTTAAAGAATTTTCAAACTACAATAACGAACAATATTTCCCCAATATGACTTATTTTGGCTCTTTCCTTTCCTAAATATTTGTTTTGTGTCTTATTTGTGCAATGAGATTCACAGCTACAAAGCCAAATAGAAAAATCACTATAAGTAATTTGCCAGTGGAACACATACTGCCCAGTATGTATGTTTTATGGCATCCTTTCTCTGATGGGTTAATGGAACTTTTTTCAGTTTACCTATTTATTATAAAAATAGTGAAGGTACAGGGAGAAGATAAAAGAAATGAAGGAAAGAAAAGGTAACTACTGGAAGAGAAGAGAGTAATTAACAGCAGAATCATTTTATGGAAGTACTTAGTTCAAATCCCAAGTTCACGGGGTATGCAAATAATGATGTCTCTTTTTAAAGATGGAGGGAGTGCTAAAGTTGCTGAAAGTAGGATCAGATTTCAAGAAGCCTCTATGAGAGATCTGCTTCCCATCACACTGTTTCTCCATGTCCTGGACATAGTTCATTCAACTCTTACATCTTGATGTACATAGACTGGTATCTCTAGGTGATAAAAAGATAAGACAGGAATTTGTGAGAAACAGATAAATATATAAGTATAAAACAGTATAATAGAAGATTAATAGAGGTTTAAACAAAGTGTTGTGGTGCTGTGTAGACAAAGGAATATGTGAAAGGTAATTCAAGAGCAATATTAAAGGAAGCCTTGAAGAATTAAATATTGACAGACTGAGATGAGGAAAAATGTGTTATAGTCTGAGGGAATTGTTGGTTTTTCCAGGGACCTATAAGTAATAGTCCAGTAGTGGGGGTGAGATGGGATCATAATGAAAGTTAAAATGGAAAATATAGCTTGGGGTGAGCTAATGGCTGACCTTGAATGCCATGTTAAGAGTTTGAACTTTTATTCTATAAACAGGAACTATTGAAGGCTTCTGAGAAGAGTAGGGACATGATTAGAGTTGTAATTTTAGATGGTAACTGACAGCAGTAGGAGAGTTTTACAAGAGAGAAATCAGATGTGTAGATTTTTGAGAGAATCATATGTGTAGATTCATGTCACCATCACAATAATCAAGATACAGAACTCTTCCACCACTAAAAAACTCCTTCATGCAATCCCTCTATAGCTACACATCCCCTTCCCTGAACATTGGCAACCTCTAATCTGTTCACCATCTGTGTATTTTATTATTTCAAGAATGTTATATAAATGGAATTATGCAGTATGTAACTTTTTGTGGTTGGCTTTTTTCCCTTGAGGTCCGTCCAAGTTGTCGTATGTATCAGTACATCCTTTTTATTTCTGTGTGGTATTCCGCATTATGGATGTACCACAATTTAACCATTCATCTGTTAAAGGATATCTGGAGCCGGGCGCGGTGGCTCACACCTGTAATCCCAACAGTTTGGGAGGCCAAGGCGAGTGGATCATTTGAGGTCAGGAGTTCAAGACCAGCCTGGCCAATATGGTGAAACCCCATCTGTACTAAAAATACAAAAATTAGCCAGGCAGTAGTGGCACACACCTGTAATCCCAGCTACTCGGGAGACAAAAGCAGGAGAATCGCTTGAGCCTGGGAGACGGAGGTTGCGGTGAGCCAAGATCATACCACTGCACCCCAGTCTGGGTGACAGAATGAGACCCTATCTCAAAAAAAAAAGGATATTTCGATTGTTTCCAGGTTTTTAGCTATTACAAATAAAGCTGCTATGAACATTTGTGTACAGGTTTTTATGTGAACATAAGTTTTCATTTTTCTAGGATAAATGCGTAAGAGAACAATTGTTGGGTCATGTGATAAGTACATTTTTAGTTTTATAAGAAACTGCCAAACTGTCTTCCAAAATGGCTGTACCATTTTGTATTCCCACCAACAATATGTGAGTGATTTTATTTTCTCTGTGTGCTTGCCAACATTTGTTATTGTCACTGTTTTTTATTTTGGCCATTCTGATAGATGTGCAGTGATATTTCACTGTAATTTTAACTCGCATTTCCATAATTAATGATGTTGAATATCTTTTCGTATGTTTGTCATACGTATGTCTATGTCAGTGAAATTTCTGTCCATGTCTTTTGCCCATTTTCCAGTTGCATTGTTTTCTGTTGAGTTTTGAGAGTTCTTCATATCGTAAATAACTTTTAAAATAATTTCTTGTTTACGTTTTTTTCTTGCCAATCTCTAGAAAACTAAATGTATAAAGAGACGACCACCTTGGCAAATTTGTTCAAAGTTTGGAGCACTGCCTTTTGTGGCTGAAAAGGTGAGAGGGGATAAAATGAAGATAGTCGTTCAAAAAAACTCCTGTTTTGTTGTAAGTGCTATTTAAATATCTTCAGTCATTTAAAATTATTCTCAGTTGTTTCTTTTCCCATAAGTCTACCAGTGCAAGCTGTTCTGTGAATGCAAGTATGCAAAACTTTTTGCAGATGAGGCAACATCGTGACCCACATATCCTTCAGAAACCTTTTAACGTGACTGAGACTAGATGTCTCCCCAAGCCTTCTAGAACAACTTCCTGGTGTAAAGCTATTCCTCCTGACTCAGAAAAGTCCATTTCCATTTGTGACAATTTATCTGAACTTTTGATGGCAATGCAAGATGAGCTGGACCAAATGAGCATGTAAGTATTTATATTCTTTTTTTTTTTCAAGAGACAGTGTCTCGCTATGTTGCCCAGGCTAGTCTTGAACTCCTGGTTTCAGGCAATCCTCCTGCCTCGGCCTCCCAAAGTGCTAGGATTACAAGCATGAGCCACCGTGCCTGGCCAGTATTTTTATTCTTTATCAGGAGAAGTACCATATCACTTTTTCTTCTTAGTCTTAAGAACAATACCACTTATAAATTCTTAAAGGCGTTACTTAGCCATTTGGACAGTTTGTTGTCCCTATTTTTCATTGTATTTATTACTATTTAAAATTTCAATTCTTTATAGCTACTACTTTTTCATTCTTAGGTATTTCTGTATTCCCAAAATCTGGACTGATAGATATTATTATCATTCTAACATACAGGATCTGATGACCTTAGATTAAAACTCACAAAAGCTTTTATAAGACAGGCTCTCCTTTTGTGTTTTAGAATCTTTTAGCTGAATGAATTATTTCATTAGACAAGTAGGAATGTAATTCCTTGTTTTAGACTCTGGCTGGTCTGCATTACAAATTTTGAAGCATCTATAGTAAAGAAGATTTCCATATGGGATACATTATATTGTGCCCACCTGCTTAAATATATATTCAACAGAAATTCCAGAACTATGTGATTTGGCTGACCAGCTAGTTGATCTAAGACTTCTGTAGAAGATATAACTCTTTCTATTAACAGTATTTCAGTAGGCTAACTCCAAATCCAGAAATTTTTCAGGCAGATACTTCTACAACTGGAATTCTTCCAAAGATCCTATATCAATAACGAGGAAGAAAGCCCTTTAATACCTCTGTTAAAGACATCATACATTTTACTACATTCAGCTATGAGCATCAGGAATTCAGATGTTTTTAAAAGTTGCTTAGCCGTCTTAAGATATTTCTAAAGGTATTTAATTTCAAATCACAGGAGCCTGGTTATATTTACCATAGACTTAATTAACCCTAAAGAAAGAGGCTGTTTTTAAAGGTTAATATTTAACTCTGACTAAAATTTATGATTGAACAGAAAATTGCTTAATTATGGCAAAGAAATATATGCAATAAACTATAATACTGCTTAATATTTGCTATTCTTTCATAGGGAGCACCAAGAACTACTGAAACAAATGAAGGAAACTGAAAGTCATTCAGTCTGTGACGACATAGAATGTGAACTAGAGTGTTTACTCAAGAAAATGGAAATTAAAGGAGAACAAATCTCCAAACTGAAGAAGCATCAAGACAGTGTAAGAAGGCTTTAGTAAGAGATTTTAATAAAAACACAAAATATCTGGATTCAGTGTTGTATCTCTGTATGACTTTCCAAATTTGAGGTCTGTATATGGGATTTAGTGAAAAGATGGATGGTAATCCCTTAGGCCTATGACAGAATAGAGCCATCTGTCCCATTGGAATAACATGGACCTCCTACATAACTCTCCAAGTTAAAATTTTTTAAGTGAGCAAATAAGTTCAGTTATGTATTCAGAAATTGCTTTGGGGAAATTGTGAGGCAGACTAAACTTGCCTTAGCAGCCCTCCAGTTACCCTTTTAGCATTCTTTTTCGTTTTCCTTCTCTCCTCTAATGCCTTAATGATACCCCTTATGTCAGCAGGTCTCTCATTCACTGCCAGACATAAACCTGGCTCCCAAGCAGTGCCCCAATCCTTAAAGCATGATTTCCCCTTTCCCAAAACAAGCTGTTTTATGTTCCATTCCCTGGGGTCCTATACTCAGCTAGCTATAGTGAGTAGAACAGGGATGGTGAAGAAAACTCTGCACTTGTATGTTAAGATGTAATAACTAAGAATAGCTAACAGTTTTCTTATTTTAACAGAAAAATCATGGAATGTAATATTTAATTCCAAGACAATGACTCCGTAGGTTGAACTTGCAGCACTATTACACTGCTGGAGCAGAAAGCAGAGGGAGCCTTTCCCAGGAACCCTCAAGTCACATCATGTAGCCATCTGGCTATGGACAAAATCATCATTCATATAAGTTAGTGATATATGAATGTCACAAATAAGCCTCCCCGCGTTTTATAGGAAAGTAATAGAAGATGCAGAATATTATTACTTTTATTCTTATTGTGGGAAAGAAGGAAAGGAAGAAAGAAAGAAGTGAAATTTTTAAAACAAATATTTTTATTTTACTGGCTTTTAAGGCTATAGTAAGTAAAAATTTCTGTATGATTGTTTTGGAGTGAAGATTATACAACTTGTACACTTACTTGAAATTGCATTGGAGAAACTTGAAAGGAATAGAAGAATTATCACTTTTAAAACTCAGGTTGTATATATATACTATATTTTTAAAAACATGATTTATATTCCATAATAGCTATAGCAGTATAAATTTTAAGCATTTTATTATGATAAATGTAATATCTGTAATAAAAATTGACTGTTAGCCAAATAGAGAACTAGGTACTCCCCCAAAGTCTGGATCAGCTCTACAAATTAGACCTATGCTCAAGTGAAATAGCTTAAGTAATGGGTTGGACTTTGAAGAAATTGATTTTGGCTAGTTGATATGTATTGTTTTTGTTTAATTCTGTCTGCCTCCACTATTACCATATACTACTCAAGGTGATAAAGTTATTCCCTTGACTTTTTTTTAAACAGCCATTCAATAGTACTTTAAATTCAGGAATACACAAAAGTGTTTGTTCACAAAAGTATTCCTGAATTTAAAGTACTACTGAATGGCAGTTGGAAAAAAACACATATTTATACACACACATATATATACATATACACATACATATGCACATGTGTGTGTATAACTTTCAAAACTTGATACTCATTCCTAGAACCAATTATTTGCTTTGCTGTTAATGTTACCTGAAAGGTTCTTCTCTGTCCTCTCTGTTCTCTAGTTTTTACCAGTTTAATATCTTATATACAACCTTTCCCTCAATCTCTGCAGCCCATGTTGACCTTATCCGACTTTGGCCTTCTTACATATACACTTTTTGTCTTATTCAAAGTTATCCTGGCTCAGAGTATTCTCTAGTTGTCACATATGTGCTTTTTTTCACTAATAGGAGCAGTAAGCTCCTTGAAAGTAAGAGCTTTTTTCTCATTATATTTCTACCTGACAAGCACAGTGTTAGGCATGTAATAGATGTTCAATAAATTAAAAACTTAATGAATTGAATTTTTTAATGTTCAATTTTAACTTTTTAACGTTAAACCATCAATTCAACCTATCTATTTTGGAATATATTTTTAGTATATTTTTGACTAAAATGTTAGATTTTTTTTTCTCTCCAGGTCTGTAAACTGCAGCAAAAAGTTCAAAACTCAAAGATGAGTGAAGCTTCAGGTATTCAGCAAGAAGACAGCTACCCTAAAGGATCAAAGAACATAAAAAATAGCCCCAGAAAATGTTTGACTGACACTAACCTTTTTCAGAAAAACAGCAGCTTTCATCCAATACGAGTTCATAATCTTCAAATGAAATTGAGAAGAGATGATATCATGTGGGAACAGTAACAAAACAGCAAAACTGTCACCTTAATGAACTTTGTCAGTGAGACCTTGAATTGTCTAAAGTGGTTTTAATTTAATATAACTTTGTGACATTTTGAATCATGTTTCTAGTTTCTATAAAACATGAAGTTGCAGTATTTAAAAATTAATGCCTAATGACCTGGTGGGTTCCAAATAATAAATTAATTGCTTTTTTATTTTTCTTATTGATTGAAGCCCGTAACCTCATCTTGTCTTAGAAACATTGTTGGCTTTGCAGATATCTTAAGCTAAATTTAAGAAATTGTACTAGATTGACAATATTCAAAATTGAGTTAAATCCAAGCTACAAGTACCATTCATTCCACTTTTCATTTAGTAGGTTTGGAACCTTAAAAACCAATGTTCAATGAACAGAGTTCAGAAAGATCATTTAGCTTTCCTGGTGCCTTCTTTCTATTTTGTTTTAGAGCTGTGAAATGTTTTTCTCTTTTGGAAAAGGAAAAACTTAATAGTTACACAGTTTTGTGAAGAAGCCTTTAATCCAAGTTTTATGAGACAGTAGGAACCTATAGCTACTTAATTTTTAGGAGACAGTAATTCAGTTGCAGAAGCTTTCCTCTGCTATTCCCATTCTCTTTTACAAAACTAGTTTTTTTTAAAAAATCAATGATCAATTTTATCTTACTACTTTATAACTTTTGCTGACTTTTATTCTTTGCATTGTATGTAATGTCCATCAGTATAAATTGAGACTGTGAATTTCTAGGACCCACAAAAGTGGTATTTTTTTTTTGTACAAGAAAGTATAGAGGAAGAGGAAGCTGGGCATTAAATTACCTCATCCAGCAGAAATTCACGGTAGTATGGTATATTTTTATTTTTTATATTTTAAAATCAATAATGTCAAATGTCATTGTGTATGCATGCTTTATAATAAATTTACACTTGATCATTTTTCTGGAAGCCTATGGGAACTAGTACAACTCTTCTGAACTCTTGGTTTCTCACTCAAATCCTCTGAGGCAACTGGGGAACTAGAGTCATGAACTGAATTAGAAATAGAGGACAGAGAGAAAAGATATAATAGAATGGAGGAGCTCAAATATAGGGTAGCAGTTTAAGAGATGGTGATTCCTAAGGGACAGAGTTGGAAGTACATATTTACTGAATTCTTTGAACCCACAGCTGATGGAATGTTCAAGCTATAGATGTGAAAGAATTTTTAGGTCAGGATCTTGGGAAGCTAAGGAGAGCAATTTTTAAAAGACAGTTTTTCTGTTTTCCTAGGAAATTCCCAAGAAGCTTGTGTAGGAAAAAGTTGGTAATTATGGATCTTTTGGGGAGGAAGAGAACTATAATTCATTCTAATGGTGAGGAGAGATACCATGTTAGAATACCTTCCATACCTGGAAGTGGGGAAGTGACTGAAGATGGGCACATTGATGCTTGAAATTGTCCTTGAAAGTAGTTAATGGCAGAGATCAAAATTTCCTCCTGTTGTAAATAGTGCATGTGCCCTTTGCCAGCTTTCACTCCCACTCATTCACACCCTTAGCTCCTCAGCCCTGGAGATGTTCCATAGGGTGTTTGATCTAAACTCAGTTGCATCACCTTACCTGTTTTTCTACTTTGCCTTTCCTCCTTGAGGATATGAGTTTTATAGCTTAAGCTTAGCTTTTTGCTAAACTTTTTAGCTTTCTGCTATCCACCAGGACCATAATGCAGACCTATAGTTCTGTGCCTTTGTTTTCTATACATTTAGGAAGGTGGCTGAATATATTTAGTTATTAATAATTCATTACTTGTGAAAAGGTATTGCTTTAAAAATTATCATTAAAAATTTAAAAACCGTCCAGGCGCGGTGGCTCACACCTATAATCCCAGCACTTTGGGAGGCCGAGGCAGGCAGATCACGAGGTCAGGAGATTGAGACCATCCTGGCCAACATGTGAAACCCTGTCTCTACTAAATTACAAAAATTAGCCGGGTGTGGTGGCGCATGCCTGTAATCCCAGCTACTTGGGAGACTGAGGCAGGGGAATCGCTTGAACCTGGGAGATGGAGGTTGCAGTGAGCTGAGATCTCACCACTGTACTCCAGCCTGGTGACACAGCAAGACTCTGTCTCAAAAAAAAAAAAAAAAATTAAAACCATTTTAGGAACATGGAATATTTCAACTGAGAATTTTCTTAAAAATTAGTCCAGTGTAGTAGAAAAAACCACAACTTCAGAGCTAGGAAACTTGGTTTCAAATTCTGGGACTCTACCATTTAATAGCTTGGACAAGTCAGATAACTTTCTGGAGCCTCAGTTTCTCATCTGTAAAGTGAGGATTATACTAATATCTCCCTCACAGGACTATACTAATTTGTTGTGAGGAGTTAATGAAATAACATGGGAAAGCACCCAGCAGAAGAGTTGACACTTATTAAACACTCAATAAATATTTTTTGAATCTGAGTGGCAAAAAAAAAAAAAAAATGTAGAACACATGTTTGCATGGGTTGAAGCCTAAAAGCAAACACCTAAATATATTATTGGTAAAAGTGGGAATATTCTCACTTATTTTGGTTTTTATCTCTTTCTGTGTGCCTGAAGGGAAATGGCTTTGTCATCTTTCCTAGCCCAGGTTTCTAATGGGAGGGGGTAAAGAACACAGTCCTGTCATTGTGCTGAAACATGTAACCACACACAGCAAATAGGTTTGGAGTATGGTGTGGTTGTTGAGGTGACATTTATTATTGAGAGACAATGAAGAATGGTGTCTTGTTGCTTCATCACAGCTACTGAACTCACAGACTGCCTGCTTGCCAGAGCCTTTGACTCCTCAGGGGGTGGAGCAAAAGATTTCTTTCCTGGATGGAGCAGTCAGTCTATGGTCAGTGTAAGAGTTGCTGTAGCAACCTCACAGCTGTGCTCTGTCTAGCAGAAACTTGGTATGATTTCACGGATTTTGTTCACTTAAGTAAAAAACAGATTTGTTTGGTTTTTATGTAATTAGAAATTGAAATAATGGAATTGGAATTTTCTAGCCAAGGCAGGTCTCAATTTTGATGAAACTGAAGCCAGAAAGTTCCAGTGTTTGAAGCAGCAGGTATTGTGACTATATTCTGATACTGGAAATGGGAGTTGGAATCCTGAATTAACTGTACTTGGGTGGATCATTGGCAACCCAGCCATTTTTATTAGGTTGTAGATAAAGACAGGAGGGTCAGAGGGAAATGTTCAGTTTTCAACAATGTAAGATTAAAGTGGGAGATACTTAGTACATAGTAAGTTAACTGGCTGGGATAATGTAGATAATGTACTTGAAAATTATTTTTGAGCTTTTTTGGTAGCTTTCTTACTTTATTCCTTTTTTTCTATACCTGCCAGTAGATGTGAGAGCTTTTCTTACTTTAAAAGTGTAATTTTAACTATAAATGTATATTCTTTTTTTTTTTTTTTTGGTGGGCATGGAGTCTCGCTGTGTCACCCAGGCTAGAGTGCAGTGGCACGATCTCAGCTCACTGCAACCTCCACCTCTCAGGTTCAAGCTATTCTCCTGCCTCAGCCTCCCGAGTAGCTGGAATTACAGGCACCTGCCATACACCCAGCTAATTTTTGTATTTTTAGTAGAGATGGGGTTTCACTGTGTTAGCCAGGATGGTCTGGATCTCCTGACCTCAGGTGATCCGCCCACCTCAGCCTCCCAAAGTGCTGGGATTACAGGCATGAGCCACTGCGCCCAGCCTAAATGTGTATTCTTATCCATGATAAGAGATCAAAAATTAAATAAAAATTTTACTTGTAATGTGAGAAATCAATCTAAGGGGGGAAGAGGCCAGTTGGTTATGCACAATGGAAGGAGTGCATTGTGGACAGAAATGCAACAGCTGCCATTATTGGTGTAGAGTAAATAATGAAACTCCTAATGGGGTTTCCTGGAACAATATTCAGCTGTAACTAAAGCTTTATCTACTGAGAACATTTAATTGTAGGTGACGTGTAGATAAGTATAAGCTGACACTCAGACATATGACAAGACAACCTTCACTAAGGCATAATAGCAACTGTGAGATTTTTAAAAAACTATGCGTGCCATTGCACCTTTTAATTAAAGTGAGATGAGGATAAATAAAAATAATATTGACTGTCACTCATCTGAAAATAAATTTACTTCTTGGTAATTAAATAGACCTTCTCAATGCCTCAGCCTTTTTCTTCATATTCCATCTACTTGTTTTCATGTAACTTTGTCTTTCAATTCGTTTTTGTTTTTTTTTTCCTGTAAGGAGAATTAGACATAGAAAAATTATAAATTTAAGCCTTAAAATAATGTCTGGGCCAGAGTTTGTTGTTACTTTTGCTGTAGATTGTTTACTTAAAGAATTAGGTGAATTTTTTTTTTCCTGGTAGGTTTATTGGGAGTGTTCTCCATATTGATATAGATGGATCCATTTCCCATTTGGGGCTGAGCACTGTGTCTTACGCCTGTAATCCCAGCACTGTGAGAGGCCGAGGCAGGCGGATCACCTAAGTCAGGAGTTCAACACCAGCCTGGCCAATGTAGTGAAACCCTGTCTCTACTAAAAATAAAAAAAAATTAGCTGGGTGTGGTAGCATGCAGTCCAGCTACTCGGGAGGCTGAGGCAGGATAATTGCTTGAACCTGGGAGGCAGAGGTTGCGGTGAGCCGAGATTGTGCCACTGCACTCCAGCCTGGGCAACAGAGCAAGACTCTGCCTCAAAGCAAAAAAAAAAAGAAAAGAAAAGAAAAAAGGAATAGCCCAGTATTGTTTGTTTGGGGAGGGGCAGGGTGTGGTTCCACCAACTGTGGGCACCAGAATGGTGCTTTCTTTGATACTATGCTAAGAGGAAGAGGTTTGAGAGCCAAGAGTTCTTTATTTGGATATTGGTATGTTTGACTTGTTCATCAGTGAGTATTTATTGATCTCTAATTATTGATCTCAAAATACTGTATTAGCTACTATGGAATTCCGTTTTCAAGTTGCTTATAGTCTTGAGGAGAGATAAGATGTATATATATTTAAAAGGAAGAAAACAGTAAGTGACATGAAAGGCATAATGACAACCACAGAGCAGATGCTCAAATATTTATTTGCCTACTAAATGTTTGTTCTCATCTATCGATAAAGTGCTTAAGAAGTTGGCCTGTTTGTAATTTCTTCATTTTCTATCTATCTTGATTTATATACCTTCACCTTTTTAAATTTTTTGCCTGGTAGCAGTATTGGTCTAGGATTTTCACTCTTTATTAGGCTTCTTGATTGAAGATACCAGTTCCTTTAGTAATTTCAAAATGCCGGCCATAGCCAGTCTATAATCCAATTCAAAGGCATGAGTGGAAAAAGTGGGTATGAAACAATGAAGTAAATGGAGAAGTGGGGGAAAATCAAGCAATAATCACTTAGACTAAAACAGAACAATAAGAATTATACAGAAAGGTTATATTCTAGAGGCCAAGTATTGACTTGCACAGAATTGTGTAAATGATTGCCATTCACTTCCCTTATGAACTTAAGCCACTCAATTTCTGCATACTTCAGCCTCCTCATTGGTTGGATCCAGTCAGTGTTTTTCATAGTACATACAGTCATACCGGTGGATTGTCAAATCAATTTAGCGGGTCACTACCAGCATTTTTTTTTTTTTTTTTTTTTTGAGATTGGAGTCTCGCTCCTTCACCCAGGCTGGAGTGCAATGGTACAATCTCGTCTCACTGCAACCTCCACCTCCCAGGTTCAAGCAATTCTCCTGCCTCAGCCTCCCAAGTAGCTGGGATTATAGGTGTGCACCACCATGCCCTGCTAATTTTTTGTATTTTAGTAGAGATGGGGTTTCACTGTATTGCCCAGGCTGGTCACGAACTCCTGAGCTCAGGCAATCTGCCCGCCTCAGTGTCCCAAAGTGCTGGGATTACAGGCGTGAGCCACCATGCCTGGCCAGCATTTTTTAAATGATATAAAATAGTATTGAAAATATCAGAATGTGGCCAGGTGCGATGGCTCACGCCTGTAAAATCTTAACACTTTAGGAGGCCGAGGCGGGCAGATTGCCTGAGCTCAGGAGTTCAAGACCACCCTGGGCGACATGGTGAAATCCCATCTCTACTAAAAATACAAAAATTAGCCGGGCATGGTGGTATGTGCCTGTAATCCCGGGTACTCGGGAGGCTAAGGCCAGAGGATTGCTTGAACCAGGGAGGCGGAGGTTGCAGTAAGCTGAGATTGTGCCACTGCACTCTAGCCTGAGCAGCAGAGTGAGGCTCCATCAGCAAAAAAAAAAAAAAAAAAAAAGATCAGAGTGCATCACACATAATTAAGGTAGCTTATGTTTTGTGAAACTTTGTGAGTACGGGTTGTCATTTTTAATGTAGCCCTAAATGTTTTTTAGGGAAGAAAAAGTTGGCTTTTAATAAGTATTCAGTGAGAATGAATTTGAAGGGTGTGGAGAAAAGTGGAATAGCCAATTTAAAATAGGAATACTCCCAAGTCCCCTGTTATGGATGTGCCAATCTATTGTTTATCCCAGAAATATTGTTTCATGTGTTTTACAGATAACAAGTCTCATTTTAATCAATACTGTTGCATTTCCTGGTCTATAGAATACAATTTTCAAACACTAGCCAACTTACCTTAGAGAAATACTGGTTTTCTAATGTGGGCAAATAAATACATTCAGTATGAATCCCTTAACAAAATGACCTCATTATGCTACCTCTTGGTAAAATCTAACCAAGCATGAGTCTTATGATTAAGAAAGAAATTTGCTCTGTAGGTGCTTCAGACAGTTTTACAACCAATAAGAATGTGAGATTTGTCGGAGAAAAACTATCTGCATGTCTCCAATCTGAAGAGAGCAAAGATCTGTTATTTGACAAACCCTATTTTTCCGAGCATCAACAGTCAGTGGCACCATGAAAATTAAAAACCTGATAATACCACCAATGTAGTACTCTTTAAAAACATGTCATCTTACTCAGCAATCAACCTGATTGAATATTTTAAAATGAATAAGTGGATAAATATCTTACCTGAAAGATAGCTTCATTAAATAAACTAACTCCTGAGAGGATTTCTTTGGCCTTTAATATCCTATTTAATAGATTTCTTATAACCATATCAGCAAAGCCACTCTGCTCTGGACAATGGTCAGAAGGTAGGAAGAAGTGTTATAGGGTAATGAGCAATAATAAGGCCACCAAATATAATCCCATTGTAATGGGATTCTACCCACTTGTAGAAGTTTATTCACCACTACAAATTACTAAAGTTAACCTAAACAATTAAAGAAAGAAATCTTAGTCTTTAAGAACAGAGGATTGTAAAGTGAGCCAGACCTTCCAATCAGCTAAAATAATGTAAAATAATGTACTTTTCAACCTGACTTGGCTTAATGTAGTTAAGTAAATTTTAGGATAGGTTCTAAAAAACCTTGAGAGGCATTTTGTTGTTGTTGTTGTTGTTGTTAGTTTGCCTTAAAGTTAAATGTACATTGACCTTTGGTATTTCTTAGAAAAACCTGTTACTGAACCTAGTACAGAATGTGAATCATTTCATGCCTGAAATACAAGATTGATGTTTACAGGGCAATTGTCCAGAATCTTGCTGAATTGGAAAGTATTTCACTCTTCATCACTGTAGATCCGTTTAACTTTACAAATGTGTTATTTAAAACATAAACCATTTTGGTGCACAGGAAACCCACTTAAAATTAAATTTTAAAAAGCTCTCGAGAAGTCTGTGGAACATTTATGGTTTTATAACTTACAATTTCTAGCAAAAGTATCTTTAATATCTTACAAAATATTTTCAGAGATAGCTTATCCAAAATATGTAATACATGTGAGAGAATAGCACTGTTGAAATGCTTGAACACATAAAAAGCATTATTGCCTTCATTTTCCCTGAAATGAACCAAGCTACCAATTTAAAGCTGGGAAAGTCAGTACCAGAGTTAAAAACAAGTTACTTTAAAGATATCTGCTTTTACTTTAATCTAAAAAATAATTGATTTTTTAAAAAACTTATTCTATTTTATGTATATAACTTCTCCTTTATAAGCTTAGAAAAATTTATATCAGTATTACATTCTTGATTCTCTCAAGGTATGATTTAAATGGTGGACACTTAAGCCAAAATTTCAAACAGGTTCTTTTTTCTTTGTTCTTTTACAGAATGGCTCTCAAGTCGAAAGAGGGCTGTGCCTTTGGTGTTTGGGTATGATATATTTGCCTGTGATTTCTCATTCTCAGAGCATTCCCATAAATAATGCCACAAAGTAGAGTTTGATTTTTTTTTTTTTGAGACGGAGTTTCGCTCTTGTTGCCCAAGCTGGAGTGCAATGGCGCGATCTCAGCTCACTGCAACCTCCGCCTCCCAGGTTCAAGCGATTCTTCTGCCTCAGCCTCCCAAGTAGCTGGGATTACAGGCATGCGTCACCACACCCGGCTGTTTTTTTTTTTCGCATTTTTAATAGAAACGGGGTTTCACCGTGTTAGCCAGGCTGGTCTCGAACTCCTGACCTTAGGTGAACTGCCCGCCTCAGCCTCCCAAAGTGCTGGGATTACAGGTGTGAGCCACCGCGCCCTGCCTAGAGTTTGATTCTCTTAAACCGTTCTACTAAAATACTATCAGTTTAAACTACCATCTACAGAAATAAAAAACATAAACCACTAAAAGATTAAAGCATTTAGGAGTTTATATGCAAAGAAGTCTTGCAAGGGAGTACAAGCTTTAGGAGGACAGGCTTATCAAATTAAAAAATGAAAAAACCTACAAAATTACCAAAGTCACCAAGTTTAGTTATTCTTTTCATGGTGGAAAACAGTTTCCTCAGATAATCATCATATCAGAGGTCATCATGTATCCTTAGATATCAGCATTGCCAAGACCAGGGATATAGTTATTAGTAATTTACAGGAAAGGCTCAAGGTTTCATTTACATGGGAAATGAGAACTAGACAGTGTGGTGACTGTTTTTGTTGTTAACCTTACCTCAGTGTTTTATCTCGGGTGGTCCCCAAGACCACCTTCAGGATCAGTGATTCACTGGAGGGACTCACAGAACTCAGAAAAGCTGTTAAGTTATGGTTATGGTATATTATAGCAAAAGAATATATATTAAAATCAGCAGCTGAAAAAAGGCACATAGGGCAAAGTCTGGGGGACACCAGGCACAAGCTTCCAGTTGTCCTTCACCTGTGAAGTCATGTAGACAGACCATAATTCTCTCAGCAGACAGACCATAATTCTCTCAGCAACAATGTGTGACAACATTCTTGGAGAATTGCTAACCAGGGAAGCTCCACCAAGCCTTGGTGTCCAGATTTTTTCTTGAGGGTTGGTCACGTAGGCATAGCATGACTGATAGCCCATGTGGCTGACCTTCAGTTTTCAGCCCCTCCAAAGATGGAGCTGATACTACATGGCCTAAGGACTTCACCATTAATCACATTGTTAGCTTAGACTACCTGGTATGGCCTAAGGCCCCCAAGTAAATTAAAACATTCATATCAGGCAGGATAGTCCAAGGACTTAGAGGTTATCTTGAATCTGGACACAGGACAAACATTTCTTTGGAATGTGAAAAGTTTACACAATCAAGACTTGCTATGTTGATCCTTTACTGCGGTATTGTTTTTTGTTTTCTGACCCAAAAGTGATGTGCATTGCTTACCTATCATGGCCTCTGGTTAAGGTGTCAGTCTTGCCTCCAAATTTCCTCCTAAAGCATGGAATTGGCCATAAATTTGCTTAGTGATTTTCTGATTTAGTATCATTAGTTTGATGACTAGTTTTATTATGTGAGTGTGATAAAAGGTTACGCTTAGTATACAAAGACCTTCTTATAAGTCTAGTTAATAAAACTAGGGCCATGTGTTACTACAACATAGGAGTTAACTTTGTCTGGAGGCTTTTTCAAGCCCAAGAGGTTGTCATTTCTTTATGTGTAAGATACTGCCCACATACTATACTGAAGTCAGGAACCAAGAACCGGTCAATTTACCTCAGCCAAGTTGCTTGGACTGCTTTGCTTAATAATGGGTTTGCCATATCTACTTTAATGAGATGTGTGGCATGGTGATGGTTACAAAAGTGATTTGTTAATTATTGCCTGGTAGGAAGGAGAACATGTTTTTTTTGAACCTATGCAAATAGCCACATGTCTGTGAAAAGTAAAGGGATACTTTTGTGTAATATTTAACCATGTATACCATTGTTTGTGTACTTTTTAATTGTGTCATTTTCTACAGTATTATTTTTGCATTTTCCTGACACTGTA
This sequence comes from Homo sapiens, assembly GCF_000001405.40. Classification (NCBI taxonomy): domain Eukaryota; kingdom Metazoa; phylum Chordata; class Mammalia; order Primates; family Hominidae; genus Homo; species Homo sapiens. The sequence continues at coordinate 109,173,236 of NC_000006.12, forward strand.
TTACTTACAAGTTATATTAATAATTTTTATTAATTTTTTTCCTGAATCCTAAAAGGTCAGTTGGAACATGAGACCATTTAAAGAATATTATTTCCTTCCAGTTTATTCAAGGGTGGCCTATTGAGAGTTTGAGATAAAGAAGAAAGGAATCTTTCCTTTCCTTCCCCCTCAGCCCGCCCCCTACCTTTCTTTTTTTTTTTTTTTTCTTTTCAGGGTCTTGTTCTGTCACCCAGGCTGGAGTGGAGTGAATGCAATCAAAGCTCACTGCAACCTCAAACTCTTGGGCTTAAGCAGTCCTCCTGCCTCTGCCTCCCAAGTAGCTGGGACTACAGGTGCATGCCACCACACCTGGCTAATTAAAAAAAAAAAAAAATTTTTTTTTTTGAGGAGACGCGGTCTCACTTTGCTGCCCAGGCTGGTCTCAAACTCTGGGCTCAAGCAATCCTTCCACCTCAGCCTCCCAAAGCTCTGGGATTACAGGCATGAGCCACTGTGCCCGGCAGAATTTTTCTGTGTCCATTAGAAATAGAAATCAGTCACATGCTATGATTTCAATATGTCACTCAAAAGCCATGTGTTGGGGCTGAACGTAGTGGCTCACGCCTATAATCCCAGCACTTTGGGAGGCAAAGGAAGGTGGATCACTTGAGGTCAGGAGTTTGAGACCAGCCTCCAACATGGTGAAACCCCGTCTCTACTAAAAAAAAAAAAAAAATTAGCTGGGTGTGGTGGCATGCACCTGTAGTCTCAGCTACTCATCAGGCTGAGGCAGGAGAATCGCTTGAACCCAGGAGACAGAGGGTGCAGTGAGCCGAGATCATGCCATTGCACTCCAGCCTGAGCCATAGAGTGAGTCTTGGTCTCAAAAAAAAAAAAAAACCTTGTGTTGGAAACCATCTCCAATGAAGCAGTGTTAGGAGATAGGGCCTAATGGATATAAATTACAGTGTCTAAGATGGATACTTTACTCTTTTCTTTTGAGAAGGGAGAGAGTATGTTATGCACTGAGAACTTTTCAGATTTCTTGCAGAGGTCATAATGTTCCAGACAAGCTGGCAGCAATCATTCCCATCCCATCACAGATCCAGGCTTATTTGTAGAATGGTTACACAAACCAAGCAAAACCTTCTGTAAAGTTTCTACCCTTTGCTCTAAAGTTACATAAAAACAATTTCCAAGTTTGTTCACTGTGTATATTTTGTTCTTTTTCATGGTAGATTTGTCTGTTGGAGTTAGATATCCCTAAATAGTGTGTTCAAATGATGTTTTTTTCTGACTGTTCAATCTCCAGCATATTTCTGAGGGAGAAAGGACATTGACTTTGGAGAAAGAAAGCTGTGTAATTACAAATGGACTATTACAAAGAACTATGCCTTCCTTTTTGAGGAGAAAAAAGATGGTTTTTAAAAATTAATACGCAGGCTGGGCGTGGTAGCTCACGCCTGTAATCCAAGTCCTTTGGGAGGCTGAGGTGGGAGGATGGCTTGAGCTCAGGAGTTTGAGACCAGCTTTGGCAACATAGTGAGACCTCATCTCTACAAAAAAAATTTAAAAATTAGCCAGGCATAGTGATGCATGCCTGTAGTTTCAGCTACTTGGGAGGCTGAGATGGGAGGATTGCTTGAGCCCCAGAGATGGAGGCCGTGTGAACCATGATCATGCCACTGCACTCCAACCTGGGAGACAGAGCAAGACCCTATCTCAAAAAATAATAGCAATACACAGAACTACCAGCCTTAGTTTATAACATTAGCCACAGATGGATCAAATGTAATAAAAGTACAAAAAGCGTGAGTCATTGGTTAATGGTAGCAGCTCCAGATCTCCAAGGGCTTCTCTGCATTCCAGTGGCCACAAAAATATTTTTCTTAATTGATTTGAACTCATAGTGGCACAAAAAAATGAAAAACAAGTTTCGTCAATGGTCAGAAGATGAGAAAGAAAGTAAATCAGTGATGTAGGGAGTAATATGAGCAACTTTCCAACCTACTAATGCAACCTATCAATTTGACCAAACTCATGTCTTAAGACCCAGATGCAAAGAAAAGATGTATCTTAGATGACAGAAGATAACAGAATCCTCAAGACAAAAACAAAGTACAATCAGATGTCCTGTCATTGTTGCCTCACAAAGAACGGATCGACCATTAAAATGTGTATTTTCAACATTGCTGCCACCAAAGGAGAAATAAGTGGCTGTTTACAAATCAGAACCAGTGTCAAACGCAGACTTGGCCAGGAAGCAAAAAACATATGAAGAGCCAGAAAAAGAACTTGAATCAACTAGATGAAGACTTTATTGCCTCAAGACTGGAAAATGTATACCTCGAACAGCCCTTGAGTTGCTCTTCATGGACAATGTGGTGGACTTTACCCTGGTTGATGCATACACAAAATCTTAGAGGAATCTACACAATTGTCAAAGAAATATAGACAAAGGATTTAGGGGGGAAAGTTTACTTTCAAGGAAAGTTTGCAAGCAACTCCCAAGTTTTAAAAGAACTGGCTCATCAAATAAAAAAATACAAAAAAAAAAAAAGGAAAACCCACAAAATTACCAGTATTACCAAGTTTGTAGTTGTCCAATCATGGTAGAAAAGACAGCGATTTTCTCACATGATTGTCATAGCCACAAAGATCATCACAGATTTTCATCTATTATCATTGCAAAAGTTGGCAATAAAATTGCTTTTATTAAAGGAATTAGTAAATTATAAACAAAACTTAAGGATTATTTTATTTTGGGAAAATGAATGACAGTGACCCTGTTTTTGTTTGCTTATTTCTCTCAGGGTGCAAGATATTTTCTGACTACAATGTACATGTTGATAATGCTCTGATAACAGCAGAGCAGTGTGTACATTTTGCTTTCACACATGCTTCTTTTGATCTTTGGTAATTTTTTAAAAAAATGCTTCCATGAACAGATAATGAGGTGGTTTATTATTATTTGAGGTAAAAGAGACAATAATATGGAGCGGTGGGAGCCAAAGTTTAAGAAAGTTTCTTTGGGGCCGGTCGTAGTGGCTTATGCCTGTAATCCCAGCACTTTGGGAGGCTGAGGCTGGCGGAACATGAGGTCAGGAGTTTAAGACCAGCCTGACCAACATGGTGAAACCCCGTCTCTACTAAAAATACAAAAATTAGCTGGACGTGGTGGTGTGCGCCTGTAATCCTAGCTACTCAAGAGGCTGAGGCAGAAGAATCGCTTGAACCCAGGAGGCAGAGGTTGCAGTGAGCCAAGATTACACCAAAGTGCTGGGATTACAGGCATGAGCCACTGTGCCTGGCTACTTTGGGTAAGATTTAGTAAAGGCCACATCATGAAAACAGTTAAGTTACAGTCATATGTTGAAAGACATTGGAAGGTTATAGAAGCAACAAAGACTAGAAGAACCAAAATTCCAGAAATGAAAGAGCCTTCCTAGGTGAGTTGACAGTCCCTGGCTATTTGCTTCCTTAGCCAATCTACCAATTCTAGTCACAGTGACAGTTTTGGCATAAGAACCCAAATGCGACAAACAGAAGCCAGGGAGACTTTTGAAGGCCATGGCTGCAGGAATGGCAGAGTTGAATCTAATGTCTGAAATATACCCATTGGATATTTGCTGAATGCCAAGGTGTGAAGGAGTCTGGGGGGCTGGTCTAGAAAGGCAAAGTAAAATCTGCAGTCTTGCCATGCTTAAAAGATAAACCCTGCTAGAAGGAGGAACTGCGTCAAATATACGACAGTTCTCTCCCTCAAATTTTTGCCAGATTTTGAACTTTCATGGGGTGGGAAACTAAGTTCGAACCTTTGAAGGACAGAATTTCAGAGATGAGGAAAAAGAGAAATGTCAATCTATCAATCAAAAGGCTCAGAAGGCACACCTAAGAAGGAAGTTGGAAAGGCAGGTAAAATCTGAGATTAGCTTAGGAGACAACACCCCACAGGAGAGAGGAAGCCAGCACAAAACACTTGGCCAGTTTTCCTCTCTAGACGTTTGCCAGATTTTGAAGCTGCAGGAGGTTAAAGAGCTAAACTAAAACCTCTAAAAGGGTAGAAATCTTCGGTTAAAAAAAAAAAAACACTAGCCAAAGAATAAAAACCTTACAATGGGCCGGGTGTGGTGGCTCATGCCTGTAATCCCAGAACTTTGGGAGGCTGAGGCAGGTGGATCACCTGAGGTCAGGAGTTTGAGACCAGCCTGACCAACATGGAAAAACCCCATCTCTACTAAAAATAAAAAATTAGCCAGGCATGGTGGCGCATGCCTGTAATCCCAGCTATTCGGGAGGCTGAGGCAGGAGAATCACTAGAACCCAGGAGGTGGAGGTTGCAGTGAGCCGAGATCGTGCCACTGCACTCCAGCCTGGGCAACAAGAGCAAAACTCGGTCTCAAAAAATAAAATTAAAAATTAAATATATATATATATATATATATATATATATATATATATAACTAATGTGTTGAGGACAAAATGGGGAAATAGGTAAATTCACTGTAATAAGATTTTAATATACCTAGCTCATATATCCTTTAAAAAATCAGTGATTACATCAATGGATATAAAAGATTTGAACAACATGACTAGCCAATATGATCTAATTGGCGTATATAAAACACTATTCCCAACATCAGAATACACATTTTTTCAAGTATACATGAAACATTTACCAAAATAACCATATGTTGGGTTATAAAGCAAGCTTGACATATTTTTAAAAATTGAAGTCATACGGAATATGTTCTCAGGCCACAGTGGAATCATACTAGAAACCATAACAGAAAGAACCAGTTTTAAATAACTCTTATGTCAAAGAAGAAATCATAATAGAAATTAGAAAATATTTAAAATATAGTGAAAACACAACATTAAAAACTTCTGTGATGTAGCTAGAATAGTGCTTAGAGGGAAATTTATAATATTAAATACATTACACGAGAGGTTAAAAATTATTTATCTAAACATCCATCTCAAGAGCTGGAAAAAGAAAAGCAAATTAAACTCAAGATAGTAAAAGCAATGATCTACTAAGTTAGGTGAGCAGAAATCAGTAAAAGAAAAGGCAGACATGAATAACCTAGAGAAAACTCAGTAATACTGGTTCTTTGAAAAAAATTAGTAAAATTGATAAATCTCTAATAAGACTGATCAAGATAAAAGCAAGTACAAGCTGGGCGCGGTAGCTCATGCTTGTAATCTCAGCACTTTGGGATGCCAAGGCAGGCGGATCACCTGAGGTCAGGAGTTCGAGACCAGCTTGGCCAACATGGTGAAACCCTGTCTCTAATAAAGATACAAAAATTAGCCAGGTGAAGTGGCACCTGCCTGTAATCCCAGCTACTCAGGAGACTGAGGCAGAAGAATCACTTGAACATGGGGGGCGGAGGTTGCAGTGAGCTGAGATTGTGCCACTGCACTCCAGCCTCGGCAACAGAGCAAGACTTCATCTCAAAAAAAAAAAAAAAAAAAAAAAAAAAAAGACAAGTACAGAAATTACCAATATCAGGAATATAAAAGGAGACAGCACTACACATTTTATAAATATTAAAAAGATAAGAAGTTTAAAAGGACAACATCAAGAAAGTGAAAGGATGACCCACAGAATGGAAGAAAATATTTGCAAATTGTACATCTGATAAGGGACATGTATCTAGAATATATAAGAACTCTTACAACTCATCAATAAAATACAAATAATCCAATTAAAAATAGGCAAAGGATCTGAATGGACATTTCTCCAAAGAAGACATACAAATGGCCAATAAGCATGTGAAAAGATGATTGACGTCATTAGCCACTGGGAAATGCAAATTAAAACCACAATAAGATACCACTTCACACCAACTAGTATGGCTTAAATTAAAAAGACAGATAGTAACAAGTGTTAGCAAGGCTGTGGAGAAATTGAAACTCTCATACATGGCTGATTGGAATGTAAAATGGTACAACCACTTTGGAAAAGTCTGGCAGTTTCTCAAAGGTCAAACATATTTACCCTGTAATTCCACTCCTACACATATACTCAAGGGAAATGAAAACAGATGTGCACAAAACCTTGTATATGAATGTTCATAGCAATATTATGTATAATTGCCCCCAAATTGAAACAACCCAGATGTCCATCAGTTGATGAACAAATAAAATGTAGTATAGTTGTTCAATGGAATATTATTCAGCCATTGAAAATGAATGAAGTGCTGATACATGCTACAACAAGGATGAGCCTTGAAAACATGCTAAGTAAAAGAAGCCAGTCACAAAGGACTACATATTGTATGGTTCTGTTGATATGAAATGTTCATATAAATCTGTAGAGACAAATCTGTAGAGAGAAAGTCAATTAGTGGTTGCTTATTGTTAGGAAGAAGAGGTAGCTTAGAGAAAAATGAGGAGTGGCTGGTAATGGCAATAGGGTTTCTTTTTAGGGTAATGAAATGTTCTAAAATCGATTGTGGTAATGATTGCACAACTCTGAATATACTAAATAAAAATCATTGATTGTGCATTTCATGTGAGTTAATCAGATGTTGTGTTAATTATATCTCAACAAAGCTGTTAAAAAGTATGATACTATGAAAAACCTCACATCCCCCCAAAATTCATCTACTTAGATGAAATGTGCTTATATATCCAAATGTTCTTTTAAAAGTCTTAATAAAATGAACACAAAAATAAATAGAAAATTGAATAGCTATATATCTGTTTAAAAAATTGAATCTGTAATTGAAGTCCTCCCATACAGAAAACTTCAGTTTACTATATTTCAGAGGTGATTTATTCCAAGTATTTAAGGAAGGATATAGCAATTATAAACATTCTTCAGAAAATAGAGAACACTTCACAACATGTCTTATGAGGCCAGCATAATGTTGATACCAAAATTTCACAAAAACATTATAAGAAAAATGACAGGCCAATGTCTCTCATGAACATAAATGCAAACATTCTGAAAAACATAGTAGAAAATTGAATACATTTTTCTATAAAAAAGATAACAAATTATGACCAAATGGAGTTTATTCTAAAAACACAATTTTGGATTAACTTTTGAAAATCTGTGAAATTAACCACATTAACAAATAGATGAGGGAGATCACATGATTAATAGATGCAGAAAAAGCATTTGACATAATTCACCCTTTCAAGAAAAAAGTAAAATAAGCCTCTCAGCAAACTAGAAGTAGAAGCAGGTTATTCAACTCAGACTATCAAATATATTTATCTCATGTCCCCTATGTTCTATAGACACAATGAAGGGAAAACACTAATGTGTTTATCTGAACAATGCCTAGGGGATGATGAAGCAGACTTGGAAGGAACCCGGGCCGTTGAGTGCCCATTTAGTAGTGGGGCTGCTCTACAACCCCAGACCATTTACATTAGCACCATTAGGTTAGAGAGATTTAAAAGATCTTTTTTCTTTGATTGATTGATTGATTGATTGATTGGAGACAGAGCCTCACTCTGTCACCCAAACTGGAGTAGAGTGGTGCTCACTGCAACCTCAGCCTCCTGGGTTCAAGCCATTCTGCCTCAGCCTCCTAAGTAGCTGGGATCACAGGTGTATGCCACCATGCCTGGCTAGTTTTTGTATTTTTAGTAGAGGTGGGGTTTCACCATGTTGGCCAGGCTGGTCTCGAACTCCTGGCCTCAAGTGATCCACCCACCTCAGCCTCCCAAAGTGCTGGGATTATAGGCATGAGTTTGTTCTTTTAGCCACTGGTGATGGTGTCTTTTTGTTACAATGGCTTAGCCACACCCCTACTAATGCAGAAGCTGGCATGTAATGTATTTCATTTGAAAGCATAGATGATTTGAAAGCATTTGATGATCAAGATGACTACGTATCAAAAATGTTTACCCAACAAGGTTACAGAGTATCTATCTGTGCAGATCAATAAAGAGAATTGGATTAGCCCACAGTGATATGGGACCAGTATGCTTATCAGTTTAAATTCTGGCATTTGCTAGAATAAAAATAATTGTTTTATTTTGGTACATATCACATTATCAAGTTTTGGGAGCCTTTAAAACACTTGAAGCTGTGCTGATTTATGTATTTTGATGAGCTTAACTATTTACATTTATTATAATTACTGTTACATTTGAACTTAATTCTGCCATACTTCTTTTTGTTCCCCCCCACCACCACTTTTCTTACCTTCTATTGCAGGGGTCCCCAGTCCCCAGGCCATGGACCAGTACTCATCAGTGGCCTGTTAGGAACTGGGCCACACAGCAGGAGGTGAGCACAGGCAAGCAAGCATTACCACCTGAGCTTCCTCTGGTCAGATCAGTAGCAGCATTTGGAGTCTCATAGGAGCATGAACCCTATTGTGAATGGTTCATGTGAGGGATCTAGGTTGCGTGCTCCTTGTGAGAATCTAGCTAATGCTTGATGATCTGAGGTGGAGCAGTTTCATCCTGAAACCATCCCTCTGCCTGGCCACCTGCTGCTTCCCATCCATGGAAAAATTGTCTTCCATGAAACCAATCCCTGTTGCCAAAAAGGTTGGGGACCACCGTTTATTGGATTTAAAAGTCCTATCTCACCCCTTACTCCCACTTCTTTGGGAAGCTCTAGGATACATTTCTTTTTTTTTTTTTAATAGGTACGGATATTTTTATTTTATTTTTATTTTTTCCTATTTTTTATTATACTTTAAGTTCTAGGGTACATGTGCACAACGTGCAGGTTTGTTACATATGTATACATGTGCCATGTTGGTGTGCTGCACCCATTAGCTCATCATTTACATTAGGTATATCTCCTAATGCTATCCCTCCCCACTCCCCTCATCCTATGACAGGCCCTGGTGTGTGAAGTTCCCCACCCTGTGTCCAAGTGTTCTCATTGTTCAATTCCCACCTACGAGTGAGAACATGCAGTGTTTGGTTTTCTGTCCTTGCGATAGTTTGCTCAGAATGACGGTTTCTAGCTTCATCCATGTCCCTACAAATGACATGAACTCATCTAGATGCATTTCTATTCTTTTACTCATCACCTTGAAACTTTTAAAATAGTTACTCAGTATTTCTTTTCTAAACGTGTCTGCTTTATCCCCATCCAAGCCTGCTGTAACCACACATTGAACACCCCCAAACCTTGCTCAAGCTGATCTTACTATTTTTGTCTTAAATTTTAACCACGTTTTAAATGCATAAAAATTATGTATTATACATAATTATGAATTACAAATAATTAAATGTACTTATTTTTAAAAACATGATTGAAGAAATTCTCTTTTCTCGCAATCTCTTTTCTAAGACTAAATGAGTTCCCAGTGCTTGCCTGACACACGGTAGGTTCTCAATAAATGAAGCACACCTCCCATACCCCTCCAAATAAACAGTTGTCTCTTTAAACCTAGACATGAGTGCTCAGCAGGCATGTATTTCTCTGGGTTGGATTCATTTCATGGACAGTTGTCAAAGACTGACCCCTTTATGTTAATTTTCTGAATACTGTGCTTGACTGTGTTGCAAGCTAAACAGTACAGGATTAAATGTTCTCATTTCTGAGCTGTGAAGTGTTGAAACTGATCAAGAAATGAAGGCAGAATGTCCGTCCTTTGGGAGAATAATCAGCCAGTCTATGTTGCTGCCACTCTTGGCTGCCGATTGGAATGCAGCTGTTAAGGCAGCTGTTTAACTGTTTGCCCAACTTGAAAGGACACTGCCAAATGGCAAATATTTTCTATAACAACATTTTACTTTTGCTAAGAACAATAACAGTGCATTTTATTGAGCTCCAATGGCGTGCCAAACACGACAGATTTATTACTAGGCAGGTTCACAACCTGGACTGAACATGGATGCTCATTTCCATTTTTCATATATTTAGAAAAAGAATAAATGGGCTCCCAAAGGAAGCCTCTACACAAAACATCTCTACAGCTTAATTATTTGTTGAAATGACAGCATATTAACTTGAGAAAATGAAATATCTCAAAAGGAAAGATGAGAGTCTAGAAATATCACAGGAAAAAAATAAGGTTTAAGTATTTTAAATCTCTCTAATGTGGCCTAAGAGAGACTTAACTCATACTTGTCCAGGACAGGTGAGGGCAGCAGTAACACAAGGAAATACATCATCTGTTGAATCCCCTGCAACTTATGGGTCCCAGGACTTCTGAGTCATGCAGTTAATCTACATTGTTAATTAGAATGTTGATACTAAGTACTTAACAAACAATTATGTTGAATTTGACAGACTGTGAACCAGGTGAGGTGGGGTGGGAGGTTATCAGCTGTTATTTAATGGTAAAACCGGTATGCTAAATGTAGGCAGTCAAAATTAAGAAAACACATTCAAATGCGGAAGTACAATTTTCTATTAGAAGTCAGCAATAACTGCCATTCACAGAAGTTACTGTGTAATCCCCACAAACATTTATCAAGACTGCAGAGGTGAGGGGTGGTGGGGGGTGCATTCTCACTTATTAAACCCCACAGCCAAAGCTGAAGCAGAGATGTTTTTGAAGGTGAACTGGGCTAATCAAAGGCATGGCCAGTGGAGATTCTAACCTACTTTTTCTCTACTGTTTACTAGATGTTAATTAAATCACAAATGACAACAGTCTAATAGCAAAATGCATGCATTTCTACAAAGTTGACATGATTTCTTGGACAAAGATAGACAAAGTTCAACATGCTGGATAATGGTCACTGAGGGCATCAAGATTTGTGATCCTCTTTTTCAGGGATACAGAAAAACAGCAAATACAAATCATGGATGAAATTTATAAGATCACTTCCACAGAAAGGGTCCAGCTGTTGGAGAAAAAACTGGCTGTGCAACTGACTGAACTGAAGTCTGAGATAGAAGAGCAGGGAGCTCTTCAGGGAACAGCTAATCGAGTTTACAGGTAAATAGTGGCACTGAGAAGGTGTGATCTTCAGGGGCTTTACTCCCCACTCTCACTCCGTAATCTACATCAGCACCCTCTCTTCTTTTTACATAGACAATTGGCATTATCTCCAGTTCAGATAAATAGTATATAATAGCAGTTTCAGGTACCCATTTCTAACCTGATTGCTACCTCTAAGATTTTTCTATATTCTAGATTTGTTAAGACAGATCCAAGCAAAAGTCTTACCAAGGAAAATGTAAGTGTTTTTACATGTTAATTAATGCTATTGTCTTGAAGTTACAGGAGCTATAATACAAATCATACTCAATGAAAGGAGATCTCATTTTACCCAATAATATTTTAATTGAATTTGACTTTGATGTTGGTGAGAAATTTAAAAGCTGAAATAATGGTAGGCACTTAGTAATACATTATGCAAAACAATGTTCTGTGAGTGTTATCAGCACTCTGGATTCTTGCTGTCTCCCAGGATAGAAATCAAGAGAGATCACCAAACAGAGCAGCAGCAAAGGTAAGTGTATTCAGGTTGTGCACAAGGGAGCCAGCACCAAGAAAGGAAAAGGAAAGAGATGCTCTCCAAGGGTAGTGTGTGCGTTAGTTTTATAGCATCCTTTGATAGAGAAGGGTTACATCAGGGCACATATGGCGGGGTGCGGGGGGTGTGGTTTCTAGTGCTCATACAGTGGCTCAACATGCTTCTTCATACATCAAATGTAGCATTAGCATTTTAAATCTCCACCCAAGGCATTATTCTTAGCACAAAAATGAGGAAGGGGTAACTATAGGTTGAGTTTTAGTTCTAACTGCACCTGTGGGGCTTTGTGGAAGTCTCTATCCCCCCAAAGTAGGAACTTGCTGTTAATAACTCCTTGGGTCTTTTGTTACTGATTTGCTGAGAGTTAGGTAAGCTAGGGCTTGAGTAGGGGCTTCTGTTCTCCTCTAGAGCAGATCACAACAGGAAGCCAGCCAGCCTGTTTCATTAGGAGCTCTTCTATAGGTAAGTGCTGCCAACAACAGCAATCAAGTTATTGTAGAGAAACAAGAGACACAGATCAGCCCCTAATGGCAAGTCTCATGGACCCAGGACCTTCATATCCCTGTTTCTGATACTGCCACAACTGATCAAAAGGAGCAATATAAGAACCCTGTTAGGTTGAATCATTGAGAAAACACAATGTGGATGGTGAGAGGTTTGGAGAGGTCAGAAGATGCAGTAAGCAGGTGAATTAGTACTTCATTCCAAAGACAATTCTGAAGAACCAGCATTTCATATGTTTTTTAATTAGTATTTAAAACCATTAGGTGTCTGAAGCAAATCAGATTGTGTGATGAGATGGAAAGATCATGGAACCATGCAAGTCATAATTTCTCTCAATTTTGGTTTCTTTATTTGAAAAATGAGGTTAGTACCTTGCCTACCTACATAAGGTTGTGAGGATAATGAAATAATGCATGTTAAAGTATTTTTAAGACTAGAAAACACAATGCAAAGATGGAGTGTTGATATTATTATGATTTAAATGTCAGAATGTCAGGCAAGTGACTCCCCAGTGTACACTGGGATAAGAAAGGCTTTCTGATGTCTCTTAGAATCGAGTGATGGGAAATCCTGGATAGCCTTATTTGTCTACTCCCCCAAATCACCCAACACTGCACCTAACAAATACTTCTTGAGCACCTTCTGTTTTCCAGGTGCTGTGCTAGGTTCTAGAGTCCAAGGAACATGGAAATATCCACTCCTGATAATCACTTTAACATTCTCATTCCACTAGATTGAAAAATCTATTGAGGCTTGGAGAAGAACTGTGTGTCTTAAACATTTCCGCCCCCCCCCCCCCGTTTTTTTTGCATCCTTTCCCTTGTTTTACTCCACAAACCCAAGACTTTGCAGTGGTTAAGTGTTTCATAAATTCTTGCTGAATGAATAAATGAATGAATGTATGTTGAATGAACAATGCTTGATGAACGTATGAGTAAATCTCTTTTTGCAGGTTGATGTACACACTACTTATGTTCACCAGTCTCTTCAGGGTCATTCACAGGCACTTTGAGGCTAACTGAGAGGAAAGACAAGATCTGAGTGAGAGAGGGCTGGGTAGCTAAGCCCATGACCCTCCCCATCTCCCAGTATGCCAAAGATAAGAAGACAAGAGGGCAGGGGAAAGTTTCTTGTGTTTCTCTAGCTGCCTAGTAATAGCTGATCCCTTTTCTGGTTGGTTACTCATTCCCCACCGCCACAAGGCTGCAGCCAGGATTCAGAATGACAGAAATTATACCTCAGGTTTATTACCGGTTTTATTCTCAAATCCCTTTCAGAGCTCACCTCTTTTTCTTTTTCCATTAAAGCGAAGATATTAGGAGATAAGAGGGGCATTATCTCCAACTTCAGGGGTGGAAATTTGACACAATGTGTCTAAATGGGTTGCTTAGGCTCACTTGACTGATGGATTTCTTGACTGTCAGCCTGGGGTTCTTTTCACAGAACCACTGCCTGCAGTGGGGGAAATTGCTGGCAAGTGTACAAACTAACAGTGTATTTTTATCTTCCCTTAAAACTTATCTGGGAACTCATAGGCCATATGAACAATAATAACCTAAATGTCACTGCTTACACCTCCTGCATAATCTCTAGGTGGTCTCTCACCTGTGTTCCAGACTACCTGCTGTGGCCCCTTACCAATGTCTGCAAAATACTATCTTGAGAAAGTGATGTCTGCATCAGGGTTGCTGTTTCCTGATGTTTTCAAAGCTGCCAAACCTTGGGATATATCTTATCCCAAATGTGGAGCACTCTGCTGTTCCTGACCCAGGGTCCACCCCCTTACCAGGTGACCCCACAGCTTGTGCCTCCTTGTATCAGAGTCCATGGTAAAAACAACAGGTCCCTCATCAGTGGGTGTGAACAGGAATCCACAAGGCTGCTTAAACAGGCACTTCTGCTATAAATGTTTTTCCTACGAATCAATAATTTTCCTGAAGCATTAAGTTTGGTTAAAATGATTCCTGAAGTATTTCATGTTTGATATTTAAGAGTCATTCCCACCCCCCAGCAGATAATTCATCAAGAACACAAAAATAAAAGCATTTTATTTTAAATTACACGATACTGGTTTTATGTGCCAACTAGGGTGAAAATGGGATCTGAGAGGCACAATATTTGTCAGAGATAAGGTTGCTGGAGGGAATTCAGGTGGGGAAATAAAAATCCTCACCATTGTGTCCCTCCCTTTATTCTGCAGTAGGAAATAGTGAAGTGAATCAAGGGTAGAACGAAATACTCTGTTTGTTTGGGGAGGGGAGAGAAAAATTGGCCCAGGGAAAAGTTTAGCAAACATGCTAATCAAAGAAGAATCAAGAAAGATTCTAACCAAAACAAAAGGATGTGGCCTTTGCGTGCCCTCAATAATCCAGTATAATATGATATACTTATTCAGAAATGAGCAGTTGTGAAGAGTTACAGATTAATCATGGTCTATCTATAATCTGGTCGATTACAGCTTCTGTAATTACCACTTATATTGCATAAATCTTTCTGCAGCTCTATTCAAATGCCAAAGGATATTTATTACTTTAGAAGAGAGAGGGAACTAGCACTGAAGAAAACCTTACAGGTGAGTAAGACAGTGGGCTATTTCAATATGACAATAAGTTTGATTTTGCTGACTGGTAACTTTTAGCAGAAACAGTATTTTTGCAGACAAACAGCTGATGCTATTAACAGTATTTATGAGAACAGTCCACTATTCAGCTTACCACTGAATCAGAGCAGACCATTATTTCCTTGGAAATGTCTGATTTTGTGATATTTGAAATTTTACAGTTCTTTAATTTGGGATGTTAAAACTAGTTATTTGGGTTTAGGTGGCCGAGTCGAAGCCCCTTGTTGTTCAGGCAGATGCCGTGCAGAGGGAGCTAGAGAGCTGCCTAAGAAGGGAGTACACCCCTGAAAATTTACCTTTGCTTCTGTTGCAGGTAAGAGTGATACTGCAATTTGAAAAATTCATTTGAAATTAGTAGAAATGTATGGGCAAACTGGCTTTCAGGAATATCCTTTCGCTAGGGTAGGTTTTGTTTTTCTCGACATGTATAGTTTGCAGAACTTGGCTAGTGTAAACGCTGTTCTTTGTTAGAGATCTATTTCACAGTTTTAAATTCAGCTTAAAGGCACGGAACAATTGACTGAATTTCTGCTAAGTACTTTCTGTGTCGATAATGTAGGGCAATACCACATTGACTAGGACAGTTCTAGCCCTTAAAAAGCTATTGGCTGTGGCCAGGCATGGTGGCTCATGCCTGTGATCCCAGCCCTTTGGGAGGCCGAGGCAGGCAGATCACTTGAGGTTAGGAGTTCAAGACCAGCCTGGCCAATATGGTGAAACCCCGTCTCTACTAAAAATAGAAAAATTAGCTGGGCATGGTGGCGCATGCCTGTAGTCCCAGCTACTCAGTAGGCTGAGGCAGAAGAATCGCTTGAACCTGGGAGGCAGAGGTTGCTGAGAGCTCAGATCAAGCGACTGCACTCCAGTCTTGGCCTCCCAAAGTGCTGGGATTACAGGTGTATGCCACTGTGCCAAGCCCTGGAAATTTCTATTAAGAAAATAACTCAAGACATGGGAAAAAGAGTTTTCCATAAAGATTATTATTGCAGCATTATAATAAAAGTAAAACATTAGGATTGCCTGAATATCCACCAATAAGAGAAAGAGTTAAGAAAAACAGTACGGTACATGGTAGAATATTGTTCTGCCATTAAACATTTTTTATTGTTAAATTAAGTTTAGCTTAAAGCTGCCTCATTTTAAGTTCAGAACCCTTGGTAAGGTTTCTCCCTACATAGTGACGTGTAACCTAACTGGACTGTAAATAGACCATAACCTACTCTTGTAACAAGTAACTGAGTCTCAGCCAATCACAGAAGCCATACTTCAGCCACTTGCAGGCAGCCAACTGTTCAAAGTGTGTTCAAATAAGGCAAACACTGAGCTGTAACCAATCTGACTGTTTCTGTACCTCACATCTCTTTTCTGTTACTTCACTTTCCTTCTTCTGTCCATAAATCCTCTTTCACTGTGCAGCAGTGCTGGAGTCTCTCTGAACTTACTCTGGTTGGGGGGCTAGGAGGGCTGCCCAATTCATGAATTGTTCTTTACTTAATTAAACTCTGTTAAATTTAATTTGTCTAAAGTTTTTCTTTTAACATTAGCATAAGGAATTATTATATATGAAATATTAGTTAATAAAAACTAATGTGTGTATGTATGTGTGTCATAATGGTCAAGTATGTATAGAAAAAAAATCACTTGAAGGACTTAGACCAAATGCTAATGAATGTTATGTTTGGATGGCAGGATAATGAAGTTCCCCTTTTTACTTTTATATGTTTGCTAAATTTTCTATAATAAGTATATATTATTTTGATTTTAAAATTCCTTGTTCTCTATTCCTGTGTTACAAGTTATATCTTACCTATGCATACAAATTAGTTCTTTAGCAACTAGTTAGGAATTAACTATTACATTAATCACAAAGAAACAAAAGATATTGAGATACTATTTGCAAGTCAAATTGTCATCATTGTCTTCATTCAGGATTATCTTTCCCTATCATTTCTGGCATTTTTCATTCTTTTGTGTATATCAGTGTTTCTCAAGGGACAGAGAAGAGGGGTAGAGATAGAAGATATTTTGTGCCCCAAGGGACATTTGGAAATGTCTGGGGATATTTCTTGTTGTCATAATTTGGGTGAGGGGTATGATTGGTTGCTACTAGCATTAAGTGAGTAGAGGCCAAGGATGCTGCTAAACATTCTACAATGCACAAGGCAGCCTCTCACAATGAAGAATTATGTAGTCCCCAATGTCAATAGCTGCTGAGGTTGAGAAACTCTAGTATTATCTAAACTTCCATAGGACATAATTTGCCTTCTCTCTGAAGAATTTTCTTTAGCATTTCTAGTAGTTCAGGTCTGCAAGGGACAAATTCTCAGTCTTTGTTATTTTGAAAGAAGTATTTCCCCTTCATTTTGGAAAGATATTTTTGTTCAGCATAGAATTCTGGTTTGGTGATTTTTTATTGCTTTAAAATACTGCTCCATTGTCTTTTCTCTTTTGTCTTACATAGTTTCTCTTTCTTTCTTTCTTTTTCTTAGGTGACAGCTTTATTTTCATTAAGTATACACATTTTTGCAATTAAGATTAATTATACAAAAAATATAAAACATGCCATTTTAAAATAGAACTGTGGAATAGTTTGAATTTTTATCACTACTATATGTAAGTACACATGTTTATTCATAAGCTAAAAGGAAACTCAAATATATATCATAACAGGAAAGAGCACTTCACTAATTTAAGTGATTTTTTTTTTCTGTCAGCCTCTCACCATTTGCTTACTTGAACTAATGTGATATGGTTTGGCTGTGTCCCCACCCAAATCTCAACTTGAATTGTAGCTCCCATAATTCCCATGTGTCATGAGAGGGACTCGGTGGGAGGTAATGGAATCATGGCGGTGGGTCTTTCCCATGCTGTTCTCATGATAATAAGTCTCACAGATCTGATGGTTTTATAAAGGAGTGTTCCCCTGCACATGTCCTCTTGCCTGCCACCACATAAGGTGTCCCTTTGCTCTTCCTTCGTCCTCTGCCATGATTGTGAGGCCTCCCCAGCCATGTGGAACTGTGAGTCAATTAAACCTCTTTCCTTTATAAATTACCCAGTCTCATGTATGTCTTTATTAGCAGCACGAGAATGGACTGATACAGTAAATTTATACTGTTAGAATGGGGTACTGCTCTAAAGATACCTGAAAATGTGGAAGCAACTTTGGAACTGGGTAACAGGCAGAGGTTAGGACAGTTTGGAGGGCTCAGAAGAAGAAAGGAAGACGTGGGAAAGTTTGAAACTTCCCAGAGACTTGTTGAATGGCTTTGACCAAAATGCTGATAGTGATGTGGACAATAAAGTCCAGCCTGAGGTGGTCTCAGATAGAGATGAGGAACTTATTGGGAACTGGAGCAAAGGTGACTCTTGCTATGTTTTAGCAAAGAGACTGGCAGCATTTTGCCCTTGCCCTAGAGATTTGTGGAACTTTGAACTTGAGAGAGATGATTTAGGGCATCTGACCAAAGAAATTTGTAAGCAGCAAAGCATTCAAGAAGTGAATTGGGTGCTGTCAAAAGCACTCAGTTTTATGGATTTGCAAAGTTATGGTTTGGAATTGGAACTTACATTTAAAAGGGAAGCAGAGCATAAAAGTTCAGAAAACTTGCAGCCTGATGATGTGATAGAAAAGAAAAACCCATTTTCTGAGGAGAAATTCAAGCTAGCTGCAGAAATTTGTATAAATAACAAGGAACCAAATGTTAATCAGCAAGGCAATGGGGAAAATGTCTTCTGGGCATGTCAGAAGTCTTCATAGCAGCCCCTCCCATCACAGGCCTGGAGGCCTAGGAGGAAAAAATGGTTTCCTGGGCTGGGCCCAGGGCCTTGCTGCTTTGTGCAGTCTCAGAACTTGGTGTCCTGAGTCCCAGCCATGGCTAAAAATGGTCAATGTAGAGCTCAGGCCATTGCTTCAGAGGGTGCAAGCCCCAAGCCTTAGCAGCTTCCACATGGTGTTGAGCCTGCAGGTGCACAGAAGTCAAGAACTGAGGTTTGGGAACCTCCACCTAGATTTCAGATGATGTGTGGAAATGCCTGGGTGTCCAGGCAAAAGTTTGCTGCAGGGCAGAGCCCTCATGGAGAACCTCTGCTAGGGCAGTGTGGAAGGGAAATGTGGGGTGGGAGCCCCTATATGGGGTCCCCACTGGGGCACTGCCTAGTGGAGCTGTGAGAAGAGGGCCACCATCCTCCAGACCCCAGAATGGTAGATCCACTGACAGCTTTCACCGTGCACCTGGAAAAGCTGCAGACACTCAACGCCACCCCATGAAAGCAGTCAGGAGTGGGGACTGTACCTTGCAAAGCCACAGGGGCAAAGCTGCTCAAGACCATGGGAATGCACCTCTGGCATCAGCGTGACCTGGATGTGAGTCATGGAGTCAAAAGAGATCATTTTGGAGCTTTAAGATTTGACTGCCCTGCTGGATTTCAGATTTGCATGGGGCCTGTAACCCCTTTGTTTTGGTCAATTCCTCCTATTTGGAATGGGTATATTTACCCAATGCCTGTACCTCCATTGCATCTGGGTAGTAACTAACTTGCTTTTGATTTTACAGGCTCATAGGCAGAAGGCACTTGCCTTGTCTCAGGTGAGACTTTGGACTGTGGACATTTGAGTTAATGCTGAAATGAGTTAAGACTTTGGGGGACTGTTGGGAAGGCATGATTGGTTTTGAATTGTGAGGACATGAAATTTAGGAGGCACCAGGGGCTGAATGATATGGTTTGGCTCATATCCTCAGCCACATCTCATCTTGAATTGTAGCTCCCATAATTCCCATGTGTCATGGGAGGGACACAGTGGGAGGTAATTGAATCATGGGGGTGTGTCTTTCCCATGCTGTTCTCATGATAGTGAATAAGTCTCATGAGATCTGATGGTTTTATAAAGGGGCATTCCCCTGCACATGTCCTCTTGCCTGCCACCATGTAAGATGTGCCTTTCTCCTCTTTTGCCTTCTCTCTTGATTGTGAGGCCTCCCCAGCCATGTAGAACTGTGGGTCCATTAAACCTCTTTTTCTTTATAAATTACCCATTCTTGGGTATATCTTTATTAGCATTATGAGAACTGACTAATACGTAATGTTTCCATGGTTCGTCTTGGTCACTGGCATTGACCAGCAAAAGTCTTTGCATTTCACAGGCACATTAAAACCTAAATTATCCACAAAATCCAAAGTAACTTTCTTTTTTTGATATTTTATTCTTTTTTAAATAATTTCAACTTTTATTTTAGATTCAGGGGGCACATATGCAGGTTTGTTGCCTGGGTATATTGCGTAAGCCTGTGGATTGAGGTACAATTGATCTCGTCACCCAGGTAGTGAGCATGGTATGCAATAGGTAGTTTTTCAACCCCTACTCCCCTTCACTCCCTCCCCTCTCTAGTAGTTCCCAGTTTCTATTGTTCCCATCTTTATGTCCATATGTACCCAAAATTTAGCTCCCGCTTATAAGTGAGAACATGCGATATTTGGGTTTCTATTTCTGCATTAATTCACTTAGGCTAATGGCCTCTAGCTGCATCCATGTTGCTGCAAATGACATGATTTCATTCTTTTTTATGGATGTACATAGTTTCCATTTCTGATCATAGCATATCTTTTTATTTCTGGCTGCTTTTAAGATTTTTTCTTAATGGTTTTTAGATATTTTATTATGATGCATGTTGAAGTTTTCTTTGCGTTTTTCTTGCTTGGGGTTGGTTGAGCTTCTTGGATTGTGGGTTTATTGTTTTCATCAGTTTTTAAAAAACTTCAACCATTATTTTTTCAAATATATTTTCTGCCTGCACTTCTCCTTCTGGGAATCCAGTTACACATTTGTTAAATACTTCATATTGTTTCATAGATCATTAAGACTACTAATTTTCTTCAGTCTTTTTCCCCCCTCAGTGCCTCATTTGACATAGTTCCTGTTGCTATGTCTTCAAATTTATCAGCCTTTTCTTATGCACTGTCTAATCTACTTTAATCCCATCCAGTCAGTATTTTATTTCAGATATTGCATTTTTCATTTCTAGAAGTTCCCATTTGATTTGTTTTGATATTTTCCATTTATTTCCTCATTATGTTCACATTTCTTTTCTTATTCTTTTTTAAATTTTTTTTGAGACGGAGTCTCATCTCACTCTGTTGCCCAGGCTGGAGTGCAGTGGCTTGATTTCAGCTCACTGCAAACTCTGCCTCTTGGGTTCAACTGATTCTTGTGCCTCAGCCTCCCAAGCTGGGATTACAGGCACACACCACAACAGCTAGCTAATTTTTGTATTTTTAGTAAAGACAGGGTTTCGCTATGTTGGCTAGGCTCGTCTCAAATTCCTGGCCTCAAGTGATCCGCCCACCTCAGCCTCCCAAAGTGCTGGGATTACAGGCATAAGCCACCCTGATCAGCCTATGTTCACATTTTCCTTTCAATCCTTGAGCATGCTGAGCATATTTACAATAGTTCTTTAAAAGGTCTTGTTGGGGCCAGGCACGGTGGCTCACGCCTGTAATCCCAGCACTTTGGGAGGCCGAGGCAGGCAGATCATGAGGTCAGGAGATCGAGACCATCGTGGCAAACACGGTGAAACCCTGTCTCTACTAAAAATACAAAAAATTAGCCGGGCATGGTGGCGGGCGCCTGTAGTCCCAGCTACTCGGGAGGCTGAGGCAGGAGAATGGCGTGAACCTGGGAGGCGGAGCTTGCAGTGAGCCAAGATCATGCCACTGCACTCCAGCCTGGGCGACAGAGCAAGACTCCGTCTCAAAAAAATAAAAATAAAAAAAAAGTTCTTGTTGGTAACTTTCTTCACCTCTGTCATTTCTGAGCCTGTTTCTCATCCCTAATTTTTCTTTTGCTTTTGGATCATGCTTTCCTCTTTTCTTTGCATGTCTAGTAATTTTTTATTGAATGCTGAAAATTGTCAATTTTTCATTATTAAGTACCAGATTTTTTGTATTATTTAGAGCTTATTGGACTTTATTCTGGTAGGCAGTTAAGTTACTTACAGATCAGCTTAATCCTTTCAAGGCTGAAGGATTGTTAGAGCAGGTTTAGAATAATCATTACTCTAGGCATAGTTTATCCTTTTACTAAAGCTTTTGATGTCTCTACTAAATGTCCCAGATATTTAGTGAAAAGCCCTCACTCTAGCTGGTTGGACTTGAACAACTCTCAGCCTCATATGAACTCGGAACTGTTCAGTTTACAATTCCCTAGTCAGTTATTCTTTGGACAGCCTCCTGGAGTTTCACCTTTTACATGCATGGCTTAGTATTCAGCAACAGACTGAAAGGGATCTTGATGCAGATTTCTAGAATCCCTTCTTTGCATGGCTTCCTTCTCTCCTGCAAACATCAGCTGACTCAATTTTCCAAATTTCAGTTTCTCTTTCTTTAACTCAGAGAGATCATCTACTCTGCTTAGGATTCCCTTTCTTGCTCCATGGCTCAGAAACTGCCTTCTGGTATGAAACTAAGGTGATTGCAGGGCCTACATGATTTGTTTCCTTCTCTCAGGGACCAGAGTCCTGCATTGCCCATTGTCCAGTGTCAGAAAACAGTTACCTTGTATATTGTGTCCAATTTTCTAGTTGTTTATGATAGAAGGGTAAGTCTGGTTCTGGTTATTCCATCACAGCCAGTATTATTTTTATTATCAGAAAGAAAATCTTTAAAAGAATTAACTGTTTTTAAGTATAAATAAAATTTCTGATCTGAGGTTAAAAGCTATAATCTTACCTGTAATGTACTCTGTATTTTTGACTCATAAGTTCAGTTTTTAATAAAAAATTTTAGGCTCAGCTTTAGATTACTTGACAGACTTTTATGTCACTGCTAAAATTGTTTGGTAACTGAGAAATTAGCTTAAATCTATTGACTTGGTAACAGATCATAAAGACTTAGAAATGTCTACTCACTTTATTTCAATTTGAATACTATCTTGAGCCAGACTTCTCTTTTTTTGTCTTTTTGAGATAGAGTTTCACTCTTGTTGCCCAGGCTGGAGTGCAATGGTGCGATCTCGGCTCACTGCAACCTCTGCTCACTGCAACCTCTGCCTCCCAGGTTCAAGCAATTCTCCAGCATCAGCCTCTCGAGTAGCTGAGATTATAGGCACCCGCCACCATGCCCAGCTAATTTTTTGTATTTTTAGTAGAGATGGGGTTTCACTATGTTGGCCAGGCTGGTCTCGAACTCCTGACCTCAGGTGATCCACCCGCCTTGGCTTCCCAAAGTGCTGGGGTTACAGGCGTGAGCTACCACGCCCGGCCGAGCCAGACTTCTTAATGTTATGGTCTTCATATAGAAAAATACATCTTTCCGGCTGGGCACAGTGGCTTACGCCTGTAATCCCAGCACTTTGGGAGGCCGAGGCAGGCGGATCACGAGGTCAGGAGATCGAGACCATCCTGGCTAACACGGTGAAACCCCGTCTCTACTAAAAATACAAAAAATTAGCTGGGCGTGGTGGCAGGCGCCTGTAGTCCCAGCTACTCAGGAGGCTGAGGCAGGAGAATGGCATGAATCCGGGAGGCAGAGCTTGCCGTGAGCTGAGATCGTGCCACTGCACTCCAGCCTGGGCAAGAGAGCAAGACTCCGTCTCAAAAAAAAAAAAAAAAAAGAAAGAAAGAAAGAAAAATGCATCTTTCCAAAACAACCAGAGACTGATTTTCCTCGTTAGTGTTCTTAAG
Organism: Homo sapiens; assembly: GCF_000001405.40. Classification (NCBI taxonomy): domain Eukaryota; kingdom Metazoa; phylum Chordata; class Mammalia; order Primates; family Hominidae; genus Homo; species Homo sapiens. The sequence goes on from NC_000006.12 coordinate 109,196,435, forward strand.
ACTTTATTCAATCTTCCTTCTCTAAGTGCTTATTTTTCTTGTTGTTAAAGTATTACACAGAGAGAATTGCCCAGCTGGCCCAGAGTAAATATTTACACATGCTTAGGTGGAAGAGGTTTTGCCAACACAGTAAGATCATGGAGCAACTTTATCCTCTTTACAAGGTAGGAAGTCTATGAACAGAACCTCTGGGCTATTTTTTTATATTTTTAAAAGTCACAGCTAAAGATAGAAAAGAAACTAATGGATGTGCCTTCTTGCCTGTTCTACCTATGGCAGAAGGTAATGGTAAAGGTAATCTATTCTTAAGAATAAAATTTGAAGGAAGTTTTGTATGAGAGGAAATGCATTTTTCTTCACAGACTTAGCTTCCTCAGCTTTACGTAAAAAGTTCAGAAGCGACTCCAGTTATAAGTATCCCTATGCACTGACTCTTTGCTTGGAGTCTGTCTCCTTCAAAGTCCTAAGAATATGACCACTGTCCTTATAAGTCAAATTCAGAATATGGAAGAACTTTGGGATTCAAAGAACTCCTTTATTTAGACCCAAAACAACATTACCCTATGCTTGGAAGCAAATGATACAGAGCATAAGGCTTGCAAATAACCAAGTTCTATCTTTGTATCTCTCTTAAACAGAAACAAGTTGGCTACATTATGCAGGAGTACAATGACACCCTTCAGAGAGCTGAAAGATTGTCTGTTGCTCGAGAAAACTTCCTCATGGGAAAAAACAATCCTCCTAACTTGGTGACACAGGAAGATCTGACTATTTACACAAAGTGGTTAGTGTGCCACCTGCACTCTCTTGGGACTGTTCACCAGTACCTGCAGGTATGTGAAACACAGTGATGTGATGATGTGGCACCCTTCTAGGGATGATCAGTACATTGTTTTCTCACATCTGTCACTTAGTTTTAGATTGTCACTGTTTCAGGACTCCACCTGCCCTACAAATGACAGAAACATAATGGGTCACTGGATTTCTTCTTTGAAACCTTAGACATCTTTCTCTTTTGAAACTTTATTCTACTGAAATAATTTAGCTTTCTCAAAGATGACTCTGTTGTACTATTTCATATTCACTCTGTAAGTTCTTGTCTTCATCATCTTGTTCAGGATCTATGCTCTCTGATTTAGATCCACTTTTTAAATATTAGGTGATGTTTAATGAGGGTCTAATATGTGCCAGGTACTTGTCCTAGGCATGCAGCAAAGATACGGCCTTTGCTGAAAAGTAACTGGGTTCTCGGCTGGTAGGGATATGGGTAAGTAAATATTCAACTGAAATACAACGGGGTAAAAAAGAACAGGATAAGTGTAAGCATAGGGTAAAGAGAGTCACAGAGAGGCTCTAAGTCAGGCTAGAGGCATCAGAAAGGAGTAACATGATCACATTTCCATTTTGGAAAGATTATTGTTTTTCTACCCATATCTTTTCCTACTTCTCTCTGCCTTAGCTCAGAGACACCATCATACATGGAATTGCCCAAATCGGAAACTGGCTTCGTCCTTTCCCCGCACCCAGCCAGCCACTATGGGCACTTCCTCTGATACATTTCTCACCAGTCACATGGTGTTATAACGATCTGCTTATAAGTCTGGGTCTTTAGTAAACCGTGAGCTCTTTGAGGTTGTATCCTGTCTTATTCCTCTTTGTCTCCCTAGCACCCCACACAGTGCCTTGTCCATTTTGGGTCCTTGATCAAAGTAGACCTGTTTGGAGGTTAAGGCCACTCAGAGTCAGTAACAGTACTAGGTCTCCGAGCTCCAAATGTAGCCCCTTATCATTGGGCAGGTTACTGAGGCTCCACTTCTACTTCTTTTCTTCTCTCCCAAAGCAAAGGGCTGCTCCTGAACCTGAGTCTGGAAGCTTCTGTGAGAACTGTATTGATGTTTGGCCTCTTGGTCTTGCCCTTCTATAGGCCCTCCAGTATTTGCCCATCTCCAAAGTGCTGAGTGTAGCTTTCAACCGAGTCGCTGAAGCTGGTCAGAAAAATGAAAATGTCTGTGTCAATGACATTGACCCTGACATTCAGGGTTCTGCATCTCCTGACCCTGTGGATACCAGCATTTCTGGTAAGAAATTAGTCTTCTTTCCCCTCGGGTAATGTGGAGCAAAGAAGATTGTAATTTTAGACTTATGCTGGTTGTCCCATGTTCTTGCTAAAAATTGTTCTATATACCAAAATTTTTATCTCCTTAATAAATAAGTCTTAGTTTAATATTTTCAGACTGGAAAAAATAACAAACAATTTTTAAGACATGTTTTAATCTCCGTCTTTATAATTAGCAAGTTAAGAGTGAGAGAAAAAAATGGACTTGAAGTCAGCAGTACTGGGCTCTAGGCTTGTTCCTGTCCTGGCCTCACTGTGGGCCTGCATTTTATCTCCTTTGGCCTCAATTTGGTCATCTCCATAACAAACCTTTGAGAATCAGTGATCTCTAAGGCTCCTTCCAGTTTTCATATTACACAAATCTAAAATAATTTCTTCATCTGAATAAAATTAATGCAGTTTTCCTGCCCTTGCCTTGTGTTACAGATGACTAAGAAACCTGATAAGATTTCTACTCTGAGTGACATTCTTGCTTGGATGCACAGAGTGTCCCGGGAATGCCTGGGAGAGGCAGCCAACCCTGGTTGTGGGGCATCTGAGAAGGCTTCTTGAAGGAGGGGAGTCCAAACTGGGTCCTTAGAGATGAGGGGGAGTTAGCCATGTGAAAACAGCTGAAGGCTCTCACCTTCTTCTAATTTGTTGGATAAATTTATAAATAATGTTCTTCATTTACCAGAAAGGACTATAGGCAATTCTGCTCCAAGTCATTCCCTAAAAGGTCTGTTGGGTTTCTCCTGTAGGCTGTGAGATGGCAAGGAGTCCTTGCTGCCTCCTACAAAAGCCCAGCTCCAAGGATTTGTCAGATCCACCTGGCCAAGTAGGGTGCAGACTATAAATTGTGGCAGAAAATGTTGGGAAAGGAGCAGAATGGGCATCCCATCAGTAGAGGAGCTCCTACTTCTACCTGTCTCAAAGGACTCTCCATTTTCTCTCCCTGACAGTATTCATTGGTCTTAATGCTCTTGATTTTGGTTTTCCTCAGGGCCAATGAGAACAGAAGCTGCTTTTGTCCTCCCCCAACATGCAACAGAAACAGGAGAACTGAAACCTCAGCTGAAGCTCCTGCTCTCCCATTTCAGTATCCCATATGACGTAGAAGAGCTCTGGGACTCTGCTAAGGAAATGGAACTTTTTTCCTTGGTATTTGATACACTCTTTCTTAATACAAATATATGTGTTCATGAAAGAAAGCACTGGTATTTTCCACAAAGTTGCACCTTTTACTACCAACAATTGTTTCAAGAATGATCTTGTAAAGTAGTAATAGGTGAAATTTTGATTAGCAGTTGGGAAAACTTCCTCTGTAAGAGTAATGGGACTCAAATAGTGAACCCAGAAGGATTTCAGGACTTGTTTTTCTGCAGAACTTAAAGCAAAAGTAGTGTACAGTCTATAGTAGATGATGTAAAGATTTGGCAAATTTGCATGGCAGAGTTGTCAATTATCTAAAGCCCTCCAATTCTCAAAATATATTGCAATAGCTTTCCTTATTGACAAAATGCTTTATATTTAATAGAGGGTACATTGTGTAGTGATGTTTAAAGTCATGCAGTCTTCTCTGCTATAACACAGTGTTGTACTTCCTGAAATGAAAACAACTCATATTATCAAAAGCCATGTTAAAACTTGTTTCAAAGGGGGCCAGGCGTGTGGTTCATGCCTGTAATCCCAGCGCTTTGGGAGGCTGAAGCGGGGTATCACTTGAGCCCAGGATGGGCAGCATAGTGAAAACCTGTCTCAAAAAAAAAAAAAAAAAACTTGTTTGAATGAGAAAAATAGGACTATAGGTAGATAGCTTCAGATTTTTAAAAATATTTGAGATGGAGTCTTGCTCTGTCACCCAGGCTGGAGTGTAGTGGTGCAATCTCAGCTCAACGCAGTCTCCGCCTCCTGGGTCCAAGAGATTCTTCTGCCTCAGACACACCTGGCTAATTTTTGTATTTTTGGTAGAGATGGGGTTGCCATATTGGCCAGGCTGGTCTTGAACTCCTGGCCTCAGGTGATCTGCCCGCATTGGCCTCCCAAAGTGCTGGGATTACTGGCATGAGCCACCGCACCTGGCCAAGCTTCAGATTTATAATAACAAAAGTTTCAACAATAACGCTCTAACTGTATATTATTTGCAAGTGTATATATTTGATAGGTAAAAATAAGAGATTGATGGATCCAAACATGTAAAAATAAGATCTGAATAGTTTTGAATGCTCTTTACGTAAGAAGTAAGCTACCGTCTGTGCTATCACCATTTGCTTGAGTTTGAAATTCCACTTGCATTTCCATTTGTTCCAGCATAATTTTACCAGGATTTTGTGTGTGTGTGTGGGGTGGGGGGAGGTTGTTTTGTTTTGTTTTTAGACAGAGTCTCGGTCTGTCACCCAGGCTGGAGTACAGTGGTGCAATCTCAGCTCACTGCAACCACCACCTCCCAGGTTCAAGCAATTCTCCTGCCTCAGCCTCCCAAGTAGCTGGGATTACAGGCATGCGCCACCATGCCCAGCTAATTTTTGTATTTTTAGTAGAGACAGAGTTTCACTACATTGGCCAGGCTGACCTTGAACTCCTGACCTCAAGTGATCCACCGCCTCGGCCTCCCAAAGAGCTGGGATTACAGGCGTGAGCCACTGCGCCTGGCCCAGCATGATTTTTATTAGTATGTAACACAACCTCTTTAAGCTCACTGGAACCAGTGGTATCACATGTCTTCTTGTTTCCTTGAAGGTGATGATGTTTAGCTTTTGCCTTTCTTTTCATGCCACCAGCAGCACTGTCTCCAGCAGAGTGTTTCTGTGGGAGTGTCCTCCCCTTATTATCATCAAGGATTATGATAGGCAAAACACAGAATCAGAATATGATGGTGTTTAAGAAGAACCAAAATAAATGTAAGTTAATTATAGCCCAGGAGACTATTATTATTATTATTATTATTTTTTTTTTTTTTTTTTTTTTGAGACGGAGTCTTGCTTTGTTGCCCAGGCTGGAGTATAGTGGCACGATCTCTGCTCACTGCAAGCTCTGCCTCCTGAGTTCACGCCATTCTCCTGCCTCAGCCTCCTGAGTAGCTGGGACTACAGACGTCCACCACCATGCGCAGCTAATTTTTTGTATTTTTAGTAGAGATGGGGTTTCACCGTGTTAGCCAGGATGGTCTCGATCTCCTGACCTCGTGATCCACCCGCCTTGGCCTCCCAAAGTGCTAGGATTACAGGCATGAGCCACCACGCCCGGCCCAGGAGACTATTATTAATGATAAACAAGTGAACACAAGTCTGGCGGAGCACTCCAACAAAGCCATGTTGTTCCCAAAGAACAGCTTGTCTCCTTTTTATGATGATAATTTCCACTTTTAATTTTCTTATGATAGTATTATGTGAAATACTAATTGTGTTCCAAGATAACTAGTCACATTACATCAACTTTTTTGCCTAGGAAGAGTTCCTATGTTTAGGTGCTGTTTATTCTGATACTCTAATGCCTAAGAGCAGGGTCAGCAAACTACAGCCCCACTTGTTTTCTTAAAATAAAGTTGTTTTGGAATACAGCAGTCTTAGGTTCATTCAGGCTGCTATAACAAAATACCATAAACAGAGTGGCTTCTAAACAACAGAAATTTATTTCTTACAGTTCTGGAGGCTGGAAAGTTTAAGATCAAGGTAGTCTGATGTCTGGTGAGGACCCGCTTTCTGGCTCATATGTGGTGCCTTCTCGCTGTGTCCGCACATGGTAGAAGGGCAAGAGTCTCTCAGGCTTCTTTTATAAGGGCACTAATCCTATTCTTGAAGACTTCACCTTCATGACCCAATCACCTCCCCAAATTCCCATATCCTAATACCATCACTTTGTGGTTAGGATTTCAACACATGAATCTTGTGGGGACACAAACATTCAGACCCTAGCAACAGCCGTGCCTATTCATGTATGTATTTTCTATGGCTGCTTTCACACTACAACAGCAGACTTGAGTAGTTGTGACAGAGACCTTGTGGTCAATAAAGGCTAAAACACCTACTATCTGGCCCTTTAAGAAGTTTGCCAACCCAGTCATAGACCAGCACTGTCTCACTGAACTTCCAGAAGCAATGGATGTGTTCTGCCTTTGCACTGTCCCATGTTAACCACTAGTCACATACACTAATAGTTATCTGAGCACTTGGAATGTGGTTAGCACAACTCAAGAACTAGATTTCAAATTTTATTTAATTCTAATTAATTCATAATGTTAAACAGCCACATGTTGCTAGGGGCAACAGCATTGGATAGCACAACCTCAGAGGTAGTAGCATTATTACTAGAAGAATCTTCAGCTCTGTGACTCACAAATTTACTCACTCATTCCAGAAACCTTTGTTGAGGCCCTAGTATGTGTCAGCACTGTGGTAGTTTCTTACTGTGTGTGTACATGTGCACACATGAGTGGTAAAATAACATAACAAAATTTACCATTTTAGCCATTGGTAAGTGTTCGGTTCAGTGGCATTAAGTACATTCACATTGTTGTGTGGCCATCACCATGTGGTGAATTCTTGACATTCATAGTCTATGCCCTGAATGGGGCTCACCATGTAGTGAGGAAATCCTGACACAACGTGGCAAGTACAGTGATGAAGGTGCCACCACAGGGGCCCACACTGGAGGGGGAAGAAGGAATGTTCAGCATTTTGACAGTAGGAACCGATGTCGTAGAAAGCACTTGTAGCCTCAGTCTGAAAGTAAGCTATGAAGGGAATAGGTTGAGATGCCTTAAAGAGTTTAACAGGTTCTAGCATCGTCAGGCCTCTGAGAACAGGATTTATTTAATCCTTATTTAGTCTATAATAGTTTATTGGGTGGTCGGAAAAAGTGAATGCATTTTCAAAGGTGGACAATTTACTTCTCACTTATATTTAGGTTCCAGTTCAATATATATATATATAAATGCATTAATATATTTCCAATCTCTGGAGCAGACATTCAGAACAGGTAATACACACAATTATGGTAATGAGCTGACTGAGAACATGCGCCACACAAGTATGCCAATTTAAGGTCTTGTCACTATCACAGAGTTGTGTTTTATAAATTAGTTTGATTCCAAGGCTATTTCAAAGACAACCAGTAGCTGTTTTTGAAATTGCCCACTCTCTGAGACTTTTTTTCTGGATTCCACTTCTCACTTCATCCTGTTTAGGTTTCCCAAAAATTTCAAAGCGTCTTCATGGAGCAACAGAGATTGCAAATGTTTCCAGACTGTGAAGCTGGAATAGCTAAAGCAGATAATTTGGGTTTGGCAGGACCCAGAATGACCCTGAAAAAGAAAGCCAACTGGATTTCCTTCATAAAGGTAAAGAGACTTGTAGTGATAGTCATCTATCAGTGATGTCAGCAGTGTCACAGTGTCATCTAAGCAGGCTAGGCAACCTGGCAACAACAGGTTTATGTAGTCCCTGTTGTCCCCTCTCCTTAGTGCCCTCAGCAAACTGTCCTCTTTGACTAGGGGAGATGCTTCCCTGTCCTCAAGGGAGGCAACTCAGAGAACCTGGCCTTGTGTGCCACACTGTCCCAGCTTTTTGCCTGCCTTGGCTCTATATCGAAGTTTGCTATGCTAATCTGCCTTCTCTGAAGGTTCTCCAGATGCCAGTACCCCACTCTAATGGGCCCAAACTCCCTGCTTATTACTAATGATCTCAGATACTTGGCAAGAGCTAAGCTTACTATCCAAGGGTGTGATTGACTTGTGTAAATCCAACCATTGAGTCAAAAACTATTTATTTGGTACATATTGTATATCAGGTGTGGCCGTTCATGCTGGAGATACACAGTTCACAAACAATATGCAAGTAAGCAGACTAAATAAGATGATTTTAGGTAGTGCTAACTATGGTCAATTCTTGTTATTCAAGGTAGTTGTGTTCTGGAAAGTCACCAGGAACACTGAGTTAGCAAATATTGAATCGTTACCCCTAGGGGAAATAGAGTTAGTTCCTGTGAACCTCTCGTCGGAACACTCATCAATACATAACTGTTTTATGTGTGTTTCTGTTTAAAGACATCTTATTTAAAATATATTGTTGATTCATTAATATTGAACTAATGACTAACAGCACTATAATTCATGCCTGAATGAAGCTTATTTAACACATGTATTTTTTCCAAAAGGTACATCACACAGCCTTCTAATGCTTAGGAACATTAGACATTACTTTGGCACTACCCATGGGGACCATTTTCAACAGTAAAATGACCACCAAAAAGCACAAAAATGTGAAGAATGTGGCACTAAATGGACCACAAAAGGATCCTTGTTTGTAATATGCGAGCAGAAACAAGAAGGCAGAGTGTTGCCTTGTTCATACTGAATTGAGAATATGCCCATTGAGTGATTCAAATTTTTACCACCCTGCACACGCCTATGAGTGACTGTGAAAACTCTACTAGTATTGAGTTTTGAGTCACAAAAAATGTTAGATAGTAGGCAAAATCACAAACATGGAATCCACAAACAACAAGGATTGATTGTATCATGAAGAAAAGAAAAATCTTGGCCAGGTGCGGTGGCTCACGCCTGTAATCCCAGCACTTTGGGAGGCCAAGGTGGGCGGATCACGAGGTCAAGACATCGAGACCATCCTGGCCAACATGGTGAAACCCCCTCTCTACTAAAAAAAAAAATACAAAAATTAGCTGGGCGTGGTGGCATGAGCCTGTAGTCCCAGCTACTTGGGAGGCTGAGGCAGGAGAATCACTTGAACCTGGGAGGTGGAGGTTGCAGTGAGCTGAGATTGCGCCACTGCACTCCAGCCTAGCGACAGAGTGAGACTCCATCTAAAAATTAAAATAAAATCAAATAAATTTTGTATGACTGTTTTAGTCTATTCAGGCTGCTTTGACAAAATACCATAAACTGGGTAGCTTATAAAGAACAGAAATATATTTCTCACAGTTCTAGAGGCTGGGAAGTCCAAGATCGGGGGCCAGCATGGTCAAGTTCTGGAAGGTCCTCTTCCAGGCTACAGGCTTCTGCTTCTCCCTGTGTCCTCACATGGTGGAAGAAAAAAGCCAAGCTCCCTCAGGCCTCTTTTGTAAGGGCATGAATGCTGTTCATGAGGGCTCTACCATCATGATCTAATCACATCCCCAAATTCTATTACTAATGCCATCACCTTGGGGGTTAGGTTTCAACATTTAAATTTTAGAGGAACACATTCAGACCATAGGAGTGAATCAGGATGGACTGAGAGAAATCAAAGATTTCTCCTAGTTCCATCTAGTGCTTGAGGAACAAGGTAGTCTATGTAAGGGAAGCCAGACTTTCTGTTTTAGATTGTTACACTTGATATCCAAGAATAGATATCAAAGGAGTAGTTGGATATAATAGGCTGGAGTTTAGGGCTGAGATATAAATTTGAGTGTTAATGGTGTTTACAGCAACAGAACTTATTTTTGAAATACAGTTTATTAATATGAAAGATGTTTTAAATGTGGAGTCACATGGAGTCTGTGGGTGAACTTTCTTTTGCCCTGTAAATAAAGTGCAATGACCAACTCTGATGGATTTAGGGTCCCTGCTGCTTGTGGGTGGTATGGTGTCATCCCAGATAGATCTACTGCATCTTATAGTCCAGGCACCAACAGGAACTGGTGCTGCTGTCTCCTTCAATGGATCTGTGAACCCATGAAGACCCTTTCCAAAAGCTCACTTGTCCTAGCCAACCTAGCACCAAAGCCAGATACCATTTCAGAAGGTCCTTGAATCTCTTTGCTTGCAACTTTTATTGAGAATCATTCTGTTATGTTGTAACTTTATGTGAACATGTTTGTCCACTAGATCAAGCCAAAATGTGATCCATGGCAAAAGAAGCTTTTGACTAAATTAAAAGAACGGAGAAGAACAGATGCATTATTGCAACTCCAAGCAAAGTTTTTGAAGGTGAGAAAATAACCATGTTTCCATGTAGATGTTTTCTAAAATCATTCTCAAAATATGCAATTTTCTTTCCCTTTTTAAAAATGTTGGCATGGATTCACCATGACGGCTTTATTTGAAACTTTTTTTTTTTTTTGAGACAAGAGTCTTGCTCTGTCACCCAGGCTGGTGTGCAGTGGCGTGATCTCGGCTCACTGCAACCTCTGCCTCCTGGGCTCAAGCGATTCTCCTGCCTCAGCCTCCCTAGCAGCTGGGATTACAGGCGTGCACTACCATGCCCAGCTAATTTTTGTATTTTTAGTAGAGACGGGGTTTCACCATGTTGGCCAGGCTGGTCTCGAACTCTCGACCTCAAGTGATCTGCCCACCTCGGCCTCCCAAAATTGTAGGATTACAGGCGTGAGCCACCATGCCTGGCCTTATTTTAAACTTTCTAATCTAATTGCCACACTTTAAAAATCCTGTTAGCTTTCAGTAGAGAATAAAAAATTGTCAAAAAGCTGGACTTTAGGGCCAGGCACAGTGACTCATGTCTGTAATCCCAGCACTTTGGGAGGCCAAGGCAGGAGGATTGTTTGAGCCCAGGAGTTCAAGACCAGCGTAGGCAACAAAAAGAGACCCTGTCTCTACAAATTATTTTCTTTAAAAATTAGCCAGGTGTGGTGAAACACACCTGTAGTCCCAGCTACTCAGGAGGCTGAGGTGGGAGGATGGCTTGAGCCCAGGAGGTCAAGGTTTCAGTGAGCCATGATTGCATACTGCACTCCAGCCTGGGTGAGAGCGTGAGACTCTGTCTCAAACAACAATAACAACAACAAACAAAAACCAAAACCAAAACCCAAAAAACTGGATTTTAGTCCAGCTTTAACACCAACTCCCTGTGATATTTGTCTAGTCATGTAACCTCCTTGAGCCTTAGCTTCTTTATCTGTGAAACAAAATACTCAACTAAATTATTTTTTAAAATATTTTAATTGACAAAAATTGTACATAATTATAGGGTACAGAGTGATATTTTGATACATACAGTGTATAATTATCAAATCAAGGTAACTAGCATATCCATCTTCTCAAACATCTATTATTTATTTGCCCTGGGAATATTCAAAATCCCCTTTTCTAATTATTTGAAAATATACAATAAATTATTGTTAACTACAGTCACGTTACAGTGCTATGGAATGCAAGAACTTATTTTCCCTATCTACTGATAATTTTGTATCCTTTAAACAATCTCTCCCTATCCCACCCTCACCCTCTCAGCCTTAATAATCACTATTCTACTTTCTGCTTCTATGAGAACAACTTTTTTAGCTTGTGAAAATGGGTAAGAACATGTGGAGAACATGAGTAAGAACATGTGTTTACCTTTCAGTGCCTGGCTTATTTCACTTAACATTAAGTCCTCCAAGCTCATCAGTGTTGTTGCAAATGACAGGATCTCATTCTTTTTACGGCCAAATAGTATTCCACTGGGTATATATAACACATTTTCTTTATCCATTCATCTGTTAACGGATACTTTTATCTTGGTTATTGTGAATAGGGCTGCAATAAACATGGGAGTACAGATACCTGTTCAATATACTGATTTCCTTTTTTAAAAATTTATACACCATAGTGAGATTGCTGGATCATGTGGTAGTTCTAGTTATAGGTTTTAGAGGGACCTCCATACTTTTTTCAATAATGGCTATGGTAATTTATAAGTCCAACAGTGTATAAGAGTTGTCTTTTCTCTGCATCTTTGCCAGAATTTGATTTTTTTTGTCTTTTTGTTAATAGCCATTCTAACTGGAATGAGATTATATCACATTGTGGTTTTTGATTTGCATTTGATGATTAGTGATGTTGAGCATTTTTTCATATACTTGTTGGTCATTTGCATACTTTCTTTTGAGAAATATCCATTCAGGATAATTTTCCCATTTCTAGATCAGATTATTTGTGTGTGTGTGTGTGTGTGTGTGTGTGTGTGTGTGTTTAGTTTGAAATAATCCCACTTGTCTATTTTTGCTTTTGTTGTCTATGCTTTGGAGATTATATCCATAAAATATTTTCCCAGACCAATGTCCCGAAGTGTTTCTCCTTATAGTTTCTTCTAATAGTTTTATAGTTCAGAGTCTTATATTTAAATCTTTAATCCATTTTGAGTTGATTTTTGTATATGGAGAGAGAAGGGTCTTGTTTCATTTTTCTGCATATCCAGATATCCAGTTTATCCAGCACCATTTATTGAAGAGACTGTTCTTTCCCCAATGTATGTTTTTGGTGCCTTTGTTAAAAATCACTTGACTATAAATATGAGGATTTATTTCTGGGTTCTCTATTCTGTTTCATTGATCCATGTACCTGTTTTTATGCCAGTACCATGCTGCTTTAGTTACAGTATATTTATAGTATATTTTGAAGTCAGATAATGTGATGCCACCAGCTTTGTTCTTTTTGATCAGGATTACTTTGGTTGTTTGGGTCTTTTGTGGTTCCGTACACATTTTAGGATTATTTTTTCTATTTCTGTGAAGAATGTCAGTGGTGTTTTGATAGGGATTGCTTTGAATCTGTGGATCAATTTGGGCATGGTCATTTTTAACAATATTAATCTTTTCAATCTATGAACATGGTATTTCTTTCCATTTTTTGTGTTTTCTTCCATTTCTTTCATTGGTACTTCGTAGTTTTTATTGTAGAGATCTTTCACCTGTGTGATTAATTTTATTCCTACATAATATTTTTTATAGCTATTGAAAATGTAATTGCTTTCTTGGTTCCTTTTTCAGCTAGTTTGTTATTGGTGTATAGAAATGCCAATAATTTTTGTATGTTGATTTTGTATCCTGAAATTTTACTAAATTTGTCTGTCAGTTCTAAGAGTTTTTGGCAAAGTCTTTAGGTTTTTCCACATATAAGATCACATTGTCTTCAAAAAGACAATTTGACTTCCTTTTTTCCAATTTGAATGCCCTTTGTTTTTAGTTTTGCCTAGTTGCTCTGGCTAGGACTTCTAGTACAGTGTCAAATTGTAGTGGGGAAAGTAGGCACATTTATATTGTTCCAACTATTAGAGGAAAACCTTTCAACTTTTCCTCATAATGTTAGTTGTAGGTTTGTCGTATGTAGACTTTATAGTGCTGAGGTAAATTTCTTCTATGCCTAATTTGTTGAGAGTTTTTATCATGAAGGGATGTTGAATTTTATCAAATGCTTTTTCTGTGCCTATTGAAATGATCATGTATTTTTGTTCTTCATTCTCTTTGTGTGATGTATCAAGTTTATTGAGTTGTGTATATTGAATCATCCTTGGATCCCTGGGATAAATCTCACTTGATCATGGTGTATTAATCTTTTGGTGCGCTGTTGGGTTTGGTTTACTACTGTTTTGTTGAAGATTTTTGCATCTATGTTCATCAGGAATATCAGCCTGTAGTTTTCTTTTTTGTTGTTCTGTCCTTGTCTGGGTTTTGTATTAGGGTAATATTGGCCTTGTAGAATGAATTTGGAAGAATTCCCTCCTTTTCATGTTTTTGGAATAGTATAAGAGGAATCCACGTTAATTCTTTAAAAATTTGGTAGAATTCGGCAATGAAGTCATCCAGTTCTTGGCTTTTCTTTGTTGAGAGACTTTTTATTACTGATACAGTTGTGTTCCTTGTTATTCATCTGTTCAGGTTTTCTACTTCTTCCTGGTTCAATCTTGATAGGTTGCATGTGTCCAGAAGTTTACCCATTTCCTCTAGGTTTTCCAATTTGTTGGCCTATAGTTGTTTATAATAGTCTTTAATGGTCCTTGTATTTTTTTTTTTTTTTTTGAGACAGAGTTTCGCTCTTGTTGCCCAGGTTGGAGTGCAATGGCGCAATCTTGGTTCTCCACAACCTCTGCCTCCCGGGTTCAAGCAATTCTCCTGCCTCAGCCTCCCGAGTAGCTGGGATTACAGGCACCTGCCACCATGCCTGGCTAATTTTGTATTTTTAGTAGAGACGCAGTTTCTCCATTTTGGTCAGGCTGGCCTCGAATTCCTGACCTCAGGTGATCCACCCACCTCAGCCTCCCAAAGTGCTGGGATTACAGGTGTGAGCCACTGTGCCCGGCCTAGTCCTTGTATTTCTGTGGTATCAGTTTTAATGTCTCCTCTTTCATTTTTAATTTGATTTATTCAGATTTTTTTTTGTTAGGTAGTCTAGCTAATGGTTTTTCAATTTTGTTTATCTTTTTAAAAAGTCAGCTTTTTGTTTCATTGATCTTTTGTATTGTTTTTAGTTTTTAATTAATTTATTTCTGCCCTGATTTTTATTATGTATTCCCTTCTACTTATATTGGATTTGGTTTGTTCTTGCTTCTTTAGTTCCTTGAGGTGCATCAGTAGGTTGTTATTTTCAAAATTTACTACTTTTTGGTGTAGGTGTTTGTTGCTATAAACTTCCTTCTTATACTGCTTTTGCTGTATCCGATAGGTTTTGGTATGTTATGTTTCTTTTCTTTTTTTTATTTTTATTTTTATTTTGAGATGGAGTCTCACTCTGTCACCCAGGCTGGAGTACAGTGGCGTGATCCTGGCTCACTGCAACCTCCACCTCCTGGGTTCAAGTAATTCTCGTGCCTCAGCCTCCTGAGTAGCTGGGGTTACAGGTTCCTGCCCCCAAGCCTGGCTAAATTTGTATTTTTAGTAGAGATGAGGTTTCAGCATTTTGGCCAGGCTGGTCTTGAACTCCCGACCTCAGGTGATCTGCCTGCCTTGGCCTCCCAAAATGCTGAGATTACAGATGTGAGCCACCACGCCTGGCCAGCATGTTGTGTTTCTATTTTCATTAGTTTCAATACATTTTTAAAATTTGCTTTTTAATTTCTTTATTGATTTGTTGGTCATTCAGGAGCATGTTGTTTAATTTCCATGAGTTTGTGCCATTCCCAAAGTTTCCCTTGTTATTGATTTCTAGTTTTATTCCAATGAGGTCTGAAAAGATACTTAATATAATTTTGATTTTTTAAAAATTTTTTGAGTCTTTTTTTGTGGCCTAACATTTTGTCTATCCTAGAGAGTGTTCCAGGTGCAGATGAGAAGAATATGTATTCTGTAACTGTTGGTTAAAATGTTCTGTAAATGTCTATTAGGTCCATTTGTTTATAGTGCAATTTAAGATTGATATTTCTTTGTTGAATTTCCATCTAGATGATTTCTCCAGTGCTGAGTGTGGGGTATTGAAGGCATCAACTATTATAGTATTGGAGTCTATCTCTCCCTTTAGATCTAATAATATTTGGTTAAATATCTGGGTGCTCTGGTGTTGGGTGTATATATATTTATAATTACTATATACTCTTGCTGAATTGATCCCTTTGTCATTATATAATAAACTTTATCTCTTTTTACTGTTTTTGACTTAAAATCTATTTTATCTGATGTAAGTATAGCTACACCTGCTCACATTTGGCTTCCATTTGCATGGAATATTTTTTTCCATCCCTTTTTTTTTTTTTTTTTTTTTTAGTTTACGTGTCTTTACAGATGAAGTGAGTTTCTTCTAGGCAGCATATAATTGGATCATTTTAAAAAATCAATTCAGACGGTCTATGTCTTTTAATTGGGGAATTTAAACTATTTATATTCAAGGTTATTGTTGATAGGTGAAGGCTTACTCATGTCATTCTGTTAGTTGTTTTCTGGTTGTTTCATATAGTCTTTGTTCCTGTTTCCTTTCTTATTGTTTATATTTTCAGTTTGGTGGTTTTCTGTAGCAAAAAGATTTGATTACCTTCTCTTTCTTATGTGTATCTGCTCTATCAGTAACTTTTATACTTTTGTCTGTTTTCATGAGGGTAGTTATTGTCCTTTCACTTCCAGATGCAGGACTTCTATATTTCTTGCGAAGCCAGTCTAGTGATGATAAATTCCCCATTTTCTCCTTGTCTGGAAAAAACTTTATTTTGCCTTCATTTCTGAAGGTTAACTTTGCTAGGAATAGTACTCTTGACTGGCAGTTTTTCTTTTCTTTCAGCACTTTAAATATATCCTCCTATTTTCTTCTGGTCCATAAGGTTTTGCTGAGAAACCTCTGTTAGTCTGATGGAGATTCCATGATATGTAACTTGACACTTTTCTCTTGCTGTTTTTAGAATTTTCTCCTTTGCTTTGACTTTTGACAGTTTAACTATAATGTGGCTCAGAGAGGGCTTTCTGGGTTGAATTTGGGAACTTTTGAGCTTACTAGATATGGATATCCATATCTCTCCTAAGACTTGGGAAGATTTCAGTGATTATTTTATTATGTAGGTTTTCTATGCCTTCTTCCAGCTCTTCTCCTTCTGGAATTCCCATAAAATGAATATTTGTTTACTTAATGGTTTTATATAAGTCGTTTAAGCTTTCTTCATTTTTTTCTTTTTTGTCTGGCTGGATTATTTCAAAAGACCTTCAAGTTCAGAAAATTTTTCTTCTGCTTGATCTAGTCTATTGTTGAATTTCTCAATTGTATTTCTTATGTTATTCACTGAATTCTTTAACTCTAAGATCTCTGTTTGGGTCTTTTTTATATCAATCTCTATTGAGTATGTTATTTATTTTTTATTTGTTTTTGAGACAGAGTCTTGCTTTGTCACTTAGGCTGGAGTGTAGTGGCACAATTAGAACTCTCACTACAGCCTTGAACTTCTGGGCTCAAATGATCCTCCCACCTCAGCCTCCCAAGTAGCTGGGACTACGTGCATGTACTACCACACCTAGCTAATTTTAAAAATGTTTAGTAGAGATAAGATCTCACTGTGTTTCCCAGGCTGGTCTTGAACACCTGGACTCAAGCAATCCTCCCACCTCAGCCTCCCAAAGTGCTGGGATTACAGGTATAAGCCACCATGCCTGGCCAGATTTTTCATTTAGATCATGAATTATTTTTCTGATTTCATTGAGTTGTCTATCTGTTTTCTCTTGTATCTCACTGAGTTTTCTTAAAATAATTATTTTGAATTCCTATCCAGGCATTTTATAGATTGCCTTTTCTTTGGGGTCTGTTGCTAGATACTTACCATGTTCCTTTGGAGGGGTCATGTTTCTTTGCTTTTTTGCTTCTTGTATTATTACATTGATATCTGCATATCTGGTGGAATGGGTGCCTCTTCCAATTTTATGGGGTAGCTTTTATAGGGATACATTTTCCCCATAGATGTGTCCTATAGTGTTGGTTAGGTAAGGATGCTTTAGTTTTGGTTCTGGATGGGTACAGTAGAGTAGTCTCTGTGTGATTTCTTTGGCTGTATTCAGTGTCTGCAAGTACCTTACCGGCCTAGGCTCTGGGTATTTGTGAAGGCAGTGTTGTGGCTTTGCTTGGGGTAAGGGCCACCAAGTGGGCCAATTCTTAGGTTCTGGAGGGCACACAGTGGGCATGGCATCTCTGCTGGTTGCAGGGTTGGTGTTGCAGGCACCAGTCAGGCTGGATGTTGGTTCCTGGGATACTGGTGTAGTACATGGTGGCTCTGCCACTGGAGGAGATGGGTTTGCTGGCAGCTGTAGGCACCAGGTGGACCAGTCATTGGTCCCTGGGGAGCCTGCACCTAAGTGATACTTTTATTTTGGTTAAAAAAAAAGTAACATAAAATTTACCATCTTAACCATCTTTAAGTACAGTACGTCCTCACTGAACACCATTGATAGATTCTTGGAAACTGCAACTTTAAACAAAACAACGTATAAGAAAAATCAGCATTTTTTCTCATCAACATTACAATAAAATGATATTGAATAAAATGATGTTACCTGAGGACCTGCTCTACACTGTTTTGCTTAAAGTTGTGGTTTCCAAGAACCTATTGATGACATTAAATGAATATTTACTGTATACCATTCAGGGATACAGAAAATGTATCCCTATAAAAGCTACCCCATAAAATTGGAAGAGGCACCCATTCCACCAGATACACAGATATCAATGTAAGAATACAAGAAGCATCCAGGCACAGTGGCTCACGCCTGTAATCCCAACACTTTGGGAGGCCGAGATAGGTGGATCACCTGAGGTTGGGAGTTCGAGGCCAGCCTGACCAACATGGAGAAACCCCGTCTGTACTAAAAATACAAAATTAGCTGGGCATGGTGATGCATGCCTGTAATCCCAGCTACTCGGGAGACTAAGGCAGGAGAATCGCTTGAACCTGGGAAGCAGAGGTTGTGGTGAGCTGGAATAGCACCATTGCCCTCCAGCCTGGTCAACAAGACCGAAACTCCATCTCAAAAAAAAAAAAAAGATTACAAGAAGCAGAAAAGCAAGGAAACGTGACACCTCCAAAAGAACATGATAATTGTGGCATTGAATACATTCATAATATTTCACAATATATCTTCAGGATGTTTTTATCTTGCAAACTTAAACTCTATACCCATCAAACAACTCTCATTTTCCCTTCCTCCCAGCTCCTGGCAACCACCATTCTACTTTCTTTTTCTATATGTTTGGCTACTTTAGATACCTCATATAAGTGGAATCATGCAATATTTGTCTTTGTGGTTTATTTTACTTAGTATAATGTCCTCAAGGTTCATCCATGTTGCAGTTTGTGTCAGAATTTCCTTCCTTTTTTCAAGGCTGAATAACATTCCCTTATAAGTATATACCACATTAAAAAAAATCTATTCATCTGATATGAGGATTTGGGTTGCTTCCACCTTTTGGATATTGTCAATACTGTTGCTATAAATATGGATGTGCAAATACCTCTTCAAGATCTTGCTTTCAATTCTTTTGGATATATATCCAGAAGTACAATTGCTAGATCACATGGTAATTTTATTTTATTTTATTTTTTTAGGAACCACCATACTGTTTTCCATAGCATTTGCACCATTTTACAATCCCACCAACAGTGCACAAAGGTTCCAGTTTTGCCACATCTTCACCAACACTGGTTATTTTATGATTTTTAATAGCAGCCATTCTAATGGGTGTGAGGTGAAATCTTACTGTGGTTTTGATTTGAGTTTCTCTGATGATTAGTGATGTTGAGCATCTTTTATATGCTTCTTAGCCATTTGTATATCATCTTTAGGTAATATCTATTCAAATCCTTTGCTTATTTTTTCTTTCATCTTTCTTTTTTTTTTTTTTTTTTGGTAATTGACTGCCTATTTTTAAATCAGTTTATTTGATCTTTTCTTGTGAGTTGCAGTTCTTTTTGAGACAGGGTCTCACTCTGTTACCCAGGCTGAAGTGCAGTGGTGTGACCTTGGCTCACTGCAACCTCCTCCTCCTGGGCTCAAGCGATCCTCCCACGTTAGCCTCTCAAGTACCTGGGATTACAGGTGCACACCACTACACCAGGCTAATATTTTGGTATTTTTTTGTAGAGATGGGGTTTTACCATGTTTCCCAGGCTGGTCTTGAACTCCTGGGCTCAAGCAATCCACCTGCCTTGGTCTCCCAAAGTGCTGGGATTACAGGTGTGAACCACTGCACCCAGCCTGGAGTTCTTTATGTATTCTGGCTATTAGCCACTTATTGGATATATAATTTGCAAATCTTTTCTCCCATTATATAGGTTGACTCTTCGTTTCAATTGATTTGCATCCTTTGCTGCACAAAAGTTATTAAATTTGGTGTCATCCTATTTGTCCATTTTTGCTTTTGTTGCTTCGACTTTTGGTGTTATATTCAAGAAATGGTTGCCAAATTTAATATCATGAAGCATTTCCCCTATGTTTCCTTCCAAGAGTTTCATAATTGTAGGTCTTACATTTAGATCTTTAATTCATTTTGAGTAATTTTTGTATGTGGTATAATGATAAAACTTTATTATTTTGCATGTGGATATTCAGTTTTCCCAACACCATATATTGAAGACATTGTCCTTTCCCCATTGAGCGGTCTTGGCACCCTTAACCATATATGTGAGAGTTTATTTCTAGGCTTTCTACTCTATTCCATTGGTCTACCTGTCTCTCTTTATGCCAGTACCATACTGTTTTGATTACTATATCTTTGTAATATTTTTTGAATTCAGGGAGTGTAAGTTCTTCAACTTTGTTCTTTTGGAAAGTTGTTTAGCTGTTTGGGGTCCCTTGAGATTTCATATAAATTGTAGGATGAATTTTTCTATATCTGCAAGAAATATCTTTGGAATTTTGATAGAGATTGAAATAAATGATCTTTGAGGTTCTTTGTGATATTAAAGTGATGTAGTATATATGTATCACTTAAGTAGCAATTCAGTTCTGGGATTATTATTAAATTCTTTACCTCCAGATGAGAAGAAGGGACATTTATTCAGCTCCTTCTACATGGTAGGCATTATTGCAGCACTCTGGGTAGAGACATCATTAGTATTTTTGTTAGGTTGACTTGCCCTGCTCTGCATGGAAAAGCCAGGATTCCTGCAGAGATACAAGCCCAGGTCTGTGTCCTTATAAAGCTTGTGCTCTTCTTGTGCTACACTTCTGCGCCCTCCTCCATTGCCCAGAAGCTTCCTAACAGTTGACAGAGTTTGCACCCAATGCTGATGGGTGTTTATCTTTTCACTGATGTCACAACAGTTGTGGGAGTACCACCTGCTATTGTCTTTAGGGGATTGTCACAGAATTTTTAAATGAGCTACTATGTATATTTGAATACTTACAGTGCTAAATGGACAAACATATTTGGGGAATCATGATGCTGGACTTTAATTTTATTTTTTAATTGAATAAAGTCCTACCTAAATTTTCTTCCTTGTTCACGTGTATGTGACCAAAGTCTTGCTGAGAAAAAGGGAATATGCTTCTCATAACCATTCCTTCTCTTCTCTAT
Source organism: Homo sapiens (assembly GCF_000001405.40). Lineage (NCBI taxonomy): Eukaryota > Metazoa > Chordata > Mammalia > Primates > Hominidae > Homo > Homo sapiens. The sequence continues at coordinate 109,217,215 of NC_000006.12, forward strand.
TCTCCCTGAGATTTCCAACCCTGAGTGAGTAATGCAAGTGCTCCAAGATCACGCTGCAAAGACAGTCATGCTGGCTCCACATCAGCCATCGTTTGTGGCTTCCCAAGGTTTGCATCAGGGCAATTATGACCAAGTCTGGGAGAATATTGACAACAACATCAACCTCTGTCAGGTACTATAGGAAGAAATAACCAATATGCCCTTTTATGCAACTTGCTACCTGTGTGTAGCCCTTAGATATTTACTTTGGTAGTTTTTCTGACACCCTTCCCACGAAAATCTCTATCATCTAGCCAGGTTTATTTTCATTATAAGAAAGATTAAGTGCTCATTAAAAAGAAAGATATAAAGAAGTATAACATAAGATGTTGTTCCTACAAGGACAGATACTTAAACCAGTAAATGCCAGTGCAAGGCTGTACATCCAAGGGCTAAGCAACCAATGAGTTGGACAGTTATTAAATATCGTATTTAGAAAGTGGACCCCAAAGGGTAGATTCTATTGGGGAAAGCCTCTTGAAGGAGAGGAAATTGAGCTGGGTTTGAAGGAAGCATAGGACTTACGGAAGTGGTGGGGAGGAAAGTAGGGAGTGCATTCTAGGAGGTACAGCATGAAGAGCATGCTGAGGAGATACTGGATGTGATATAGTCAGAGCCAGCTTAGTTGAGTGGAAGATTCATGTGGAAATACAGTGAAAAGAAAGAATGTTTGTTTCTTTATTTGTCAGGGGAGGTGCTGGTTGTGAATGCTCATGCATTCCAGACAAAAGAATCTGTGCTTTTTCCTATAAGGAAAATATTTCATACAAAGGCATATGTTTAAGGAAAAATAATGTGACAGCAAAATGTTAGTTGGACTGAAAGAGGGAGAGTTTGGAGACAAGGAAGCCAGTTAGGTAGCTGCTGCACAGGATAGGCATGAGGTTTGGAAGTGAAAAGAAGTTTATTCACAAAGCTGGTGTATACTTGTCTTTACAATGATACCATAACATTTTTGAAGTTTTCATCTGCTATTATTTGTCACTCTAAAAGAAGAGTTTCGTTTCATTTGTCTATTTAAGTTGGGAAGGCCTAAATATGTTTATAGTCTAAGGGGAGGAAGCAGTAGAGAAGAGGAGACAGAAGATATGAAAAGGGAAATGTGAGAAACAGATGACCCTGGGGAAGAGGAAGCGATGGGATGAAGAAACCAGATGGAGGAGTAATTTTGAGAAATCAAGAATGACATCCCTTCCCTTGAGGTGAATGGGATACATAGAATTTTCAGGTGCAAAAAGGTAAGATGTGGGTGCTCCTGACTGGCCCTGGCTGTCTCAGAGAGAGGGAGGAGGCAGAGCTCATCTGCATTAGTGAAGTGGACGGCAAGAGCTACACGTGAGGAGGTGCATGGCTATGAGAAAGACCACAGGACCATCAGTAAGAGGAAAATACATGAGTGACTGCATAGTCAAGAGGCCCCTGGTAAAACACAATGCTATGAATTTGTAGTGAGCCCCTTTTGTATAAATTCTATTCCTTTCACCCCTAAACATGATTGTAGAGTGCCTGAAAATTGTATAAAATCAAAGTTGAGAGGAAGTTGAGTAAATGCTGGAGAAAGAAGTACGGTCACGGTCCATTATCCCAGGCTGGATATGGGGGAAAGTGAGACCTCAAGGTATCCAGTGAGTTATAGATTAGTTGGGAGCACACACACACACACACACATGCACACACACACACACACCCCTTTTATAACTGTTCAATTTGTTTGAGCAAGGATCTAGAGATCTAATGAGAAATGAGTTGGCCACACAGATCAGGAGCAGAGGCAATATATCATAACATGGATCTCCCAGGCCCCTGAATTTCCCGACAGGGTATGCAACTATCAGTGACACACTCCTTGGCTAGCATCCTGCCAGAGTTGAAAAAATAGCCACATTTTTCCTATCCCATTGCCGTTTTACAACTGAAGTTTGTATCACCATTCAGGAAGACCTTACACGAATAAGGAGATATTAAAAAAACATTGACTCTCCTGTTCCTGAACCAAACATAGAGGATACAGGGTAGAGGAGAAAGGAGTGAGAAGGCAGAGTCTGTCCCAGTGTCTTGGAACCGTGTCTTTTCTTCTGAGATCCTGAACAGTTTACTTATTTTTATTTTTATCTTTATTTATTTATTTATTTTTGAGACAGAGTCTCACTCTGTCACCCAGACTGGAGTGCAGTGGTGCGATCTCGGCTCACTGCAACCTCTGCCTCCCAGGTTCAATGGGACCACAGTCATGCACCACCACCTCTGGCTAATTTTCTTTTTTTTTTGAGACAGAGTCTCGCTCTGTTGCCCAGACTGGAGTGCAGTGGCATGATCTCGCTCACTGCAAGCTCTGCCTCCTGGGTTCATGCCATTCTCCTGCCTCAGCCTCCTGAGTAGCTGGGACTACAGGCGCCCGCCACCACACCTGGCTAATTTTTTGTATTTTTAGTAGAAACAGGGTTTCACCGCGTTAGCCAGGATGGTCTTGATCTCCTGACCTTGTGATCCACCCACCTCAGCCTCCCAAAGTGCTGGGATTACAGGTGTGAGCCATGGTGCCCGGCCACCTCTGGCTAATTTTCATATTTTCAGTAGAGATGGGGTTTCTCCATGTTGGCCAGGCTGGTCTTGAACTCCTGACCTCAAGTGATCCACCCACCTCAGCCTCCCAAAGTGCTAGGATTACAGGCGTGAGCCATCATGCCCAGCCTTGGACAGTTTACCTCTTGATGCAGATGTAATAATCATCCTTTACCTGGGGAGTTATGGTATTAACATCTGAGGCCCATCAGCACAAGTCTGTTTTCCTCCTTGAGTGAGAGAATAAAGGGAATTAAATTCCGGAGGTCCATAAAGAGGTGAGAGGAGATGAATAAGAGTGAGGAGAGGGCCAGGCACAGTGGCTCATGCCTGTAATCCCAGCACTTTGGGAGGCCGAAGTGGGTGGATCACAAGGTCAGGAGATCGAGACCATACTGGCTAACATGGTGAAACCCTGTCTCTACTAAAAATACAAAAAATTAGCCGGGCATGGTGGCACGCGCCTGTAGTCCCAGCTACTCGGGAAGCTGAGGCAGGAGAATTGCTTGAACCCTGGAGGCGGAGGTTGCAGTGAGCGGAGATCATGCCATTGCACTCCAGCCTGGGCGACAGAGTGAGACTCTGTCTTAAAAAAAAAAAGAAAGAGTGAGGAGAGGTCGGAATCAAAGGAGGAGGGAGTCAGAGATAAAGAGCTTCATGTTTGAAATTATGGAGAAACGGTAAGGTCTAGGGTGTGGCCTGACCACTGGGAAGCTGAGTTGTAGCACTGCCCACAGGCACTTAGGGGACAAAGGAGGTTACCTCTGTAGGACCACTGTGCCAGTGAAAAGCAGAAAGTAAACAGTGACAGTAGGAGATGGTGGCTCAGGTAAGTGTTGAGTAGTAGAAAACACCAAGCTAGGGCAACTGTGTAAGAAACTGGTGGAAATGGAAGCAGGGAAAGCTCCTGCTTCTCCTCCCAGCCGTGCAATGGAGGGGACAACTAACACTTTCTGCTCTCACTGCTTTCTTCCCCTTGTGGAGGAGATGGAGATTCAGGTACTGATAGGATGCAGTCTGTGCTTTCACCAAAGTCTGTTTTGAATGCAATTGCCCAAATAATAAAAAGAAAAGAAAACCACTTCCTCTAGCTATTTACTGACATATAAATGTTGTTCTTGGAATCTTGGAATTCCCCAAAGGGAGAAAAATATCAGCACTGCATTTTCAAGTTGACTTATGGTAAATAGACCATAGAGAGACTAATAATACCTGTAGATCTTCAGATTCCAGAGATGGGGCATGAGGGGAGACATACAGCACACACACAAATCACTGTACAAATTAGGATCATGAAGTTTTCCATTTTCTCATTCATTCATTCATTCCATGATTATTACATGGACATTGCCTTTGTGTCAGGAACTGTACTTGGGTTAGGGGATGAAACAGACCCAGTCCCTGCCCTGAGAGCAACATGCAATAAACAAGTGAACAAAGAAGTAAACCTACATCTCTAACTTGTGAGTGCCATGAAGAAAACAGGGGGCAGAGAACAATAAGTGGAGGGGAGCACCCTCTGACAGAGTTCAGCCAAATCTTGGGGTGGGAGGATTGAACTGAATTTAATGAATGAGAAGGAGGCAGCCATGCAAAGAGCCTGGAGAAAGAGAAGAATTCCCTTCCTTTCCTTTCCCTTCCCTTCCCTTCCCTCCCCTCCCCTCCCCACCCCTCCCCTCCCCACCCCTCCCCACCCCTCCCCTCCCCACCCCTCCCCTCCTCCTCCCTTCCCCTCCCCCTCCCTTCCCCTCCCCTTCCTCTCCCCTTCCCCTCCCCTCCTCTCCCCTTCCTCTCCCCTCCCCTCCCCTTCCTTTCCCTCCCCTCCCCTCCCCTCCCTTCCCTTTCCTTTTTTCCCTTTCTTAAAACCAGTGCTATTTTCTGTTCCAAAGCAAAGAACAGAAAATAGTACTGGGTTTAAGAATAGAAATTCCAAGGCAACAGCCAATATTTTCTAGTTTTCTTCACATTTTCCCATGGGTGGCACTTTGTAACCTCCTGGAGTATTTCTGCTTTGGTCAAGAGCCACTTTATACTGTATCAGTGCCCCACTGGTAGCACATAGCCATTCTGGATGTTAAATGCTAATCAAATCAGATTAGGATTAAGTAAAAATGTGGCAGCTAGGAGGAGTTACAGGAATGTGAGTATGAATCTTAAAGCTGTGTTACTATTTTGCAAACATGTAGCAGTCAAGTGTGGATTTTAGCATCTGTATGCTGGTCAGCATCTTGATTCTGAATTTGGCAAGTGGCAACCAATACCTCATGACAGATAAGTTTCTTAAAGGGCCTTCTGCATAAAGAAAAACAAACTTCATAGGACGACTGTCTGTCCATTTTGGCATCTCTGAGAGAATGAATATAATCACTAATTGTAGCACAACTTCAGAACAGTTTCTGGTCAGTTCTCTCTGAATGCCATTCACCAGTAACCTTTCCTTTTTTGTTTTGTTTTGTTTGTTTTTGACAGGGTCTTACTCTGTTGCCCAGGCTGAAGTGCAGTAGTGCGATTTCAGCTCATTGCAGCCTTTGCCTCCTGGGTTCAAGTGATCCTCCTGACTGAACCCCCTGAGTAGCTTGGACTACGGGTGGGTGGGCGCACACCATCACTACCAGCTATTTTTTTTTCTTTCTGTAGAGACAGGGTTTCACCATGTTGCCCAGGCTGGTCTCGAAGCAATCCACCTGCCTGGGCCTCCCAAAGTGCTGGGGTTACAGGCATGAGCCACTGTGCCCGGCCCCACTTTCCTTTAGGGAGTTTTTTTTTTTTTATTTATTTTGAAATAGTTTGAGATTTACAGAAAAGCTGCAAAGACAGTACAAAGAGTTCCCATCTACCCCTACTCAGTTTCTTATATTATTGACATCTTACATTGTAGTGATACATTTGTCATACCCAAGAAACCAACATTGGTACATTACTGTTAACTAAACTAGGCTTCATCTGGATTTCACCAGTTTTTCCATTAATGTTCTCTTTCTGCCCTAGGATCCTATCCAGGATACCATGTTACATTTAATCATCGTACCTCCCCCACCTCCCCTGCTCTGTGACAGTTCCTCAGTCTTTCTTTGTTTATCATGACATTGACAGTCTTTAGGAGTACCAGCCCCGCAATCTGTAGACCTTTGCCTAATTTGAGTTTGCCTGATATTTTCTCATGGTTACACTGGGGTTATGGGTTTAGAAGAAGAAGAATATCACAGAGGCTAAGTGTCCTCACCACATCCTATTCGGGGAACATGATATCAACGTGACATCATGGCTGATGTTAATCTAGCTCACTTGGTTAAGCTACTGGTGATTGCCAGGTTTCTCCACTGAAGTTACCATTTTTTTCTTTAAGGAGTTTTTAAAAATTAAGTTTAAATCATATAAGTGATAAATAAATGTCTTCTCCTTGTAAAAAGTTGAAACATTACTGAAAAGTTAAATTCCCCTTTAACTACTCCCTGCTGCCCATCCTGCTCCCCATTCCACCTCCTTAGAGGCAAACATGGTTATTGCTTTGAGCCTTTTCAATGCATTTACATACATACATATGTCCCCATAAAATATATATAGGATAAGTTTGCATTTGAGGTTTTTATATAAATGATATATCATACTATATGAATATCTTTCTGCAACCCAACAATATGTCTTGGAGATCTGCTGTTCTTTTCAATGGCTGAGTTGTATTTTATTGTATACTACAGATTACACCCCAGCTAGGCCTGTGTAGAACCTCTGGAACCTGTAATTGTTAGATCAAGTTACTCATGTTCATAAAAAAAGCACATTTATTAAAATGGCTATGTATAGACATCGCACACTACTATTGACCATCGTATTTTCAAAGATAAGGTTTAAATTGGTCACTGTTTTTTTAACCTCATGGAGTAGTAAAGCAGCAGCAAACACCACATCCAGGTTGCAGTGTCGGGGGGCAGTGGTAGAGCCCTTCCTTTGCCTCTTCCCACTGACCACACCAAGGAGGGGAGGTGCTCCCCTGCATTTCCAGAGGTAATGTGATGTAGTGAGAAGAAGGTGTGCTCGCACAGAAATGGTGGTGTAGACAGTAGCTCCGATGTGCAACATATTCAGCGAAACACAAAACACCCTTTTCCTGGTTCTTCTCACCAAATTCAATAAAATATTTACTTAAAAAATTTTCTGATGATAATAGTGGCATGTGTTTAACACAGAAAACTTGGGAAATATAGAAAAATACAAGAAAGAAAACTAAAATCACCCCTTGTTGTACCATCCAGAATAACAACAGTATTATTAATATTTGGTATATATCCTTCTGGTCTTTGTTTCAGTGGATAAACCCATGTAAGCAGCAGAGATGTTCTGGGTGTGGGGAATACATAACAGTCTTACTTTTCCTACCTACCTCCCACTTCATTTCCCCTGCCAACTTCCCAGAAGAAAATGAGATTTGCAATCAGCAGAAATCTCAGAACTGTCTAAACACATGAACTCAGCCATGCTGACAAAGAGCCGCAGGCAGTAAAGGTCAGCAGATTTCCACACCCAGGCCGGGAGAATGAACACAGATGGGGTTGCCCTGCTGCTTACCTGCACCGTCTCCAGTACGCTTAGGGGTCCATGCTTCTGGACTTGGTATTTCCTAAGCAGTTTCCTTTTGTGGGATGTTGTTGGTCCTTTTTCCTGGAGGATGCTGGGTGCTCTCCTTTTCCTGCTCCAGCTGATCTGTGCTCCCTTCCTTTTTCCCAGGCCACCTGCAGGTCCAGCAGTACTTTTGTGGTTTGTTCAGTCAGTCCTTCAAATGTCTTCCACTGTAACTTGATGTCACTTTCTGTCCTGTCCTATGTAATTCTGGGTAATTTTAGAAGCAGCTGAAAGTGTCACAATCCCATCAGAGAAAGGATGTGGCTCAGAGCCTTCCTTCTGGGACCACATCAAGCAGTGCTGAACAGCAACCTGAGAGCACTACAGGCCAGGAGGCAAAAGGCTCCACTGAACCCCTGCTACCCCATATTCATAGGAATTGTCAAAATTCAGCTACTCTCAGAGTATATGCTTTCCTATAGATTTTAAAAAACATAACAGATGTTCTTTACTTTGGAATGCCGATCTTTCTGTTTTAACGAACAAGAATGCACCATGTCACCTCACAGGGTCTTTTCCAGTCCTAGGGTTGTGGGATGTTTACACAGAAATACACTGATGTGTACACTGAGCTGGAAGCCAATTCTACCTACAAGCATAATGGGCAATCACTTAACGCTACTCAATTGGACAACTTTCTCTCTCACCCACTTTTCCTAATATTCCTGTCAACATTTTCCTTCCTCACTTCCTGTCAAAAGCCTGCTAGTCTATCTTTAGAGTCTTGGGGACTGTATTAGTTAAAATTAGGTTTGGCTGTTGGTGATGGTAAAATGATATGACAGAGGATTAAAGGAGGTGGAAATTGTGCTCTCTGTCCCTCATATGAATGTTTCAGGGTAGGATGTACAGAGCTGGTGTGGTAGATTTGCACTATGGAGCCCTCAGGGCTCTCAGCCCTGTCTATCTTGGAGTTCTAACAAATATGGCTCTACATTTGAGATCAACACCCAGCCTGAGACAGAGCTCCAGCTGTCACATTCATGCTCTAAGTAGCAGGATGGAGAAGGGATGAAGAAGCTGCCTCTACTAGAAATCCTTTGAAGCTGCAACATGGCACTTTACTCCTAGTCCATTGTCACGTAGCTACACCTAGCTGCAAGAGAGGCTTGGAAATGTTGTCTGTATCTAGGTGGTCAGGTGGCAAGATAAATATTCAATAACTGTAGGAAAAGAGGAAAATGGCTATTGGGGAACAACTAGCAGTTTCTGCAATAAGGGTCCGTTGGAATTCCAAGAACCAACTATTAGAATATAACCCAGAGAGGGGATTTCCAAGCTCAGCCATTGCCACTCAGTACTTTTGTGGGGATTGGTGCCACTATGAAAGTGCACACCTTATGAGATTGGGGTGTATGCCCAGAGACAGGCAAAGAAGGCAGCTAAGACGAGGCTGCCCAGAGGGTGAGGGGCAGGACCTCAGACCCGCATTGTCTTCCTCACAGTGTTATCTGGGGCTGGGGTGCATGATCACATCCCTCTCAGCATCAGGGAAGATGACTGTGGAAATAAGTGTGAACCTTGAATGCTGTGAGAGATCGTACAGGACTACTGAAGTTCGTAACAGGAGAGAACTGGCATCTTGAGCACCGATTAGGTACCGGGCACTAAGCTGGAGGTTTTATATACATTCTATCATTTAACTCTCACAACACCTTATCATTTTCCATTATCATGCCATTGTACAAATGTGGAAACAGGCTCATGACTGTAAATGACTGAACCATATAGCTAATACGTAGAAAGAGGCTTTATCCACTGAGCTCTCTCAGTACAGAACAAGACTAGATTAGAGAGGTTCAAAGGTCCCAAACATATACATTCTTGTATCAACTTTTTATAAAGGGAATTACATAAAAGACAGGGAGGTAGATGGCTATTATTTAAAAGCTGTGACTACTTTCGTGAAACAAAGATTAGTTTAGTAAAAACAATGACCTCCCTAATTTATTGTAGAAATTTAGATGTCAGGTTGAATATGTCAGCTTGAAGTAGATCAAACCCCTCTTTTACTTACTTATCTAAATATGCTTTGGATTATGAGGGTTACTTTTGCAATGACCTGACTGTGATTTTGTTAATCATATTGCAAATGTTTATGTAATTTGATTAATGCTAATTTTTTGATAGAATAAAAATATGAAAGATGATGACCTCTCCATGAAACAAAATGAAAATGATCTATCACAGATAACTCTCAGCCAACATGCTGATGGGCCTCTCAAGCAGATACAAGAGACAGGGTAAATTAAATCATATTATTAGTGACTCAAAAAAGTGGATTAAAACACTGTGGGGAAGACTGAGTGACTGATTAATATGTAGTTTACATGTTAACTCAAAAATATTTGAAGTCAGAAAGAAAGCAAGACTTTTAAAACAGGTCAGACAACTAAACTAATGCTTCACCCTACGACTGTGTTTTTAATGAGAGTAATTGCTAAGAGAAACTTGTCTTTACATGTATACATATAGAGTAATTATTTCCCCTCAGAAATTTATAAAGGGAAGCTATCATGAAACACCTTTAAATTAAGTAAAATGACTTTAGTTTTGTGCATGTGAAATTTTGGAATCACTTTGAGGTGAAATTGATTTATGATATCTCTCCTGCCTGCTAAAGGTACAACTATGCAATGACCCTACAACTGCTGGGCTTGGAAGACGGCACTGACCCCAGTGATAGGAATCCTGTTCTGATGAGAGGGGCCTACTTGTCCTTTCTGTATCTGTGCCACCTTCGAATCAGAGAACTGCAGGTATGTGGATGGCAGGCATCAGAAATGTCTGGTTGTCTAGAAAAGAGGTTTTCTGCTATTCCAATAGCAAATGGCATTTTATGCTTTTGCCCTTTGTTCCACTTTTTTTTTTCTTTTTAACATGGAATCAGCCCCTTTCCAGGGTGGTGTGTTCCTTTCCCACAGTAGGGTTGACCTGCCATCAAGTTGTATTCTATAGGGTGGACTAGGTGAAGGGCAGGGACCTGATTCTGTTCTTTTCTTTGTTTCAGCACATCTGCTTAGGAATTCTGAATTATTTCAGATCTGTTGAGCGAACCCTGACAATCAATACTTCGGGCCTTACCTTGGTTTCAGGGAAACTGGTCCCCACCATGGAAGATAGTTCCTGGGTAAATATGGCAAAAGGAGGTCTGGGCACCTTGCAGGGCCTGGGCGCTCACCACTATGTCCGTGAGACACCTGCTGAGCACAAGGTGAGGTGTTGTGCTGAGGTTTTTTCTTCCTTGATTATCCTGCCTCCCAAAGCCACCCTCTAGATAAGACCTGGAATCAATTAACATGATGGAGTAACACATGAGGGTTTCTTAGGGAAGAGGCCTTTTAATCATAATAAAACACAAGGTCTGCTTAAGAGCAAGTCACAGGCAGAGAGTGCCCTAAAGCAGCCCTGGAGGCCACACTGAGAAGGAAGAAATAGAGCATGAGAAGCCCTTCTGTTATCCTGGCCTGAGAACTTTACATCCTTACAGAGAAACTCTTAGAAGACTCCCCTTGACATTGCTATATGTACCTTTTTTGCCTCTTTTCTGTTTTCCAAGCTTCAAATGAAAAAAAAACTCAAAACAGAGGTAGAAAAACATTGGAAAGAGCTGAACAATAAAGAAATATTTTATCCCTACAAACACCTGCTTGCCCCTTAGTGCATTTGGTGTTTCTAGAACATATTTTTCTACAAAGTCTATAAAATTTCAATCCTGCCTAACAAAAGGCCAATAAGACAAAATTCATATTAACTTTCTTTCTTTGAGAATAAAGTTGAGAATGCTTATATTTTATTGGACTATTGTAGACACTCTTGTAATATTTTAATCTCAATCCCTAGAGAGTTTATTCCTGAAGATAGAGTTTAATATGAATTTTATCTTCTTAAAAATGCTAGATTGACAAAGGTGAAAAATAAAATCTATTTAGCTACAAAACAAGTCATTTTCTAAGCTAGTGTGACCTCTGACTTATGCCTGTTGTGTCTGTAAGTGTAAAATCTTACTCTTAACTGTTGTTCGTATGCACACAGTCTAGAGCAACAGTGGCCAGCAGAAATATAATGCAAGCCACATACATTATTTAAAATGTTCTAGTAGCTACATTTTAAAAAGTACAAAGAAACATGAAATTTTAAATAATATAATCTGTTTAGCCCAATGTCTATATTATCATTTCTACATATAATCAATATTAATAAATCATTGAGTGATTATACATTTTTTGTACTAAGTGTTTAAAATCTGGTGTATATTTTATATACAGATAACACATTTTAACTCAGACAAGCCACACTTCAGGGGCTTAACAGCCACATGTGGCTAGAGGCCACATGTACTGAACAGTTCAGCTTCAGATATTGGGATTTTTTTTTTTATTTTCCCAACCAGTCACTTAGAGTCCTACCTTCACTCAATCTTCAGGACACCCTTCTCTTTTGGGTCTCCTACCCTAAAAAGCACCCACCAACTCCTACTCCCTCACGACACACAGACTTCCTCTCAGATCTTCCTTTACCCCTCTGCCCTCCTCCTTGGGTTCTAGCTCATCAAGCCCAATTAGTTTGGCCCTCAGTGGAACTAGAGAGGTGAGTTAAGACACTTTTAATACAAACATGCTACAAAACAAGCACATCTTTCTCTTACTAGTATTGATCCAACCACAGCTGTGGTACGTTATTATGCTAATGGATATTTTTGAAAATGTTCTTACTAAAGAGCCCTCTCTGTCTCTCTGTTCTGGGTTTGGGTAGGAGATAGATATAAAGGAGGAGAGGATAGGCAAATACTGTCCTGCCATACTCATTGTAGGAGGAACTTCTCGGGGTAATGCATTTTATTTATATATATTTTTTGAGGTGGAGTTTTGCTGTTGTTGCCCAGGCTGGAGTGCAGTGGCGCAATCTGAGCTCACTGCAACCTCTGTCTCCTGTGTTCGAGTGATTCTCCTGCCTCAGCCTCCCGAGTAGCTGGGATTATGGGTGCCCACCCCCACACCCAGCTAATTTTTGTATTTTTAGTAGAGACAAGGTTTCACTAGGTTGGCCAGGCTGGTCTCAAACTCCTGACCTCAGGTGATCCACCCGCCTCGGCCTCCCAAAGTGCTGGGATTACAGGTGTGAGCTGACGCGCCCGGCCTTAATGCAATATTTCTTTCCTATGCTCTCATAAATGATAAGAAAAACAGTGCCTATTTTTGTTCTTAATAGCTCCCAGCTGCTATTACTTCAGTATGAGACACTCAAGGAAGTGGCCTTCTGTCTGTCTTTAATAGGACTACTTGGTTTAGCTACACCCCATGGGTGTGGCCTTGTCAATATTTACACCAGGATATCCAGCTCTGGACGGTGTGATTCTTTCCCCCAGAGGGGATGGGAGTCAGAGATGTTAATCTGTTGGGTTGAACTCACCAAGCCCAGGGCTGAGGCTGCTGGGAGCAAACCACTGGGCTTACCAGACCTCAGGAAGGCTCCTAAAATGGAGACCCCTTTTCCTGGGTCCAGTGAATTTGATCTCATGCTGAAAGTCTTGGGCTAATATTAATGAATGTTCACTCAACAACAATGCCAGAAGAAAAAGGCACCTACCATCTGTCTTGGACACTTTGCCACTCTATAAGCCTACTTAAAGGCATGTGGCAGAGTAGAAAGAGCCCCAGAATGAGAGCCAGCAGCCTTTACCTGGCTGTTGACCTTGATTGTGTCTTCTCAGGCATGGGGGCCTGATACCCTGTGGCATGTTCAGGATCTGCTGGGACTTGACGTGCTGGTAGCAGAGGTTGTTGTGAGGAAGCGGTAGGAGATGAGGCAGCAGAAAAGTGGGCCCGATCATGAAGGGTTAGGCTCTCCTTAGAGTGGGGGACTAATTCCAAGGTTGGTGGGAGAACAGAGAATTTTTTTTTTTTCTTGAGACAGAGTCTTGCTCTGTCACCCAGGCTGGAGTGCAGTGGCATGATCTCAGCTCACTGCAACCTCCACTTACTGAGTTCAAGTGATTCTCATGCCTCAGTCTGCCAAATAGCTGAGACTATACCATCATGCCCAGCTAATTTTTGTACTTTTAGTAGAGATGGAGTTTTACCATGTTGGCCAGGCTGGTCTCAAATTCCTGACCTCAAGTGATCCACCCGCCTCGGCCTGCCAAAGTGCTGCGATTGCAGGCATGAGCCACCGCGCCCAGCCCGGAGAACTCTTTTAAATGGGAGAATGGCTCTTTTCATTGGCTTGTAAATTTCCAGAGGATCTTTGCCCATATGTAATCACATTTATTCCCTTGCTTGTAGTCCTTCGTGAGTTTCCTGTTTGTCACAAGACAAAGTCCAGGCTCCTTGGTGAAGCTGACAATGTTGGGCACAATCTGGCTGCTGCTAACCTCTCAGACCTCATTTATCTCCACTGTCCCTATATGTCCATCCTTAGGGAGCTGGGCCTAGACCTCCCCTGAATGGGCAGAGCTATCCGTACTTCTGGGCTCCTCTGTCCCTCACCTCCCCTTTCCTTGGTAAATGTGCACTCTTATCCAGAGTCTGCTCAAATATCACCTTTCTGGGCCTTCCTTGACATCTCAATGCAGAGCTAAGTGCTTCTCGCCATGACTTTGTCTACTTCCATTATAGCACTGAGCACATTGCTGTGCTTGACTGTTGGCATGTTTGTTCCCACAGGCTGTGAGCCTATCACTCATCCATTCATTCACTCATTCCACAAATATTCTGACCAATAAATATACTAGGCACGGTTCCAGGCACTGGGATTTCAGCAGTGAACAAAATGGGCACAAATTCTGCCATCTTGAGACTTATTGCATGAAGAAATACAGACATTAAATAAATAAGTAACATATATAGAACGTTCAATGATTTGGCACCAAAGCTTCCATAGACTTCCTGAACAAATCTGGATGTATTTTAAAGGTGCAGCCAGCATGATTTTCAGATAGAGAAATCAAGTTTGATTCCAAAGCTTTGGCCTAACCATTTGGAAGTTTAGAGTTGCCATCAACTGAGACTTGGTTGAAGCAGATTTGTTGGGAAGATCTGGATCTCAGTACAGGACATGGAAAGTTTGAGATGCTTAACAAGATGTTCAGGTGGCAAAAGGTAGTAGAGAGCTGGATATATACTGATACATTGCAGGTATCAAATGTTTATTTGATAAAAGAAAAGTTCTGCCTATAACAGAATGGTAGCATGCTTACAAGAAGACCATGTACATGAAAGTGCTTTGCAAAGTTATCATGTTGTTCAAATGCAGAACAATTAGCTGTGATAATAATAACGTACTCTACAGACTAGAAAGAAAGGCAGAGTAGAAAATATATTTGATTTTCTTTTTAAAAGATTATAGCCAATAGACTGAGTCATTCACCCAACAAATCTTGATGGGGTTCTTAGGCAGAACTATTATTATCCAAAATTAATGCAAGATGACTTACAAAAAGGTAAACTAGTCGGAGAAATATTGTCTATATTGCCAAAAGGCCTAAAATTCACATTAACAAGTGATGGCAGAAGCCACTAGGGTGAAAGGAATGAATGATGGGCCACCAATTTTCCTATAGTTACTATATTCAGCAAATAGTTATCTTGGCATCGGTTAATTTTCAAACTAAAAACATATGAATCATTGCAAAGGTCATATTATTTCTTACCCAAACAGATAATTATTGCCCTCTTCCTTCTGCCACTCCTCCAAACATAATATTGAAGGATCAACTCTCTAGGCCACAAAACCATTAGAGGGAGGGTCTTCCACATGACTGTGGAAAAAATGAAAATAAACAGGAAATAAAGAAACATTAAAGTAACTGAGGCAATTTGGTCATCTGATCTTTAAAGTGTATCTCCTGTGGCATAAGCATGTATTTCAGAGACATGGGACTGAGGGAGGAAGACAGCAAATTATGGCAGAAAGAGAAGGAATATGTATGCCTATATAAAGGGTTTGGACAATGGGATGTGGATGGGAAGAGTGGAAAAATGACCACTAATATAGATGATGGCATTAAAGTTGGCATCTTGACAATACTATTGCTTTTCATCAGCTTCAGAACTTAATCCAATTGCCATTGCCTGAAAGACTTATAAAATTCTTCTGTACAAGAACTTTGGGAAAGGTCTTTTCCAATAAAGTGAATAAAGCATAACACATTAAGTTGTTTCTTTTTTCCTCAAAGGCAAGCTCATTTTACATAACAAGAGACAGGAGCTAAATGCTAATAGAAGCCAACATGGTAATTTATATATCTTAGCTGTTTAATTTTTTTATGGAACATGTCCTTTTCTCAGCATCTTTTCTATTTTCCACTGGTACCAATCATTTTGTAAGAAATCATAATTTCAGGTTGGACGCAGTGGGTCACGCCTGTAATCCCAGCACTTTGGGAGGCTGAGGCAGGTGGATCACTTGAGGTCAGGAGTTCAAGATCAGCCTGACCAACATGGTGAAACCCCATCTCTACCAAAACTACAAAAAATTAGCCAGGCATAGTGGTGCATGCCTGTAATCCTAGTTATTCAGAAGGCTGAGGCAGAATAGCTTGAACCCAGGAGGTGGAGGTTGCAGTGAGCCAAGGTTGCACCTCTGCACTCCAGCCTGGGTAACAGAGTGAGACACCATTTGAAAAAAAAAAAGATAATTTCATTTTTGGAATTCTAGTCAAAGGAAGCTACTAATTATTAAAAAGTTGTGCCAGGTGTGGTGGCTCACGCCTGTAATCCCAGCACTTTGGGAGGCTGAGGCAGGTGGATCATGAGGTCAGGAGATCGAGACCATCCTGGCCAACATGGTGAAACCCCGTCTCTACTAAAAATACAAAAATTAGCTGGGCATGGTGGTGGTGCGTGCCTGTAATCCCAGCTACTTGGGAGGCTGAGGCAGGAGAATTGCTTGAACCTGGGAGGCAGAGGTTGTGGTGAGCCAAGATTGTGCCACAGCACTCCAGCCTGGTGACAGAGCAAGACTCCGCCTCAAAAAAAAAAAAAAAAAAAAGTTGTATGCTTAAAGCATAGAAAAAGCAAAGCAAAACGAAAAACGCTGCTAGAGGAATGATGAATTATGAAGTATCCTTTTGATGAAATATTATGAACTATAACTATTATTTAGAAATGTTCACATTTACTTATTGGAAGGTTTCTATGTTTCTGCTTGAATGGTTAAGAAACAGCCCATAAAAACTAATTATACAGTCATAGAAGTGAAGGGACCCAAAGAGCGACCCCATCCATCTTTCTGATATTGGCAATTAACCATCTAAGCAGATGATAATCTGTCCTGTTTGTTAAGATTCCAGGAGTGTTCCTGTAGTACTACAGGCAAGGCCACATAAACAAAACAATTGATAGGTCTTCAGACAGCCAGGATATGATTGCTTAAAATTTATAGATAAATGGATTCTATACAACTGATTACTTAGCAAAGTTTTTATAAGAGTTAATAGATATAAGATGAAAGATTGGGAGCCAGTGGTTCCATAGCTTAAATGACTCATGAGTAACAACTAAGAAAATCAGATTGTTTTTCTTAAAATATAAAAATATACTATATATATATTTAAAAACAGAAAATAGGCCGGACGCTGTGGCTCGCACCTGTAATCCCAGCACTTTGGGAGGCCGAGGTGGGCAGATCGCCTGAGGTCAGGAGTTCGAGACCAGCCTGGCCAACATGGTGAAACCTTGTCTCTACAAAAAATACAAAAATTAGCTGGGCATGGTGGCATGTGCCTGTGGTCCCAGCTACTCTGGAGGCTGAGGCAGGAGAATCGCTTGAACCAGGGAGTTAGAGGTTGCAGTGAGCCGAGATCGTGCCACTGCACTCCAGCCTGGTGACAGAGCAAGACTCCGTCTCAAAAAAAAAAAAAAAAAACCCCAGAAAATAACAAATGTTGGTGAGGATGTGGAAAAACTGGAACCCTTGTGCACTGTTGGTAGAAATGTTAAATGGTGTAACTACTATGAAAAACAGTATGCAGATTCCTCAAACATTTAAAATAGAATTACTATATTATCCAGAAATTTTACTTCTGGGTATATGCTCAAAAGAATTGAAAGCAGGGGTTCAAAAAGATATTTGTACACCTATGTTTATAGCAGCATTATCCATAATAGCCAAAAGGTGGAAGCAACTCAAGTGTCTATCAACAGATGAAACAAAATGTGATAGTTCCATAGTCATTACGGGATATAATTCAGCCTGAAACCGGAAGGAAATTCTGACACATGCTGTAACATGTATGAATCTCGATGGGATTATGCTAAGTAAAATAGGCCAGTCACAAAAGGACATTACATGAGACACCTAGAGTAGTCAAATTCATAGAGACAGAAAGTAGAACGGTGGTTGCCAGGGGATCAGAGGATGGAAAAATGGGGAATTCTCGTTGGGTGGGTACAGATTTTCAGTTTTGCAAGATGAAAATAATTCTGGAGATGGGTGGTGATAGTTGCACAACAACATGAATGTACTTAATGTCACTAAATTGTACATGAAAAAATAAGATGGTAAATTTTATGTTATGTGTATTTTACAATAATAAGAATAGATAGATAGATCTATAGATAGGAAAGAGAGAGAGAGGAGAGAGAGAGAGAGAGAGAGAGATGATAGATATCTAGGCCAGTGTTTTTTAACCTCCTTTCCATTATGGCTTCCCCAACAAATAACCTTTTTCAACTTTTTTTTTTCCCCTACTCTCCCCCTACAAAGAAATATTAACACCAGAGATATGCCATAGATTTGCTTATGTGCAATGTGTGTATCTGTGCTTCATATATAAAAAGAATAAGATTTTTTTTGTCCTCCAAGAACCACTTTCCACCTGGGCATTATCCCCCCATATAGAATGTATGTATTAGGCTGTGGTGACATGAGATCAGAATCTATGAAGGCAAAACACAGGATTTTTGATGGGCATATGTTAAAAGCACAGGCATATGTTAAAAGCATATGTTAAAAGTAGAGATTACAAATCATAGACTCAAAGAAACCTATATGCGCAAATATAAAAACCATTCATACATTCTTTTATTTAACAGATATTTTCTAAGCACCTACTATGTGTTAGGCCCTGTGCTAGGCAATGAGAATAAAATGATGAACAAAAATAGACATGTTCCTTACCCTTACAGTACTTTGTAATCCAGTGGGTGAGATAAATATTGGTCAAAAATCACACAAATGAATGTAAAACAGGGACATCAAGTTCCTCAAAAGAGAGACTGAGAGCTCCTTGGTACTATAGGGAGGCTGGGGCAGGAGGGTTTTAAGGAAGTGACGATTGAGCTGAGGTTGGAAAATGAAAAGTCTTTAATTAGGTAAAAAGGAGAGGGAGACCTTTCCACAGAGTGGGGACAGCCTGTGCAAAGGACCTGTGGCCAGAGGGATCATGGCACCTATAAGAAACCAAAAGACAGGAGTGGTTGGGGCACAGACACGAGGTGGAAGGTGATGCACAATGGAACTTAGCTCTGAGTTTCTCAGCCTTGGCACGATTGATTTTTGGGGCCTGATAATTCTTTGCTGTGAGAAGCTCTCCTGTCCATTACAGGATATTTAACAGCATCCCTGGCCTCTACCCAGATGCCAGCAGTACCTCCCACTAAGTCATGACAACCAGAAGTATCTCCAGACATGGCCAAATGTCCTCTGGAGGGCAAAATCACTCTCAGCTGAAAAACACTGGACTAGAGGGATAGGCATGGGCCAGATTGTATGGCCCTGTTAAGGAGTTTTGCTTTATTCTGTGGCCCATGGGAAGCCTCTTAGGGATAGAAAAGGGGGAAGGGGGAATGACACAATCAGAATTGCATTTGTAAAAGTTCCCCAGCCAGCAGTGAGTAAAATGGAGAGGAGGGAAAGCCCAGGCCAGAGGAGTCATGGATAGACCATTTAAGAGGCTAGGCCAGTTTAGAAGCTCCTAGACTAGTCCTCATGAAATATAATAGCTTGGACTAGGGTAGTGGGTAGTGGAGATGGGAAGAAGTGAAACGGGAGAGTTCCCTGATTTCCCCTCGTAGAATGTGTGACAGGGATGTGGCTCGCCTGTTTCATGGCCCTGCCGCTCAAACCCCAAGGAGGAGCATGCAGACAGGCAGGTGCAGAGGCCAGGGCAAGTGCTTTGTGCTCTCAGCGCCACTTAGTGTCTAGCGGTGGGTGCCTGCAACCCGTGTTACAAAGCCCTTTCAGCTTTGCTGTCTGCAGATGGCTTGAGTGCTAATCAGCTCAATGGACCCTCTGCCTTATCACAAGGGCAGACGGCCAGTGCGACAGCCTTCTGTATCCCGAGCTCTTGCCCAGTGTCCCGGAAGAATCGGATCACACGCAGGCTTGAAGGATGAATGCAAGGTTTTATTGAGTGGTGGAGGTGGCTCTCAGTGAGATGGATGGGAAGCTAGAGGTGGAGGGGTGGGGGAGATAATCTTCTGAAGTTCAGCTGTTTTCGGCAGAACTCCTCTGGACGTTCAGAGGCCTCTTCCCTCCTTCTCTGTTGTGCTGCTCTGCTTTCTGCCTCTCTCTGCTGCTCTGTTCCTCTGTTCCTCTCAACATTCAGCTTCTTGCGTGTGTGCCCGCTAAGGTCTCAGGTTTATATGGGCACAGGATGGTGGGCCAGAGTGGTCTTGGAAAATGCAACATTCGGGCACAAAAGCAGGAGTACCTGTTCTCCCTTAGGTCTGAGGGCATAGGCCCAAGGGTGGAACCCTCACCCTTCTCTACTCAGCACTTCCCTGACCCACCTCCTATATCAGAAGTGGATGTATTTGAGAGACAGGAAGTAAAACTAACAGAACTTGGTGATAGATTGGACAAGTAGGGCGAGGCAGAAAGAGATGTCGTGAATGATTCATGCTAGAGGAAGTGGATGGGTGGTGGTGCTATTTAGTAAAATCGGCTGGAGATAGCCTGGGTTTGCGGGGGAAGATTTAATGATTTGATCATTGTTAAAATTGAGGGGGCTTTGAGATGCCCAGGAGCAGTTGCCAAATAGGTAATTGGATGTGCGGGTCCGGAGCTCTAGGGGGTCTGGATTGGAGGCATAAACTGGGGAGCAAATGGTCTAAAGGTGGTAATCTCAGCTATGAAAATGTCTGCCACCTCCTAGGGAAGGAACAGAGGAGGAAAAGAGGAGGTCCTAGGAGGCGGCTTGAGAGTGGCCATCATTTAAGGACTTGGTAGAGAAAAATAAATACACTTCACAGTGTCAGACAGAATGACCGGAAACTAGGCAAAATCAGGGAGAACGTGGAGTCCCAGATGCCCGGAGAAGAGAGTGAGTCAAGAATCAGGAAGCACTAAATTATATCAGATGCTCCTGAGAGATTACGTAAGATGATGAAAGAAAGTTTGTTGCATGTAGAGCAGTGGTCATTGTTGGTCTTAGTGAGGGTGGTTTGGGTGGCTCGATGGAGCCAAGGGCCAGATGGGAATGGGTTGAAGAGTGGGAGGTGAAGAAATAGAAATGGAGATTGTAGATAACATCTTGGGAGATTGGACAGTGAGGGGGAGGAGAGCCACACAGTGGAACCTGGGGAAGGGTGTGAGGAAGTTTCACAATGAGAGGGACGTGTGCACATTTCAGTGTCAAGAGTCCAGCGGAGAGGAGTGGGATATCCATGAAGGAGCAGGGATGCTGCTGAGGTGGGAGGCAGCGGCCCTAGAGAAGGGGGGCAACACTGTCCTCCACTGTGCGGAGGAAGGAGGAGGGGAGAGATGTGAGCCCTGGGGAGGCGGCGGAGAGTGGCGCGCAGAGGAGCTCCTCCTGGGAGTAAGAGGAGACTACGCCTGGGAGGGAGGGATTCCGAGGCTTGAGGAGAGTGGAGGTTGGAAATTGTGAAAATTATTATTAAAATAACGATTCTCAGGAAGCAGCAGATACTCAGTTTTCTAAGAAAAATAACATTATGATTGAAATACTTCTTACTTGTATTCGATTCCTAGGATTATCAAAACAAAGTACCACAAACTGTGTCTCACAATGACAGAAATTTATTCTCTCACAGTCTGGAGCCACAAATCCAAAATCCAGGTGTCAGCAGGACCGTGCTTTCTCTGAAGGTTCTAGAGGTGATAGTTCCTTGCCTCTTTCAGCTCCTGGTAGTTGCTGGCAACCCTTGGCAATCCTTGGCATTCCTTGACTCACCCTAGTCTCTACCTCTGTCTTCACATGACCTTCTCCCTTACGTGTCTGTCTCCAAATTTCGTAAGGATCACAGTCATTGAATTAGGCCCACTCTCATCCAGTATGACTTCATCTTAACTTGATTACATCTGCAAAGACCTATTTTCAAATAAGTTCTCATTCACAGGTTCCAGGTAGACATGAATTTTGGGGGACACTATTCAACTTAGTACATTAGTAAGCCATGAAACTGTGCTAACACATTTTAGAAGTACTTATAGAATTACAAGAAAAATAGTTTTAACCTAACATTTAAGGATTCCAAGTGCCTTACACTCATAGAGTCACATACTCCTGGCAGCTAACATAGTCTATAGTGTCTCCACAGTCCCCATGTTACAGATGAGGAAACGGAGGCTGGGAATAGCTGAATGACCTGCCCAGGATGAGATCCTGGCAGAGCCAGAGCCTGAACCCAGGCATTCTGACTCCAGAGACCACTCTAGGCTCTATTTCCTACCTTTCTCCAGTTGCTACTGAATTTGTCAGAAAAACAAACTAATCAGCTAGTTATCCACCTCAGGAACTACCTCTTCCTGCCAATATTCTTTGTTAATATGTTTTCTGCATACAGCTTTTTATACATTCAGAATATTTACAGCTTCATACTGGCAGCCCACTGTGTGGGAGCAGAAGCCTGCTGCTTGTCCATGTGGGATGGCAAAATATAGCTCTCCTTTTTCCAGTAACATCTGGGCTTGGCTTTCTTTCTCCAGGTCCACAGCGTCCAATTCATGGAGTTCTCGGAAGTGGAGAACCAGGATGACTACTACAGCACAGAAGCTGGCTGCATCCACACCCAGGACCAGCAAGGGGTGCATGTCATGTATGAGGAAGCCTTGAGTGATCTCAAGGAACTAGAGGCAGAGTTGCTGCTTGTGGCTAGCCATTACATTGAGAAAGAAAGGGGTGAGAAGTCAGATTTAAAAAAAAAAAAAAATCAACTGCCTAAATAAACAAAAAACACTAAGGGCTCCTTTTTAATACTCTCCACCCCAAAATATAAACACATATCCAATAGTATGTGAAAACTCAATAAGCGCACACTTCCCCCACCCCTAAAATGCATTCACTTTAGGAGAGACACAGTTCTGTTTCCAGCTCAAGCCCTGCTTCTGATAGAGATGGTGACTACTCTTTCAGGGCCGGGTTGTAATTCTTGCTGTGATTCAGACTCTGTTTGTTGACCAGGGACATTTCTTTTCTTTCTTTTTTTTTTTTGTTGTTGCAGCAGGAAGTTTCCTTTATAAATGGAGAGTTGGATGATACACAGTTCTAGCGTAAGGCCTCAGTCACTGGGCCCCAGGAGACAGAAAGGAGCAGGGCTGAGAGGGACGACATGCTCCAGGGCTCATGTCACACTGATATGTGCGCCAGGAATGACCGCCCATGTACTCCTAAAGTTCAACCCACCCACCAGTTCAGTCAAGAATTATGCTTTTAATTCTTCATGTTTGGCCACTGAAGATCAAATCCACCATGATAACAGGATTTCAGTACAACAGGCTCTTTCCAGTTACGACAGACAAAGATGTCCAGGCTCTTGATAAGAAACAAAAGTTCCTTTGACTTCTCTTGCGAGGACCGAAGAGATAAATGTTTTCTTTGTGATCTGTTGAAATGTTTATATAGACTTGAAAAAACAACTAACAGTCATTCTGTGCTCTGGTTCCCTGGAAGGTTTCTCATGATCTCCCCTTCAATAGCTAGAGGGCTTGTGTGTCAGGGAACAAAGAATTAAGACACTTTAAGCGATAAAAATCCTAGTGCAACACTCAGAGGCAGATCGTGGGCTTGAGGGGGCCGGAGGGGTGCGAGGCAGGTGCTTTGACTGAGGAGCAGGTGCTGCCTTCTGGGAAAGCCTAGTGGAGACAGAAGCAGGAGCAGGAAGCCCTGCCAGGGAAGGCCCAGTTTCTTCCTTGCTCTCCTGAGGTACAAGGGACAGCACGGCCCCTGCATTTTCATTTCTCAGGGCCAAAGACCTGACCTCTGACCCTCTACCCACTCTGGTGACCTGCACGCTAAATTGGGTGGTTTCTGACTAAAACAGGCTTAAGCCAAGAATTGGGATTTTACTCCCAGGGGCATTTCTGCGTCACCCACTGGGTGCAGGGGATGTGGTGCAGGACCCTGAAGGAAGGAAAGTAAGCAAGTGAAACAAATGACTTTTCTAAGTGGTAGACCTTGAGGAAACTGCATTTAGCAGCAGAGACAGCCCTGAGTTCCTAACAGGAAACCACTAGGATGCAAGAACATCTGGCTAGGAAAATGCCAGACAAGCCCCAGAGGAAGAAATCATTACTCAGGGTAATCAAGTAACCCATAACCTGTATTTTCTCTTCCTTTTGGCATCACTCAAATCGATCCAATTTTAGAAATGAATGAGGTAAGAATATTCTTTTGGGATACTATGACAGCATTGGAATTACACTTGCAAAGAGCTTAGAATTTCTAGACACATTGCAATACCTAAAGGGAAACTTAATCAGGGTTTGTGCTATTTTGTAATATGTGTAGACTGTAATTAAAGATAATTCACATTCATATTGTTATAAAATGCTGCTCAAAGAAAGTTTGACAACTAACTTTTCAGATCCTAGACAGAATTAATTTGATATAGGATTGAACTCTTTGTCCTGTCTTTGCCATTGGTATCTGAATCATAGGACGCAATGATGGCATCCAACATTCCAGGGTATTTAATTTCAGCCCTTAGCTTTTATCTTTACTGGTTATCCTACAAACCAATGCACCATTTGGTCCATATTAATTTATAATAGCATGCAACTATTTCTAGCTGCTAAGAATTTAACTGGACTGAGACACTTAGTCAGTAGTCATTTAACCACATGGGCATTTTTCAATTGAGCTGGTAAATGTATAGTCATCTATTGTGAAATGATTTCCCAACTGTTGCTACGGAAGTTCTTGATCATCTTTCTCTTGCTTAGTACCCATTAGATATGTGATAATTATTGAGCTTAAATTTCAGCACATGAAAGTATCTTATCTTTGAATATTTAATTCTGAAATACAATAGTTAAAAATTTAAAGCAATAATAATACCAGTAGTGAAAAGTAACGTGAACAAAGTTAAAAAAAATCAGCTGAATAATGAAAATTAACTTCATTGATTTAAGTTAGTAATTAACATAATTAAGGAATATCTTGGAAACGTTTCTGAAAATTTTCGACTTGGTTCACAATGATGGAAATAGCAAGTCAAACTAAGTTTGTTGTTAAACCCCCAGGGGTTTGTTTTTAGAGAAGGAGAAATGTATACTTTGCCTTTAAATTGTGGGTTTAAGGACATTTTAGCATAGATTTCTTGTTAACTAAATTTTGACTCTATTTCTAAGATTAGTCTTTGAAACTGAATTTTAAAAATAAAAACAAAAGCTCCTGTCGACTTAGAAGTCAACAAGTATGAAGTCAGGCTTTGTCCCAGGGACTGGTTCAGTATTTCTGTTTCTGAGATGGAGCTGATAATCCAAGGGGCACATTTCTAATTGGAACAGGTTCCTTGGAAGCCCTGTCTCTAAACATTCTCACCCTCTTTTCTCCCAGGTCACAAAGTGGGCAGCCAGCCAAAGAGTGGCCAGGAGTGGGGATGGGCCCATGCAGATGTGGACAGATTTGCTGTGCTGTATGACACGTGGACTTGGGAAGCAGCTCTTCTGGAAAACAAGCGCCAGGTATTCTTGCCTAGGAGACAAAATGTCTGCTAAAAAAACATTCTTACAAAATCCAGTCTTTTTTCTGTTTTTTGTTTGTTTTTGTAAAACCCAGTTAGACTTTTAGAAAAGCTCTCAACCAAGAGAATAATTATTTTATTTAAATAATCTCAGCTAATTATAAGGATGTAATACATTTTATTTTCTTTACTGAGGTTCATCACAAAAAACAAAATGTGAAAGATACTTCTTTATCTTACAGGTATTATTTGTTAGAGGGCTACGTAATTCCTTCTTATAATATGTATGTTTTTAGTGAGAATGAATGATGATTTCATTCATGCTCATTGTGCAGTCACAGGGACAATGCTCACTTTGCTAATTACAGACAAATTGACCTGATCATGGCCTTTAGAAGCGTATGCCACATGTGGGTAGGTGAAAGCAATTGGACAGGGTGCTGAGTGCAATGTTATGAGGGTGAGTTTAAAGCAATGAAACAGCAAGTTACTAAATCATCACTGTATCACGAATGGTTCATATCCCAATAATGAATGAAACACTGCAGGTTTACTGTTCTTCATTTGTGCCCTTAGCATGGATTATGAGCCCTTCTAATAATCACCAATTGTTAGGCATTTACTTACCAAATATGAAGTATTTACTCCGCCAGGGACTGTTCCAGGCATTCAGGGACCTATAGATAACTAAGTGAAAATGATCTTTATCTTTAAGGAATTTATCATCTATAAAAGTTGATTCAATCTCCAAGCAAAAATTATAATCTAGTTACTAACAGCTTATAATTGAATACATTCATGAGTCATGGGGACTCTGCAGAGAGAGAGATTTGTCCTGGGGGAGGGGAGCACTGTCCGATGGAAGAAATGCTAGAAAGCCTTTCCAGAGGAATAGATATTTAATCTTGATACTAAAACATGAGTAAGATATTGTCTGGCAGGGAAGAAAAGATTCTTAAGCAGACGAAATGGCATTAGAATGTCAGGGCAATGTAAATGGGAAGGACCAGCTTGGGGGATTTTATTTTGAGAAATAAAATCTTACCTTCTTGGAGGATGGTAGGAAGACTGTTATGGCTGGGATGTAAAGGCATGATGGATGGCAACAAGCCACACATGTGTTTTGGGTGCAGCCTGTAAAAGACCTACTAGTTATATTATTTTAGAGTTTGTCTTACAAACAAAGAAGAGCCATTAGTGAGTTTCCATAGAGAGAAATATGATCATAGCTGTGTTTTTAACAGCTATCTTGGGTGTAAGTGAGAGAATGGATTGGAATAGAGAGCCCCTGAGAAAAGAAGTGCAGTTGTTGCAACAGTGACCTGAAAAATTAGGAGGGGACATGCAATGACAATAGAAGAATAGAAAGGCAGAGAGGCGGTGAGAATAGGAAGGAGGAACAGACCTGAGAATACTTTGCAGAAGTGGAAATGGCAGGATTTGAAGACTGGATCTGGAAGTTGGGGCGAGAGAGTAAGGGTGGAATTTAAACAACTTCCTGAGGATTAGGGAGGAGGCTATTAACTGAAACTGAACCCAGGAAGAGGAAGAGTGTCTTTAGACAGGAAAATAACGTAGGCCCTAGGACAACAAGGCATTTGAGGGGGTTTGCTGAAACTCAGATGTGAATGTTTTGTGGGGAGCTACAGGTTTGAAGCTCAGGAACAGGTATGAGCTGAGGTATGAATGCAGAGGTTGAACCACAATGATGAATCAAAACAACTGGGAGAAGCTAGAGGTGTCTGAAATGAAGCCCTAAGTAATGTACCTACTTTTTTTTTTCTTTTTGAGATAGTATCTTGCTCTGTCACCTAGACTGGAGTGCAGTGGCACGATCTCAGCTCACTGCAACCTTTGCCTCCCAGGTTCAGGCGATTCTCATGCCTCAGCCTCCTGAGTAGCTGGGATTACAGGTGCCCGCCACCATGCCTGGCTAATGTTTTGTATTTTTAGTAGAGACAGGGTTTCACCATTTTGGCCAGGCTGGTCTCAAACTCCTGACCTCAAGTGATCCACCTGCCCTGGCCTCCCAAAATGCTGGGATTACAGGCATGAGCCACCACACCCGAACCCTGAGTAATATACCTACATTTAAGGGGCAGGTCATGAAACAAGAAGCAGTGAAACTAAATAGACCAGAGAAACAAGGAAGAAATAGTA
This sequence comes from Homo sapiens, assembly GCF_000001405.40. NCBI lineage: Eukaryota > Metazoa > Chordata > Mammalia > Primates > Hominidae > Homo > Homo sapiens. The sequence continues at coordinate 109,244,466 of NC_000006.12, forward strand.
TTGTGGGAACCAACAGAAAAATAAGTTTTAATTAGGAGGGGGTGGTTACTTGTGGAGTTCTGTGAAACGTCAAGAAAGGAACTCCTAAAAACCAAGCAGCTTGGTCAGGTGGTCATTGGCAGCATTGCAGGACTCTTTCAGGGGCATGGTAGGGGTGGAAACCAGGTTATAGTGCACTATGATGTGGTCAGAAGATGGGGAAATGGCAGTGTTTTCTTTGAATTGTTTTTCTAGTAGAATAGATGCTTCACCATTTCATCTACTCTCTGGTTGGTCTGTTACTCCTAGAGATGTAGGTCACCCACCCTTTGGAAAACAATTGGCTGGGCTTAAATAGCGCAAGCCTTGGACTTTGAAAAAATGTTCCTCTTTTCAATGATAACTGGCTTCTACAGCCTTTGTCTGGAGGCTTAATCTGCCCATCAGAACCTTAACCAACTGAGTGAGAGATTTAGATGCACAGTGTAGTAATGGAATGGCTGTATGAAATATAAATAAGACAGGATCCTTAAACTCAACAAGTTTATCAGTCCAGGCGTGAATTTTTTTTTTTTTTTTTTTTTTTGAGACGGAGTCTCACGCTGTCGCCCAAGCTGGAGTTCAGTGGCACAATCTGGGCTCACTGCAAGCTCCGCCTCCCGGGCTCACGCCATTCTCCTGCCTTAGCCTCCCAAGTAGCTGGGACTACAGGCGCCTGCCACCATGCCCGGCTAATTTTTTTTTTATTTTTTTCTTTTCCTCAGTATAATTTTCTTTTTTTTTTATTATTATACTTTAAGTTTTAGGGTACATGTGCATATTGTGCAGGTTAGTTACATATGTATACATGTGCCATGCTGGTGCGCTGCACCCACTAACTCGTCATCTAGCATTAGGTATATCTCCCAATGCTATCCCTCCCCCCTCCCCCCACCCCACCACAGTCCCCAGAGTGTGATATTCCCCTTCCTGTGTCCATGTGATCTCATTGTTCAATTCCCACCTATGAGTGAGAATATGCGGTGTTTGGTTTTTTGTTCTTGTGATAGTTTTCTGAGAATGATGATTTCCAATTTCATCCATGCCCCTACAAAGGACATGAACTCATCATTTTTTATGCCTGCATAGTATTCCATGTTGTATATGTGCCACATTTTCTTAATCCAGTCTATCATTGTTGGACATTTGGCTTGGTTCCAAGTCTTTGCTATTGGGAATAATGCCGCAATAAACATACGTGTGCATGCGTCTTTATAGCAGCATGATTTATAGTCCTTTGGGTATATACCCAGTAATGGGATGGCTGGGTCAAATGGTATTTCTAGTTCTAGATCCCTGAGGAATTGCCACACCGACTTCCACAATGGTTGAACTAGTTTACCGTCCCACCAACAGTGTAAAAGTGTTCCTATTTCTCCACATCCTCTCCAGCACCTGTTGTTTCCTGACTTTTTAATGATTGCCATTCTAACTGGTGTGAGATGGTATCTCATTGTGGTTTTGATTTGCATTTCTCTGATGGCCAGTGATGATGAGCATTTTTTCATGTGTTTTTTGGCTGCATAAATGTCATCTTTTGAGAAGTGTCTGCTCATGTCCTTCGCCCACTTTTTGATGGGGTTGTTTGTTTTTTTCTTGTAAATTTGTTTGAGTTCATTGTAGATTCTGGATATTAGCCCTTTGTCAGATGAGTAGGTTGCGAAAATTTTCTCCCATTTTGTAGGTTGCCTGTTCACTCTGATGGTAGTTTCTTTTGCTGTGCAGAAGCTCTTTAGTTTCATTAGATCCCATTTGTCAATTTTGTCTTTTGTTGCCATTGCTTTTGGTGTTTTGGACATGAAGTCCTTGCCCATGCCTATGTCCTGAATGGTAATACCTAGGTTTTCTTCTAGGGTTTTTATGGTTTTAGGTCTAACGTTTAAGTCTTTAATCCATCTTGAATTGATTTTTGTATAAGGTGTAAGGAAGGGATCCAGTTTCAGCTTTCTACATATGGCTAGCCAGTTTTCCCAGCACCATTTATTAAATAGGGAATCCTTTCCCCATTGCTTGTTTTTCTCAGGTTTGTCAAAGATCAGATAGTTGTAGATATGTGGCGTTATTTCTGAGGGCTCTGTTCTGTTCCATTGATCTATATCTCTGTTTTGGTACCAGTACCATGCTGTTTTGGTTACTGTAGCCTTGTAGTATAGTTTGAAGTCAGGTAGTGTGATGCCTCCAGCTTTGTTCTTTTGGCTTAGGATTGCCTTGGCGATGCGGGCTCTTTTTTCGTTCCATATGAACTTTAAAGTAGTTTTTTCCAATTCTGTGAAGAAAGTCATTGGTAGCTTGATGGGGATGGCATTGAATCTGTAAATTACCTTGGGCAGTATGGCCATTTTCACGATATTGATTCTTCCTACCCATGAGCATGGAATGTTCTTCCATTTGTTTGTATCCTCTTTTATTTCCTTGAGCAGTGGTTTGTAGTTCTCCTTGAAGAGGTCCTTCACATCCCTTGTAAGTTGGATTCCTAGGTATTCTATTCTCTTTGAAGCAATTGTGAATGGGAGTTCACTCATGATTTGGGTCTCTGTTTGTCTGTTATTGGTGTATAAGAATGCTTGTGATTTTTGTACATTGATTTTGTATCCTGAGACTTTGCTGAAGTTGCTTATCAGCTTAAGGAGATTTTGGGCTGAGACAATGGGGTTTTCTAGATATACAATCATGTCGTCTGCAAACAGGGACAATTTGACTTCCTCTTTTCCTAATTGAATACCCTTTATTTCCTTCTCCTGCCTAATTGCCCTGGCCAGAACTTCCAACACTATGTTGAATAGGAGTGGTGAGAGAGGGCATCCCTGTCTTGTGCCAGTTTTCAAAGGGAATGCTTCCAGTTTTTGCCCATTCAGTATGATGTTGGCTGTGGGTTTGTCATAGATAGCTCTTATTATTTTGAAATATGTCCCATCAATACCTAATTTATTGAGAGTTTTTAGCATGAAGGGTTGTTGAATTTTGTCAAAGGCTTTTTCTGCATCTATTGAGATAATCATGTGGTTTTTGTCTTTGGCTCTGTTTATATGCTGGATTACATTTATTGATTTGCGTATATTGAACCAGCCTTGCATCCCAGGGATGAAGCCCACTTGATCATGGTGGATAAGGTTTTTGATGTGCTGCTGGATTCGTTTTGCCAGTATTTTATTGAGGATTTTTGCATCAATGTTCATCAAGGATATTGGTCTAAAATTCTCTTTTTTGGTTGTGTCTCTGCCCGGCTTTGGTATCAGAATGATGCTGGCCTCATAAAATGAGTTAGGGAGGATTCCCTCTTTTTCTATTGATTGGAATAGTTTCAGAAGGAATGGTACCAGTTCCTCCTTGTACCTCTGATAGAATTCGGCTGTGAATCCATCTGGTCCTGGACTCTTTTTGGTTGGTAAACTATTGATTATTGCCACAATTTCAGCTCCTGTTATTGGTCTGTTCAGAGATTCAACTTCTTCCTGGTTTAGTCTTGGGAGAGTGTATGTGTCGAGGAATTTATCCATTTCTTCTAGATTTTCTAGTTTATTTGCGTAGAGGTGTTTGTAGTATTCTCTGATGGTAGTTTGTATTTCTGTGGGATCGGTGGTGATATCCCCTTTATCATTTTTTATGGTGTCTATTTGATTCTTCTCTCTTTTTTTCTTTATTAGTTTTGCTAGCGGTCTATCAATTTTGTTGATCCTTTCAAAAAACCAGCTCCTGGATTCATTAATTTTTTGAAGGGTTTTTTTGTGTCTCTATTTCCTTCAGTTCTGCTCTGATTTTAGTTATTTCTTGCCTTCTGCTAGCTTTTGAATGTGTTTGCTCTTGCTTTTCTAGTTCTTTTAGTTGTGATGTTAGGGTGTCAATTTTGGATCTTTCCTGCTTTCTCTTGTGGGCATTTAGTGCTATAAATTTCCCTCTACACACTGCTTTGAATGCGTCCCAGAGATTCTGGTATGTTGTGTCTTTGTTCTCGTTGGTTTCAAAGAACATCTTTATTTCTGCCTTCATTTTGTTATGTATCCAGTAGTCATTCAGGAGCAGGTTGTTCAGTTTCCATGTAGTTGAGTGGTTTTGAGTGAGATTCTTAATCCTGAGTTCTAGTTTGATTGCACTGTGGTCTGAGAGATAGTTTGTTATAATCTCTGTTCTTTTACATTTGCTGAAGAGAGCTTTACTTCCAAGTATGTGGTCAATTTTGGAATAGGTGTGGTGTGGTGCTGAAAAAAATGTATATTCTGTTGATTTGGGGTGGAGAGTTCTGTAGATGTCTATTAGGTCCGCTTGGTGCAGAGCTGAGTTCAATTCCTGGGTATCCTTGTTGACTTTCTGTCTCGTTGATCTGTCTAATGTTGACAGTGGGGTATTAAAGTCTCCCATTATTAATGTGTGGGAGTCTAAGTCTCTTCGTAGGTCACTTAGGACTTGCTTTATGAATCTGGGTGCTCCTGTATTGGGTGCATATATATTTAGGATAGTTAGCTCTTCTTGTTGAATTGATCCCTTTACCATTATGTAATGGCCTTCTTTGTCTCTTTTGATCTTTGTTGGTTTAAAGTCTGTTTTATCAGAGACTAGGATTGCAACCCCTGCCTTTTTTTGTTTTCCATTTGCTTGGTGGATCTTCCTCCATCCTTTTATTTTGAGCCTATGTGTGTCTCTGCACGTTAGATGGGTTTCCTGAATACAGCACACTGATGGGTCTTGACTCTTTATCCAATTTACCAGTCTGTGTCTTTTAATTGGAGCATTTAGTCCATTTACATTTAAAGTTAATATTGTTATGTGTGAATTTGATCCTGTCATTATGATGTTAGCTGGTGATTTTGCTCGTTAGTTGATGCAGTTTCTTCCTAGTCTCGATGGTCTTTACATTTTGGCATGATTTTGCAGTGGCTGGTACCGGTTGTTCCTTTCCATGTTTAGTGCTTCCTTCAGGAGCTCTTTTAGGGCAGGCCTGGTGGTGACAAAATCTCTCAGCATTTGCTTGTCTGTAAAGTATTTTATTTCTCCTTCACTTATGAAGTTTAGTTTGGCTGGATATGAAATTCTGGGTTGAAAATTCTTTTCTTTAAGAATGTTGAATATTGGCCCCCACTCTCTTCTGGCTTGTAGGGTTTCTGCCGAGAGATCCGCTGTTAGTCTGATGGGCTTCCCTTTGAGGGTAACCCGACCTTTCTCTCTGGCTGCCCTTAACATTTTTTCCTTCATTTCAACTTTGGTGAATCTGACAATTATGTGTCTTGGAGTTGCTCTTCTCGAGGAGTATCTTTGTGGCGTTCTCTGTATTTCCTGAATCTGAACGTTGGCCTGCCTTGCTAGATTGGGGAAGTTCTCCTGGATAATATCCTGCAGAGTGTTTTCCAACTTGGTTCCATTCTCCCTGTCACTTTCAGGTACACCAATCAGACGTAGATTTGGTCTTTTCACATAGTCTCATATTTATTGGAGGCTTTGCTCATTTCTTTTTATTCTTTTTTCTCTAAACTTCCCTTCTTGCTTCATTTCATTCATTTCATCTTCCATTGCTGATACCCTTTCTTCCAGTTGATCGCATCGGCTCCTGAGGCTTCTGCATTCTTCACGTAGTTCTTGAGCCTTGGTTTTCAGCTCCATCAGCTCCTTTAAGCACTTCTCTGTATTGGTTATTCTAGTTATACATTCTTCTAAATTTTTTTCAAAGTTTTCAACTTCTTTGCCTTTGGTTTGAATGTCCTCCCGTAGCTCAGAGTAATTTGATTGTCTGAAGCCTTCTTCTCTCAGCTCGTCAAAGTCATTCTCCATCCAGCTTTGTTCCGTTGCTGGTGAGCAACTGTGTTCCTCTGGAGGAGGAGAGGCGCTCTGCGTTTTAGAGTTTCCAGTTTTTCTGTTCTGTTTTTTCCCCATCTTTGTGGTTTTATCTACTTTTGGTCTTTGATGATGGTGATGTACAGATGGGTTTTTGGTGTGGATGTTCTTTCTGTTCGTTAGTTTTCCTTCTAACAGACAGGACCCTCAGCTGCAGGTCTGTTGGAATACCCTGCCGTGTGAGGTGTCAGTGTGCCCCTGCTGGGGGGTGCCTCCCAGTTAGGCTGCTCGGGGGTCAGGGGTCAGGGACCCACTTGAGGAGGCAGTCTGCCCGTTCTCAGATCTCCAGCTGCGTGCTGGGAGAACCACTGCTCTCTTCAAAGCTGTCGGACAGGGACATTTAAGTCTGCAGAGGTTACTGCTGTCTTTTTGTTTGTCTGTGCCCTGCCCCCAGAGGTGGAGCCTACAGAGGCAGGCAGGCCTCCTTGAGCTGTGGTGGGCTCCGCCCAGTTCGAGCTTCCCGGCTGCTTTGTTTACCTAAGCAAGCCTGGGCAATGGCGGGCGCCCCTCCCCCAGCCTCGCTGCTGCCTTGCAGTTTGATCTCAGACTGCTGTGCTAGCAATCAGCGAGACTCCGTGGGCGTAGGACCCTCCGAGCCAGGTGCGGGATATCATCTCGTCGTGCGCCGTTTTTTAAGCCGGTCCGAAAGGCGCAATATTCGGGTGGGAGTGACCCGATTTTCCAGGTGCGTCTGTCACCCCTTTCTTTGACTCGGAAAGGGAACTCCCTGACCCCTTGCGCTTCCCAAGTGAGGCAATGCCTCGCCCTGCTTCTGCTCGCGCACGGTGCGTGCACCCACTGACCTGCGCCCACTGTCTGGCACTCCCTAGTGAGATGAACCCAGTACCTCAGATGGAAATGCAGAAATCACCCGTCTTCTGCGTCGCTCACGCTGGGAGCTGTAGACCGGAGCTGTTCCTATTCGGCCATCTTGGCTCCTCTTCCCTTTTTTTTTATTTTTTAGTAGAGACAAGATTTCACCATGTTAGCCAGGATGGTCTCAATGTCCTGACCTCGTGATCCACCCGCCTCAGCCTCCCAAAGTGCTGGGATTACAGGCGTGAGCCATCATGCCCGGCCTAGGCATGAATTTTAAACAGCACCCCCACTTTCTGTACTCTCTCTCCCTACCTTCCCTTTCAATGCCTCTGGGCCTCCTTTGGAGGCGCCCGGCAGGACTCAATGGCAATAGAAGAGGAGGAAGGCAGAGAAGACTGAAAAACGAACCAATTTCTCCACACTTCATCTTAGGATTCATTCTGTGGTAAGGTGTCGGGATTGTCCACTAGTTCCTTCTATGGTAAATGAAACTATTTTGACTTAAAAACATTTGGTGAAAATATCTCCCTCATTTCTATCCTGAGAATAAATTCCCTGTAGAAACTGAGCTATCAGTGCGAAAAGTGTAAAATATGGCCAAGTCAGAAATTTTGTCAAAAGAGCCTATTTTTAATGGATAAGCCAGATTTCTATCTAAAGTAGTTGATTTGCCCTGGTACTATTTCTACAGCCAAGTTTCCTCAGCTGTTTTTGATTGTTAAATATATTGGTATCACTAGGGTTAAGAATTGCTTGAACATATTGGGTTCTTTTAAATCCTTAAAATAACCATATTATGTATGAAGGCTCATAAAATTAGAGCTGGTAGAAACTTAGGTAGATCAAGGGATTCTTAGAAAAGTCAGTTATCAGCTGTACCAGCTCCAAAGTGACACTGTACCATCTGCTAAGTCTTTCTACAGCTACTGAAGGACACATGTACTGGATAAAAAGATCATTCCTTAGAAAAGCCAAAAAGAAAATTTCCTGTGCTAAGTTGGGTCTAGCAAAGATTTTCTGTTTTGCACTTTCATTTGACCTAAAATACTATTTTAGAAGTTTTTTAAATCCCAGAAATAAAAAATTTGAAGTAAAAAGAATATAAACACAGTAAGGTTTGAGATTATTTATTTTGTCTATTTTCCCATTTTCTCCAATATTTTGTGCTTACCATCAGCATGCATCACATATTTTCTTGCCTGAGAGTTGGCCCTTGACACACACAGGTGACATTTGACAGACTGGGAAGACTTCTTAAACAAATACCAGCCCAGAGTTGAAATGGAAATGGGCCAGTTAGCAAACAGATAATAAATAGAACCCATGAGGCAGAAAGATCTTGGCCCCATCCCTGTTGGGAAAGAATTCATAATAAAATTATGCAACGGTCTGAGAGCCTCTCGAGGTTGAGCACAAAGCTTGAAGAAGCTTCATCAATTTAAAAAGAGAGCCACAGTTTCTTTCCCCACAGTTAGGTTTACCAGATAAAATAGTGCAATATTTGGGACATACTTATACTAAAAAAGTATTTTTTTTTTGAAATTCAAATTTGACTAAATGTTCTATATTTTTACTTGCTAAATCTGACAGCCCTATCAATAACAATAAAATGGCAATTTAGCATGGGCCTCTACAATCTGGTATCATCAGGTTGGAATCACCACCCAGAACCTTTCCTCCACCCCCAACTCCCCACAAACTCCTCCTGCTAAATAACCAAACAATTGGACTCTTTGTGCAAAAACAGGTCAAGGAAGTATAAATACGATAAATCAGCTTCTGGGATTGCCCTGGCCCAGCTAAAAAAGGTTCAAGTGAGTCCAGAATGGTTAGGGAAGTAATTGTTTCTTTCCTAATCTTCACCTGGGGCTACTGAGGGACACCCTTCTTACCCCCATCCAGTCATTCTTCCTTCATTTCTGTGTTGTCTTCTGCTATGTAATAATTGAGCGTTATTATAGAGCAGAGGTTGGTGGATGGAACAAGGTAACCAAGATCACTCAGCTGGCCTCATTTTCCCTAGGGCTCATTTAAAGGCAAGGATGGTCTCCACCTTCCCTCACTTTGCACTCTTGATGTGTGAGTTTCTGACTTGTGAAGCATCTCTGTGACCTGAGCTTTTAGTTTCCTTTGGTGTTTCCCTTTTCATACTAAGGTTGATCCAAGGTCCCTTATACCCAAAGGATAGCCTACAAAACCAGGTGCTGAATAAAGTGCTTCAGGCTCTTCCTCCTTGAGCCTTAGCATTGGGTCTCCATAATAAAGTATCTCTTAATAAAGCAGTATTTGATTCCTAGTGTGCTATTCATTCTCAAGGGTTCAACTCTTTTGTGTAGAGGAGGAAAAACTTTTTCCTCTGCCTTCTTAGATTGAGTGCCTGGGCCCTGAAAATGAAACTGACAAAAGACAGATTAACAGGAGAAGGGATTTATTATGTACTGTACACATCAGAGCTACTTATCTTGCCCTAGGGTCCCAATTGGGAATTCCAACCCAGTGATCTCTGAAGAGCATTTTCTGATTAGCATCATGATTAATCACACACAAATAGAATTTACACACAGAACAGGAATTCCTTAAGCTCACAGACAAATGTAAAAGCAAAATCAACAGGCATCTCTTTCTGAATTCCCACACTAAGAACCCTCTTCAGCAGTTAGTGTCTGGAAGCTTTTCTGGGTTTTTAGAAAAGACTTGTGAACTCCACTAAAACAGATGCTCCACTGGGGTTTTGGACACTTGATGTCTTGGAGAGTTCTGTTTATAAGGCCCAACCTAGAGGAGTTGAGTCTGGGATAAATCACTTTGTATATAGGAAGCACATTTACCCTCAGCCTTCCATTCTACCACCTGTATCATTTTTGTGTAGGTGAAGTATGAACAAACTATTAAAGAGGAGGAGTCAAAAGCGGGGCTGAGACTGTAGAAGTCAGGCGACCACCTACCTAGCTTTGGTGATGGAATAAAATGGAAGAAGGAGAATGAGTCCTTGGAGAAAGGTGTTGGAGATAAATACATTTAAGTGTCTTAATGTGTTGTCTCATTGGAGCTAATAATTATTATATATGATAATTACATAACCCCTTTTTATTTGTGGAGACCAGAGGAAGAGGGGATGGAAGCAGGAACTCAAACTCAAGTCTAGGTCTGGCTCCAAAGCATGTGTTCTTTCCCTTTCCCTCTCTAACTCTGTCTGTAGGTTTACTAGCTGCACTGCATTGTATTGGTACTGCATCTGCCCACAGTACGATGGGGCCTCCCGTCGCTCTGCTGGGCCCCAAGGCTGCCTCTGCTGATCCCTGACTACCAACCTTATTTGCAGCTTCTTGACAGTTACTTTGAAGCCTACCAGCACACGTTGGACCCTGAGGAGAGGTTTACCTTAGCACAAGTGATGACGGACATCGTGCACCGACGCCCGAGGTTTGATCTCAGCCACCCCTATTTCATTAAGGCCTACCAAGAGGAATGCACCTGCCTGAGGCTTCACCTGCAGTTAGTGAGGGGCATCCTCAACCAGCAGGTGAGTGTAGTTGGGTTTTAAAAGACTGCATGTGAGAAGAGGATGGAAAACACAGGCCAGAAATGAAAATAGTGTTTTCCTTCCATTGCAGATCTGGAATCTGTGTTTTCTAGGCCAGCATGTACAGCAGACTTATTTGTAAGCTCATTTGCATTGTTGAAATCCCAGTATAACTATGGTCTTAAAGAGAGATTTCCGCCCCTAATTAGAGTTAATAGTCCACAAGGAATTGATGACCTTAGTTTTCATTAGATCGCGAAGTTTATTTGTAGTGAAAGGAGAACTAATGATATATCTTTTTGACATTAATGTATAAAATTGTGTTTATTTTTTAAAAAGTGTGATTATTTTTGGGACACTGAAAGAAACCATCATATTGTATGTCCTCTAGGGAAACGCTAATGGCTTGAAGCAAACAAGAGACAAAGGATTATTGCCACCTGGTTGAAATTTTTTCCATGTAGTCAACTATTTAACAGAAAGATTTCTCTTTTGCTTCTTAAAATTGTCTGAAGTCAGTTGCCTTTGCTTCCCTTGGCTGTCTGGCTCAGACTGAGAAACCAGCCCATTGCAAAAGAGTCTTCAAAACAATGTCGGGGTGAAAATTAGTCAAATGATGAAGAGACACAAAGGGACAAAATCCTTCTCATGTCAAGGCTTATAACTCATGGCCGTGGGAAAGTTTAACTTTTCTAATTTTAATATTTATGCTACATTTTTAGATAGAACGTCAGCGGGAGTATGTCCAGAGGCTTTGGCGAGAGGATCATCTGGACAATAGCAATACATTTGGACTTCCCCTTAATATAGTTTGCAAACAACTTATTTCCATCAACAATAGCTGGTAAGTTGATGTTGTCTTTAGACATTTTACATGTGATCTTCTAGATTAATTAAGGGTAGAGTGTTAAATCTCAGTACTACTCTATAAAGCACTTCTCAAGTGCTTGGGGGAGATGAAAGAAGTAGGTACAAAGGCCACGAAGGAGGGATTCCCTTGTATATTGAATATCTGTTTGTTTTGTGAATAATAAAGAATAGGAGGCTAGAATTTAAGCATATGCCACTGGGTACAGAATCATTATTCTCTTGAAAAGGCCTGGGGAAAAAGCAGTTACTCTTGAGATGCTGTCAGGATTTAACCAGATGCACCACACGAGCCTACACATATAAAACTTGGATGTGCTTAAAAGCTTCTTAAAAAGGAATTTAAGTGTACTAAAGAGGTTTCTGCAGATTTGCCTTGGAGGGTCACAGCAGAGTTAAATTTAAGGAACAGAGTTAAATTTCCTGTGACCACTCAGAGAGGGTACACACTTTGTCACCCCCTAGATAGGCAGCATAACCATCTACCTCATTCCCTTTTAACCTTTGAGGGTAGAGGAAAGTGGGAAGCAGGTGACAAGCCCCAGGTTGATCTGCGTGGCTCTAGATCATAATCTCTCAATTGCCTCCAAATGGGTGGAGAAATTACATACTTCCTTTCAACAACCAACAGATATTTGTTTAGCACACAGATATGAACAACACAGGCATGGTTCTATGTTCCTGTGAGGTATACAGTCCAACAGTAAAGGCAGACTTTGTGTAAGAAATTGCCATAATGGGTTATGGTATTATCTTGGGAGCAGGCAGGGCATCACGGGACCAAATAGGGGAGATTCTCATTTTTTGAGAAAGAGCCCCGGGCTCAAAACTCTGCATTTTCCCCATAGACCTTCCACAGGACTGATTTCTTCTCTGTAATAAACTTGAGACACCAGCTGTGTGTGTGCAGCTTGCTATGGCAAACATTTACTGTTCAGGAAATGGTTTTTGGCAGAACAGGCTAGGGTTATATGGATACTAAAACCTGCCAGAATAGTCTCAAAAGCAAGTATTATTTGCTTGGTGAGATTCCTTTCCAGACTTTAGGCTGTTTTTTGTTTTTTGTTTTTTTTTTTAAAGATTCGGGACTAAGAAAGATACCATTTGCATCAATGTAAAGGGAGTTACAATGTTCTTCAGTTCTGTGTAGGTATAGAAGGACCCTCGACTTGTGCTGAACCCTTTATATCTAAAGAAATAACCCACAGATGAGTTTTTTTTTTTTGCTTCTGGCCTCATCCATTTATGAAATATAACACCCTTACAGTCAATTTGAATGATTCCAGCAGTTACATACAGCATTTAAAAATTGTCTTTGTCCATTAACATTCTAGGAGAGCAGAGATAAAGATTCAGATGAAAAATAGAAACTAATAACCATGGAAATTATTTGTTTTTTATGTAGTCACTTTTGAGCTATTTTGTTATATATTTGAGTAAATATTGATTATTGACAGTTTTGCTGTATAGTCTTTTTTTTTTTTTTTTTGAGACGGAGTCTCTCTCTGTCACCCAGGCTGGAGTGCAGTGGCGCAATCTCGGCTCACTGCAGGCTCCGCCTCCCGGTTCACGCCATTCTCCTGCCTCAGCCCCCTGCGTAGCTGGGACTATAGGCGCCCGCCACCACGCCTGGCTAATTTTTTTTGTATTTTTAGTAGAGACGGGGTTTCACCGTGTTAGCCAGGATGGTCTCGATCTCCTGACCTCGTAATCCGCCCGCCCGGCCTCCCAAAGTGCTGGGATTACAAGTGTGAGCCACTGTGCCCGGCCTGTATAGTCTTATTCTTATTGAGCTTCTAGAATATACATCTGTGTCTTTCCGTTTTGAAAGGTTCACATTAAACAAAGAACATGTCATGCAACCCTGTTGGTTCTCATACTCTGAGGTCCCTCTGAGCTCTCAGTTTTTCATAATGCACTGGACATATAGAAGCTGTTTTATTGGTCTTTAAAAATATAAAATTCAAATATCTTCGGAAACAGATTAAGTTTGTTGTGTAAAATTGTCATTTGTTGTTCTTTTCTTCAAGCCCAGCTTCAAAAAATGTTTATCTGCTGGAGTTCCACCCTTCCCTCAGCCTGGCAGCACTTATCCCCAAAGCCCTAGAGCATCTCTTCCAAGAGGCCTGCCATGCCTGCAGACCCACATCAGCCAGTGGCCTTGCCTCCCTGGAGCGACATGTCCTGCAGCTGGCCCTGGACCTGTGGCTCACCCCAGCCACGCCTGAGGCCTGGTACAGTACACAGCTCCAGAAAGATGTAAGTTCTTTTTGAAGGGGGTAGTTGGGTCCTTGGCAAGGAGAATGTTTTTTTCCAGGTGTTACTATTTAGCTTTGTTTTTCTGTTTGGCTCTATTCCCCCATTATTTGGCTAGAGACAGAGCTCAGTCATAGGCCTTGTCAACATTTTTATGTCATTTTTTGGGGGATTGGGTCAAAGTTTCTCATTTATAAACATACTGCTACAATTAAAATTTAAAAGGTGATATACATGGGTATGTGGGAAATGTTTTCTGGTTTATTATTTATATTTTAACAAATACATTTTAATTAAAAATGATATATTTTCTTTCCACTAAGACACTTCCTAAATGTGTTCTTTTTGTCAAGATCTGGTAGAAGACAGAAAGCACTGAGTAAGGAGTCAGGGATCTGAATTCAAGTTCAGTCCTGCCATTAACTTGCTGTGTGACTCTGAGCATATATCTTAGCCTCTCTGACCTCACTTTCCTTTTTTTGTAAAACTATGTTTGTGTACTTGGTAGGGGAGGTAGGTGGAGGTGAGCTCGATGATCTCTGAAGCCCCTTTCAGCTCTACTGCTCCATGGTTAAAATTGTGGGTTAATGATTTATATGGTGTTTGTAGTTGGATTTTAATGATTTTCTTTTTCTGTTAAGGCTGTCAAGTTTACCCCTGGGTTTCCAATTTGACCTCATTCTGTGTGCGTTCTTGCTGTGTGACAAAGAAACTTTCATGGGCCCCCCACTGCCAAAACTGTCTGCTCTATAGGTCTGCCTTGGCCTCCTATCCCCTCCTGCCTAAAGTAAAAATTGATTTTATTTTACAGTGATCAAAATAATATAAAATCACAGAGAATTCTAGTAAAAGCAGAAAGAACAAAATTGAATTTAAACATCACCAATCAAATGCATTCATATCATTATTTTTCTGAATTTAAGTATTGTTAATATGTGTGTTGTTCACAGCTATAACCATAGTTTTTGTCCATTGTTATTTCCTCCTCTTCTCAGTTAACATTATACTACATATTTTTCCATAACACTAACTAGTCTTTAGACTTACCTTTATGACCACATAATTCCCATATCTGATGAATAAAAACTTCTCTAATCATTTCTCTATTGATGGACATTCAAGTGGTTTCCAATTCTTCGTTTATGAAAAATGCTATAAGATATATCTTTTTACTTAAAGATTTTTCCATATTTTGAATTGATTCCTTTTGATAGGTTCTTGGAAGCAGAATTACTAAAATAAAATTTAAATATTTGGATACATATTGGCAGATTGCTTTCCAAAGAGTTGTGCCAATTTATAATGGCACTTATATATTCTGAGTACCAGTTCTGCTATACTGTGTAGTATTAGGCAAAAGTATATGATGTATGTGCGAATATACACATATACATAAAAAGTGGTATTATGCTGTTAATTTGCATTTTCTTGCTATTTATTGAACTTAAATAGTCTTTCAAATGTTTTGTTGCTAATTATATTTTTTGTGAATTTTGTTCTTTCCCTTCATTTATTTATCTGTTGGAATCCTAACATTAGTCCTATCTACTTACATGAGCTTCTCTTAAATAAGAACTTTAACCTTCTTTTTGTCTATAATTTTCTACAAATGTTTCCCCATTCATTCCCCCACCACCTTTTTTTTTTTTTTTTTTTTTTTTTTTTTGAGACAGGGTCTCACTCTCTTGCCCAGGATGTAGTGCAGTGGCACAATCACAGCTCACTGCAACCTCAGTCTCCCCAGCTCAAGCTATTCTCCTACCTCAGCCTCCTGAGTAGCTGGGACTCTAGGTGCACACCATCATGCCCAGCTAAATTTTTGTATTTTTAGTAGAGATGAGGTTTCACCATGTTGTCCAGGCTGGTCTCCAACTCCTGGGCTGAAGCGATTCCCCCACCTTGGCCTCCCAAATTGCTAGGATTATAGGCACGAGTCACTGTGCCCAGCCCCCCCATTTGTCTTTCCATTTTTTTTAACATAAACTTATTTTCATATAGTCAAATCTATTAATCATTTTCTTTATGATTTCTTCTATCCTAAATTCAGAAAAAAAATCTTACTCCAGATATTTCATATTTGTCTTATTTGATTCTCATTTTTAAGTGCTTGGTTTTATTTTTAAAATATTTAACACTGCTGGGCGCAGTGGCTCGCAAGTGTAATTCCAGCACTTTGAGAGGCCATGGTGGACAGATCACTTGAGGCCAGGAGTTCAAGACCAGCCTGGCCAACATGGCGAAACCCCATCTCTACCAAAAATAGAAAATTAGACGGGCATGGTGGTGGGCACCTATAATTCCAGCTACTCAGGCAGCTGAGGCAGGAGAATCACTTGAATATGGGAGGTGGAAGTTGTAGTGAGCCGAGATCGCACCACTGCACTCCAACCTGGGTGACAGAGCAAGACTCCACCTCAAAATAAATGAATAAATAAATAATAAATAAAAATAAACAAAATAAAAATATTTAACTCTTTTAATATTTCACTGGAGAGAGAGAAAAAGAGAAAGAGAGTATGTGTGCATGCATCTGTGTGGTATGTGAGGTATGTATGAGTCAAAACCAAGTTTTTCCTCAAATTACCAGCAATTTATTCTGCTACCATTATTGAAGATTCTTTTCACATTGCCTTATGATACCACATTTAAAAGATGTATTTGAAATCCTTTTATAAATTATAATAAATATCTGGGATACCTGTCTAGTCTCCCATTGCTGTCACACAGTTTTATTATTTTTGAAATCTGTCCAAATTTGGACCTACAAGTGATAAATATTCAGATTAATATTTTATATTAGGTCAGAAAACGCCCTCAGAAGACATACAGGAATTTATTTAATAGGTCTATTTGTTACCACTTTGGAAAACTTTAAGAGCCTAGAAATTGCATCCTTTAGTAGCCCAGTCCTTTGGTAGATAAGTGGATAGACAAAGGAGC
Source organism: Homo sapiens (assembly GCF_000001405.40). Taxonomy (NCBI): domain Eukaryota; kingdom Metazoa; phylum Chordata; class Mammalia; order Primates; family Hominidae; genus Homo; species Homo sapiens. The sequence continues at coordinate 109,260,712 of NC_000006.12, forward strand.
CTATGTATCCTGGGGAGCCAAACCAGAGAGGCAGATTGGGGGGTCCCCAGACTGGGTGGTTGCTGGGAGTGGTATATTCGAAGACAGCAAAGATGTTAGAGCAGAGGTACCCACCAAGGCAGGAGGGTGTTAAAGGACAATGTGGTTACTTCACAAATCACCCAGAGCCAGCTCTGAGTGAAAGAATGCTGGAAAGGCAGTTTGGTGTACTATAAAACAGCTGAACTTGGAATTAGGAAGCCCAGATTTACTCTTGGTACTGCTTTGTGACCTTGGAAATTTTCATGTTGCTTCAGATCCCTCACTGACAAAGGGGAATAATGATACCTGTGACGCCTATTTCATAGGGATCTTGTGAAAATAAAAATGCGTTAATATATGTAAAAATACTTTGAAATTTTGAAACTGTAATTAGAGAGGTTTATTTAAAAAAAAAATTGTTGGCCGGGCGTACTGGCTCACGCCTGTAATCCCAGCACTTTGGGAGGCCAAGGCGGGTAGATCATGAGGTCATGAGATTGAGACTATCCTGGCTAACACAGTGAAAACCCATTTCTACTAAAAATACAAAAAAATTAGCCGGACGTGGTGGCACATGCCTGTAGTCCCAGCTACTCAGGAGGCTGAGGCAGGAGAATCGCTTGAACCCGGGAGGCGGAGATTGCAGTGAGCCGAGATTGCGCCACTGCACCCCAGCCTGGGCGACAGAGCAAGACTCCATCTCAAAAAAAAAAAAAATTATTATTGGCCACCAAAATACTTTTAAAAATCAGGGACGTCTATTTCTATTTAGCTTGTCTTTGGCATAGACAAAGTATCCCCACAGTGAATATCTAGGGATTTGTTTATTTAGACTCATAACATTTATAATAATGATAACAGCAGATACTTTTGCATATGTTAACCCATTTAACCCTCTCAAGAGCCCTATTAGGAAGTTAGTATCTATTTGCATACAGTAAGGACTGTTATTATCCTGATCATCACTTTATAGATGAGAAAATTGAGAGACAGCCAAATTGAGTACATTACCAAAATCTCACAGCTTCTAAGTGGCAAAGTTAGAACTTGAGCCTAGGAAATCTGGATCCAGAGTTTGTGCCACTGACAGACAGTATATTTTTTTAATGTGAAAATTCTTCTTCTATGTTTTAAAGGATATTTTGTTTTCTTTCAGCTGTTTTCAGCTAAAGTTATGGGAGATCCCTTTCTCGTGGGGGAGATAGGCCTGCTGGCATTCAAGTCTGCAGCAGACGAAGGACAGAAACAAGACCAAGACTCTCACGTGCTGCTCTTGGAGATGTTTTCCAAACTTCTGGAACTCTTGACCCTCCGCCACCGGCTGATAGAAATGAGCCTGGAGAGTGCACACTTAGCTCGGTCAGTGGGGGTCAGAGGACCCAGGTGGAATATAAGGTTTGCAGCAAAACATGGGGGGAAACAGGCCATGAGACTCCCTGCCTACAAGCCTGCCCCTCTCTGCTCCCAGAGCAGCCAGAGTTTTCTAAATGGCTAACACGATCACCTTGCTCCCTTGTTCCTTCTCTCTTCCGAGCCTCCCGAAATGCCTCTCTGATCACTCAACCAGGCTAAGCCCTTCTACTGGCACCTGGGTTTCCCCTCCATTCAGCCCATTTGCTTTTACTTCATTGCTTATTATTGGTTTACTGACTTTCCTGCTAGCATAAGCTCCCTAAATACAAAAGCCCTATCCACATTCTTTACCATGACATACCATCACCTGGTATGGGGCCTGAGCCACACCAGGCACTCAGGGAATATTGGTTGAATTTGCTCCTGAATGTAATGAAATTGAATAGAAAGAGCCTAGAGATGGGAGAGAGATGAGTCAGTGACAGCATCCAGGTCAGACAGAGGTATGGCGGGCTCGGCGCATAGGAGAAAGAAATTAGCGAGTTACGTTTTAGGTATGAGAGTGAGATGATGGTAGGACATCAAGTGGACATGTCCTACAAGCAGGAATAATATGGAACTAAAGGGTTTGTTGTAAACATGTATGAGTGCTGTAATGTTCTGGTCCCCACAAAAGGCCCTGTAGACATAGAGTCCAGTTACCTACCACCAACCATTATCAAGGGCCCGCTGTGGCCAGGGTCTTTACTGGGGACTTTATGTGTATTATTTCATTTAATTCTCAGAATATCCTTATGAGGTAGGTTACAAACATTTTATCAGCAAGGAAATAGAGGCTCATAAAAGTTAATTTGCCTAAGAGCATATAACTAGAAAGTGTGAAGGCAGAATTTAAATTATCAGTCAAGATATTAACATCACTCTATAATTTATGATTCTTGGTGGCAGGAAGCTCATAATGTAAAAATTACCCATGATACATGGTAACAATGATATTCTACTGATATGTACAAAATACTAGGGGAGTACAGAAAAGAGAGTATTTCATTCTTCCTAAGTGGTCAGGGAAAGCTTCATAGAAGAGGGGCTGCTATGGGTTGAATTATGTCCCTCCAAAATTCATATGTTCAAGGCCTAATCCCCAGTACCTCCGAATGTGGCCTTATTTGGAGATAGGTCTTTACAGAGGTAATTGAGTTAAACAGAAGTTATTAGAGTGGGACTTAATCCAGTTTGACTGGTGTCCTTATAAGAAGAGGAAATTCGGACACAGACACACACAGAGGGAGACCATGTGAAGGCAGAGGGAGAAGATGGTCATCAATGAGCCAAGGAGAGAGACCAGGACCAGATCCTCCCCTCACGGCCCTCAGGAGGAGCCAGTCCTGTTGACACCTTGATTTCAGACTTCTATCCTCTAGAACTGTGAGACAATAAATTTCTGTTGTTTAATATTTTGTGTGTTTCTAGGGTACTTTGTTACAGCAGCCCTAGTAAACTAATACAGGTGCCAAGAACTCAGCCTTCACGTGCCAACTTCTCAAGATGAGAAATGCATTAGAAGTGGGATGTTGGGGGACATGCACCATGGCTCACACCTGGAATCACAGTACTTTGGGAAGCCAGGATGGGAGGATCACCTGAGGCCAGGCGTTTGAGACCAGCATAGGCAACACAGCAAGACTTCATTTCTACAAAATTTTTTTTAAAATTAGTTGGGCCTGGTGGTGCATGCCTGTTCCAGATATTTGGGAAGCTGAGGTGGGAGGATTGCTTGAGCTCAGCAGTTTGAGACTGCAGTGAGCTATGACTGCACCACTGCACCCCAGCCTGGGCAATAAAGCAAGACCCCTATCTCTAAAAATAAAAGACAAAGGAGGAGGAGGAAATAGGAAGAAGAAGAAGGAGGAGGAAAGGAGGAGGAGGAGGAAGAGGAAGAAGAATAAAGAAGGAAGAAGAAGAAGAAAAGAAGCAGAAGGAAAAGAAGAAGGAGGAGAAGAGGAAGAAGAGGAGGAGGAGGAGGAGGAGGAAGAGAGTGTTAAGGAAGGAGGAAAGAATTGTAAAGATGTAAGGCTGATATTCCAGAGGAACATCTAACTGGAACCATGCTGCGACAGACTTGGGACTGGAGCTCAGAGTTAAGTCAGGACACAGACAAGGGTCACAGATTGTTACATGAAGTCTTAGGGTGTGGAGCTGAACAGACTCCCCCACAAACCCCCAAGGAGGGGATGTGGTAGATGAGAAGAGAACCAGGTTCAGAACCTCAGGAAACACCAACATTTGAAGATAAGCAAGAGGAGAAGCCAGTGAAGATGAGAGAGAGCGGTCATGAGGCAGGAACATGGAGAAAGATGATCCTCAAGGAGGGGACAGTGAGGCCAACTGTGATGAGCTCTGAGAGAAGATGGTGAGTGTTGCATTTCAGCAACATTGGTGACCTCATGAGGGCTCTGGGGACAGAAGTCAGCTTGTGGAAAATGAGAGTTGAGTAAACACCCAAGCACATCTCCTACTTGAACTGCTTTCTACCATCTGTAACTGTCACAGCAAGTGCAGAGCAGAAGACCTCTTTGACTCGCTCACTTCACACAGATCTGGGCTTTTGTTGGACTTTACTTTGGTTCTTGTTCAGGTGTCTTAGTTTTCTTATCACTCGCTTTCTTTTTAGGAGAAAACACTAACATATGTCCTTGGCTCTTTTTTTTCTTTTAGGCTCTATAAAGAATTGGCATGGGAGATGGGTTTTGAAGAGTTCCATTTGTATCTGAGGCCTGTTCACTTTGAATTTGCATCACACGGGGACAGGGCAGACCAGCCACCTCCTGTGTTTATAACCTCTCTGCTGGAGGACAGTGGTCGGGTAGACAGGTAAGCCTTGAGAGGGTTGAGGTAAAAATAACGTAATGGCTGAGTGAATAACCAGTGAAAAATAATTTTTGTCACCATTCAACATGCAAGAACAATCACATTTCTAAGTTCTCTCTTATATTCTATCTGCCATGATGCCAGTTTTTTTTCTTCTTTCTTCTTTTAATAAGAGGGAAAAAGTAAGATCTCATTTAGGGGGACAATAGCATTTAAAAACACCAAGTAACTGAGAAATGAAAGAACCAGGTTGTCCAAGAACTCAGGTGAGATGAAATCACAGGTTCAGCCGCTTCCCGGGTAGAATATGTTGCTTCCAGGTAGAAAAGGGAGTCAGCATGGGTCTAATGGGGTGAGAGCCATGGATCAGAAGTCCAGGTCTCATCTCTTACTTTTCTTCAGACCAGGAAGATGTCACTTAAGTTTTCAGAGCAGCTGTTTCCTTGAAAGGATAACACAAGGTACAAATATAACATGCAGGCAATATCTCAGGCAGCCTTCTTTATTAGCTAGTGACAGAAGCCAGTGCAAACCAGTGAAACTTCTCTCTCATGCCCCATAGGTCCAACCCATTGCTTGAAAGAAAATACCCTTACTAGTAATATATGGTGAGTCTACTCAGTCAGGGGAAGGAATCTTCTTTTGTTCTCACACAATTAACCTTTGACGTGTGGGAGGAGAAACTTCTGTCTTCCTCTTCTTTCCTTCTCTGCTATCTGCTTTTCCCCATAGGGTCCCACCTCTATCCCTGGAGATTCTTGGTACTGGCTCCATGCCAAGGAAGGAAAAAGGTGACTCCAAGGAGGCAACCGGCACCTTTGTTTCGCTAATGCAGATCCCTGCTCAAAATAGAATGCTGAGTGTTAATATCCTAAAAGACTCCACAGAGCAGGGGTGGAATGAGGGGGTTAGGATGATAGAATACAATATCCCAAGATTTCTCAATTTTAGCACTACTAAACTTTGGGGCTGAAGAAATCTTTGTTGTGGGGGACTGTCCTGTGTGTCTTAGGTTCATTAGCAACATTTCTGACTTCTACGCACTAGATACCGGTAGTATTCCAGTACCCCACCCCACACACACTGTTCTATAATCAAAGATGTCCCCAGACATTGTCAAATATCTCCTGGGGGCAAAACCTCCCCCTGCTCTATCCTGTCACACTAGCTAAGCCAAAAACAGAATTTACTGTAAGGATACAGAGATGTTCACAGAAGCCAAGGCAGGAAGTATGGTCAGGCCTTAGGTGATGCTGGGTCTCCAATTGGCAAAAAAAAAACAAAAAAAAAAACCATCTGGAGCCAAGCTATTTTCTGGTTCTTCAAGGGCCTCCTTGGTTGGTGTTTTATATTGCTGTGAAAATAGGGCATCACATTTTTGTTCAGTCAGAATCCACCAATCAGCACAAACTGCCCAAATGCCCTGTGGTCTGGCCGATGCTCTGTGGTCTGTGATTGGTCCTCCAGGTGATGACCTAGAGATGCCGCAAGATAAGGAAGCCTTCTGCATTACCAAGGGAAGGCTTATGCATCCAAAGAACTTGTGTATTGAATTCATATTTATTTTATGTATGTTAATTCCTTAAAGTTGCCACTTTGGAGTGCCATTATAACAACAACATATATAGTGGTCCCTTAGTGTCTGTGGGGGATCAGTTCTAAAATCCTCTCGGTTACCAAAATCCAAGGATGCACAAGTTCCTTATATTACCAAAATCCAAGGATGCACAAGTGCCTTATATAAAATGGCATAGTATTTGCATATAACCTATGCACTCCCTCCCTTATGCTTTAAATCATCTTTAGATTACTTATAATTATACTTAATACAATTTAAATGCTATGTAAATAGTCATTATACTACATTGTTTTTATTTGTATTATTTTAATTTTTGTATTATTACTTTTTATTATTTTGTGTTTTCAAATATTTTTTATCTGCAATTAGTTGAATCCATGGATGCAGAACCCATAGATATGGAAGGTCAACTGGATCAAATATGAGTATAGTTACTTACATTTTAAAAAGCACATTCATGCATATTATCCCTCTTAATATTTGCCATAACCATGTGAGATAGGTGATATCCCCTTTACAGATGAAGAAAGAAAGATTGATAGATATTAAGTTACTTGACAAAGTCTCATAGTTATGGACAAAGTACCAAGTCTCAAGGTGGAAAAATGGCTGTAAAGAATATTTAGATAGCTGTTGGACCCATAGGAAAGAGAGAGAATTGGACAACATTTAGGGGGTGCTCAAAGGAGTGAGTCAGTGAGGGATCCTAAACAAGTGTGGTCAAGAAGGTGAGAAGAGCCAGGTGTGGTGGTGCATGTCTGTAGTCCCAGCTACTCAGTAGGCTGAGGTGGGACAGTTGCTTGAGCTCAGGGGTTCAAAGCTGCAGTGAGCTATAATTGCACCACTGCCATTCAGCCTGAGTGACAGAGTAAGATTCTGACTCCAAAAAAAAAAAAAAAAGTCACTTGGTACACCTTTGATGCCCAGTTAACTATATATGTACTTTGAATAAATAAAAACATTTTGCTTAAAAAAAAAAAAAGAAGGTAAGAGGAAAAACGGGAGAGAGTAGTGTAATGGTAATCAAGAGAAAATAATTTCCAACGCTATGGGGTGGTCACCATAATCAAACTACAGAAAGATCAAGTCCAAAAAGGACAGAAAAGATCCCAGAGCCCTTATAGCTTTCAGTGGAAATATCAAGTCTTGCATAAAAGTTGCATTTCCTATTATTATTGACATTTCTGATCTGATCATGACATCCTGTTCCATCATAATGGTGTCTCTTGATTAGTTGCATATTACATCAAAACAATTTCATATTTTTTGTTGCAGATATTCTCCTACTGCTCTTGTCTTAGCCATCTCTGAGGTGGATGATAACCAAATTGGCAAATTTAGTTTTTACACAAAGGAAGCCATTCTTAAGGTAAACAATTTATTTTTTAAAAGCAAATGAAAGTAAAATAAAGCAATTTGCTCACATATTTCTTTAAGAAGACATAATACTTTATATAAATTTAGCTTCCATATATAAGAAAAGCTTCCAATTTCATAAATAATAATAATGGTTGTTTTAGTCCATTTTCTTTTGCTATAACAAAATACCTGAGACTGGGTAATTTATAAAGAAAAGAAGTTTATTTGGTCCGATGTTGCGGGAAGTCAGGGACCCCAAACGGAGATACCAACTGAAGCCATGGCAGAAGAATGTGGATTGTAAAGATTTCATGGACATTTATTAGTTCCCCAAATTAATACTTTTATAATTTCTTATGCCTGTCTTTACTGCAATCTCTAAACATAAATTGTAAAGATTTCATGGACACTTATCACTTCCCCAATCAATACCCTTGTGATTTCCTATGCCTGTCTTTACTTTAATCTCTTAATCCTGTCAGCTGAGGAGGATGTATGTGGCCTCAGGACCCTGTAATAATTGCATTAACTGCACAAATTGTACAGCATGTGTGTTTGAACAATATGAAATCTGGGCACCTTGAAAAAAGAACAGGATAACAGCAATTGTTCAGGGAATAAGAGAGATAACCTTAAACCCTGACCACCGGTGAGCCGGGCGGAACAGAGCCATATTTCTCTTCTTTCAAAAGCAAATGGGAGAAATATCGCTGAATTCTTTTTCTCAGCAAGGAACATCCCTGGGAAAGAGAATACGTGCCTGGAGGTATAGGCCTATAAATGGCACCCCTAGGTGTGCCCGTCTTTTATGGTCTGTAGTCTGCAGGGGTGAAATAGACCCCAGTCTCCCATGGCGCTCCCAGGCTTATTAGGAAGACGAAATTCCTGCCTAATAATTTTGGTCAGACCAGTTGCTCTCAAAACCCTGTCTCCTGATAAGATGTTATCAATGACAATGGTGCCCGAAACTTCATTAGCAATTTTAATTTCACCCTGGTCCTGTGGTCCTGTGATCTTGCCCTGCCTCCACTTGCGTTGTGATATTCTATTACTTTGTGAAGTATTTGATGTCTGTGACCCACACCTATTCGCACACTCCCTCCCCTTTTGAAAATCCCTAATAAAAACTTGCTGGTTTTTGCGGCTTGTGGGGCATCACGGAACCTACCGACATGTGATATCTCCCCCAGACGCCCAGCTTTAAAATTTATCTCTTCTGTACTCTGTCCCTTTATTTCTCAAGCCAGCTGACATTTAGGGAAAGTAGAAAAGAACCTACGTGACTATCGGGGCAGGTTCCCCGATAGTCCATGATTCTGGAGGCTGGGAAGTCCAAGGACATGGTGGCAGCTTCTGGCAAGAGCTTTTGCACTGCATCATAACATGGCAGAAAAGCAGAAGGGCAAGTGATTACATGCAAAAGAGACTGCAAGAGCAAGCCAAGCTTGCTTTTATAACATCCTGCTCTCTCGAGAAAGAAATCCACTCCCACGATTATGACATTAATCCATTCATGAGGGCTCTAATCTCATGGCCCAATCACCTCCCAACACATGAACTTTTGGGGGACACATTCAAACCATAATGATGGCCTTGCCTTATTTGATGTGCACATTAGCCTGGTTTGAACCATAGAGACTGCAACACCACTTATAATAACTTCTGTTAGGTACTAAAAAAGAAGTTCACATGTAGTGAACAATCTTTGCATAAGGTTTTAAAAATATACATTTGTTATTGGAGCTTTTATCTGGTCTTTCTAAACCTGGTGCTATTTTTTATCTGCTACTTGGATTTCTTTGCTTCTATATGTGTATTTTTAAAATGTCGATCTAATCTTGGCTTACAGGAGCCTGCCACTGAGCACATGTTTGCTAGTTCATCAGAGCCTATTCATCTTTTCCTGACCACTGGTGAAATCTCATGGTGTCCAGCTATAGAGCAAATCAAGCCTGGAGGCTGCCTTCTTGGAATGAAATGCTGCTTAGGGAGAGACCAGATTCAGTCTTATGGCTGAGTAGCAAGCATCCCAGCTCATTTGGGAGTTTGATTCATATATTTACATGTTGAATAAGTGGTGATTTCAACCCTCAACTCACTTCTTTATGCAAGACATTCCTAATATTTTTCATATTTTCTTCCTTTAGCTTTTGCTGCATTCAGGAGTGGAAAATATGCAGGTGACTCTTGCATGCCAAGCTGCTCAGAAAAATGCTTTGATGGCGGCTGTCCAGCAGGTGTACTTCTATTGCACCCCTCAAGGGAGCTGTCCTGCTAATGTCAAGGTCAGCCTGCATGACAGAGAAGCCAGAGGCATCTCATCACCTCCACCAGCTAATGTCAGGCTGCCCCTTTCTTCCTTCCTTTTTTCCCTTCTCCCTTTCTCCCTTTCTTTCTCCCCTGCCCCCTACTTTCTCTTTCCTATCTCTTTATCTTCCTTACTTTCCTTTTTTCTTCCTTTCCTTGTTTCCTGTTTGTGAATCAATGTATGACCAAATCCTTATTGGATTTCTTAATTTTCAGTTATACTTTTTTCTGTATTTCTTATTTTTTGGTTATTGAGACATAATTCATGTGATATAAAACATACCACAGGCTGGGCATGGTGGCTCACACCTGTAATCACAGCACTTTAGGAGGCAGAGGTGGGTGGATCACAAGGTCAGGAGATCGATACCATCCTGGCCAATATGATGAAACCCCATCTCTACTAAAATACAAAAAACTAGCTGGGCATGGTGGCACGTGCCTATAGTCCCAGCTACTCGGGAGGCTAAGGCAGGGGAATTGCTTGAACCCAGAAGGCAGAGTTTGCAGTGAGCTGAGATCGTGCCACTGCACTCCAACCTGGCAACAGAGTGAGACTCCTTCTCAAAACAAACAAACAAACACCATATTATAGTATATAATTCAGTGGTTTTTAGTATATTCACAAGATTGTGCAACCATCATCACTACCTAATTCCAAAACATTTTTATCACTCACTCTCAAAAGAAACGTTGTACCCATTAGCAGTTACTTACTTTTTCTCCCTCCCCTCAGTCCCTAGCAACCACTAATCTACTTTCTGTTTCTATAGATTTGCTTATTCTGGACATTGTATATAAATGGAATCATACAACAGGTGACCTTTGGTGTCTGGATTTTTTCCCTTAGCATAATATTCTCAAAATTTAACTGTGCCGTAGCATGTATCAGTGCTTCATTTCTTCATTGCTAAATAATATTTTATTATATGGATATACCACATTTGTTTCTACTTTTTGGCATTAGGAATAATGCCACCATGAACATTTATCTATAGGGTTTTTTTGTTTTGTTTTGTTTCATCTTGTTTGAGACAGAGTCTTGCTCTGTCGCCCAGGCTGGAGTGCAATGGTGCCATCTCGGCTCACTGCAACCTCCACCTCCCAGGTTCAAGCGATTCTCCTGTCTTAGCCTCCTGAGTAGCTGGCACTACAGGTGCATACCACCACGCCTGGCTACTGTTTTGTATTTTTAGTAGAGACAGGGTTTCACCGTATTAGCCAGGATGGTCTCAATCTCCTGACCTCGTGATCTGCCCGCCTCAGCCTCCCAAGGAGCTGGAATTACAGGTGTGAGCCACCACGCCTGGCCTACGTATAGGTTTTTATGAGGACATATATTTTTAAATCTTCTTGGGTATATACCTAGCAATTGGATTGCTCAGATTATATGGTAACTTTATATTTTACATTTTGAGGAACCACCAAACTGTTTTTCAAAGTAGCTGCGCTTTTTACATTCCCATCAGCAATGTATGAGGGTTCCAATGTCTCCACATTTTTGTCAACACTTGTTATTGTTTTTTTATTTTAGCTGTTCTAGTAGAAGTAAAGTAGTATCTCATTTTGGTTTTGACTTGGATTTCCCTATTTACTAAGACCTTAAGCATCTTTTCATTTGCTGACTTGACCATTTATGTGTCTTCTTTAGAGAAATGTCTATTTAAATCCTTTGCCTTTCTATAAAATTTGATGTTTTGGTTTTTTATTGATGAGTTGTAAGAGTTCTTTAGATATCCTGAATACAAGTCCCTTATAAGGCATATGATTTGCAAATATATTCTACGGATTGTCTTATGATCTCCATTTATCTGTTATTTCATTACTTGTACTTTTGGCATCATATTTAAGAAACCATTGCCTAATCCAAAGTTATGAAAACACTCTTATATTTTCTTCTAAGAGATTTATGGTTTTAACTCTTACATTTAGGTCTAGGGTCCATTTATACTTAATTGTGCTATATAATGGGAAGTAGGGATCCAACTTTATTCTTTTCATGCGGCTAATCAGTTTTCCCAGAACCACTTGTTGAAAAGACTCATCTTTCCTCATTAAATTGTCCTGGAACCCTTGCAAAAAAAAACACTTGACCATAAATGTTAAGAATGTATAACTGGACTCTCAATTCTATTCCATTAATCTAAATGCCTGTTCTTATGCCAGTACTACTATGTTTTGATTACTGTAGCTTTGTAGAAAGTTTGAAATTATGAAGCATAATCCCTCCAAATTTGTTTTTCTTTTTCAAGTTTGCTTTAGCTATTTTGAGTCCCTTGCATTTTCATATGAATTTTAGTGTCAGCTTGTCAATTTTGGGGGCTTTAAAAAGAGTAAGTTGGAGTTTTGACAGGGATTGCAGCAAACCTATAGATTGAGTAGTATTGCCATTTTATTTTATTTTAGTAGGATTGCCATTTTAACAATATTATGTCTTCCAATTCTTGAGCATGGGATGGCTTTCTATTTATAGACACACCTTGGAGATGTTGTAGGTTTGGTTCCAGACGGTTCCATGCAAATTTTTTGGTTTCTGAGTGCATATAAAAGTTATGTTTATATTACACTGTAGCCAATTAAGTGTGTAATACCATTTTGTCTTAAAAAAACCCAATGTACATATACCTTAATTAAATATACATTATTCACTTGCAGACCAAAGAATATTAAGTTATAAAAAAAGAAAAAATATATATTTTTACTAAAAACTGCTAATAATCATTTGAGCCTTTAGTGAGTTGTAATCTTTTTGCTGGTGGAGGGTCTTACCTTGATATGGAAGGCTGCTGACCGATTAGGGTGGTGGTTGCTGAAGGTTGGGGGCCAGGGGTCTCTGGCAATTTCTTAAAATAAGACAAAATAAAGTTTTCCACATTAATTGACTCTACTTTTCATGAAAAGTTTCTCTTTGGCATGTAATACTGTTTGATAGCATTTTACCTACAGTAAAACTTTTTCAAAACTGAAGTTAATTCTCTCAAACTGTGCTTTATGTAATATTCTAAATCCTTAGCTGTCATTTCAACAATGTTCACAGCATCTTCACCAGGAGTAGATTCCATCTCAAGAAACCGCTTTCTTTCTTAGCTCATCCATAAGAAGTACCTCCTCATTTGTTTAAGTTTTATCACGAGAATGCAGCAATTCAGTTACATCTTCAGGTTCCACTTCTAATTCTAGTTCTTTTGCTATTTCTGCCACATCTGCAGTGACTTCCTCCACTGAAGTCTTGAACTCCTCAAAGTCCTCCATGAGGGTTGGAATTAACTTCTTCCAAATTCCTGTTAAAGTGGATATTTTGACCTCCTCTCATGAATCATGAATGTTCTTAATGATATCTAGAATGATAAATCTTCCAGAAGGTTTTCAATTTACTTTACCCAGATCCATTATGCAGGGGTGTCCAAATCTTTGGCTTCTCTGGGCCACATTGGAAGAATTGTCATGGGCCACACATAAAATACACTAACACTACTGATAGCTGATGAGCTTTAAAAAAAATTGCAAAAAAACTGCAAAATAAATGCAAAAAAACATGCAAAAATAATGTTTTAAGAAAGTTTACAAATTTGTGTTGGACTGCATTCAAAGCCATTCTAGGCCTCATGCAGCCTGTGGGCCATGGGTTGGACAAACTTACATTAGAGTAATTACTATCTATGGCAGTTATAGTCTTATGGAATGTATTTCTTAATAATGACTTCACAATACGACACAGAAACACAAGACATACTCCTTGATCCATGGGCTGTAGAATGGATGTTGTGTTAGCAGGCATAGAAACATTAATCTCTTTGTACATTTCCATTAGAGCTCTTGGGCACTGTCAATGTACAGTAATGTTTTGAAAGGAATCTCTTTTTCTGAACAGTGGGTCTCAACAGTGGGCTTAAGATGTTCAGTAAACTATGCTGTAAAGAGATGTGGTGTCATCCAGGCTTTGTTATTCCATTTGCAGAGCACAGGCAGGATAGATTTAGCATAATTCTTAAGAGTCCTAGGATTTGGGGAATGGTAAATGAGCATTTGCTTCCACTTCAAGTCACCAATAGCATTAATCTCTAACAAAAGAGTCAACCTGTCCTTTGAAGATTTGAAGCCAGGCATTGACTTCTCCTCTCTAGCTATAAAAATACCGGATGGCATCTTCTTTCAGTGGAAGACTGGTTTGTCTACATTGAAAATCTATTGTTTAATGTAGCCACCTCTATCAATTATCTTAGCTAGATGTTCTGGATAACTTGCTGCAACTTCTACATCAGCATTTACCACACTTCACCTTACACTTCTTTGTTATGGAGATGGCTTCTTTCCTTAACCCTCATGAACCAGTCTCTGCTAGTTTCAAACTTTTCTCTCATCCTTCAAGGAATTGGAGAGAGTTAGGACCTTGCTTTGGATTAGCCTTGGGCTTCAGGGAATTTTGTGGTTGATTTGATCTTCTATCCAGACCACTAAAACTTTTTCCATATCAATAATAAGGCTATTTTCCTTTCTTATCGTTCTTGTATGCATTAGAGTAACGCTTTTAATTTCCTTCAAAAACTTTTCCTTTGCGTTCACAACTTGGCTGTTTTGCACCAGAGGCTTAGCTTTTGGCCTATTCCAGCTTTTGACATGCCTTCCTTGCTAAGCTTAATCATATTTAGCTTTTGATTGCAAGTGAGAGTCGTGTGACTCTGCTTCTCACTTAAACACTTAGAGGCCACTGTAGAGTTATTAATTGGCCTAATTTCAATAGGGTGTCTCAGGGAATAGGGAGATCCAAGGAGAGGTAGGGAGACAGGGGAATGGCCAGTCGGTGAAGCAGTGAGAACACACACGTTTATTAAGTTCATCTTCTTATTTGGTGTGGTTCATGGCACCCCAAAACATTTACAATAGTAACATCAAAGATCGCTGATGTCGGATCACCATAATAGACATAATAATGAAAAAGTTTGAAATATTGTATATTGTATGAATTACAAAAATGTGACAGAGACATGAAGTAAGCATATGCTATTGGTGCCAATAATTTGTTCAATGCAGGGTTGCCACAAACATTCAACTTGTAAAAAACACAATATCTGCATTAAGCTGAGTGCAAGAAAATGAGGTATGCCTTTATTTAGTTCTTCTTCAACTTCTTTCAACAATATTTTATAGTCCTCAGGGTACAACTTTTATCCTTTTTTGTTACATATTAATTCCAAAATATTTCATTCCTTTTAACATGATTATAAATTGAATTGTTTTTCTTAGCTTCATTTTCAGAGTGTTCATTACTAGTATATTAGAATACAAATTGACTTTTGTATATTGATCTTGTATCCTGCAATCTTACAAAGCCAGTTTGTTGGTTCTACTAATTTACAGGTGTGTGTTTGTGTGTATGTATGTGTGTGTTCGTAGTATTTCTTAGGATTTTCTATATACAAGATTATGTTATCTGCAAGTAGAGATAGTTTTACTTCTTCCTTTCCAATCTTTATGCCTTTTATTTCTTTTCTTGCCTAATTGCTCTGGCTAGACCCTCCAATACAAGATTGAGTAGAAGTAGTGACAGTAGATATTATTGTATTATTCCTACTCTTAGGGGAAAACCGTCAACCTTTCACCATTAAGTGTGATATTAGCATTAGTTTTTCATAAATACCTCTTATCCGGTTGAGGACATTCCCTTCTATTCTAAGTTTGTTGAATGTTTTTATTGTGAAGGGGTTGGATTTTATCTACATATACTTTTTTTTTGTATTTTGTTTTTTTTCACTTAACAGTATATCTTGGTTATCACTCCAAATCAGTTCATAGAGGTTTTCCCTTTTTTGCAACTGTATAATTCTCTTTTGTGTATATACTAGTGAATGTAACTTACATGTAAAATTAAATATGGTTTTAAGAAATCAACTTTCCAGATGGTTTCAAACATTCTTTAAGCCTCATGGATTCTACTCAGCTCACCACATTAACCCCTTATCACATTTATCTACCTCTATTTACCCATTTCTACTCTCTCTTTTTTTTTTTTTTTCAGAGATAGGGTCTCACTCTGGCACCCAGACTAGAGTGTAGTGGTGTGACCATAGCTCACTACAGCCTCGTATTCCTGGGCTCAATTGATCTTCCCACCTCAGTCTTTCGAGTAGCTGGGACCACAGGTGTGTGCCACCATGTCCTGCCAATTTTTAAATTTTTTCTAGAGATAGGATCTCGCTATGTTGCCCAGGCTGGTCTCAAACTCCTGGCCTTGAGCAATCTTCCCTCCTTGGCTTCCCAAAGCAGTGGGATTATAGGCATGAGCCACCATACCTGGCCTGTACTCTTCATATTAATAGGAAAGTACAAATTTATGGGTATGGCAACAATATTGAATGCTAAATACTTCTACTGCCAAATACTCTGTCCCATAGAAATCACCTGCTGCAAAAAACAGGGATAGAGTGAGTTATATAGATTTTTAAAAATACAACCCCCCAAAATCTTAATTCAGTGCCTATTGTAAGTTAGGCTCATAAGATAATACTGAGGTACAATTCCTGACCCTGATGAACCTCTAGGCTGGTGTGTTTAAGGGGGGTAGGCCCACAAGTGGCTCAAAGACAAAGGCACAGAGAGGTTCAACAAGCCATACAAAAGGAGATTAAAGAAATGAGAATACACATCTGGGAAAACAGGAAGGGCAGCACAGAGAGGGGGCATTTGGGAAAACCCTGAAGGATGAGTTTTTTGGCAGGCAGAGATGACCACTTGATCATTCTGAGTAGAGGAAAGACCCTTCAGATACCCAGGCATGGGAGACAGAAAGGGCAAATGGGGACCAGGAAAAAACGAGAAGCCCAACTTGATAACCACTTATGATTTTCATACACAGTTGACATAGAGAATCCTTTACTCAGTCAATTTGATCTTATAAAGAATACCAGTATATAAAACAGATGTAAGTGGGGCTGTTCTGGTTGAAGTGAAGGTTAAGAGCTTATAAGTCACTTCCTAAGATCAATCCAAGGAGCACATGTTAAAAGATACTGGACAGGAGCACAGGACAGGGGTGGAAGGTGGGAAAGTGATAGCCTGGAAAGACCTGCAGCATTGGGAAGGGTAGGGAGGCATTAGGGTAACAGCCTGGGAAGGTGGGCTAGGACTATAATGTGGGTGCCCTGAAAGAACCGGCCCAGGTGTCATCTCCCTAGAGAGCCTTTTCCTAGTCTCTCAGATCACTAGTTACTATATTTTCTACATATAAAATCATTTGTAGTTCAATTATGTTTTCCACATTATACTGACTATAAGGACGGCTCCTTGTATATTTTTTTGTCTTTGTGTCTGCCTAGTAGACAGACACAAAGACAAGTAGGAAATACCATTCATTGAATGATTGCTGAATTCACACTTATTGGAGATTTAAAATGCTGTAGACAGACACAAAGGCAAATAATAAGTACCGTTTGTTGAGTGATTGCTGAATTCACACTTAAAAGTGTTTGAGCTAAGGAAGGACCTGACCTGAGATTCTCATTAGGAATATTCACTGCATTTGACAGGTTAAAGGGGAGAAAGGTAAGTTAGGGAGACCAAAAGGCGAGAAGATGTGAAGTCCTGAGCCATGGGTGCAGCTGTGGGGATGAGCGGGAGGGATGGGTGTGAGCAGCATTGTTGGAATGCATGCAGCACACAGGCTTGGGGTGAGATTGAAGATTCCTACCAGGTTGCCACCCTCAAATGCACACCCTTCAAACGTATCTTACACCTGCTACCATGCTTCTCTCCAGCCACAGAGTGTGAAGTGTTCCTCTTCCCAGTCAAGTTCAATGCCTCCCACCAACATTCTCAATCCATTTCCTTTTCTGAGGCCTTGATTCATTGGTTATCTTCTTTCCCTACTGCACTTCCAGTGTTTTTCTCCATTACCTCTTTCCACTTACAGGTACTTCCCACATTCCACTTAAGTGCAGGCTAGATTGTTTTCATCCTCTCCAGAAAGCTTAACTGAATCCTATGTGCTTCTCTGGCCAGTACCCTAATTATGACCTTTCTTTCTTATTCAGGTTTATTGAAAGGATGTTCTTTAACCCCCTAGCTCTATATCCTTTCATTGTAATATAGCTTGCTCTTCCACTACACCCCTGAAACTGCTCTCACTAGAGTCAGCAATGACCTCTCAATTGTTAAATCCAGAGAACATTATTAAGATGTTATA
Organism: Homo sapiens; assembly: GCF_000001405.40. Taxonomy (NCBI): domain Eukaryota; kingdom Metazoa; phylum Chordata; class Mammalia; order Primates; family Hominidae; genus Homo; species Homo sapiens. Next base: position 109,278,378 of record NC_000006.12, read on the forward strand.
TTTGACTACTTTCCTTCATTTAATGCTCTTGGTCACTCCCTTGTCCTCAATACTCTTCTTCCTCTGCTTCTGTGACTCCGTTCTCTCCTGGATCTCTTCTACATCTTTGATTCTTCCTTCTCAATTTCCTGGAGTTGGGGGCCTCTTCTCTACCCATCTCTATCATGATGGTGTTTTCCTGGATCTTCTTTTTAGAACTCCTATTCTCTCCTTTCATATTCTCCCTTGGTGATCTCATCGACTCTTGAGGTTTAAAACCTCCAATATACTGTCAACTTTCAAATCTACATCTCTTCATGGAACCTCTCTCCCAAGCCCCAAACTAGAGTATCTAAATGCTTCACAGATAGTGTTTGGATATCCCACAAACACCTCAACTCGGTATCAAAAGGCAACTCATTCTTCTCCCATCTAATTCTCTAGTATTTCTATTCTTGGTTAAGGTAGCACCACCTGAGTAGTAACACAGGATTTTTTTTTTTTTTTGAGATGGAGTTTTGCTTGTGTCGCCCAGGCTGGGGTGCAATGGTGCAATCTTGGCTTACTGCAACCTCTGCCTCCCAGGTACAAGTGATCCTCCAGCTTCAGCCTCCCAAGTAGCTGGAATTACAGGCGCATGTCACCATGTCAGGCTAATTTTTGTATTTTTAGTAGAGATGGGGTTTTGCCATGTCAGCCAGGCTCATCTCGAACTCCTGACCTCAGGTGATCCACCTGTCTTGGCCTCCCAAAGTGCTGGGATTACAGGCATGAGCCACTGTGCCCAGCCGTCAGAAAGGATTAAAATGTGGGTATTGTCCTCAACTCCTCTGGCTTTCTTACTTTAGATCAATCAAGCACTACCTCTTGCCAATATCACACTCTACATATTTATTGAATATGGCCCCTCTTCTCCATCCTCACTGCCTTAGTTCAAATTCTCATTATCTCACTTGTGTGACTATAATGGCCTTCTAAGTGGCCTCCATCCCTCTGGGTCCATGCCTTGCACCACTACCTCTGCCCTCAACCATATCTATCCTCCACACAGTGACCAGAGAAACTATGCCTCCTTGATTAAATCCCTTCAGTGGCTTCTTGTAGATCAAAGAGCAAAACTCAACCTCCTTAGCTAGGCATGCAAGACCTTCACTTCCTGACCCCAGCCCTCTATTCTGTCACTTCTCCTGCCCTCTATTTGAAGTATCCTAAACATTTGGTGCTATTTCATGTCTCTCTGCTTCTACTCATATTTCTCAGAAAATTTTAACCTTACTTTACCACATCCCACCCTCCCATTTTATTTTTTTGCCTCCAAGATTCAACTCAGTCATTGTATCTTCTAGGATGTGTTTATGACTCTTGACTAAAATGCATTTTGTGACTACTTCATTATAAAATGGTATACTGTAATACACACACACATTGCTTCTCTTACAAGTGTGAAACAACAAGAGGACTGATGACATCATAAGGGGAAATAAATGATGGAGACAATGAAAGAGTGCAGGGGAAGAAAGGGAAGGGAGTAAGAAAGGAAAGAGATGGAGAACAAATTGTGCACTGCCACCAAAGCCAAAGGAAGAGAACATTTCAAGAAGGAAAAAGTCACCAAAGATGTACAGATGACAAATAAGCAGAAAAGATGTTCAACACTGTTAGTCGTTAGCAAAATGCAAACTGAAACCCTATTGAGAAACCTCTACATGCCCTTTAGAATGGTTAAAATGTAAAAGACTGACCATCTGAGTGTTGGCTAAGTTGTGGAGGACCCGGGCCTCTCACACACTGCTAATGGCAATGCAAAATGGTGCAACCACCTTGGAAAACAGTTTGGCAGTTTCTTAAAAAAATTGAAGATATACTTACCATATGATCCAGCCATTCCTCTCCTAGGTATTTAACCAAGAGAAATGAAAGCACATGTCTATACAAACATTTTTACACAATATGTTTATAGCAGTTTTATTCATAATAGCCAAGAACTGGAAAGAATCCAAATGCCCATCAACAAGTGAATGGATAAACAAATTGTAGTGTATCCATACGACAGAATAGTACTACTCAGCAACACAAAGAAGTAAAATATTTATATCCACAATAATATGAAGACAAAAAAGGGCATATAATGCATGATTCCATGGATATTAAATTCTAGGAAATGCATTCTCATCTATAGTTGCAGAAAGCCAAGCAGTGATTGCTTAAGGAAGTGGTAAGGTGGGAAGGGTGGCTATGGTCATAATTTGATTGTGATGATGGTTACACAGTTGAGTACATATGCCAAAGCTAATCCAATTGAATGCTTTAAATATGTGTTGTTTCCTGAATGTCAATTATGTATCAATAAAGCTATTATTTTTAGAAGAAGAAGAAGGAATCCAATAGATTTGAATGTAGAGAGAAAATTCGGAGGGTAGGGATTAAAATGAGGCCACAAAAACTTCTTGCTGACTCTGAGAGCAGTTCTGCTAATGAAGTCAGAGTGAAAGCTAGAGTGCCAGAGTAAAGGAGCAAGAAGAGGCTGATAGATGTGTAGAAGGAGTGTGTGTTTATTGCTCTTGTATTAGTCTGCTAGGGCTGCCATAACAAAATACCATGGACTAAGAGGTAGAAATTTATTTTCTCCCAGTTCTGGAGGCTGGAGGTCTGAGATCAGGGTGCCAGCATGGTTGTTTTCTGGTGAGGGCTCTCTTTCTGGCTTGTACATGGCTGCCTTACACTGTGTGTTCACACTAAAGGATGGACAGGTGGGAAGCAAGTGAAGGAGAGCCCCGGTGTCTATTCCTCTTTTATAAGTGCAGCGCCATGTCAGACTAAGGCCCTACCCTTACGACCTCATTTACACTTTATTACTTCCCAAAGGCCCCATCTCCAAACACTGTCACTTTGGAGTTAGAAGTTCAACATACGAGTTTTGGAGGGACACAAACATTCAGGCCATAGTAGCTCTTTAAGAATTGAGGAAGAAACTTGAAAGGGTAGGAAGATTAAAGAATAAAAAAAAATGTGAACACATTTGTAGGAAGAGACTTGGACAAGAGGAAGCAACTGAGGATAGAGATGAGTATGAATACTGGGCATGGTTGGAATGGAGAGTGTAGGTGGTGGGTCAGGGAGTTAATGATTTAATTCAGCAGCTTCTGTGGCCCAGGCAGGCAGTAAGCTAGGTGATAGAAATAGGTGGACTCATGGAGTCCTCTCACTGCCCCATGTGATGGGGGGTGGGTGGGTGTTACCTTCTTTTTCTGGGTGAGGAAACAGGTTCTTAGAGGTTAAGAAAAAGAGACAAGATGAGCAGCTCAGTGTCAGCACTAGGATCTGATTGCAGAGCGTGTGCTTTCTTCCCTCTCCCCTCACTCATGACCTTGTAAGACCTCCCCAGTTCCCTGAACTAGCAGATGCTCCTATTTCCAAGAGACTGGGATACCTCAAGGGTCTTCAGAAAAAAATCTGGTTGAAAACCTTAGAGTTTTTTACCTAGGATCTTTTTTCTTTTTCTCCTTATGTCTCCTATGGTAATTCTGCTATGGGTAACTCCTTGTGTCTTTCACTGAAGAATGATCTTTCCTTCAAAGCTTTAACCTTTTTCTTTTAGTGAGTAGTTTAGAAAAATATAAATGAGTTCCATCCAACATGCCCCGCAGCTCCATAGCCAATGGAGCTGGAATATTGGAAGACATGAATTTCCCTTTTATTTCCCCATTCCTCATTCCCTTCTCCCTGCTTCTCCTCTTTTTCTCCGTCTCCCTTCTCCCTCCCTTCTTTGTCATTATGTTGTGCATGGTGGCATATAAAGCCCACCTCCATCTGCCTAGGTGCCCTGTGGGAACTTTTCAGATCTTGTAGCCGTGAAAACTATTATCGGTATTCCTTGAAAGACCACTATATACAGAGCACACTATCTAGCCACTTTGTAGAATGGAGATCTTTTTCTCAGAGCACTTTAGACAACTGCACTCTCTTCCGAAAATAATCACACTTAGTGCCTCACCTCTTAATTGTGCAAAGTGGTATCTCTCCTCCTCCACTCCACTCTTTTCCCTTTCCGTCTCCTCCCCTCCTCTTCTCTTCTTTCTACTCCCCTGTCACATGTACCCAGGCCTTTACATGTGTTGGGGATCAGTTGTGGCTGTGAGATCATTTTACAGCAGTGCTTCAGGACTTATATGCCCAAAAATTTAATTTACTTTGGTTTAAAATATTTTAGGAAATAAGTTCAGATCTGAGAAATCATGGTGGAATGGGCCCAACCAGAAGAAGATATTCCAGAATTGTGAATGGCATAGACAGCTCGCTGATAGCCCCAACTCCAAAAGTCCCAGATACACTTACTCATTCTCCAGAAAGATTTCAGGCTACCAAAAGGTACTGTACCTGGTGAGATGGAAGGAGGAATACTACTTAGAATAACAAAAGTGTCCTCTTTTAAGTCAATTAATAAATAGTATTGGGGGGATTGAAGGAGTCTAAACTCTCAGAGTGACTAGCATCTTATATAAAGACCTTGTATGAATACTGAGAGGGCTCAGCTCCTTCCAATATACTCCAGTCAATAAAGGACAGTGAACAGTTCCTCATTTTAACCCCTTCTCTTTTTCCTCCCCTCTTCTCTTTTCTCTTTCACTTCCCTTCTTCTCTCTCTGTATATTTTTCAGACTGCAAAGAGTGTATATCACAAGGAAGGCCTTTCCAAATTCTCCAAATCTATTTAAATTGAGAAGCACAGAACTGCCCTATTTTTTTTTTTTTAGACAGAGTCTCGCTCTGTCACCAGGCTGGAGTGCAGTGGCACGATCTCGGCTCACTGCAACCTCCACCTCCCGGATTCAAGTGATTCTCCTGCCTCAGCCTCCCTAGTAGCTGGGATAATATGCACGCGCCACCATGCCCAGCTAAATTTTTTGTATTTTTATTAGAGACGGGGTTTCACCATGTTGGCCAGGATGGTCTTGATCTCCTGACCTCATGGTCCACCAGCCTAGGCCTCCCAAAGTACTGGGATTATAGGCGTGAGCCACCGCACCTGGCCCTTTTTTTTTTTTTTTTTTTTTTTTTATGATGGAGTCTTGCTCTGTCACCCAGGCTGGAAAGCTGGAGTGCAGTGGCCTGATCTCAGTGCACTGCATCCTCTGCCTCCCGTGTTCAAATAATTCTCCTGCCTCAGCCTCCCGGGTAGCTAGGACTACAGGCATGCACCATCACACCTGGCTAATTTTTGTATTTTTAGTAGAGATGGGGTTTCACCATGTTGGCCAGGCTGGTCTTGAACTCCTGACCTCAAGTAATCTGCCCGCCTCAGCCTCCCAAAGGGCTGTGATTACAGGCATGAGCCACCACGCCCAGCCTGTCCTCACTGTTCTAACAAAGGTTCTAACATTGCTTAAAATAATAGGATGGTGAATTATTGTCAGAGAGGCACGACCTCTCCAGAGACATGTCTATAAATCAGAGATGCCCTATTCTGTCTGGATCTCTTTTCACCATGACAGAGAAAGAGAGACATTCATACTCTATAGTATGAATTACTTTGTAATACTCTGTATGATACTCTGTCTGAATACTCTGTAAATCATACTCTGTAGTATGATTAGTCTGAGTATTTTATCAGGGCCTACCAATGACACTGTACTTGAATTCTGGCAAATTTAGAATAAAAAATAATAACAGGCAAAGCAACTCTACTACTCAAGATGCTGTTAATCTGACATATGGCCAGAGTTCAAGTGCATTAAAGTCCACATTTCCAATGTGTGGATGGACGATTTAAGACCAATATGTCTAGTCAAGAGGACCCTTGGGAGGCCACTTCAATCTAGATATCCTTAGAGTCAAGTCGAGGAGAATGCAAAGGGAGATGGGTAGTACAAATACTGGGCTTAGAACTGAGAAAGGACTGCTGAAGCATGCTTCAGGCACAGAGGGTCCCCAAGCAGGATGGTGACACATCTGCATCCCTGGTGAATAATCAGAAACACCTGAAGCAGGCAAGAACCATGGAGGCACAGCCACCTGCCCTCCTGCTGCAATGCCCAGTATACACCTTGTCTTTCTGATCCATGTCCATATACCTCCTGCCTTGGGCTCCCATGTTTCTGTTCACTTGTCGGGGCTCCAGAGGCCTTTGTGTCTATTCAACTGGAAAAGGTGGGGCTGCGGGACATGATGCTGAACACCTTCCTCCTGAGGAAACAAACCATGGCCGACAGAACGAAGAGCCCTGTGAGTGTGTAGTGAGAAATGCTGCCTAAAGCTCTGGTCCTCTTTTGCATCTGAGCAAATGAAAATTCTTCACTTGGAATCTGGTGATCTGATGCTTTCAACCTATTTGGCTAGGACTGTTGAAAATATATTGTAAAGAAGTGAAAAGGGAAGTTCAATAAGAAGTAGAAAGGAATCAGTTCAAGTGGATTACAGTCATGCTTTAAAAATGTATGCATTTTCCCAATGCCGCATTTTGTTTTGTCACTTTCTAAATGAACTAGTTTCAGCACCTGCACTGGAACATTAGCCTACTCTTGAGTGACCCACAGGGGTTCGGGGATTAGACAAGGTAAGCAATGGCTCTTAACCATCTGGTCACCTGATAACCATCTGGTTATCTTGGTTTTTCAGACACTACCACTATGTTTGTATTTAAAGTTTTTATATTAGCCTAATCTATTGAAAAATACTAAAACTCAAAACTTTAATCAGTAAAAATTATTCCTTAATTTTGTGAATATCATTTCATTATTAATTTTTTGATGAGAAAATCATTATGGTAATACATTGTTATTTAGGAGAAGAATGACAAGATTTATAATTCTAGGCTTTCTTCCCTGCTTGTGACTTTAAAGGAAAGACTTAAATTTACCTAATCTAGTTCTACAGATGGGATATGACGAGGGCCAGCAATTACTGCTCAGCCATAATAGAAGCAAAGGGTCCCTTCTAATAAGCAATTCTCAAAAAATATCGACCAAGTGGAAAAAATATAATCATTCATGAACTGCCCTTCAGGATTATTCAACACCTATCAGATCAGAAAGAGCTCAGGCAATATAATTACCTGTATTAATTTTGTCAGGGTCTGGGGACTACTTACTGGCTAATAAGTTAACCTGTTACCGTTCCATGGATGCTGGCAGAAGGCACACAAGACTCCTTTGTCAGAGACAAAGAATTTTATTATGCACAGCAGAGTAGGCAATGTGATCTTCATGTTCGTGTCAGTCCCACGGGGACAGTGTGGAGGAGCCTACATGCAGGTAGTGGCTTGTGTCACAAGTGAAAAGCACTGAGCTTGGGGAACCCACCTCTTTTATAATAAGCCTGCTCTTTTTCCTGGAGAGAGACATTACCTTATCACTGAAGATTGCTTTCTGCAAACACAACCCTGAGAAATGGTTGTGAGGTAAAGTGTGGTCAGGGACTTGCATCCTTGGCATACTCAGCAAGATGGGTAGGAGCGGGAGAGAGACACAGGAGTGCCTCCCAACAAGCTTAACCCAGAAAGAATGTCTCAGCTCTGTAGCCTTTTCCTGCTTGAAGTCTGCTTTAAGTTTGTACACATGTACTAGGGTGGGGAGTTCTTATAGCCAATTGTCTACTAAAACTATCATTCTCCTTTATCACAGGATGAAATTGGAAAAGTCAAGAGAGATGTTATGGTTGAATATTGTCAGAAGTAAGTATAGTATATGTGAATAACACACGCTGATTTCTCTGACTCTGAATGTAATAAGTGGCAGTTTTATTGGGTAAAACCAAGTTAAACTGTGCTTTGACATGCAGAGAAGCATCGGAAGTGAAGGATAGGGGTCATTAGGAAGGGGTTCATGCCTCTGCCTTCAGGCAACAGCCACCTGACCCAAATGGAAATTCCTTCTTGATAGAAGTACTCTCTCCTTGAAAAGTCCTCCAGGGATGTAGATTCTGGAGCTTCTGTGAGAGGTGGAAGAATTTGGATTCTCCTTCTGGACATCCTCTCTTCTGACTTTCAGGTTTAACCACCGCATGTCTCACTATGCTCTTCGGGGTCAGATCATGGCATACTGCAATAGCCTGAGAGATCTTCTGGAAGATTTTCCTACCATCAGGGACACCTTTTTCATGGTAGGGCAACCACAAGAGAAGAAGGGGTTGAGAGACTCCAAGGAGGGCCTCAAGGCTGACCCCAGGTGCGTAATTTGCTTCAGTGTTTATTACTCTCCTTCCCTGGCCCTACTTCTCCCTGGGGAGAGGCATGTTAAGTTTAATATTAAACCTTTGCTCCCTTTACTGCACTTGACCTTGATCTTCTTGTCCAAAAGGGCAAAAGGAAGAGTTAATACTCCAAGAATAAGAGTATCTTTGTATTTGAACCCAAAAGGGGTTCTTTGTTTATAGGCTGTTTGACTGCTTTTTCAATCTCTTCGTCTGATGACTGAGGAAATTGAAGAAGCAGCTCTCTGAAGTTAAACATGTTATGATTCTTGGGGCTAAGTTATCTAGAGCATGATTGCAAGGAATAGGACTGCTGAAGAAATACTTTATGGAAAGGGGCCATTTTTAAGACTGCTCAGGACATGGCAAATAGGAATCATCCCTAGCCAGAGTTAACTAGAGATGAAGGGACAGAGTTGAGGAATGAGGGCCATAGAGGAAAGAGGTCCTCATCTCATTCATAAAATAAGGGGTTGAGTTAGAATGAAGATAAGAAATAAGGTTTATTCTAAATGTCAGTTCAAACAATGCATTAGTGGCCCTGCTGAGGATTCTGAGGCATCTCAAGTTTGTGAGAGTAATTGTAATTGATTGGCAATGTCTGCCATGCTCAAGGAAAGGCAGAAAGGTAATTTCCATGCTATGGGTTTGCCATCCTTGACTAGAAGAGCCCGTAAAATTCTATAATCCTACTTAATTCTGCAAAGGCTGTAATGTAGTGTGTTTGGTTTAGCAAAGATACCCCTGTCCCGGTAGAGGAGGAGCAAAGGGGAGCCCTCTTCCTAAGCAGGAAGTCCCTTGAGGCTTCCATTCCCTTCATGGCCCAGAGGAGACTGGAGTCTGGGGCCTAGGATGACACTTCAGTCCACTCCAGGAGAAGCTGCATTTGCTGATGAACAGAGAGAGGATGCTAAGATTAATTGAGCTCTTACTTTGTGACAGGTAGAGCCACTGTCATCCCATACAGCTACTTTGTGCAAATTAGAAGGCAGCACCCCTTCCTCTGGGCAGGTGTGGTCTCATCCCAGGGAAAAGCCTCTAGCAAGTGAAGTACAGGTTGGATCTTGGCCATCGCTTGTTGCCTCAGGGTACAACCTGAACAACAGTATATGGCAGCCTTGGTATCAAGTGCTGGTCCTTCCGCAGCAATGGGAAATAGGTAATTACAGTACACTGTGATAAAGAATAAAGTAAAATAAATGTTTAATGAAAGCACCCACCAAGAAACAGTATTATCTGAAGGATTGGGTTGATGGAGATGGGGAGCAAAAAAGGCTCCAGGGAAGAGGGGATGCTTAATGTGGGTCTTGAATGACAACTAGTGCTCCAGGGAGACAGGGAAAAGAAATTCAGCTCAAGCTGGGAGAATCACATGTGCAAAGGAACAGAGGTGTGAGACAGCATGTGGACTTGTGTGGGACTCATATCCAGAGTATGTGAGGGCAGCAATGGGAAGTAGAACGTATCGAAGGGTGAGGAAAGAGCCAGAAGGCTGTGTTTGTCCTTCAGGTCACTGGGAGAAGTGGAGCAAGATGATTGTCAGTGACATTATGTAGGAAGCTACTAAAATTGTACAGACAAGAGACGGTTAGAAGGTGAAATCAGCTAGGCCAGATGGCGGATATAATAAGAAGCTGAGGGAGACGGAGGAATCTAGGATGTCACTCAGAATCTCTGGCTTGGGTGGATGAAAAGATAGCAGTGCCATTATTGTTTAATGGACACAGACTTTCAGTTTTGGAAGATGAAAAAAGTCCTGGAGATGGATGGTAGCGATAGTTGCACAACCCTGTGAATGTACTCAGTTCCACGGAACTATACACTTAGAAATGGCTAAAATGGCTGAGAGGTGGGCCCTGGGGTGGCCAGCTGAGCTCGGAGCCAAGCAGGGTCAGGATAGACGAGGACGTGCTGACCACCCTGAAGATCCTCATCATCGGCGAGAGTGGGGTGGGCCAGTTCAGCCTCCTCTTGAGGCTCACAGATGATACTTTCAATCCAGAACTTGCAGCAACAATAATATGATTAGCAAACAGTATGATTAGAACGTATGCCAGGTGAAACAAAGGGATCACTGTCATAGAAGTTGCCTCAAATTCCAGCTGCCTGGAAAGCAATGTAAAGTGGACCACCTGCCACAAAAAATATACTCAGTGAGCTCCAAGCAAGTTTTGGGGACTTCCCAAAACCAACGAAAACTTCAACTAAAAGTAGAATTTCAAAGTACTGTAATTTAGTTAGCAACCAACCCCCCACATCAAACATGAACATCAATGTCTGTACTGAACAGCCTCATATGCTGGACACAAAATTTGTGTTATCGACCTGAATGTTACCAAGGATTCACGATTTCTGGCATCCATCGGTTTCATTTATTTATTTATTTACTTACTCATTTATTTATTTTGAGACGGAGATTCGCTCTTGTTGCCCAAGCTGGAGTATGATGGCACGATCTTGGCTCACTGCAACCTCTACCTCCTGGGTTCAAGCAATTCTTCTGCCTCAGCCTCCGGAATAGCTGAGATTATAGGTGTGCATCACCATGCCTGGCTCATTTTTTTTTAATTTTTAGTAGAAACAGGGTTTCACCATGTTAGCCAGGCTGGTCTCGAACTCCTGACTTCAGATGATCCACCTGCCTCAGCCTCCCAAAGTGCTGGGACAGGTGTGAGCCACCATGCCCGGCCCCAACATTGTTAATTTAAGAAAGTTGGATTGGCCAGGCGCGGTGGCTCATGCCTGTAATCTCAACACGTTGGGAAGCCAAGGCAGGTGGATCACCTGAGGTCAGGAGTTCAAGACCAGCCTGCCCAACATGATGAAACCCTGTCTCTACTAAAAATGCAAAAATTAGCTGGGCATGGTTGCAGGCACCTGTAATCCCAGCTACTCGGGAGGCTGAGGCAGGAGAATCGCTTGAACCTGGGTGGCGGAGGTTGCAGTGAGCCGAGATCGTGCCACTGCACTGCAGCCTGGGTGACACAGCGAGACTCGCCTTAAAAAAAAAAAAAAAAAGAAAGAAAGTCAGATTAAGTACCAAATACAGTAGAGCAAACCCAGCTGTGAGGCAAGGACCCCATCAAGTAGTCATGCAGTGCTTTTGTTAGGGTTCTCGGAGCAAGTCTTCCTCATCCCTCCCACATCCTCCTGACCTCCCTGTAAACCTGAACTACCAGGTACCTCGATTTTCTTCAAGGCCAGACTGTTCTTAATGTTGCTAAATTGGTTGAGGGAATGGGTGAGCCATCTTGCTCTGCACGTTGTCCTCAGGGTGCTCTTCAGGCAGTTCAGCAGCCACATGGCTTTGGACTGCAGGAGGAACTGGCCCATTACCTAGGCCAGTTACATCCCAAGATGTGTCCTCCAAAGAAGCCGATCAGACAGAGGGATGCTCACTGTGGTTGTAGCTCAGGTCGAACGTTTTGTCCACTTGCCAGACATCCAGGAACGGGTTGGAGGACACACAGAGCCTCTTGTACCTCACGCACACCTGCTCGTACTGGATCTGGCTTCCGTTTCCCTGTGCCACACGTAGATCCTGCACCGTGCTGTCCAATTTACTGACTTTGCAAAGATGTCCGGTTCCAGCAGTGGGTTGCTGTGGGAGCCCACCAGAATCCAGGTGAAATTGGCCTGAGTGCACCTCCTGGAGGTGGAGAGGCGGTAGGAATCGTTGGTGGTGAAATAGCCCTGCACAAAGCGTCTCTCCGCCTTGGCCGGGCTCCCCACCGGGATGCACTGCTCCTGCAGATCTTCCTCTTCGTCCTTGGGAAGGTGAAGGAAGCCGGCGCCCAGCACGGCCGTCAGCATCATGGGCGCCAGCAGGAAGATCCAGGGGTGCGCGTCCACCTGCCACCTCGGCCACTGGAAGAAGAGCGGCGCCTCCAGGCAGTCGGTGTGGCAGTGGCGCCAGCAGACGGGGTCTCCGGGGTTTCCACCTCTGGCAGGGGTGCGTTGTCCCCCTCCAACGCCGGGGATGGCTGTGGCCCCTGCCCCTGCCCCAGCGACGGCCGCCGCTCCGAGGGCTGCCCTGAAGCCCCGCCCGGCAGCGATTCCAGTTCCTGATCCCACTCCGGGACCTCCCCGGCCCCGAACCTTGTGACGTCGAGCTAAGCTCTGTCTGGGACCCCTGCGGCCTCTTGGAGCCTGGCCCCGGCCCCGGCTTCCCCTCTGACTCGGACTCCGGTTTCAGCTCTGACCCCGGCCAGACCCCGGCCAGACCCAGGCCCCGTTGCCCAGTCACGCTTCCTGGACGGCGACTCAGTCTTGGGGTCCAGCTGCGCCACGACCTTAGAGGAGCTGAAGCCCATTTCCGGGAAGCACAGGCGGCGTTCTCACTCGACACAGCCGGTGAAGAAGCAGCTGCTGGCGGAGCTGCCACCTCTGCCCTATCCAACGGCTTCCTGGAGAAATTCTAGGGGAGCCTGTGTGAGCGCGCCTGGAGCAGAGGCGGCGTGGGGAGCACGTGGTTGGCCCTGTCGCTTAACTAATCTGAAATGTGTTGGTGGCATGCTTGGCCTCTCAGGAGGTTCAGCAAATACAACGAACACTTCTTCAAGGCCATCAAATGCGTGCCTGTTCTGTGGGACTCGCAATGTATTGGGAGAATTTGAGTGTTTCTCCCCACAACACATAAACGGCACAGAAATTCCACGTGTCGTGAGTAACAGATTTTACCTTTCTTGCAGTCCACCCAGTAGCAGTTTGAGGTCAGACAGGTAATGCGACGACGTTGTAACAAGGTTCGAGAATAGCACATCTCACACACACGTGTGAACACCCAATCATCAGGCTCATGAACTACAAAAGAATCCTCAAGCCTTTTAAATAAACTTCCACTCCTGCTCTGAAAAAAACAAAAACAAAAACAGGCTAAAACGGTAAATTTTGTGTTATGCATATTTTACCACAATTTCTTAATGGAGGGGAAAAGATGGCAATGTCATTGGGACAAAGGGATATGGAGGGAGATGAGAAATCACAGCTCAGAAGCCTCAGCTGTGAATTTCTTCCACCAGCCTCCCAACAAGGCTCAGGTGCTTCTTGTTGGGCGTCCTCTGCACTGTCATAGGCTTCCATTAGCCATGCTGCTACCACAGTGTCATGGTTCCCAGCTGCCTCTGGAAGGTAGGAGCATGGAGGGGAGAGGCTGTCTTCATTTTGTATCCAAGGTGTGCACCTCTGACTTTGACCCTGGTTGAAAGGGAGGGTATGTGTGTATTAGGGGTGGGGGTTGGGGAAATAGGCCATCAGGAAAGGGAGGGAGTTCCAGCAGTGGCCTTTAATTTGATCATGAAATAGCAGACCATGTCATCATCTGCTGGCAGGAATTTGGTATGGGGGCCTTAAAGAAGGCTTGGAATTATGAAACAAGAAGATGGGCACGAGAGCTGATCAAAGGAAAGGAAAAGGATTGTTCCAGGGTGACATACCTCAGGCTGGAAACCATTTCCATCAGTATAATTAGCAGTGTGATTTCCTCCAGCTGTGCTTAGCAGCATGACATCAGAAACAGCAAGCTGAGTGGTTGGAGGGACCCAGAACTGGGGCTTTGATAGGTAGGTGGGTTGTGAGTACAAAGCAGCAGAGAATTGAAGGTGCTGGGGAGAGAGTGGTTCGCATGCTTGACTGTGAGATCCAGTCTGGGTAGGGAAGGGAGTGAGGTCAGAAAGGAGCTGACAGATGGAAGGGGAGACCAGAGGACTGGATGATGTCAAGGGACCTATTTTGGGGGAATAAAGGAAGGGAAGTTTAGTGAGAGTGGATGACTCAGAAAACTGGAGGAATAAAATATGGAGCTGGGAAAGTTAAGACTTTGGAGGTGATATGGTTTCAGAGGATAATAAAGTCTTGGGTGTGGCCCAGAAGTGGTCAGCTGAAGGGGAATGAAAGGGGACAGTGTTGAGCAGGTTGGGGAACTGCCAGGCCAGATAATTGGCAGGCCATCCACAAGGGGCAGGGGCAAGTCTGCTTGTGGGGCTGAGAACCAGGCTATGCTTCATGTACTGAGCACCTAAAGCTTTCTGCAGTCATCTCTGCTCTTCTCAGCCGACGGCTGCTCACTGCAGGCAGGACTGGAAATGGCAGGAAATAACAGATAAGAAGTAAAGGATAGCACTTGGTAGACAGCCCAGTGGCTCCAGGGACACATGTGCTTCTCAGAGGCCAAGGAAGGACTGGTTCAGTCCTTGCTGCTAGCAGCACCTGCCAGCATGTGGATTGCAGTCCCATGTGCCTGGATGCAGACCCTGCAACTTTTTAGTTTTGATATTCATTGTTACCTCTGGGCAGGAATGAGCATGGTGAACTGAATAATAGAGATGAGACTGGATTACGCTGGTTTTGATCTGTTTCAGGACAGGAATTGTTTGACTTTGTGGTTGCTAAAAGAAAGGCAATTCTCCAAACTAAGACCATACTTTATTCCTGAGTTTAGAATTAACTGATTAAAATCCTGAGACTTATGTTTATTGTAGCACTATTCACAACAACCAAGATATAGAATCAACCTAATAACCCACAAATCAGTCATTTGCAGCAGCACGGATGCACCAAGGATTTTCCACCAAAAAAAACAAGGCATTGATAAATGTAAAATTAATCAATTTTAATTATTTAAATTAAATAAATTAATTAAATATAAATAAATAAATTAAATAAATAATTTAATCAAATTTAATTATTTAAAATTAATCATCAGGATGGTGGTTCATCTGGGGGCCACCAGGGAAGTGCACATCAGGCTTCAAGGGTGCTGGCAACATTCCTTTTCTCAGGCCAGGTGGTGTGTACCTACCTGGGCTTGTTTGAATCCTTAAACCAGACATATATGGACAATATATTTGTATATAAACCTGCAACAAAGAGATGACTAAACGAAGAGATGACTAACCTTATTAAGAAATAATATGGTATTTAGAGGAGAAGAAAGAAGGAAAAGAAGACCAGAAGCTGGAGAACCTGGCAACAAATGTGATGTCAAGGCAAGAGGAAGCAGAGCCTGGTTCTGGAGCCCAGATTCTACAGTGGGACAGATAGATGTGCATTTGAATTCTTTTTTGTTTGTTTGTTTTGTTTTGTTTTGATACAGAGTCCTGCTCTGTCACCCAGGCTGGAGTGCAGTGGTGCGATCTCCGCTCACTGCAAGCTCTGCCTTCCAGGTTCACGCCATTCTCCTGCCTCAGCCTCCTGAGTCGCTGGGACTACATGCGCCTGCCACCGAGTCCGGTTAATTTTTTGTATTTTTAGTAGAGATGGAGTTTCACCGTGTTAGCTAGGATGGTCTCGATCTCCTGACCTCGTGATCCACCCACCTCAGCCTCCCAAAGAGATATTCATTTGAATTCTAACTTTGTCTTTTCGGAGCTGGGTAGATCTCCATAACCTCTCAGGGCATCAATTTCCTCAGTTGTGAAAGAGGAACAAAAATAGATCCATCCTGAGGTTGCCAGGTGAATTAAGTGACATAATATATGTACCACCTAGTGTGGTGCTGGCCATCTAATTCATGGCCTTCCTGTCCTTTCTTACCATGCCTTTTCCCTCCCTCCATCCCCACTCCTTCCCCCACACAGCTCTGGCTAAAATCAGCCTAACTGCTCTTCTTCCTGTTGAGTTATTTATAAACTGGCCACCTGGGAGTGGCATGAAAAGGGCTGCTGCCCTGGGGCGTGGATGCTGGGCCTATGGTGACAGGCCTGTGTGACGGAGGGTGGTGATTCAACAGGGTCATTCATGATGCCTCTTGTTTAGAGGGCAATGCGTGCTATGGGTCCTTTTTTCTAACACTTGCAGAAGATTTCAGCCCCGGCCACGATGTTTGCTGTCAGCGGATGGAAAAGTCTTCCTCAATTGATGGTTCATACCCCATTCTTCTGAAGTGCTGGTTATGTTCAAAACTCTGCCAGAAAAGGTTTGTATTTTTTTGCATGTGTGCCAGAATGGAAACTGGCTGGTTTTTGTCTCACAGTTAAACGTATCAATTCCAGAGAACATCCCTTCTTTTATTCAGACATCTAACTACTGAAATCTTTTCACAGCAGCCTTTTCTGCTTTATTATAATTTGTCTTGGGCCTCACTATGCTTTGATTTCTCTTTCTCCCTGGTCACTAATGAACATTAGTTCAAGCCTCTGACATTTCTTATTAATCTTCAATTTCTTTCCAACCCTTCCAAAAAACCCCACTGGTGCTCTGAAGTTAATGAGAGGTTGAGATCACACTTGTAACTTAGGGTTACTGTTTTCTGAGGGGTGCTCTGTGTAACTCACTTACTGATTAAGGGCAATGTTGGTAACAATTTTTTTAAAAAAGAAAACACAGAAACACATAAAACATAAGTATTTGCTAAAGAAATAAAATACAATGTTGAAAATGGCATTTGGGAATATTCTGATTTTTCTTTGTAAGTGAAATCTTGTTTAGCAACCTTGGTTTCTTACCCCTACTTTCATTGAAGAAGTTTCAGACTTTTATTTTTAAAATATGGAAATACTACCTTCTGCAGTTAGATCATAATTTTTCACTTTTCCTCCACTTGGACATTGATACATAAGATCCATGGTTTGATTTTCAGTCATGTGTTGGTTTAAACAATGTTGATAAATATCTATACCTTGCTTACAGGTATTCTCTCAAGATTGTTGTCTGAATATGAGTCCCTTCTATGAATTGATTTGTGACCCTTGTAATTCATTGACGGCCATACAAACATTTTGATGTGTTCATGGCCTTCAGTGACTTTAAACAAAGAAACACATTGCTTTAACCCCCCACAGGGGTTCCCTTGTCCAAGGGCATGTAACCTTGGTTCATCAATAGGTTTATTGTTCTTTTTCTGATATTATCCTGTATATACTGTGACAATGTTTATGGAAATATTCTTGTTTAAAGATATCATCCCCATTCAGTGTTCATATATTTTTATATGCCTCTTAGAAACTTCCTAAAACGTATTTCCTTGTATTAATTTTATCCACAGGCAGCTTTTAAAGCCTTAAAGCGAACTCTACAACTGATAGCTCCTCTGCATGATATCGTGGCCTACCTTGTCAGTTTTGCTAAGCTTGGCAATTGTCCAGCATGTTTTGAATTTCCTCGAAGTCCCAACCCTTTGAGAGGTGACTGGGGAGGAACTGAGGGCATTGGTGAGTGATTAAAGGTGATTCAAATCACCTTCAATATTCACTGGAAGTTCTATGAAGCTCTTAATACTTGGAAAGACAGAACTACAATATACTCTCATAAATGACAGCAATCAGAAGGGCAAAGGAAAAGTCCAAACTGTCTTATAGACTGTCTCCACACTGCACAGCTATCTGTTTGATTCCACATTCACGGGCTATACCCCAAAGTGCACCAAGTTGGGAGTCTGGAGGCCTGGTTCTTACTCTGCCTCTGCCACTTGGTTACTGAAAGCTGGGTACTTTACTCTCTGGGTCTCTGCTTGTCCATCTATAAAATGGGGTGATAGTATCTGTCTCATAAAAATGTTCTGTGGATTGAAATTTATGTAAAAATTCTAGGATATATAAGCCCCCATTAAATATTAGTTTTCTTTCGTTCCCGTTTCCTTCCTGGCCTTCATAAACTCACATGGCAAGGTCAGAGCCAATCACTCCCTATTAAGAAGCTTGTAAACAGCCCTTGGTTAGCTATCAATGACCTAAAAGTCTTTGTGGTAAGAATGATTGAGGCTGTAGTTTTATACGCCCAGTGCTCATCAGCACAGGTTATATTATAAGATAAACACATGAGGTGAATTAAAGACACTAAAATGTTTACTAAGCTACATTTATCAGAATCAGGGAAAGTAATCTTGCCTTAATAATGTGACTACCATCCAAATAATGTCACTGGTCATGTAAATATAAATTAATAGCAAAATACTATAGTAGCCAGGGATTTTAAAGAAGAAGAGCCTACGAAATGAGGCAATATGCCTATTTAAACCTAATTGCTCTTAAAACAAATGTCAGAGAATCTGAGGATATTCCCCTGTGGCTGGTTGGTGCATAAAGGAAATACATTTGTGGGAGACCTTGGAGCTGGTGGCAGGTATATTTGCATTGTGCTAAGGAACACTGAAGGGCTCTGTAAACATTTAGATGTAGACATAGGGAAGGGCATGAGTGCTGATCTGGGAGGAGGATAATGCCTGTGTCTAGGAGTGGCAGGATGAAGGGAGAATGGTAGTGGTGCCGCCTCAGCAGAAGGCACAGAATTGTTGCAGGCTAATGAGCTCTCAGAGTGACTCACAAGTCTTCAACATAAGCATCCGATTAAAGAAGCTCCAAAGCACTCTTAGGTCCTTTCCTTTTACTAGTTTGGGGACTGTTGTAAATGGGGCTTACTCAGAAAATAAGCTAAGACACTCTTCGGAGAGCTGTTGGATGTCAGGAGGGTGTGGGGGCTGAGCTTTAGCTAACGCACAGGAAGAAGGAGTGTGGCCAAGAGAAATGTCCTGCCTGCCGTTGAGATGGGGAGGCAGGTGTTACATGGAGATGAGATAGAACCGAGAGAGCCAGAGCCATGTTTCCTGGTGAAGTCACTACTTAGGAAGTCCTACAGCAGCTGGGAGTAAAGGGCGCCCCCAGGCAAAATCTGCAGGGAGGTGATCTGGGGTGCTTCCCAGACTGGACAGGAGTGGACTTGGATCAGTGTAGAAAATAGGAGGGACAGTCCTAGCAACATAAGAAAAGGACACTGGCGAAAGCAGCAGGCAGAACTGCACGTGGCCAGTCCAGAGTAGTGAACCTACCTGTGAACGAACCATGAGTATGGCTCTGAGGAACAATGGGAAATGAGGCCAAGTTGAGGACCTAGAATTCAGGAAGAAGGGAATTGTTTTCTTGCCATTTCTGCATTGTGAACCCAGAAACCATTGAGATATGTGGGGCCCAGGCTTTCTGAAGCATGCAGAGAGGCCCACATTGTCATGTTACACATTTGTGCTCCAGGGAAAATGTACAGTTTTGCATGCTCTGCTTTGCTCAAAATAAAGAGCAAACTTAAAAAAATATATATCCCCTCCAAGATAATCTTTTTAAAAAGACTAGGCTGCTTAGTTCCTGGCCTGTTTCCCAGAGGAGGCAAGAAGAACTAAGGGAAAAGATGAAATGAGAGTCTGTTTCTTTAAGCCATCTCAGAACAATTTAGAGTTCGTTCTAAATTGTTAGTTCTAATTTTTAGTTAGTTCAAATTACTTTTGTGGATTTGTATGCTTTAAAGTATTTTTAAAACAAATCTTGAGGGAAACTCAAGATTTCAGCTTTTGGTCCTCCCCTTGACTGACGAAAACAGCTCTTAGACACTGTGGACCAGCTCTGTGGATACAGCCAATTCTCTCCTTCCCTGAAAGCCAGTAACTCCCTTTGAAGTCCACGTGAAGCAGAGGATGTAATCAGAATGTGGACGTTTACACTGTGACTTCCTTTGCAAAGGATAAGGAGGCCAATTAAAGCCCAAATACTTCACACTGAACTTAGGGTTTCAGGAACTCTCTAGACAAACGAGGAATGAAGTGTACGAGCTCTGAGTCTTCATGCAGAGACAGGGCCACTGTGACTCCTCTCTCTCTCCCTCTCTCTCTGGCTGCCTGGCTGTCTGTCTTCTCTGACTTCCCAAACAGGACCCTCTTGGGAAAGACATGAGCAAAGGCTCCTTTCCCAATGTTTCCTGGCACAGGGTTCACCCTAGCCTCACCACCATCGCTGCCTGCAACAACCCTCTGCCCTGTCCCCACCGCCAGGCTGCTTGTCCTGCCACCTCCCCTCCCACCAAGCCTCTTGACTCCACAAAGGAAGGAAAGTCAGAATGAGGATTTAAAGATCAGTAAAATAACAAAGGAAAGGCAGTCCTGCCTCCACATCTGTATTTTAATGATAATACTACATATCAACATACAACAATTTTGCTGGGAAGCGATCACCTGCCAGTAGTATATAAATGATGGAAATGACAGAAAAAAAAATCACCTGTAAGCCAGCCACTCTAACAAGTGAAATAATTTTATTTATCTTTACTCCCTTCTAGCCCATGCCCAAATATATTCCATATTTACATTTTACCCAGCTTTAACCATAAGGTATGTGTAATTTTATATTCTCCTTTTTTCATTGTCGTTGCAGAGGATTAGAAAAATTTCCCCTGGTTACTGCATAGCCTGATAGAGTATATTACTTTTAGACCGAACACACTAGGCCTTGAACAAATGAGGCTCCCTGACCACCTCTCCTCCTTCCCACCACCACAAAAGTTCTTGCACAATTCACTCTAATATGACTCTTTTTCTGGTGAACTCTTCAGTCCAATAGAACTATCAGATTTAGAGGAGTCATAAAAGAGTTTGCTGATTGGACTCTATTATTTGGGGCTGGAAACAAAAATAAAACACATTTTTTATTGTATAAAACAGCAAATGGATATGAAATCTGATCTGCTCATCTGTTCTTAAAGCCAAGAGCACATGTTATACATGTTAGCAACCGTTCTCAGCCCTGGATCTGCCTGATCAGGCTCTCATGGACAGCTTCCCCCTCCCACAACTCTCTGCTTTCTGCTTTCTTAGTCGGTAGATGCTGGAGCCCAGTACTTGGCTAGGGAGGAAAGAAGGCTGCTTGCATGTGGACCAGCTGTCAAGATAGAGCATCTCCAGAAATGCCCTGTGGGCTTCCTGTCTCACTCCTGCCTTGGACTGCACGTCGAGGCATTGTGATCAGTTTTCACAATCCTA
This sequence comes from Homo sapiens, assembly GCF_000001405.40. Lineage (NCBI taxonomy): Eukaryota > Metazoa > Chordata > Mammalia > Primates > Hominidae > Homo > Homo sapiens. Next base: position 109,299,280 of record NC_000006.12, read on the forward strand.
ATAACAGGGATGTCCTCTCAGGGTAGAAAACGATCACTATGTTCACAGGGATATTTCAGACCAGCTGACATTCTGGTAGCCCTGTAAGTGTGAGCCCAGCCATGTTCCCCAAGGGCTCATCACTTTCCACTGTGCTATCCTGTTCTGACTAGCTCCTTCTCTATGCCAGTAACTAGGATATACATACTTAGATGCTAGGATGGTCATCCAGACTCAGGCTGGGTTCCACATCCCAGCACTGAGTGACCCACAGGCCCCTAAGTTAGATTTTTACCCAAAATGAATACAAATCTATGTATATGTAGCCTACTCTTGCAGTAAGGGTCTAAGAAATAAGGCAAATATGGATCCCTCACATTTACTCCTAAAATGACTAGAATCTCCTAGAGGGATATGTATGCATATGTATATGCATGTGTATGTATACATATGTGTGCATATCTTTATATATACACATATGCACATGTGTTTTTTACTTGCTTTGGATGGTCTTGAGTCTTCTTTAATCCATGAGCCAGTGACAGGGAGTGCTGATTTGGATATAGCATGGCAATGAGAGATGAGTGCTGATTCATAATCTTTGATGGTTTCAAGTGCCTAACAGATATACTAAGGACTAGACTTTCCTATTCCTGTCACTTCTCCTTTTTGTTCTATTTCAAGACCATGGCCTTATAAATTTTAAAACTTTCTTTCCATGGCCTGCTCTTATTGTACTGAAAAGCCAAGCAAATTTTTATCTTCCTGAGGAAGGAAGGAGACATAAATCAGACCTTTGATTCTACAGCATAAGGCTTTGCTGGTCTTGCAAAACATATAATTAGTATACCCACAAACAAAACAAGGGAAGTCTGATTAGGTGACAAGTATGGGACAAAATGTTGGTTTACTGGTTTAGCTATAGTAGCCTATATTTCACACTGTCAGACTAAAATGTTGTCCATCTTCTAGGGTCTGAGCTTCAAGAGCTGCAGAACATGATTGACAGCCTCCAGAGCCCCCAAGACCCTATCCGGGTGGCCCAGGCACTCCTCCTCCGGAGGGAGGTTATATTTTTGCAGTTTGACGCTGCAGTAAGGCATCTCATCCGGTAAGGGCTGGAGCACTAATCCTGTTCTAGTAAATTCTGCAGCGGAGGTGTTTGCTGAGTGACCATATAGGGAGGCCACTCTTGGCAAGGTTAGATAATGAGCTTAAAATAGTCATGGGCACAAGCAGATCCAGAACGCCATGGCTACCAAACATGACCTGCCGCAAAGCCTGTCTGTGAGAATATGTTCTTGTTGGCTAATAACACTCTTGATTTTAGCAAATGTAATTTCAGAACAGTTCATATAATGATTGCTGCTTTCAGTGTACAGGGGGTTCTACTGGGAATAACATTTTTGTACTTCTAAAGATGATTAGGTTTTTTTTTTTCAACATTTGTTTACCTTTCAAAGAGACAGAATTTTTACTGCCCCTCTCAAGCTAATGGAATTGGCTACCAGCGTTAAATTTATAAATAAATCCATCTACCTCTAGCCTTGTAGGTACTATTGTGTTAAGTACTCCACATACAAAAGGAATGTTTCAATTGGTTAATTAATCATGATGCTGATGGGAAAATTAGCTTGGATTAAGTTTCATAATGTTTCCAGTATAAATAAGTTTTGTATGAGAGGGAAGGAGGGTTAGCCCTAAAGGTCTCTGCTTATTTTTTAATTGTCAAAATTAACTTTTTTGGGTTAGCTCCCGGTGTGAGTATTTAGCCACTGAGAGGGCCTCAGAGGGCTGTCTGTGCTCTTACCTGTAGGTTGCAGCTGCTTTCCACTGCACTTGTGGGCATCCATGGAGAATGACAAGGTGGGGGTTGCACTGAACTGTCTTGTTCTTTTTCTACTCTCAATCTTCTTTACTCTGACATCAGAGGACTCTTGGATTTAGAATGTAAATTCAGCAGGACAAAAATCAGGCTAATTTGTTGTCTTTATATTGACAAATAGCTTCCTGAGCTGTAGCTTAGTCAAGCAGGTAAGATGTAAAGCCTCAGACAATTATCAGGATGGCCATTTGTTAGTCCTCTGGGCTCTGAAAGCCCAAGGTCAGAATTTGCAAGGATTTTACATACTGGTGAAGAAAAGTCCTTTTTGGATTTTAGCTATGAAGGATTCTGTTTGGTACTGCTCTCCCAGGGGAACCACTCTGCTTCCAGGAAATCCCCTGGAATTGCTTTGCCAGGGCTTTCTTTGTCCTCACACTCGGTCTACAGAAATGGAGGGCATTGTGTCCTATTTCTGGTTTTATGTACTTTTCTGTGACCCTCTGGAGAGAATCACCCAGATGGTTCACCCCACTGTGTCCTCCACTGGTTACATTTCCCCAGCCTTTTTTCTTCAGAGCTGTTCAGATTGTGTGTGTTTGGAATTATACAGCTAGTAAGTGGCAGACTAGAATTAGAACCTAGGTGTGTTTGACTCCAAAACCCGAGATCTATGATGGAGACCAAGCAGCAGCATGGACAGAGAAGAGGATGCTGAAGAAAAGGCAAGAGGCAGGAGAAAAAGAGAAGCTAAAAGATAAATGTCATCCCTCTTGATTGTTTTACTTAGTGCTGAACCTGTAAACAAGGGAAGTCCTCAGAGAATGGAAAGAGATAGGAAGCTTGGGACAGTTCCCTGACCCTTCCTGGAGCTCACCAAGACTGAGCAAACCTGACTGTTTACCCCAGGAATTTTCTGCCCATGTAAGCTGAAGGCTTCTCCAGAATTTGCAAAGGAAAAACTGAACTCTTACCTGGAATAAGGGCGGCATGCTTCACAGATGAGGGTGGGGTATAGGGGGAGGAAGGATGTTGCTCAGGGGTGACAGGACAGTAGCCCTGTAAAGTCGCTGAAAATTTGGCTCCTGCTTCTCTGTGGCATAGATCATCTTGGGTACTGGCTATGTGCATGTTTCTAGGCACAAAACATTTCACTCTGCCCGTCTCAACCCCCCTCTACTAGCCAAAGGGCTGATGGAAATTGATAGCTGTCATCCGAAGGGTTGGATCACACTGACCAGGGCCCAGCATTCATCTCTGGACATGTCCACCAACCTGCAGGAGTTATTGATTAGCCAATTCAAGAAATGCCCGAGGATTGAGTTATCTTTAGTGCCAGGTGAATTAGTCATTTGCATTGAAGGTAAATGCTTGGGTGACAAAGCAGTTCTATCCAATCTCATCTATTTAAGTAAGGAGTTGGCAAACTACTGCTGGAGGTCTCTGCCGATTTTTGTATGGTCTGTGGGCTAAGGATGGCCTTCCCATCTTTAAATGGTTGAAAAAAATGTGTAAAAGAATAGTATTTTGTGACCCATGAAAATGCTATGGAGTTCATATTTTCATGTCCGTAAATGAAACATTGTTGGAACACAGTCATGCCCATTCACTTACGGATTGTCACCGCTTTCACACTACAACCACGGAGCTGAATAGTTGCCACAGAGTCCGTAGGGTCTGCAAAGATGAAAATATTTACCATCTGGTCCTTTAAGAAAAAGTTTAGGCTGGGCGCGGTGGCTCAAGCCTGTAATCCCAGCACTTTGGGAGGCCGAGGTGGGTGGATCACAAGGTCAGGAGATCAAGACCATCCTGGCTAACACAGTGAAACCCCGTCTCTACTAAAAATACAAAAAAAAAAAAAAAAAAATTAGCCGGGCATGGTGACGGGCACCTGTAGTCCCAGCTACTCGGGAGGCTGAGGCAGGAGAATGGTGTGAACCCGGGAGGCGGGTGAGCTGAGATCTCGCCACTGCACTCCAGCCTGGGCTAAAGAGCGAAACTCCATCTCAAAAAAAAAAAAGTTTAGTTTTTTATCCCCTGATTTAAAGAATACAATTCGTTTGCACTTTAGGGGTAGAAGGAAAGAAAGAAGTCCCTCAAAGTTACTCTATAGCACGGTATAAAATATATAGCATGAAACATGCCTTTAGTCTGAATGTATTGTTGATGTTCAGGGTGATTAGGGTAAAAAGGAGAAAGCTGAAGAGATATCCTGATAATATAATCCTTCCTGCAGCAAGCCTGCTTTAGGAGTACATCAAGGAATTTCTAAAGAAAACAACACGAGCCTCTCATTCCTTGAATGTTTGTTGCTTTTCTCTTCATTTTTGTTTTTGTTTTTGAGACAGAGTCTCACTCTGTCTCCCAGGCTAGAGTGCAGTGGCATGACCTCAGCTCACTGCCACCTCTGCCTCCCAGGTTTAAGTGACTCTCGTGCCTCAGCCTCCCGAGTTGCTGGGATTACAGTTGTGTGCAACCACACCCGGCTAATTTTTGTATTTTTCGTAGAGATGGGGTTTCACCATGTTGGCCAGGCTAGTCTCGAACTCCTGACCTCAAGTGATCCGAGTGCTGGGTATAGGTGTGAGCCACTGCACCCAGCCTTCTCTTCATTTTTGAATGTGTTTTTATTTTCATGCTCACTTACTCAGCTCTCTCTAAACATGCAGATATTTATGTGTGCTTTGACAGCTGGGTGTGGTGGCTCACTCCTTTCATCCCAGCACTTTGGGAGGCCTATGTGGGAGGATCCCTTGAGCCCAGGAGTTTGAGACTGTTGTGAGCTATGGTTGTGCTGCTGCACTCCAGCCTGGGCATCAGAGATCCTGTCTCTAAACACAAAAAGAAATAAAAATTAAAAATAAAGTGTGCTTTGGGTTGTCTGGGGATTCCTGGGAGACACAAAGGAGCCTGGGCCCTCACATGAGCAGTGCTGAACTCATGGCCACGGCCCTCGTTTTTGGTATCTGATAAGCAAAGAGCTTTTGCCTGTCCTCCTCCGGGCCACTTTCCAGGTTTCATTATGTTGTTACCTGGAGGAAAACTCTAGCATGTGCCCTGTGAGTTCCCTGAGGTTCAAAATAGCTTTTACTGATGGCAAGAAGATTAAACTTTCCAATGCCACATCACTGACTCACACTTGGAGTTTAAAAGTGATCCGTTTGCGATTTAAAATCAGTTAATTCAAGATTCTCCCTCTTCCCCTTTGTTTTAATCACCTCCTCTTCACTTGCTGGAGAGGGAAGGGTTCTGCCTTAGGGTCATGGGGATGGCTGAACACACAACACCTGACCCTGGACAGATGGGGTGAATGGTAATTTATTAGTCACAGACACAATCCAGAGGAAGAGGACACTGCCCCCCTACACAGGGCCACTTGGGAACAGAGTGAACAAGCAAGGGCTGTGGGAGGCAGGTTTTGTAATATCAGGAGAGTGTGATGTTCTGTGCTTCACACAGGAAGGGGTGATTGATTTGAATAATGCTGTGGTCTGGCAGGGAACTGAAACTACTACTCAGGGATAAGCAGGAATTGCACCTGGTTCCTTTGATAAGGAAGGTCGTTAAACCTGGAGACCTTATCTGTGGGAGCGGAGTGGGGAGTGGGGAACTTTGTGGCTAAGCTATTTGAGGCCTCCCGATTTTGCCAGAAGTCAAGGCAGCACAAATTTTGGACCTTAAGTTTAGGGCTCACATGACACTCTTCTTGTTCTTCCATCCTCTCAGAGGTGATCTAAGTTTGTGGCAGTGCTTTCAAATCTTCCTGGCAGTTGGGAAGACACAGCCACTTCCCTTATCTCTGCTGTGGGTGAGCTGGCCTCTTCTGGTTAGCCTGCTGTTCAGCACCCCTCTGGGTACCCACATGTGGAGGTCTTTCTCCCCACTTTGAGGGGCTGCCAGTCTTCCTGGGAGGCCACCTCACAGAGAATCCAAGCAAAAGGTACCTTCTGCTCTGGGATACCCTCCTCCAACTTATCCAGCATCTTTCCTTAGGCATCCACTAGAACTAAGCTCTAGAAATAGTCTTTCCTTGTTTAACTGTTATTTCCTTTTAGGCAAGAAAAATCATTCTAATCTATCATACATACTTCCTTCTCTCTGACTTATGGTATAAATTTCATGCTCCAGTCTTCAGGGTTTGTGGTTCTTGATATACAAAGCCATGTTTTGTTTAAAACCAAACAAGAACTTTTCTCCTCCAAACCCCAAGGAGGCTTAAAATTTAAAATTTAGTTTTTATAAAGAACTATTGTCTCAGCTGTTGGTCTTAAAATAATTCATTCAATAAACAATTGATAGCTTTTTTCTAGAGCTACAGCTTCACTATTCAGTTCAGTAGCCACATGTGGCTATTTAATTTACTTTAATTAAAATTATTATTAATTTAAATGAAAGAAAATTAAAAATTCAAGCTGGTCTGAGTGCAGTCGTGTTTACAACTAATTGATCACAACCAGTTACAGATTGCTTTATTCTTTCTCCACTCACACTGCTTCACTTGACTAGCCCTTAAAAAAAAGAAAAAGAAGAAAAAGAAAATTAAAAATTCATTCCCTCAGTCACAGTAGTCACATTTCAAGTGTACAACTGCCACACGTGGCCAGAGGCTACTCTACTGGACAGTGCAAATATAGGACATTTCCACCATTGCAGACTCTTCTGGCAGACATTGCTAGTCGAGAGTATGCCAACCCTCCCCGTGAGGGCTACGAACTGTGAAAGTCGAGGGCAAGGGGCATGGGGGTTGATGTGGCTGAAGAAGGAACCTGTTAATATATCAAAATGTTTTCTTGCTTCTCTAACTTTGAGGAAAGTTTTGAACTTTAGAAGTGTAAGTAACTGCTTTTAATGAAATGCCCCCCCATGTTTTGGTAGAAGAACATTTTTGGCAGCTGGAAATGTTCCTGCCTACCAGTCTGTCACAGACGGCATGTGCCATGGGCTACCAGCACTGAGCAACTCTCTCAGGAAGAGCATTTTTGCCTCACAGCTCAGCCTGCCCCAGCCACTGGATCCACGGAGCCTCCAGGTGTGTTTCAGATGTATTTTTATACTGTAAATGGTGTGCAGTGTGTAGGGAATCTAGTCAGTTTGTTTCCATTTAGTTTAGATTCTGCAGGGGCTTTCAAGACTTTAATGCCCTCTGTCTTCACTGGCTCTGCTTCACTTGCACAGTGGAAGAGTCTGGGCCCCAGGGCCGGCTGTGATTCCCAGTCAGGGTCTTTGTCTCCAAACACTCAACAGGCTGATCGTGGCAACAGCTTGTCTGTTCACAGTTGATAGCAAAACAAACAATCTTCTCCACTTAATAAATCGTCATGATAGCAATTGCAATACATAAATGACGTCAGTAGCTGGGTTTTCAATAGCCCTGGTTATAACACCTGTTATTGAAGGTAATCCTGGCAACTATTGTTGCTCCTAGGCAGGAACAATATTACCCACCTTCTACAACCAAAGAGTTCAAGATTCAGGAAGGCCAGAGATCAGACTATTCCAGAATCATGGCAGCACCAGGTTGCAAGCTGTATTAGTTACTTATTGCTGCACAATGATTTACCCTAAAGTTTGGCAGATTAAAACAATAGACATTCATTATCTAACATAGTTTCTGAGGATCAGGAATCTGGGAGCAGCTCAGGTGGGTAGTTCTGGCTCAGGGTCTCTCATGAGTCAAGATGTTGGCCAGGGCTGTAATCATCTCAAGGCTCAACTGGAGGACAACCTGCCTCCAAGCTCACTCCTATGGCTGCTGGTGGGCACCAGAAGATCCACTTCCAGGCTTATTCACATGGGCTTCTGCACAGAGCTTCTTTGCAACACAGCCGATGGCTTCCCCCAACACAAACAGTCCAAGAGAGAACCCAAGATGGAAGTCGCAGTGTTTTTATTACCAGATTTCAGACTCTCCATCACTTCTGTCATATTCTTTTCACTGGAAGTGAGTCACTAAGTCCAGAACACATTCAAGGGGAGGGGAAGTAAGCTCCACCTCTTTACAGGAGGAGTGTCAAAGAACTAGTGGATATCTCTTTCAAACTACCTCACAATCCCTGGTCTTTTGACTCCAAAATTTCCAGTTTAATATTCTGATTTTATAATGCTAAGCCAAGGGACACCAACATCAACCTCAAGCAAGTCCCACATTTCTACCTTCAGTGGCTGCAAGACAGTGACTTTTGGCCCAAGCCATGGCCCTCATTTAGACCCAGAAGACAGGGTCGGACCGTGACCATTGGATCTGCTCTTGCTTCCTTTGGGTGTTGCCTGGGATTAGGTGGATATAGGAGTCCCGGCTCCTTGCTGTCAGAATCAACTCCAACTCCAGGACTTGACTAAAACCAGAACCAGGTCTGGAAGTGTAGAATGGAGTCAGATAGGCAGGCCCACTGGTTCCAGGGCTGCAGATGGTGTCACAAAGGACAGAGGATGCCTTAGCTGTTGGTTAGTGATATGGAGGAGCCAGAGACTCACATGTAATAATTTGTGGTGCTGGTCTTGAGTTGTTACCGAGAATTGGAGCACAATAATGATGAAGGACAACTTTTTAAGGTTCCTGATATTGAGAGCATTTGAGTAAATTTATTTTTATTGATTTTAAATATGTCCCATTGGTGTTATACTGTTCTGGAACTTCTGAACACTGGTGCTGATTAGTTACACTGAAATCTTAAGTACTCTTCTGTGTTTCACCATCTGCTGAGAAAACAATTTAAAAAATAAATTATTGCTGTCTCTTCTATATCTCTAGGAACTATCAAGAAATACTTACACATAATAAATAAGTCATCCAAAATTGTTTTGCGGTACAGACACAGATATCCTATTCATATACAGATATCTATTAATTTTGAACACAAAGTACAACATTATCATCTTTATTATTTTGTTCTCTTAGGCATTTGAGCTGTTTCCTTGGAGAGCATTTCTGGAAGATGGAGGACCATTCCCAGTTATGAGTAACAGCCCAGATACCCTAGAATATAATATGCAGGTAGGATAGGTCTTCTCCATTGTTGCAGAGAGAACTGAGCGCAGACTGCAAAGATGGTTGCCATTGGGTTCACAGGTCAGATCCTCCTACTCTCACCCACGATGAATAATGTGTGAGATAAGCAGGGTGTTTGATTTTGAGGCTGTAAACCCAGGGTCACGAGGTGAGTCACATTTTCTTATGATAGAAGGGAAGCATGCTCTCAACTGGCATGGGCCTGGGTTGTAGACTCAGCTGCAGTTTTCGTAACAGTAGTGATCTGGGAGAATGGCCAGTCATCTCCAGTCATGGGCTGGGCCTCTTAGAGAAACTCCCAGGCTGGCAGCTCAGAGATGTGTGACTCCTGACCTGTCCATAAACAGTTGTGGGAAGGGAACTTTTTAAAGCAGGACTCGTAGGGAGAATTTCTTTTCATTGTTTTCTTTTTTGCTGTTAACTTCCTTTAAATAGTTTGATTCTTTTCATTATTAAATGTTTTCCCCTGATTATTTAAGTAAATATTGTTTTTATTTAAAAAATAGAAAGCTTAGAAAAGTATTAAGAACAACATGAAAATCAACCATAAATAACGCTTCAAAACAATATGGAGGTGGGGAGTGGGTGGGATGGGGTAGCACTGGCCACAGGTTAATGGTTGTTGGGGCTGGGTGATGGGAACTTTTCTGTTTGATTTCTATATATTCAAAATTATCCATAAGTAGAACAGGTTTTTTAAGTAAAATAGTAAAAGTGGTCTTAAAAAATTAACCATATGGCTGGGTGTGGTGGCTCATGCCTGTAATCTCAGCACTTTGGGAGGCCAAGGTGGGCAGATCTCTTGAGCTCAGGAGTTCAAGACCAGCCTGGGCAACAAGGTGAAAGCCTGTGTCTACTGAAAATGCAAAAATTAGCTGGGTGTGGTGGCACACGCCTGTAGTCCCAGCTACTCAGAAGGCTAAGGCATGAGAATCACCTGAACCCAGGAGACGGAGGTTGCAGTGAGCTGAGATCGTACCACTGCACTCCAGCCTGGTGACAGTGTAAGACTCTCTTAAAAAATAAAATAAAATAAAATAAAATAAAAAATCAACCATAGTTCCACAACTAAGAGACAATTACAGTTCACATTTTATTTCCCTGGTATTTTCCCTCTGCATATGTGTGTTTATATCTGTACTTTTAAGGGAAAATTGATATCACACTATACATTCACCATGTACAGATCTGCTGTAAGGGCTGGAAACTTGGCATTTTCATACAGAGCCAAAATTTGATGTGCTCAAAGAAAACTTTAAGTTAGAAATGTTACTCTGGTTTTTATGAATTTTCTAGCAGTTGAGGGAATGGGTTCTTGTAAATACAGTTACTCCTAGTTTTCTTCCTGAAAACCATATGTAAAATATATATATGGTCTTCAAATGGAAGGTTTTTTTGTTTTTTTTTAGCTGTGCCTCTGTGGGCTGAGTGACCGTGACCGCAAGGTGGCTCATGGAGAACTGGTGGGTGTGCAACTGCTACTGGAAGATGTTCTGAGTAGCTATCATGTGACCATGGAGGCCCCCCAAAGACAGCAAGCCACACTGGGCAAAAATACACAGGTATTCTGGGGGTATCGTTTCCATATTGATAGTACTATATTGAACTGAAGGACCTCTCTGTTGGGGAGATGGTCCGGGGAGTCATGTTTTCCCACAGCCTCTCTCAGTAGGTCCCAGGACTGTGCCAACACCACCTGGGAGCAACAGTGGAGCAGGGGTAGCCACTGCAAAGCATTTTCTAAGTTCCATGATTATGGTATATACATCTATTTTAATTTTAAAAATACGCCAAAAGTTGTGGGAGGTCTATTGAAACCAAATGAAACAAAAGCGCCAACTGGATGCTTTCTTTGTGAGTCATACATCTAGGACTGGAGTTGGAAGGGCCAGAGGGGTCTGATAGAAGCCCCAGGTGGACATCTCAGGCCTGGGCTCTTGTCCTCATCACTCAACTACTGGCCTATGGTCTCCTGGGCAGGCACTGCCTCCTCTGGGTTTATCATTCTGAAGCTCTAAGGTGCAAGGGCCACTAGCGCTCCTAGTGTCATGACTTTAAACAATTTTGCATATATCCAGGAACTAGGCAGAGACATGTTTGGATGCTAGACAAACTAGCTGGTGCCCGCACTTGAAGAGCTTTTCTGTCCGAGCCAAACTTTCTGAGCAATGCCTAAACCCATCATCTCCATTTTCTTACCTTCCTGCCACTCCTCGAAGCACTGCAGTCTGTCTTCCCAATCTTGCTACTGAAACCTCTCTCATCAAGAGATGGTCTTTGTCACTAAATCCTCTGGGTACTTTCAGTCACCTTTCTACCTAACCCCTTGGCAGCATTTGACACAGAGTCCTTCTCAAAGCCTCTCTGCCCTTGGCTTCTACAGCATGAGTCTCTCCTAGCTTTCCTCCAACATTGCTGAGCCCCTCTTCTCAGACCCTTCTGTAGGGTCCTCTACCTCTGCCAACCCTAAAATTTTTTTATAATCTATCCCACCACTGCTACCAGGGCCACATTTTGACTTCCGCAGTCCCTAACACTTTTACCTTTGTGGGCTCTTCCCTCCTCCATGAAAAACCATTAAAAATTATATTTTAACATTGTGCTAGTACAAAGAAAAATATATTAATATCATATATTAAAGCATTTTATTTAGCCTAAAAGGTCTTTTTTTCTGATTAAAAAAAAATAAAGCATTTTGTGGGCCCGAGGCACTGTGCCTCCTCTGCCCAAGCTGTTAAGTCAGCCCTGAATACTATCAATACCACTGCTATTATTGCCTAGAAGTTGAGGTCTGTTCAGATTGCTTTTTATGTATTCATTTATTTAGTCCTCACAATAATTCCATGAGATAGGTTGTTTCATTGTTCTCATTTTATAGATAAGAATACTAAGGCTTAAAAAGGTTAAGTAACATGGCCAAAGTCACATGGTTAATGAGGAAAGAAGCTCAGATTCCAACCCAACGGTCTGGCCCTAGAGCTCCCTCATCCTCTTCTCTACTAGGTTGCTCCATTCCTCACCCTCTCCCTAGGAAAACCCATCCACTTTTATAACTTTGATGACATTCACATGCAATGATCCAAATCTGTATGTCTAGCCCAAATATCAATCCTATCAGACTCACATGTTCAATTGCCTGCTGGATATCTCCACTTATTCCATCTCAGAGACAGCGTTTCTCAAGCTAAGGTCATCTTACTCCCTAAATCTTGCCCTTCCCTGTCCGTTTACCACTACCTGCCCAGTTGGCCAAGCCAAAAACTCTGGGCACCATCTTTGACTTCTGTCCCACACCCCACAACCAGTCACCAAGTTTTACTATCAATTATTTTAATATCTTTCAAGTTTGTCTTCTTTCTCTGTTCCCCCACAGTACCCACTTCTATGAGTCCAAACCATCATCATCCCTGATCACTAACTAGGCTATGATCTTGACCTCCAATTGGATTCAATACACTTATTCTCACCTCCTTCCAATCCATTCACCAGGGTAATATTTTTAAATGCAAGCCTGATTATATCACTTCCTTTACTATAACTCTTCAATGGATTCCAGATGCCCTGAGAAGAGTCCAAATGCTTTCATCAGCCCCTCGTGACTTGACTCCTGCCAATATTTCTACCCTCAATGTCTTTCGATTTGTCAAATGCACCATGCTCTCTTCTGTACTTCTCCCAAACTGGTCACTCTAGTGGAAAACTTCCCTCTCCTTCCTCTTTCTGCTTCATCACCTGATTAACTCTTACTTATCCTTCAGATTTCCACTTCCAAACCACTCTCTTTAGGAAGCTTCTTCTGATCATCCACGCTTACCCTGTTGCTTCTCTGTGCCAGTTAGAGTGCTTCTGGTGCAAGTAACAGGTTGTTCCATTAGCTATAACCTAAATTAGGGAAGCATATTAATCCTCCATAATAAGACGTCTAGAAGGAGGCAGTTCAGGTTGGTGTAGCCCCTTGACAGTGACTTCAAGGACTCAGGCTCTGCCATTTAGGTGTATTGGGAAACATCTCCCTCATGTTTGTAAGATAAAAACAGGAGCAAAAAAGCTTTCTCCTTGGAGATCTAGCTTTTTATCAAGGAGGGGAATATTTTCTAGAAGCCCCCCCATTAGATTTTCCTTGTGTCTTTTTAGCTAAACTGAGTCACAAGTCCACTTGGGGCCAATTAGTAGAAAAAGAAGTGGTTTTATATGTGCCATCTACATTCCACAGCATAATTAGATCTTCACCCAGTGTGATCATTTGCAAAGCTGGGTATAGACCAAATTGTGCCAGGATCCAAACACATGCTGGGCCCTCAGGTCCTTCTGTTTGCCATATTTTGGCCCTGTCTATGATGGATTACCATCTTTTCCTGACATTCCCCACCATCCTCCACCTTGTTATTTATTTTGGCTCCTGTTCCTTCTCTTGTCTATTAAATTAAAGCACGTTGGTAGAAAAGACTTCTCATCATATGAACATATTAACAAACAAGTTTGCTTTAAAATTATTATTTATTTTAATTAATTTTATTTCGTGTGTTTTTATTTAGGAGTATTTAGCTATTCATAGACAATAGGAAGCAGTAGAATTTATACTGCCCTGAGAGTCAGGACTCCTGAGTTCCTGCCCCAGTTATGCTATAAGTTTTTTGATCTCACTAGGCCTCAGTCTCCAAAGCTCCAAAGTAAAGGTGATGAATTGGCTCAAGGCTTTTAAAATTGTGGTCCAAGGAGCCCTGGGGTTCCTCAGAGATACCCTGGGGCTTCTTGAGCTGGGGAGCGGGGGCGGCAATTACATGGCCTCCAGGCTGTCCCCTTCATGTCACCATGCTTGGCCTTGGTCTGTTGAATATTTGGGCCAGTGTGTAAGAATTCATTTGATGAAAGAGCTCTGAGGATAAAATAAAATCTGGAAATCCATGCACTAGCTGATTGTTGGGGAGGCAGGCTACAAGACTGAGGAGTTACCAGCAGTCTACAGGAACTCGCTCTCCCCTGGTTCTTGCTTATCAATTCTTCCTTGGACAATTTGACCAATACTCTTCCTGGCAGGCAGGCTTTTCCTTAGATATGTTAATACCACTGCTCTAGGATCCAATTATACCAGGTTGTTCTCCCTGTTTCTAGCCAGGAAACGTGAGTGTCTCGGGTACTGTCACCTAAATGCTCTCTAAGCCTCTTTTTATCATAACGTCATGGGATTTGCCAACCTGGTCTGCCAAGAAGAGCTCCTTTTTCTGTGACTGAGACACTATGTACAGGCAGTGGGCCTGGACGTGATCCTCATTTTGTTCCTCACTCTGGGTGACCCTGGCCCTCAGACCGCTGGCTGCAGGACAGCAGGACAAACAAGGACCTGAATACCTTGTTTCCTCCATGTCCTCCAGGGCTCATAGCAGCCCCTCCACAATTATTTACTTAAGGAAAGCACCAATGAATAAATGAAGAAATCATAATTTTAAAGTAATCTTTCTTATTGAATGATAAATTCTAATTAAGAGAAATGTTTCCTGCCTAACTTCTAAAAGAGGAGAAGAAACAGGAGGTAGGATAAATTAACTTTCTATTTCTTTACCCATAAGATGGGTAAAATCCTGAATGGAAAGTTACTTCTTGGCCCCACCGTGATGGGAACTTTAATCTCAGGTATATTGAAGAGCACTTTCCAGAATGCAGAGGGAAAACACAAAAGGCTCAGTTTTTCAAAGGCAGATAAAACGTTAGTATGCAAGTAAGCGAGTTTTCAAAATGAATGGTTCCAGACCCAAGCAAAAAGCTGCAGTTGAGACATTCCTATCCTTTCCATAAACTGTTCATGAAGGATGGTCAACCTCTCTCAACTCTATATGTGCTGTGGGCCTGTAAACCATTCCTCCTGGGGAAAAAGTTAATTCTCCAAAGACTTTGTTTTGCACAGGCTGCATGTGAAAGGTTAGCCTGTGTTGGTCCATGATCAATAAAGAAGGATTTCCATAATGCTTTCAGCCAGATTGGTCCAAAGTGCCAGGATTCAGAAGTCAGTTCCGAAGCAGCCCAAAGACCTCTGAGCTGCTGGAGGGCCTGTGCGATGCGGTGATGTCCTTTGCTTTGCTGAGATCATTTCTGATACTGTGGAAGCAGCTGGAAGTGCTAAAGGAGCACTGGGGCCGACTCAAGCTGCAAGGCCAGGATATCAACTCTGTCTCTCTCCACAAACGGTTTTCAGAGCTCTATGAGTGAGTGTTGCTGATGCTGAAATTCATGGCCATGACTAGAACCTGGGGGATGGCAGATTCCTGCCCTTAGTCTGAGGGCGAGATTTGGTCCATGAATCCTAATATGACCCGTTAGACCCACGGACTGAGTCTCTCAGAGCTTGTGGCATTGCAGCCAGAGATATACAGATGGCACATGCGGCACAAGTCTGAGGAATGGGAGGCATTCTAGCAGCTGCAGGCCCTGGCTCGAATGACGTAGCTGGCTGGGAAGGCGTGTTGCTTCTGCCACGTGTCTGTTAACAAACGAACATTTGCTAAGCACCCCCATACACCCTGGGCCTTACCAAGCTTAAGAACGTTTGCTTTAGGCCAGGCGTGGTGGCTCACAGCTGTAATCCCAGCACTTGGGGAGGCTGAGGCGGGTGGATTACCTGAGGTCAGAAGTTTGAGACCAGCCTGGCCAACACGGTGAAACCCTGTCTCTACTAAAAATACAAAAAATTGACCAGGTGTGATGGTGGGTACCTGTAATCCCAGCTACTCGGGAGGCTGAGGCAGAAGAATGGCTTGAACCCAGGAGGCGGAGGTTGCAGTGAGCTGAGATCGCACCATTGCACTCCAGCCTGGGCAACAAGTGTGAAACTCCCTCTCAAAAAACAAAAACAAACAACAACAACAACAATAACAACAACAAAAAGTTCACTTTGGTACAGCCAGATTGTTTATCTTGTGAAATTATTATAGTCAGTGTCCCTGATAACTAGGGAAGGTGAAGACTTGTCAATATTTTGAAGAATGAGGACTGAAATTATATGCACCCAATGGGAAAAAGCCTCACGATTTCATGTGGCTAAGGAATGATAACTGTGGTGAATTAAATGTTGATGTATCTGTGAATGGGTTAGGATACTGATGATAGGAAAGAGAAAATGAATGAAAATAATTATCAGAGAATTGAAATGAGAAAAAATATGTTTGCTAATTTCTGTCTTTCTTCTTTAATAGAACTGACGTTCTCTACCCCAGCATGAAAGCTATAGCCAGGCAGATGGGGAAAGAAGATGAATTTGAAGGATTTATAGTAAATAATCAGTCTGTTCTTCCCCCCAGTGGAGCCTCAGAAGTTGAAATAAAAACTCACCAAGTATGCAGGATATATTTTAAATTTGCCTTTGAAAATGTCCTTTATGGCATTAGCATGTAAAACTACAGGCATACCCAAATGGTATTTTTTCCAAGAAGCTGAGTGTAAATTGCAGGGTTGTAAATCATTGAATGGGCTGGAGGGAGGGCAGGACTAAGTATTTAAAGCCATGTGGTGCTTCGATGAAGCAAATTACTACCCTTAATGTCCCTGTTCTATAAGTCTGGATTTTTATCATTTTGATTTTCCTCAAATTGATGTGTACCTTCATAAGAATGATCATAGAAAACATAACCACTATCTTAAGCATAAAATTTAGCATGCAAGTATTCACATGGAAATGAAATATTTGTAAAAGCTCCCTGTAATTGTTTTTCTGAGAATAAGAAAATGCCCATTTGGTATGTGTAAGATGATCTGTGTGGAGAAGTTGTTTTCCCGAGTCTTTGTTCAGCTTGATCCTGGGACTCACGCGCTCTGTGGCTGGGCTTATTGTACCAGGCAAGCAAAGCCTCGGCTGTTCGGTTGTCAATGCACAGATGCTCATCCACTGAGCAACAAGGAGAAGTCAGCCCCTGTCAGGCCCCAGTGCCAAGCTCACTGCTTACCCTTCTGAGCCCTATTCCTTTCCAGTACCTGGGGGCCTTCAACAGGGAGAAACCTACACTCTGCAAGCATAATGGATTGAGTGAGGGCTCACAGTTTTTGGAAGACTTTACTGTTGGTCCTACATGGAGTTTTAAATCTTGTGAAATCTTCCTTGGTATCTAAATCAAGTTTTATACCTGAGGGCTTCTTTTTTTTTTTTGAGTCTTGCTCTGTCGCCCAGGCTAGAGTGCAGTGGCGCGATCTCAGCTCACTGCAACCTCCGCCTCTCAGGTTCAAGCAATTCTCCTGCCTCAGTCTCCCGAGTAGCTGGGATTACAGGCGCCCGGCTAATTTTTTTAT
Source organism: Homo sapiens (assembly GCF_000001405.40). Lineage (NCBI taxonomy): Eukaryota > Metazoa > Chordata > Mammalia > Primates > Hominidae > Homo > Homo sapiens. The sequence goes on from NC_000006.12 coordinate 109,316,367, forward strand.
TTTTAGTAGAGATGGGGTTTCATCATCTTGGCTAGGCTGGTCTCGAACTCCTGACCTTGTGATCCACCTGCCTCGGCCTCCCAAAGTGTTGAGATTACAGGTGTGAGCCATTGTGCCCGGCTGAGAGCTTCTTTTGTAATGAGAACTCACAGAATCCTAGCCACATTTAGAGACCCCGGAAGACATGAGGTCACCCCAGGGATTAGACACTTTGCAATTTAGCAAAACTTGGTTAAAAAAAAAAAAAGGATTGTATTTTATCAATGAGGATGTGAGCCAGGAAGAAAAGGTGCTAGTCTCCAGGGAGGTACATCTGTGCCCCCAGAAGCACTTGGGAGACCTAGAAGGGAAGTGTTCCTTCTTTCCCGGGAGAGTAGCTGAGGGACAGGCCCTAGCCCAAAGCCCTTCTGCAGGAATGTGACACGGGACCCAAAATATAATCTGAATGTAGTGAGTGACCCTCAACCTATGCTTACTCTAGCTTCAAAAACTTCTGGAAAATTGTGAAATTCAAATGATCCAAGAGGTACTAAGAAAAGTTAACAGAGAAATGACACTGGTTTTATCAGAAAAGTGCAAGGAGGAGTGTTCTCTCCCTACAGGTAAAGTACATTTATTTTGTTACTTCACAAAATAATGTTTATTGGTTTTTCCTAATTACGAAAGCAATTCATGTATCGACATTTGTTGTAAAAACAAGCAAAAACCAAAACATCGGTGCGATGCCCGGAAAATGATATAAAAATGACCTTTTACCCTTGACCCTGTGCAATGAAAGGGCAAGCCTCTCCCCAGCTGGGTGTCTCTAAATGCCACCAGAGAGCTGAGTGTGGTTGAGCTCTAGTTACAGAACCTGCAACAAGACACAAAGCCCTTTGGTATATTTCTTTCCCTGTACAAAGGCTTTTTTAAACAAATGGAAAACATAGTTTCACTTCAGTTTCAACTCTACTGATTAACTCATAACTGAAATAAAGTTGAAATGAAGGGAAACCTAAAGCCTTTCTTATTTGTAACATATATAAGTTATGATATGTCAAATTTGTATATTTAGGGTATGAAGGCAATCAGAATGGTTCCTTCCATCTGAGGTCCAAACTTGGGGCCACTTCACGGGCATGTGACACACAGGATGCAGAGGGGCACTTGAGATTTCATGTTCTGTGATCACCATCCTGAAACTTTTAATGGTTTACCTTTGAATTTGTTCAAAGTTACAATTCTAGGTACCTAAAGTGGGCAGGAGGCTTACCCTTCCTGAGCTACCCATTGAACGCATGGTGTTGCTGCCAGCCTGGGACCCCTGAGATGCTGCCGGGTGCACACGTCTGACCTTGACCCTCCCTGTACCCAGAGGGGACGGGGACCTTGGCACAGGGAGGGTCAAGGTCAGGCGTGTGCACCTGGCAGCATCTCAGGGGTCTTAGGCTGGCAGCACCACCATGTGTTCAATGGGTAGCTCAGTGAGGGCAAGCCTCCTGCCCACCTTGGGTACCTAGAGTCTCTCAGGACAGAGGTTGCAGTACTCTTGGGGGTTGCCTTTCCACAGTGGATTGGGGTGGTGGGAAGGGGAGATGCCTGACTCAACTTCTCATCCCCAGGCAGGGCCCGGTGCCTCAGTCTGGTAGCTGGCGGGTCATGCGTATTCATGCACTGAGACACAGGCAGGGCCACTGGGTGCTTATGGGGGTCTCACTTCCCCTGCACATATTCCCATGACCAAGAGAGCGCAACGTTAAAAGCAAATTAAAAACACCATGACAGGTCAAGGGAGAGACTGCAGAAGAAAGGGAAAAGGTTTATCTCTTAATGTCGGTGTGACACTTTTTCCTGCTTTTTAAACAAGAGGTCCTACATTTTTATCTTGCGCCAGGCCCCTGCGTTATGTAGCTAGTCCTGTCTGAACTATAATATCTATTCCTAACTTTGAATATTCTGTAGGAAATTCATAACCTTTGAGCTAGGGAGGAGTTGTCTGACTACGAACTTAAATTAGGTTTTGCTTTTGAGACAAAGTCCACAGACATTGTAGTGTTAATTAATAACCTCTGTCCTCACCTAAGACATAGTCGTTTTATTAGTGCTTCGAGTAACCGAATTCTGTAAACAGGGCCCTGTGCAATGAAAGCGCGAGCCTCTCCCCAGCTGGGCGTCTCTAATGCCACCAGAGAGCTGAGTGTGGTTGAGCTCTAGTTACAGAACATTCAACAAGACACAAAGCGCCTGTTGTTTGTGCTGTGTTTGCTGCATCCAGGCGGCTCCCTTCCGAGTCCTTGGAGAAAATCCACAAGCCTGCATCAGGTGCAGCCATCTGCACATGTTGGGGCCGTGGTTCCTATGAGACACCTGGGGTGAGGGGCTGTGGGGAAGCATCTTTGCTCTGTGGTTGTGCTGCCTTGCATAGGGTGCCTGTCAGCTGTGCTTGCAAAGGGCCTTCAATGCAGTGGGGGGCAGGCAGAGGGGAGGGGTAGAGTTATTTTTAACAGTGGCTAGGTTGATATTACCAAGCCTCACTTTGGCTGGAGTGTGCTGGCCAGTTCTAAACTCTTGTTTGATTCTATACTTATAAGACTTTTAAACTCCATGCCAATGTCAAAGGGGAAGGGTTGTTGTTTCTGGTTCTATTTTGTTTTGTTCTTTGGTCTGTCAGGCATGACTCAGTGTGGAGACCTGGATCTCCACCTCTACTGAGTTCTCCTAATTCAAGCGATTGAGTCCTTACTGTGTGCCAAGGTGCTTTGGTATACATTTATTCAGTGTCATCTTCCTGAGACCTCTGTGGGCTTGGTACCTTCAAAGAAGGCAATAACATATTGGAATCCCCACCTACCTACTATTTATCTTGGCAGCAAGAAGTAGCCATAGTGGCCAGGGCTTCCAAGCAAGGGCTGCCTCTTCATGCAGAGATCACCCTTTGTAGTCAAGATTAGCTTGGGGCTGGAGGTTTTTCCAGAGGAAGTTAGGAATGGAGAGTATTGAGAACCAGGGGGACAGCAAAAGCCCTTATCCTTTTCCTCAGGGTCTTCTCCTTCCCTATGGGCTGACTGACTCTGGTGTTTACATTTACAACTGCCAAAAAGAAACCCTGAGCCAGGTATGGTGGCTCACTCCTGGAGCCCAAAGGCACTCTGGGAGGCCGAGGCAGGCGGATCACTTGAGCTCAGGAATTTGAGACCAGCCTGAGCAACATGGTAAAACCCCAACTCTACAAAAAATGGAAAAAAAATTAGCTGGGTGTGGCGGTGCACACCTGTAGTCCCAGCTACTCAGGATGCTGAGGTGGGAGGATCGCTTACGCCTAGGATGTCGAGGCTGCAGTGAGCCAAGATCGTGCCACTGCACTCCAGCCTGAGTGACAGAGTGAGACTCTGTATCAAAAAAAAAAAAAAAAAAAAGGAACCCTGGAATACTTCTCTCCCTCTCCCTCCTTCATTCCCCCTCACCTTGTCTTGGAGCTTGATCATACAGCTTCTGAATGAGTTTCCGGTTTGTCATTGAGCCTCTGAGGATGTGGCATCCAGACCTGGCCCTTGTATTAGGTCTCGGTAGCTGAACTAGTAGTCCCCTGAAAACTATCTAAAGTTGATCCAGACATCTTTGTTCAGCCCCGGGGCTTATCTTAGCAGAAATGGCCCCGTTGGTTCACAAAGATTCTGCCATCCCTCATCTTTGATGTTTTGGCATTGAAGTGATTTTTAATTGATTTTCTAATTTTCTCTGGGTAGTTATAAGGCCAACAGTCTCCAAAGTGGAATGCATATATCCCAGGGGTGTGGGAAGAAAATATGAGAACTTCTAAATAGATTAGAGCCATATGTAAGGAGTCACATGCCACACTCTACACTGAGGTGTCCTGAAGTGACCATGGGCAGGCAATCCACAAGTAATGAGAAAATAGTCGAGGTGACACTGTAATCCTAGTGCATGCTTATCCTCAGCCACATTCTGAGGTCATAAAAGATAATCTAATCATGTCTGATAAGAAGACAGACAATAAATTTTTCTTTTTTTCTTTTTTTTTTTAAAGATACGATCTCATGCTGCCACCCAGGCTGGAGTTCAGTGGTGCCACCATAGCTCACTGCAGCCTTGAACTCCTGGGCTAAAACGATCCTCCTACCTCAGCCTTCCAAGTAGCTAGAATCACCGGTGCACACCACCATGCCCAACTAATTTTTAAAAATTTTTTGTAGAGCCATCCTCTTGCTATGTTGCCCAGGCTGGTCTTGAACTCTTCAAGTGATCTTCCCACCTCTGCCTCCCAAAGTGCTGAGATTATAGGTGTAAGCCACCTGCCTGGCAGACAAAAAAAAATTGTAAAAGGTCAAGGAAACTATTGGGAATGCGGATTGAGATCCATTCTCATTGTTGATGAATCCTCCCCTAAGTATATCATGCTTTGTGATATTCGCTATTGGTAGTGTTGTAGGTAGTTATAAATACATATAAATAAAATAAAATATAAAAATATAATAATATAGGATAATAAATATAATCAAAATATAAGTGTACATATATTAAAAGTGAGAGATCAACAATGTTTTGCTTCAAGAGAGCATATCAAAACAGTTCTTACAAGAGCATCGTGTCAGCCAGCATTTCCCCAGCAGTGCGATGGAACACAAGTTCCTCAAGATATTACAGCAGTAGTTCTCCCAGCCCTTCTTCGCTAACAGGCTTCTGGGTTACCTGACGCTTTCCGTTCTTCTGGTAACATAAGGCAGCAAAGTGCTCACTAATCACAGGCTTTGGGTTGCATGTATTTTACCTAGCATCTCTGATCATTGTTTGCTCCAAACCTGTTTGTGCCGGTTTTAACTGTCATTGTATTGAGATAATTTAATTAAAAACTATGTAAACCAGCGTAATAGGAATACAAAAAGAAAGAGATCTGTTGATTCTAGAAAAACTAAATTGAAATTGATCATCTGTAGCACATCTAGTCAGTGAAACATTATTAAGCATTAAAAAGAAATGAGCTGTCAAGCCATGAAAAGACATGGAAGAAGCTTAAATGCATATTACTAAGTGAAAGAAGCCAATGTGAAAAGGCAACATATTGTATGATTCCAAATATGACATTCTGGAAAAGGCGAAACTATGGAGAGAGTAAAAAGATCAGTGCCTGCCACCATTTAGGAGGGTAGGAAGGAGGAATAGGCAGAGCACAGAGGATTTTGGGGCAGTGAAACTATTCTGTATGATACTAACATGGTGTATCCATGTCATCATATGTTATCCAAGCCCATAGGATGTAGGACACTAACAGTAAACCATAATGCAAACTATAGGCTTTGGATGATAATGACATGTCAATGTAGGTTCATTGATGGTAACAAATGCACCCTCTGTGGCAGGACATTGATGGTGGAGAATGTGTGTGAGGACCTTATGGGCACTCTCAATACATTCCCCTCCATTCTGCTATGAACCTAAAATTGCTCTAAAAAAATTAAATGTATTTGAAAAAGAAAATAAAGTAAAACACCCGGGCGTGGTGGCTCACGCCTGTAATCCCAGCACTTCGTCTTGGCCAACATGGTGAAACCCTGTCTCTACTCAAAATACAAAAATTAGCCAGGCGTGCTGGAGGGCAGCTGTAATCCCAGCTACTCAAGAGGCTGAGGCAGTGAGCTGAGACTGCGCCATTGTGCTCCAGCCTGGGCAACAAGAGCGAAACTCTGTCTCAAAAAAAAAAAAAAAAAAGAAAAGGAAAAAGAAAACAAAATAAAAATTACGTTGAAAGGATTTGGAAAACCTGAATAAAAGGCTAGTTGTGTAGAAAAAAGAAAAATTATCAAATTGGTTATGAGACAGATGACTGAAAAGACTAGGTAAAATTGTGAAATTGTGCAAAATGATGTGTTTGGATTTTCATGGTCTTTTTCTTTCTCTAAAATCAAACAAACAAAAGTAGAAACTATAGACCAAGATTTATAGAAGAAAGATGGGGCAGAACTTCGGTCAGTGGGTACTTACAAAGAAAAGGCCTAGGCCCTATGTTAGATGACTGGCAGATGTTTGTAAATTTATGTATTTTAAGTTAAATAAAATGTTTTAGATAGTACATGTTATTTGTAAAGCATTCTCTGCTTTAACTGACTTTTTTTTTTTTTTTAACTAACCAACTAACTCTTAGTCTTGAGTACATTGGATAGGAGGATTTCTACCATGTTTTTCAGGGTCGGTGGAGAAGGGTTTTGTTCATTTGTGTTTTGTTCAAAATAAGTTTGGGAAACTCAGGGTAAATAATGCTAAACAGTTTCCTCTACTCTAGAGCCTTTACTATCCAACTGTGCACTGTGAATCTCCAAAGGAGAGAGAATATGCAATGTTTTTTTATTTTTTATTTTATTTACTTCTTTATTTATTTGACCATAGAACCTTTTCCTCTCCTTGGAAACATTTATTATCAACACGAAGAATTAGTGTTCTGGGGAGCAGTTTGAAAACCACAAGAGTACAAGATGCATACATACTCTGCAATAAGGCTTTCAACCTACCCACTTATTGGGGCGCCCCAGCTGGTTGGGAGAACAGCCTTGATTGGCAGTCATATGTCTTCAAGTTTCAGTTCTGCCTTGGTTTGGGACCCAGGAACCACTGAGGCACCAAAGGCTAGTGGTTGTGTTAGGGAAGTGGAATGTTACCCAGCCAAGATGTCCTTCCTAGAGGAAGGAGGCCTGGGGGTGGTGTGCAGAGAAGGAGAGAGGGGAAGTGGTTTGGCTAACAGGAAGTCAAAGTTTCCTCTAGTCAAATGACCTGGAACAGAGTGAGAGGAGAAAATGGAGTCCCAACTTAACCCCCAGTGTGCTGTCTCCTTCCTACTTCCATGCTTCTGTCAAAAACGGCTGCCTCCTCTTAAAGAAGCCATGACCAAACACACACTGAAAATGAGACCCATTTGGAGACAGCCAACTCCTCTTTGCCAGGAATTGTTTCTTTTGGATGGATTCTGCTTTTCCTGGCTCCCTGACTCCTGCCTGCAGATGCAAATGCATGTCTGAACCTGAATTCACGAGCAAGGAGAGAGTGCGGCCGAGCGCTCTGTTAAGTTTTCCCTTCAGCTGAGTGCAGAGCTAAACCCCAAACCAGCTCACTGGACATCTGCCAGGTGAGGGTCCCCATACTAGAAGTGTGCAACAGATGTGGTCCCTCACCAGGCTTATCTGTGAGCTGGAGACCTGCCACAACAGCACCCTGGAAAAGATATCCAACTTCTCATCTGAAATACGCATGAGCCCTGTCTTGTCATAGCTTAGACTTTTAAAAAGTCTTAAACATCTTAAGAAGTGTGAATTGCTGGGCACATTAACTCTTGGATTTTCCATTTCAGCTGTACTGGGACAGTGGCAATGTGTCTTCTGGCCTTTATTTCCTAAAGGAAAAGCAAAAACAGATTTATATGTTTATTATGGAAAGTAGTCAATTGTTAAAGAAACATAGAATCCCATTTTCAAAACCAGGACTTGGCAGTAAATAGCGTAAGTACAAATACCAGAGGCTCTGGCTCTGTTGTGCCCACATTTCTGGGTGGACTGTGCTAGGTGTTTCGTCTTGGGAGCACTGAGCCTCCTGTCAGTAAATTGAGTGTGCAGGTAGGAAGTCTCATCTGAAATTAGAAACAGCTGGGGCAGGAGCAGGCTGGCAGGTGTCCCTGCTGATGACCAGCACCCCCCATTAACAGAAAACGGAGTGAGGTGGAGCGTGGCTCCTAAGTCCAACTCCATAGATCGCTTCCCTTCAGTATTCCCCTGGGACCACCACGAGGAGGTAGGCACTATCCAGCCAGTTCTTACCATTGTAATTAACGTGCACATGTGCTTTTGCTCTTCCACGTGGATGGAAGTCAAGCAGTGTTGACATTCTCACATCGTTCCACCACTGTCATGTTATTTTTAAGTATCTTATTTTTAACAGATAATATATGCACATGGTTCCAAACTCAAAATGATGAAAAATATACATTTAGAGTCTTGTTGTCACCATGAACCCCCTTGCATCCTAGTCTGCCACCTGTACGTAACCACTTTCATTAGTTTTCTGCATGTTCTTTCAGTGCTGCTTTGTGCATATATTCATTCTTTCATTCAATAACTATTCAATAAATATTTACATTCTTTCATTACAGGAACTATTCCATGTCCTAGGCTACTATATTTTAGGAAATATTTTAGGAATATATTCTTCCTTTCATTGAGTTTATAATCTAGGAAGGGGTAGACAACAAGCGATAACATAAGAAAAAGGAAAGCAATGGAGTAAGGAAGGGTGGTGTTGCGGCGGTTTGAAGGGGTCCACTGCAATTTTAAATTGGGTGATTAGGGTAGACCTCACTGAGTGAGTGATGTTTTGAGCAAAAGTTTGAAATAAGGTGAGGAATTGAGCTATGAGGGTATCTAAGGGAAGAGCATTCCAGACAGAAGGAACAAGCCATACAAAGGCCCTATGCAGAGCACGCCTATTATATTCAAAGAATAGCAAGGACCTAAGTGTGGCTGGAGTGGAGACCGTGAGGGAGAAAAAGTAGTAAGCGTTGAAGTCAGAGAGGGAGGGGGAAGGGGGGCAGACCATGCAAGGCCTTTTGAGGCTTTTGTGTTTACTCTAAATGCAGTGGGGACCAAGTCTCAGATTTTGAGTGTCATGATCTGGCTTATATTTTGACAGAATCTCTCTGGCTAAGGTGTGGAGAATAGGCTGTGAAGGAAGAAAGGGTGAAAGTAGAAAGAAGCTGGTGTGGAGGTTACTGCAATAACTGAAGAAAGGAGTGATGGTGGCTCAAACTTGGGAGCAGTGGAAATAGTGAATGGTCAAACTCTGGGCTTATTGTGAAGTAGGCACTAATGGGTTCAGTATTATTAGGTATGTGAGAAAGAAAAACCAATTATGACTCCAGCGTTCTCAATTGGGAAGATAGAATTTCTATCAGCTGAGAGGAAAACTGTGAAGCAAGTTAGGGAGGGAAGATTGGGAATTTGATTATGCACAAATTAAGTTTTAAATGCCTTTTAGACATCCAAGAAGACATGCCAAGTGAGTATTGGATCTAAATTTGCGAGTTGTCAGGATATGAATGGTATTTAGCTGTGAGACGAGATGAGAACGCCAAGGGAGTGAATATATATAGAAGTGAGGAGGTGGACCACGGCTGAGCCCTGAGACACTCTAATGTTAACAGCTGGGGGTGGTGGGGGAGGAGAAATAGCAAAAGACATCTAGAAGGAATAGAAAGAACAAACGTTGAGTTAGGAAAACTAGGGCACCGCAGTGTCCCAATGCCTAGTGAAGGAGATTTCTCAAGCAGGAGGAAGCGACAAATTGTGTGAAATGCTGCTGGTAGTTGAGTAAAACCACTGGCTTTAGCCACGTGCAGATCACTGGTGTTTGTGACAAAATCAGTTTCAGTGAAGTGGTGGAGGTGAAAACCAGGTAAGTGGGGTTAAGAGAGAATTTGTAAGACGTCAAAGGCAGTTTAAGTATAGACTTCTCTATCTGGGAGTTTTGCTACAACAGGGTACAAAGAAATGAGGCAATAGCTGATGGGTGAAGTGGGGTCAAGAGAAAGGTTTTTATGAGACGAGAGAAATAATGTATACTATTGTGAGTGATCCAGGAAAGAGGGGAGAAATGATGATAGAGAAGAAAGGGGAGTTTCTGGGGTAGTAATCCTAGTAGGCTTGAGGGGATATCCTCCCCCTTTATTATCATTTTAGTTATCTTTCTTATAAAATGTGGCATTTTATGGCCACTGTTCTGCACCTTGCCTTTTTCATTTAACAATCTGTGCTTCTTTTCATAACAGTATATGGAGAATTTTTCTTTTTTTCACAGCTGCGTACTATTTCATTGGAAGGATATGCCATAGTTTAAGTACGCCCTGAAGGGTGGACACTTGTGTGCTTCCAAGCTTTTGCTGCCATAACCAATGTTCCTCTGAATAACTCTGGTTATTTTCTTTAAATTTTTATATTTTTTCAAATTTATTTACCTTTTTTATTGCAGAGACAAGTGAACATTTATTTTTGTGCCTTTCTTCCTATGTGTATTTCAAGTCTTTTTCAAAGCAAGGCCCCAGGAATCTCTAGATTCAATTATGTCCCTGGGCTTGGTCGACTGCTGCAGGAGTCTTAGGGAGCCTTGTACAGATGCTAGAGTTACTCATTTACCAACATTAAACCCTGGGATAGACGATGCAGCAAAGCGGACGCCTTCCTCCATGGAATGTGCTGATTTCAGACGGGGCATCAGCCAATGTAGAAAACACTAACATTTTTTCTTGGAACTGGATTGTGATGAGAGGTGCTTGCCGTGAACATAAGCTACTATCTTTTGTTTTTTGGGTTGTTTTTTGTTTTGTTTTGTTTTGTTTTTGAGACGGAGTTTTGCTCTTGTTGCCCAGGCTGGAGGGCAATGGTGCGATCTTGACTCACCACAACCTCCGCCTCCCGGGTTCAAGCGATTTTCCTGCCTCAGCCTCCCGAGTAGCTGGGATTACAGGTGTGCACCATCACGCCCGGCTAATTTTTGTATTTTTAGTAGAGACAGGGTTTTTCCATGTTGTTCAGGCTGATCTTGAACTCTTGACCTCAGGTGATCTGCCTGCCTCAGTCTCCCAAAGTGTTGGAATTACAGGCGTGAGCCACCGCGCCTGGCCAGCTGCTGTCTTTTCTTTGGCGCTTCCTTTCCAGTTTTTGAAGATAAGGCAGGAAATAATCTTCTCTGAACATACTTGATAAAAATTCCCCAAAAAACAAAAACACATGCTTCCACTTCATTGACAAAAATTTACTGCAGTTTGGCACCTGGGTCTAGTTCAGCTGGCGGATAAGCTGATTGATGCGTTCACCCCGATAGCCAGGTGTGCCCATCTCCTTGAGGAAGCCCACTCTATTTTTGGTAGCATGACAGGCCACTGAGAGGTGGAAAGGGTGCAAGAACCATGGCATCTCCTGGAAATGCTTCCCTGGGGAGGCAATTTCATGAATGAGGTCTTCCAAGCAAATGATGCCAAACTTCCCCAGGTGCTCCTCAATCACTGTGTTGTCTGTCAGAGGGATGGTCTTATTCTTGACCTCGGATTCTCCATGTTTCAAAATGAGTTGCCAGACAGACTTCGGATTTGGAAATCCAAAGGTAACATAAGGTTCCACTATACGCAGCATTTTTAGGTTCTGGGGGGTTACTTTTACAAGACACCACTAAAAATTTTCTTTAGGTGAAGTGTTGCAATGGTTCTCTGCACCAGTAAACTCACACCATTAATCCTTTCAATGCGTTCAACAAAGGCCAAAGGATGTTTATCTGGCAATTCCAAAGTGTGAAGTTTCACTTCTAGTCATCTGAGATGCACCTTGTCACGTTTCTGCCGCCAGGAACCATGTAGGAATGATTCCAGTCATTTAAACCTGAGCCCTTTTCCTTTCCTCTGCTCCTTCTTTGCCAAAAGTGCCTGCTTTGCCTGGATGGCTTTGAGAGCTTGATAAGCCTTCCTCTTTTTCAGGAGATTTTCTGGAACCAAAGGGATTTTTCTTCGCTCTTGCTCTGCCATCTTTCTAGTGTTGCAGCTACTGATCACGTGCAACCCCTTTAATTTTTTTTTTTAGAGCAAGGATCTCAACCTGTTTCCCAGGCTGGAGTGCAGCGATGTAATCATGGTTCACTGTAGCCTTGACCTCCTGGGCTCAAGGGATTCTCCCACCTCAGCCTCCCAAGTAGCTAGGACTACAGGCATGCACCATCATGCCTGTCTATTTTAAATGTTTTGTGGAGATGGGGTCTCACTATGTTGCCCAGACTGGTCTGAACTCCTGGCCTCAAGTGAACTTTGTATATGCCTCATCCCATCTGTGTCAGCCATATTGCTGCTTCAATCTTGGAGCTAAAGTTCAGTCTGTCAACATTTCTAATCTGTAACTCTAACTTCTCTCTTTTGAATTTCCTCTCCTTTTTTATCACTATTATATATTCAAGTTAATTTTGCCCTCTAGCACTAGGAACTTAAGCAGATAAATATAATAGCTGTTCATTTATTTCTGATCATTGTTTTAGACCAAAATAATTGGCAGATACATAGAAGGCCTTAATAAAAATAAAGATGATGTAGGATTGATACTAATATTTGATTTGGGGTTTTTAGTTATGGTAATGGAATATTCCCTGGATTTCATAGGTGCTCTTCCAAATCTTTGCATTAGGAGTCAGGTTAGAGATCTTCCTAGTTCCCATGTTCCAGAGGGTCTTGGATCCCCAGTTGCCCAGCCCCCATTAGTTTTTGCATACAGTTGACCTTTGAACAACATGGTTTGAACTGTGCACGTCCACTGATACACAGATTTTTTTTCAACCAGATGAGGATAGAAAATACAGCATTCGGGATGTGAAAACCACGTGTGCAGAGGGCAGATATTTGTATCCACGAGCTCCCCAGGGCTGACTGCAGGATTTGAATATGCATGGATTCAGGATCTGAGGGTGTTCCTGGGAACAATCCCCAGTCCCCTGCATGTATCAAGGGGCAGCTGAGTTTAGAAACAGCTTATTGTGTCCCATGTTCTGTCTCAGAGAGTTGCCATTTTATAGCCATTAATGACAGCACAATGTTTTGTGGTACTAGTGCCAGTATGTTTTTCCCCCTAGATCTCTGGAAACACCAAGTCATGAAAGAAAACTTTTCAGTCTCAAGACCACAAATAGTTGAAAAATTTATACAGAGATTAATGTAGAATTATCAGGATGATGGAGTAGAGGTATGTATTGAAAATTAGTCATTCTGTTGGTTTTTATAACATCATCCCAAACAAGGAAAACTTTCTCATTTAATGGATCTCCTAATGCTTCCCTTATTCCCTAAGAATGATTATATGAATACTGAGGCTAAGCCCAAAGTAGAGCAATTGTTAGTTATTTTTTTCCTTTTTTTTTTTTTTTGAAATGGAGTCTCCCAGACTTGAGTGTAGTGGCACGATCTCGGCTTCACTGCAACCTCCGCCTCCCGGGTTCAAGCGATTCTCCTGCCTCAGCCCCCTGAGTAGCTAGGACCACAGGCATGTGCCACCACACCCAGCTGATTTTTGTGTATTTTTAGTAGAGACGGGGTTTCACCAAGTTGGCCAGACTGGTCTCGAACTCCTGACCCCCAGGTGATCCACCTGCCTTGGCCTACTAAAGTGCTGGGATTACAGGTATGAGCCACCACCATGCTCAGCTGTAATCATTAGTTTTTAATTTTGGAAAAAAATTGATTTCCACTAAAGATCTGAGTAATTAGAATACATACGTTGGCAAATTTCAAATTTGGTCAATTTTTTTAAAGTAACCTTGGAGTTTGTTTATGAATGAGTTGGTTTTTAGCAACATATTCTGTTGTTGATTTGTTAGTATGGAAAGCCTGAATGAGGAAAACCAAAATAGCCTATAATGCTGTTACCTAGAAAACATTAAAATGTAGCATATGAAAAAAAGCCAATAGCACAGAAAGCTAGCATTTTCACCTGTCCCCATGCCACCATCTCCAGCTTCCTCTGCAAAGGAAGCCAGCTTCAGCAATCTGTGTGTGTCCTTCCAGAAAAAATATTCAAATCCGTGACAACTCTATATATTATATTAAATAATAATATACATTTAATACATACACACATGCATATACACAGTCCTTGGAGTTTTGAAACATGTTTATTCTTGGCAGGAAGTGCCTTGCTAAATCAAAGCAACCCACTGAAAAGGCAGGATAAGAGAGTAGACGTAGATATTTGACCATAACAGAGTTTTGTGGAGTGTTAACAAGTGCTTTTAGGTAACTGTGAATCCAGTTTCCTTTGAAACTCAACCATTTAAAGAAATTTGACTTGGCAAAACATACTTCATTTTTTTAAATGTCTTCTCCAAATTTACATTTTTCCAAGTTCTTCAAATGTTCTCCATTATTTTATAATACACATCTCAGTTCTTATGAGGTAGAGAATTCACAAGCTTGGTTGGGGATACATTTTTCCTCAGAACTTGATGACTTACATGTATTAGTTTAAGCTTTCAATCATAAACAAACATGGTACTGGGTACTCTGAGTGGGTGAAGTAGTTTCCCATCCTTGAGATAAGGAAGTGGTTAGGGTGGGGCATATCAGAAAAATGGATGGAAAAATTTTGTGGCTCACCTTATAAAGGAAGGAAATTCTGGCCTGACGTGGTGGCTCATGCCTGTAATCCCAGTACTTTGGGAGGCTGAGATTGGCAGATCACTTGAGGCCAGGAGTTCGAGACTAGCCTAGCCAACATGGTGAAACCCAATCTCTACTAAAAATGCAAAAATTAGCCGGGTGTGGTGGCGCGCGCCTGTAGTCCCAGCTATTTGGGAGGCTGAGGCGGGAAAATCGCTTCAACCTGGGAGGTGGAAGTTGCAGTGAGCCGAGATTGTGCCATGGCACTCCAGCCTGGGCGACAGGGTGAGACTCCATCTCAAAAAAAAAAAAAAAAAGGAAATTCTGATACATGCTACAATGTGGATGAACCTTGCAGACATTATTGCTAAGTGAAATACGCCAGTCACAAAAGCACAAAAACGCTATGACTCCACTTATATGAGGTACCTAGAGTAGCCAAATTCAGAGAGACAGAAAGGATGGTGGTTGCCAGGGGCTGAGAGGAAAGAATAGGTAATTACTGTTTATCGGGTACAGGATTTTTGTTTTACAAAATGAAGAGTTCTGGCAGTGGATGGTGGTGATAGTTGCCCAGCAATGTGAATATACTTAATGCCATTGAACTGTACCTTTGAAAATGGTATAGTGACAAATTTTATGTTTAACACAATAAAAACAACAGTTTAGTGACTGAAGTCCTTCTCATTTCTTATCTGTATGCTTCACCCCAACATTGAGGTCTTGTGGGAAAGAAGCATGAATGTCAGTAGGCAGAGCAAACCCATATCAGGTACACCCCACACTCTGGGCACACTTGAAGAGGCTGGTGTCAGCCTGCCAGTGTCTTGAAGTCAGGGTCCTCAGGATGCCCCAGCCTCTCCAAAGTCTGTGCCTGGTAGGCTTCTAGCCTTTTCTGGATCATCTGCAGTAACAGGGAACTTACTCTTCCAGCCACCCCCTGTCTCCATCATGGATATGGTGCAATCTTGGCTCACTGCAACCTCTACCTCCTGTGTTCAAGTGATGCTCCTGCTTCAGCCTCCCAAGTAGCTAGGATTACAGGCACATGCCACCACACCTGGCTAATTTTTGTATTTTTAGTAGAGGCAGCGTTTCACCATGTTGCCCAGGCTGGTCTTGAGCTCCTGACCTCCAGTGATCTGCCTGCCTCGGCTTCCCAGAGTGCTGGGATTACAGGTGTGAGCCACTGCCCCCAGCCCACTGATGTGTTTTGTCAGCAGAGGTGGGTGTTTTAGAAACATCCTCAAGATACCTCGTGTGTGCCTGATATTAAACAAATTGTTACAAGGGATTCCAAGATGAAGCAAACCACAGAAACTCAATTGCTGCTGGCAGGCCTCAGGGCTAGACTTTGGCCATAACAAGGCCCAGTGCTTGCCATGCTTCACCCCAGGCTGGTTCTCTTGAAGAATCCCTGGGGTAATCTGCTGCTCTTCCACCCAGTGCCATCCATCATGGTTCAGGTTTGAATGATGGTGACAGAACAGCCCAGTGGAAGGCGGTGCTGCTTATTGGGCAGAACTGGGCCAATAATCTTAGTCTGCAGCTCTTATGCCAGCCAGGGTCTTGGAGAAGAAACTGGCCAATGGTACCCACTCACGCTGCATTTTGACACAAGCACAGGTGACATTTACAGTGACCCAGGGAGGCAGGGGTAGGTTGCAGAGCAAGTTTTAGGAAATAAATTGCTCCGAGAGCCCAGAGAAGGCTGAGCCCACGGAAGCCACACCGGCTGCTTCATGTGCTGCTTCCAGGAGGCCAAGTGCACAGGGTGCAAGACCAAAGCTTACCTGGAGAGAGGGGCTGCTGGGAGCCTGAGAGCCTCCCTGCACCCCTCCCTCACTGGCCACTCACTGCTTCCTGTCTGCCCCTCCTCAGACATGCTCCCTGTCCCATGTCCCCTGCAGGTACTCTGCCTGCACCCTTCTCCCTCTCCCTGCTTCCAGCCTCTCTCCCCTTGAGCTGTGCTTTCAGCTCAACCTCTTGAGGCCTCAGTAGAGCTCTGAGAGAAGGAAGCAATAGAACTTCTATGGCCTCTGGAGATGCTCAAGGAGAGTCCTACCTTTCCCACCTCTTTGGTGTTATACAGACTCACCACAGACTCCTCCTGCTGGCCAGGTAAAACATCATGTTGGCTCAGAGGGCATGGCAGAGGGCCACTGTGGTCCAGTTGTGCGTTTCTGTGGGTTTGGGATCCTATATCTGCAGAGGCTATGGTGGCATTACTATGAGAAGTGTTTGCCCTGCATAAGAGCTGTTGGATGCCCTGTTGGCACACCCATGTCTGGGCACTCATACCCAGGATAGTAAAGACTGAGTTGCTGTGGCTGGCTCAGAGCACTAGGCCCAGAAGAGGTCACTGGCCACACCTTGCTGAACTCCAGTAGGGTCTTGTGACTTCTCATGGCTGCAGGCTTTCATTACAGTCAAACCAGGAAGTGCTTCCTTTGTCATGACCAAACCCGTGTAGCCTTGCCCTTTCACCAGGAGGTCAAGGTCCAGGGGTAGAATCTTGAGTTCTCTTTGCCTTGTGTCAGCAACTAAACCATGGCTGTCCTGGTGCTTGCTCTCCAGAGACTGGGTGGGGCAAGAAGGGTAACGGGCAGGTCATCCTGCCCTCACCCCACCCACTAATGCAGCCCCTTGAGGAGGGCCCTAGAGTGTGAGTGGGAGACACTGAGTTCCTGCCCCTCACTGCCCCATCCACTGCTCATTAAATGCAGCGTGAGCAGAGGTTTCCATCTGCTGCTTTATTGCCCGTATCTTGATCATATCCTGCCAAGCTGATATAGTTGATGACTTTTTAAAAAGCTCAACTATCTTTAGATTACTATATGCATTTTATTTTTACATATATTTACATAATTATTTTAGTTATATACATTTTATGATTATATTGTAGTAGAAAATATACTCATAATCTTAGTGCTCATTGATAACCATTATTATTATTATTATTATTTTTTTTTTTTAAGAGACAGGTCACCCAGGCTGGAGTGCAGTGGCCTGATCATACCTCACTGCAGCTTCAAACTCCTGGGCTCAAGTGCTCCTCCAACCTCAGCCTCCTGAAGCTAGGACTACAGGCACACACCACCATGCCCAGCTAGTTTTTGTATTTCTTTTTTGTAAAGATGGGGTCTCACTTTGTTGGCCAGGCTGATCTCAAACTCCTGGCCTCAAGCAATCCCTCCTTGGCCTCCCAAAGTGCTGGGATTACAGATGTGAGCCACAGCACCTAGCCTCCACTATTATTATTTTGACATATTTTCTTCCAAACTTTATTTATAACACTTTTCTACTCATGCACTTTGATATAGGTTGGCTGTGTCCCCACCCAAACCTCACCTTGAATTGTAACTCCCACAATTCCCACATGTTGTGGGAGGAACCCAGTGGGAGGTGATTGAATCATGGGGGTGGGTATTTACTGCACTGTTCTTACCATAGTGAATGAGGCTCACAAGATTTGATGGTTTTAAAAACAGGAGTTTCCCTGCAAAAGCTCTCTTTCTTTGCTGCCATCTGTGTAAGACGTGACTTGCTCCTCCTTGCCTTTCACCATGATTGTGAGGCCTCCCCAGCCATGTTGAACTATAAGTCCATTAAACCTCTTTCTTTTGTAAATTGCCCATTCTCAGGTATGTCTTTTTCAGCAGTGTGAAAATGGACTAATACACACTTTTTTTTTTTTTACAAAATAAGATTATTCTGCATGACCTTTTTTTATAGCATGCTTTTTTGTTCACTTGACAATATGTTATAAAGATCTTTCCTCATCAATAAACATATGTCCATTTATGGTGGCCATTCAGTATTTCGTCATGTCTATGAGCCAGATGGATTCAACTCATTTCCATTGTTAGGCATTTTAGGTCGTTTCCATTTTTCTTTTCTATTGGAAAAAATATAAAGACATATGTAAAATATGTAAAAATATAAAAACATACATAAACATCTGTTTACGTATGTTTTTGTGGATAACTTTTATTCCCTAAATTCCTAGAAGAGGAGCTACTAAGTCAAAAGTCACAAGCATGTAAAATCTTGTCATATATTCTGTCAGCTTGCCTCCAAAATAGATTCTGTCTCCTCTCCCCAGCTGCAGCGAGTGAGCCACTGTCCTTACTCTCCTCCATCAGGGCTCGTCTTACTGCTATTTGCCATCTCTGCTAGTTTGCCTCAATAACTTACCTTGGCCAAGCCCATGGTAGGCTTTCACTGGAGGTCAGTGGAGCACTGGGGTTGCAATGATAGGACAGTGCCCTGGGCCTTCCAGGACAAGCAAATCAGAGCCAGGAGGATCCCCTAGGCTCAAAGGACAGGCTGGCTTCAATGGTAGATGGCCAGGGAGCAGGAGCCGGCCTGACCCCAGAAGTGTCACAGATAAAACTCACGTTACAGTGTAGGCTGGGTCTTAGACTTGGCCCCATAAACTTTCTCACCCCCCATCCCTGCAGATAGATACACACACACACACACACACACACACACTCATTGATGCACAGAGGGACAAACACACTCGCATAGATATGCAGGTCCTAGTTAGGTAGGTCTGTCCTACCTTCCAAATATTGGCTCCCATTTCTCTCCAGAACCTAAATCTAAGCCTGCCTTGGAAGGTTGGGCTGTTCCTTAATTGCCACCTATTCAAAAAGTATGCTCAATCTCCTGGAGAAAGGGAATGAGTGGAATTGCCTAGAGAATGAGCTGTGTGGCCCTTAGACCAGAGCAAGAGAAGCCCCTGCCAGATACCCCATATACCAGAGGGCCCCTCTCTGGCCTTTCTCCAGCCATGACCTTCCCCACAAGGTAAGAAATCCCCTGGGCCACAGGGACATATCCACTCAGAGCCCTGGCCTTCATTTTAGACCATGCTCCAAGTACCTGGGACCTGGAATTCCCTGAGTCCCTGGCCTGAATGGGCCTCCTCCCTGGATCACCTTCCCCCGAGTGAGAGTGGACCTCATCACTAGTGTGCACACCCCTGGCCTGGAAGTGGCCAAGAGGCGACTGGGCGTGTGGATGGAGTTTGGACATGCAGGCTAGGATGTCCACTCACAGGCATGTGAAGACCTCACAGCATGACATGAGGCCAGAGCTGGGAAGAGAAGGGGGTCACACTGTAAACTACAGGTTGGGGACCAGCCTTCCCCAGGTCACCACACTACAGCATAGAACTGAGAGTAGTCGGCCGGGTGACTCTCACACCTGTAATCCCAGCACTTTGGGAGGCCGAGGCAGCTGGATCACCTGAGATCAGAAGTTTGAGACCAGCCCGGCCAACATGGTGAAACCCCATCTCTACTAAAAATACAAAAATTAGCCGGGTGTGGTGGTGCACCCTTGTAATCCCAGCTATTTGGGTGGCTGAGGTGGAAGAATTGCTTGAACTTGGGAGGTGAAGGCTGCAGTGAGCTGAGATCACACCACTGCACTCCAGCCTGGGCGACAGAGTGAGACCCCGTCTAAAAAAACCAAAAAAAACAAAAAAACTCAGAGTAGTCCAGGAATAATAAATTCAAATCTGGCTTTCCAGGTCATTTTTCAGGTCTGTTTTTCAAGGTAGGAGAATTAAACATTTCATTCTGATATTTTGTTAGTTTGATTTATAACCTTTCAATGTTTTGACATGCGCTATGTGGGCTTCCATTGTCCTCGTGTCCTTACAAATGTTCAAAGCTGACTTGAAAGAGAGGCTTGCAAGGCTAGAGCCCATGGTTGGATATAGAGGAGAAACAAAAGTGGGTCTGTGAGCCAAGGCAAAGAGTGCCTGGGGCCCTGGCATGATGAGGCTGCACTGCTGGAGTGGCTGTGAATAATGAATGCCTCTTTCCTTTCAGATCACTTTCAGGAAAGATCACCTTGAGGCCTGCCTCCTTTCCCTGGGTTGTGATGTGATGGCAAGAGAATGCAGCAACTTTGAGACCTACTCCATGTGCTATGAGCATGTGTTGCATCATGCTAGGCAGAGGCTCAGCCAGAAAGAGCAAGTAGGTTCCCAGAGAGAGAAGAACTGCAGTGGGGAATGGGCATGGGCAGGGAGGCTCAGGAGGCACTCAGAAGAGAAAAGTAAAACTGAGGGGGTTGGGATACATACAGTGGTTCTTATGCCAGAACTGAGGGTGAATGGTACCCTCAAATCTCTCTACTCATTGGCTCAATCATTCTCCTGGGCTCTGGTATTCTCAGTTGCACACTAGGTTATGTGCTTGGGAAGTGTCCAGTGGAGAATACGAAAGGTGAGCAACAAAGGGGCTGGCCCTGCAGGGGAAGGTACATAGCTGTCCTTTCCACCCTCAGCAAACACAAGGCACCGTGCGCTGTTCCTGGTCTGGGAAAGAAGCCAGGATCCTTGAGTAAACTCTCTCTTCAGGATGCATGTCATGGGTCAGTCTCACTGGGAGACTTCCTTAAAATATGAGCCTGCTGGTGGGATGGAAGAGTCAGTCCTCCTGCCCTGGGCTGCCCACTATTGTGAAGGTAGATTGCATCAGAGATTTAGTGTGATTTTAGTTTATACCTTAGAAAAGTTCAAAAGTCTAAACCACTAGCCAAAACACCAAATGAAGCATTGAAATGATGAACAACGAGCCTTGGAGCCACCCCTATTTTGGGCTATCCCCATTACTCAGTTCTTGGCATCAGTGTGGGTACCTGGAAGTCAATGTTGTCTTTTGAGGCTGTGTTAGGCATCCTGAAGTCCAGTGGGGCAACTCACACAGTCTCAGCTCCAGGCACAGCCTAAGGTTCTCAAAATGGGGCTCCATTAACACAAATAGGAGGTGTTTGGAATGTGTTGTACTGACCTGAGCCATGGTTGGAAGACTAAATGTTAGAGTTTGGTTGTGTACTGCTTTCTCCTGCCCAGGAATTAGATGCTACACAAAGAGGCCAGGGTCCACCTGAAGACAGTGCTGGCCAGGTAGGTCATTTCCTATTAAAAGGTTCTCTTCTCCATTTCTCACATCCACACTCTCAGGGCTAGCCAGCTATGGGATGCCTTAGAGTCATTTGCTTGTGTCACCTGTAGAAGTCCCGTCAGTGAAGGTCCACTGCAGGAACACCAAGGAGTGTGCTTTCACTTTTGGTGAGCAACCCTCCTTAGGGTGCATTTTTTTTTCTTGAGTTTTTTGGTCGCTTTTGTTATTTTGTACTGGTTTTGTTTTGTTCTGTTTTTGTTGTTACTTTGGGGAGTTTTGTTGTTGTTTCTTGTTTTCTTTTGATGCCAGTTAAGGTGCATTCCAGGCCAGACGCGGTGGCTCACGCCTGTAATCCCAGCACTTTGGGAGGCTGAGGTGGGTGGATCACCTGAGGTCGGAAGTTCCAGACCAACCTGACCAACATGGAGAAACCCCGTCTCTACTAAAAATACAAAATTAGCCAAGTGTGGTGGAGCATGCCTGTAATCCCAGGTACTCGGGAGGCTGAGGCAGGAGCATTGCCTGAACCCGGGAGGTGGAGGTTGCGGTGAGCCAAGATCGCTCCAGCCTGGGCAACAAGGGCAAAACTCTGTCTCAGACTAAATAAATAAATAAAATAAAATGCATTCCAAAAAAGAAAAGGGATGTTTGGGCTGAGGTGTCAAGGGGAGGCCAGTTTGGAAATGGAGGCCAAGACAGTTGAAGTATTTTTCTCTAACTGAAAAGGGCCTATGTAGTGGCTTTTCTGGGGTCACTTATTCACCAGTCAGTGTCTGGCACTGTTCTGGGACCTTTGAATTGTCCTTAAATTCTTCTGCCCACATTTATTTAGCAGAATGTTCACTCTCTTCATTAGGTTTAAAATAGAAGTGAAATTCAATACTGATCTATAAGAAACTATTTTGTAGTAGCAGTTTGAAACTCCTAAATTGTTTTTCTCACACACACACACACACACACACACACACACACACACACACACATTTTCTCATGCTTCTAGATTGCAGAGCTCAGTCATGATATGATCATGGAAATCACCACTCTGAGAGCCCAACTCACAGACTTGGAAGAAGTGAATCTGAATCTCAAGAAGCAGATTAGAAAAGAAGTCCAAGAAGAATATGAAGCATTAGTCCGAGCTTTGTTTGAGACCTGTTTACACATAAAAGTAAGTGTCCCGTGTTGAACATCTGGGCCACCCATTGGGTAGCCGAGTGTAACGGATTCCCATGGTGGCTGCACACCCAGGGATCGATGACAGAATAATGGGCTTTGTAGTAACAAGAGATTGTTAGGCCCAAGAATTTTCTAGCTCTAAGCTTTCACTGCAGAAAGAGAGTCAGCAATGGGTTGTCATTAACCACGATAGACACTGAATTTGGGGATAATATAGAAGTCTATCTTTTACCCTCTATTGACAGTTGCTATTGTCACTGTCTGATTGCTGTTGGGAGGACAGAGTGTTCTGCTCCCCACAGTCCCTCACCTCCCCAGTTTCTATCACCATTTTATCTGTTAGTGTGACTTTCCAGACTACAGTGCCTGGGCCAGGCCGGACCTTACGTAGGTAGCAGCAGGTGCCTCTGGAGAACTCCCTGGACACATTCAGAATTTGAATCAGCTTCCACATTTTTTTCCAACCCTCAAAATGCCTGCCAGCCTCACTCTCACATTCAATGTCAGCAAACTGCTGACCTGTCAGCAAAGACCCATTGCAGAAGTGATGGGGTACGCATGCACCCGCAGCACTGTGGAAGCCAATCGCTTTCATGTGATGTTTGCACAGCCATAAGATAGATGCCCCAAGCCTAAAATGGGCCATCAGGGAGACTGGTCCAGCTGACTCACCAGTGTGAATTTCAGTGCAACCTACCACCTGCAAGTCCACAGCTTCCCCCAACCCTGTCCCCTTCCCTGCTATTGGATACACCCCAAAGCCAGCCCCGTTTGGGTCCTTGAGTCTCTCCCCAGGGATTGCAGAATGGCCCTGAGGGTTGTTAGGTTAACAGGAGCTTCCACCAGTACTCACCTTGGCCTGGTCATTCCAGCGAGAATTTCCTCTTACTTGCAGTGTAAATGCTTACACATATTAAGGGATCGAACCCAAAATGTATTAGGTCTGGTGCTGCAGGAGAAGGATGGGCAGACAGTGACAGCTGGAATTTGCTAAGCCATCTTTCAGGTGTGAGATTGTTGAGAAATGTCTTAAGTTCCTTTTAGCTTCTGCCAGATTCCCAGTTAAAAAGTAGATTCTCTCTGTTTCCCAGGCTGAAGTAGTTCCACCAAGCCTCCTACAGTAGGGAATCCCTGTTATATTCCAGGGTCCCACGAAGTTGCTAAAGCTTGTGTTGTGTGGCCAGAGCCAGGCTTCCCTCCGTGGCTCCCAGCTGGGCACCCTCCTCCTGCCTTCCTCTCCAGGGAAGTGGTTTAGAAGTGAGAGGACACCCCTACCCTACCTCTCACCCCAGAGACACTGGGTGTCTTAGTCTGCTCAGGCTGCCATAACAAAATATGATAGGCTGCACAGCTTAAACAACAGAAAGTATATTTCTCACAGTTCTGGAAGCCAGAAGTCTGAGATCAGGGTGCCAGTGTGGTCTGCTTCTGGCTGAGGGCATGCTTCCTGGCTTGCAGGTGGCTGCCTTCTCACTGTCCTCACATGGGAGAGAGGGAGAAAAAGAAAGGTCTCTCTCTCTCCCTCTTCCTATAAGGCCACAGTCTATTGCAATAGAGCCTCACCCTTATATCCTCATTTTAATCTTAATTACCTCCTAAAGATCCTATCTCTAGATACTGTCACATTGCTGGTTAGGGTTTCAACATATGAATCTGAGGAAGACACAATTCAGTCCATAGCACTGGGTCTTCAGTCGTACTTACCATTGATCAGGCTGTTTCCTCACAAGCCATTTAGCCAGAAGCCATTCAGAACGGAATATTTCCTAATGGGGTTTCTGCTAGATCCTAAATAGGAAGGCAGCCAGCCTGACTCCCTCCTCCACTTTATCTATATTTAACAGAGCTCCTCAGGAGTGGCTCATCTACAGTGTCTTGTCTGCTCACATTCTACTGTGAGTCAACATAGCAGCAAAAATCTTTGGTTCAGCTTCCCAAGTAACTCTTACCAGGGGCAGTTTGGTCAGCAGGTTTTCTACCTGTGTGACCTTCCACTATCCTCCTGGCTCAGCTTGCCTTGGTGTTGACAAGGAAGGCACAATCTAAGATGTGCTGGTGTCCAGAAGATGAAGCCCTGTGAATAAAAGACAGCACTCAGGGGGCTGCTAAGTGTGACTTCCTTATAGTACATGTCAGAATAATTGTCTGAGGAGGTGATATCTTAATGTGAAATTACTTACAAAAGTTAAGTTGTAGAAGGCAAAATGGCTTTTCTTCAACTACCCTTCACACTACCCAAATCCATTTTACTTCCTTGACTTGATTCTGCAATTTGCAGGAGAAGCTGGATGATAATCAGCTTAATTTGATCCAGAAAGTGTGTGAGCTCATCGGTGAAGTGAGAACAGAAGGGATTGACAATATGAAGGACCTAAAGAAAAAATGGTGCTCTGCCAGCCCCGATGAAGGAATGAAAGAAAACCCAGCCAAAGTATGTGATTTCATTTAGCAATGGGATATCAGCGTTTCATCCTAGCATCTGACTCTACCATTCACCCTGTTAGCATTCCAGCCTGATTTCCCTGAGAAAGCATTGCATCAGGCATTTTAAAGGGGGCACAGGGACGCACTGCACAATTGTGTCATCTTCTGGAAGGCATGTTTCTGATGTTAGGGTTTGTGCCCTTCCTATGAAAATGTTGGGGGCAGCCTTTCCTGAAAATGAGCCTTCTTAGCAGGAACAGCTGTGGGCCTTGGAGCAGGACAACTGCAGCCTGGCCAACCTGGTGTGCAAAGTGAGGAGCCTGGGCCGCTGGAGGCTGGCTGTGCAGCAGGCGTGCTTCCAGGCCCAGCTGAGCAGGACAGAGAAGGTGAGCTCTGGTGGGGGAGACCCAGACAGTCCCCAGGATGGCTGATCCCAAGCCTCCATGGCTGCAGCTGCCATGGTGTCACTGTAGCTGTGAGTGGCACTGGTGTCAGGTGGTAGGGCCAACCATCCTGAAGGACCCGACGGTTGGCGATTTTTCCTGGGAACAGGCCATGTGAGAACTTCAGGAGAAACAGAAAGGGGGCAGAAGCAAAGGGGGCAACAAAAAACAGATCAGAGAATTCAGCATAAGGGAAGGAAGTGAAAAGATGGAGGAAAGGCTTCACCAAGGCCTTGAGGCTGCTTTGTCAAAATACCGCATATCTTTGGGTTTCATACATGAGTATCTGAGGAAAATGAAGTCACAAAATAATAAGTGAGAAATCTGCTTTAAGGTAAATTGAGTCCAAAGCTCATATTGATAGCTATTTGGAAACTTTCACATCCTGTTTCTGAAAGTATTTACTCTCATATGTTACCCTCTTCTGAATTAAAATCATGGAAGCAGGCTGGACATGGTGGCTCATGCCTGTAATCCCAGCACTTTGAGAGACCAAGGTGGGCAGATCACCTGAGGTCAGGAGTTTGAGAGCAGCCTGGCCAACATGATGAAGCCCAATCTCTACTAAAAATACAAAAAAATTAGCCGGGTGTGGTGGTGGGCACCTGTAGTCTCAGCTACTCAGGAGGCTGAGGCAGGAGAATTGCTTGAACCTGGGAGGTAGAGGTTGCAGTGAGCCAAGATTGTACCACTGTACTCCAGGCTGGGTTGACAGAGAAAGACTCCATCTCTAAATAAATAAATAATAAAATAAAATAAAATCATGGAAGCAGTGACTAGCAGGAGCTCCCTTCTACCGGAAGTTTGAAAGAAGAATGGATGGGAAAGTGGTTTAGATACTGCTTTTGAAACTAAACATCTGGAAAGGAAACCTATTTCCTATCTTACTGTGTTTGGGATATTTACAGGAATCTATTCAAAGTAAAAAAGAGTATTTGCGCATCAAGCTGATGGCAGAGCGAGAAGTGGGTTTATTTCGTCAGCAGGTCCTGGCTCTCAGGCAGGCCCTGGCCAGGGCACAGGCTGACAGCGCGAGGATGTGGAAGCAGCAGGACAGCCAGGTATCTGAACCTCAGAGCCTCTTCCTCATTCCCTTTGCAGTTAACTCTGCAAAGCTGAACGTGGCCACCACACTTGGTGCTGTGGCTGTCAGGAGCAGTCACCAGAGCACCACAGCCTGAAGCCACACAGATGGCACAGCCAGGAAAAGATAGCCTGGACTTGGGCTTCCCTTCTCCTCCCTCCTCTCCAGCCCAGAAACCAAGGGCGGTGGCCAAAAGGCTATTGTTCTTACTCATGTGGCTGAGAAAATATTACTCCTAAGCAAGATCATTATCACATACGTGTGTGTGTGTGTGTGTGTGTGTGTCCATTTCTCTGAGGATCTTTTTGCTAGAGGCTGTCCTGGGATCCTGGGATCTAGGCCTCTGCCTTGAACACAGGCTTTCATGGGGCAAGCACGCTTCCAGTTGACAACAATCCTTGGCAAGTAGAGTGTGGTCCAGCCTTGTAGTATTATCCCCCATGCGAGACTGTATCCTTTCCCAGTGATCCATACTGTGTCTCACTTTCAGAAGTTACTGCTGCGCGATAGGGGCCGGCACCAAAATAAAGGCATTCTAAGCCTAAGCATTTCCTTACTGTGCCAACCCTCTGGGCATGAATGAAGCAGGGGGACTCTAGGTTTAGAGTGAGAACAGCTGAGTTAAAGTAACAGCCTGGGAAAGCTAGGCGTATTTAAAGCATGAAATTTAATTTGTTCATCTTGGACCCTAATTCCTCCATGATTCTGCATCAGATGAGTTAACTATGTAAAGTACATTATAAACTGTAAAGTCATCATACAGATATGAATAATAATTAAGTATTGACCATCTAGTACTTAGGATAATACTTATTAGAAAAACTTTGGAACAGAACGAAATTATTTCTACCCTTATCCTTCTTTAACTATCTAGAGTCTGACTTCCCCAGATTTTTGGAAGGGAAAACAGAGCCTAAATCAGAACCTCCTTTCTTCGCCCATTGTGTGTATGGCATGGCCCCATCTCCTTGGTGTTAAACGCTTCCACGGCTACCTCCTGACAAAGGCTCCACGACAATGTAAATGTTGTTTGTGCTAGATATGATTATCTGGTTAGTAAGCTAACATACATATTATCAAATCTGGGTATTAAAAGACCAAATTATTTGCCCTGGCACTGCTGTACAGTGGCGTGATCGCATGCCTGGCTTTTGGTGTCTGTTCTGCTTCCCTCTGACTGTCACTGCAGGGCTCACAGTGTAAACGCCAGGCTAGGCTAGATCCTGGTGCTCTGGCTAGCACAGGACAGAATCATTGGGCCGCATTTTCTAGAGCCCAGGAATACACCATGTAGTTGTGTCCCTGAGCCCCAAAGGAGGGGATGGTTATTATGCTTTCCAACCTCTTCCCCCCTTCTGCTGGGAAGAAAGGCTCCCTGCCTTCTCCTTTCTTTTGGCGTTTTCCTGCCACAGGCTCAACTGCTGAAGGAGTTAGAACATAGAGTGACCCAGGAAGCTCTCACCCAGCAGCAGCTGCATTTTATGAAAACATCCAGGATGGAGAAGCTCTTGGAAGATGTGGGGCAAAAAGAACAGCAACTGCAGCTCCTTAGCAAAGAGGCTGAGAGGGCTTCTAAGCTGGGCCAACTGCAGCAGAAAAAAATGAAGAGGGACCTCCACCAGGTAAACCTCAGTAAGAGGGAGTGTCCAACCAGAGTGCACCTGGTGCCCCAGCGAGGGCTGCTGCATCCTTCCCCTGCGTGCCCATGCCTCTCTCCTGTCCCCCACAACAGTATTTCTCAACCTCTGTCACTTATAGGCAGCCCAGGAGAATGGTAGCAACTCTCCCCACAGTGTCTCCCCACACCACAGGGATTGCTGGGCAGGCCATGGTGGCTTGGCTGCCTCAGGGCTCAGAATCTCAGCACCCCTGTAACCTACTGGAAAAACCTGTTTCTACCCAGCTCTCATCTTTGAACTAGGAATCTTTTAGAAAATTCCAAGCAGTAACCTGGAAAAGCAGCAAGTGTTAATGGAGGCTATGACAAGAAGATTTTATTCAAGTGTTTCAGGAACTGCAGAGACAAAAATGAAAGGCAAAAGTGGTTTGCAGATCCAATGTATTTTGTTAACTACACCTAACAACAAAGAAATAGAAGAGAATAATACTAGAATGTAGATGTGGATTAATACAAGTTTCAACAAAGCAGAAAACAATGTAATTCAATAAAAAAGGAAAAAGTAATTTCCAAAGCAGGCACCTCACACATATCCATTGAATGAGCAAATCACTGAACTCATTCATCAGAGATAGAAGGAGATGGAAATTGAAAGACAAATTATTGGTCAAGTGTTTCTTTTTTTTTTTTCTTTTTTTGAGACAGAGTCTCACTCTGTCACCCAGACTGGAGTGCAGTGGCGTAATCTTGGCTCACTGCAACCTCCACCTCCCAGATTCAAGTGATTCTCCCACCTCAGCCTCCTTTGTAGCTGGGGCTACAGGCATGAGCCACTATGCCCAGCTAATTTTTGTATTTTTAGTAGAGACGGGGTTTTACCACGTTGGCCAGGCTGGTCTCGAACTCCTGATCTCAGGTGATCCGCCTGCCTTGGCCTCCCAAAGTGCTGGGATTACAGGCGTGAGCCACCGCACCCGGCCCCTGGTCAATTAAGTGCTCAAGGAAGAGATCAATAAGGAGAATTCTATCTACAAAAATGACAAAAAAAGATTAAAATTTGAATTGAGTTAAAGAAAATATATAGAAATGGGGGGAGAAAATGAGTAGCTTTAGAATAAAAATTAGAATTTCATATTTATTGCCTGAAAAGTAAACAAAAATATGACTCAACCTATAAGAAAACTTTGGCATCCCAATTTTGTGTTACAAATCATGCTTTTCTAAAAGCCACCACAAAAACAGGGAAGTTCGTAGATTCATTTCTTCAAGGTTTTCTCTAGTTAATTATTTGTTTCATGGCAGATATTCTAGAGGTGGTCAAAACAAATATTTTGAGGTTTCTCTCAACAAATGTGCACTTTACCATATGTACGTATAAGCCATTGGCCCTTTGTAGAGTACACCTCCAGCTCTCCTGACAGCTCAAGTGTCCCTGCGCCTACCTACTCTAAACAGCAATCCTCAGCCAGCAAGACCCGAGCCCCCCACCCTCACCCCCCGGCCCCTTCCAGCCAGAAGTGGCTTCTTTAATCTATCTCCGGCCTCTGACTCCATGGGCAGATAATTCACTGTCTGACCTCGGAGAGCCTCAGTGTCCTAACCTGCTGCCTGCGCCTGGTTGAGGTCACTTATAGTAGGGGTTTCCAACCCCCAGGCTGTGGACCGGCAGGGGTCCATAGCCTGTGAAACTGGGCTGCACAGCAGAAGATGAGCAGTTGGCAGCATAACTGCCTGAGCTCCGCCTCTTGTCAGACCAACGGAGGCCTTTGATTCTCATAGGAGCACAAACCCTATTGTGAACTGCACATGTGAGGGATCTAGGTTGCCTGCTCCTTATGAGAATCTAGCTAGTGCCTGATGATCTGAGGTAGAACAGCTTCATCCTGAAACCATTTGTCCCCACCCGGTGGAAAAACTGTCTTCCATGAAACCGGTACCTGGTGCCAAAAAGGTTGGGGACCAGTGATTTAGAGCACAGGCCCTGGAGTGGAACTGAGTGGTTCATACCGCTGGCCCTCCAGCGGTGTGGCTTTGGGCAAGGTCTGTGGCTTCTCTATGCTTTGATTTCTTCATCATTACAATGGAAACAATGTACTCACTTCACTGAATTTGGGGGATGATTAAATTAGGGAATTAGGTAATTTAAATAAAGCCCTTAAAACCAGGCCTAAAACAGGCATGCCTGTAGTCCCAGCTACTTGGGAGGCTGAGGCAGGAGGATCGCTTGAGCCCAGGAGTTCAAGCCTGCAGTAAACTAAGATTATGCCACTATACTCCAGCCTGGGTGAAAGAGTAAGACCCTGTCTCTAAAAAATAAAATTAAAAAATAAAAAGTAAAAAATTAACAAAAATAAACAGGCCAGGCACGGTGGCTCACTCCTATAATGCCAGCACTTTGGGAGGCCAAGGTGGGAGGATTGCTTGGGCAACATGGTGAAACCCTGTTTCTACAAAAAATACAAAAATTAGCCAGGGATGGTGGTGTGCATCTGTGGTCCCAGCTACTCAGAGGGCTGAGGTGGGAGGACCACTTGAACCTGGTTGCAGTGAGCCAAGATTGTGCCAATGCACTCCAGCCTGCATGACAGAGACTTTGTCTCAAAACAAACAACAGCAAAATCACGGTGTGATACATAGCTCTCAGTAAATGTTGGCTGTTTATATTTTTGTTGGGAATGTGAAGGTAGACAGCCTTGGAAACAGGTAGGTAGACCTGGACTCAAATCCTGGCTGTGTGGCCTTGGGCAAGTCACTTCACCAGCCTCTGTGACATTGGGGTGAGTGACCTAACACAAGGAGGTCCTGAGGAAGCACGCTTCCTTGCTGGTGTTTCTTAGGTTTCCTAGTGCCAGCCTGGCTCAGGAAATCTTGATATGTTTCCTTGGCACCAGCCCGTAGGGAATGAGGATCCTACACAAATCCCTACAGTATGGAGAGGGGCTTTGGACCTACTTTATATTAGGAAGTTTTCCTAACTCTGGAGCTCTGGTAATCTTCTGAAATTTAAACTATGCTTGGGGGCCCCCCGACATAAGGAAGAGCCCACTTTAACATTTAGGGCAATACTATGCAGGGGCCTTCTGGCTGGGTCTGTATAGGCGGAGTGGGATGTACAATACACATGGCTGAATGCTTGAGATTAGCACGTGTATTCATTTCCTAGAGTTACCTTAATAAATTATCACAAACTGGGTGGCTTAATAGAATAAAAACGTATTCCTTCACAGCTCGGGAGGCCAGAAGCCTGAAACTAATGTGCTGGCAAGGCTGGTTCCTTTTGGAGGCTCTGAGGAAGAATCTGTTCCATGTCTCTTCTTAGTCACATTTTGGTCTCTGGCATTCCTCGGCTTGTAGTTACCTCACTCCAATCCTGCCTCTGTCATCATGGAGCCTTCTTCCTATGTGCTCCTCTGAGTTTCTGTATCCTTATCCTATCTTCTTTGTAAGGACAACAGTCATTAGATTCAGGGCTCACCTAAATCCAGTATGACCTCATCCTAACAAGTCCATCTACGAAGACCCTATTTCCAAATAAGGTCACATTCTGAGGTTCCAGGTAGACATGAAATTTGGGGGGTACTCTTCAAACCACTATAGTATATATTACTTTTCTACAAGTAAAAACAATTAGGAGATTATAAATTGAAAAAGCAAAACCACCTGTCATCTGTGCAGATGAGATACACTTTGGACCTGGGCACTGCCTGGCTGGGGAGTGTGGGCTAGCCGTGCACGGGGAGAGCCATATAAGTCAATACAAAGGTTGCTTCTGGAGATGGGCTTGTCAGAACAGGGCATTCCCGGCAGATGCTGAGCTGAGAGCAGAGATTTAGGAGATAGATAAGTCTTTCCTCTGTTTGAAACTGTCCAGGGGCTCTGACAGGTCCTCACTGTAGATGCAGTGGCTAGGCCTCCAAGGCCCTGTGTGCACTGGGCCCTCCCTCCCCTCTTCCTCTACTTATCTGATGAAATAAACATGAAAGATATAACCTTGTGAATAAGTTCCTAGCTATTATAAGGTATAAGGGATTCCACGGACTGTTCCTTTTTGGTTAAGTTCTTGGTCTTCCTGAAGTTCTTGATTCTCAGAAGGCTGAGTTCAGCCTAATCAGGACTTTAAGAGCCAGTTCTCTTTGCAGGGTAGCCTGGGACACCCATTCTCCCTAGGAACCCCCTGTGAACTGAGGAAATGAAAGTGAGCACAAAGAATCTCTGCTTCTCATTTTCCCCTCAGATGAGAAGCCGGCTTGCCCAGGAGCGCAGTGTGAAGCTGGATGCTCTCCAGCGTGCAGAGGAGCTGCAGGGTCAGCTTCACGATGCCCAGCGGTCAGCTGTCCCCATGGGCTCGTCAGGCGGTAAGGATAACCCCTGCTCTGGCTAGAAAACCCTCCCAGTCTCTGGGGTCTGAACTGAGGAGGGTCTCAGAGACTCAGGGGGGACCGAATCAGTAACTATCCAGTGGTTATTGAGTGGGTCCTCCACAATGTTTGTTGAATGACACATAAACGGATAAACCTTAATTCTGATTTACAGTCAAAACTTCCTACTTTAGTACCTTGGAGTACTGACATCCAACACTAAAAGGTTTCAGTCATAAAAAACTGGTCTTGGCTGGACACGGTGGCTCACGCCTGTAATCCCAGCACTTTGGGAGGCCGAGGTGGGCGGATCACGAGGTCAGGAGATTGGGACTATCCTGGCCAATATGGTGAAACCCCGTCTCTACTAAAGATACAAAAATTAGCTGGGTGTGGTGACACACACCTGTAATTCCAGCTACTCAGGAGGCTGAGGCAGGAGAATTGCTTGAACCTGGGAGTTGGAGGTTGCAGTGAGCTGAGATGGTGCCATTGCACTCCAGCCTGATGACAGAGCGAGACTCTGTCACACACACACACACACACACACACACACACACACACACACAAAAAAAAAAAAAAAAAAACTGGTCCCAGAACCAGTTCATTGGATTTTGAGACATCTTAATGCTTGGGGGTTTGGGGTGTCCTTGAAAATAATCAAAATAGCTCTCTGAGCAGTGCAGGCAGCATGGAGCTGAGACCAGACCCCAGGATGTCTCTAAACCAGCTTCCTCCTCTATAAGATGAGGACTAAATACATTCTAAGTTCTCTTCTAGATCTATTAGAAATATCACCAAATATCACTAACCATGATTGGCCTGTTGTTATGATTGGCCATGTCTCTTCTTTCCTGTTCTGTACATAGCCTGATAGTTGAGTATATGGGCTTTGGAGTGAAACAGCCAGAATTCAGGCTCTGGCTCTGTCACTGCTAGCCACATGACCTTAGACAGACCTTAATTAGCCTCTCCGTAAAATGGGAATACTCACCTCAAAGGCTTGCTCTGAGATTAAATGAAATAATTCCTGTCTTGACACCTTAGTATAGTGGCACTTAGTAATTGTGCAAGTGTTGGTTACTATACTTGCATACATGTGTTTAGCCCTTTATCTGTGTTTCCTTTTGGCTACCTTCCAGCGTGAATGAGCTGAGCAAACAGCCTTTCAGGAGCACAGAGTCACAGATGAAATTACTTTGGGTTTACTAAGAGCAGAGCTGGACTTGGCAGTAAAGCTCACAGGGCCCTCCTTCCTGCTTCTGGGTTGCTGCCTGGACCTGACATTGGGAGCTGGTGTCCCCTGCCCCAGCTACTGGTTATTGCTGCTGCCCCAGCCCCAACATAAAGGGCATCAAGAGCACACAAGGGCCCTACTTTGGCACCTGACCCTATGCAGTTCGGTACCTTACACTGTCTTCTCCATGTGCCAGGGGATTTTTTCCTTCTCTCCCTTTCACCTCTGCCTGCAGCTTAGCCAAGCATCTTTCTAATCCCTTCCTGGGATAATGCGTCCTAGTGAACTGCCATCCACATCCTCCAACACCTGCCTATTGTGAAGGAGAACCAGAATGAGGCACGAGGCAGGTGGGGGAGACCCTAATTCCCAGGATTGGGGTGGGAGCAGGAGTGGGAAGCAAACTTCTTTCCCAGGAAGTAGAGGTAGACGTTACTCCCGGGCCTCAGCCCTCTTCTGTTTCCCTGTGCAGGGAGAGGAGGGGTTTGAGGGCACAGTCAGCTATCACCATACTGTTAATGCTAAGCAGTAAAAGTCAGCCATATTCCCACTCCTCCTTCCTCCGCTGTTGCCCAACTGGAGTCTCAAAGTGACCCAGGGGTCTTCTGCAGCAGCAGCCATGGCAGCATTCCTGCCTCCCATGTTGGAAGCATAGGTGCACTCAAAGGGCGAGCTCTCTTTCCTTGCCATTAACGTGATTCCCCTAGGATTTTGCAACTCCTGAGAAATGAAGATTTTTTTCTAAATCAATTATTTTAGACATGCTTAAGAAAAAATGAAATCACTTGGCTCATAAAACTGTAAAATGTTGAGAGGAGGCCTGGCTAAAGGTAGCTTCATCAAGGTTTGACCTAGTTCATGAGGACTGCTTTCACTCTCTCCATCTCTGGCTCTGAGGAGGCTGGGAGCAGAAAGGAAGCAAGGCTCTTTGGAAGCAAGATGGCAGCCACCTCCGTAGCTTCCGTCTCTGTTCATGCTCAGCATGGCAGGAGCAGGGTATGGAGATGGGACAGTCAAAAAGAATTGGGCTCTGCCTGGACTGACTTGGGTCATGTTGCCAATTTTGAACAAATTAGTGGAGCCACAGACTAAGATGTCTGGTTGGCTTAGGCCCAGCTTACCTGCTTCTCCACTGGAGCTGAGGGTTGGGTCAGCTCGCTGTCTCCTCCTCTCTGCAGCAACTGTTTTAAATCTGCCTTGTCTCCTCAGATCTTCATACGCTCCCCCCAACACCTCATCCTTTCATCTCCCACTTCACAGAGAAATTAGAAACCCTCAGACAGGAATGCCATCTTCTCCCTGTCTCCCAGCCTACCTACATCTGTACTCTGCTGCTTCTCCTTCCCTCCTGTGAACATGGAAAGGATGTCCCTTTTCTTCCCCAGGGCAATCCCTATGTAAAGGGCCCATCTGCTGCTACCTTCTCAGGGGCCTTGAACTAGCTGCTTCTTTTCTACATACTTGGATTTCCCATCCATGCATCCCTCTAATCTTGCAACCAACAATTACTTATTGATCATGTATGTGCCAGGATCATAAAATCCACTGTAAAATAGCTCCCCCCGCCCCCACTGCCTTGACAACATATTCCTTCCCCTGCTGCTGGTCTTTCTCTTCCCAGTCAGACTTCTTAAAAGAGCTGCCTATACTCACTTTCGTGATTCACCTCACTTAATTTCTCTCAGGTTTTGCCATTCTCAACTTGTGGCTTCCAAATGTTCCTCACTACCTCATGGTCCAATATGATGCTTACGCTTTCTGGCCAATAGGAAGGAGGAAGGCAACAAAAAGGGCCCACCCCTCCCTTGAAGCTTGAAGAATGCTTCCTGGAAGTCACTTGTGACACTTCTGCGTACATTCCATTGGCCAGCACTTAGCCCCAAGACCACACAAAGGAGACTGTGAAATGTAGTTTTTATTCTAGGATGCCGTGAACAAAAAATGTGAGGTCTATTTCTAAGAAGAGAGGAGAGATTTGCAATTGGGGGCCAAGAATAGGTCTCTGCACCACCACCAGCAATCTGATTTTTCTTACCACCATTTCATTGCAGTTGCTCTTGCCAAGATCACCTTCACTTCTGTCTCCAAGTCCAAAGGACACTGAGTTCTCACTGATTTCATGTCTCAGCAGCATTTGAAACAGCTGACCACACCCTTCTCCTAATTATTCTCCTGGCACTGCTCCTTGTGGTTTTCCTCTTCCTCTGGCTGCTTTTTCTATCTCCTCCTTTTCTAGTTCCTCCTACTGTATCCAACCTCTAAACACTGAAGTTGTTCAGGGATCTTTCTGGCCCCTTCTTCTCTCACCTCACATTGTCTCCAAATAATTGCATATTTCCCACAGCTTTAATCATTGTTTGCTAAGTCTACATCTGCAGCTCAAAACTCTCCTCTGAGCTGTAGACCCCTATATCCAGTGACCCATATGTCCAGTGAATAATGTCTACGTTCACGTGTCTCAGGCTCACAAGTTCAACAGGAATGGAACCCGTCTTCCTATCCTTCTCCCTTCCTACTTTTGGGGTGGGGGAGATGCTCTTTCAGCAAATGGTAGTGCCAAATATCCAGTTGCTTAAGCCAGAAATTTGGGAGCTATTCTTTGTCACCCTGCAAATCTGGTTAATTCTCAACTCCTACTAATTTAAGTAGCTCTCAGTCTATCCGCTTCTACCTACCACAGTCCAAGTCTCTTGTCACCTCCTTCACTTTTACTTGGTCATGCGACTATTGGGCAAAAAACTCTCTCCAAGTTTTGACACATTTGCTCAAAATTGATGAAGCTGAAAAATAAGCTGAGTTAGATGCCAATTTTAAGCCCTAAATTTTATGAATTAAATCTAGATACAGGAATTTGAGGTTATAGTGAGCTACGATCGTGCCACTGCACTCCAGCCTGGGCAACAGAGTGAGGCCCCCACTCTCAAAAAAATAAAAAATCAAAATAATCTAGGTTTATCCATTGCAACCAGAGATATAATTTAACATTTTTAACTTTATAGACCTTATATCCCAGGCTCAATACTCCCCAACTTCTGCTTCCACATCATCCAGATACTCCCAGCAACGCTTTTTAAAGACTAATCTCAAAGGCAGTAAAATAACAAGATGGATTCAAAGGCCACAGACTGTAAGTAATAATAAGATTGATTACATGCATTAAACAATAAAGCCTTACAATTTGATTTCATGGTTTTTGGGTCACTTCAGACTTACATTAGAAAAATTATATATCAGGAGCTTATGTAGATGCCTTGAATCTGGATAAGAAAATTCTGATGTTGAAATAATCCTATAACAGCACCTTCTAAATTACAAGTCAATAAATGGGTGTGGAATCAGTACCAACACCTTGCTGTGTTCCATCTCTGAATTTCTTTTTTCCCCCAATCATCTTCAACAATTAACTAGCAGCATCAGACTCCTTATCTGAGTTCCCCAACAGAGCAGAAATAAGTTTCGGAAGTCATTTTAAAACACGTGAGAAATCTACCCTCCAAGAAAATTCCTGGGATGCAGATTAGCATGTATTTGAAGAACTCGTAAAATGTTTCAGTTTTTAGTTTATGTAAAACAACATATACTTCCTCTTCCACTGCCTCCTCTCTACTGCTTTAATAAGTATTTTACTCTTTGCTGCATTTTCTTTCAGAATCCCTTCTAGAGATTCACATATCTAATCAACACATTTAGGAATTCCTGGCTGGGCACGGTGGCTCACACCTGTAATCCCAGCACTTTGGGAGGCCGAGGCAGGCAGATCACCTGAGGCCAGAAGTTTGAGACCAGCCTGGCCAACATGGTGAAACACTGTCTCTATGAAAAATACAAAAATTAGCTGGGCATAGTGGCGGGCGCCTGTAATCCCAGCTACTCGGGAGGCTGAGGAAGGAGAATCGCTTGAACCTGGGAGGCAGAGGTTGCAGTGAGCTGAGATTGCGCCATTGCACTCCAGCCTGGGCAACAAGAGTGAGACTTCATCTCAAAAAAAAAAAAAAAAATTATTTCCCATTACCTGATGAAAAATTAAGAGGAAAATATTTAATCATTCCTTCAGAGAAAAGTATGCCATTCCAAGTCATTCGATGGTGTAATTCCGCAGCTGATGGTCTAGTTATAAGGATCAAAAGTTTCAAGATTTCTAAACATGCAGTTAAGAAGGGGGAAAGACAGGTTGGGAAGATACCCAAACACCATCTTGACCAAGTGAGGGCCACATTACTAATGTCCACCATTTGCTTGACTCACCAATCTCTGTGCAGTCATCTTTCTTGAAAATGTGAAATTGTATTATATGTCTATGTTTCCGCAAAAGCCCTTTTCAAAAAGAAGCAAAGTTCACTTTGTATGTGTGGGATCACAAGGGCTTTCAAGAATCACTTCATCTCCATTTCACCCTGAAAGCTGCAATACCATGGGGGTGTTGGTGATCGTGACTTGTTGAAAAGGCTGCTAAGCAGATAAGTGCATTAGTGAAGATTTATTATATTTGAGAGATTCAAAAGGGTGATAGGCTAAAGCTAATTGATGAACATTGCCCTACCAAATAAATAAACCCTACAGTGAAGTGTCTTGTGGGCCCATTGGCCCAGTGGCTATGTACAATACGGGAACCCCAAGCAAAAAACCTCAAGGCCAGGGAAGGTACACAGTTAGCTGGAACTTCAGATCTCAGGTCTGACTTCTTAAGCAAGGCCTATGAGACAAGTCAGATAAATACTCATTGAAGAGGAATTTATACATGGCTGAAATGTAAGAACACAGTTAATTTTCTAAAAATTAGCCCTGCACTAACACAAATGATAAAAAATTAAGGAATTTTTAGATTACTTGAAGTATGAGCTGTGTTTTCTTCCTTAACTGGAAATGGCTTTCCACTGATGGATTCATTCTTGACCAATTCCCTTTAGGACAATGGCAAAATACAGACAAGAAGGCATACTATATGGCCTAACCCAGACTGAATCAATGATCTTGGTCTCATTAATAACAGTGACTTTTTATGATGCTATAACAAGAATTATTCACCATGTTCTTAACACCAATATCTACTTATATTACAGGTACCTATTAAACACAAAAAAAGAACTGACGATGTTTTCCTACCCAATATGGCAGAAAATGTTCAACTGACAGCTTTTCAGGTTCAAACAGCTCCATCCAGATTCCCATTTAGAGCTGACTGGTGATGATATCTTCTTTTTCCAACCTTTATTTCTATGAGTATTTGAATGAATAAAAATGACTCCAAATGCCATTAAATCTCTTACTTAATTTTATGTATGAAATTCTCTTATCTGTACTTGGAAGACAGGGTTGAAGGACTAAGATGATTACATCTTGAACCAACCCCAGGTGAAGTAGGGGTTGGTCCCAGACTTTAAAACCTAAGCATTGATTTGCATTTCTACAAGCTAGCCTTTGCCTCTGGTCAGCCAGCAGCCTCTGAATACGAATTCTAGAGTTAGTGGGTAAGCAGGAAAGCTAAGATGGAGGCCCTTGCTTCTAAGCAGTGTTTACTAACAAGTGAAAAACCAAAGTATGTTAATAGAGATTAACACAAATGAACGTTAAAGCATTTGTTTCACTTCTTAGAAAACAAATTTGCCATCCTCTATTAACAATCTTTTCATTCTTCCTACAAATGCCAAATACTTCCTCAGACTTTAGTATAAAGTCCTAATCCAAGTCCTTTGTTCAGACAAGAAAATCTGTCTTGTGTAAAGCAATTAATAAACAGATGAATGGAACAGACAAACATATTTACATGCATAAATTTAAATACGATGTATGTGGCTTTTCAAACTAAAGAGAACATGGAGGCTATTTGGAATAAATTAAATCATCACCTTACCCCATACACTATAAATCCCAAATGGATTAAAGATCTAAATGCACATACGTACACATGCATACAGACACACATGCCACACATGCACAAACTGATTTTTTAAACAGAATATAAAAGCCAATAGGAAAATTGGTAACTTTGGTATCAGAACTAAAACTTCAGTATGATAAAATACTGTATCAGTTATCAACTTATATCTCAGCTCCAAATTCATTCTTTATTGTCTGTTCTGCAATAACAAATATGGACCCTATAAATATTTCCTCTTTGCCAACTGGCAAGAAGTTAAGCTCTCAGTAGAGGGTGCTGGAGGGACCCTGTAGGAGGTGGCAGGGTTTTTTTCCAGGTTACCTTGTGCTCCTCTAGGCAGGCTCTTGCAGTGTGCATGGCTTCTGCAGCACCAGGTTCTTGTAGTATATACAGTTTCTGTGGTGCCTGGCTCCAGTGATGCATGTAGCTCCATGGTAGAGTGCCACTTGCATGGCACCTCCTGTGACGGGTCCCCTCCAGCACCCCTTTGAATAGCTTTGCAGTCTCTGTGAATTTCTCAGCCATCCAATAAGCTTTGGCCAGATCCTCTCCAATGAGGTCTGGATCTCAGCCCTGAAGGGTAGTGGCTGGTCCCTACATCCGCTATCCTTGTATTCTTTAGAGTTCTCTTTATTGCTTACAAGCAGTATGCCAATCTTTTGTTATAGTTAATAATTCTTTATATCAAACTTTCCCTGTTTGAATTACTGTGTGCTTTCTGTCTCCTGAATGGCCCATGACTGATATAGAACTGGTACCAGGAGCAGGGTGTTCCCAGAGGATAGACCTGCTATGGTTTGAATGTCTGTCCTCTCCAAAACTCATGTTAAAATTTAATCCCCAATGTGGCAGTACTGAAAGGTGAGACCTTTAAGAGGTGATTGGGTCATGAGGACTCTGCCCTTATGAATGGATCGATCCATTCATGGATTAATGGATCGATCCATTCATGGATTAATGGATTTGTGGGTTGTTAAATTAATGGACTATCATGGGAGTGGGACTGGTGGCTTTATAAGAAAGGAAGACTTGGGTAGCATGCTCAGCTCCCTCACCATGTGATACCCTGTGCTGCCTCAGGTCTCTATGGAGGGTCCCCACCAGCAAGAAGGCTCTTACCAGATGTGCCTCCTCAACCTTAGACTTCCCAGCCTCCATAACTTTAAGAAATAAATTCCTTTTCTTCCCAAATTTCCCCATTTCAGGTATTATGTTATAAACAACAGAAAATGTACTGAAACAGAACACAGATGGAACTTGGGATTTGGTTGGTTGCAACCTTAGGCTTGAATACAGTGCTGAGCCAACAGGAAATTGGAATGTTAGTATTCTTTGCATGCAGTGGCATCACAATCACGTTATTACCTGTGGCCGATTGTGCTAAAGTACCTGCTGAAGCATGTGCCTTTAGGAGCCTAAATTGCTACTACATTGACTATAATGGTAGTCATGCTGACTACAGAAACTGTGGTGTGAGGTGGATTTTTTTGAATGCACTTCAGCACTTCTGGAAGAAAATGACAAGTCATGACCTTTAATTCTAGGCTTAATTCATCGTCTGAAACCAGAGAGCTTCCATGATACCCCTAAAAGTATCTCTTATTTCTCATAGTCACAGGGATAATATTGCTAAAAATCAAGCACAAGTTTTTATTAGGGGCATGCTAAATTACAGTGACAGTTGTATTTATAAGCTCATCAAGCTTCTCATTGCCATTGAGATGGGCCCTGTGATTTCAATGAAGAAAATGCAATTCCAAAGTGGAAGAGCGAAGTGGCAGGCTTTAACTGGCAAAAGACAAGGCGGGCACATCCATTATAAAGGGCAATAGGGATGTATCAGTAGTCAGAATCCCTTGGCCTGCAGAGATCTTTGGTAGTTAATGTGTCCCCAGGTATGAAATCATAGATTGCTTAATGTATATAACAGAAATTGCTTAATGTATATAAGATTGCTTACTGTATATAACAGAAAATTGCTTAATGTATGGAACAGAAAAATCTATAGGTCTAGTAGCCAAAACTTGAGTCACCACAGTGAAGAGTCACAGCCTCTGACCCAGGTTCCAGATTTAAGTCAATTCACAGACCAGAGGCCCTTGACCAAACGGGAGGATGGATCTCCTTGAGGAAGGACCCTTCACTGCTGCAGGTTCATGTTATAAATCTTCTTCCAAATCGTTCCCTAAGGGACCTGCAATCATTTTCTTAAATTACTGTTCTTCAGAGAAAAGAAAATATCCAGACATTTTGGTGGTTACTAGACCCAGGGCCTAAATTAATGCTAATTCTTGGGTACCCAAAACACCACTGTGGCTTACCAGTCAAAATGAAGGCTTACAGTGGTAAGGTGATATAGAAGGAGTCATAGCTCAGGTCTGAATTACAATGGACCAAATTGGTACATGGACCCACCCTGTGACTACGTCCCCAGTTTCTGAGTGAATAATTAATTAGAACAAATACAGTTAACAATATGAAGAATTTCCATATTGGTTTTTTGACATATGAGCTAAGAATCAATTATGGTAGGAAGGGATTACTGGAAGCCCCTGGAACTTGCCCTCCCTATCAAAAAAGCAAAACAGAAGCAATACCATAACCCTGGGGAAATGGCCCTGGGCATTAATGCCACCATCAAAGACTTGAAAGAAGCAAGAGTGATGACAACCATCCCTTCATCATTTAACTCACCACTCTGGCCTGTGCAGAAGACAGATCTTAGAAAATAACTAGGGAGTATCAGTTCCACATCTTAATGAGGTGGTGATTTCAACTGCAGCTGCTGTCACAGACTTAGTATCTTTACTGAAACAAATTAATATGCTCCTGGGACTTGACATGCAGTTATTTCCTTAAAGCCTTTTGCACCATGAGAGGCAGTTTGCTTTTACCTGGCAAAGCCACAGTATATCTTTACAGTCTTGCCTGAAAGCTTTGTCAGTTCTCCTTCTCTCTGCCACGATATAGTCCACAGAGACCTTGTTCATCATGATAATCCACACAATATCACATTGGTCCACTACACTGATGACATTATGCTGACTAGAAATAATGAGCAGGATGTGGCAAGTACTTAGGTGCTTAATAAAACATATAAAAACTAAAAGGTGAAAGAAAAATCCCATAATTCAGAAACTCAGTGAAGTTTCTAGGGGTTCAATGATTTGGAACAAATTAAAATATCCCCCTCCAAAATGAAAGATAAGTTGCTGCACTTCACACTGTGCACCATGATTAAAGAGACATGATGCTTGGTAGGTCATTTTGAATTTTGAAGGCAACATATACTTTATTTGAGTGTGCTATTTCAGCCCATCTAGAGTCACCTGTAAGATTATCATTTTTGAGTGGGTACTAGAGCAAGAAAAGGCTCTATTGCAAGTTTGAGTTATAGCACAAGCTGCTCTACCATGTGGGTCTTATGATCCAGCAGATCCAACGATACTGAAAGTATCACGGCCTATAGGGATATTGTGTGGAGGCTCTTTTAGCACCAGTAGAATCATAGGGAAGCAAACCTATGTCTTCTGAAGATTA
This sequence comes from Homo sapiens, assembly GCF_000001405.40. Lineage (NCBI taxonomy): Eukaryota > Metazoa > Chordata > Mammalia > Primates > Hominidae > Homo > Homo sapiens. The sequence continues at coordinate 109,359,206 of NC_000006.12, forward strand.
CTACTCTGCTTTTAAGAAAGTCTGTCTTACTACTGTGCCTTGGTAGAGACAATACCTAACCATGGGATGGCAGGGGATCATGTGGCCTGAGCTTCCCATCATAATGTGGATGTTGTTAGCTAGCCTAGTCATGAACTTGGACATGCAAAGCAGCAATCTATCATCAGACAGAAATGGTACACAATAGACTTAGCTTGCTTTAGCAGGTCTGAAAACAGAAGTAGCGTAGCTTGCTTGAACAGGTGGCTGAGACTCTTTCAACACCAACTCCGCTTTCATTGCCTTCTCTCCCTCAACCCATACCTATGGTATCCTGGGGGTTGTTCTCACAACCAATTGACCAAGAAAGAAAAAAAATCAAGTCTGGTTTACACATTGGTCTGCATATGTTGGTTTCATGCAAAAGTGGATAGCTAAAACACTATAGCCCCACCCAAGGGCCACCCTGAAGGACAGTGGTCAAAAAGAAAAAAAAAATCCTCCCAGGGAACAGAACTTCAAGGAGTACCTTTGGCCACTTGTCTGAACTGAGACATGGCCAGAAGTACAGACTTACACTAATTAATGGGTAGCTGCTAATGGCTTGGCTAGATAGGGACTTAGAAGAAACAGGTCTGGAAGGCTGGTGACAAGGAAGTCTGGGAATTATCTGTGGATGGACCTCTGGGAATGGGCGCAGACTGAAGATATCTGTGCCCTAGGTTAATGCCCACTGATATGGTTTGGCTCTGTGTCCCCACCCAAATATCATCTTGTAGCTCCCATAATTCTCACATGTTGTAGAAGGCACCCAGTGGGAGATGACTGAATCATGGGGGAGGGTCTTTCCCATGCTGTTCTTGTGATAGTAAGTCTCATGAGATCTGATGCTTTTAAAAACAGGAGTTTCTCTGCACAAGCTCTCTCTTTGCCTGCTGCCATCCATGTAAGACGTGACTTGCTCTTCCTTGCCTTCTGCCATGATTGTGAGGCCTCCCCAGCCATGTGGAACAACTGTAAGCCCATTAAATCTTTCTTTTATAAAGTGCCCAGTCTCAGGTATGTCTATCAGCAGGTTTGGACTAATACACCCACCAAAGGGCATCCATAGCAGAGGAGGCTCTTATTAATCAAGTTGACAAAACAATGTGCTGAGGTTATCAGTTACATTAATTATAATATCAGTGCACATTCCCCAGCTACTACACCACTTGCTCAATGGGTCCATAAATAATGCAGCCACAGTAGCAGGGACAGAGGCTGTGTGTGGGCTTAACATCAGGGGATTCCCCTTACCAAGGCTGACAGGCACTACTGCCAACTGCCCGATCTGTCAAGAGCCAAGACCAATACTGAGGCTGCAATATGGCACCAATTCCATGGGTAACAGCCATCTACCTGGTGGCAAACTGACTACATCAGATCTTTTCCATCATATAGGGGGCAGAGATTCATCTTCACTGGAATAGACATGTATTCTGGATATGGATTGCCTTCCCTGCTCATGCTTCTGCCAGTACTACTATCCAATCCACCTACTCACAAAATGCCTTGTCCACTACCATGACATTTCCCATAGCATTCCTTCTAAGCATGGAATCAGTTTCCCAGCAAATGAAATGCTGCAATGAGCTCATGCCTATGAAATTAACATACTCCAACACCCAGAAGTGGTTAATCTAATTGAAAGGTGGAATGGTTCACTGAATACCCACTTATGATGATAGCTGGCAGATACCACAGTGAAAGGATGGAGTTCCACATGACAGTACATGCTTTGAGCCAGAGTATACAGTTCTAGGAATCACAGGGTGGAAGTGGGAGTGGCTCCTTTCATGATTATACTTCTTACTTTAGCAAACTCAAGCTTGCTGGTTTGGCAGTCTTAGTTCCCAGGGGATCCTTCAATCAGAGACACAACAATTGTTCCACTGATGTAGGATCTAAGATGAGATTGCCATCTGGGTTTCTGATGCCACTGAACCAATAAGAAACAAAAGGTGTAACTATACTGGTAGGAATGATCAATCCTGATTACCAAAGTGAGTGTATTGCTAGTACACAATGGAGGCAAAAAGGACTATTTCTGGAACACAGGAGATTCTCTGGGTGCCTGAGTATTTCCACATCCAATAGTAAAGGCTCATGAAAAATTACAGCAACCAAAACAGGTAGCACAGGAGGACTCAAGATTCTTCAGTAATTTGAGTATTTGGGTCACTCCACCAGGTTAAGAACTCTGACCAGCTGAGGTTCTGGCCAAGGGCAAAATAAATCTCAAATAGGGAGTTAAAAGAGGTTGAAGCTTTGTAGAAATGACGGCTATAGTAGCTTTGAATGTTTCCCATTTTCCTCTTGTATGTATTTATTCGTATGTTCTAACCATTTTCATTTTCTCCTTCCATTTTAATTTAATATACACGTTTTTGGAGGTTAAATTGACAATAAGGTTTATTATTTATTTATTTATTTATATTTTGAGACAGAATCTTGTTCTATGGCCTAGACTGGAATGCAGTGGCACAATCTCAGCTCACTGCAACCTCCGCCTACCAGGTTCAAGTGATTCTCCTGACTCAGCCTCCCGAGTAGCTGAGATTACAGGTGTCTGCCACTATGCCCAGCTAATTTGTGTATTTTTAGTAGAGATGGGGTTTCACCATGTTGGCCGGGTTGGTCTCAAACTCCCGACCTTCAGTGATCTGCCCAAGACAGACTGGTCTGGATGTGGGGCTGCAGTGCTTTAGCTTTCCACTTTTGGATGAAACCAATGTATCATGCAGACCAATCTATCTCGACCTCCCAAAGTGTTGGGATTACAGGTGTGAGCCACTGCACTGGCCACAAATCAGTCTTTTGATAACAGAGCATTTGGTGGAAGTGACAGAACTTGAGTAATTCATATAGCCAACAATGGATACAATGACTGCTGGTACTGGGCTTCTCGTGTTGGGGAAAGGAGCAAACGTGACTTGTAATAAAGTATAGCTGTATCCTGTTAGGTGGAAATGTAGAGCTGTTCCACTGTTGTTCAGAAGCGTCAAAGTGTGTAGATGGGCAAATGTGGAAGCTGAGTAGCCAAAGGGGTGGACTGTGACTATTATCAACTTCTTGCCTCAGCTCCCAATCCACCTGTCATTGCCTGCTCTGTGATGACGACACTGGACCATATGACGATTTCTCCTTTTATACACAAGGCTGGGGAAAAGGTTTAGAGAAAACAGTACTTGGAGCTCACACAAAGCTAGGAATTGAGCCTGGTCCTTCCTACTAAGCCACACTAGAAAGCCTCCTCAGGGAAGTCTGGCCTCAGTATTGGGGAAGCAGCATGATGTTTTGTAAGGGAACTGGCAGGATGCTGGAAGGATTTCTTTTCCTGGCTCTGGTTTGCTCCACTAGGGAGACACCCTCAGTGCCCTGCTCCAGCAGCTCACAGCTTTACAGTGGAATGCCACTACTGTGGCAACCTCCTATGTATGGCTTACCCCTCACCACCTTGGATGACTTCCCAGAAGATTGCCACTGGTGTGACAAACATGGATGGCTTCCTTGGCACTCTCTCAGATGGATTTGCACCTACCATGAGCTTCCCCACCCGGAGGGCCAGGACTGTATGCTCGCTAATGAGTTCTGAAATTCAGCTTGAGGGAGTGGGTGGGTGGCTGCTTCCTACATCTGCTATCTCTGTATTCTTTAAAGTTCTTTTTTGGCTGGGTGAGGTGGCTCATGCCTGTAATCCCAGCACTTTGGGAGGCTGAGGCGGGTGGATCACTTGAGGTCAGAAGTTCGAGACCAGTCTGGCCAACATGATGAAACCCCATCTCTACTAAAAATACAAAAAAATTAGCTGGGCCTGGTGGCTCATGCCTATAATCCCAGCCACTCGGGAAGCTGAGGCATGAAAATTGCTTGAATCTGGGAGGTGGAGGTTGCAGTGAGCTGTGACTGTGCCACTGCACTCCAGCCTCCAGCCTGGGCAAGAGAGCAAGACTCCGTCTCAAAAAAATAAAATAAAATAAATAAAAAATAAAAAAGTTCTTTTTACTGCTTCATGAATTTCTTAAAATTCTGCAGATAATATGCCTCATCACTGCAAACCACTGTTATAGCTAATATCTCTTCATATCAAACTTTTCCTGTTTATATTGTGTGGCTTGTCTCCTGATCGTACACTGGTTGACACAAACCATTATCAGAGACACAAACTTGAATTTTTTTTTTTTTTTTTGAAAAGGAGTCTCACTCTGTTGCCCAGGCTAGAGTGCAGTGGCACGATCTTGGCTCACTGCAAGCTCCACCTCCTGGGTTCACGCCATTCTCCTGCCTCAGCCTCTCAAGCAGCTGGGACTATAGGTGCACGCCGCGACGCCTGGCTGATTTTTTCTATTTTTAGTAGAGACGGGATTTCACTGTGTTAGCCAGGACGGTCTCGACCTCCTGACCTTGTGATCCGCCTGCCTCGGCCTCCCAAAGTGCTGGGATTACAGGTGTGAGCCACCGCACCTGGCCAAGAAAATATTTTTAAAAATCTATTCACCACGGATTAGCAGCCGGCATATTTTCAGATTAAAACAAAACAAAAACCCCTACAAATTGATAAGAAGAAAAAGAAAAATAGACGATTCACCAAGGAAATCATTCCACTCACCAGAATATTGAAATTTAAAAACTGTTCACATATCAAGTGATCTGCTGCTGGTGAGAAGTGGAAAGCAATCTCTGTGAAAATCCTCAGTGAGGAAACCCTATGAAGCAGCTTTCCACGCCTCCACTTCTACTCTGGAGGAAGTCACACATAAACAAGGTGGCAGGTACAAAGATGGTCTGTAAAATTGTTGCTGTGAACTAAAAACTGCAAAAAGCTTGTCTTTCAATAGGTAAATACCTGTGTCAATTATGGTATCCATACTACATATACCAACACAGAAATTAAGAATTTGGTATAGCCCATTCAGGACATAGGCATGAACAAAGACTTCATGACTAAAACACCAAAAGCAATGGCAACAAAAGCCAAATAGACAAATGGGATCTAATTAAACTAAAGAGCTTCTGCACAGCAAAAGAAACTATCATCAGAGTGAACAGGCAACCTACAGAACAGGATAAAATTTTTGCAATCTACCCATCTGACAAAGGACTAATATCCAGAATCTACAAAGAACTTAAATAAATTTACAAGAAAAAAAAATCCCATCAAAAAGTGGGCAAAGGGTATGAACAGACAATTCTCAAAAGAAGACATTTATGCAGCCAACAGACATATGAAAAAATGCTCACCACTGGTCATCAGAGAAATGCAAATCAAAACCACAATGAGATACCATCTCACACCAGTTAGAATGGCAATCATTAAAAAGTCAGGAAACAACAGGTGCTGGAGAGGATGTGGAGAAATAGGAACACTTTCACACTGTTGGTGGGACTGTAAACTAGTTCAACCGTTGTGGAAGTCAGTGTGGCGATTCATCAAGGATCTAGAACTAGAAATACCATTTGACCCAGCCACCCTATCACTGGGTATATACCCAAAGGATTATAAATCATGCTACTATAAAGAACATGCACACGTATGTTTATTGTGGCACTATTCACAATAGCAAAGACTTGGAACCAACCCAAATGTCCATCAATAACAGACTGGATAAAGAAAATGTGGCACATATACACCATGGAATACTACGCAGCCATTAAAAAAGGATGAGTTCATGTCCTTTGCAGGGACACGAAGTTGGAAACCATCATTCTCAGCAAAACAGAAAACAAGAAAATAAAACCAAACACCCCATGTTCTCATAAGTTGAACAATGAGAACACATGGACACAGGGAGGGGAACATCACACACTGGGGTCTATTGGGGGCTGGGGGAGGGATAGCATTAGGAGAAACACCTAATGTAAATGACAAGTTGATGGGTGCAGCAAACCAACACAGCACACATATACCTATGTAACAAACCTGCATGTTGTACACATGTACCCTAGAACTTAAAAAATAAAAAAAAACAACTTGGTATAGCCACATACACTACCTTTGAAAGATCTCCAAAAAGTGAATGAACATTACAGGATTAAAAAAAAAACCTACATGACATTATTTTCCAAAGGTACATACAATTATGTGATTATAAATCCATTAATTGTAAACCAGTTACAGTGATTACCTCTGTATCACCACTCTGGTAAGCGGAGGAAGGCAAGAGGAGAAAAGGGCTGGGGATGGTCAAAGCAGACTGACACCACATCTATAATATTTAAATGCAATTTCTTTTCTAAGAAGTATATTTAAGAAAATCTATGTACTAATTGAAAATTTTAAAAATAATACATTATAAACACTATGTTGAACTTTTTCTTCCAGCTGGGATGAAATGAGGCTGGATTCTTGAATGACTAAAAAACACTGGACAAGGCCAGGCACAGTGGCTCATGCCTGTAATCCCAGCACTTTGGGAGGCCAAGACATGTGGATCACCTGAGGCCAGGAGTTCGAGACCAGCCTGGCCAACATGGCGAAACCCCATCTCTATTAAAAATTACAAAAATTAGCTGGCCATGGTGGCGGGTGCCTGTAATCCCAGCCACCCAGGAGGCTGAGGCAAGAGAATCGCTTGAACCTGGGAGGTGGAGGCTGCAGTGAGCTGAGATCGCGCCACTGCACTCCAGCCTGGGCGACAGAGTGAGACTCCATCTCAAAAAAAAAATTGTTTCTAATGTTTACCAGAGTCACTAAGCTTAGCATCAAGTTTTGTATTACTTAAACCAAATGTGACTATATTTAAGGCTAATACAAAACCCAAAATTCATGATTTCTAAAGTGAATTATTCAGTCCACCCTTACAGGTTTTAAGGCTTACAGAGGAGTAAATTCTTAGTTCAAGTCCACTGATATAAAATAGAACATAATTTTGCCCACAAAATAACAAGAACCACACTTCAAAGTCACAGCATGTGGCTTGATAGTAATTTATACCAAATAGTTCTTGGTTTTTACTTTATATGCAATATGAACTAAAAAGGCAGAAAGTCACAAACTAGCTTTCAGATTATAAAACCAAGATAGTATTCCTCTCAAAAATTATTGGAAAACTACAGCATAATTTCTATTGATTTGTGGAAGATCAACTTGCAAATCACTCCCACAAGTGTACCAAGTCCTCCCTCCACCTATTACTTCCAAGGCTCTGCTTTCTATTGATATGAACATGTGCCTTAGTTACTATCGGCTGGTCTAGAGGTGCAATAAAATGAGTAGAAAGCCCACCCCAAGCGGACTAAGATAAATCCACTAAGCATTAAATTTTATAAGCAAAACGCAGTAACACACTATTAATTCAATAAACATGTAGATTTATTTTAAGTCAGTTTGGTACATGATACAGATTGGTTTTGCAGTTTTTAATGAACTGAAATAGAAATGTCTAAATACAGCAGTATCTGCCTGTGCAACAAATATCTGTAAGGTAAAATAAGGTATTTGATAGAAGAACATCTGCAAGAACAAATCAGATGAAAAATCTGAAAAGGTTTCTATATACCTTCTGGATTTTAAAAAAACCCAAAAATTAATGGCTCAAGATACTACATTGCTAAAGTTAGGGGAAAAAAGTAAAAAGGCTGTGAGTTCTGTTGCAAGAGCTCATTTGTAGACTTGCAAAATCTAACTAATTTTATATTATGCTTGTTGTTAGAGCAGTGCTCAAAATTACAGAAGCTTCAAATTGTTATGTTTTCACAAAATTTGCTACATATGTTGACATGAATGTGTGTCAGGGAATTCATACCCAGGTAAATGACAATTACATCAGTATAGCTAATTTTTGCCACCTTGGGAGGAATGGAATTCTGCCTATTTTCGAATTAATCCTACAGCACTCACTAAAAACTAACAGCCATGGCACCATAATACATTTTGTGAGGTACCTAGAATATTACTAATGGAAACAAAAAATGTGAGGTAAACCGACCTTTCCCCAAGAAACTTTGAAGCCAGAGATTTTAAACAATTAAGGCACTTGAAAACATTAAGTATATGTACAAATGTGCAAGTAAAACAAACAGCTGTACCAACGAGTAACAAAGAAACAGTAAATCTTCATCTTAACAACCTTTAATAGTTATCTAAATGCAGAGTTTGTTTATGAAATGAAACAAAGCAGTTTGTCATTTCTTACTATAAAATATTGAAAATCAAGTGCGAAACTCAGCCACTATTGGCTAAAGAAACTAAATAAAAAACGTTAATGACCTAGAAAAGCAAAAGCCCATTTTAAACTACTTAAAGCCTCTGCACTAGTCCAATGAGTCAAAGGCAAGGGAGAAGTAAACCTCTAAAACTGAAGACGACCCTCTAAAGGAGAAAACTATAGAAGTTAAAGTATGCATGCTTATTATACTATGGGAAACCAAGAAGGAAGGGAGAGAAAAAGAAAAAGCACAGTCTATTCATCCAGGACAATCAGTAAAAATCTACAGTAACCTGATCAACCAAAAAATCCTTAGGTGTTGTGAAATTACATTGGTCACTTCTGTTATCTTAAAACTTAAAATGATTGTCTCATTTAAAATAAATGATTCTAAAATAATATGATTGTCTCATTTAAATAGTAAATGATTCTAAAATAATGTATATCCTTCTTGCCTCACCAAAGAAGTCACTACTCAAGACAGTCTGGTGGAAATCCTTTCAAGGTACAATAGTGCTAGCATACTTTTTTTTAAAGTACAAAGGAAAGTGTAATTAAATCAATTTAGCTCTATACTTTTCAACAGCCATAAGAAAAATGTTGGGAGGTTCAAGATACGAAGGCTTTCAATTCTGTATAACAGACTTTAGCTTAAGTTTCTCCGCTCTGAAATAAATTTTCAATAAAATATTAACAGTATGATATCTAAAACAGGTTTACTACTGCTCACATCAAGTTACATCCTCTGACCAATCCTTACCTTCCTTAATGTCAAAGAACAAATCATAGACATTAAGCTAGAGCTTACCTTTCACTGTCTTCTAAGGCACTGTTCTTTATATTCTCAATGACATAAGATGCTTTACAAGTATGAACAATAATCTGTTATACACACTAATGGTATCCTTTCATTTCTTTAAATCTGGAATGTAGTTCCTTGTGTGGCATCTTATTTCTAATGTAGAAAAAACAGCTGTTATCAAGCACAAAATTTTAATCTAAGGATACCATTTAGTACTACTAAATTAATAAATTTATTCCACTTTTGAAATGACAGCCAAAAATCCACCTAATTGATTCTCATTTGGCACGTTCTTCTCAATTCTGTTCACTAAATTAAAATTACTAAATTTAAACTGCCAAGAGCCATGATGTTGTCTGCACAAGACAACATTTTCCATCACTTTCAGAAAGTTATATTTGGCATGTTAAGGAAAAAAAATATAATCCCACAGCAGCAGCTATTTAAAATAAGACAGCCACAGGATTCATGCAGAATATTTTAAATATTCCTGTTGAACACAATGATTTAATTGATTTTTTCTTCACGGATGATGCTCCCAAACATCCTATATGCATCCATGGAAATTTAAAGATCCTGGAATAGCGTCTTCCATGTGGGACATCTTAAAAGATAGTATTTTGGCTTCAGTGAGTTACACAAATGAATCACCAGTCCTTATTAATTCAATGGGTCTGTTTACAGAGTGTGGTAATTTCGTTCTTTAGATTTGCAGAATTTATAAAGAAAGAAAATTACAGCCTGCACACCCAAGACCAGGACAATTCCTCCAATGAAACTGGCTGCATCAAAGGTAGACTTTCGCACAGGTTGTGAGGTTGGAGTCACAGTGTTATTTGTTGTACCTGTTAGATAAGACAAAAGAAACAACAATCCTAAGTTTCATGGTCCTCTATTGTAATTTAAAGATGCACCTGAGCCTCTATTTTGCCATGTGTTAAATTCTATAAAGTATTTCCTCAAGTCTTTACAGCTAGAATTTATCCCTAATTGAGGAAGACAACCATATCCCATTTTTCATTCCACCCAAGGATACAAAGTGGTCAATGCTACTGTACTAGTACAAATATAAAAACAATGGGAAAAATTCTCCTAGTACATAAATTGTGCCCTGGGAATGTATCAAACACTTCTAAAATATGCAACAATTTCTTCAGACTATGTACTTTTAGTTAATTGTGAGTGTAAACGTCAATAGTGCTGAGAATTCACATGACTTTTGAATTTACTAGTATAAGGTAAAATATTTGGTTGCAATTTTTCATGTTACAAAAATAATCTTAATAATATGCAATTTATAATTTCAACAAGTAAAATAACTGTTTTTAAAGGCATATCCTGCCAACAAATTTCACATGAGAAAGTATTATCAAGTAATAAGGAAAAAACAAATATCTGAATTCTTTTCAGGCAGTAAAATGTTTCAAGAGGAAACAGAAAAAGCGATTTCCATTTAAAATAATCTAAGAAAAAAGTAACAGTTATCAAAGAACACTGGTTCTGGTGGCTGTACAAGTTGGTAACTTTAATGACAACTGTTTTGTATTCCTTCTCGTGAAGACAGAATGGCTTCACTGAAACTGAGAAAAAGGTGGCATAAGCATGAAGAAAAAGAAATCACAAAAAGCAGGTAGAAGATTCATTAGCATCAGTTTTTTAAAAATATGGAGGGAGGAAAGGATTCCTAACCTGTGTACCTACAGTATCCTGTGGCGTAACCTAACTATGAATTAAATTAGATTATGTCAAATCATCATTTAATAACAAGCTAATTTTCACATTACTGAGCAATGTTAAGAAATGGTTAAGAAAGTGAGGTGCACATCTGGTAGTGATTCTGGCTTTTTAGACCTTTCTCAGTGAAAAGGACGGATATATTATCTTCCCTCAAATCGCCATGCTCTCTCATACAGCACACAACCAATCCCTAACGGTAATCAGAAGTTACAAATTAGATTTTACATACAAGTTGTACTGAAATGTTTGGAAAAACATTATTACTTAATTCTAAAGTGTCACGTCAAATGTGATTACACATTTAAAAATGAGAAGAGGAATCTCAGCAAAGCTATCATTATTGTGTTAACAAAGCACTACCTTGATCCCCCCTAAGAGTAAGAGAAGAATTTCAGTTCCATAACCATTAACGAAGAAAGCTGGAAAATGATGGCAGAAATTGTAAAGGGCAACATCGTGCACACATCCTGCATCATTGCTAATCTAAAAAGCCTCAATTACCTGATGTAGTAACTGTCTTGGAAGTTGTAGAAGGGGAGGGCTGAACTGTGGGTTTAGCTGGAATGAAAACAAAATGTCTTTTTAAAAAACCTTAAATTTCTAGCTTCCCAGTTATCTAACAGCTTTAAAAAATAATCCTGCCAACTTCAACATGCTTTCAATTTTTTAGAGACCAAAAGCCAAATTTCAGTTAATGGTTCACTAACATAGCTATGCACCCAAGAATACTAGGATTTAAGTGTATTTTAAAACAATAAGCAATCATAAAATTGTTAATATCTATGTATCTATCTTGTATAAAATCTATGTATACATCTGGATAAAATTTGCGAAAACTCTTATCTTGCTCACTGCCAAGGGCAAGAACATTTAGGTGAGGAAACTATAGGTTCTTCATAATCTTTCTCCTAAGACAAAAACTATTAAAGTCGTAAGTTCTCTCTTACAAGGGTATTGAGATTTGCCTATCTTCTTCACTTCAGGAGTTGGCAAACTTTTCTTAAATGGGTTGAAAGCAAATATTTTACTCTTTGGGCACTGTGTGATGCAAAAGCAGCCAAAGTCAACATGCAGACGAATGGGCATGGTATGTTCCAATAAAGCTTTATAAGAACAGGGGCCCTGGGCCCACAGTTCCCCAACGTAAGATTCTAAGAGCCCAAGGTTAAGTAAGCTCTAGTCCACCACACTGCATGAGGCCAAAATACTATTTGAGTTGCCATTACTAAAGGCAAGAACTGCAATTACTTTTGCACCAACCTAATAGCTGATGATACTGCTAAAGAAATGTACACTCTGAGAAGGATTAGTTTGAATGTAAAATCATTTTAGGGACTAAAGCACTCTTTTTTTTTTTTTGAGATGGAGTCTCGCTCTGTCACCCAGACTGGAGTGCAATGGTGCATTCTCAGCTCACTGCAACCTCCGCCTCCCAGGTTCAAACGATTCTCCTCCCTCAGCCTCCTGTGTAGCTGGGATTACAGGCATGTGCCACCACACCCAGCTAATTTTTTATTTTTAGGAGAGACAGGGTTTCACCATGTTGACCAGGCTCATCTTGAACTCCTGACCTCAAGTGATCTGCCGCCTTGGCCTCCCAAAGTGCTGGGATTATAAGCATGACTCACCTCGTCCAGCCAGTATATCACCTATTAAGTTTCTATTGGTAGTATGAATACTAATAGAAGTCTGACCAAGGCTTTCAGAAAGGAAGGATGTGAATATAGTTTCTACAAATTAACATTTTTTCTAACATCCAAATGGCTACCAAATAAATTCAAAGTTTGCTGGAGCATTTGAGAAAGGTTTCATTAAGAGGTTGTCCTAAGGGTAGGGTTCAAATTTTTGGAAAGTGCACTATAGGAGTCACTAGCTAAGAGAGCTTATTTTGTCTCAGGAAATCATTAGGTAAGTCAGGCTTCAGAGTGCAAGGGCTTCAATATGAGGATATGCTTATGCTGGTGGGCCGCTAGGGATGATCTGGGGAAAGATGAGGAAGATTAATCATATGAGATTTATATTTTTATAAAAATGTAAGGTGCTATGCAAACATTCATTTTTGTACTATTTCAGAAAAAAGGGTTTGAAGGCTAAAGAGAATTTGGAAAACAAATGTTACTTCTGTTTAAAGTACATAACTGAACAGACTTCAAAGTGATATGCTTAACCCACGAAAGACAGGGAAAGGGTGCCAAATAACTGTTGATGAAGCACAGAAATGAGTAATCTTTTCACTGCATTAGACTTTCAAACAATCGAACAAAAACCTCAATAGGAATCAGCATCCTCCCAAATTCTACTAATATAAAAGAGGAAGTTCTGTGCTTTAACAGTAAATATACACTAAAAGAGCAGGGCTTGACAGTTTTCAGATATTGCTAAATACCTGAATTGTTGCTAAAAGTAGATCTTTAAAGACCAGGACTCTCGTAACAGGCTGACTACCCATAATCCCAAGGTTGACTGAATCCTAGGAAACTAAGGTATTCTAATTTTCACATGACCATGAGTCACAGAGAGCTTAAGACTTCTTTTATTAATATTGATACTACTTAGAAGCTAATAGGTGATATACAAATAATACTGATGGATATGTTCAGACCCATTTGCTTTCTTTTTTCCCTCTTACTTCAAGCATTGTTGTACATACTTCCATCCATCCTGCTCTTGATTAAACAGTTCTCTCAACTCTCCATGCTGAGAAAATCTTACAGGAAAATATTTGACCTTATCTCTGGTAAGACTGGTCCTTACACAGAATTCTTAGATTAGAGGCTGTGGTTATGTTAAAGCTCATTATTTCTGTCAAGGTTTTTACTGCTTCTGTGTAACCACAAAAAAATACACTTTACAAATTAAACACATCAAATTCTGTTCAATCTCAAAACACTATTACCAATTGTTTGACAATGTTAGGAAAAAAATTCTGCAAATTTGCAATTTGGTTCTCATTACCCAGCCTCAGAACAAGGTAAAAACTATTTCTTTTTAATAAGTAGGCAAAATATTTTATTTTCGATTTTGAAAAAAGTATTGCATTGACAATATTTTCAAAATAAAAGCACCACTTAGGGAATATACCTCTGTTGACCTACTGTTTCTTTTACTGAAAAAAAAAGATTCATTAGGAAAGGTTAAAAAAAAATAATAATAATCATAAGTTATAAAAGTTGCTATTAGTGGTAAGAAAATCTAGAAAATGCCAAAAAAAATACTGAATTAGTCCCATCAGAGTAACAGGTTACTTCTTGCCATTTTTCTAGGCATGTATATAACAAGAGCTAAAATTGTATTACAATTGCTTAATACAGTTCATCTTCCACTTCATATGAACATTTTCCACTGTATCTGACATATTTTGGCTATTCTATTATTTGTACTGAAGGAGGGCCATTATAATTAACCTCATTATACACCCTTCTATATAAATTAGATTCTCTTTGCATTGTTTAACTACCCCTTCACTTCTCACTTGCTCTCTTCGGCAGACGGTACACATGCCCGGAAAAGAAACCGCCTAAAGGTTTGTTCTTCAACTAGTGTCAGTCAACTGATGCATTTTCTGCAGATAAGCCCTTGCTGCTTTCCCCCTTTACAGCACCAAAGAGAGCTATAGCACAAAAGACTCATGGCAATTCACAGGAGGACCCAGGGTGGAGAAAGCTGCAGAGAACTACATCAAGAGTGAACCCAGTTCTCAAGAAATGAACAACAGTTCTGAATAAATTGTTCCCCCACTCCCTGCACCCCATTTTCTTTTCATAACCAACCTTCTGAAAATTACTTTTCTCCAAACACCTCTGGTTTCAGCAACCTTCAACATCCTACTTAGTCAATGTCTTCTAATGAGTGTTAAATATTTACGACCACATCACCATATAATCATCAGCTCAAAATAAGTTTTGTATCATTTGCAGACTTCCATGGCATGACTATTTCCATGGTAACCAGTTTCAAGTTACCAACATGGTATCACTGAACATGGGCTGGGAAGAGCTACTACACAATAACTGGCTAGCAAAAGCTGGTCCAAGCCAGCTCCACACACCACTGCGTAAGTGTTTCAAGATGAGTTGTCCTTGTTACAGCATTTGACTACTTCTTCCTTTGAAAAACTACGCCCACAACCACATACTGTTAGTTTCTTGCACATACTTCTCTGGGCTTTTTTACTACCCTACCCCCATCCCTATTTCCTCCCGTCTTCTTCCTAGCCCTTAGACATTACTGTTTCCTAGAGTCTGGTCTTCAAGCCCCATCCCTTCTTTCTATATGCTCCTCCAGTGCCTCTACTACTGCCTATGCCTATTTATATTTTTAGCCAAGAGCTCTTGCCTGACTTGCAGTTTCCTGAATACTGAACAGATCCCACTTAAATGGATTCTAGGTATCTTAAACTAAAATCCCAAATGACAGGCCCAACCATCAATAGACTGCTCTTCCTCTTTCTTGCTTACTTTGGTGAAAATTCCTCCCCTTCTCCCTATCACTCTACCTCTCCTCCTCTCAGTCATGAAGTCCTACCCCTTCTACTTCCTAAACTTATTTGCAAACATCTGCAGCCCACCTCTATCTGTTCTCTAGAATTATTGTAACAGGCTATCTAATCTCCTGAGTTCCTTCTGGCATCGTTCCAATCTACTCTCCACAATGCCAGAATAAGTTGTTTTATTAAAATGCAAGTCTGATCATATGACCTATAAACTTTAAAATCTTTCAGGATAACATCTAAGTCTACCAGCAAGGCATACAAAGGTGTTTCCCAATTCTGCTCACCTGGTGAGCAACTGGTGATGGACCAGCTTAACTCCTTCTCACCTTGTACAGGATGGGACACTCTTTGAACTCACCGTACTACTTCACATCTCCTCCGCATGTGCTGACCCGCTGCTCCACTTCAGAGGCTCTCTCCAAGTTTTCCAGTGCAGTTTCACTACCAAGCTATCACCACATCTGCATCCCACCCAATACACATTCCTTCTTACAAATTTCCCAATACGCTGTGCTCACTGAGATCTTTCATTGTTCCTACAGTAGACAAAATGCTGGCTTAACCCTACCATTTACCCTAGTACTTGTCTTGGAATAGACGCATTTAATATTGGTAAAATGTTAAGTATTTAATATTTACTCTTCCTCTCAAGTTAGTAAATTTTAAGGAGTTCTTATCCATGCTGTTGAGGGCACGGTAAAAACTTTCCAGGTTGATGGGAATGAAAATAATAAATCTTTCTGGAGAGCCTTAAAATAATCATACCCTCTGACCTAGAAATTCTGTTTGACTCAAACCTATCAGAGATAAATACAAATGCAATTCCATGTAAGATGTTCACTGCATGGAGAATGAGAGACGGCCTAATTCTCTAATCAAGAGCAGGATGGGTAAAGTGTATACCATAATGCTTACATTAAGAGAGAAAATACAGGCTGGGCTCGGTGGCTCACACCTGTAATCCCGGCTCTTTGGGAGTCTGAGGTAGGCGGATCACTTTAAGTCAGGATTTCAAGACCAGCCTGGCCAATGTGGTGAAACCGTGACTCTACTAAAAAAACAAAAATTAGTTGGGCATGATGGCAGGTGCCTGTAATCCCAGCGACTCAGGAGGCTGAGGCAGGAGAATCGCTTGAACTTGGGAGGGGAAGGTTGCAGTGAACCGAGATCGTACCACTGCACTCCAGCCTGAGCGGCAGAGCAAGACTTCGCTTCCAAAAAAAAAAAAAGAAAAGAAAAAAAGAAATACAAAGGTGCATGAACGTTATCGTACAATTTCATAAAAAGTGTATTTATTTAGATACACATAAAAAAGACTAGAAGAAATTAATCACTGAAAACATTTTGGTTGCTCTGGATGATGAGAATTATAATTTGCTTTAGGCTTCTATATTTCCCAAGATTTCCACTAAATCTATAAAAAGTACTTTATAGACTCAATGTACACAGCCTCAGCAAATCTGCTCACATTCACCGACTATAAAACACTGGAGCTATGTGTCACTGTCACAAAAGGTAGAGATTAACGTTAATTGCTGTGGTCCAAGACTTTTAAGTTTTTACTCATCTTTAAAATTATACTAACAACTTTTACATAATTATTTAAAACTAATCCATCAAGAAAGCTTAAAAATACTGAAGGAAAAGGAAGAAAACAGTCATCTTGAATTACCTGTAGAATTGGCTGTTGGCACTGGAGTGGCCGTGGAAACTATTAAAAAAAGAAAAAAGAAAAACCATATACATCAAAGCTATTTAAAATATCACAATCTATAACGCTAGTTCCTGACCTGCAATCATTTGAGTACTTTTCACAATTTTTACAACACTTAAATACTACCTGTGGAAGAGACTGACAGTTGCCCCCAAATACCAGTCTCTTCTTTAGAAATAGAATCACCAATTTTTATCAACACCTCCCTTCCTCCTGAAAAGACATTTCCTAGTCTCCAGTGCTTCCAGGCCATCACGCATAACCTCTAGGAAGCATCCTTAAAGTAAGATACAAGCCTCTTTCATTCCCTTCTTCATCCTGCTGGCAGGAAAATAATCAATGTGATGGCTGGAACATAAGGACCCACCTTGGACAGTAGGGTCAAAGCCATTTTTGAGAGGTGAAAGAGTAAAAACCTAAAGAAGCCTCAGTCCCTAATGGTTGCAGAGCTGAACTCTAGTCCAGACTTCCTTTACATGAGAGAAAAGTAAATCAGTCCACTGCTTAAGCCATTGTAATTTGGGGGTTTATGTCCTTCATAGCTGAAACTAATTCTAACTGGTACATCATCAAATATGCAGCAGTACAAATACAGTTTTCCTTTAAATCAGTTTTCAAAAACGTTCTAATACTAATGAAATCTTCATTAATCTTGTCTCTAAGCAATATTACAAAACCACAGGTCTGACAGTTATTAGTTTATCTAACACATATTAAAGTAATTACTTAAAATGTTTCAGCCAGGTCCAGTAGCTCAAGCATGTAATTCCAGCACTCTGGGAAGCCAAAGTGGGAAGACTGCTTAAGCCCAGGAGTTCAAGACCAGCCTGGGCAACATAGTGAGACACCATCTCTACAAAAAAATTTTTAAATTAGCCAGCTATGGTGGCATGCACCTGTAATCCCAGCTTCTGGGGAGGCTGAGGCAGAAGGATTGCTTAAGCCCAGGAATATGAGGTGGCAATGAGTTATGATTGTGCCACTGCACTCCAGCCTGGGCAACAAAGAGACTGTCTCAAAAAAAGTTTGTTCGTGTACCACCTAACTATATTATGCACCCTGTGTGAAGTAAAACTGATCTAATACTAATGAAATGTTCAGTTACAAAATTCACATTGGGATGGGGCAACCCCTACCAAAATTAAAGAGTCAAAGGTAGTCTTTCAAGGTTAGACACACTGCACAAAAATCTTTTTCCTATTCAATTATTATCTATGCATCAAATTAGGAATATGCCTTTCCCACTGATTTACAATCTCATTGGAAAAATCAGCAGCTTCAAGTAGAATTTTAACGTTTTGCTGGACGAATAGTAAAGGTTAAAAATTAATCAAGTTACTCAGATTAAAATACAGAAAATGGATGGGTATAGAAAAGCTCATTTAACCACAGCACCAACTATGCTGCAGAATAAATTTATCAATCAACAATCCCCAGTATCGCAACACCAAAAGTGCCAGAATGAGGTTTCCCAGACCTGCAAGATGCAAACATAGCGGCTAAACTGTGATGAATTCCTAGAAAAGTTTAAAAAAAAAAAAAAAAGTGTGGGGGCAGACAACGCATCCACACTTACAGCATCCACACTATAGCTAAATCACTAAACCAAGCTTCAAATATCATCCTTTAATCAATCAATATGAATATACTATTCATATTCCAATTCTAACAAGATGAGAATTATGGCAATGCTTCAAACAAAGCACTGAAACAAGGCTTTCTGAGGCAATGATCTTCCTCACCTCTCTGCGGTCAGCTTCCAAGCAGCCAATATGAATACTTACCGGAACAGAAGTCTGTCGTGTTCCCCACTTGACAATCACTAACTGTTGAGTTATGTGAACAATAGCTCTCATCTGTTGGGGGGCAGGGGAAAAGAGACAAACAGCATCAACCACCCATTTGTATTATCTTTGACTCTGCTACTAAGCTCTATGAAATCAAACCCAAACACTTTAGAAGTGGGCAGGGGGAACCACTTTAGGTGTTTTGACCTAAAGTTAAACCCACAGACCAAACCCTGTCATTCTCCTTTTCCCACTGACTTAGAGATTACGCAGGATCCTTCTAACTTTTATCCATTAAAAATCCACATTAATATACTGAAAAAATAAATCTGCAACACTTAGATCTCAGAATTGTGGGAAGACTACTGTACAATCAAGAAAGGCAGCCATCATCTAAAAAGTGGGCAGGTGGCTCACGCCTATAATCTCAGCACTTTGGGAGGCCAGGGTGGGAAGATCACCTGAGGTCAGGAGTTCGAGATCAGCCTGACCAATATGGTGAGACCCTGCCTCTACCAAAAATACAGAACTCTGTCTCAGGGAAAAAAAAAAAGGCGGAGACAGTAAGTTGAAGTGGTCAGGGTCTGTATTAAGAGGTTAGTAAACAGATGAGGCACCCCATAACACTGTAGAAACTCTATTCCAAATCTCACTGCTTTAGTCTTCTATACTTTCTAAAACAACTTTCCTGGATAGGTAGACTTGGAACAAGAGTAAGGGGAGAACCTTTCCCAACAAATCTTAAAGTAGAGCATTCCATCTCCAAAATTCACCAACTCTTACATACTCCCATATAAAGGGGAAAGAGTACGCCCTTAAATCCCATTTTATGACCTAAAAAAAAGAGACACTTCTATAACAAAAAAGTTAATTTGGCCCAATTTAGTTAATACCTTAAAGAGCTTTTTGAAATTTATGTAGTGATATAATTTCTAGAACTATTAAAATTTTTACCAAATAAAAAAACTTATGGTTTGTTTTTACTTAAAAAAAAAACCGCCAAAACAACTAGATTGTTTTACTGATAAGTGCAACCACTTTACATTAAAAAACAATTAAAATAATGTATGCAGTAATATGGTTCTAATAAGAATCTTATTGAATTTCAATGTACGTCCCTTTAGCGCTCTACCTCTTGTATTAACAAAAGCACAGGAAGTCAACTCTCCCTACCTCTTTCTTCTCTACACCTAAGCATCCAACAGTTTCATAAGGTCTCTTTATATTTCATGTTGCAGGACACAGTTTTCAACACAACCTTCACTCACAGCTAATTCCAGTGTATTAAAGTACTCTCAATCCTTAGAACAGGCTTTAAAAAAAGCCAGGTGAGGAAGCACGCATCTGTAGTCTTGGCTACTAGGGAGGCCAAGGTTGGAGGATTGCTTGAGCCTAGGATTTCAAGACCAACCTGGGTAACACAGGAGACTCCATCTCATAAAAAACAAACGACTGAGCTTTAATTATCAAGTCTTAAGGAATCTAAAGGGAGGATGGGAGACAAAAAGAGATTTTCAGGGGGAGTGCGAGGCAACTGGCACTTTAAAGGAGTACTGGATTTGCAAAATAAATAGTGCACAATATCCTAAATGTCCTACATAACTTTCAAGTGTTCAAGAATTACTGTATTTTAAAATGCTATAACAAAACAGTTTTGCATCCCCAAAGTTTCTTACCTTTACATTCTATCCAAAAGCAGGTAGTATTAACAACGCTAACATTAAAACAGGAAACGCAGCTGTTTCGACCTTCACAGGTTTCTGGGGAGTTGGGGGGAGAGATGCATGAAATCAATGATTTTATTAGTATCTTATTTGAATCTGTATTACTTATCTTTTTGAACAATAAGCATTACATACAGCATCAAAATTACTAATTCAGATAAATGATAAAACTTTATACTGGTTTACTAAGAAA
Organism: Homo sapiens; assembly: GCF_000001405.40. Classification (NCBI taxonomy): domain Eukaryota; kingdom Metazoa; phylum Chordata; class Mammalia; order Primates; family Hominidae; genus Homo; species Homo sapiens. Next base: position 109,379,820 of record NC_000006.12, read on the forward strand.
TTCCAATCATTACAAAGCTGTAAGTAAACGCATTAGAAAAACAAGCTAGTGGTCACTCTCAGTACAGTGCCTGATGGTATCTGTCTAACCAATCCTTTTTCACAGGACAACTATTGGAAGACACCCACAGCCACTAAGGATTTAGGCATTTCAAAGCATCCTTAATACATAAAAATATCGAGAAAAAGGCTTTGATATAATACCAACACTACACATAGGAAAACCACTACCCCCAAACATCAGATAAAACCCTGAGATTTTTAGTAGTAACAGTAGTAGTTTAACAGGTTGAACCCAAGCACTGATGATGCCCATTCTGCTGCAAACAAAGATAATTTCCCAGGGATTCTCGATTCATAAATGATCCACTCTCGACAGGATCCTCCACAACTGGAGACAACATCTAAAAGCCCATATTCAAGTGCATACAATTCAGGTTAACAAGGTATTTGTCAATAGTTCATCCTAGGCCAAACAATCCAGAAACAAGTACTCATCACCATAATTCAATTTCTGGAGAAGAACGGACTATAAAATTGGGCTCTATTTTCCAGTGAGAAAAAGCAGCAAAATAAAAGAAAAAAAAGAATTGGGCTCCATTCATTTTCCTAGAAACTAGATGCCTCCAAACATTCTCGTTTGCTTTGCTCCTGCCTAAAAAATAGTTCTGCAGAGGCACTGCTTTCAATACTTCATCATTAGTACTTATTAAAGACTGGGACATGTACGGTGGGGTGGGGAAGGGTTCATAAAGTAAAAATAAATTTTCTGAAGTTTGTATAGATAAAACATGCTGTTTAAAAACCTTTGTGCTTGACGGGTGTAGCAAAGTGAAATGTCTGAAATGTTCTTTACAATGAACTAAACTTGCTACCTTTCAGACCACACTACATCCACTTATGATTTCCAGAAAATACATACCTCCTTTGCACGCACTTCAATTACACAAAGACAAATTAATTTGATACTTCCAACCTTCTCTTACACACACACTACAATTCTGAAAGGAAACTGTCAAATTAAGACTGAGACAAACATATTCTGCTCTATCATCTTAAAATAGTGCGGTTAGAATTCCCAGTATTATACTGCAATTTACTTCCCTCGTTTTGAAATGTTACCATTACATCTTCCTTAAACTAAAAACAAAACATTAAGTTTACTATATACTTTATTAAACTTTTATAAAATACTAAAACTAGAGGAGAATTTGTAGAATATGAATGCCGTGATAAAAATCATTACACTTCGGCATTCTTCGGTCAAGAAGCCAATGTTAACTACGTAAACATTACTCCTTAACTAATGTTAACTAGAATAACCAATCATACGAGACTGCAGGTTTTAAACCTCTAGTGTTTCTCCCGCTTATTACCTCAAACTTATCTTCCTTCTCTCTTTTGTGTTGTCACGGTATATGGCAATTTCTGCTTTAAAATGTATGTATGCCTTAACCAGCCCTATGCGACTGCACATAACAAAAGACACGCTCCTGATCGGGTTTTAGAAAACCCACAGACCTGGGCACAAACCCCCGTTCCACGACCTACTAAACATACGCTATCTGAGCACAGGACATAGTTAAGAAAATTTTAAAAACAATTGAAAAAAGAATAAACATACAATGTCAGGAGAGTTTACTCATCTCCGTCTCTGCATCTACCTCCTAGGTTTCACTACCTACCTTCCAGTTTAGCCTTAGGATACGTACGCAAAACACCCGGTACATACATGGGTACTTTTCTTCCTTTTCGCATACTTTGAAGTGTGAAGTTTTCACTAACTACGTGCTCAAACGTCAGCTACATTCTATTCCTATCTGCAAAACCAATGTAATTAAATCTCAAGCGACCTTCTCAGACTCAAGTCTGAGACACGAACGAGCATTACCGTCTTTAAGTTTCTCTTTCCCGGACTTCCGGAGAAGGCTACCTCCGGAGAGAGGCGCCGGGAGGGTGAACAACCAGTGGCAGGGAGAGGCAGCTCGGCCCCACCGCCAACCTCAGAGGCGCGACGCCCGGCCCCATCCTCAACCCCACCGCTGCCCCCGCGGAAGGAAGCCACGTCCCCATTTCCGACCCCAAGTGAGGCTAGGAATTACGATGCACTTTTAAAAGGCACCTCGACTTGCAACACTTCGAGGGGGGCCCCAGCCCCGCAGCCACTGGGAACCGCGCGTCCGCTTCCCCCCAGCGCGCTCCCCACCCGGCCCGGCCACGAGTGGACTCCAGGCTGGCCGCCATGTTGCCGGAGTCGCCGCCGCACCCCGAGCGCGGCCCGCCCGCCCGACCGTGGCCCGAACCCGGGCCCCGCCCGCACGGCGAGGAGGCAGTGCGGCTCGGCTGGGCAGGGGAGGGCGGGAAGCCCACAGGGCCCGCGCCCACCTGGTGCCGGAGTGGTGACCAGCGGGAGGGACGTCACCGGCGCCGAGGTTACGTTGGAGATGGGCGCTAAAGTCGTCACGTTCGGGTGCTGGGTCGTGTTCTTGTCCGCGGACAGCACGCAGAGCACGCCCAGGCAGGTGGCGGCCCAAAGCAGTGAGCGGGAGAGCCGCGACATCGTGTCCTCAGCGCTGGCGTTCGGGAGAAAGCTAAGGCTCGCAACGCTCAGTCAACCCCTCAATCCCCTGCGGCGCCGCCTCCGAGACTACGCTCCCCCGCGGGAGCGCGCAGGGGTCACGTGAGAGGCCCCTGTTTTCGGCGTGCGGGGGCGAAGAGGAGGGAGGTGGGGCTCGGACGATACCAACGGGAATCCTACGGGGGGAAGCAGGGGAGTCGGGAGGAAGCCGAAGGAACCTGGCCCTCAAAGCGACTGTGCCACAGCCAAGAAAACTGGGAGCTTCTGCAAATCGTTCTTCTTGCCCTCAGATTACCAGACACGACGCAGCTGGACTTGTCTCATGCCTGCGATAGGGACGGCCCCCACCCTGACTTGCATGGAACAGTCGACATAATGTGGCCTACTGCTTCCACCTGAGCGCCCCGCCAGGCTGTAATTCCGCGGGCCCACGTGACCTCCGGGGCCGCGCCTTCCGGACGCAACTCCACTGGGGCGGAAGTTGGTTTTGTGCGGCTCTCAAGAACTAAGTTTGTGCTGTGCTGCGGGATCCCCAGGGAGCTTCCTTATATCTTCGGCAGGACCCCTTCTTTTTTTCTTGAAGATTGATTTTGCTAGAAGTTATCCTGTGATGGGACTCCCTAGGGGAATGGAGGCACCACGTGGTTAAGGAGTTTGTGCGTTGCCGCCCACATAGTGTGGGCAGCTGAGGCGCCGCCCGGATCAGAGCCGCAGGGCGTCTACTCTGTCACTTTCCCAACCTGACTTTTCCGGATTGCTATTTCAGACGGCGGTTGCAGCAGCCGACCTGTCTCAACTCCACCACTGTAGTCAGAGAATCAAAAGCGGTCTGAGTTGCGAGGTCATTGGGGAGGCCCCCACCCCCACATTACCAGTGAGGAAACTGAGACTTAAAAAAGTGACCTGACCTGGACACGGGATTGCCTGACATCAGAGCTGGATTCTTAAGTTCCTGTTAGTGTTAAGGCGCTGCTCAGACTTTTAGTAAAGGTGAGCGCCATCTACTGCCAAGTCTCACAAAATATTCGCAAAATTTGATACGGTTATCACATGGTAAAAATTAGACTTTAAAAGTTGTATTTAATGCTGTGTTTTCAGCTGTTGTACACTTATGTAATTTTAATTATGCAAAGTTATCCTAATAATATAGGAATATTAATTGCTTTCGTGAGGTCTGTCTTGATGTGCCACGATGACTTTTTTGATGTGCCAAAAAAGATGACTACATAGTGCTTTTACCTTTTTGCTCAAATAGAAAGATTTTATTTCCCCTTGGGATCTTTTCAGTGTCGTCCTTCTGTACCCTCAGGACTATGAACATTTGTTCCAATGACTACGCTAGTTGGAGTAGTGTTGCTTGGATGTAAACAAAAAGCTGATAGTTTTGACTGATCCAGCCCAGAAGCATGAGAATGCTGTCAGGGAAGTGAGCTCCCACCATAAGCCCTTCAGAGAAGTGTCTGCTCTTCTCTCAGGAGGCCTCTCTCTATATTTAACACTTGACTATCTGGCACCCAGACCAAATGAAAGCGCAAGGCAACTTTAATTTTTTTTTAAGGTTAAGAATGTAAATAGGGGCCGGACGCGGTGGCTCACGCCTGTAATGCCAGCACTTTGGGAGGCCAAGGCGGGTGGATCACCTGAGGTCCGGAGTTTGAGACCAGCTTGGCCAACATGGTGTAAACCCCGTCTCTCCTAAAAATACAAAAATTAGCCGGGCATGGTGGCACGTGCCTGTAATCCCAGCTACTAGCAGGGCTGAGGCAGGAGGATCGCTTGTATCCGGGAGGCGGAGGTTGCAGTGAGCCGAGATCACACCACTGCACTCCAGCTTGGGGAACAGAGCCAGACTCGTCTCAAAAAAAAAAAAAAAAAAAAAAATGTAAATAGAAGCTCTGTTCTCAGAGCTTGGTGTGTTATCTTCTTTCCACCCTAGGATAAACACACTCCTCTGTGCAGACCATTGTTTAACAATTTGTCACCTGGATGTTTAACTCTAGTCCTCAGATATTCCTCAGTCCTGATAAAGGGACATTTCACGCTCTTGTTTTAAGACTAGAAAACCATTGGTTTATTTTATTTTGCATGGCAACTGTAGAGGTAGATCAAGGGAGTTCCAAAGTCATTTTCACCATTTCAGAGAGACAGCTTTTTTTTTTTCAGTTCCTGACAGTAAGCTTCTGTTTATTGTTGTCATAGAGCAGGGTTTCTCAATCTTGGCGCTATCAAGATTTCAGGCTGACTCATTCTTGCTTGTCCTGTGCATTGTTGGATATTCGGCAGTATTCGTAGCCTCTACACACTAGATACCAGAAGCACCCCACCTCTCAGTTGTGACAACCAAAAATATCTCCCGATATTGTTAAATGTCTCCTGGGGGTAAAATCACAATTGAAAGGCACCCTCAGAGCGTTCTTCTGTGTGCAAGGTCAGCCATCACTCAGGTTATTTCCTCTTAGACACATTGCTTGCAATTAGATTGTCGATTGGTTGTTAGAGCGACCTTCTTAACCATTTATTTTCTTGAAAGCAGCAAGACAGAGTGCTTCTGCGCTTGTGAATCTTCTAGCAGTATAAGCTCCCTCTAAGTTTTTTAAACAGCAGATTTTTAAACAATGCTTCAGCCTTGTGTCAGTACCTTTCCCCAAATAAACAGATCAACACTCCAAACAGGACCCTGCCTTCTAGCTATAACTAACATCCAGTGGCCCCTTAATAATCAGAGGTTTGCCTCCACTACTTGATAGCAAGAAGTACAAACCCCCTTGTACTAGCTTATGTTAAAGGGAATCCATTCACTGTAAGAATATGACAGTAAATCTTATAGGCATTCAGGGGTGGGAAATCAAGTGTGTGAGGGCCAAGGGAGACTTGAACTTAAAAGGAGGAATCCCTAGCACGTGGAGCTGGTTTGCTAGGACTTCGTTTCAGGCTTCAACCCTACAGGACATTGCCAGATCTATAGACCCACAGCCAATCATCTCCATTGCCCAGTATTCCAGTTATATAGCTCTTGGAAGAGATAACTTGACTGAGTACCATGCCTTCCCAACCTGTCTGTTACCTACTCTCTGCTCTGACTCCATCCATGCAGTCTACACTAGAGCTCCCTGAACTTCCAGTTCTCCTAACTGGTCATGTTTTCTTTTGCATGTGGATCTTCATCCATGCTATTTCTTCTGCCTAGAACATTCTTATTCCCTTCTGGCATCTGACCAACTCCTACTTGTTTGAGGTCTCTCAGCTAAGCTGTCACTCCCATCTTAAGCTATCCTTAAAATATTCAACTACCCCTTTCTCCCCACTCCCAGACTACAAAAGGTGTTCCTGCTCTGTGCACCCTGGACTTGCCCATAACAAAGCATATACTGCATTATATAGCAGTTGTCTTTCTCACTAGATTAACTCAGAAATAGTGCTCACCAGTTTATTCCCTGCACTTAATTAAAAAAAAATGAATAAATGAACAAACTGGCTTATTTCAGTCAGTTGTCCACCCTTGCCAAAAATTAGCTGCATTAAAAAGCACAGGAGGAGCCCGGCGTAGTGGCAAGCACCTGTAATCACAGCTACTTGGGAGGTTGAGGCAGAAGAATCTATTGAACCCAGGAGGCAGAGGTTGCAGTGAGCCGAGATTGCATCACTGCCCTCCAGCCTGGGCAACAGAGTGAGACTCTGCCTCAAAAAAAAAAAAAATAAATAAATAAAATAAATAAAATAAAAGCGTAGGAGGGCAGCTGCTACAAATAACTCCCTGAACTCTTCAGCTGTGGGTCAGGGTAGATTCATCTAGAGGAGTATGGGTGGGAAACAAGGGCTGGCATCTGTAAGACAGTTTTAACAGCATATATTAAAGCTCATTTAGTAGTATTTGAATCTGTTTTGACAAAGAGAAGGATTGGAATAAATCAAATATTAGCTAAAACTGTATATTCAGAGTCTTAATATTGTGATTAAGATTAAGGGTAAAATTCTGGAGATATTGTCATTAGGAGGCTCTCCACTTTGACTGTGGATGTTTCTTTGAAAAGTGTGCCAGGGCGCCAGAGGGGAGCATTACACTTTAGAGCAGTTGTTCTTAACCCTGGCTGCACATTGGAACTACCTAGTGACATCAGTGGTGGTGGTGTGTGTTGAAAAATATTGATACTAGTGCCTGGGTACTGATTTAATTGGTCTGGAGTAATGTCTGAGCATCAGCAGTTTTAAAAGCTTCCCAGGTGTTTCTAATCTGCAGCTTAGGTGGAAAACCAGTGCTTTACTCTTGCTTTCCAGAGTGTGGTTCTCAAACCATTATCATTTATATCACCTAGAAATGCAGAACCTCAGGCCTCCCCCTCAGATCTCCTGAATCAGAACCTACATTTTAACAAGATTCCCAGAAGATATGTACATGTGTAAAGTATTAAAGTTGGAGAACAGCCGGATGCAGTGGCTCACGCCTGTAATTCCAGCACTTTGGGAGGCTGAGGCGGCAGATCACCTGAGGTCAGGAGTTCGAGACCAGCCTGGCCAACATGGCGAAACCCCATCTCTGCCAAAAATACAAAAATTAGCCAGGTGTGGTGGCGGGTGCCTGTAATCCCAGCTACTTGGGAGGCTGAGGCAGGAGAATTGCTTGAACCCAGGAGGTGGGGGTTGCAGTGAGCCAAGATCGTGCCATTGCACTCCAGCCTGGGCGACAGAGTGAGACTCCATCTCATAAAAAAAAAAAAAAAAAAAAAAAAAAAAAAAAGTTGGAGAACACTGCTTTACACTATGACTTGCACAGAACTATTCTATCCTGAACTGCTGCAATTTTTTTTCTTTTTTGAGAAAAAAATGAATAAATAAACTGGCTTATTTCAGTCAAACTGGCGCAATCTCGGCTCACTGCAACCTCCGCCTCCCCAGGCTCAAGTGATCCTCCCACCTCAGTTTCCTGAATAGCCGGGTGCGCCACCACACCTGGCTAATTTTTTGTATTTTTGCTTGAGACGGAGTTTCACCATGTTGCTCAGGCTGGTCTAGAACTCCTGAGCTCAAGCAATCTTCCCCCCTTGGCCTCCCAAAGTGCTGGGATTACAAGCATGAGCCACCATGCCAGGCCTGCAATTCTTAACAGTGATTCATTTACAAAATTACATCAAGATATACTGTTTTTGCTTCTTTCTTTACAAACATATGTAAGGTTAGCATACAAACAGCACAAACCTCCTGGATGTGCAGGAGTCAGGGAGCCCAGCCCAGGTTCCCTTAAGGCTGGCACCCGAGATGCATGATTTTTATTTGTATTCTGCTTCAAACCCTGGGTCTGCTAGAGCTCTTTGCATTACGTCTCTTGGTCCTTCAGGAAATGAAACCTTTTCCTGACTTGTTCCTTAGGAATAACCTCCAAGTTCAAGCTAAACTACACCTCAGGCGGCTTGCTGATATCTTGGATTAGCTATGGCTTCCCCTTGTCCCTAGGTATTCACTGTGCTTCTCCCGATCCTGTCTTGGAGAGCTGATTTTCAGCCAGAAGACACCTCATGGCCACTCTGGTTATTAAAATATTCTAGTAATTCTGTACTGACTGGCAAAGTGCGTGTCCTGAGCGGCCCAAGTGTCCAAGTCCCTTCCTAAGGATCTGACTACCACGTTGCCACTGTCCAGCACCTGGAGGTCTCACATCTGGCCCTGCTAAGAACCTCAGGACCTTGCAACAGAATTCTGGTCACTGTCTAATTGGTCAACGTATGTGTACCTCCTCTGCTGCCTTGATGAAATCAAGGTTTCTTGTCAGTTTCCTTCATTCTTCCTTTTCTGTTGTAGGTTACACTTTACTGTTATGACTTTTCTCTTCTACATACCTGTGTGCCACAGATCTATGAGAGATCTAATATATCCCATCTGTTCTTAAAGTGTTGTCTCCAGAACAGCAGCAGCAGCAGCATCACCTTGAACTTGTTCAAATTCTCCAGCCCAACCCAGTGCCACTGAATCAGAAACTCTGAGGTCCAGCAATCTGTTTGACAGGCCCAGGCACTCTGATGCATGCTAAAGTAAAAGAACCTGTGATTTATCACCTTACAAAGCCCTCTATCAAATATGCAACTTGTAATTCATGTTGTATACATTACTACTGAGTTAGTCACCAATATTTCGTATGATATACAAAAGTCTTAAGACTTGCCAGATTTAAGTGGTGGTGATTCCACTTTGGGAAGTGTAGGGGATGGTAAGATCAATATAGTTTAAAAAATGAGTCTCCATAAGGGAGAATATTGCTAGGTGTGGTAGAGACCAATTTTAATTTTAAAGATATACCTTTGAACTAGTTCAGTTGATTGAAAGTTAATCTGATGTGAGAACTGCTAATACTCAGTATAAAAAGAGCTTGATATTTCTTGAAATTAGGATGATGATATTCTGTCAGTGGTAGCTTGACTGGTTTCCGTGGGGAGACATTTCTGAAGGGAAACTAATTCTTAAGGAATATCTGCTGTGTGCCAAGCATTATTAGAAGCACTGTGCTGTGCTTCTCATAATTCACCTGCTGTGAATAGATTCACCTGCTGTGTCAATCCTCAGAACACTGAGACAGATGTACCCCCATTTCACTTAAAATTGTTGATTTTATGCGTTTCCTCAGAATAATCACTGAAGTTTTAGAGCCAGAAGAAAGCTAGCAACTCAACTTCTGTTATTTTTACAAATGGGGACAGTGAAAGGTTAAGTGATTTGACCATCACATTGCTGGACAGGTGGTTCTCAAACAAATAATGCTTCATTTAAAATATGTATAAAAACTCAGGGTCTGGAATCCTGAGGTTGCCAGATTATCCATTCCTTAACAAATAACTGGCACTGTTTGCAGTAGGGGCAAACAAATTCCTTGGATAGAATTTTAAATATTTACCTCAAATCTCCCCATATAAGAAAAATGTTTAGATATGCCCTCCCTTATTCACACGGCCTAGTATAAGATAAAGCGTATGTACTTGACTTTGCCATATCAGCAATTAGGGCAAGTTTAGACATATAACTTAGCATTTTGTGTAAATCATCAGAAGGCCTTTATTGTCCTATTTGTAGATGTGGAAAAATCTAGAATCCCTTCTGTTTAATTAGTGTATTTCAGTTTGGTTAAATCAAAGTCTTACATGTGGAGTTCATTGGAGTAAACTTTTGAGTCCTTCTAACAATCAGTTTCTTCAACTATGAGGTTAAACATACAAATCATTCTAGCACAGAAGTATCAGTGTGTATACTTTTAAGTGCTGGTGATAAGAACCACTGCATGGATCTGTGGTTGAGGTTTCCACAGCCCAGAAGTGGAAAGTTAGAGTGAACAAAGGGACCATGAACTCGCCATCCTTGAGAAGACTGGCAGAGTTCTACCTTTCTATTGCTGCTGACAAAGGGAGCTGGAATCAGTTTCTTACACCCACACAAATATCCCAGTTCTTTCACAACATCAGATAAAATGCCTAATGCCATTAATATATAGGTTCATCACCAGTAAGAACTGCCCTGCTGTTTGTTATTACATGAGTAACGCTTGTCATGTGTTTTAACCGGGCTCCTTGCAAAGAATCAGTTTTCATTCACCAATTGTTTTGAATCCTGGTGGCAAGCCCAGCTCCCTTTTGTCTGAGATGTCCCCAGTGTGACCTGAGGAACCTGGGCAAAGGCCCAGCGAGAGGGTCTGGAAGCTCTAGACAAATCACCCGAGTTCTCAGACTGCCCAGAAGTCTGTGAGTACAGGAAGAGGGAGACTCTCCTCAGGGATTCCCAAATCTGGCTATCAAAGTCATTGGAGAGCTTTCAAAAAGTCCAAGCTCTGAGGCTACACCCTGAAGGTTACACATTAGTAATTTATTATTAAATTTATCGAGTGCTTACAGCAGACCAGGTCTCTTATAGGTTCTTTATAGAAATTATTGATTCATGGAACCCTCACAGCAATCTTATGTGGTAGGTACCACTGTTTCTCAGATGAAGGAATTGAGGCACAGAAAAGTTCTTGCCTGAGTTTGTGCAGCTAGGGAATGGCAGAGCCAGGATTCTGGCCCTAGAACACACATTCTTAACACTATGTTGCTCTGGGTCAGTTGAGAATGTAACATAGGCGGTCTGCTTCCTCCCATCCACCTCAGGTCTTAGCATAAAGCATATGTCATATAGCAATAAAGCTGTCATTAAAAGGAAAAGCAAATGCCAGTTGTCAGGAGTTAGGGATGGCAGAGGGCAGGGGAGTGGGTTGACTGTAAAGGGGTACTGGAAGGGGGTCTTTGAGGTGCTGGAAAGGTTCTATATTTTCTCTATAGTGTTGGTTACATGAATATACTCATGATAAAATGGCATCACACACATTGTACCAATGTCAGCTGCCTGGTTTGATATTGTACTACCGTTTTGTAAGCGTAGCCACTGGGGAAAATGGGTGAAAGGTACACAGGACTGCTCTGTACTATTTTTGCAACTTCCTGTGAATCTATATTTCAAAATAAAAAGTTAAAAAAGCCTACGCCTACTTTTGGCAAGCCTCATATCCATTAGAAGCCTGCCTCTTTAAGACTGATGTAAATAGAGATTGTTCTTGGAAGACAAACCTCATTCTGCTTAGGGTAAGAAAAGCACTCTCAGCCGGGTGCGGTGGCTCACGCCTTTGTAATCTCAGCACTTTGGGAGGCCGAGGCGGGCGGATCACGAGGTCACAAGATCGGGACCATCCTGGCTAACATGGTGAAATCCCATCTCTACTAAAAATACAAAAAATTAGCCAGGCGTGGTGGCAGGCGCCTGTAGTCCCAGCTACTCGGGAGGCTGAGGCAGGAGAATGGCATGAATCAGGGAGGCAGAGCTTGCAGTGAGCCGAGATTGTGCCACTGCACTCCAGCCTGGGCGACAGAGTGAGATTCCGTCTCAAAAAAAAAAAAAAAAAAAAAAAAAAAAAGAAAAGCACTCTTAGTCTGGGCAGAGCAGGGGCACAGGGTAGTGGTGGTAACAGGAGCTGAGCAAGGTCACCAATAGCAGAGTCAAGCACTCTGCTGACTACATTACACCATGGGGACTGGAACCAGTTCCTTATGTCTTGCAGTGATTCCCAGATGACTAGTGCCCAGCTGTCTAAATGGGAACCCTGGGGAAAGAGCTAAATGAACACAGAATCTGTGCCCCACGCCTGGGAACCCTGGGGAAAGAACCAAATGAACACAGAATCTCTGCCCCACGCCTGGGAACTCTGCCTCAGTAGGTCAAGGACAAGGTCTGTTAGGTTACATTTTAAAAGCTCCCCAGGTGATATGAGCTTGAGAACTTTAGATTACAGAGTAGTGATAAAGCTGAATCTCCAATAACATCACATGAGTCAGCCACCACGGACACTGTAAAACAAGCCCTTGGTTTTCATAGGGTTGGTATGGCTCAGAGAGATAAGGATGATGTTCATGTCATATATGAAAACATCCAAAGTGTAGATACTCTTTCTGAATGCTGGTATAAACAATGAAATATTACAATGAATTGCTTTTTCTTCTGCATCATTCCTATTTGGTTACTTACCAAGTTTCTCCTAGGAGTACATGTAGTTACAAACAAGAACATAATTCTATTACAAATGTCTTAGGCTATCAGGTGTGTTGCTAAATTAAGAATTTTTTGTCCACAAGTAACAAAATTCTCAACCAACAGTAACATAAACAACACAACACAGGGCTCTGTTAGTCTCCTATAATAAGAAGTCCAGAGTAGGTGGTTGCTGGTATTGGTCCCGCAGCTCAAGAGACTGGGGCTGACATCTCTGCAGTACTTGGCCTTTCTTTTTTTTTGAGACAGTCTCTCTCTGTCGCCAGGCTGGAGTGCAGTGGCGGCATCTCGGCTCACTGCAACCTCCGCCTCCCGGGTTCAAGAGATTCTTCTGCCTCAGCTTCCCAAGTAGCTGGGACTACAAGTGCATGCCACCATGCCCAGCTAATTTCTGTAGTTTTAGTAGAGACAGGGTTTCACCATGTTGGCCAGGATGGTCTCAATCTCTTGATCTTGTGATCCACCTGCCTCGGCCTCCCAAGTGCTGGGATTACAGGCGTGAGCTACCACACCTGGCCTCAGCCTTTTCTTTATGGCCACAAGATGACAGCTGTAGCTCCAGCCTCTCCACATTCCAGACTGGATGAAGGGGAAGGGGCAGGACCACTGGCGTTCTATTCCTGTCCCACTGGCCAGAACCATCTCTCATGGCCACCCGTGGCTGCAAAGGAGTCTAGGAAATTGAGTACCACCCTTTCACAGTCTCTATGACAGAGACAGGAAAGGAAGATGGGGAGGGATTGGGTGTAGATGAGGCAACCTACAGTGTCTGCCACGGCTTTCAAATTACAATTTATCAAGTACTTTTTAATTAAATCCACAAACAGCTGATCAGATACAAAGTAATAAATTATCACAGAAAATATTGATATGAAAATCAAGCATAAGGATCTCCACTGTCAGTAATTCTACACATATGTATTGGTCTTTCATTCTGTGTTGGAACTAATTCTAGTTGTTTAAGCACTTCTGTTCCTTCAATCAGTTGCCTACATAGGAGAAAAAAATGGAAAATTTAGTCAGTCATAAGTTTTCATATTTAGCTTAACATTCCGAAATGGGGTCCTACCCAGCTATAGCTAAGACTATTTCCTACAAATTGAATGAACATCAGCTCTAAGTATCCTAAACCTCTCTGGATGTGTGCACTTTACCACACCTGCAGTATCCAGGGCCATCATCCAGGCAGCTGGCCTCCTGCCGCAGCTCTAAGCTGGCTTCCTCCATCTGCTTGGCACCCTCCCCTCTGTTTTTCTCCCTGCAGTCAGGGTGATTTTTTTTTTTTTTGAGACAGGGTCTCACTCTGTTGCCCAGGCTGGAGTGCTGTGGCATGATCTTAGCTCACTACAGCCTTGACCTCCTGGCTTAAGTGATCCTCCTGCCTCAGCCTCCTGAGTAGCCAGTGCTTACCAGGTGTGTGCCACTAGGCCTGGCCAATATTTTTGTTTATTTATTTTTGTACAGATAGGATCTTGCTATGTTGCCCAGGCTGGTCTTGAACTCCTGGCCTCAAGCAGTCCTCCCATTTTGGCCTCCCAAAGTGCTGGGATTATAAGTGTGCGCCACCACACCTGGCCAGCATGGTCTTTTAGAAATAGCAATCTGCTTTCATTTCCTTGCTCAAAACACGACAGTAATTTCCCATTATCCTTAGGATGAAGACTATAAGTCCCTGCCATTGCCTACCAGGGCCTGCACAGTCTATCTCCCACGGCCTCTCGGGGAGGTCGGGCCACATGCTTCCTGTTGCTCTCTGCTACAGCCAGACTGGCTTTCAGTACCTCAAGAGCTCCACACTCCCTTCTTCCACAGCTCCTGCATTACTCCCCCACCCCTACCCTTTGGCATGGTCACCTCCTGGTCTTCCTTCAGACCTCAGCCCAGTCATCACCTCCTTGGGGGAAGTTTCCCAGGCCACCTTGCTTATATTAAGTTCTCTGTCGCTCCTTTAGAGAAGTTCCCAGGGTTGAAACCTTACATTTATTTGTATGCTTCTTTGATTGATTTCTAATTCTCCCATGATGGTAGGGATCATGCTTGTGCTCAGGCTCAGTGCCTAGCATAATGCCTGGCACTACCAGGCACCTGACAACATCCACTGAGTGATGAATAAAAGACAGCTCAAAGCCATGCTAGTTTCGACTGGATGTGGTGACTCATGCCTGTAATCCCAGCACTTTGGGAGGCCAAGGCAGCTGGATTGCCTGAGCACAGCAGTTTGAGACTAGCCTGGGGACAACCTGGTGAAACCCTGTCTCTAATAAAATACCAAAAATTAACTGGGCTTGGTGGTGCACACCTGTAATCCCAGCTGCTCAGGAGGCTGAGGCAGGAGAATTGCTTCAACCCAGGAGGTGGAGGTTGCAGTGAGCTGAGTTTGCACCACTGCACTCAGCCTGGGCCATAGAGCGAGACTTATCTCAAAAAAAAAAAAAAAAAAAAAAGCCATGCTAGTTTACATCTCTGTAGACAATTGCTGGCCATGAGCTAGAACTTCCTGGGGAGTGGAGCTAGACTTCTGATGGTTCTTTCAATTAAAAAAGGGCAGAGAGACAGGCCAAGACATAGGACTGGTGCCCTCTGTCAGTGCTTGGGCTTGGACAGTGGCTGAGGGGAAGGGTGCAACTTCCATCTCATGAGCCTTTATAGGAGCATGGTCAGTGCCGACACCAAGTGTACTCTAGCCCTCTCTTTGCCTTTGGGCTCTATTTTTGCCATCCCAATAAAAAACCATGACACAGGACAACATTCTGAGGATGAAGGGCAGAGGATAAATAGATTCATTTCTGTCCAAAGAGAGTATGAAGCCTGTTCTCCAACAAGACAAGATAAGCAAAGGCACAGGGACTGTTCTTGGAGTGATGGTACTATGGTTTGGTTGCAGCTTGGCTGCCAGTCTACAAATTGTTTCCAAATTACATTTCCAGCTCTGACTCAGCTTGAATATCCACCTCCTGGGATGCCACCAACTGGCTATCCTATAGGTATCCTAATATGAAACTTGTCCAACTTGAACTCATGATTTTCTCTCCCAAATCCTCCTCCTTATATTCTCTATCTTGGTGAATGGTACCACCCCTCCAACCAGTTCCCAAATCCTAGGAGTTACTCTAGACCTGCACTGCCCAATATGGATGCCACTAGCTACATATCGCTATTTAAACTTAATTATAGGCTGGGAGTTGCAGTGGCTCACACCTGTAATCCCAGCACTTTAGGAGGCTGAGGCGGGTGGATCACTTGAGGTCAGGAGTTCAAGACTAGCTTGGCCAACATGGGGAAAACCCATCTCTACTAAAAATACAAAAATTAGCTGGGCATGGTGGTGCATGCCTATAATCCCAGCTACTTGGGTGGCGGAGGCATGAGAATTGCTTAAACCCGGGAGGCAGAGGTTGCAGTGAGCTGAGATCGCACCACTGCACTCCAGCCTGGGTGACAGAGTGAGACCCTGTCTCAAAAAAAAAAAACCCTTAATTAGAATTAAATATAGTTCCTTAGTCACACTAGCCACATTTCAAGTGCCCAGTGGCCACATGTGGCCAGTGGCTGTCATACTGGGCCGTGCAGAATACAGGACATTTCCATCGTCACAGAGAGTTCTACTGGACAGTGCTGGCCTGGACTCCTCTCAGGCCCTCACCCCCGACTCTAACTTCTTTTTTTTTTTTTTTTTTGAGACAGTCTTACTCTGTCGCCAGGCTGGAGTACAGTGGCGCAATCTCGGCTCACTGCAACCTCTGCCTCCCAGGTTCAAGCGATTCTCCTGCCTCAGCCTCCCGAGCAGCCGGGATTACAGGCATCTGCCACCATGCGTGGCTAACTTTTTGTATTTTTAGTAGAGACGGGGTTTTACCATGTTGGCCAGGATGGTCTCGATCTCTTTTTTTTTTTTTTTTTTTCCTGAGACGGAGTCTCACCCTGTCACCAAGTCTGTAGTGCAGTGGTGCGATCTCCGCTCACTGCAAGCTCCGCCTCCCGGGTTGACACCATTCTGCCTCAGTCTCCCAAGTAGCTGGGACTACAGGCGCCTGCCACCACGCCCGGCTAATTTTTTGTATTTTTTTTAGTAGAGATGAGGTTTCACCGTGTTAGCCAGGATGGTCTCGATCGCTTGACCT
Source organism: Homo sapiens (assembly GCF_000001405.40). NCBI lineage: Eukaryota > Metazoa > Chordata > Mammalia > Primates > Hominidae > Homo > Homo sapiens. Next base: position 109,396,070 of record NC_000006.12, read on the forward strand.
CGTGATCGGCCCACCTCGGACTCCCAAAGTGCTTCTCTACTCTAACTTCTCAATGTCTTGAGTTTGTCCACTTATCACCTGCTCATCTGTACTGCTGATGCTTTAGAGCAGGACTTCATTTATGGCCTGTTATAACCATAGCTTCTTAAGTGGTCTTGCTACTTCCTTTTCATTCTTTGCCAATTCATTCCTCACTTCTGCTAAAGAGATTTTTTCTTCAAAATGAGAAGCTGGTTATGTCGCTCACAATGTAAAATTCTCCCATGGCCCCCATCACCTTTGCGTGAGGTTCCTGCTCAGCAGCATGGCACCCGCAGTCCATTGGGAGTTGGACCCTTGCTGACCCTCTTATCCGGCCTCCACCCTTTCCATTCTCCCCTAAGTACCAAGCTCTGCCCAGAACAGATGACTTGTAGATAAGATGCTCTCTTACTCCTCAGGGCCTCTCTGCGAAACCTCTTCACTCTTCCTAAAACTGATTTGACTCATTGTGATTTCTAGCTTCTCTATCTGGCTAACTTCTACGTGACATTTCACTCCTCAGCTCACCTTCTCATGAAACTTTCCATGACCCCCTCCCACCTTACAAGTCTCTTAAAATGAAATAATTCCCCCTCCCCCAAACCCCTTCTACAATGGGTGCACGTGAATGGAGAGCTTACAGGCTTGTTTTGTGATATTCTTTCCCTATGAGCCCACTGGGCCAGCCATGCTCTGTGGATTGCTACAGTCTTTCCTGAAGGACATTCCCAGTGTCATCCATCTGAGAGAGCGGCAGGTTCATGTACCTGGAAACTGGGCTTGGAAGGAGTGCCTGTCTTGGATCAGAGAGGAATATTCTTTATCTCTCTGGACCTTGCTAACCATGTCTGGGCTTCCAAAAGCTCAGACACACCTGGGGATACTGAGAGATGATAGGGAAGAGGCAGCCCTACAACTGGGAAGGAAGGTATCCCTGAAGGAGTTCTATTTCATTAGTTTAACTAGATTATCTAGTTGCCTATTATGTTTTACATTTCTGCTTCTCCCTTAGCACTCTGTAAGGTCTTATTTAAATATTCCAGCCCAGCCCCAACTGTGATTTGGAGACTTTGTTTTTAATTTGGAGATTTAAGGAATACACTGAGATCATACTTGAGGCAGAATAGCAGAATAGAAGGAGGGCAGTGCCTCCCTGAGGACAGAGTGGTGATAACAAAAATTAGAGATTTCTCCAAGAGGAAGGTGGATCATAGAGAACAGGAACCATCAAAAGGAGACCGAGTGCTCTCCACTCCATTGCCGCCCTGTAACGCTCTGTGTTCGCTTTGGTGAAGGGAGTTGGAGGGTGTTTTCTTACCCATCTCCCAATGCACCCTGTACACAGTTTGCATGGCCCATGTCTCACTGTCACATAGCTATTGGCTATTTGACCTTGTTTTCATAACATACTCTAAGCTCGCTGAAGAGCAGGGATTGTACCTTGTCGCTCTTTTTCCCCAGCACTGAGTACCATGAATGGCATACTGCAGGTGCCTAAAGAAATTCTGCTTGAATGAGTTGGGAAAACAGCAGAAGTGAAGGCTGAACAAAGGATGTGGGGCCAGAGGACCTGGAATGCCACTCTAGACTTCAGGCTGTGCAGATGTGGAGGTGGTAATGGAGGCACTAAATGTTTTAAAGTAGTCATGTTTGTGTTTGAGAAAGGTACCTTTAGCTGAGATATAAAAGATCACCAGGAAGTTGGTAGAGGACAGAGACTGTCAGCAACATGACAGAGATTTAAATGGTCCAAGAAATGTTATTTGGATTTAAATGATTCAAGAAATGTTATTTGGATTTAAAACTTTTTTTTTTTTTTTTAAATGGTGTCTCACCCTGTCGTCAGACTGGAGTGCAGTGGTGCGATCTCGGCTCACTGCAACCTCCCCCTGCTGGGTTCAAGCAATTCTCCTGCCTCAGCCTCCTGAGTAGCTGGGACTACAGGTGTGTGCCACCATGCCCAGCTAATTTTTGTATTTTTAGGAGAGATGGGGTTTCACCATGTTGGCCAGGATGGTCTTGAACTCCTGACCTCATGATCTACCCGCCTTGGCCTCCCAAAGTGCTGGGATTACAGGCGTGAGCCACCGCGTCCAGCCTTAAAACTAATTTAATAATGCATTTTCGAAATCAGAATACAATTTATTGGGGACCAGGGAAAACTTAAGACAAGTCATTGTTTTACGTTATGCATCTATTAATGTAATGTTATCTCTTTAAAGATATCCTATGGATGAAAATACACTTTCTATTTTTTCAACCTGGAAGTATCACAGAAAGCATTACACTAAAGGAATTACTGTGGTTAAAATGAACACTGGCATGACATTCCAGGTGCTGGAGAGTCAATAATTATCCCTATGGAGTGGGTGGAATAAATCTAACAGTTATTCAGAAAAATACAAACACTTTACATTATCTCAGGGAAGAAGAAGTAAGCCCTGCCTCATATTCACTCAGTAATTAAAGAGAGAGATGAAACACTGGAGTGATGAAAAGTATTTCTATCATCCATTTTAGGTCCACATGGCTTTAAGCATCTTGCTAATAATATTCTAATAATAACTATTACCTGTGATGTTTTCATATTTAAAATCGTTCAGTAAAAAAAGTTATATGTAACTTGAATAGTTTTCATCTACCTCTTCATGATGTCCATGGACAATTATTGAAATGACTTCACCTCTTCACTTCTACATATTAGTATATTATTAAGCACTGTGGTATGATTCATAGTAATAAAGAATTGATAATATCCTTAAGGCTGAAGATTTGATAGATGGATAGATAGAGACACAGAAAGAACATTATTGTGACTATGCCTAAATGGTTTCTGTTTTTATTTTTTTATTTTGTCTTATATATTTTTTGAGGTAGGGTCTCATTCTGTTGCCCAGGCTGGAGTGCAGTGGCACAATCATGGCTCCCAGGCTCAAGCAATCCTCCCACCGAAACTTCTTCAGTAGCTGGGACTACAGGCACACACCACCACACCCAGCTAATTTTTATTTATTTATTTATTTATTTATTTATTTAAGACAGAGTCTTGCTCTGTCGCCCAGGATGGAGTGCAGTGGCACGATCTCGGCTCACTGCAACCTCTGCCTCCTGGGTTCAAGCAATTATCCTGCCTCAGCCTCCCGAGTAGCCGGGACTACAGGTGCATGCCACCACGCCTGGCTAATTTTTTGTATTTTTAGTGGAGATGGGGTTTCGCCATGTTGGCCAGGCTGGTCTGGAACTTCTGCCCTCGAGTGATCTGCCTGCCTCAGCCTCCCAAAGTGCTGGGATTACAGGTGTGAGCCACTGCACCCGGCCTATTTATTTATTTTTGAGACAGAGTCTTGCTGTGTCACCCCGGCTGGAGTGCAGTGGCATGATCTTGGCTCACTGCAACCACCTCCCAGGTTCATGTGATTCTCCTGCCTCAGCCTCCGGAGTGGCTGGAATTACAGGCACATGCCATCATGCCTGACTAATTTTTGTATTTTTAGTAGAGACGGGGTTTTACCATGTTGGGCAGGCTGCTCTGGAACTCCTGGCCTTAAGTAATTCACCTGCCTTGGCCTGCCAAAGTGCTGAGATTACAGGCATGAGCCACCATGCCAAGCCAGATAATTTTTAATCTTTTTGTAGAGATGGGGTCTCGCTATGTTGCCCAGGCTGGTCTTGAACTCCTGGGCTCAAGCAATCTCCCACCTCAGCCTCCAAAAGTGCTGGGATTATATGCCTGAGCCACTGTGTCTGGCCAGTTTCTGTGTTTTTATAGATAGCAAACTTCTTGCAAAATATTTCTTAAATACTTTTGTCTCTATTTGTATTATTTTTGCATTTAAGCCCTATTTTTAGCTACCTATACACTATATACAATACTTATCCAAATATTTTTAAATGACATTTTTACAGGTGTGAATATTATATAAATAGATCTACAATATACATACCCAAAAGCCACAAATTTTCTATCTAGATAAGGAGTTGCTTGCAGTGTGATATAGAATTGTGACCCGTTGCTGTGACGGCCTTTGTTGGCCATTCCAAGTACTCCTCTTTTATTATGAGGAACTGAAAAGTTTTCATCTAGGAAAGACAATAATCAGTAGGTCATTAGCACATTTCTATTATCTCAATTTATTGTAACATATAAGGAACAAATAGAACCCTTGGTAACACTCTCAATCATATTTATCAATGGATTCCAAATTGTAAATATTCTATTCATTTCAAATTATTTTCAAACATGCAAATGGGCTGTTTAAAAAAACCTGTAAAACCTTATTAGAACTATTGGAACATTCAGCTTTAGTTTGTCTTTACCATAAACAAGTGTGCTAAGAAAATTAATAATGTACAAGGAAATATATACAGTATTCTAATCAAGAATAAAGGTCAGCAAACTTTCTCGTGCTGTTTTGGTATTTCTTTCAAACTACCACCATACTCATTAAAAACACCTCCTCTGAGAAGTCTTTTGTGGACCTGACCTTTCCCCCGAACCCCCCAAGCATCTTACACATCGTTCTTGGACAGTCCTTATAACACTCGATGTAATTATTGGTTTACATGGCATTTCTTCTCTAGTAGGTGAAGGCAGGAACCTTGTCTCCTCATGGCTTTAGCTCCAGGCTTCTCAGCACATTAATTGGCATAAATGTGGCCCTAAATGTTTGGGCAGATTTCCATTCCATGTACTTTCCCATTCCATGTAGTTTAAAAATGTTGATGATGAAAGGAAATTAATTGTTTATTTTTAGTGATCTTCAAATAAAATTTTTTTTTTGTTTTTTGAGAGGGAGTCTCGCTCTGTCGCCCAGGCTGGAGTGCAGTGGTGCGATCTCAGCTCACTGCAAGCTCCGCCTCCCGGGTTCACGCCATTCTCCTGCCTCAGCCTCCCGAGTAGCTGGGACTACAGGCGCCCGCCACCATGCCCGGCTAATTTTTTTTTTTTTTTTTTTTTTTGTATTTTTAGTAGAGACAGGGTTTCACTGTGTTGGCCAGGATGGTCTCAATCTCCTGACCTCATGATCCGCCTGCCTCGGCCTCCCAAACTGCTGGGATTACAGGCGTAAGCCACCGTGCCTGGCCAATCTTCAAATAAATTTTAATCTGAAACCTTATTTGGATTGACCAAGATTTTGTGGAAAGCAATAGCTTTTTTAGTGTAAGATTTAGAAGTAAAAAGAGTTGTATGGTGATTATTAGGCTACCAATTTGAAGACGTACCATTCCCAGCTTTGCCTCCAAGTTCAAATACACAGAAGGAAATAATGGATGAGAAATTCAGTGAATTTTTTCATTCAATAACTTCATAAATTTCTGAGAATAACTGAGAAATATGAATATTAACTGTCTATAAGATTTTATTAAACTGCAACTGCTGTTATTAAGTTTCAAAACTAAGCAAACTAAGTGATTAAGCCATATCTGGGTAGTTACTTTCAGCCTGGTAAGTTGAAAACTGAATAAAGACCCCTGAAACCTTATGAAATGCTGATGAGGCATGTTTGTACAAATGAGTCTATATAATTACGCTGATGCTCCTTATTCATTTCAGTGAAATAAAGAAAAAAACTCATAATTTCACAGAAAATTGCATGAAATGGAAATCTGCCCACAGCAAAGACTCAGAGAGTTTTTCTTTTTTTTTTTTGTGAGATGGAGTCTCGCTCTGTTGCCCAGGCTGGAGTGCAGTGGCGCGGTCTTGGTTCACTGCAAGCTGCGCCTCGGGTTCATGCCATTCTCCTGCCTCAGCCTCCCTTAGTAGCTGGAACTACAAGCGCCCACCACCACGCCCGGCTAATTTTTTGTATTTTTAGTGGAAACAGGGTTTCACCGTGTTTGCTAGGATGGTCTCTATCTCGTGACCTCGTGATCTACCCGCCTCGGCCTCCCAAAGTGCTGGGATTACAGGCGTGAGCCACCGCGCCCGGCCCAGATTCAGAGAGTTTTAACAGAATGGTATTTGTCATTGCTTTTACATATTCTGATTTATTTTTCTTAAATTCTTTAAAAATTGGGAAAGAAAATTGATGAGTTGTAACATTTTTATAAAAAATTCTGTGATTGTGGGATAATTTTAAAGCAGTTAATCATAATACCTATCAAAGAAACTGCTACCTATGTGAAAACCCATGTATAAAACAGTGCAAAAAGTGCCTAGAGCAGCCAGGCACAGTGCCTCATGCCTGTAATCCCAGCACTTTGGGAGGCCAAGGTGGGTGGGTCGCTTGAGGCCAGGAGTTCGAGACCAGTCTGGCCAACATGGCAAAACCCCGTCTCCACTAAAAACACAAAAATTAGCTGGGTGTGGTGGTGCATGCCTGTAATCCCAGCCACTTAGGAGGCTTAGGCACAAGAATCGCTTGAACCCAGGAGGCGGAGGTTGCAGTGAACTGAGATTGCGCCAATGCACTCCAGCCTGGATGACAGAGAAAGACTCGGTCTCAAGAAAAAAAAAAAGTGCCTAGAGCCCTCTCATCTCCTGAACACATTTATTTAGGACAGCATGGAAATCCTTAGAGACAATTTGAGAACCATTGCTATAAAGGGACAGAATAAATTATATTTTTAAAAGGTGCAGGTAGTCCCTGACTTAGAAACTTAAAAATGTATGGACCTGAAAAAAAGTGTGAAAACTAAACGACTGTGTGTGGATTCTCTAAGTCCAGAATGTGTATGTGAATCTTAAGAACCCGAGGCTATGCTGCTTCCAGCCAGGCAGTAATGCCAGGGCCTACGGAAATCGCTCAGTGGTCATGCCGTAACTGGCCTACTTGGCATGATCTTGTATGCATCAAATAAAATGATGTGTAAGAAAGAACCGTTTTAAATATTAACTCTAACTAGCTTTGCAGACATAAAGTATTACAAGACAAGGGTAATTTACGTGTTATTTTGTTCTGCCGTGTCTCTCTGACTCACTCTTTAATCGTCTGCTCACCTCGGTATTTCTCGATCTTTCCAACCCCTCTGCTTTCCTTCTGCCTCTTTACACTTCTTTTCAAGCTTCCATAAAGCTCTAAAATTAAAGAGCTATAATTTAAATTTAAATTAAATTAAATTTTTTTAGAGAAGGCATCTTGCTAGTTGTTCAGACTAGTCTTGAACTCCTGGGCTCAAGGCCTCCTGCCTCAACCTCCTGAGTAGCTGGGACTACAGGTGTGTGCTACCACACCTGGCTAGCTCTAATTTTTTTTAAAAAAATTATTTACCAACATAAATTTCCCTGATTTTTTTTCTAATAGTAAATTTTTGGTACATTTCATTTAACACTTAAAACATTAAGTTGCTTTATACTTCCATGATATCAAAATGCACCCTTTGGCAGTAAACAGCACTGCTGAAGGGGGCTGAGCCTCTTTAGGTTTAAACAGAGTGAAAGCCCCCATAGAGGAATTTCTGTCCTCTTTGTTTGGTGAGGAGTGAGGCCACTGGTCAGTAAATAGGTTTGATTCAAGCCTATTTTCTCCTGAGTGCTTCTGCCAGGGATAAAGTATGTGTGGGAACAACCTACACAGAAACCAATAGCTGAAACTTGCCTAAGTAGAAAGAGCCTATTTATTTAGGACTTTAAAAGTTGTGATTCAAAACAAAGCAAAACAGACTTTCCCTAGGTTAAAAAAAAATTAATTCGTTTATAAAATGATAATCTAATTAAATGATACATTACTTATTGCATTATTTTTGTGTTAAGCTTAACAAAAGTGAGTTTTGTGGTTGCAGTTTTTCACAGCCCCAGTTTTAATTCTGCATCTCATGGAAGTAGGAACCCATGAGAGAAATGTGGAGGAAGGACTGGCTGGCTGCTGCATTCACATTCCCAGGCAGGTGAAGGGATGAGGGAGAAAGACCCATGCCTTAGCTGTTCTGAGGACTAGCTGTGCTCTCGCTTTCACAGTTACTCATCTTTCCTTCTGGAACATCTCTTCTTCCCACTTGATTGCTTCCTGGATTTTTTCTAATTTTGTCCTACCAGACCAACCGAATAATAAAAACTTCACTGAATGCACTGGGACTCCATGGGCACAGTGAGGACAGCAAAGATTCTATCTGGAGAGCAGATACTACAACAGTCTAAGGATGGGGTGAGGGATAATCAGCAGAGACTCAGGGGTGTCTAGGAGGTCAGGCAAGGAGATGAGTGAACAGATCAGTCTCCTACTGGACAGGAGGCCCACGTTCCATCTGAGGCTGTGCCTCCGAGCACAAAGCATTTGGGTGCTCTGATAATGGCTGTGGGGTGGAGAGGTACAGTGGATTCTCATCAGGGATTGGGGCCAGGAGAGTCCTTTCTCCATCTGCAACGTGTTGCTGCAGACCCAACTCAAAGCTTCTCTGTGCTGCCGCACCCAACTCTCCAGGCAGCTATTCTTTCTTTTCCCACAGCACTCAGTTCCCTCCTCTCTAACAGCAACTGGCACAGCACCTGTAGTTGATCTGTTTTAACATCTGTCTGCACAAAACTACTACAAGCCTTCCGAGTAGAAACTCGGTTATACCATCTTTGTTGCCACAGGCCCTAGCACCATGTGAGCACCTACTTTGGAGTTTAGTATTTTATGAATGACTAAAGGAATGGTGTCACTTGCATGTTTTCATTTGATAGAGCTGTCTGCAGGAATTCAGAAGGAAAGTAGCTATTACTTTTTCCCTTTCACTTTGGCCATCGATTCAATAAAGATATCTTTTCGGCCGGGTGCAGTGGCTCTCGTCTGTAACTTTGGGAGGCCGAGGTGGGCAGATCACGGGGTCAGGAGTTTGAGACCAGCCTGACCACCACAGTGAAACCCCGTCTCTACTAAAAATACAAAAAAATTAGCTGAGCATGGTGACACGCACCTGTAATCCCAGCTGCTCAGGAGGCTGAGGCAGGAGAATCACTTGAACCTGGGAGGTGGAGGTTGCAGTGAGCCGAGATCACGCCATTGCACTCCAGCATGGGTGACAGAGAGACTCCGTCTCAAAAAAGGAAAAAAAAAAAGATATCTTTTCATAACCTTTTCATTTTATTCAAATATAGACACAAAAAGCCACAGAAAACTAATGTATAAAGTTATCATAAGGCATATACCCTTTTAACTACCACTCAGGCCAAGAAAAGAAACTTTGCTGGCTTCTGCCCAAAGTTCCTTGTCAAGCCCCTCTCTCACCCAAAAGGAATCATTCCCCCGACTTTTATATAACCATGCACTTAATGTTTCCTTATAGTTTTAACATCCAAATATGCATTCCTAAGCACTATAGTTTAGTCTTTCCCATTTAAAAAAAATTGGTTATGCTTTTAAGCTTCTTTTAATCTGCAGGTTCTTACCTCCATCCCTTTCTTTTCCTTACATTTATCTATTACTAATGAACCTGAGCTGTTTAACCTCGAGAATTTCTCCCAGTCTGGAGTCTGTTGATTGCACACATGGTACAGTCCAGCATGTTGCTCTGTCCTCTGTCCTGTCAGTTCTGCTATAATACTTGTTTTGAAAATGCACATTTGCTTCAACTTGATGGATATATTAGGGAAAGCCTTGTACATTATGGATTTCGCCCCCACTTACATTCTTCCACCATGAGAAACACTAGGGAAATGAAAACTGCATTCAGCTACATGGAGCCACATAGGAACACACACACCTCAGATATCTACCAGCTACCCTGGAGCTGTTCTGAGCCTCTCCCACCCACACCTAGGGTTCTGATTGCAGAAAACCCTCCTTCCGCCACTTCAAAATTGCTCAAAAGCTGCAACTCTTTCCATACCCACCTTCATGAACTTCAGGTCTTTTGCAAGGTATGTATGTTTCGTGACCATTTAACATATGTAAAACTGTATTGCTGGGTTTTTTGGGCTACTATCCTGTTTTTTAATGCCATCAAGAAAGTTTTTCTTAAACCTCATTTTCACAATAAACTCAGTGGTTTTTGTTGTACAATGCTGCAAAGTGTAGATTTTTTTGGTTTGTGTTTTGTTTTTTGAGGCAGGGTCTCAGTCTGTCACCCAGGATGGAGTCCATCATGGCTCCATGATCATGATGATCATGGCTCACTGCAGCCTTGGACCTCCCCAGCTCGAGATCCTCCTACCTCAACCTCCCAAGTAGCTAGGACCACAGGTGCATGCCACCACGCCCAGCTAATTTTTTTTTTTTTTTTAAGAGATGGGATCTCGTTATGTTACCCTGGCTGGTTTTGAACTCCTGGGCTCAAGCAATCCTCCCACTTCAGTCTCCCACAGTGCTGGGATTACAGGCATGAGCCACCATGTCTGGCCAAAGTGTGGAGATTTTTTAGGAACACATATGTCGCAATACAACAGAACTGACTGTATTTCTTGCAAATCGGCAGCTGAGTCCAGAGGCTTAGTCAGACTCATATTCTTTGGTAGTGTGTTCTTTCAACAGAAGCCTCATCATGTCTGGTTGTCTCTGTTTTTGTGAAATTAGTAGATTGATGCAGCAAATGCTTAGATCCATTATTTCACTGGGGGCAGCAAAATGGTGACATTCCAATTCTATTATTTCCTTTTCATTTATCAGTGGCAATACTTTTATAAAGAGATGTTTCTCCCCTTACCTACAATTTAGTACAGTTCATATAGGAAAGGTGGTGCTTGATTCTTTCCCTATACATACCACTTTTCATGATAAATTCATTTTCTAGTATTCCTCCAAAGGTAACCCATTAGCCTTTATTTTATAATATCATTATAAACTCACAGATTTGAGATATTTGTTGGGTTTTGATCAACTGCAATTATTATTGTTTGTGAAGCTCCAATTACTCCATCTTTGGTCAGTGAGACCCTCTTCAAATTGGCTCCTGAGGCCTTTTGACATGACCCCAGTAATCTTTCAGAAAAGAAATCTCCACACTTTGCAGCATCGTACAACAAAGGCCACTTTTGCTATCTAATAGAACATGAGGTTCCAGGCTCATTTTGTAGATTTCCCCCGTGAGATCTGGCATCTGCCATTTCTCCCAGAGACTCTGGTTTCTTTAAGTAAGAAATGACATTTCAAAACAACAATCTAAATTCTAGGACTACACATTGCTACTGGGTTGTGGCCATTGTTTATAGACCTTTTCAGTGGATAGAGCTATATATATACACATTTGATACTTCTTGAGTTTAAAGTCATGTTCAGGACTATGGAATATTCTTTTTTTTTTTTTTCTTGAGATGGAGTCTCGCTCTTTCGCCCAGGCCGGACTGCAGTGGCGCTATCTCGGCTCACTGCAAGCTCTGCCTCCCGGGTTCACGCCATTCTCCTGCCTCAGCCTCCCGAGTATCTGGGACTACAGGCGCCCGCCACCGCGCCTGGCTAATTTTTTGTATTTTTAGTATAGACGGGGTTTTGCCGTGTTAGCCAGGATGGTCTCGATCTCCTGACCTCGTGATCTGCCCGCCTCGGCCTCCCAAGGTGCTGGGATTATAGGCACCGCGCCCGGCCAGGACTATGGAATATTCTTATTAGCCTCTATTACATTTCATCTCTATCTTCTTTCTTCCACATTGAGAATCCTGATTCTCAAGGACAAACAAAATGATGAAATTTTTATATTCCATAATTACTCAATGACTTTATCCCACATTACATATACAACAGTCTCAAAATAACAATACTAATAATACCATCACCAGTGTACTTTACTGAGAATAGTTAAAAAATAAAACTTGTATATATTCATTTTCTTCTATTTTTTAAATAGACTTTGTCTCCACTGCCCAAGCATATCATCATACAGCATACTCTCACCCTTTGAGATGGGGTCTTGCTATGTTGCCCAGGCTGGTCTCAAGCTTCTGGGCTCAAGCAATTCTCCTGCCTCAGCCTCCCAAGTAGGTGGGACTAAAGGTGCATGCTGCCACACCTGGCGTACTCCTCACTGAATATAATAAATTCACAAATAATAATATGATTAATGCTCACCACCAGTTGTGTGTCAAGGTCTCTCTTATTATTAATATTTGGTTGTGTGAAATTCATTCTACAGGAGATTCTGCAGAAAGGGCTCATGGCAACACTATTCCCTGAAGTCTTGCATGTTGATAAACCTGTGTGCCCTTTATAATTTAACATCAGTTTGACTGGATATAAAATCCTTGCTCACATTTCCTTTGCTTGAGTTCATAAATATATTATTCCATTTTCTTCTGGCATAAAGTGTTGCTGTCAAAGAATATGATAATCTAATTTTCTTTCCCTTATAAATCACTTGCTCTTTTTCCCTAGATGCCCAAATAATTTTTCTTCAATGTCCAATAATGTTAGGAAAATATGTCTTGGTGTTGGTTGTTCTGCTTCAAATTGTCAGGTTCATGGTATGCATTTTCAATAAGTGGTTTCAATTTTTTAGATACTTTTATTTGAGGTATAAACATTTTCACTTGAGATATATAAATATTTTTACTTACGGTATAAACATATGCTTGAGGTATACACAATTGTCAAAATGCATCAAACATCTAAGATATATGCATTTTATTAAAATTTAATAAATACATATTTGATGATCAGTTTGATGCTGTATAACCACCACCTAAAATAAGATATAGAACCTCAAATCCTTTTTATATTTTAGGGAAGTTTTCTTTAATTATAGTCTTAGCATTCATTCTGTTCCCCTGCATTAATTTAATTCCTTAGAGATACGTATCATCTAAATGTTAAATCTCCTCTTTCTTTAATATTTGTCACTTTCCTGTAAATAATTTTTACCTTTCTTCATTTACTTTTGGTTTAAAAAAATTTCCTCCTCCTGAGGGAATACTTCTAAACTCATTTTACAAGGCCAGTATTACCCTGAATACCAAAACCAGACAAAGGCACATCATAAAAAGAAAACTACAGGCCACTACCTCTGATGAATACTGATGCAAAAGTCCTCAACAAAATACTTACAAACCAAATTCAACAATACATTAAAAGGGCCATTCATCATGACCAAGCAGGACTTATCCTTGAGATGCAAGGATGGTTCAATGTATGCAAATCAATCAATGTGATATCGACAAAATGAAGGATAAAAACCATATGATCATTTCAATTAATGCTGAAAAAGCATTTGATAAAATTCACATCCCTTCATGATTAAAAACCCTCAAAAGACTGGGTATAGTTCTCCTAGTACTATGTAGCTAGAGCAACCAGACAAGAGAAAGAAATAAAGGGGGTCCAAATTGGAAAGAAAGAGGTCAGGTCAGGTGCGGTGGCTCACGCCTGTAATCCCAGCACTTTGGAAGGCCAAGGCAGGCGGATCACTTGAGGTCAGGAGTTCCAGACAAGCCTGGCCAACATGGTGAAACCCCATCTCTATTAAAAATACAAAAAAATTAGCCAGGCAGGGCGGCAGGTGCCTGTAATCCCAGCTACTCAGGAGGCTGAGGCAGGAGAATCACTTGAACCCAGGAGGCAGAGGTTGCAGTGAGCTGAGATCACGCCACTGCACCCCAGCCTGGGCGACAGTGTCGTGAGACTCCATCTCAAAAAAAAAAAAGAAAGAGGTCAAATTATCCTTGTTTATAGATTACATGATCTCATATTTAGAAAAACCTACAGACTCCACACAAAAGTCTATTAGAACTGATAAATAAATTTAGTAAAGTTGCAAGATACAAAAACATACAAAAATCAATAGCATTTCTATATGCCAACACTGAACAATCTGAAAAAGAAATCTAAAAAGTAAACCCATTTACAAATAAAACTAAATTAATAGGAATTAACCAAAGTGAAAAATCTCTACAATGAAAACTATACAACACTGATGAAAGAAACTGAAGAGGATGCCCCAAAAATGGAAAGCTATTTCATGTTCATAGGCTAGAAGAATCAATATTATTTAAAATGTCCATACTATCCAAAGCAATCTAGAGTCAATGCAATCTCTATCAAAATACCAATGACAGCCCACTAGCAGGGTGGCCATAGTGCCATCTGCCTCGTGTAGGGCCCGCTTCTCTGACCAGCAGACCCATGGATTACCACCTGATGCAAGCCCCTCCCACTGAGGCAGCCTCGCTGAGCCCATCGCAGCTGAGGTATCCTGGAGAGATCTTCACCCGTGTCCCATGTGGAAGATCAGTTGGCACCATTTCTGCTGGAGCTTTAATATTTTTCTTCTTCCTGATTATAATACTTATTTTCTGTAGCTTTAGCCAAGCTCCTGGGAAACACCTCTTTTGTCCTTGTTGGGTGTAGAGGCCATGCTAAGGCCCAACGGAACACCATGTTGTCACTGTTCATCCTGTTTGCTCTCCTAATCACCTTGGTCCAGTATGGGTGGGAACACAACTCTATAATAAATATTTCGACAAGTATTGCATCAGGGAATCATCTTCATGGCTGCTGGATTGTCATGAACATTCCCAGGATAGAGAGTTCTGTCTTCTGGCTTACCTAAGAAACCTCACTACCATCCCCGCTGACCTCCTAAAATAGTGATCTTCAAATCCCAAACTCCTACTTGTTGAATGGAACTCTCCCCCACTTAACGGATTCCACTTGAACCCCCTGCCAACATTACCTGGACCTGGGAAATTGGGTATCTATATCTCTAGCGCACTAATGATTCTATCTTTTGCATTCACTGTTGTGTTCATGACACAAGAGTGGAAGCCTCCCTGTGATGCTCTGATTCAACTTTAGTTGCCACATTCCCAAGGCCACAGCAAGGTAAATGGGATTCTACTTGTAAGTGAGGAGACCACATATGGTGCCTTCTGGATCAGAACATATAAGGGAAAAACAACTGCCTAGTCTGGGAAGGTGGGAGTACTGCCCCCTTCCAGAAAACAAAGGGTGTCCCGCCACCCCCATCGGAACAGGGGAAAAATATCTCTCTAGACACAATTTCACAGTAAAGCATAAATACCACATCCCAATAGGGCTTCTGTTTGTGCCCCAACCGGCTCATTTTTGTTTGTGGCATGAATGGGAAGAAGTTACAACCTGAACTGCTCCCAACTCCCTAGGAAGTCACCTTTTCCCTTAGGAGTAGCTTTCCCTTGTATATCAAAAACTTGGAACAGAGGTGAATGTATGCTGGCCACTCTTGCCCCTCCAGGAGTCACTGTCTATAACCGCATAACACCCAAGAATACCAGAAGTAAGTGAGTAATAGGAGTAATTCTGGCAGGAATTGGCAGTGATAGGACTAGCAGCACCCCGGGGCAGCTTTGCCTACCATGAGCCAACTCTAATGAACTTGACTCAATCCCTAGAATCCTTAGCCACCAACACAGGTCAGGCATTAAAGGGAATTCAAGAGTCCTTAGGCTCTTTGGCAAATGCAGTTCTCATTAACAGACTAGCATTGGATTATTTACTAGCTGAACATGGTGGAGTCTGTGTAGTTATTAATAAAACCTGCTGCACATAT
Organism: Homo sapiens; assembly: GCF_000001405.40. Classification (NCBI taxonomy): domain Eukaryota; kingdom Metazoa; phylum Chordata; class Mammalia; order Primates; family Hominidae; genus Homo; species Homo sapiens. The sequence goes on from NC_000006.12 coordinate 109,411,463, forward strand.
TTTAACAACTCTAGGCAAGTTGAGATTAACATTCAAAAGATCTATGAACAAGCTACCTGGTTACACAGATATAACCAGGGCACTGACCCCAACTATAGCTGGTCAATTATCAAGTGCTTTCCCAAGTCTCACCTGGTTTTTACCTCTCATAGAACCTTGGATAGTTATCTTCTTGTTTCCAATTTTTGGCCCTTGCTTATTTAACCTCTTAGTAAAAGTTTGTGTTTTCTAGATTACAACAGTTCCAGGTAAAAAACAATGCTGGCACAAGGCTTCCAACCTATCCCATCTACTGACCTGGAGAATGAAAGTGTCCTGCCTGTGGGCCCGTTACAACAGGTATCCAGAGATTTTTTTACTCCTCCAGTGCTAGGCAGGGCCTATGGCCATGAGCTCAGCAGCAAGCAGTTACAGAAGACTGGCCTTCACCCTTCTGCAGCCCTCTTAATATTAAGGAGGAGGATCTAATTTCTGAGGGGAAAATGAGGTAGGAGGCAGGACTTGACTCCAGAGGTGGGGCTCAGATTGAGGACTCCAGAGGTGGGGATCAGATTGAGGACTAGCTAAAATAGGGCCAGGGCGAAAGCACCTTTCAATCAGACCTGTCCATCAATGTGCCATGTCAATCTACTGTTGCCGAGGCAACACCTGGGAGTTACTGGCCTTTTCCATGGCATCTAATGATCCAAAAGTTACTATCCCTTTCCTGCATAAACTGCCCCTTAATCTCATGCAATTAAAAGTGGGTATAAATGTGACTGTAAAACTGTCCTGAGCTGCTACTCTCTGCCTACAGGGTAGCTCTGCTCTGCAGGAGCAGTCACAGAGCTATAACACCACTGGAGCTGTAACACTGCCTGTTCAATAAAGCTGTTTTCTTCTAAAAAGGAATTACCAATGACATTCTTCATGGAAATAGAAAAAACAATCCTAAAATTTACATGGAGCCATGAAAGACCCCGAATAGCTAAAGCTATCTTAAGCAAAAAGAACAAAACGGAAGGAATCACATTACCTGACTTCAAATTATACTACAGAGCTATAGTAACCAAAACAGCATGATACTGGCATAAAAACAGACACATAGACCATCAGAACACAATAGAGAACCCAGAAACAAATCCACAAACTCATAGTGAACTCACTTTCAACAAAGGTGCCAAGAACATAAGCTGAGGAAAAGACTTCAATAAATAATGCTGGGAAAACTGGATATCCATATGCAAAAGAGTGAAACTAGACCCCTACCTCTCACCATATATAAAAATAAAATCAAAATGGATTAAAGACTTAAATCTAAGCCCTCAAACTATGAAACTACTACAAGAAAACATCGAGGAAACTCTCTGGACAAATGGGATCATATCAAGTTAAAAAGATTCTGCACAACAAAGGAAACAACAAAGTGAAGACATGGCTGGGCGTGGTAGCTCACACCTGTAATTCCAGCACTTTGGGAGGCTGAGGCAGGTGGATCACGAGGTCAGGAGTTCAAGACCAGCCTGGCCAACATGGTGAAACCCTGTCTCTACTAAAAATACAAAAATTAGCCAGGTGTAGTTATGTGCGCCTCTAATCCCAGCTATTTGGGAGGCTGAGGGAGGAGAATTGCTTGAACCCAGGCAGCGGAGGTTGCAGTGAGCTGAGATGGCACCACTGCATTCTATCCTGGGTGACAGAGTGAGACTCTGTCTCAAAACAAACAAACAAACAAACAAAAACCCACAGAAAATATTTGCAAACTACCCATCTGACGAGGGATTAATAACCAGAATATATAAGGAGCTCAAACAACTCTACAGGAAAAAACCTAATAATCAGATTATAAAATGGGCAAAAGATTTGAACAGACATTTCTCAAAAGAAGACATACAAATGGCAAACAGGCATATGAAAAGGTGCTCAACACCACTGATCATCAGAGAAACGTAAACCCAAACTACAACGAGATATCTCACTCCAGTTAAAATGGCTTTTATCCAAAAGACAGGCAATAACAAATGCTGGCAAGGATGTGGAGAAAAAGGGACCCTTGTACACTGTTGGTGGGAATGTAAACTAATGTGCAACCACTATGGAGAACAGTTTGGAGGTTCCTCAAAAAACTAAAAATAGAGCTACCATATGATCCAGGAATCTCACTGCTGGGTATATACCCAAAAGAAAGGAAATCATTATATCAAAGAGATACCTGCACTCCTATGTTTGTTGCAGCACTGTTTACAATTGCCAAGATTTGGAAGCTACCTAAGTGTCCATCAACAGAAGAATGGATAAAGAAAATGTGGTACATATACACAATGGAATACTATTCAGCCATAAAAAAGAATGAGATCCAGTCATTTGCAACAACATGGATGGGACTGGAGGTCATTATGCTAAGTGAAATAAGCCAGGCACAGAAAGACAAACATAACATGTTCTCATTTATTTGTGAGATCTAAAAATCAAAACAAATAAAATCATGGAGACGAGAGTAGAAGGATGGTTACCAGAAACTGGGAAGGGTAGTGAGGGTTAAAGGAGGGTGGTGAGGATGGTTAATAGGCACAAAAAAAAAGAAAAAATGAGTAAGACCTCGTATTTGATAGAACAAGAGGGCAACTATAGTCAATAATAATTGTACCTTTTAAAATAAAAGTGTATAATTGGATTGTAACACACAGAATAACTGCTTGAGGAGATGGATACCCTATTTTATATGATGTGATAATTTCACATTGCTTGCCTGTACCAAAATATCTCAGGTACCTCATAAAGATACACACCTACTATGTACCCACAAAAATTAAAGCAAACAAAAAAATTCCTCTGCCTACCTTGTACTTCTTTTAGGACATATGTTGTATTTTTATTTCCTCTTATGTTCCTTGTAGTTTACTCACTTCTGAAATTATTTTTCTTTCATTGCTTTCCTCAGCCCTTCTTTCCTCAGCTCTGTTGCATCATGTTTTTTTCTAATTCTGATTTATGAGCTCTTTCATGTCTTGTATCATTTTCTTAATGTCTTTTAGCTTTTTTTTTTTTTTTTTTTTTTTTTGAGACAAGGTCTTGCTCTGTTGCCCAGGCTGGAGTGCAGTGGTGCAATCTTGGCTCACTGCAGCCTCTGCCTCCCAGGCTCAAGCAATCTTCCCACCTCAGCCTCCCAGGTAGCTAGGATTACAGGTGTGTGCCACTATGCCCAGCTAATTTTTGTATTTTTTGTAGAGATGGGGTTTGCCATGTTGCCCAGGCTTCTTTTAGCTTATTTTGATATAGACTGTTACAGTTTTGATCTACAGTTGACCCTTAAACAATGCGGGGGGTTAGGGACACCAACCCCTCGGAGCAGTCAAAAATCCACATATAACTTTTGACTCCCCAGTGACTTAACTACTAATAGTCTGCAATGGACTAGATGCCTTATCAATAACATAAATAGTCGATTACATATATTTGGTGTGTTACATGTATTGTATACTGTATCCTTACAATAAAATAAGCTAGAGAAAATAAAATGTTATAAAGAAAATCATAAGGAAGAGAAAATATATCTACTATTCATTAAGTGGAAGTGGATCATCATAACAGTCTTCATCCTTGTCACACTGAGTAGGCTGAGGAGGAGGAAGAGAAGGAGTTGGTCTTGCTGTCTCAGGGTGGCAGAGGCAGAGAGGTGGACGAGGTAGAAGGGGAGGCAGGAAAGGTGGTCACACTCAGTGTTAACTTTACGGAAATACATTATAATTTGTTTGACTTTTTGCTTTTTCATTTCTCTAGCAATGTTTCCATACAGTATCAATCCTTATTCCACTCTTTGCTTTAGTTTCATTGCTCTTATCATAAAAGGGTCTATGTTGTAAAAGAAGTCAAAAGTAGTCTTGAGTAACTGGAACCCTTCCGCCAGATTGTCTAGTGTCAGTTTGTTTCCTGACACTGCTCCTTCTACGTCTTCTTCCTCATGATCTGGCACTGGTTCGGAGGCACTCATCTCTATCAACTCATCTTTGAATGCCTCTGCTGTGGTATATATTAGGCCTTGAATTTCTCCAAGATCCATATCTTGACAACGTTCACCCCTCATCTTTTTTGCCATATCCACAAATCTCTTTGATGATTTCCTTGATGGGCTCTGTCATAAATCCCGTGAAGTCAAGCACAACATCTGGGCACAATTTTCTCCAGCGGAAACTTGTTTTGAGCTTGATGGCTTTCATGGCTTTTTCTATAACGACAATAGCATCTTGAATGGTATAATCCTTCCAGACTTTCATGACGTTCTTTCTATTGGGGTTCTCTTCCATAATGTTGACAATCCTTTCCATAGAGTACCATGTGTAATCAGCCTTAAAGGTCCTTATGACCCCCTGACTAGAGGCTGAATTAGACATGTTGTGTTTGGGGACTAGTAGACCACTTTGATGCCTTTGGTGTTGAACTCATGGTGTTCTGGTGGCCAGGGGCATCATTGTTCAATATCAAAAGAACTTTTTAAAAGGTAGTCCCTTACTGGCAAGGTACTTCCTAACTTCAGGGAGAATGTATTGATGTAACCAATCTAGAAAAAGGGTTCTCATTGTCCAGGCCTTTTTGTACAACCAAAAGGCTGGCAGTTGGTGTTTAGGTTAGCAGCTTTATGGTTAGGAGCAGTCTGGATCATAAACCCAACTGCATTGGCACACAACAGTACAGTTAGCCTATTCCTTCCTGCCTTAAATGATAGTGCTTGCTTCTCTTACTAATAAATGTCTTTTGTGGCTTTTTTTTTTTTTTTTTTTGAGACAAGAGTCTTACTCTGTCTCCTAGGCTGGAGTGCAGTGGCGTGATCTCGGCTCACTGCAACCTCTGCCTCCCGAGTTCAAGTGATTCTCCTGCCTCAGTCTCCCAAGTAGCTGGGATTACAGGCACCTGCCATCACTCCCAGCTAAATTTTATATTTTCAGTAGAGACAGGGTTTCACCATGTTGGCCAGGCTGGTCTTGAACTCCTGACCTCAGGTGATCCACCCGCCTCAGCCTCCCAAAGTGCTGGGATTACAGGTGTGAGCCACTGCGCCTGGCCTTTTTGTGGCTTTTTTTTTTTTTTTTCCAGAATAGGTCACTTTTGTCTGCCATAAAACTTGTTCAGGTAGATATCCTTTTTCTTCTCATTTTGTTAATGACATCTTGGAATTTATCTTCTGCCTCTTGGTCAGAAGAAGCTGCTTCTCCTGTTATCTGGACATTTTTAAAGCCAAACTTTTTTCTAAAATTATCAAACCATCTTTTGCTGGAATTAAATTATCCAGTTTTAGATCTTTTACCTTCCTTTTGCTTTAAGTTGTCATATAATAGCTTTGATTTTTCTCAAATCATATTAGAGTCTACAGGTCTGCCTTTCTTATAGCCATCCTGTGCCCACATAAAAGCTGCATTTTCAATACAAGACAAAAAAGGTATTTTGCAGGCTAGGCTTGGTGGCTCACACTTGTAATCCCAATGACTCAGAAGGCCAACTCAGGAGGACCACTTGAGCCCAGGAGTTGGAGACCAGCTTGGACAACAGAGCAAGACCCCATCTCTACAAATCTTTTTTTTAAAATTAGCCAGCGTGGTGGCATGCACCTGTAGTCCTAGTTACCTGGGAGGTTGAGGCAGGAGGATCCCTTAAGCCCAGGAGTTTAAGGTTACCATGAGCTATGATCACGCCATTGCACTTTAGCCTGGACGACAAAGTGAGATCCTGTCTCTTAAAAAAAAAAAAAAGAAAAAAAAAGGTAAAAGTATTTCACAAAAAAGTGCAAGGTTTTCACACCTGATGGTATAGCTGCAGTGGCAGCTTCTCCAAAAAATGGTCCTCCAAGTAGGTAGTAGTCCCACCTACTTAGGAGGCTAAGGTGGGAAGATTGCTTGAGCCCAGGAGTTCAAGTCCAGCTTGGGGAATACAGTGAGACCCTGTCTCTATTTTTTTTTTTTTTTTAAAGAAACTGACTGTAAGTTTCTTTAAGTGGACTCGTACATTTCAAATCCATGTTGCTCAAGGGTCAACTGTATCCTATGAGCATGTCTTTCTAGGGTACATTCACTATCAATGCTGATGTTACTCTGCTCTTTATTCTCTTTATTCTTATAATCACCTTGAAACTTCTATTGTTCATTCTAATATAAAATTAGTGTAATAGTGGTCAGAATCAAAATGTAGTCATGTTTAAAAAATGCTGACAAATAGAGCCAAGGAAAGCTATGAACAGAGAACTCTCACACTTGTATGCCTGATAGCAAAACAATCACAAAGAACTACAAAAGCCACAACCTTGCATAAAGGCCATTGCGACCTTATGCAGGAAATATTAATACTTCTGCAGGGACACCTGTCCAGTCCAACCTTGGACTCTTGTTACTGATCGCTATAGCCAAGGATAATCATTTCAAAACAATTACGTAATCTTCCCCAATTTTCCTTTAAAACCCTTTGTCTGCCTTTACCTTCCTGAATATGCACATCGTTTCCTATGGCACATATATGCCTACAGCAATACCCTATTCCTGAATAAACATTATTTTCTTTCAGAGAAACTCTCTTTGTTATATAGGGTGACATTAGTTTTCCTAAATGTTTAGAAGATGTGTCTTTAGAAAGAAAGTAGATTTTCTAGTTTCAAAAAGCTCCCTCTTGCATGTTGAAAATCTTGCATATTGAAGCATGTGGCTTTCTTCCTTAAATTTCTGACTCTGTTCCTATTCCCTCTTTGTCATGATTGTCCCTGTATCCTGGATAATTTTGATGCCATTCCCAACAGTTCCATCTGCATGGGAGCCTGTCCTGGAAGAGAGCCTTGTCAGATCAGTTTCGAGAGTACACAGGGGTTAGACTGCTCCTGCCTCTTCCAACCTTCCTGGGGGCCCCCTGTACTCACACACTATTGGCTACTTAGGGGATCCTAAGTACCCTATTCTTGGGAAGCCCTGCCCTCCCCTACACAGATGCTGATACTGTGCAGATTTCATGGCTGTTGGTTTGTTGTTTGTCCTTAACTGTTTGTATTGTGGAATTTAGGTAGATACCTTGTCACCTGCTTTTGTTGTAAATGTTATACAGGGTTTTTCTACCAACAGCAATCTTTTTTTCTTTTTTTTTTTTTTTTGAGACCGAGTCTCACTCTGTCACCCAGGCTGGAGTGCAGTGGCACCATCTCAGCTCACTGCAACCTCCATGTCCCAGGTTCAAGTGATTCTCCTGCCTCAGCCTCCTGAGGATCTGGGAGGCGTGCGCCATCATGCCTGGCTAATTTTTGTATTTTTAGTAGAGATGGAGTTTCACCATATTAGCCAGGCTGATCTCGAACTCCTGACCTCAAATGATCCACCCACCTCGGCCTCCCAAAGTGCTGGGATTATAGGCGTGAGCCACCATACCTGGCCACCTGACAGCAATCTAAATAGAATGATTATCAAGGTACCAGTTCTAAGTATCAGCACGGGAAATTACAAGCCCTAAAAATATAAATTCCCTTTGACTCTACAATCCTAATTCTGGGATTTACCCTAAAGAAATAATATCATTAGGTAAGTGAAAAAAATATGTGTGTATGAAGCTGCTCTGGTCGGGCCTTAGGGCGCTTCCCCCCGATCTGCTCATTTTTACCTCTTGCTTGTACTGTAAGTATTGCCCCCAGTGATATCTTATTTGGAATTGTGAAACTGTCCAGTCCTGTTAAGTTTGAATAATCAACTAATATATAACTAACAAAATGTAAAGATACATACCTTCAAATGTTGGACCATAAATCGACTCTCCATTATCTCCTTTTCCATACACTATATCTGAGAAATAGCAACAAATAAACATTAGAATTTTGAGATGAAAAGATTTAGGATACAATAATGACAGGGAAAAAATTTTGCTTTCAATGATGATTTCAAGGCTGAGGTGGGATGATCACTGGAGCCCAGGAGTTTGAGACCAGCCTGGGCAACATAATGAGACTCCATCTCGATTAAAAAAAAAAAAAAGAGGAATCAGCCAGGTATGGTAGCTCACGCCTGTAATCCCAGCACTTTGGGAAGCCGAGGCAGGCAGATCACCTGAGGTCAGGCATTCGAGACCAGCCTGGCCAACACGGTGAAACCCTGTCTCTACTAAAAACACAAAAATTAGCTGGGCGTGGTGGCATGTGCCTGTAATCCCAGCTACTAGGGAGGCTGATGCAGGAGAATTGCTTGAACTCAGGAGGTGGAGGTTGCGGTGAGCCGAGATTGCGCCATTGCACTCCAGCCTGAGCAACGAGAGTGAAACTCCATTTCAAAAAAAAAAACAAAAGAATGCAATATGATTCCACTTATACCAATGAATAGAATAAGTTACCTAATTATTCAATATCCACACTATGAAAATATTACTATAATAATTTCACTTGTATTTTATAAGCACTTTTACATTCATGATAATGCAAACTTTTGAAAGGATGAAGCATTAAATTATAATTGTGGTCACAATTTTTCAAAAGTATGTTCACATAAATTCTGCTTTCTTCATAAGTTATTCCAGTCTATCTTGTTTTTCTGAGATCAAGATTAAACTAAGAGGCTAAAACAGGAAAAGTAAGTTATTTTTAGAATATGTATAAAAAATAGAGCCAGGCGCGGTGACACACCTGTAATCCCAGCACTTTGGGAGGCCGAAGCAGGCAAATCACTTGAGGCCAGGAGTTCGAGACCAGCCTGGCCAACATGGTGAAACCTGTCTCCACCAAAAATACAAAAATTAGCTGGGTGTGGTGGCTGGTGCCTGTAATCCCAGCTACTCGGGAGGCTGAGGCAGGAGAATTGCTTGAATCCGGGAGGCAGAGGTTGCAGCGAGCTGAGATCGCACCACTGCACTCCAGCCTGGGCGACAGTGTGAGACTCCATCTCAAAAAAAAAAAAAAAAAAAAAAAAAAAAAAGAATATGAATAAAAAATAGGTGCTGCAAACAGAATTCATGTTCAAAATTTCATATCCTATAGTGATAACTCATTTATTTACCTAGCATATTGGAAATAAAGTTTCCTATAATGTAACAAGGTTTTTTTCAGGTGTTCACATGCTACGCATATTTTGGTTTAGGCAATGCTCCCACTATAAAAAGACTCCATGAACAAGTTATTTTTTATCTATCCACAGCTAAAAGAGGAGCAAAGCTAACTCTAGTGAAAAGAGCGGGCTCTGAGGTCTGTCCTCTCTCCCCCATCCTCCCCATCAGTATCTGTCTACTAACTTCAGCTCTATTCTGCTGCCTCCTTTAATACAGTGCTCAATAAATATTTATTGAAGGACTATGCTTTTTAAAGTCAGTATGAGCAATTTACCTACAATAAAAGTGTGTGTGCTATTTTTCAAAGAAAACTGATGCAGCACCAAGCATGTAGAGAGAATTTATCCCAGAAAGGCCATGCAGCATTTAAATTATACTACTCAGAAAGCTGGCTCAGAAGTTAATTGACAAGCCTTAAGTCTCCAACCTGACTCACCTAAAACTCAGCCATGGTTCACTACCCAGCCCCAGGCAGCTCTTGAAAGGAAGTTGTCATGGCTGAAGGCTGAATCTGGAAATGGGGAAGCTGAGGGCCCCCCCACCATCAATCCCTTCAGATCCTAGGGGTTGGTTCTCTCAGGGAAATCCACCCAGGTGGTCTTCTCCCCTGCCAACTTACCTACCCGTTGGTCACATTCCCTTGCCCCCTCCCTCCCACACCCACCAACATTACTCTTGTCCTCTGCTTCAGATCTCCTAGGTGAATATTTTATATTGACACCATTTCAATCCGTATTTACTATTCTTTTTTGTGGCCATATCCACCCTCTTGAATTCAGCCTTGTATATCTGATATTATTGCTATACTTCTGACAACAAATTCAGAGATGCCAAATAGTGGTTAAAAGCAAACTTTAAAGTCAGATGATCTTTGATTAAAATGCTGATGTCAGTTACTTTTTCCAAACCTGTTTGCTTATCTGTACAAACAGGGATAATGGTAACTGCCTCACAGGTAGCTCTGAGGATGAAATGAAATAACATAGGTAGAGCACTCAGGCAGTGTTTGGCAGAGTGTCATGCCCATGCAGCATCACATGCTTCTAGAATGCCCCTTCTCATTATCATCATCTTCATCATTCTGCTCAATATGATGATGATGATAATAAAATGCATTAAATTTATCTCAAAAGATCCTTCTGAACTCACACTGAAGAAACGTCTTATGAATAGAGGAAATGCGGTAAGGGCCTTTGGTGTTCTAGTTCTATTTGATAACATAAAACAACTCATTCTGGAGAAGAGCTCTGAATGTATGGAAAGTGGCCAGGTGTGGTGGCTCATGCCTGTAATCCCAGCACTTTGGGAGGCCGAGGTGGGAGGGTTACTTGAGGCCAGGAGTTCAAGACCAGCCTGGGCAATATAGTGAGACTCTGTCTCTACAAAAAAAATTTATTTTTTTGAGACAGAGTCTTGCTCTGTTGCCCAGGCTGGAGTGCAGTGGCATCATCTCGGCTCACTGCAACGGCCACCTCTCGGGTTCAACCGATTCTCCTGCCTCAGCCTCCCGAGCAGCTGGGACTATAGGCGCATGCCACCACGCCCAGCTAATTTTTGTATTTTTAGTAGAGAGGGGGGTTTCACCATATTGGCCAGACTGGTCTCGAACTCCTGACCTCGTGATCCACCCGCCTCAGCCTCCCAAAGTGCTGGGATTACAAGCGTGAGCCACCGTGCCTGGCCTACAAAAATTTTTAAAAATTAGCTGGGCATGGTGGCATGTGCCCGTAATCCCTGCTACTTGGGAGGCTGAAGTGGGAGGAGTTCAAGGCTGCAGTGAGAGCCATGATTGTGCCATTGCACTCCAGCCTGGGTGACAGGCTAAGACCCATGCCTATATTCCTAACACTTTGGTGGGGCTGAGGCAAGAGGATTCATTGTTTGAGTCCAGGAGTTCAGGACCAGCCTGGGCAACATACAGAGACCCTGTCTTTACAAAAACATTTTTAAAAATTTGCCAGGCATGGTAATGTGTGCCTGTAGTTCCAGCTACTTAGGAGGCTGAGAAGATCACTTGAGTCCAGGAGGTTGAGGCTGCAGCGAGCTGTGATTGTGCCACTGCACTCAGCCTGAGCGACAGAACAAGACCCTGTCTCAAAAAAAAAAGAATGTGGGAATGTCTTCATTTCTCTCAAATCCATTCAAAGTCACATAATAATATACACTGGAGATGGACCTTATGAACATAAAAATGCACACTTGATTAGAACCCTAGTAGTTAGAAAAACACAGAAAAGTTCATTTAGACAATTAATTTAAAAGTCGTGTGAAAGCTCCTACTGGAAAGAAATCCTATAAATGTAAGTCAAATGGAAAGCCTGAAGCATATTAATTATTTGGTATGCTCGAGAAAATTCACAACATGAAATGTTTTATGAGTTATAAACATATTGTACTTATCAGCGGCTCATTCTTCTGTTTTTATTTGTTTTTACTACTTTCATTCATATCTCTTAACCTTCAGCCAACTCACACCATAGCAGCGCTCATTCTTAAAGAGTCTCTCTGGACTATGGATTTCCACTTTTTTTTACAAGGGAACACTGAGGTAAGAATTTGGTATGTTCTCTTTAAGCAATAATATATGAGTTCAGCTGGGCACGGTGGCTCATGCCTGTAATCCCAGCACTTTGGGAGGCTGAGGTGGGCAGATCACTTGAGGTTGGGAGTTCAAGACCAGTCTGGCCAACATGGTGAAACCCCATCTCTACTAAAAATAGAAAAAATTAGCTGGGCATGGTGGCGCGTGCCTGTATCCCAGTTACTCGGGAGGCTGAGGCAGGAGGATCACTTGAACCCCAGAGGTGGAGGTTGCAGTGAGCTGAGATGGTGCCACGTAATCCAGCCTGGATGACGGAGCGAAACTCTGCCTCAAAATAATAATAATAATATATGAGTTCAATAGGTACTTTTTTTTTTCTAAAGCCAGTTAATAAAATTTTCCTCTATCCATTTTAAAGTGTGTTGGATGTATGGGTGAAATGAAATGTATTTTTAATATACAGGTAGGTTTAATTGTTAATAGTTGGGTAATTGTTCTGTGACTAATGGGCTATTGAAAAATGAATCTTTGTTAAGTGTTTGAATTTTCTTACTGGAATTATTTGGTGGGTCCTGGATATCCTCACCCATTTTATATATATATATATCTTTTAGTCTTATGTAAAACATGATCATTTTTTGTGTAAAAAAGTTTATTTCATTTTCTTTGATTAACAAAGTGTTGGTATCAATTTTTTTTAATCCTTCTGAAGGAAGTAGGCCTCGAGGGAGCCAGAGGGGGAATCCAACCAAAGTGGTATAATGACTTGCTATCTTAACTTTGGACTTTAAAAATGCAGAGAATGTATGTTTCCTGTTTAACCACCTATTTTCCTTCTTACACTCTCTTCCTTCTTTTCTTTCTACAAGTATTTATTAAGCACCTACTATATCTCAAGCACTGTTGTAGTACGTGGGATACCATAGTGAATAAAATAGATAAAAATTTCTGCCCCCATGGAATTTAGAGAAACAGACAATAAACAAATGAACTAAGAAACATATGGTAGTATGTCTAATGATGAAAAGTGCTAGGAAGAAAGATAAAACAAGGTAAGGAGTAGGAGGGTGGCAGGAGGGGTGAGCGGTGTGTGTGGACAGGAAGATGGCAGTTTCATATAGGGTGGTCCGGTAAGGCCTTGCCCAGACAATCTCTGGGCAATAATCAGAAACAGACAGTGGGGTTGGGGGCAGGGGGTGAAACAAGGGATACCTGCAGGAACAGGCTGGGCGGTATGTGCCCCAGGCAAAATAAACGAGGCCTCAGGGCCAATGCATGCTTGATGTGCTTAGGAGGCAGCCAGAGGCTGTGTGTGCAACCGAGTGTGTAAGAGGTCAGAAGATAAGATGTGAGGAGGAGGGGCAGGCAGTGTTGACTGGGTACAGCCTGTTAGTCCCAAAGGGCAAGCAACAGTGCCTGGAGGCATCCTAAGGCACAGCACAAAACCACGTTTAGCTCCTGTCCTCCAAAATTCTACATAGTCCCGTGGTATCAGAGGCACGTGAACCACAGCAACTTCATCTTGAATAGGAGCTGGGTAAAATGAGGCTGAGACCTACTGGGTTGCATTCCCAGATGGTTATGGCATTCTGAGTCACAGGATTAGACAGGAGGTTGGCACAAGATACAGGTCATTAAGACCTTGCTGATAAAACAGGCTACAGTAAAGAAGCCAGCCAAAACCCACCAAAACCAAGATGGCGATGAGAGTGACCTCTGGTGGTCCTCACTGCTATACTCCCATTAGCGCCATGACAGTTTACAAATGCCATGGCAACATCAGGAAGTTACCCTGTATGGTCTGAAAAAGGGAAGCATGAATTATCCACCTTTAGCATATAATCAAGAAATAGCCATAAAAATGGGCAACCAGCAGCCCTCAGGGGCTGCTGTGTCTACAGAGTAGCCATTCTTCTGTTCCTTTACTTTCCTAATAAACTTACTTTCACTTTACTCAACAAACTCGCCCTGAATTCTTTCTTGTGAGAGATTCAAGAACCCTCTCTTGGGGTCTGGATCATGGGAACTGGACATCTGTAGGGAGAGAGGATGTTTCCAGAGTTTGGCACTTCCAACACACCAGGTCATTGAATCCTCACCACATCCTGTGATATTCTTATCATTATCCCCATTTTATGATTAAGAAACTGATTCAGAGAGGCTAAGCAGCTTATCAAGATGGTATAACTTACATGAATCAGAGCTTGGATTTGAATCTAGCAATCCAACTTTTTCCCAAGCCGTCCTTAACATTGCTGTCTCACTGTTTGAAAATATGACCCAAGATCTGTGCACTTTACTATTTGGAAATTTTACTTTAAATAAATAAAAACACAAACAAATAATATGACCTACTTTTCCCAAATCTTGCAAGGGTGGTGGGAGCTAAGCAAAAACAAAAATAAAACGAAACAAAAGAATACAGCATCTGAGGCTGGGTGTGGTGGCTCATGCCTGTAATCCCAGCACTTTGGGAGGCTGAGGCGTGCGGATCACCTGAGGTCAGGAGTTCAAGGCCAGCCTGGCCAACATGGCAAACCTGTCTCTACTAAAAAAATACAAAAATTAGCCAGGTGTGGGGGTGGGCCCCTGCTATCCTGGCTACTCGGGAGGCTGAGGCAGGGAGAATTACTTGAACCTGGGAGGTGGAGCTTGCAGTGAGCCGAGATCGTGCCACTGCACTACAGCCTGGGCGACAGAGCGAGACTCCGTTTCAAAAAAAAAAAAAAAAAAAAGAACACAGCATCTGAAAGCCTAGCACATGAGAGTCAACACTGAACTCATTGTCAGGAGCCCCTAATATTAACAGGACCCCTTGAGAAATGTTTTATACTAACAAAAAATAGAAAACCATCTAAATGTTCACCAATGGGGAATTAATTAAACTGGTATAGCAATATGATAAAAAAAACTAGGCAGATGCTAAACATTTTGTATGTTTATGTTCATTGGCATGGTTAGATAGACACCACATATTCAGTGGAAAGACACAAAATGGAAAAACACTTGAAAGTGAGGTTAGATAACAATATTTGTGGTATGATCTCACTGTGGAGAAACCAAAGGGAAAATACCTGCTTTAACATGTAGGATGCTTGGAATATATCTATATTTTTCTCCTCGTCAGCCTCAGAATGTTCCAGATCATATAAAAAATGGTAAAAACTAATTTAAACTTCTCCATGTGTCATCGAGTTCAAGCAAATTTCCTTTGACACTAAGCCAATTATGTGTAAATTACTGCCTGGTTGCTTCCTATGGACTATCCCCCAAAAGGCGCCCAATATTCAATTCCATGCTTTTAATCAGACACCTAGTCTATGTAAAACCAAAGGACTGACCTGAAAAGAAAGAGAACATAGAAACCAAAATCCTTTAGACATTTCTTTTTACTTGTAATAATGTAACATGTTTGGTGAGAAATAAGTTGTTTTCCATTTACTATATTTTCAAATTCCCACTCTTAGCATACTTATTAAAACCGCTGTATTTCTAGGTACTATGTATTTAGGTGAGCATTTAAAATTTGTAAAAATAAAATTGGTAAAATAAAATGTCACCCTACTCTCCTATGTCATTTTTGAATTTGGAATATTCCTGGTAACATAAATTAGATTTATTTATTTTAATAATTAGGGTGTTTTTTAAAGAATACAAATATCTTACTTCATTATTTGGCTATATAAAGCATTCTTTAAATACGTCTAATTTTAAGTATATCTAATTCTACATACATTTCATAAAGATAAATGAAAGTTTGGACCTTCTCATTTGATATTGCAATTAACTCGTATTTAAGATTTTAAACTTACCCCCTCCTTGTATCCAGCCATTCTGTACTATTCGATGAAAAATGGAATTTTTGTAATGTAGTCTTATGCCACGTTGAGAAAACCCTGCTTTTCCTGTGCACAAGACCTGAAAATTTTTACATGTTTTGGGACACACATCACAGTATAGCTACAAAATAAAGACAAAAGGTTTCAAAGATTAAATATTTAACACTCCAACAGTTATAGATCCTACCCCCACAAACTTACATATAAAAAAAAGTATCACCTCAAAAATCAATCTTCCAATTGGAGAAGAATCAATACAAATGTCCAAAAACACGAAATCATGCTGTGAAGATTAAGGAGAATCATATAATGCAGGTCAAAGTCTTACAAGAAAGTTTTCAGAAATGACCAAAAATACAGCAGATACAATATTTTTAGTGAAAAGATTTCAATAACATTACCAATGGATAATATTACAGTAAAATTAAGTGAATGACTTGTATTAGTTTATTTCATTTTATCAAGTTTTTATAACCCACTTTACACATTTTAATTTTTATTATTGTATTTATTTATTTATTTATTTTTGAGACAGGGTCTGGCTCTGTCCCCCAGGCTGGGGTGTAGTGGCACCATCTTGGCTCATTGCAGCCTCAACCTCCTGGGCTCAAGTGATCCTCCCACCGCAGCCTCTGAAGTAGCTGGAACTACACACATGCACCACCACCAGGCCCAGCTAATTTTTGTATTTTTGATAGAGATGGGGTTTCACCACGTTGCCCAGGGTGGTCTCGAACTCCTGAGCTCAAGGGATCGCCTACCTTGGCCTCTCAAAGTACTGAAATTACAGGCGTGAGCTACCGCCGCACCCAGCCCACATTATACATTTTAAAAACCTTTCCAGAGTGAAAGCTCTGGAGAACATTAACCTATCTCACAGGAGTGAAACACATGGCCTAGATATCTACCACATCACAACTAGGTGTGGAAATAGCCACACCTAGTGTGGGGAAGAAAACAGACAGGGGATTCTTCTCTACTTCGCTTCTTTCCTATTTTTGGGAAGGATCCATCATGAACATCATGGATTTGGTTACTGTGCGTCCTGGATTTTCAGAGACAGCACAGATTAGCTAACCAGAGCCAGGCCACATCTGTTCTGAGTGGGAAAATCAGGTCCCTATATCCATAGCAGGTGTAGCACCAGAGATAGGGAAGAGAAGGATGCTGGGCTTTCAAGTTATATTCAATAATACCCTCATGTGCACAGATGCCCTCAGCTTGTCTTCACTTGATATCCTTTCTCATAGAGGAAAACATTTGTGAGACCTTGTCTAGCCCTACAAAGAGGCATTCAAAATGAAAATGCTAGTTTCAACATAATAGCATTCATTTAGGGGCTAAAGCACATTTAATGGAGTACATTTCAAGTCTTGGGCACCATTCTCCTACATTAAAATGCCACCCTGGTTCATGCCTGTAATCCCAGCACTTTAGGGGGCCAAGGTGGGTGGATCCCTTGAGCCCAGGAGTTTGAAACCAGCCTGGGCAACATGGTGAGACCCTGTCTTTACAAAAAAATTAAGAAATTAGCTGGGCATGATGGCATGTGTCTGTAGTCCCAGCTACTTGGAAGGCTGAGGCAATAGGATCACCTGAGCCCAGGGAGGTTGAGGCTGCAGTGAACTATGATTGTGCCACTGCACTACAGCCTGGGTGACAGAGTGAGACCCTATGAAGAAAAAAAAAAAAAAAAAACCACCTTATTGAGCAAGGTGCATAACTTGTCCTGTCCTCTTTCTTAAGAATCTAGGAAACATGAAATTAAATGTATCATATTTTTTATGTCACTCTAACTTTTTTTTAATGAAAAGACTGAAATAATATTGTGCTATCTGGCATCTAGCAATGAACTGTTCCATCCATACTAATTATAATTAATTTGTGCCTCTCAGCTTCTATACTACAAGTTTTTAAGTATAAAACAGAATAGTGTAACTAAAGAATAGGAGGCATAATATAGTAAACTTCAGAGGCTCAGGAGGATAAAGAGGATATATTGGAAATCATGGCTGACTTAGGAAATGGACTTACTGTCCATTCAGACACCATTAAACTTCCCTGCGCATCAAGATATTATCTTTATGAGATAGTCCAGAATAGATAGTTCTGAAAATGCCAATAAGAGTTCAAATGAATGCAACACAAGGTAATGTCCCAGTCATCTAGCAGCCAAACAGGCAAGCATATTTATCTACCATATGGTTCTAACCGGAAGTAAACAAATCCCTGGGTTTTATTCAGGAAGAAAAGTCCACCCTCTGTGCAAAAAAAATCTATTGTCTCTGGAACGCTTCATGACTATCCTCTATCCTCACTGCCACGAATTATTTCGGGCTTTCATTATGTCCAGCCCATGCTGCTATCCAATCCCCTGCTCCCAAGCTCTCCCCTACTCCAGCCTGCTTCTGCACAGACCTAAACATTTTTCCAGAAAAACAGAGGATTACGTCATACTCTTTTATGGAAAGCTCTGTTGGTTCAGTTTCCTTCTGGATAAAATCCAACTCCTTCGTTCAGATGGACAATAAATCATAACCCAGCCTCAATCTTTCTTTAGGATCTATTGGATTTTTTTTTTCCTAATTAAAATCTGAGTACCCTTCCTATCTGGGGAACTCCTCACAGGGTCCCACCACCTTCACTAGAACCTAAAGGGGCCAGATTCTCCCTCTCCCCATGCTGAGAGCACCAGGTTTTGGGAATATGACCTAGCCTTGCCAGCTAGGTGCTCCTGCCTGGGCTTAGGTCTCCAGGGAGTGATGAAAAGACACTGAAGCATTGAACAGTTAATCTCATTGAAGGTGGAGGTGTGAACAAGGGCCAGCAGTGCCATGGCAGTTCCCTGGCAGCACATCCCTGCAGTGTGACTCTGGCCATGTCTTCCTGCTGCCAGGCCTCATTGGTTCCCGCCTGTTTTCCAAAGCTGTTGTCCAGCTTTCCTGTCAATTGTGAGATAACAGCATCCTTTCAATACACACCTTTTCGCCTTCGATCAATCAGAGGAGCTTGGTAATGCTGGCACCAAGAATCTTGACTGAAACTCATCTTCCCAGCTTCTTTCCCCACAAATTCTGGCCTCCTTGCTGTCCCCCTGCCATTCCCAGGGCATGTACAGCTAGACTCCTGACCCTTTGGGAATTAACTGTTTGAACATTAAATGCCTCCCCACACCCCAGAGTTTCTAGCATTGTCAAAGTGCACTGTTTATTCAATCAAACATGCACTGAGCACCTATTATGTTTCAGGTCTGTTTGAGCAGTGGTTCAACAAGGATGAATGAGACAAGGCCTTTACCTATGCACAACTCAGATCTTAGCATTGGCTCACTGTAGGCACAGGCCGCCATGGGCATGAAATGATTTTCTGCACAATGCAGTTGTTGCTACAAGAAGGTTTCTGAGCAGGACTGCAAAGTACCTCCACCCCTACTGCCATCACATCCTGATAACTATCTCTCATCCCTGGACCTCATGCTTCATGACTATCCTCTGCCACTGGAAACCTCCCCACTGGCACAGCCTGTCTGGGCTTGCTCTTGCTAACTATGTGTTCATGCTTTTTTTTTTTTTTGAGACGGAGTCTCGCTCTGCACCAGGCTGGAGTGCAGTGGTGCGATCTCGGCTCACTGCAACCTCCACCTCCCAGGTTTAAGTGATTCTCCTGCTTCAGCCTCCCGAGTAGCTGGGATTACAGGTACACGCCACCACGCCCAGCTAATTTTTGTATTTTTAGTAGAGATGACGTTTCACCGTGTTGGCCAGGATGGTCTCGATCTCTTGACCTTGTGATCCACCTGCCTTGGCCTCCCAAAGTAATGGGATTACAGGCATGAGCCACCGCGCCCGGCCTGTGTTCATGCTTTAAAATGTCACCTTTCTTCAAACAACTTTCCATTCTCTTAGCTCAGCAGCTCTTGCCTAGATGTTGGACAGTCTTAATTTAAATATTTCACACTCAAGATGAATGGATGATAGGTTTTACCTTCTCTGAGGGGGTGGTCTTTATATTTTAAAATAGGTAATTCATGCATATAAATCTCTAATGGGAAGTAAAAATGTCTGCACAGAGATGATCTCCCCGTGCAGCCCACGGGCTGTGAGACACACTTGCTTTACATACCACCATATTACAATCTTTTGCAAATGGAAATGGAACTAGGCTTTAAACTTAGTCTCCTACTTTTTTATAATCTCCTTCATTAGGACATCAATAATTAATGCTGAATCAATATAAAGGGTCAAAGATTCCACAATTTTTCTTTAAAAGTTAGTATAACTTGCCTTGGTGTCTCTTAAGAACTTAGCGGAAAAATCCTCAGTGAGTGCGTCATAAAGTGCAGAGGGTTTAATGTCAACTATATCCCACACCTCGTGGGCCCATTTCTGCAGATCCAATGCATCACCCAGAAACTGACCATTAACAAAAGAAATCACAGAGGAAGAATATTCCCAGGTTTCATTTTTGAGTTCCTGTAAGGGAAAAGGACAAAAAAAAAAAAAAACGTAAGAAGTGGGGGGAAAACTTGCTAAACCCATAAGCCAGAGCTTAGGATCAACTCTAGGTCTGAATTTGTCAACTCTAGTATTGAATCTTTTAAAAATAAGTTTTTATCGTCCTTCAGAATTTTGCTCTCAGAAAGAACTTAAGAACATTTTTAAGAATCTGACATCACTAAAAGTAAAGAATGATCTAAAAAGTATCATAAAAATGTTACAAATGAAAAAAAATTTATCTGAGGAATGTGAGCCCCTTTAAATTATCATGCCCAGAAAGGCATTTAAAATGTAATAGCAGTTATGTCTCACTCTCCCTTGAGCTAAATAATTACCTCCACTTACTATGTGGGCTCTAGACTGACACCAAACAGCCATAAAAAGCCATCCACCCTATAGTTCAACAACATATAGCCAATTGCTAACCAATGTTATTTCTGTAAATCAATGACAATTCCTGACCAACAGCTTTTGTAATCGCCCTTCTTCTGATTCATTCTTTTTTCTTTAAACACTTGAGCCTCTATTTTGTTCTCTGGAGCACTCCCCAAGGCAACTTGGAAATGTGTCCTGGGCTGCAGTCCTCAACCTTGGCCCAAATTAACACTCTATATTAATTTTGTTTCAGCTTCTTCCTTTTAGGTCGACACATTAATAGAAGATAAATGGTAATCTGGTAACAAAAATCATCATGAGCCTGGCATACCTGTTAATATATTAACTTGCAAACAAAATTCAGTCTCTGTCTTCATTCCTAAAGCACATTTTACTGTGTGCATACTTGGAAAGGATAGGGGGTCCAGGTAAGACATGGGGTTCAATGCAGAGGACTGGGAAAATGTTTTTTGGGTAGTGTGGGGCTTAAGGTTAGGAAATGACTTACGAGGGTCAACAGGGATTTCTGGGGCACAACTAGGAGCAGTGAGGAAGAAAACTCACCTTCCTCAGCACAGTGCCTTCAGCCCCTCAAAATGCAGTGTGTTAGTGTTTTCATCAACACAACGCTGATGGTAAACCTTCTAAATCTCCGGTGGGCTTGAGGGACTTCCCCTCTGAGGAGATCTGGTTTATTATTACCCAGTACCAGCCAGG
The DNA here is from genome assembly GCF_000001405.40 of Homo sapiens. Lineage (NCBI taxonomy): Eukaryota > Metazoa > Chordata > Mammalia > Primates > Hominidae > Homo > Homo sapiens. The sequence continues at coordinate 109,432,462 of NC_000006.12, forward strand.
CAAACCATGAATAATTTGGAACAGCCATGCTCAAACTTTCGTGGGCAATGAGAATCACTGAATCTGAGATTCTCATTGATCTCAGATTCTCAGAATCACAGAATCTGAGTCCCCTCTCCCTTTCCCCCAATATTCTGATTCTAGGATGGTGCCTGAGAATTTGCATTTATTTATTTGTTTTTTGGAGATGAGGTCTCACTATATTGCCTAGGCTGGTCCTGAATTCCTGGGCTCAAGATCCTCCCACCTCAGCCTCCCAAAGTGTTGGGATTATAGGTGTGAGCCACTGTAACCCGCCAGAATGTGGATTTCTAACAACCTCCTAGGAGGTGCTGATGTTGCTGTTCTAGAGACTGCACTTGGGAGAAACACTAGTTTGAGGAACAGTTTACATTCAACTTGCCAACTTGCTTCATTCTCCTCAGCAGATTTAATATCCTATTGCTTGCTTCCTATGCCCTTATCAAAACCTGCTTCTAGGCAGAGAAGAGACTTGCTTATGCTGAGCTATAAATCACTGATAGAGCCAGTTGGTCGATACTTCCTGGAGTGTTTAAATTTATCAGTGTTACCATATTTTACAGGACCCAAAACTTTCTTTTTTTTTTTTTTTGAGACCGAGTCTTGCTCTGTCACCCAGGCTGGAGTGCAATGGTGTGATCTCAGCTCACTGCAACTTCTGCCTCCTATGTTCAAGTGATTCTCCTGCCTCAGCCTCCCGAGTAGCTGGGATTATAGGCGCCCACCACCATGCCCAGCTAATTTTTGTATTTTTAGTAGAAATGGGGTTTCACCATGTTGGCCAGGCTGGTCTCAAACTCCTGACCTCAGGTGATCTGCCCGCCTCGGCCTCCCAAAGTGTTGGGATTACAGGCGTGAGCCACCACACCCTGCCAGGACCCAGAACTTTCTAAACGGGAGAAAAAAATGTCACTGTGGATATTTCAGCTAGCTTGGTAGGAAAAATGCAGTAGAAGGTATGTTTTATTTGGAGGCTAAAGATGTAAATGCCTTCCTCTGTCTCCTCTATACTTAGGGAGGCGTGCTCGCCTGCCTCATGTGAACAGCATGGACCTGATGGTTTCTAGGGCCTTCAGCACTAAGAGTATGAGGCTGCCTTCTTTGGAGCAGAGAGAGGGACCTTCCCAATGGCCCTGAAGCCATCCACTTAGGGTGGCACTTCATTCTGCTGAAGCCTAAGGCCAGTTGAACCTAGTGAGTTCAGAGAGACCAAATGAGCTAAGAAGCACTACTTATGACACAAGACACAATACTTACATTGATGAAGGACAAGGGACTACCTGAGAAGGAAGAAAAGGTTAAGGTAACAAACAGCCAGAGGAGAAGGGAGGGAGGGGGATGAAAGGAAGGATAAGGAATATCACAGGTGGAACGAAGCAGCAATGATGAACTGGAAAGCCTCATTCAAGACCCATGAGAAAGGCAGGAGGAAGAGAACACAAAACATCTTGAGGTAACCTAGGCTGAAAGGGGAGGGAAACTGGGGAATAGAATCCACACCAATTTCCTAGAGTCCAGTGGGAATTCAAAAGAGGAGTGGGTGCAAACCACAAACCATGAGACAGTTTTCCTGTGGGTGGAGAGCATGACACTGGTAGGTCACATAACAAGTTTGATAAAAAAGAAAAAAAAAGTATTGTTTTATATTAGGGTGACCAACAGTTTTGGTCTGCCTAGGACTATCCTACTTTTAGCACCAAAATTCCCACATCCTAGGAAACCCCTCAGTCCCAGGCAAACCAGGACCGTTTGTCACCCGAGTTGTTGGAAGGATTATAATTTATGTATATAAGCTGGGCACAGTGGCTCACACCTGTAATCCCAACACTTTGGGAGGCCAAGGTAGGAGGGTTGCTTGAAGCCAGAAGTTTGAGACCAGCTTGGCCAAAATAGCGAGACCCTGTTTCTACAAACAAAGAAAAAAAAGAATATATATGTGTGTTTGTGTGTGTGTGTGGGTGTGTGTGTGTCTAGAATACTGTCTGTCATATAATAAGCAGAATTGTAAGTGTTTGGTTCTATTTGAATTCCAATGAGAATCTTTTAAGGCTATGAACATGTGAGGCTTAACAAATGGTATTCTTATTCAGTCTTGCACCATTCATGTGACTGAACAGAGAATGAAGTGGTCTCATAAAACCGTGCTGCTTCCATGATAATTAATCACAGGATCACAGGACATCCTTGTGCAACCCAGCACAGAACAATCGAAACTGCTCTGGTCAAGGGAAATGAGGTTTCATCAGCCATGGGGGAGATGGGGTGGGGCAGGGAAACTAGGACTGGGACCATCTACAAGACTAGGCCAGGGGTGACAAGCATCCCACCCTCCCCAACACAGGATATTGCTAAGCCAGGATGCCACCTTAGCATTCTTCTCATCACATGCTCCAGGCAGCACTACCAACTGAACAGGTTGTCACCCAACAGGAAAACTATCATCCCTGGACAAGCTCTGCTAGCCCTAAGGTGTGGAGTTCTCTGAGGGTATAGATAGAGGGGAGAATGCAGAGAAGGAAGCTTCAACTAGGACAGGGTTGCCCTGTGGGAGCTTGGTGTCTGTCATCAGAGCTTCCCCAGGCAACAGTCCCACAGAAGCCCCTGGCTGTCTCTGTGATGTACACCATCAACACTTTCCAGAGTTTAAGGGCCAAGAGGGCCAGGCCACATTAACCAGCTCGGTGCCAGGGTGTGAGAGGAAGTATAAGTGATGTGCAGGGAGACAGGGTAACTAACCATCATCAGCGGCAAACGGCACCATTGATTTTACCTTTATCTCATGCTTTCCAAAGGAAAATTCTGTAAATGTTGCACTTTTTTTTTTTTTTTTTTTGGAGACAGAGTCTCACTCTGTCACCAAGCTGGAGTACAGTGGTGGGATCTTGGCTCACTGCAACCTCCGACTTCTTGGTTCAAGCGATTCTCCTGCCTCAGCCTCCAAAGTAGCTGGGATTATAGGCACGCGCCACCATGCCCAGCTAATTTTTGTATTTTTCGTAGAGACGGAGTTTCACCACGTTGGCCAGGATGGTCTTGATCTCCTGACCTCATGATCGGCCTGCCTTGGCCTCCCAAAGTGCTGGGATTACAGGTGTGGGCCACCACACCCAGCCCAAATGTTGTAGTCAAAAACAAAAACAAGAACAAAAAACAGCTTGGTGGCCGAGCTCAGTGACTCACGCCTGTAATCCCAGCACTTTGGGAGGCCGAGGTGGGTGGATCACTTGAGCTCAGGAGTTTGAGACTACCCTGGGCAACATGGTGAAACCCCATCTGTTAAAAAAATACAAAAACTAGCTAGGTGTGGTGGCGTGTGCCTGTAATCCCAGCTACTTGCGGGGCTGAGGTAGGAGGACTGCTTGAATCCAGGAGGTTGAAGCTGCAGTGAGCCAAGATCGCCCCACTGCACTCCAGCCTGGGTAACAGAGTGAGACCCTGTCTCAAAAACAAAACACCTAGCTTGGTAAATGATTAATACAATTTAGGAAAAGTACGTAATGTAGAGAAATAAAATCTAGTTACACTAAAATTACTCTTTCAGTTTTTCCAAAACAATGCATAAATAATTCAGGCAAAACTTGGCTTGTTGTCTATATCCCCCACACCCCAAATATCCTTTACCCTTTTTTTCTCCTGTAGATATTGATGCCATGCAAATTCTTGAAGAGGAACTAATATAGGATCTTCAAATTTGGATGGATGATTATTCTTCAGATTCTGGATTTCGAAATAGAATAATTATTTTAGAGTTAGTTCTCTTTTAAAGTCAAAATCATGTTCCCCAATTTTTACGGGGTTTCCAGAAGTTTTATACAACACAAGCCCAGGCCATGCAGTCCGACTGAGATATTCCTTGCTCGCTGTCAGAGGCCCTTGTGTTCACCTCCAAGTTGCTCCCCAGTCCAGGGAGCTTATTTGTATAAGTGCCTCGAAGCCAAGAACTATGTCTTAGAGGCTGGGCGCAGTGGCTCACACCTGTAATCTCAGCACTTTGGGAGGCTGAGGTGGGCAGATCACCTGAGGTCAGGAGATTGAGACCAGCCTGGCCAACATGGCAAAAACGTGTCTCTACTAAAAATACAAAAAAATTAGCCAGGCATGGTGGGTGTGTGCCTGTAATCCCAGCTACTTGGGAGGCTGAGGCAAGAGAATCACTTGAACCTGGGAGGCAGAGGTTGCAGTGAGCAGAGATCACGCCACTGCACTCCAGCCTGGGTGACAGAGTGGGACTCTATTTCAAAAAACAAAAAACAAAAAAACAAAACAAAACAAAAAAAACTCTGTCTTAGTATTCCTATATTCCCACCTGCCACAATCTCTGGCACACAGCAGCTGAATAAAGAGAGGAATACATAAATGGGTTAACGCCAATAGCTTTGTGATATGCTATGTTCTTTAAGACTAGTTTTTCCCTAAGTACAACTCTTGCTAAACCTCGGTGGATCTACAGATACTTTACTTATAACTAAAATAAATAAATAAATGTTCTTGCTTTAATTCACTGATGAATGGGGGATGACCAAAAAGATAATAACGTTGTGGTTATACCCCTTAGGAAAAAGAGAAGTACGAAATCAGTTTAGGTTTAGATACGGAATATGTTCTAGTTTGACATAGATTGTCTGCAGGAATCAGAGAAAATTCTTATTGGTTAGCAATCCAGGCTTGGTTCTTGATATTCGTTATACTTTGTCTCCCTCTAAAGCAAGAGAACACAGGTGAAGCAGTAACAGGCCTCTTTTCTGAGTGGGTTTGGGAAGTAGATGGACCAAAGGGAAAAGTGACAGCTGCTGCAGGTGGCACTTCCCTGCTAGGGACAGTGCTTGGAGGTCCTGTCATGGTCCAAAAGAGGGTGCTGGCCTAGCACAGGTCATCAGGGGTGAGTATTCCAAGGGGAGAAAACCAGGATGTGAGTGTGGCCTACTTTGGGAATACTCATGAAGAGGGCAACAATAATTAGGCCATTTCCTTCTGTCCCCAAGCAATAGCTGACGCATCTTGTTTCTCAGTTCCAGTGTCTGTGCTCAGTTTGAGGCAATACTGCAGGTTGACTACTATTTCTTTTCTTTTTTTTTTTTTTTTTTTTTTTTGAGACGGAGTCTCGCTCTGTTGCCCAGGATGGAGTGCAGCGGTGTGACCTCAGCTCACTGCAACCTCCGTCTCCTGGGTTCAAGCAATTCTCCTACCTCAGCCTCCCAAGTAGCTGGGATTACAGGCACCCGCCACCACGCCCAGCTAATTTTTGCATTTTTAGCAGAGACGAGGTTTCACCATGTTGGCCAGGCTGGTCTTGGCCAGGCTGGTCTTGAACTCCTGACCTTAGGCGATCTGCCTGCCTCAGCCTCCCGAAGTGCTGGGATTACAGGCGTGAGCCACCGCACCTGGCCCGGTTGACTGCTATTTCTAACCATCTGGAATAAACTATAAATCCAGCAGTTTTCAAATGAAACACATGTCTTTTTAGTAATTTAGTATTTGTTGTAGAACGGACTATATCCAAATGAAAATGTATGCAATATTTGTTCCTATTCTCTACAAATTTCAATCTTTTGTGTGTTTGGTTTTTACATTTTGTTTTTTATTTTTCAATTGACATATAATAATTGCACATATTTATGGGGTAGTGATGTCTCAATACATATAATGTATACTTATCATTAGCATATCCATCATCTCAAACATTTATTATTTCTTTGTGTTGGGAACATTCAACACAAATCTAAATCTTTGTCAGTTAATCAGGCATCTGGGATCGCTCACAAATTATCATGTTAGGAATACATTCAGATATCCTTTATTAAGACAGAACTAGAGGCTGGGCATCACCGTGGCCCATGCCTATAATCCCAGCACTTCGGGAGGTCGAGGAGGATTGCTTGAGCCCAGGAGTTCAAGACCAGCCTAGGCAACACAGTGAGACCCCCATCTCTTCCAAAAAAAGAAAAAAAAAACTAGCTGAATTTTCATATTTGAATATAACTACAGTAGGTAAAAGTTTAAGAAAGGGAAAATTGACATTATTAATACAATAAAGATATTGTTTTCTCGACCTACTGTCTTCTACATCAGGGGTTGGAGAGGAATAATTTTTAGATTTGTAAACAGTTTTTTGTTTTTTTTTTTAAGACAGAGTCTCACTCTTGTTGCCCAGGCTGGAGCACAGTGGCACGATCTCAGCTCACCGAAACCTCCACCTCCCGGGTTCAAGCGATTCTCCAGCCTCAGCTTCCCGAGTAGCTGGGATTACAGGCGCCCGCCACCATGCCTGGATAATTTTTGTATTTTTAGTAGAGATGGGGTTTCACCATGTTGGCCAGGCTGGTCTTGAACTCCCGATTTCGTGATCTGCCCGCCTCAGCCTCCCAAAGTGCTGGGATTATAGGCAAGAGCCACCGCGCTCGGCCTGTAAACAATTCTAAAAAATCAAAAGAATTGTATTTCACGTTATGTGAAAATTATACGCAAGTCAAATTTCGTGTCCATAATATGGTTTTACTGGAATACTGTCATTCATTTCCATCTCTGTGTCTGCTTTTGCAACACAGGAAAAAGCTAAACAGGTGTGACTGAGACCCTATTGCCAAGAAGGCCTAACATATTTACTATCTGGACTTTACAGAAAAAAACTTGTCAACACTTTCTTTACAATGTGGAGTCGGCACAGAAAATATGTGCCTTCAGAAAAAGAGCGAAAAAAAAGAGAAAAAAAATCTCTGAAACTCATTAATACATTAACTTTGTAATTAACTTCATGGCCATTAACTTTGGTAATAAAAGGTTGCTGATCCCGTCTGCCCAAGCAACACAGACCACAATTTCTACTTTTGATGATTCATGTATTATTTTCACAGACTTCTGATCACTTGTTTTCTTTTTATTATTTATTTATTTTGAGACGGGGTCTGGCTCTGTCGCCCAGGCTGGAGGGCAATGGCGCGATCTCAGCTCTCTGCAAACTCCGCCTCCCGGGTTCAAGCGATTCTTGTGCCTCAGCCTCCTGAGTAGCTGGGATTACAGAGACCGCCACCACGCCCGGCTAATTTTTTGTATTTTTAGTAGAAACGGGGTTTCACCATGTTGGCCAGGCTGGTCTAGAACTCCGCCTCTGCCTCCCAAAGTGCTGAGATTATAGGCGTGAGTCACCGCGCCAAGATATCTTCTATTTGGGAACATTTTGTTGTCAAGTATCCAGCTGGGTACTTCGGGAGTTAAAAACATTAATTAAGGCATGGTCCTGGAGTCAAGTGAGCTTCGGCGAGAAGTTTGCCATGGACAGCATTTCTGGAGCAAACCCTGTAAGAAGGGCTGAATTCTACATGCCGACATTTCATACATTTCTCCTGCATTTCAGGTTGTAAGTGTGCTGCAGCATGACTGATCTGGCCAAATTCTTCCAGTTTCCTCAAGTGCTTTTCCTTTAGTATCGTTCTGAGTGTTTACAAAGAAATGATTTTCCAAAGCACTTGTGAAGCATCTAGTTCGATTGGAACGCAGTGACGGCTCTATAAAATTCAAAGAAAAGAATCTCCCCGCATGAATAGTTAACAAAAATCGCTTGGGCCGAGGTGGCGGGGTTGTAAAAATTAGCTAGTTATATAGTAATCATTTTTCCATAAATTTAAATATCTCTAATTAAAGAAAAAATTGACGTAGAACAAAATCTGCGGGTGTGTGTGTGTGTGTCTCGGAGGGGATTACCTTATCTCCCAGCGCGGTTCTGAACCCTTCCTTCGCTCAGTTCTCCCTTTAAAAGTCGCCAAGTGGAACGCCCGCCCCCGGACCCGCACTTGCCCCCCTATACTCTCCTCCCGGTCCTCCAGACGGAGCCCGCCCGGCCAGGACACGCCAGCCCCTTCCTCGGCCGGTGGGGCCTCGACCCCCGCCGCCTCGAGGAGGCGCGGCGCCTGCAGTCCACGCGGCCGAGAGCGGGTAGCGGGGAGGGCCGCCCACGACGGAGGTTTCTCTGTGGTTACCTCAGCGGCGCTCTTCGCAATCTGAAAGTTGGGGCAGCTGAAGAGCCCCACCACCTTCACCTGCAGCGGCCGCTCCGGCAGCGACGGCGAGCCGCACCTAGCGTGCGGGGGCCCGCACGGCTGCGGCCTTGCCATGGCCGCGCCCGGGGACGCCCGGTGACCCCAAACACTGCGCGTCGCTCCGGCAACCGCGCGGCCCCGCCTCCGCCGCTCGCAGGAGGCGGGGCCCAGGGGCGGGTCGAGGGCGGCCCGTGGCGGCTGGGCCTTTCCTCAACTTTGCGCCTGTTGCTGGGCCGCCGGCGCGCGGGCGGCCGCGACCGCCGGGGACGAGCTTGGAGGAAAAGGAACCGGGAGCCGCCCACCCGGGGGCGCTCTCCGGACCCCCAGGGTCCTAGCGCGCGGCCCTTACCGAGCCTGGGCGCCCGGATTTCGGCAGCGGATCGCCTTTCCGGGTTGGCGGCCCGCCTGATTGGGAACAGCCGGCCGGTTGCCGGGGGAACGCGGGAGTCGGGCCCGACCTGAGCCACGCGGGCTTGGTGCCCACCTGTGCGCGCCGCCTGCGAAGAAGGAACGGTCTGGGGAGAAGGCGCCGCCGGCCGCCCCCGTCCCCACCGCGGCCGTCGCTGGAGAGTTCGAGCCGCCTAGCGCCCCTGGAGCTCCCCAACCATGAAGCCCAACTTCTCCCTGCGACTGCGGATCTTCAACCTCAACTGCTGGTGAGTGCGTCTGCGGAGTGCGGTCTGGGGGCCACCTTCCGTTCGCACCCATGCAGCCTTCCTCCCCCTATCCCGCCCCACGATCTCAGGGTGTAGGGAAAACCCGAACCTCCAAAGTCCACATCTGGCCCCAGCGCCGGTGGTCCCAGCAGTCGCCTCCCCTGCCCCGCTCTTCCCTTCCTTAGGGGCATTCCGTACTTGAGCAAGCACCGGGCCGACCGCATGAGGCGCCTGGGAGACTTTCTGAACCAGGAGAGCTTCGACCTGGCTTTGCTGGAGGAGGTGAGATTGTGCAGCACGGTGCGGAACCCAGGCTGGGAGGAGGGACAGACCGTCCCACTGGGGAAAGACCAAGCAGGCATCCTCACCGCTTCCCTCAGGTGTGGAGTGAGCAGGACTTCCAGTACCTGAGACAGAAGCTGTCACCTACCTACCCAGCTGCACACCACTTCCGGAGGTGAGAAGCCCACTGGCCTGAAGCCTGTTGTCATCCCAGGAGGCTCTTGGCCCTGCCAGCCCTTCCCTATCCTGCCTGCACTCTCCAGTCTCCTCCAGCCTCCTCTCCCTCTGGATGTGAGAGAAGGAGAAGGGTGAACCAAGAAGGTCCTATGACTTCAGCCCATTTCAGCTTTGTTTTCTGGCTGCCCTATACTCCTCCAAAGGCTGTCGCCTTGGTTCTAGGGCTAGTCCCAGCAGTAGAAAAAGAAAAAAATAGCTGATCAGAGCTGGAAGACAAGGGAGGGGAAGAAGGCTGGGTGTCTCTCCCTGTTTTTCTGGTTATTAAGCAGGGCTTGGCTTTCAGCGGAATCATTGGCAGTGGCCTCTGTGTCTTCTCCAAACATCCAATCCAGGAGCTTACCCAGCACATCTACACTCTCAATGGCTACCCCTACATGGTAAGGCAGACCTTTGACCTCTTCCACCTCCCTTCCCCACCTCCAGTAATACAAGGTAGAGGAGGCAGCCCTCTGAGAGCTGCAGGGGATGGGCAGAAAGATGGTGGCGGTGCCCTGAGTTTCTATCTCCTCCTGCCTGCAGATCCATCATGGTGACTGGTTCAGTGGGAAGGCTGTGGGGCTGCTGGTGCTCCATCTAAGTGGCATGGTGCTCAACGCCTATGTGACCCATGTGAGTGAAGCTGGCAGTGCCTAGGGCTGGGACATGCAGCCCAGTCCTGGGACAGAGAGATGGTACTTCTCTAGCTCTCATACCTGGGGATGAGGTGTGGGGGCAAGATCTTATAAGGAAGCAATGGGCAAGGCTTATCCATTGTATACCAAACACCATGCCAAGTGACAGACACAGGCTTGATTCAGACATACCCCTGGGACCCTCAGTCTTATCTGCTGTGATCTCATCTATCTTGCTCAGCTCCATGCCGAATACAATCGACAGAAGGACATCTACCTAGCACATCGTGTGGCCCAAGCTTGGGAATTGGCCCAGTTCATCCAGTGTGTGAGCCTGGGCTTGAAATGGGAAGTGGGATGGGACCCAGGGGCTGAGGGTGAACAAGGCCCCAGTCATGGGGAAGAGCTGGTGATGGAAGAACTCCCGCCTCACCAACCTGGTTCCCCCAGCCACACATCCAAGAAGGCAGACGTGGTTCTGTTGTGTGGAGACCTCAACATGCACCCAGAAGACCTGGGCTGCTGCCTGCTGAAGGAGTGGACAGGGCTTCATGATGCCTATCTTGAAACTCGGGACTTCAAGGTGAGGACTTGCCTGTTACTTCCCCACCTATATCCCCAGCTTCTCTCCCTCCTTCTCCCCCACATCCTAGCATGAGCCAATGATTCCCTTAGGGCTCTGAGGAAGGCAACACAATGGTACCCAAGAACTGCTACGTCAGCCAGCAGGAGCTGAAGCCATTTCCCTTTGGTGTCCGCATTGACTACGTGCTTTACAAGGTCAGGCTCCTCCCTTCAACATGCTTTCATATGCTGTGTCTCTTTGTCTACTAACCTGTGTAGATCCTTTGCTCAGCTAGTCTAGTCTTGGACCACTGATGGGTGGAAAGTGGGGTAGCCGGGAGCTGGTTCTCTGGGAAGAGGCCCTCATATATAAGCTTCTCTCTGGCCCTTACTTTTCCTAGGCAGTTTCTGGGTTTTACATCTCCTGTAAGAGTTTTGAAACCACTACAGGCTTTGACCCTCACAGGGGCACCCCCCTCTCTGATCATGAAGCCCTGATGGCTACTCTGTTTGTGAGGCACAGCCCCCCACAGCAGAACCCCAGCTCTACCCACGGTGAGTCACCCCCACCCTTTCCTTGGCCCTTGCCCCGCTTGAAGCAGCCCTTCCACTCTTGACTCTCTCCTGCCCCACTGCCCTGCTCTGTTGTAGGACCAGCAGAGAGGTCGCCGTTGATGTGTGTGCTAAAGGAGGCCTGGACGGAGCTGGGTCTGGGCATGGCTCAGGCTCGCTGGTGGGCCACCTTCGCTAGCTATGTGATTGGCCTGGGGCTGCTTCTCCTGGCACTGCTGTGTGTCCTGGCGGCTGGAGGAGGGGCCGGGGAAGCTGCCATACTGCTCTGGACCCCCAGTGTAGGGCTGGTGCTGTGGGCAGGTGCATTCTACCTCTTCCACGTACAGGAGGTCAATGGCTTATATAGGGCCCAGGCTGAGCTCCAGCATGTGCTAGGAAGGGCAAGGGAGGCCCAGGATCTGGGCCCAGAGCCTCAGCCAGCCCTACTCCTGGGGCAGCAGGAGGGGGACAGAACTAAAGAACAATAAAGCTTGGCCCTTTAGTGGCTCTGCCTTTTTCCTTGTAGAGGCGATGGGAGCCAGGGGTCAGTGTGACTGTCACACTACAGACCTTAAGGCTCCTACACATCTTCTCCTGTCCCCATACACGCCCCCACCTCCCACCTGTAGGCGGTGTGAACGCTGTTTGTGGCAGAAACATTTTAATTGTAAACAGCAAGGCTCTCTGCCAGGCAGCCCAGATGAACAGGGGTGGCACTGTGCTGGGGTGAGGTGCTTTCTTTGTGGGAACGAAAGCAGACGGCCCACCCTCGTCTAGCCCTGGGCCCCTGTCCCCAAGGCCAGCTCGCTGAGCCTGCGCTCCTCCTGGAAGCGGATGAGGGCATCTCTCTGGTTGACCAAATCCACCAGCTTCCTCAGGACCTGGTCCTCAGCCTGCCGATCAGCAGCTGTCTTTAGGTTTTCTAAAAGGAGGAGACAAAGCTTAGAGAACAGGGAACTGGGCAGGGAAGCAGGAGGGCCACAACCTAATCCCAGCCTATGTGATTTCTATAACCCGGGCTTTGTTTCCTAAGCTGCCAAATTAGGAGGGTTGCCAACACCAGTGGTTTTCTAGCACTACTGAGCAGCACGATTTTTTTTGAAGGAGATCTTATACAAAAGCCAACTGTGCAGCTCTGATTGAACTGAAGTGAGAAGGGGCTTTGGAGCCCCCTCCTCTGGCTTCCTCCTGAATTGTCTCAGAGGTACACAGACTAGAGCATCATGTTGCTTGGTCAGTATCTGAGATCATGAGGCTTGCATGACACATCCCTGGGATGTGTCTGCTTCTCCCCACATTTCACCTACCTTCCCGGTTCATGTAGCCTCGTAGCTCCTGGTCCAGCTGCCACTGTTTCTCCTCCAGATTCAATTCCTGCACCCTGTGGAGGTCAGGGATTGTAGAAGCAGAGCTGTCTAAGGTGCCCAAGGGGCTGGAGCCTGGCCCATGGGCCACTGTCACCATCCCCTTCCCCTTACGTGATCATGAGCTCGGCCTCCTCAGCCACCAGGCTGTTTTTCTTGTCAACGAGCTGTAGCAGCTGTCCTACCCATAGTTTCTTTTGCTGTTCTGGGGAACCTGAGAAGAAGGAAGATGGGTAGGGTGATCAGGAGGCTTCCAGCCAGCACCACAGGAGTTACAGGCTTAGGGGAGACAGGAGAGCCGGGTGTCACAGGTATGTGTTAGCTGTGTGGCATAGCCACTGGGACTCCTACGGGCTGGAGCGTGGAGCTGAACACAGTGCTAGAAGGCAGAGGGGTGTCCTAGCTTGTCACTCACTGCTCTGGCGCCTCAAGGCCAGCTCCAGCTTCACGCCCTCGGCCTCTAGCTCCCTCAAGGCAGCCTCAATCTCATTTAGTCGCCGTTGGATGGTCTGAGGGGTACAAGACAGAATATCCAGGAGTCTCTAGGTTGCTCAAGAACAGAGCACTGGAGGAACTCTGATCTCAGTCTCAGAACTTTGACCCCATCAGAATTTTGGGAACCCCCGGGCTTCACCTGGGCCTTGCAGAACCTCTTCATCTCCTCCTCCTTCGCACGGCGCAGCAGAGTCCGACGCCATGTTGGGTAGTTATTCATGGTGCCTGAGGTCTTGGCAAAGGTCTGCAGGGCCTATAGGAGGGTCAGGCCAGTCAGGGATAGGGCCTGGGCCCCCTGGTGGATAGGAGTGTTGTTTGGAAAGGCAGAAAATAACCCGTGCTGAAGTGGGGTAAGCTCTGGTAGAAAAGGTAGAGGCCAGAGATATGACAGGCCAAGTGAGAAGACATTCCAAGAGAAGGGTGCAGTGGACCAGTGCAGGTTTCTCCTGTAGTGGGCTGGAGAGCGTTTTGTGGCTGCACGCTGGCCCACTCACCTGTTCCACATCTGAGTCCAAAGGCACATCTTCTTCTTCCTCTTCACTGGAGAAGGGACTCTCTTTTTCCTCCTTCTCCATGGCCACAAGAGCTGAGAAGAAGAACTGAGACGTTCTACTGCCTCCAGCGCCTGCCCCAGTCAGGCAACAAAGAGCATGGTGGTGACGGAGGCCCTGCAAGTCTGGTAAAGACTGAATGTATGTGTTGGGGCATGGGAGGAACTGAGAAGAATGGAGCAGAGGAGAGGCTGCCACGGCCTGGGATCCCCACAACTTCCCTCTGTATTCCCCAGAATTCCTCTGCAGGAAGCCAGTGCTCCCACCCTGTCCCACCCTGGGTCAGCACATCTGTGAGGATGGGTTACCTTGAGGGCTCTGGACTGGCAGGCCCCAGCCCACAAAGCTGCTCTCCAGGGCGTGGCGGGCCAAGGCGGAGCAGCTGCGGGGAGGCTTGGGTGGAGGCTCCATTTCCGGGTCAGGGGTAAGGTTAAGGGAGGACAACCGCTGGCGCTCCGGGCTGGAGAGGCGGATCTGCCGACGGGTGGGCTGGCTGGGATCTGGAACAGGACCGGCCCCCTCCTGCGAGGCTGTGGGAGTTGAGAGGCCTGGTGGCATGCTATTCTCACTTGGTGTGGGGAGCTCCTGGAAAAGCCACCATGTGGAGTGAGGTCGGGGGGTGAGGCCACCCCTTCGGAGCAAAGGTGAGCCTTGGCATTCATTCACTTAAAACCATTTACAAACAGTGTCTGGCTGTGTTTTAGATACTTGAGAGAACAAGAAGTGTAAGCAGACAGGCATCCCTGCCTTCACAGAGCTTACATGCTAGTAGAAGACGACATTCAGTTACCCCCAGCAAAGCGCTGGTTTGACGAGACCCTCTTCCTCTTCCCATGCCCCAATATACATACACGCCTTCAGTCTTTACCGGACTCTCAGGGCCTCTATCGCTGCCTTCCGCTTTGTGGTCTGTCTGGGGCAGGTGCTGGAGGCAGTAGAAATGTCCTGGAAAGGGTAGAGAGGGGAGGAGGCATTTGGTGTGGGCAGCCCAGTGCCCAGACACGCAACAGTTTATGAAGGAAGGTGGGGAAAACAAGACAGATTTGCAGGTGAATTTCTGCCAGCCTCCTGTTCCTCAGAACCACACATCTGGAGCTTTGCAGGGGACAGAGAAGACCCTGAGCTCAGGAGAACGAAGTGCCATCTTGAGCCTGTTTCCATCCTGTGCCTCTCTACCTCAAGCTCTGTGTCCCCCAAGCAGGGCCAGGCCCAGAGTCTCTCTGGAGGTCTCCCAGGCCCACTCACCATCTCCTGGGTGCTGCTCGTAGCCACCTGGCCACAGTGTGGCCTCACAGGTATGGCAGCGGAAGCAGCTCCGGTGGAAGAAATGGCCGTTGACACAGAGGCGTTCCAGGACATAGAGGTGTTCCCCACAAAGTGCACACAGGTCCCCAGCACCGGCCTGCGTGGACCCCCAGGACACAGGGTCAGGTGGAGCCAAGGCCAGCTCCAAAGTTCTTTCCCTCCCATGAAACGCCCCTGCCCTGCCCTCCCCGGGCCTCTGCCTGCACACAAAGCCTGGCTCTCACCTCCTGGTGTTGGGATGGGGGTGTCAGGGGTACACCAGGCTCTGGGTCAGGTGGCACCTCAGTACTTGGGGTCTCGGCCTCCATCTAAGGAGGTAAGTGCTCAGGCAGGGAGGGTAGAGGGGCAGGGCCAGCTGGGAGGGGATGCGTACAGATGAACACAAGGGGCTGAAGGGAAGGGGAGTGAGACTAGGCAGGGAGGCTGGATGGGGGGGTTACAGGACCTGGGGTGGGGAACAAGACATGGGATGAGAAATAGGGAAGACAGTACCAGGAAAGGGGATAAAATGTGGGGTAGGAGACCGACCCGCCCCTGCCTGCATTCACCTCCAAGCGCAGCTTCTTGCCACCAGCATCCTCTGCATTTTCCTGCAATAAGTCCTAACAGCTCTAAGTGTGATGTTTTGAGGTCCCAGTCCTCCCCACTTTCTGAATGTCCTCACCATCACCCCAGGATCTCCACTGGGTACCCCCCTGCCCACTCCTCCCTGCTCAGCTCCAGCCCTGCCTAAACTCTCCACCTTGGCCCGGGATCGCTGCAGGGTCCTCTGAAGTTTACTAAGGAATAATACAGCACTGGAGGTCCCTGGGGAGGCCTGGCTGACAGGGCCTGCGGGGAGAGCCAGGGCATCAGTGTGGATGGGGGGTGCCAATACTGTACTCTCAGAACAGACAGTCACTCTCCAACCCAGAAGGACACCTCTCCCAGGCTGGCCCTCAGAGGGCGCCTTCTTCCTCTTTCTGACACACACACACACACACACCGCCTTCTCCCTCTGTCACACACACACACACACACACACACACCTCCCCATCCCAGTTATCCTGCCCGCCTTTCCTTCAGGTCACCTGGGCTGTGGGCCATGCTCTTGAAGGCACTGTGGAAGTGGCTGAGGTAGGCAATGAGGCCCAGTGGGTCACTCCCTGCTACCACGGCCTGTGCAGACACCACCGGTGTGATGCCCAGCTCATTCTCTGCCACCTTTAGTGCCCAAGCAGTTGCTTCCAGAGCTCCCAGCCCCTGCAGCTCTGAGGGTTCCCTGTGGGATGTCAGGGAGAAAAGCCAACTAGAGACAAGAACCTAGCCCCACTGAGGGGAGGAAGGGCAGCAGGAGGGGAGGGACAGCAAGCAGCAGCTGGGGTACAAGAAGGCTTGAAGGTAGGTGTGTAGTCTCTGCTACCCAGTGCCCAACCCAGTGACACTACTCCTGGCTTTGGGGGCCTGTGCCATTCACAAAGCTCTCCACTATCTGAATGCATTAGAGTCTCACAAGACTGTCGGCAGATGCAGGGAAGCACACTGTCTCTAGGATTCAACTGGATATGCTAACTCCTACACTGAGATCATGAGAGAGAGGTGGGTCTGCCAGGGACTCACAGCAGGCCAGGCTGCAGCCGGTACACCAGGGCACACAGAGCTAGCCCATCAGCCCAGGAGGAAGACAAATCGGAGACGTGGACTCCCGGGTACCCAGCTGTCTGCTCCTGGCACCAGCGTAGCAGCTCCTCCTGGGTGCCTGCCGACCCTGGGAAAGAAGGCTGTGCTGTGCCCAAGGCCCCCTCTGCCCATCCCAGGCATATAGGGAGCCCAGCTGCTGCATGTGGGGGTTCTGTAGGGGAGGAGGAGTCAGGGACCCACCTCTACTAGGGCACCAGCCTAAAGCTGACTATCAGCAGCTCTCCATCCCAATTCTCTTTTAAAAAAAATCTCTTTGGAATAAAGTAGAGGAGTGAATAAAGTGAAATCGCAACTGGCCACATAGAGGGCAGCAGACTAAACTGGGGGCAGGGGAGGTTGCCAGCACCACTATGGCTGTAACGGTGGTTCAAACACTAACGCGCTTACATTCAGACTGGCAGCCAACTGCTGCCTGTGCGGTGCTGCCCCTCCGTTCCTCCAGCAGGCCCCCAACCAACCCACCAGCCAACAATGAGTGCTCCGGCACGCTGCTCCTGTCCTGAGGCTGCAGCTGCTTTGCAGGGACCACCTGGGCCTCGCTGGGTAGTACATATTTTGGTCACCCCTTGGGAGGAAGGCCTGCTCACCGGTGGCTGGCATCCCTGTATCTGTCTTGTCGTTGTTCCTCTGCACAGGCTCCTTGGCTAGCACATCATACAGGTCTCGTACCTAAGGCAGCCCCGCTCAGGTCTCAAGGCAGGCTGGCCACACAGCCCCTGAGTCCAGGGGTAAGGGCCTGCCGGGGGTAGGATTGACCCCAAAGGGCAGCGACTGGGCAGGGAGGGCCTGACCTGGGGGAAGGGGGTTGGCTTGGGAAGGCTGGTGGGTGTGTCGGGGGTCTGACCTGATTGGGGGTCACTGCCCGGAGGTTCAGGTTGGGGTAGCGGGTGGCTGGGTCCAGCCCATACTGGGCCACATTGCGATGCATGTTTTCTGGGGATGTCTGTGACAGAAGCTGGTACAGGCTCTCACTGAGGGGGTGAGGGTAAGGGGCAGGGGCATGAATGGGAGGGCACCTGTCAGCACCCACCTCTCAGGAACTGCCAGGCCTTTTCTTCTGCCTATTCCTCCGTCTATTCACTCAGCACCCCTGCCCCTCTTCCTGAACCTTGTCACATGTCCTGCCCTGCCCACATCCTCCTCAACTCAGGTCTTACCGCTCAGCCAACACCTCTAGGGACTCAGCGCCCTCTGCCCACCGCTTCACCATCCAGGCTGCATCAAAGGCTGCCAGGAAGCCCCGTGCCACTCCAGTGCCCAGGGGCCAGAAGGGCTGCAGTGTCAGAGGAATAGGAAGCAGCTCAGGGAGAATCCAACAGGTGCATCCCAAGCCCAGATATCCACCCAGGTCACAGCAGAAGGGGCCATCCCCACACCAGGCAGCCCTTAGCTCCTCCCCTCTGCAGGCAGACCTTTTTATCCCCTCCTCCATACTAGGCAGCTCCCTCCCCTAACCATGAAACCCCTGTGCCTCCTGAACCCCTCACCTCCACCAGGCAGTCCCCCACCAGTCCCAGCAGCAGGCGGGCGCCATGCTTCTCTTGCACACGAGCAGAACTCTCTGCCCGCATCATGCTCGTGAAGTCAAAGGCAGAGACATCAGGCTGCCCATGGGCATCCTGGGCAAACTCTAGTTTCCCGAGCTTGCCATGGGTGGCAAAGTCAGCAGCTGCCCGGGTAAAGCGCTGCAGAGCCTCGGGCACCACATTGGCACTGCCCAGCAGCCGATTGGTGTCTGGCCAGTCCTGTATGGTCAACAGAGCAGAACCTCAGAGACCTCTGAGAGCAGGGTCAGTGGGCCAGTGCCACCCCCTTGGGCGCAGAAGGTGCACATCCTGGGGCCCAGAGAAGGAAGGGGCTGCCCTAGACTACACAGCAGTTGAAGGCTGAGCTGGGACTAGAATTCCAGCAGCCTGGAATTCTCAAAGCCCTTTCTTCAACATTCACCCTGCTGCTGGGTGTCCCAGGCTCTGTTCTGCCCATATCATTACTGTCATATACTTGCCACAAACTCAAGAGCTTTAGTTTGTCCATCACTTAGAGACAACATGCCTAATTTATCAGGGTACTCATGAGAATTAGATGGGAGATGCAAATTTAACTCTCAACACAGTATCTAGCACATGGTAGGCACTCAACTAGTTCATTCATTCAGCAAATACATACCGAGCGCTTACTATGTATTTGGCACTGTTCCAGGTACTGGCAATTAGCAGCAAGCAACAGACAAAGAGACAGAAATGCCTGCCCTCATGGAGCTGACACACATCTACTGTGGCTGGTATAAGGTGTTTAGCCCAGAATATGATTCCTGCTGCCTTGTAAATCCCAGGGGAGAACTTTTTTTTTTTTTTTTTTTGAGACAGAGTTTCACTTTGTTGCCGAGGCTGGAGTGCAGTGGCACAATCTTGGCTCACTGCAACTTCCGCCTCCCAGGTTCAAATGATTCTCCTGCCTCAGCCTCCCTAGTAGCTGGGATTACAGGCGCCCGCCAACAAGCCCAGCTAATTTTTGTACTTTTAGTAGAGACGGGGTTTCACCATGTTGGCCAGGCTGGTCTTGAACTCCTGACCTCAGGTGATCCACCCACCTCGGCTTCCCAAAGTGCTGGGATTACAGGCATGAGCCACCATGCCTGGCCAAGAGAACTTTTAGAGGTGAAGTTAATGCCAGGACAAAGGCAGGAGAGGACGGGGTCCCCACACCCAGGTGTCGACTATGTCCAAGCCTAGCCTCTGCCTCCCGGGGCTCACCACCCAGCCTCTCCTGGCCAGGACTGGGCCTCACCTGGCGCAGCACCCCCAGCCGCAGCAGGCACTGCTTCTTGGCTGTCATCACAAAGTAGTGGGTGTCGTCCTTGTAGTACACAATGTTCTCCAGATCAATGCCTGGGGGTACAGGGCAGGGGACAGTAGATATGTCTCCTGATAATGCATCACCTTCCCTAAACATCCCAACATGGCCTGACCTCTGAGCTGGGATCCCAGCTTAGGCTGCGGTGAGTGCTCCACGCATAGAACCCCACGAGTCCTGATGACACAAACAACCATCTGTCCCAGGCCCAGGAGGCCTGAGGACTTAGAGCAAAGAGGGAAGCTTGGAGGGGGGTGGCATTTGGGAGACCTGCACCACCTGGTCGCATGGCAGTGCAAAACCAAAGTAAACAGAGGCACCTTCTTGAAGTACCACTTAAGCAAAACTCCCATACACAGGTTCATCTCTGAGAGATTCCAGGACTTTTCATGCTGGGTGATCAACTAGGGCTGTGCTTGCTTAATCCCTGAGGGGACAGGTTCCTTCTCCTTTGCTGCTGAGACCAAAAAAACAGAAAAGTGTGGAGTTCCTTGCAGTGAGGACAAGTTTGGAAGGGAGAGGCAGGAGCCAGGCCACAGTCAGGCAGGGGGAGGGGAAATTCAGCAAGAGGGTCCCTGACCTGTGGCTTTGAGAAGGCTCTGGAAGAAGCTCTGGTTGTAGATCCTGGCTACACCACTGATCTCCGGCACCTGTGTCTCCTCCACGGTGCGTCCATTCACAAAGTTGGCTGTGATGCCAATGGCCAGTTTGCCTCGCATTTCTCGAACTTTGAAGCCTAGAGGTGGCGGTAGGTGAACAATGGCAGGAGGAGGGGGTTATAACAATCTAGAAAGGCCCAGGATGTGCCAGAGATGCTGGCTTCTTTGAGGGAAGTGATCACTCACCTTCAGGGACGAATTTACCTCCTGCAGCCGAGATAAGGACGTCAAATTCATAGTTGGCCAGCTGGGCAGGGGGGTTGGGTTGGAGCTGGGCACGCCAGCCACTCCCTAGGGCAGGGGGTATGAGAGGCACAAAGGTGTAGAAGTCGTAAGAGCCCCTATACTCTCAGGACAAACCAGTGAAATCATCAAAACGTGTAAAGGACTCTCTGGTTTAGAAAGCAATGATATATTATCTATCAGATTACACCTTCACAGCAGCTATGGAAGGCAGGTGAGGAAGGAAGTGTTATTCTTGTTTTGCAAATGCTCAATCTGAGGCTCAGAGTGGCTTGCCCAAGGCCACACTATTAGAAAAGGAGACTCCTGGCTGGCATGGTGGGTCACGCCTGTAATCCCAGCACTTTGGGAGACCGAGGTGGGTGGATCACTTGAGGTCAGTAGTTCGAGACCAGCCTGGCCAACACAGTGAAACCCCGTCTCTACTTAAAAAAATACAAAAATTAGCTGGGCATGGTGGCACATGCCTGTAATCCCAGCTCCTCAGGAGGCTGAGGCAGGAGAATCACTTGAAACTGGGTGGCAGAGGTTGCAGTGAGCCGAGATCATGCCACTGCACTCCAGCCTGGGTGACAGAACGAGACTCTGTCTCAAAACAAAAACAGAAAAGGACACTCCTGGCCCATCCTTTTTCAGACACTGGCCAAGTTCTTGATGGGGGAGGGGGAGATTCCAGGGAGCATAGAAATACTTACCCTTCCTAGGAGGGGGCTGGAGGCCAGTGAAAGTGACACCCCAGTGAATTTCCACCCCCAGCAGCAATGCTACCTTCAGCAGAAGCAGCTGGAGCTGCCTGATGCCTGGAAGGGAGAGGACATTAGGAACAGGGACCCTAGGGCAGCACAAGCTCCCCATGTACCAGTGTGTGCCTGGTCAGGGTCAGACTGGAAAAGGCCTTAGCAATCACTCAGCCCAAAAGCCCACTTATAGATGGGGGACCTGAATCTTCAAGGTCACCTGGCTGATACGGATCTTGTCCACTTCGACATTTGGCTGTCCCAGCATTTCCCCACTGGCCTGCCTCTAGGCCCAAGCTCACCCGCCCCTCCAGGCCACCACGTGGTGCTCACTGATGTGGTCCAGGGTGCCGGTGCAGAAGCGCCCGTAGAACTTCTTAGCACCGAGTGCCCGCAGGTCGTGGATGGTGAAGGGCCAGAGGTGGAGCACGTTGTGGCGAGAGAACTTGGTGCGCTTTTCCACCAGCACCACTCGGGCCCCCAGCAGCGCCAGCTCCACAGCGACCCGCAGCCCGCAAGGTCCAGCACCCACCACCAGGCACTGTGAACACACAGGGCAGTGAGGGCATGGCATCCTGTCCGTCCTCTGACTCCCCGCATGCTCCACACCCCATCCCAGGCACCGTGTATCCACCTTGGTGCTGGTGCAGGCCCGGCCCTGCTGGTAGACAGGCTGGCCTGCTCGCTTGTCCAGCTTGGTCCACAGTGACTTGGCGCTCCAGTAGTTGAGCTGGTCCTTGATCTTGTGGTACTGGGGCAGCCCCCCACCGGGTTCCAGCCCCAGGGCCCCACACAGCTCCTGGAAGCTGCTCAGCACGTCCTGGCACAGCTGGGCCTGCAGGAAGCTCTCAAAGTGGGCATGCGCTGGGTTGGTGGAGGTAGGTGAAGCCATGGAGGCCTCCTGGGGAGGGCAGCAGCTGGGCAGAGATGAGTGGCTGGAGAGGTGGAAAAAGAAGGGGAAGAGGCTGGAGAACAGAAGAAATAAAAAGGAAGGGGAGGCGAAGAGAGCAGGCTGGTGTCCCCAGGGAGCTCGGGATTCACCAGTGATTGGCTCTGCTCCTCCCAGCCCATTCCCCTGCCAGCATCTGCTCCAGAGACAGCTGCTATCCAGTCCACTCCAAGTGAAATTTGCCAAATTTGGAAGTGAAAAACATTAGTCTTGGGCACAGAGGGCACATGGGACACCAGGGGAGCCTCCAGTTCAGCCTCCCTGTCCAGGGATCTCCAAGCCCTGGGGTAGGAATTCTTAGCCTGCCTTCCTTAGGCCTTGGAATCAGGGTGTGCGGGGATTTCTTAGATGTGGAGAGGACAGAGCTGCCTTTGCATGCAACACAGGGACAGATCTGATACCCACAACCCCAGCTGCTGAGCATACATCCTGCCCCATCTCCCTCCAAGCGTCCCTGTGCCGGCGCCCCTTGATGGCCTCAGTGCCACGCTGTGTCTGAGAAGTGTCTCATGGCAAGGGCAAAGTTTTCCTCAGCACTCGTGCTTGCCTCCTGACAGAGAAACAGCCTCTGTCCGCGTAGGTTCCACTTCCCTCCACCAAACTGCCTCAACAAACGGCGGGAGGATGTTGCGACTGACTGGGGAACGGAGGCCTGGGTCTATTTCTGACGCACTGTGGTCAAAACACTTCCTCTGTGAATGTGCCCTACTCCAGGGGGCCGTGGGTAGGGCTGGGGGTCGACCGCAGCCGGGTGCGCCCCTCCCAGGTTCCCCCCTCCCTGATCGACCCCTACCCCGCCCCGCCCCCTGTGCGCCCGGGCGCGCTCTCCCAGGAATCTCCGGAGACAAAGCCTCGCTTTGTCGCCCCCTCCCACGCCACCTGAAGGGTGCCCGAGGGGGTTTCTCACGCGGGGCCCAGAAGGTATCAGAGGGTATGGAGGAGGCGGGTGTCCACGGCAGCGTTAGGGAGGGTGAATGGCAGCAGTGGGGGCAGGTCCCTGAGGCTCAGGCCCCTCCACCATCCAGCTGCCCCTCCGTTCCCAGCCCGCCGCGCCGAGACAGGAGATGAAAGCCTCCCGCTGCGGGTGGCCCGGACGAGGGCAGACGGAATCTCATGACGGAAGGGCAAAGATCTTTCTTGGGGGTGGAGGGTGGAAGGAGGAAGACCTCGGCGAAAGGGGAGAAAGGAGCGACCCAGCCTGGAAACGCCAGGACAAAGGCTGTGAGAGGGGTGGAGCGGTCTGAAAGGATGGAGAGGGAGCTGGACCGCGGGCGGCAGCGGTGGGGGTCCCCGACACTGGACGGCAAAGTCCGGACGCGGCGTGAGCAGGGCTGGGCTGAGGGAAGACCTGCCTGACCTGCCAGGCGTGGTTCCCGAGCGACCGCAGCTGCGTTTCCCCGGAAGCGCACCCCACCTCACCCCACCCGGCCGCGGGGCTCGCAGCCGGCTCCGCTGGACGACTTACCGGCGGCTCCGAAGCCGGGAGGGGCCGCTTCCTGTTGGGCTGGCAACCAGGTCTGAGCGGGTGGGAGGGCGGGGGCGGGGGCGGGGGCGGAAACGCCGAGATCGGGCGGGGATGCTGGGATGCGGGGCGGCCCGGGGCGTGCGCCTGGAGTCGCGCGGAGTGTGGGCTTCCGCGAGGGGCGCGGGGCGCCGCCCGGGCTTTATTCGCGACTCATTAGCATCTCATTACTTCTGGATCCCTCTACCGCCTCCAGCGGGGACAGTCTTGGGCCCGCCCATGCCTGCAGGGTGGCGCCCGAGGGCGTGGCGCTGCGGACACCCCGTTCCGCTCTGGGGCCTCTGGGTGGGTCTGGCCTGTTGGGGGCTGAGGAGCTCGAGGGTCAGGGCGCCCAGTGCTGGACCGCGCACCCTCGGCCTGGGCTCCTTGCCGGTGCTTGCGCGTGCAAGGCTAGCTCTTTCCCCGCCGCAAGGCGAGGACCACCCGCCCCCGCCGCGGTCCCAGGTCCGCTGGCAGCCTCCCAGCGCCGGGCCGAGAGGGCGCTCAGGCTCCTCAAGAGGTTTGGAAAAGCCGGCGGGTCCGAGGGTGGCGCCGGAACGTCTGCGCTCTCCTCCGGTCTCCCACCTGGAGATCCACGGCCCGGGCGCCCCAGGATGGATCCAAGCGCAGAGTGCGCCTCCTGTGACAGAGGTCGACCCCTAAGCCCGGGCCGAGGGCAAAGGGCGCGGATTAAAGTCCTGGAAACTCAGCAATCTGCAGCTTCCAAATGGATATGAGAAGTGAGAGGGAAGGGGATGGCGGGGCGGGTTAGACCACCACTAAGAGATGGGGAATGGGAGGGGTGTGTGGAAGAGAGACCAAGTCTTCAAAGAATGCCTTAGAGTGAGGACCCACGGGACTGTCTGCTGAAAAGGGCTGGAGAGGCCTTTGGGATCAGCTTCGTCGTATTCCCGATAAGGAACAGCGCCTAAAGTGAAGGGACGCGTCCAGTCTTTTAGCTAGTTAATATTAAAAAACATCGTCTCATTTATTGACCGTCATCCTATGAGTATTACCTCAACATCAGTGCTTGCAACAGTCCCATTTTACCAAAAAGGAAACTGAGTCACAGATGTTCTGTGATCTGCACACAGCAAGTGGCAGAGCTGTTTGGGGGCCCAGGTCTGTCGGCTCCACCACCCCAGGGTTGACCCAAAATGACGCATGAAAGGCTGGCATTATAAGATGCTGTTTCTTGTTTAGACGAAGTGATACTGTTACACTGGAAGCACTAATAAAACCCAGGTATAAATAAGAGGGTTGCTGTCCTTGAGATCCAGAGACCATAAAGAGCTGGGAGGGAATAGGGCCTCTCCCTTTATTCTCATTTTGCATTTCATCTGGAAAATATCTGAGACCCAGTAAGACCTGAACACTCACTGTTCCCAGCTCGAGCTGAGAAGCAGGCAGTGGGACGAAAGCAAGGGGAAATGCCTGTTCTCTGCCAGGAGAGGCGAGGGAATTCAGCCAGGTCACGCTCAGAAAACTAGGGCAGCCTCTCAGTTGGGCCCATCCTAGCTTTTGAGTGTGACACGTCATTTGGCTTGAAATGAATTTGCCGAATATCAGACACACCCATATTTAAATACATGGTGTAAAAACGTTCTAAAGTCCACTACAGCTGGGTTACCCTGGGCTCCACCACCCCAGGGTTGATTCAAAATGATGCGTGAAAGGCTGGCATTATACGAAGCTATGTCTTGTTTAGAGGAAGTGAACTGTCACGCTGGAAACACTAATAAAACCGAGGAATAAAGAGGAGGGTTGCTGTCCTTGAGATCCAGAGACCATAAGAGATCCAGAGACCATAAGAGATCCCGAGACAGTCCCTGGCTTCTAGAATAATCTCATTTCCCTTTCACTAGCAGATGGTACACAACTAGCCGCTCCACTTACTACAACTACAGCGGCTACAACTAGCCGCTCCACTTTGCAAAGGCTTAGTGGGGTCTGGCTTGACTCAATGCCTTTTGCCAAGCAGGGTCATGTGGCTCTATGAATGACACATCATAAAATTTGTCTTTAAAGAAGATCAGAGAACAATAATGAGTTCATCAGTGCTAAAAACTGCTGACTTGAAGTTTCAACTTATGCTAATTAAATACTTAACATGGGGGCATAAAGCAGCAGGGAATACATTGTTCTGGAATCCAGAAGGTCTGGTTGGATTCCAGCTTTGCTTCACGCTAGCCTAGTGTGACCTTGGATGTCACCAACCACACTTCGTCTGCCCATCTCTAAATGGAGGCAGTTTAATTACTCAGCCTTCTCAGCCCATTTCTACTCCAAAATCCTATCATTCAATGCTGTCCTAAGAAATGAACAGACTAGAAGACCCAAACCAAGTTCTACTTAGAATTTCTTCCAAGAAAAAAAAAAAAAACTCTATTAAAGCTATTTATTAACCACAAGAATTTCTCTCCTTAATTAGAATCTTGAGTCATGATTCAAATTATGTGTATGTAGAACTAAAAATACTGGCACAATCACATTGGCCAATTCATATTGGATCAAATAAGTGGGTGACACATGAAGTCAGTTTAAAGAGTCCCATTCTAAGGCTGGGCACAGTGGCTCATGCCTGTAATCCCAGCACTTTGGGAGGCTGAGGCGGGCAGATCACCTGAGGTCGGGAGTTCGAGACCAGCCTGAGCAACATGGAGAAACCCCAACTCTATGAAAAATACAAAATTAGCCAGGCATGGTGGCACATGCCTGTAATCCCAGCTACTCAGGAAGGCTGAGGCAGGAGAATCGCTTGAACTCGGGAGGTGGAGGTTGCGGTAAGCTGAGATCGTTCCATTGCACTCCAGCCTGGGCAACGAGGGTGAAACTCCGTCCAAAAAAAGAAAAAAAGGAGTCCCATTCTAATGTTTTTGCAAACGGTAAAACCTAGCAGTAGCCTAGGTTAAAACCTGAGCCATTACGACAGGATCCTCCTTCCTCTGCCCCATACCATGTTCTGTCACCTCCCAATTTCTTATCTCCTGGGCCCAGA
This sequence comes from Homo sapiens, assembly GCF_000001405.40. NCBI lineage: Eukaryota > Metazoa > Chordata > Mammalia > Primates > Hominidae > Homo > Homo sapiens. Next base: position 109,458,753 of record NC_000006.12, read on the forward strand.
AACTGGGTCCCTAGTACTGTAGGTGGCATGTTTAAGTCACCTGTAATATGGCTTTGTACCTGCAGGCCAGTATCTTCAAGCAACAAACCCATGGTCCTGGGCCGGGAAGCTGTGGCTGCAGTATAGCCAGAGACAGAGCCCATGATTTAAAAAGTGACATCTGCGCCAAAGGTGTAGAGAGTGCCATGAGAGGATGTGACAACATGGTTTGATTGAGGTTAGAGGACAGATGAGTACTCATGAATCAGAGTGGGGGCAGACAACTTTCAAGGCTGAGAAACCACCTGCCACAAAGCCTTCAGGCAGGAAAGAGCTGGGTATGTTTGGGGAACACCAAGGAACCACGTGACGAAATGAGAATGGGGAAGAGGGTCCCAAGAGGAAGTTGGAGATTTTATTCTAAAGGCCAATGGAAACTCTGTAGAAGGATTTTAAGCAGAGCAGAGACACGGTCATATTTATCTTAATAACTAATGCAAATCCATTCATTCAGCAAGGCACTCTGTTTGATGCTAAGCTAAGGGTACAATGGTGAGCCCAAACAGATCACCACTTCCAGTGGAGAAAGCCCAGCAGGAGGTGGTAGAAAGGATCAATCAGGTCTTTGTCAGGAGTACAGGCAAGTGACATGGTATAGTGAGGATGGGAGAAGTGGATGGAGTCAAAAGATATTTCAAGGTGAAACTGACATAACATGGCCATGAATTGGGTGTGGGGGTCAGGTGGGCCCCTTCAAGAATGACACCCAGCTTTGTCTCTTGGCTTGGAGTGGGTAAATCACAAACTTGGGGCCCCCATTCTTTCCTATTTTTCCTTCCCACCTTATTCCTCTGTATGCTGCTTTTTACTCAATACCTTCCCCAGAAGTCAAAGCACAATTATGATTTCATAGATTCTGAGATAACACAAGGACTCTACCTTGAGAGGCTGCAAAGATTAAACACATAAATAGGTTCAGGATCAGTTAAATACTTGCCCATATTTTTGTAATAAGACTGCCTTTGCCCTTCAAACACTAAGATTATAAGAAACATTTATCCAGAAGCCACTTAATTAACCAAACTAAAATTATCTTGACAGGTGGATTTTTAAAATGTAGTTTTGTTTTTAACTCTGATTTAGTCTAAGGAAGCTTCAGTTTGACTTTTCATTTAACAAGGATAGTCATATGAATGAACTAAAACCAATACCCAAACTATTCTTTTGGAAAATCATCTTTGAATTATATTTAAAGTGACATATTATGGATATTATGAATTCAGAATAAAAGTTCTCTATCCTGACCCCTGCTCAAATTTTTTCCTTTTTTCACACTTCACACTGAATATAGTACCACTTTTCAGACTCATAAAAAAGCTAAGATCCCTTGCTGTTACCAAAATGTGTTTAAATTCCTACATTTTGTATTACTGAGAATGTGGGCTGAGTACAGTGGCTTGTGTCTATAATCCCAGCACTCTGGGAGGCTGAGGTGGGAGGATCACTTGAGCTCAGGAGTTTGAGACCAGCCTGGGTAACGTAGTGAGACCTTGTCTCTAAAAAAAAATCTAAAAATTAGCTGAGTGTGGTGGTGGTGCATGCCTGTGGTCCCAGGTACTCAGGAGGCTAAGAGGCTGTAGTGAGCCATGATCATGCCACTGCACTTCAGCCTGTGACAGAGCAAGACCCTACGTAAAAAAAAAAAAAAAAAAAGAAATGTAATCGAATGAGCTTTAGTTTAAAAGCTGTTGATGTCCCATGTTTCAAGTTAGAATGAAATATATATATAAATACACACACACACACACACACACACACACTCCAGTAAGCTAAAGTCTTTTGCTGCTTAATTATGTGTAAAGGATTTGAGAGCAGGATAAACTATCACAACATTCCAGCTTCTTTTAGAGGTCACTCCTTGAGAGCTGCTATTTACAAAAGGCAAGGCAAGCAGATTTTTCACAGGTCATTCCTCTTTATCTGCTATTTACAAAAGCAAAACAAAGAGTTTTCTTTCAATTCTTAAGAGTTTAGGCTTAAGTTTAGAAACTGAAAATGAAATTTTACCTTAATGCTTATTAAGGATAACAAAAATAAAACAAACCTACCCTAAACTTAAAATATCCTCAGTCAAAAATTTGAAAAAAGGGCTCACTTACAGAGGCTCCTGTTAACTAAGACATTTTCACCTTACCAGTAACTTTCATCCAACTGGCAAATTTCGATTAAGCTTTTTTTTAAATTATACTTTAAGTTCTAGGGTACATGTGCACAACATGCAGGTTACATAGGTATACATGTGCCATGCTGGTATGCTGCACCCATCAACTTGTCATTTACATTAGGTATTTCTCATAATCCTATCCCTCCCCCAGCCCCCCACCCTATGACAGGCCCTGGTATGTGATGTTCCCTGCCTTGTGTCCAAGTGTTCTCATTGTTCAATTCCCATCTATGAGTGAGAACATGTGGTGTTTGGTTTTCTGTTCCTGTGTTAGTTTGCTGAGAATGATGATTTCCAGTTTCATCCATGTCCCTGCAAAGGACATGAACTCATCCATCCTTTTTTATGGCTGCATAGTATTCCATGGTGTATATGTGCCACATTTTCTTACCAATTAAGCTTTAAATCAATAGTAGTGAAACACTAACATGATTATATGGTAGTTACTGAATTTCTGTAGACCGTAACTTTCACTACTATTGTTTTATGTAAAAAAGTTATAATTGTATGCAGGTGGCACATGCTTGTAATCCCAGCACTTTAGGAGGCCAAGGTGGGAGGACTGCTTGAGGCCAGGAGTTTGAGGCCAGCCTGGGCAATATAGTGAGACCCTGTCTCCACTTAAAAAAAGAAAAAAGTATGCTATAATTCCAGACATAGACCCTCAATTTTAGTCAAAAACTTCTATTACATTAAGCAGGTCACATTCTTTAATTAGTAAGTTCTTATTAAATATGTAATTTTTAATAAGAACTTAATAAGTGGGAAATAAATTATGTATTTAATAATAAATAAGAAATTACTTATTTAATAAGAAAATTGTCCTTTTCTTTTGGTTCTATTAACCTTGGGAATAAGAAATCCAGCTTAAAGTTTTAAAAGCCTGTGCCCTAGTTCTGGTTCTACCACTTACTGTATGACATTTGGCAACAGACTTTCTCTTTGGGCTCCATGTTCTCATCTGTCCAATAAGCATAATAATTACTCACCTCACCAGAATGTCATGAAGATTAAGATGAGACATGCTTCCAGTGGTTAAGGTGTGTCCCAGACACTGCTCCCCTCCTCACTCAGATGCCAGTTGTTAGGAGGTAAATTGTGTCCCCCTACTCCAAATTCACATGTTGATGTCCTAATACCCAGCATCTCAGAATGGGATTGTATTTGAAAAGATGATTAAATGAGGACATTAATGTGGGCTGATCCCATACAACTGGTGTTCTTAAAAGAGAGTAAGACAGAGGGAAGGACATGTGAAGATACAGGCAGGGGAAGACAACTAGAAGGGAGGCCTCAGAAGAAACCAACCCCACTGACACGTTGATCTTGGACTTTCTATTTTTTCAGTCACCCAGTCTGTGGTATTTGTTATGGTAGTCATGGCAAACTAATATACCAGTCATGAACAGAGGGGACTGGAGTCCTCCAACCAGAGGGTGCTATATTGTAAATCTGTGTGCCATGACATGGAAGATGTTTGAGACCCAGTAAGATATGATACAGATTTAACAGACCTGGCTTGGCTCCTGGACAATAGTAAGGACTCCATATTTGGAAGATATTGTTACATTCCCATTTATGAAAACCTAGATAAGCATCTATAATGAGAATCCTAGGTAAGCATTTATAATGAGAATCTTTTTTCATTCCTCAGCATCATTTAATCTGTTGCTCACAACATTTATAACACAAGAACCAACTGTAGAAAATACAGAGTAGAGGTGAGTTTCAAGAAGCACTGGGCAAGCACTTGAATAACTGATTTTGATGGTAAGAGCTCCAATCATCCCAAGGCAGACCCTCTTCTGGGAGAAAACCAAAGATTCACCTTCAAAACGAGGTGTTTCAGGAGCCCCAAAGCATAACATTCTATTTCCTAAGAAACACACTCTATATTTCTGTTAAAACAATTTAAAAAATGGTACACATTTAGTAGAAAATGAATTGTGAAACACTGCACTAGCAACATCATTTCTCAAGGACACATGAGAAGTACTTTCATGTTCACGACATTTCTTTTGGGTACTCAAGTCATTTAACTTTTTTTTTTGAGACGGAGTCTCGCTCTGTCGCCAGGCTTGAGTGCAATGGCGTGATCTCAGCTCACTGCAGCCTCCGCCTCCTGGGTTCAAGTGATTCTCCTGTCTCAGCCTCCCGAGTAGCTGGGATTACAGGGGTACACCACCACGCCCAGCTAATTTTTGTATTTTTAGTAGAGATGGGGTTTCACTATGTTGGTCAGGCTGCCCTCGAACTCCTGACCTCGTGATCCGCCCACCTTGGCCTCCCAAAGTGCTGGGATTACAGGCATGAGCCTCCACGCCCGGCGTCATTGAACTTTTTTATTCAAAGGGGTAGAATGTATATGTGGGACAAAGAAAGAGGCTAGATTAACAAAGCTATCATTTCCTTGTTTCTCTTTGACAGCTGGTCAAATAATTCAGGCATAGCTAGGACTGATGCTCAAGTTAGAAACAGGTGGCCCATGCTGTCCAATATAGCAGCCACTAGCCACATGTGCTTATCAAGCATTTGCACTGTGTCCCATGCAACAAGGAACTGGATTTTAATTTTAATAAATTTAATATAAATTTTTAAACTGATACTTATTTCAATTCTTGAAAAAAACTTTTGTCTTAGCTACTTGATATGAGAATCTGTTTTCAACTGTAAGTTGTATGAAATCTAAATACAGATCAAGTATGTCCAATGAACATTAGCATCCAAATGGAGATGTGCAGAAAGTGTAAAATACACACCAGATTTCGAAAGCTTAGTATGAAAAAGAGAATGTAAAATGTCTCACTAATATATTTTTATATGTTGAAATATTTGGCAAATGTTGGATTAAATAAACTTTTATTAACATTTTCACCTGCTTCTTTTTATGTTTTTAAAAGTTGCTACTAGAACATTTAAAGTGACCTATGTTGTTCATGTTATAGTTCTCTTAGTGTAGAGGTAGACTGTTATAGAGCCAGTGAAACTTGACTTATAAATAGCTATGTAACCGTATTTTCTGAATAATCACCTAGCTATCCAGAGTGAGTAAACACTCACTTACTTAAATATTTAATTTCCTGGAGAAAATGTGGATTGGTGGGCTTTGAAAAGTTGGTAAAAACTTTGTGTTTTAAGAATAAAATTAAACAGTTTAAACGAGAACCTGAAATAATACTTAGGGCTTAACAGTGTTTGTAAAAAATTGTTATCTTTGCTCTAGTCAGGCCTGATTTAACATTAGTTTGGTTGATACATATAAGATATATATCATTTTGGAAGTTTTGTGAATTACATATAATAAAATATAGCTTAGCAAATATGCAACCAAAATGTTTTTATCTTCTCTCAAACCTGAAGAATTCTCTATTACTCTAACCTCCAAATAACTTATTTGATTTAGGGAGAAATCAAGGATGTCTAAAACAAAACAATTGATGGAAAGGCTCTATTAATTTTAGAGTAGATTACCCCCTACTCCCCATCAGCATTGTTAATTTAGATATACTAGTGCCCACCTTCTTTTCTCAAAAATCCCCTACCAGCTTACATGAAAGTGGTAAAAGAATTCAATAAGCTTAGCTTGAAAACCTAACCCAAACATAATTTAATCTTTTGATGATGATTTAAAAATCATACAATTACAGACACATGCTGGCTACAAAGTCTCTGAGGCTCAAAGTTTTAAGATTAGATGAAGATTAGCTGGGTGTGGTGGTACATCCCTGTAGTCCCAGCTACTAGGGAGGCTAAGGTGGGAGGGTTGCTTGAGCCCAGGAATTCGAGGTTACAGTGAGCAATGATTGTGCCACTACACTCTGGCCTGGGTGATACAGTGAGACCCTGTCTCTAAAAAAGGAAAGATTAGGAGAAGATATTCACTTTGTGGGATTTAACTAGTCTGCAATAAAAATGAATTATAAGCTTCCATCTCCAGAAAGTTATCAGACACAACACGTAGATCAACATTTTCAGGAGATCAGTTAGAATTCAGTAGAGTATATATAAGACTTAAATTACACTGAATAAAGTTTTATGTTCCAGAATAGTGAAGAAAGCTTTACCTTCATGAAAATCAAATCTCTTTTCTGACAAAAATTCAGAATTTAGGGTGAATGTCTTGATCCAATTTTGTATTTTAAACTTAATTAAAATTTTGATAGCCTTCTGTTGAAAAATATGTAAATTTATGTTTCTCAGAAAAGACGAATTCAGAATTTTAAGAAATCCTATGCTTTTGGCTATCTTGTTACATGAATTTTGAGTTAAAATACTGAGTTTATGAGTTTGAATCTTTCTGAAGTGTTAACACAATAAGCCCACTGTACTGCATAAAGATAAAACGTTGAGGGTTACTTTGTCTTAGGGGACTGGAAATTATTAAAAGGGCAAATTCCCCATACATTGTGATCTGTCATATTTAGCCCTGACTTGTCTTGTGGTAACAACTGTGTTGCCTAAGAAAAATAAGAAAATAGAACAAACCATTCTGCCCAGTTCAACCAAAATGACTCCCTTTGTCCTAGAAAACAAAAAAACATAACTGGGGAGGTTGGCAAGACCATAACCTATGGCTGTGAACATTTAAACCTTACAGAAAAACTGAGATCAATGCCCCCAAAGAAAAACTACCCGAGTCTTTATGAGACATTGCAGATTAAAATGAAAACCATTCAATAATATTGAAATGCTCAATACAAATCAGTACCTTAGACAAGACATACACACATCTTGCTACCTGGATGGAGGGCATTATAAACATCAGTTAGCCATCACAGCTCTCACAGAAGCATCTGCAAGTCAATGGTGTGGAGAGCCTGATTTCAAGCGTTCAAAATCCAGTCAGAGCTGGCTTATAAGAAGAGCCCAATCAAGCAGTCAAACGTGTTTACAGGTCAGCTCTGCTCCTGGCCAAGTGGCGTTGGCTGGGGCACGTGGTGAGTGGGTGGTGGCGGACCAGGCTCCTGTGTCAGCTGCAGGTGCTGAGCTGGATCTGAAGTACTTGTAGCTAAATGGAGCTCCTCTGTTTGCTCTTGATGGGCATGAAGATGTTCCAGTGTTTCCTTGGACAGAGTGATCACGTGCACTGGCTCTGTTTGTGAGGGCCCCATCTGGCTTTCAATCATATTGAGGCTCTGAATGTGTTCTGTTTGCTCCTGTTGAGCTGAAAGAATTAAATTCTGCAGTTGCTCTGGCTGCTGCGTGAGCAGGGTAAGATTAGCAGCCTGGTCTGCAGTCATGTTTTGGGAACTCTCTGCAGTCACAATGCTGATTCCCTGGCTAGGACCGGGCATGAAATTGATGTTATGTACAGAATCGGTTACGAGAAGCTGAATTTCCTGCTCTCCCGAGGTAGAGAGTTGATATGGCTGTAGCTGAAGAATATTCCTGACCTCTTCTGTATTACTACTGCCAGAAATGCTGCTGGCATCTGAAGCATGCTTCTCCTTGCTATGAATTTTCAAGTGAGCCTTCAAGTTGTCTAAGCGAGCAAACTGTAAGTTACACTCAGGGCAGGAGAAAGGCTTCTTGCCAGTGTGTAGAATGCAGTGTCTCCTTTTGGCACTGGAGTCAGAGAAGGATTTGCCACAAATGCCACAGGAGTATGGCTTTTCTCCTCTGTAAGAAAATAAACATTTTATTTTTAAAATGGAAATACCTACTTACTACTTCCTGATTATTTAGGGGGAAGCAATCAAGAGTAGTGGAAAATTAACTAGACTGCAAGTCATAAGTCATGGGTTCACCTACTAATTCAAGGACTTGAAGCAAGTCTCGCTTCCATGGGCAGTTTTTAATCTGAAAATAGGGTGTGGGTGGTGCCTGAGGAAGGGTGGCAGATGGGGCACGGCTATATATGATAAAATTTTATGATTCCACAGTATGTATTTCAGATAAGAAAAGAGAGTAAATATTTATACAATAAACATATAGTTCTCTTTTGTTTTGTCTTAGTTTTCAGAGCCAATTTTTAGACTCTAATGGCCCAATAAGTATCTATGATTAATGTCAATTTAAAAAATTTAAGCATCCTCTAATTATTTGTGATGCTGTCAGAAGAACTCCTAAGTCCAACCTGGGGATAACTGTGTAAACAAAAACATTTATTCAGAAAACATCAAATTTAATACTTATTTTTGATTGAAGATTTAAGCTTTGGACCAATCCGTAGCCCCAATCAAAATTTAATAAATGAAATCAGTAATGTAAACTTTTACTGGCCAGAATCAGCATTCCTTTTTACCTAGGTGAGGAATTTCATTATTGAAAAGATAAAACAAAATAGGCCAGGTGTGGTGGCTCACACCTGTAATCCCAACACTTTGGGAGGCCCAGGCAGGCGGATCACTTGAGGTCAGGAGTCTGAGACCAGCCTGGTCAACATGGTGAAATCCCGTCTCTACCAAAAAAATACAAAAACTAGCTGGGTGTGGTATCCCAGTTACTCAGGAGGCCACGGTGGGAGAATCGCCTGAACTCCCACCTGCACTCCACTCACACCACTGCACTCCAGCCTGGGCGACAGTGAGACCCTGTCTCAAAACAAACAAACAAAACAAAGCCAAAGTAATAAACTGCACACAAAATTCTGCAAAGTAACAACTGGGAGAAAACTATATAGGTAACACATGTCACCTCACTGAACAGCAGAACTGAATGAGGCCTCCATGCGAGAAAAATATCTGCAAAACTTTACCGATGGATTCTGATGTGGGTCTGAAGAGAACTCTTTGCTGTGAAAGATTTGCCACAGATTTCACAAGTAAATGGCTTCTCACCTAAAAAAAACAAAAACAAAAACAAAAAACCCAAAACAAAAAAACATTTAACAATATACATTCAGAATAAGACAAAATTAAAAAAACACTTCGGTTTCACAATATAAACAGAACAAAGGCAATCCCCTCCGTAAGCGTAAACGAATGATGCACTCACCAAATATCTACTCTGTAACTAACCTAAGCACTGTGTGCCGAGTGCCAAGAGCATACACAGAAATCGTAAGGCATGGTTCTCTTAAAAACCTGAAAACTGCAACAAGGAAGTGAGTTACACTGTATTTACTCCTGTTTTCTCCCCTTAGATATTACAGCACCTATGCTCTCCTGCCTTATTGCTTGGCTAGGTAGCCCACTTGACCCTGAAAGGACTCCTGTGTGCTAGGGTGAGTTATGTATTATTCATGTTTATATCAACCTTCCAAATATATCCAGAATCTGACCACTGCTCAGTACCTCCACTGCCACTCTCTTGTCCACACCACCACCATCTCTTGCCTCTTATGGGGTCTCCATTTCTGCTCTTGCTTCCCTGCCATAAACTATCAATATGGCCACCAGAGTGAGCCTTGATGCAGTCAGGTCATTTTATGCTTGGGCTGCAAATGTTCTGATGATTTCCCACCCCAGGATAAAACCCAAAGTTCTTGCCCTACAAGCGATCATAGATCTGTACCCCATAAACCCTACTCCTCACCCCAAACTTCCCGGATCTCATCTCAGGGTGTCTCCCAGCATGGTTCACTCTCCTCATCTCCTTCAAGTCTCTGTTCACATGTTATTTTATCAGTGAGGCTCCATCACCACCAAGAGCACTACAAACCTTGCCACGCACTCCTTAGTCCAATTCTCCAATTTAGTTTTTCCACAATGCTATTGCTGCCTCATATAATGTATAAGTTATTTATTATCCATTTCTTCCTTTTTAAGATAACTTGTGGGTATGTCTGCTCCTAGTACCCCAGTGCCGAGAATCTGGCCTGGCATGCCATTTCAGAAATCCCTGCTGAATGAACTTCATGGGAGTGGCACACCTGAGATGCTATAACTGCTCCAGAACCCACCAGGCTTCACTAACATCAGCAAGTGCTTATTCAGTGTGTTTGCATGCTGAACATACAATGACAGACTGTTCATGTTCCCCAGAAACAAAATTAAGTAATCCAATGCAGGCAAGAAAACTAAATTGGAAAAAAAGAAAAAAAAAAAAAAAGCAAGCAGCAAAATCCACTTAACTGGAGAACAGGAGAACAGCAAAGGATAAGTACAATTTGAAATGGAAGATGGTCAGTGAGCTTCCCTTTCACAGCATCTACTGGAAAATTCAGGCAAGACATTTCTCCAAGCTCCATCGAGGCAGAGGACAGCTGTAACAACTCGGATGAATCTGCATCTTTGCATCATGAACTCTTACCACTACAAAGATTAAAACCAGGCAACTGCCATAATCTGTCTATAGCTTTCTACATCAGAGCTGGGGCCTTCTCTGATCTTGGTTGGTTTTCTCCCTCTCCAGATTCAAAGACTGAGTACCTGCTGTTTGCTTGTGATTGTAAAATTCTTGTTGCAGTTTTCAGGTTTTTAAGAGAAAGAACAGCAACAATCATCCATAACAACATTAACTATACCATTCAGCTCCAGCTGAGTTTCTATTTCAGAAAGTCTGTCTGATGGCAAATGTTTTTTGAGGGTAAGTGTTTGCAGGAGCAACATCCTGCAGTGGAAGCTCTTTGAGGGAGTGAGCAGGACAGTGGGAAGGCAAATTTCCCTAGCCAAGGTCAATCTGCAGGGGGTCTTCCCGCTTAGTGGTTTCTGATCTGTTCCCCTGTGCACAGCTCTACCACCTTCAATGGAGACACCCATTCCTTAAATTTATTTAGTTCTCAAACACTGATAGACCATCAATAAAGTACACAGCTAAGAAACAAAAAAGAAACTTTTCTAATCTACTTGAGGAGATGCACAAACTAATTAAGTAACATAGGGCTGTGTTTCACTGAACATTAAAACGAGTGGCGTCAACAATTCTGAGTGCAGACAGGGTGCTGGATGGGGTGGGCAGGATCTGGCTAGACTGGAAAGAAGCCTGGGCCAGGGTACTAGTCTAAATAGTATGAGCAGAAGCTGGTGTCAGAAATGACTACACGGTGTGCACCAGTGACCAAGGATCACTGTCAGGAGTCAGGAGGCCAAGGCAACAGGAGCTATGAAATCCAGGCAGGGGACCTGTGGAGCCTCTGGAAGTTTTTAGCAGAATGACATGCTGAAAGTACTAAGAAAATACACCTGGGAATGATGAGGAGGGTGGGCTAGAGGCAGGAGGACCTCTAACAGGCTATGCACAAGGCCTGGACCAGGAGGTGGCAGGAGGCAGACGGAGAAGGATAAGGTAATAGGACAGGGCCTGAGAGGCATGGGGACCGGAAAGAAGTGTGTTACAAGAGGATTAGACAATAGCGATTAAAGGAAAAGGCAGAGACAGGAGTGTGATGAAAGGTTCCACCCAGGGTGATGTCAACAGAAGTACTGAAACAGCTCCAGGGTGTACTTCCAGACCCTCTTCTCAGCAGTTACTACACCAATCCCACCCACCCAGGGTGATGTCAACGGAAGTACTGAAACAGCTCCAGGGTGTACTTCCAGATCCTCTTCTCAGCAGTTACTCCACCGATCCCACCCCTACCCTTCCCCAGTGACTTAAATCCCGGACCCCACTCCAGATAGGATCGATGAGTCACTGCTTATTGGCATCACAGCTGGATTTCCCATGCCCACCTGCTGAAACCCAGAATAACATGGGGCATGACATGTTAATGACAACATCACCCAGCCCCTGTCCAGCCAGGCACAACAATCACAGTGACACCTCCCATTCCCTCAGCTGTCACATTCACCTGGCAGTCCAGTTCCGTCCGTGTGGACCCCTCAGCATCCTGCCTCCCACTGTGGACCACGGCTTTGTTTTTCTTAAAAAATTACTGTGTTCATTGTAAAAGAATCAAATATTGAAAATACAAAGAATATTAAAACTGCTCCACTATTCTCATCTCTTGAGACAACCAGTTAACAATGGCGAATATCTTTACAGACAAATCTGTTTATTTGCGGTCTTACTGTGTGAGGTCATCCAATGCATGCCGTTTGTCACATCAGTAAAGCCACACCACCATTTTAAAACCCTGTGCTGTGTACCATTGTGTGTACTGCCCCAAATTTACCTATCTAATCCCCTCCTGGGACATTCAGGTGGCTGTTAAGCTTGTTAAGTTATAAACAATGCTGCCTATGATGAATATCCTTAGGCAAACATCTTTTCACAATTGTGCAGTTTATGTTTTGGTAAGTATTGCAAAAGTTCCTTCCAGGGGGTTCCCAAATTATATTCCCACCAACAATAAATAAAGATGTGCATTTCCTCATGTACTTGCCAATCTTGGCAAAAAAGGGACACATGTCCATGATAACTGTGGATAGCATGGTTTGACACCTGTGTACTTGGCATTCCTATATGGTCTTCTCAGCTGTTTCCTGTCCTGTGTTCACACCTCTGCTGTGGCTCTGACCACGCCATACTGTTTCATAGTAGATGGCACGTAGACTCTGTAAGGGCATGTTATGGTGAGGGGCCCCCAGGTCTCAGGAAGATGGGAAGACCCCCAGGTCTCAACGTTAATGGATGGTCTCAACACACAGTTGAAGAGATTTGGGAAGCTTCAACTTCAAGCCACAATGAGGCTGTGAACAGAACTGTGACTTACTGAACTTTATCATTTGTTCCCTGACAGGGCCATCTACCTGTGAGTAGGAACCCTCAGGGCAGAATCAGTGTTTATGGAACACCATCCAGGAACAGGGACACTGGCGGGGTGGGACTGTGCTGTGGGGTCAGAGGTCACTCACCAGGCTTCTCTGTGACCTGGGCTAATTCCCTTGACTTGTTCCCAGCTCACCATGCAATCTTCTGATCACTAACTTGGCTTTCGGGTCACTAATGTGAGGAAGGAGGTGCTGTGGGCAACAGAAAGGTGTAATCCCTCTATTGAGTTGATATATCCTCTGGTTTATCTGTCCTGTGAACTCATTTGGCTTGATTGGGTCCCTGTAAACCTGACCAGTGCCAGGTATGGGGACAAGATGTGAGCAGAAGGGCCTGAGATGTGGTGACCTGGCAGGTACTGCTTGTCTGCCTGACACTTTGCCTCCATGTCAAAATGTGTTCACCTCCCTCACTGGGGATGCACTCCTAGGAAAGGGAACATCTCTAATTTGCCTTTGACTTCTCCAGTGCTTGGTGCAGGACATCTAACCCAGAGAGTTTGTGCCTAAAGATCTAAGAGATGAATGACAGCTCATCTCTAAGAGATGAAGTCTTGGTTTCCAGCTGAGCATGGCCCTGAGAGTAGGACTGGCACTTCTCACTCTGAATGCCCAGGGAGCAGGGAAATGGCACGCCAATGCCCTTCACCAACATTCAAGCAGATTCTCCATGCTGATGCTAGGGACAGATGGGTCATAGTTGCTGCTCTTGAAGAACCCCAATTTTTTGATAGGTTCAATTTCTTTTCATATTTCTAAGTCATGCAAACCACAGAGGCCCGTCTGTCTCCTTTTTAACTCATCACACATCTTCCACTTTCTGTTCTGCTTCTCAAAGTTGACAGGCTGAGAAGAGTTTGCTGGAATTATAGTGGGGGAGGTCTTCTGTTCCTTTTCATCCCCACTTCAAGTCCTACTGCTACTCACAAAGCCCAGAAACCTCACTCCCCCTTATGCTCAGGCAACAGAACCAAGGGGAAGTGCCTCTTCTGGCACTGCTCAGCATGACCAAGCCAGCTCCACGCTCCTCCACCACCGCTGTCTCCCTAGGGAACTCAGCACAGCGCCACCCACTATTTGCAGGCACATGTGCACCTGTGGAAATCCAGAGCTCTGGCTGCATCTCTCCCCCGAATTCTCCAGACCTGGAAATCTAATGATCTACCCCACACCTGCACATGGATGTCAAATAGACACCAACCAGTCCACAATCTAACTCCTGATCTGTTCTTCTTAGTCTTCCCTAGCTTTTCCTCCTCACAGTGGCTTTTGCCTCCTCTTTCAACTCCCACATCCAATCATGAGCGAATCACATGAATTCTTCCCTGGACTATCTCCAGAACTGGACCACCTGACACCACCTCTGCTGCTACTGTGCTGTTCCGAGCCCCACTACTGCACAGCCTCCTGATGGGTCTCTCTGCCTCCACCCTGGCCTCGCCCCCACCTCACAGGGTGGCTAGAGTGACCCTATTACAACCCTAAGTCATGCCATGTCACTCATCTCAGTAAAGCCATCTCCCTCAGAATAAAATCCAATCTTTACTGTGGCCTTCAAAGTACTTCAGCCCGAGTGCACCCTACAACTGTTGAGGGGTACTTTAAAAAACACCAATTCCCAGGCTCTGCCCAGGTGAAGTCAATCAGAATCTTGGCAGCTGGGACAAGGCTTTTTTTTAAAGCTTCCCAGGTGGTAAAAAGCATGCAGCTAAATTGAGAACATCCACCTACACTATGACTTCCTACTCCCAGCTCTCTGGCTGCCTTGATGCTCCTCCCAGCACGTCTCCAGCTTGTCAAAAACATTTATTCCTGCCTGAGGGCCCTGTGCCCAGGGCTCCCCCTGCCTAGAATGCTCTCTCCTGGACATCTTCAATGGCCGGCTGGCTCACTCCCCCACTGCATTCTCATCTCCATCCAAGATGCCACCTCATCTGTGAGACCTTCCCAAACCAGTCCATGCATAAAAGAGCAACTCTCTTTCCGGCATCCCGCCCCCTTACCTTGCATTTTATTCTTCAACGCACTCACAACACCAAATGTGTTATATACTTGTCTGTACTCTGTCTTCCCTATTGAATGTTGGCCCCTTAAGGCAGGGGCCTGTCCATCTCATTCACTGCTGTATCCTCAAAGCCTAAAACAATGTCTGGTTCCCAGTAAGTGCTCAGTACATGTGTTAAAATCCATATCCTATGAGATGTTTACTGAATTTAAGAAGAAAAACTTGTATTTAAAAAACAACATCCAGGCCAGGCACAGTGGCTCACGCCTGTAATCCCAGCGCTTTGGGAGGCTGGGAGGGTGGATCACTTGAGCCAGGAGTTTGAGCGAGACCAGCCTGGCTAACATGCCAAAACCCTGTCTCTACAAAAAAAAAACACAAAAATTAGCCAGGCGTGGTGGTGCGCACCTGTAGTTCCAGCTACTCGGGAGGATGAAGCAGGAGAATTGCTTGAACCCAGCAGGCAGAGGTTACAGTGAGCCAAGATAGCACCACTGCACAACAGCCTGGGCGACAGAGACAGTGACTCCAAAAAAAAAAAAAAAAAAAGTCCAAAGCACCATAAATCAATTTGCTATTTAGATAATTCCAGTAGACAACAGAATTATTAAATAACCTGTAATGGCAAGTTTTTCTTAGAAAACTGAATAGGCTTATTTTTAACATACATTCTTTGACAAAAGGTATAAAAGATCCAATTTTCCGATCTTACATAAAAAAACTGACCTGCCCTAATCAATGCTGCCTCCTCGTCATCTCTGAAACTGATTTTTCTGGAGGTGGTGCTGCTTAAGTTTAAGTGTTGGTTCTAGGGGAGAAAGTGGAAACATTCTCAGTGTCTATGCTACATTTGTGTCTGTTACATTTGGCTGTCTTTTCTAAAAAAATAATCTTGGGCCAGGCACAGTGGCTCACGCCTGTAATCCCAGCACTTTGGGAGGCCAAGGTGGGCAGATCACAAGGTCAAGAGATCGAGACCATCCTGGCCAACATGGTAAAACCCCATCTCTACTAAAAATACAAAAAAAATTAGCTGGGCATGGTAGCGCACACCTATAGTCCCAGCTACTAGGGAGGCTGAGGCAGGAGAATCACTTGAACCCGGGAGGCAGAGGTTGCAGTGAGCCAAGATCGTGCCACTGCACTGCAGCCTGGCAACAGAGCGAGACTCCGTCTCAAAAAAAAAAAAAAAAATTTATCTTGCTGGGTATGGTGGCTCATGCCTGTCATCTCAGCATTTTGGGAGGCTCAGACAGGAAGACTGCTTGAGCCCAGGAGTTCAAGACCAGCCTGGGCAACATAGTGGGACCCATCTCTACAAAAATTAAAAAATAAAAAATTAGGTAGTGTGGTGGTTTGCACCTGTGGTCCCAGCTACCCAGGAGGCTGAGGTGGGACGATCACCTCAGCCCAGGAGGTCAAGGCTGTGGTGAGCTGTGATCGTGCCACTACACTCTAGCCTGGATGACAGCACAAGCCCTTATCTTTAAAAAAAAAAAAAAAAAAAAGTCTTGATATCACCTTCAATGCTGAAGTAAATTAAGAGTGAAACATAGAACCAGACTCAGACTCACTATTCTGTGGTATTAAATGAATTGTGACATACGAATAGTCCTCAGTAAGTGATCTCCATTTTGCTCATCTACAAGAGATGTGATTTCCCCAAAGACAGTGCTGACAACATTCTGCCTTCCAACTTTTAACTTATCTTCTTACACAACTCCCATCCAATTTATAATAAACATTTCCAAACACAGGCTTAGCAGGGCACTCAGAGAACTTCATTCTTCACTCTCCTGAAAACATCCCGTGTACTGGGGGGACAGACGAGATGGAGTTTTACCTGTGTGTGTTCGCAGATGTTTCTTTAGCTGAGACACATCCATGAATTTGCGATGGCAGTCTTTGCATTCCGGTAATGAGTGGCCTTGTCGCAACAATAAAAAAAGTGTCAGTGCATACATGCTCTCCCTGCCTTTTCTTCAGTGATTTGTGTTAAAGCACTTCCCTGAAAAATAATCACTTTAAATATAGTACTTTAACCACAAAAATTTTTTCATTAATTTGGTAACTGTTAATATTTTCCTAAGCACCTCAACTCACTGCCTCCTCCAAGAGAGCTAGGATCCTTCCAATTCTAAATGTAGTCTCTCCTTTTTTCCTCAAAGTATTGGTGTGACTGAGGCCACAAATGACCTCAAATGACACTCGTAACCCACATTCATTTCTTATCAGTTGGCAGGAAAGAAAAAGGACAACAGGTAGAACCAGGGGAGAGAAAGCCTGGGCTGACAGCCATGGGATGATGATGTCTCTGCCCAGGCACCACTAACAACCATTCACTGAAGCTCCCCTGTGCAAGTGGCACTTTTGAAAGATGCCAATTCTGTAGGGTTTCTGTGTGTGGCACCAAAACTGTAGTATACAAATAAAACATAATTCACATGGTGGCGGACAATAACATAAAAACATGTAATTTAGACTCTTAAGGCACTTTTCCCTAAATACCCTATGTGAACGATATGTGCTAAGAGCAGAACAATATAAACCTAATGTTTCAGAAACAATTCTTATTTGCATTTCTTCCCCCCCAATCTAAATGTTCTCACTTTATCGTACCTGTATGAACTCGGTAATGGCTCTTTAGCTGTCTGTTCTGGCTGAAATATTTTCCGCATTGATCACAGGTAAAAGACTTCTGTCCTGCCAAAAAAACCAAAACACTAAAACATGTAAAAAATTATAAAGAACTGGAATGCTCACTAATAAGGTAAATACTACAGTGGGTCCAGGTCCCCATTTTCTACAAATGATACAAGCGACTTGTTTACATACCCAGAAGCCTTCAATCTACCACAGAAACATAAATGTGCAAAGGTATGTAAGGCAATCGGGAGTACTGGAGACTGGGGTAGAACTGGAGAATTTAAGTTTCCCCGAAAGGCGTTCAAAGTAAAACAATTCTAAACTTTGGTGGTTTAATAAAACATGCTTGCACACTAAACTCCCAGCAGCCAGTTTATAAGCTCTAGTTTAATGATCCGTGCAGAACTCTAAACTGCACTCAGACAGATGCAAAATCCTGTCTTTCAATGACACCACGTTGGAAATGATACTAGGCTGAGAAAACACCATTTAGGTGTTGGTAATGCCCACCCTGGGGAATGGGAATCTGGTGAAGCTGGCCCTCTGGGCAAGCCCCACTACCTGAGTGCAGGCTCATGTGCTCCAGCAGTGAGTGCTTGGTGGTCAGAGCCTTGCTGCACACGGTGCAGGTGTACGGCCGCTCGCCTGTGTGCATCCTGGTGTGGACCTGTAGCGAGTGCTTCTGGGCAAAGCCTTTTCCACACTCATTACATTTGAAAGGTCGCTCCCCTGGAAGAAGAGCCCCAGAAGCATGGTATAAGTAAGAATCCACACATTTTTCTGTCTCTCCCAAATTAAAAAAACAATAAAGGATTTTTCTTAAAAGGCACACATCCAAAAGGCCAACAATGAACACAAGAGACATCAGCAATAAAATTTTGGAAGCTGAACAGATGAATCTGAAGCCAGCAGTGAGTAGCACTAACATAACCTAATTTTTTGTTTTTCCTTTGTAACAGGGTCTCACTCTATCACCCAGGCTGGAGTGCAGTGGCGCTACCATAGCTGACTATAGCCTCAACCTCCTGGGAACAAATGATCTTCCCACTTCAGCCTCCTGAGTAGCTGGGATCACAGGCATGTGCCACCACTACACCCAGCTAATTTTTTAATTGTAATTTTAATTTTTTTTAGAGATGGGATCTCACTATGTTGCCCAGGCAGGTCTCCAACTCCTGGGCTCAAGCAATCTTCCTGCCTCGGCCTCCCAAATTGCTGGGAGTACAGGCATGAGCCACCACACCCAGCCCAATACAACCTAATTTTTAAGACACAATCTCCTAAGGCTCAGGAATTGGTGGCACCTGCTATCTCTGGAAACAGGGGTGAGGGAGGGTAAATGAAAGTCTGTTTCAAAGGTGCTTAGACCCCTGATCAAATCTTCCACTCTACACAGCCAGGAGACTGTCCCTCCCCCAAAAGAGAATGGAGAGTGTTCACTGAGGAGGGTTAAGAAAAAGGGGTCTTTGGATTAGGAGTTTCTAGGCACAGTTGAGTTGGGATCACCACAGGGAGAGTAAGTCAACATTTCCATCTGGGATGATGAGACTCCCCCACTCCTTCTTCCCCATCCTGTCCTAGACACAGGCCAGCAGCCAGGCCTAGTGCCTCCAAGTGGGAGAGCAGAAGCGTCTTCCAGTGGAACATGAGAGGTCCAAGGTGAGAGAGCAAAGATGTGGAAGCCAGGCACCAGTAAGGACATGGGGCACAGCCACACCACCTCCAGTGAGGTTATGACAGGCCTCCATACAACTGTTTCAGTACTGACTGAGTGGTTAAGTTAAACATTAAAAGCCAGTGCCCTTAAACAAAGGCTGGAATGTAACAAAAGCCCACCAAGAGTTTCCCCTAGGCTTCTCCTGGGCCTTAAAGCATGACAAAATAACGAAGGAATTCTTAACAGGGCCCACTTAGGATTAAACAAGTTTTACTGGGGATCTGAAGGAACTCCCCAAATCTCCGTGATTTAGCAGAAGATAAGGGTAATCACCCCAGCACCTAGACCCATTTAGATTAAGTAAACTTACTGAGGCTCCAGAAGAAGGTCTTTGGGACGCAGACCTTGGATATAGATTAAAAGAAGTTAATCACCTACGTCTTTAGAGGAATGCACACTTACAGACAGACATACAGCTTAGGCGGTATATAAGCTCTGAAAAATTCTGTAATTTTGAGTTGGTCTGGCGATAATTTCCAGGCCTTCTCCCTATAACTGGTTACAGAAATAAAAACTCTCTTCCTCTCCAATTCATCTGCATCTCATTATTGGGCCACGAGAAATAGCAGCCTGACTCTCAGTGTGATCTGGGAACAAGGTCACAGTTTTACAGACTCTCTCATACAAAAAAAATTAGCCAGGCATGGTGGTGCGTGCCTGTAATCCCAGCTACTTGGGTGGCTGAGGCAGGAGAATCACTTGAATCCAGGAGGCGGAGGTTGTGGTGATCGGAGATCACGCCATTGCACTCCAGCCTGGGCAACAGCCTAAGAAATAAATAAAATACAGGCTCTCTCCACACATGCAGCATTGCCAGTAGCTTTTAGCAACCCACCCTTACATATGATTTAAAAAAAAAACACCAGGCACTCAAGGAGAGCCTTTTGTAATAGTGACAGACAAACAAGCAAGAAGAAAAAAAAAAGCAACTTGCCTCCAGTGAGGAAAATGTTGTTATCATTAACATGCTCATAGAGGTAAGATAATACATTGTGAAATAAAAAGATCATTCAAATTAAAACATTTAGAAAAAAAAGAGCTCCTAAAGGGGGAAAAAAATAAGAGTTGAAACAGAAAACCTCAAAGGGCTGAAAAACAAAGTGGAAATCCCCCAGAGGGTGGGGCCAAAAATGATGGAAAATATAAGAGAAAATAAAGTTAGAGAGAACAGAGAAAACAGAGAGGAGAAATCATCTATGAAATAACTCAAGATTTTCCAGAACTGAAAGACAGTTTCCAAACCTTATGAATCTACCTGTTATCTACCCAGATGGAAGAAAACAGACCCATACTAAAGTGATGGGCTGCAAAATTCAGAATACAGATGCTTCCTGACTTATGATGGGACTACATCTAACAAACCCATCATACTGAAAATATCATAAGGAAAAATGCACTTATACAGAGTACTGTATGAATGCACCAAATGCAGAGTACTGGTCATTTACCCACGTGACTGTGTGGCCCGGCATGGCATGAGAGGATCATACTGAATATTACTAGACCGGGAAAAGATCAAAACTCAGAATTCAAAGTACAGTTTCTGTTGAACATGTACTGCTTTCACACTATTGTAAAGATGAATTGAACCATTGTGAGTCGGGGACTGTCTGTACTGAGGACATAAGGGAAGAACGATCCTACATGCTTTTTCTTAAGTCTTGTATAATGATTTAACTCTAAACTATGCACATAAAATTTTTGATAAAAATAGCCAGCTGGGCGCAGTGGCGCACGCCTGTAATCCCAGCACTTTGGGAGGCTGAGGCAGGCAGATCACGAGGTCAGGAGTTTGAGACCAGCCTGACCAACATGGTGAAACCCCGTCTCTACTAAAAATACAAAAAATTAGCTGGGCGTGGTGGCGTGTGCCTGTAATCCCAGCTACTCAGGAGGCTGAGGCAGGAGAATCACTTGAACTCGGGAGGCGGAGGTTGCGGTGAGCCGAGATCGCGCCACTGCACTCTAGCCTGGGTGACAGAGCGAGAATCCATCTCAAAAAAAAAAAAAAAAAAAAAAAAAAAGCTAAAATATAACCTATTACAGTTCAACAAATATTTCTCAAGTATCCACTTTGTTCGAAGTACCTGAATTCAAGCTCTTCAACCTATCTGTAGCTAAAGTCTTTAGGGAGCTTTTAAAAGCACCAAGGCTCCAGACAACTAAATCAGAAGCTCTGGGGTGGAGGTCTAGGCACTGGTAGTTTTAGAAGCTCCCTAAGTGATTCCAATTTGCAGGCTGAGAACCACAGCACCAGATACTGCTGGATCACAGGAGAAGACTTAAGCCCCAGTCCCTATACTTAAGATTACAATTAAGTTGAGGGATATACAAGTGGTAACAACAATCTGATCCAAAGCAGAGTGGGTTTTAAGCACCTGAAAGGGCTCAAAGGAGGAAGGGATTTCTCACTAGGACTGCAGTGTCCAATACGGTAGCCACTAGCCACATGTGGTTATTCAAATTTAAATGAATTAAAATAAAATTTAAAATTCAGTTTCTCAGTCACGCTAGCCACAGTTCAAGTGCTCAAAAACCACATGTGGTTACTGGCCACCATATTGGACATCAGAGATGTAGGAACATTTCCATCATCACAGAAGGGTCCCATTGGTCAGCGCTGGGCTAGAGGGACCAAAAATGAGAAGGTATTTAAAGCTAGATAGCTGAGTTACAAAGTGATCTACACAGACTTGGGCAAAAGCATGGTTATGGTCAAGATGAAGAATGTTCAAGAATCAGAAAGCAGGGTACATTGGGCTAGATCTTGATAAGTGGACATTAAAGGATTCATTCAACAACTACAAATGAGAGGGGTTCTTGAACCAGGCTACCTGGGTTCAATCCCAGCTCTGTCACTAACGGGTGACTCTGGCAAGTTATTTAAGCTCCCTAGAACTTGGTTGCTTCATCTGTAAACTATGCACTTTAGCAACCCTCTCTTACATATGAGTAAATATGATTTTAATCATACAATGTATAATGAGGATATTACCCACCTTGCAGGATTGTGGAGAAAATTAACTGCAATAACATGTATAAAGGCTTTATTACAATGCCCATCACACAGAAGTTGCACAGTAAATGGAAGCTATTATTATCATCACTACTCCCAATTCTGCAACACACTGCAATCAGCTTTGAAAACATCATTACCTGTGTGGCTCCTCTGGTGGATTGCTAAAAAGTGATTGTACTTAAAGACCTTGCCACAGTCTTTACAGCGGGCCTCAGGGCCTCCAGGGCGCTTTCTCCTTCCACAGATCCTCTTGGCTGAACCATGGTCCTCTTGATCCCCAACAAGTTTGTAATCTTTAAGTTTGACGGATCTCCAAATCCTCCGCTTGCTGTATCGACTCTGGCTTGCCTGGCCATCCTCGGTCTTGGGATCATAGTTCTCATCTTTTTCAACTGGCATTTCCTCCTCTCTACTTGGCTCACAAGTAGGCTCCGATTCTTCCTTTTCTTTTGCTGCAATTTGCTCATTCAGTACACCACTGTCTCCTTTAACCACAAAGTTTTGTCTATTCTGAACTGAATTGTTCACTCTTAACTGTATTTCTTCCTCTGCAGCCAGTTCTGATTTCTCCTCCTGCAATGTATTGACTTTTTTTGGTCTTCCCCGTTTCCGCTTTGGAGGATCGTTTTTCTTATTAGAGATAACAACCACTGGGGCACCAGCAGTGTTCAAAGTTGTTGGCTTTGGGGAGCTATGATTATTTTGGAAGTCTGTGTAAGCCTTTACCAGGTCATAGACTTTTA
The DNA here is from genome assembly GCF_000001405.40 of Homo sapiens. Classification (NCBI taxonomy): domain Eukaryota; kingdom Metazoa; phylum Chordata; class Mammalia; order Primates; family Hominidae; genus Homo; species Homo sapiens. Next base: position 109,481,681 of record NC_000006.12, read on the forward strand.
AGAACTGAGCAGTAGCCAGGATTTGTTCTGTACTTTTCTCACTGGCATGGAGATAACCTGTGTAGATAAATTCCAGCAGGATACCAAAGGTGTCTGCAACCATGCCTTCCAGCATATAAATGGATTGGCCGATTTCCCCCTCTTCTGCAAACATCATTGAGAAGTATTCACTACTGGCAGCAAGTAAGGCTTTGTGGGCCCGGAAATGTACATTCTCCACGATTAAAGTAATGTCACAGAGGAAGCCTTTCTTCCTCTGATCCTCAAAACTGGCCAGCACAGTGTCACTGTGAGCGTCTGAGTGTACAACAAGCTGCCCAGAAGGCTCTGGCGATGTTTCTGCCATTTTCTTCAGAAGCCACTAAGGGTTAAATCTGAAATAAGAAAACAAGGTTTAAAAAGGAGAAAGCACTGTCTAAAAGGTTAATGCCAGCCCACATGAACTTCCTATTCACTTCACATCATTAACTGAATTTTACCATTACCATTTTTGTCTGTCTACAAACTTAGCTCTGGGCCCGGGCGCAGTGGCCTCACGCCTGTAATCCCAGCACTTTGGGAGGCCGAGGCCGACGGATCACTTGAGACCAGCCTGGGCAACATGGAGAGAATTCATCTATACAAAAAATACAAAAATTAGCCTGGCGTGGTGGCGCCCGCCTGTGGTCCCAGCTACTCAGGAGGCTGCGGCAGGAGCATCACCTGAGCCTGGGAGTTCGAGGTTGCCGTGAGCCGTGATCGTGCCACTGCACTCCAGCCTGGGCGACAGAACGAGACCACCACCTCAAAAAACAAAAACAAAACAACTTAGCTCGCGGTTTTTTTTTTTTGAGACGGAGTCTCGCTCTATCGCCCAGGCTGGAGTGCAGTGGCGCAATCTCGGCTCACTGCAACCTCCGCCTCCCAGGTTCAAGCAATTCTCTCCCTCAGCCTCCTGCCGCACATTAACTAGCTGAGTGACTCTCCAGTATTCATGGAACGGTTCAGGGTCTACCTTCTATAAAATGAAGGAATGGGATTAACCATCTCCAAAATCCTCCGCAAGCACGAACTTTCTATGGTTGCACAACTATTTCAGGGAGAACGAAGCTGCCTCCATCTCCCAGATTATTAGCCATTTCGTATGTGGGAACCAATGTGAAGAGTGAAGAAATGTGCACGTGCAAAGTGAATGTGAGGTAGCTGCAATAAAATACTAATAACTTAAGCTGCGTGGGGCCGCCAGACACACTAGGGGCGGCGCGGAGCCCCCCGCAGCCCCGGGTGGTCCCAGCAGGGAGAGGTGGCGCGGAAAGACCCCCACCTCCCCGCCCAGGCCCCGCGGGCCCGACTGGGGAGCACACGGCGGGGGAGGGGTCGGCGCGGCAGACCTACCGCTCAGGGGCGCCCGGTGGGGTCCGGGTCGCTGCCAACTCACCCGGCGGCCTGGCGGGAGACCCACGCCGGGGCCCGCTGGCCCTCCGCTCCGCCCCGCCCGCCTCTGGGGCTTCTGCGCCGCACCGGTTTCTGCTCCTGCGCCGCCGCCGCAGCCACAGCCACAGCCAACCCGGAAGCGCGGCGCCAAGAGCCGCTTGCGCGCGGACGCCGAACCACGTGGCCCGCAGAGGCGCCCCTGGAGGTGGGGGCCACGAGAGCGGCGGGGAGGGGAAGGGAGGTGAGGGGCGGGGCGGGGCGAGATGGCGGGGCGGGGCGGGGCGGGGCAAGGCGGGGCAAGGCAGGGCAAGGCGGGGCGCGAAGGCAGTTCAAGGGTTGGGGCGTGGCAGGGGAGGGGAGGGGCAAGGCGGGGCGAGAATGCAGGCCTGGGGTCGGGGGAGCCGCGGCGGGGCGGGGCAGGGCGGGGCGAGATGGCAGGCCCGGGGCTTTGGGGCCGGGGCCGGGGCCGGGGCCGGGGCAGGGCGGGGAGGGGCGCGGCTTCGGAGGAGGGACAGTGGCCGGGGCGGGGCGCGGCCAGGGGCGGGGCGGTGTCGGCGCCCGAGGTCCTGCGTGTGGCACTGCCGGGGAGCCCAGGCAGGAGCGACTTTTGCGGTGAATTGGGGGCAATGGACAGGAGAGGCGTTGTGACCCCTCCCTTTGGGAAGTTTTATATCGTATTAAACTGTTAGCTCAACGCCAATACCTTAATTTTATCTCTTCTCCGACACCGAATCTGGTGTTGTTCTTGAATGTATAAAGGCATGAAATCCCCCTTACCGTCATCATCATTGTCATCATCATCACCATCGTCATTATCTAGTGCTAATATAATAACTATTACTTACCTCCTAAATGTTTTTCACATCTGCCTCCTTTTCCTCCCCACTCCTGATGCCTTAGTCTAAGGGAATGAAGAGAGCACTGCAGTCAGAGAAACCTGGGTTCTGAGAGATCTTGGGCAAATTACTTACCCTCACAACTTCTTTACCTTACCTGTAAAATGGAGATGTTAACACTAGTGCCACTTTGGTAGGGTTGCTATTGCATAAACAAAATTAAGTATGTAATGGGCTTAGGAAATGCCTGGTTTAATTCGTCTGCTGTGATTAAAATGATCATTATTATTCAAACTTTCATCATCTTTGTTCAATAGACTGTTTCTAACTGGTCTCAGCTGCAGCGTTGTTCTCTTTAATTCGCAGAAGTACAGAGGATTTCTCCAAGTACATATGAGATCCAGAGACTAGAGTCACTCCTTGGCTTAGAATCCATGTGGCTCCCACATGCCCTCTGGATAAAGTCCAGGCTTCTTAATGTGGTCTACAAGCCCCATCCAGATCTACTCCCCACCTGCTTCCATCCATTTATTTCAGCATTTTCTCTCTCTTAGCCAATACCTAATTACTTATTTTTCTGCCCATTTCCAGATTCCCAACATGCCATCTATAGCCTCCCTGATCTTGAACCGGAGGTGTAATTAGCAACCTGGCTCTTACATTTTTACTAGATTTTATTAAAACTAGCTCAAGCCACACATGCTCCTTCTCTGAGGTTTCCCTTTCATATTGAATTGTCTCTAAGTCCTCTGGATTTGTGGGGGTACAAGTGGGATGGGGAGCGCTCCCTGACTTCTGCATACCAGCAGGAAGTTAGCTACCTCATTGTTTCTTGCTGCTACGAGGGTTGCAGTCAAATCACTGTCCCTCCAGAGGTCCTCAACGGCATAAGAAGACTCAGTGCCAAGGTAAGCCAGGTACTTCCATTTCCTCATTCAATCATTGCTCACTGGAGCATAATCCTGCGAGGAAAGACTGAGTCTGGAGGATCTTCCAGCATCAGCCACCCACAACACAGACTAGCCCTTTCTTCAAGGCAATTTTGTTTTGGATCCATACTGACTTTTTCAAAACTTTTGTTCTTGTTAAGGCCAGCCGGTCTACCCCTAACAGGTCTTCTTAAATTTAAATCTTGCAGAACAGGATTTGGGGTGTCATACATTCATCTAACAGATATTTATCGAGTGTCTACTAAGAGCCAGACATTGGCGTCAGGTGTTGGGGATACAGCAACTAACAAGGCCTTTGCTCTCATGAAGCTTACATTCTACTAAGGGGAGACAGGACAAATATACAAGTAAACTAATGAATAATAGTTTCAGAAAGTGTTAAATTTTATAAAGAATGATGATGGAGACTGACAGGGAAGTGAAATCAGGATAGGGTGACATTTGAGCTGAGATCTGAATGACATGGAGACAGCTGTGGGAAGATCTGGAATAAAAATGTTCTAGGCAAGGGAAAAGCAAGCATAAAGGCTCAGACTGGGAAGGAGCATCTGATGAACGGCAAGGACTGTGTGGCTGGAGCACAGTGAGTGAGGGGCAGCAGATGGAGTGGAGAGTTGCCAGATTTCACAAATAAAGACACAGGACACCCATTTAAAAAAATAAATGCTGCCTCAGCCTCCCATGCTGGGATTACAGGCATGAGCCACCTATACCCAGCCAACAAAGAATTTTTTTTCATATAAATTTAGTGTAGCTTAGAGCGTACAATGTTTATAACGTCTACAGTAGTGTATAGCCATGTCTTAGGCCTTCACATTCACTCACCACTCACTCACTGACTCACCCAGAGCAACTCCTATTCCTGTAAGCTCCATTCATGGTAAGTGCCCTACACAGGTGTACTTTTTTTTTCTTTTATACTGTTTTGTTTTGAGACAAAATCCCACCCTGTTGCCTAGGCTGGAGTGCAGTGACATGATCTCAGCTCACTGTGACTTCTACCTCCTGGTCTCAGGTGATCCTCCCCACTTAGCCTTCTGAGTAGTTGGGACTGCAGACATATGCTACCACACTCCACTATTTTTTTTTTTCCGTATTTTTTGTAGTGATGAGGTTTTGCCATGTGGCCCAGGCTGGTCTTGAACTCCTGGGCTCAAGTGCTCTGCCCACCTAGGCCTTCCAAAGTGCTAGGATAACAGGCATGAGCCATCAGTATACTGTATTTTAAGTGTCTTTCTTATGTTTTGATATGTTTAGATACAGAAATACCACTGTGCTACAGCTGCTTACAGTATTCAGTACAATAACATTCTGTACAGGTTGGTAGCACAGGAGCAATAGGTTGTACCATAGAGCCTAGGTGTGTAGTAGACTATACCATCTAGGTTTGTGTAAGTTCACTCTGTGATGTTTGCACAGTGACGAAGTCACCTAGTGATGCATTTCTCAGAACATATCCCTGTCATTAAGCAATGCATGACTGTACCTATAAAAGAAAACCAGTTAAAATGACAGCTGGTTTCTCAACAGCAATAGTAGAAGCCAGAGGTTAGTGGCATGATACTTTCAAAATTCACCTAAAATCTTTTTTATAGACTACAATTATCATGGAAAAGGACAAAATCAAGACAATTTTGGTCAAACAAAAAATAAAAGTATTAACCTCCAACAAACCCATACCATAGGAAGGAAAATAACACCAAGAGGAAAGTCTGAGGTATAAGAGGGAGTTGTAAGCCAAAAAAAAAAAAAAAAAGAGAAAAAAGTAAGTATGAAGGAAATCTAAACAAACATTGATTATGCAAAATAATGTCTAATTCGGAGAGTAAACAAATAGAGTAGATCTAAAATATTGAATGAAAATACCATTTAAGATGGGAAGCTGGTTATCAGTATTCCAGTGTTTTAAGGGTACAGCTATTGATTACCTTGAGGCTTTACATATACATGGTGAAAGAGTAAGGGACAGCCACTTAATTGGTACAAATAGAGTGCATACTTCAAACACTGTAGAGGAGATAATGGCATTTCAAAGTTATTGGTCAATGCCAGGTCGGGTGCAGTGGCTCATGCCTGTAATCCCAGCACTTTGGGAGGCCAAGGTGGGCGGATCACTTGAGGCCAGGAGTTCAAGACCAGCATGGCCAACATGGCAAAACCCCGTCTCTACTAAAAATACAAAAATTAGCCGGGCGTGGTGGCACAGCTACTTAGGAAGATGAGGCACGAGAATCTCTTGAACCCGGGAGGCGGAGGTTGCAGTCAGTTGAGATCATGCCACTGCACTCCAGGCTGGGCGACAGAGCAAGGCTCTGTCTCCAAAAATAAAAAATAAAAAAAAATAATAAAAAAAAAGAGAGAGAGAAAGAGAAGGATGGAGAGAATGTTAAAGGCAAGAAGAGCCAGATCATGTAAAGTCTTTTATGCCAAGAAAAAGGAGTTTCGATTTTAACTGAAATAGGAGGCCACTGGAAGATTATTCAAAAGGACTGTTGAATCTGACTTATGTATTTAAAAATTACTCCAGCTGCTAGATGAAGAGTAGATCCTGGAGGGACATGAGTGGAGGCATGGATATGAGGGTGACAGCAGTGTAAAATGTAAGAAGAGCCCATATTCAAGGTAGATTTGGGGGATAGGTCTTTCTGAGAGGACTTGCTGAGAATAGATGTGCGGAGTGACGGAAACAATGCAATCAAGATTGACTCCTGGGTTTGGGGCTAAATCAACAGAGTGTACGGTGTTACCATTAACTGATCTGGAAGAAGAGAAGTTGGGTTGGATAACAAGTATGGGGTGGACATATTAAATTTGAAATGTTAACTAGATAACCAAGTACAGTAGGCAGTCATAGGTAACAATCTGGAGTTCAGAGCTGAGAACAGAATTGAGATATTAATAATGGAGTTATCAGAGCATAGATTATAAATTGTTGTAAGTAAGATCAGTTACAGAGTGAATATTGATAAAAGGCGATCCAGATTTTTTCTCTTTCCTCTCCAAATGTAGTCTCCATTCTTCTCTCCTTTTTTTTTTTTTTTTTTTGGCCCTGGGAGGCTACAGGGACTCAAGGACTTCATCATCAAAGTCCTGTGCCGGCTAGCTTCCAGTTGTATTGAGTCAATGGAGAATCTGGCAGATTGGAGGAAGGAGAAGGTCATGATCATCTGGCAATTAAAGGTTAGTGGAAGTCCTTTGTCATGATGAAGGGCATCAAAAATATGTGTGTAGCCTGGGATGGTTGGTTGATAACTGTGGCTGGAAGGAACTATAGTCCAAGGCTTATTATGACTTAAAGGGATTTGGGGAGAACAGAAGGACAATTGTCAATGTTCAGTGCCAATAGTGCATCTTTAGAGGGATTTTATAGCACTAATCCAGTAGTGCTCCAATTTCCAGATCCCATGTGTCCTGTACTACACAAGGGCAGGGCATGTATCTGCTTATATTTTAATCTCCTACTGTACACAGACTGGTAGAATTCTTGTAAATATACACATGCTTGCATATGCTAAGCAGTCTTCAACATGCGTCTCACAGGTTTGGTGAATACGTGTGCTCACAAATTAATTCTTGGAATGTTTTTCACCCCCTGGTTATAATCTCAAATTTGACTTATTTTTTTAAAATTTTACCTGCTTTGATTTTAAAAAGTCCATTTAATTCAGGTGTCACTCCCTCTGATAATTCTTCCCAGAACCACCCATAGTTAAGGGCTCTCAGGCTTTGTAGCTTGATATTCTTTAACCCGGATCTTCATTTGTAAAAGTAAGAACAAACCAAAAAAAAAAAAAAAAGAAAAAACGAAAAAAAAAAATCACCCACAACTAGACAAAGGCGTTCATGTGTAAAATATATCTCTCATTCCTATCCTGTTCTTTCCGTTTTTTTTTTGTTTTTTTTTTTTTGAGACGGAGTCTTGCTCTGTTGCCCAGGCTGGAGTGCAGTGGCCTGATCTCGGCTCACCGCAACCTCCGCCTCCCGGGTTCAAGCGATTTTCCTGCCTCAGCCTCCCGAGTAGCTGGGACTTCAGGTGTGCGCCACCATGCCCAGCTAATTTTTGTATTTTTAGTAGAGATGGGGGTTTCACTATGTTGGCCAGGCTGGTCTCGAACTCCTGACCTTGTGATCCACTCGCCCTGGCCTCCCAAAGTGCTGGGATTACAGGTGTGAGCCACCGCGCCCAGCCTATCCTGTTCTTGAACTTCCTCCCCTTCATCACTGAATTTGTGAAATTTTAATGAATTGCCTGAATTCAACAAATTACCAAATGAATTGCAAATAAAGTGAAAAATATATAATAAAATTGAGAACGTTTAAAAAATATAGTATTTATTACTGTACTTTGAGTTTTGAAGAATTTAAAACCACAGTTCACACCATATCCTGAAATAAATTCTAGAGGACTTAAAGAATTAAATATATATCTTTATTTTTATTTATTTATTTTTCCTTTTTTTTTTTTTTTTTTTGAAATGGAGTCTCGTTCTGTCGCCCAGGCTAGAGTGCAGTGGCGCGATCTCGGCTCATTGTCAGCTCCGCCTCCCGGGTTCACGCCATTCTCCTGCCTCAGCCTCCCGAGTAGCTGGGACTACAGGCGCCTGCCACCATGCCCGGCTAATTTTTTGTATTTTCAGTAGAGATGGGGTTTCACCGTGTTAGCCAGGATGGTCTCCATCTCCTGACCTCGTGATCCGCCCGTCTTGGCCTCCCAAAGTGCTGGGATCACAGGCGTGAGCCACTGCACCCGGCCAAATATATATTTTTTAAAACACAAATAAGTAAAATAAAACAGAATGGAATATTCCATTTCTAGAGATTGAAGAATTTCCAGAGCTTAGAAGACTATTCAAAATCAGCCTGGCCAACATGGTGAAACCCCATCTCTACTAAAAATACAAAAATTAGCCAGGCATGGTGGTGGGTGCCTGTAATCCCAGCTACTTGGGAGGCTGAGGCAAGAGAATTGCTTGAACCTGGGAGACAGAGGTTGCAGTGAGCTGAGAACACACCACTGCACTCTGGGCGAAAAAGCGAGGTTCCATCTCAAAAAAAAAAAAAAAATTAGAAAGCAATGATGAACATGTTTTATGTTAATACCTAAAAAATGGAATATATGTACTTCAAAAGGTTGATGTCTATATTACATAAAGAACTCATGCAGAACAACTTTTAAACGCTGCATAAGTTAGAGGGCAAAGGATGTGATAATAATTCACAAAAGAGAAAATGCAACTGGTGACCAACATATGCAATAATATACAATCTCACTATTAGTTCAGATTAAAGCAAAAAGGTTCTGCTTTTCACCCATTAAAGAAAAAAAAAATGTGAAGATACTGCCAAGTGATTGTAAAGAAGTATTGAAATTGGTGTTCTTGGGTGCTCCTGGAAGCAGTATAAATTGCTGTAATTATTTTGGAAAGTTGCTTGGTAATATGAATTGTGAATATCCATTTAAGAATAGTCATGCCCTTTAACCCAGCAATTTTATTTCTCAGAATTTATATCAGGCTAATAATCCTAAATATAAGAGGGAAAGATTCAACACAGTATTTTATTTATTTTTAAAATTTTTGTAGAGACATGCCCAGGCTGGTCTCAAACTCCTGAGCTCAAGTGATGCTCCCACCTTGGCCTCCCAAAGTGCTGGCATTACAAGCATGAGCCACTGTGCCCAACCTCAACGTAGTATTTTAAAATTTAGTACAACAGTACACAGTCCAGCAATAGGAATGGTCAAATATAGCGTATCTATTCAGTGTGGATCTGAGTGTAACCGTTAAAAAAAAAAAAAAAAAAAAAAAGGAAAGGAAGTACTCCAAAATCCTTTTCCTACTTTTCCACATTTCATTTACTGTTTGACTTAGGATCTGTCAAATGGAGACTGCTTCTCCTTCTTGGGTGAAGTTATTGTTGCTGTGAAAATGACATCTAGACAAGCCATGGAGAGGCATAGGCTGGTTGGAGTTTCCCTTGCCCTTAAAGCTGCACTGCCTCAGCCTCTTCCTGAAGCAGTCAGGATTGGGGCAGCAGCTGGAGGATGGGGGTGGGCAAAAAGGAGTCTCTCTCAGCCTCAGTGAGCACCGTGGCCTGGCCACCCACTCTGTTATTGTTTCACATAGGGAAGGTTTAAGGGTCCCTGGACACCCATTCAGAATATTCTTTCATCATATTTGGGACGCTAGTTAATGGATTATTTGTAATAATATGCAAGCATAATTTCTAAACAAAAGCAGAATTTCAATAAGAAGCTTTAAAGGATACATGTTCTTATTGCAGAAATGTTGTTCTCCCTTGTTAGGGACACAGACCCCTTGACATGGAAAACACAGCTTGCTCCCCTGAGAAGGAAAGCAAACATGATAGGTGGGTGTGAGTGCACGTATGTAATGGGCCTGGAGGGGAGTGGTTCTCAGGCTCCAACAAGACGACTTTCCCAAGGGTCTCCCGTATTTTTTTTGTACTCTAAAGTACACTCACACATACACACAGACACACACGGACACTACTGACACTACTTAAGAACACTGACACTGTGATGGTGGTTTGCAAGATGTGCTTACAGTGCAGGAAGTGGTAGGGGTAAGAGCAAGGCTCTGTAGTAAGGCAGATCAGGGTCTGAATCTGGATAGTACTTATGTGATCTTGGGTAGGAAGCTCTTCTCATGTGTAATAATGAGATGAGATAATGCATGAAAAGCCACTAGCACGCTCTCTCTGGCCACATAGAAAGCAGCTGGGAAATAGTAGCTGTGTCAGTAGTTATTCTAAATAAGGCTCCAAATGTAGCTAACTGTAGTTGCATGTGAATGGGAGGGACCTGGGGTGTCCAGCACTAGAAGCTACTCTAGGAAATTTGACTCCTTACTCCTTCCCCACTCCTCCTACCTGCTATACTCTGTTGTATATATTTACTCAGAGGAAGAAACTCTATGGAGAGAGAGGTGAAAAGGGAGAATCACATGGCTTTTGGTTGCTGACTCAGCTCAGGGACTGAGCTTCTTCCTACTAAGAAGATAAAGGGCATTTGCCCTAGTTTTGTGCAGAATTCAGCAGCTCCAGAACAATGATGCATGAGATGTTAGAGCTCAGAAGACAGCATCCTTGGGCTCATAAGAGTTCTCAGGGCGAAGCCATACTAGAGAACTTCATCCCCAGGAGATGTGCAGTGGGTGTGGACTTTCTCTGGAGCACATGGGACACTCCCTGGAGACCCCAAGAAACACTCAGCGGTATTCTGCAGGGACTGCTGCCCTTCGTAAAGGCAGGGGCACTGAAGCAATGAAGTTTGGGTTTAACTGCTAAAGCAAACTCATCATACCCATAGGCTGAAGAGACCTGAGAACATTTATATCTTGTCAAGAATGAAAAAGCCAGTAGATTTCAGTTGGTGATAGAAAGATGGTAAATTACAGGCATTAAGAAATGGGCAGGGAGCAAAAATGGGGCTTAAGTTGCCAGCAAAACTTGGTAGCTATTGGCAACTCCCAGCCTCCTGAAAAAGTAAAGGCTTTTGAGGTTTATCCTAACTTTGGCAATAGGCTTCCAGCTTTTGTTTAAAAATCATTTTATTATGAAATATATAATGCAAAAGATATATAAAAAGGCTTCTAGTTTTTAATTAACATTATTGAATTTATAGGGATCAAAGAGCTAAACCATTTATCGTGGAGATTAAGAAATGAAGGCTCAGAGAAATTTACCCAAGGTTACACAGTTAATGGTCATATTTTTTATTTTTTAAGAGTCAATCTTGCTGTTTCCTATTCCAGATCCTTTTATATTGCTGCTGAAAATTGTTATTTTAAAAATCTCATTAAATTCAATTTAGTAAGTTTTCTTCTAGCATATACTGAGTCATATAATGACTCTAGATTTCATCCTTCTTAAAATTCCAGGTAATTTCCAATTATAAAATAAGGTATAAAGCATGCTTCAATGAATACTTAAGAAAAAGAAAAGAGGCAGCCAGTAAGTTGTTGCAAAATCCATTTATTTTATTGGGAAAATGATAGTATCTTATGTTCACAAAGTTCACAAACAGTTTTGTATGTAAAATGTATAACCCATATTTTGGTTTCATTTATAACAATGTTAAATGTCTTAAAGCTTTCTAACATTTAATGAGTAATTTTAACAGAGACTGACTTTTCTACTGAAAATGTTAAAAAGGAAAATAATACATTTATTAAATAAGTCACTTAACTTTTCTATATGGAATTATAAATAGAATGTTTATTTTGTTAAAGCATCAAAGTTCAGGCAAAGAGCAATACATTTTAAAATTGTATTAAAACTTGTTTCCATAAGAGTGCTCCTTCCTGGCTGGCAGACCTTTGAGTTCACCTGAAGTCTGGCAGCCATGGTACCTTGCTCAGGAGGCAAAAGTACTTCCAAGAGGCCCAGATTTTCAATCTACTTCTCTCAGTTTCCCTCTATCACTTTCAGATAACTCTTGAGATTCAGGCTGCTATCACCTAAGTAAACTACCCATTAATTGGGTCTATATTTCTGAGAGAGAGAAAGGTCTTTAACTTATGATCAAAGTCAATGGCTCTGAACTGAGGTTCCTTGTATTTTCTGGTCATCTTGGCACCCAAGTATGTTATGAGTTCACAACTCTCCATAAACTGCTCCATCTTCTTCTTATACTTTTTTCTTGTGTATTCGGAACCTTTGGGATTAAATGCTGTAGAAAATTTCACAGAACTGTGAATAATTTCTGCTAGTTAGTGAGTCATTAAATGAAAGAGACCTGGATGTGTGGTTGAGTTAGTTACACAGTTATGGTTGAGAAGATATCCAAATCCCAAATAAAATCTGGAGATTATTCTGTTTTAGGTCATAATTGCCTCTATTCACCCTTCTTTATGGCATGGATTATTGACAGCTGACTGTATTACTTAGTCCCTACTTTGAAAATAGAATTTTAACTTTGACATTTTATTTAAAATATTTGCCCTGTATTGTATTTGCTACTAACACTCTCTCTTTCTCTCTCACCAAGCAGGCAACACAGTTTAACAATCCTATTCATCACTTATACTACCATTAATGTTAAATTTGTTCTGAGTAGTAAATAATTAAAAAAGACATACCTTTGAGATGAAGTGCTATATATAGCAGTGCAGATCTCCTTATACTTAAAAAGGGGAACTTGGGCTTTAAGCATCCCGCTGCATTCATTGCTTTAATTAGAGAAGTTGCAATACCCTGCAGGGAGGGAACAATTCAAATTCTGTGTATACTTGAGTTTGGTTTCTTTTCTTAGTGCCAATAGATAAACAGGCAAATATTATTTCTTTGCCTCAAATAGCCCCCTGGAGTGGGGATGGGGCTTATAAATATGGTTAGATGACCAGTTAGCCAACAGGAAAGAAATACAAAATACATTTGATTAGGAAAAATGAAAATTACAAACTGACTTAGTGTCAGCTAAGTGATGGATAGGAGTATGGGCTTCATTACACAAGTCTCTCTATTTTTATATGTTTGACATTTTTTATAACAAAAAGTTAAGAGAAGAAAGAAGGGGACCCTAGGCTTTGCGATATCTTGGCCCGTATCTGCTTTCATTCTCAGAAATGGCCAGACTGCCTCCCACTCTGAGGACCCTTGGCTACCTGACACGTAATTCCAGAGACCACAGTAGTCAGTGCTGGCAAGATTCCAGAGCCCAGAAGAAGGTAAGAGGCCCTCCTGATAAAAATTGGCCTTCATGAGAATACTCCCCTATGGGTGGGCCTCATCTGGCATTTTGATGTTAAACAAGACTGAAGGCTAACCTTATAGGCAAGTTGAAAAAATCAGAGTGGTTAAGAATTGCTGACAAAGGTTTGACATTGTGCCCTAAGCATTTATTTTGTAGACTTTTTTTAAAAAAAGCTTTAAAAATAGTAAAAATAAAATAAAATAGTAAAGATAGCAGTTGGCTGCTGCTAAGTTTTGCTATTCTTAAAAAGTTATACTTGGATAAATAAAGTATAACTTAAATAGAATAAATAAATAACAGTAAATAAAACTGACTTTATCTGGATGTGGGGCAAAATATGGGCTTTTTGGTCTGGTTGTGTCACTGTAACTCTTTTGGGTAGTCAGTGAATGATCCTCTCACGGACTGAATCTGCACATTTCAAATTATGAAAAGTTTCACAGACATTGAAATTCAAAAGTAAGAACCAAACTACATATCTAATTCAAATGGAAACAATTTTGTGGCGCTCTACTTTCTCTTCACTTTAGTGCAGATATTTGGGAATTAGCTATGGAAGCAGGGGATTTTCACACATTTTATTTTAACCACTACATATAAACAAAATAGGCTGAGAGAATTTGCAGCTTAAAATCAGAAAACTCTGCCTTGAATTTTATTGTTCCCAAAATGAAAATTAGTGTTAAAAAGAAGAAGTCATTGTATTCTTCTAACATATATAACAGAAAATTAAGTAAAAGAACCTGTTCCAGATATCCAGGCAAAGGAAGACTAGTAAGAAGTATCGGTTCCCTTAATGGGGGAAGCTTGTGTGGAAGCTTCTGTTCCCAGTATTTCAGTGGCGACCTAAGAACACAAAGTTCATTAGATGGATGCTCACAGTTATACTCAGTGTGTATAGATAGGAATAGACAAGAGACTATTAGAAGATAAAGTTCACTACTTTTTCTGCACTGGAGAAAATGATACAAGTGGGAATGCTGGGGCTCCTGGAAGTGCACAGCCACTCATGTCAACTGGGTACCCAGCCCTACTCACCTCGACTCAGTTTTCTCATTTTTCACAGCAATTATATAAAACTTTCTTTATTTTCCTTAAACTTCTGACTCTCCCAAATGCCCCCTCACCCCCAGGCAGATGCCATGCTGTACTCAGAGAAGCCATCAGGATGGGACTTCCTCAGCCCATCACAAGCAGAGCTACCCACTTGTTCTCTTCCCATGGTGGAGGTGCCTCCCATCTGAGACCAGGTCCCTTGGTCCCACCGCTCCCTCTCTCCAGGCATCTTACTACAGCACCTGCTTGCTCCCTGCCCTGGCATCTTTGCCACTTCCTTATTGGGTCCTTCCTGTGCATATGCATTTAAACATCTTCATAATTCCCCATTTAAAAAAAAAAAAAAGAAAAACCATTTTTACTCCTTAAATCCTATATGCCTTCCAGAAACGAACATCTCTTCTCTTTTTATAATTAAAACTTCTTCAAACAGTGGCTTCACTAGAGATTGCAAGCTACCACACAAATTTTATCTGCAGATGGGATTTGATCCACATGTATTTTATTTTTAAATTTGAATCAGATGTGGATGTTTAGGAATGTGAACAATTTAAACAGCAATAATACTTTCCAGCTTCTTCCAGCAGTAGATGGGCAGCTCTGGTCCCCTCAGCCGGCCGTGTGCAGTCCGGTTTGCACCAGGCCCCCTGACTCCTGTGTCTTCACACCCAGCCTGCTTGCCTCAGGTCCCTCGCCTCCTGGCTGCTGCAGGCACTGTGTTTGTTTGTAGCCTCTGGACTACAGGCAAGAGCTCAGTTTCCTCAGCTCTGCTCCTTGGAGCTCTGTAGTCACGTCCTCTCACATCACTTGACAAAACCATTCTTGGCAAGATTACTAATGACCTGTTACACCCTAAATCTCAAACGCTTTTCAGCCCTTGTCTTGCTTGACCTCTGAGGAGCATTTAAACCTGTTGCCATGCCATCCCTCCCCTCCGCCTCCCTCAACCCTCCTCATCCTGGCTCTCCTTTCATGTCTCTGTGGTTCTTCTTTCTCAGTTTCTCTTGTAAGCTCTTCTGACATTCATGCATTGGTGTTTCTCAGGGTGTGGTCCCAAGCCCGCTGCCTTCCCCACATAACTATGGATGAGCTCAAACATGCTATCATATTTCAGACAAGATCACTCTGGCAGCCTCATCACTGGTAGTCCAATCCATGGTCTACACTTTAGTAGTGGTCTGACCCCAGAGCAAATTTGATTCCAACACGGACCTCACTTACAATCAGTCAATGTGCTCAGATTGCCCTCAGGATCACTATGAGGACACAAACTGTGTACACAGCATGAGTCCATGAAACCGCAAACGCTTCATGGTGGTCTTACTTGACCTTCCACACTCTGACCCTGCCCTCCACCTCCAGCCTCGCCTTCACTCCGTCCCCTCTCCACATCACATCCAGCTATGCTGAAGTTCTTACAGTTCAGGAATACCCTAGACCAGGTTTGTTGTAGGTCCCTCTGCTTGGAACATGTCCCTCTTTTCCTTCATCTAGCCAATTCCCACTCCTTATCCTGACCTTACACCCACACACAATTCAGTTAGACCTTTGGGCTACACTCTCTCAGAAGTCCAGGCATTTCCCCACCCTAAAGTCCATCACATTCTGTTGTTACCAGGCACTCAAAATCCATCTTACCCTGGACAGCTTTGGGATGGCAGGGACCAGTGCTTGTTCACACACACACACACACACACACACACACACACACACTCTCTCTCTCTCTCTCTCTCTCACACACTCCTCTCCCCCGTTCCCAGCATGTTGCATGCAACACAGATTTTCAGTAAATATTTGTGATTTAATGGTCTCACCTCAAAAATTTCTGGAGTTTTTCTTTGTTCTCACAAATATATATACGATTATGATATTCTAAAGCATAGTTAATGCTACCAGGTACTAGAGCTTCATATCTGGAAGACCAAAAAACAAAACAAAACCTCTATTGTATAATTAATATGCAGTCCTGTGTAAATAAAAAGTCAAAAGTATTTTATTTTTCTACCTATGTAGCTCAAGGAAGAAATAGAATATTTTTCCAATTAAACAACAGCGAACTTTTGACCAATATGTTAAGATTATTACATGAACCACTTCTTTGGCGTAGCAATATCATTCTATACTTCCATGAAGGCCAGGACTTGCCTTTGGTTTCCATCCTTATAGGTCACTGGACAGTAGCCCTGGAGCTCCGCACACTTAGGGAATCGACTCTTCAGCTCTGACAGTGTCAGTCTTTTGGGGATCATGTCAGCAGATGGGAGTGGATGAGGTGCTAAGGGAGGCACGTACAATTCTGGGTTCTCCAAGAATTTCTATTAAAAAAGAATTCCAGTAGCAACATGATTTAAACCAGAAATGCTATGCCAATCAGAAGGCCACCGAGGCTCTCCTGCACCCTCCCCATTTTCAGTAGCAGCGTTCTGCTGCTCCTCAAACTGTAAATAACCTCTCCTCTGAAAGGAAGTTCCTTACAGGAATACTCCCAAGTGATCACATCCAAGATTTATCCTCATCTCAGTCACTCATTCATTCATTCCTACAAAAAACACTTGTTGCGCTCCTACTACACTACAGTCACTGGAGAGAGCAGGCCCCTGCCAGCCCGTATTCCTGTCCTGCTGTGTAATTAACCGGTTGGGTGCCTTTGGCAGGTGAGTTAACTTCTCCAGCTTCAGGTATTGCTCTGTAAAATGGAGGGGGTGGGCCAGATACATGGCCTTTAATGTCACTTCCAGTTTTAAAAATTCTATGATTACCATTTAAGTAAGCAGGAAGAAATAAATATCTCATAATAAAGGGAACAACAATTCTAATTCTGCAAGGAAATAAAATGTTCAGAGGCATCTGTTTTTTCTTGTTGTTGTTTTCAACTACCAATCTTTTAAAATCATCAAATTTTGGACATTATAATATGAGACGAAATCTATTTTCTGTTCCATTAAGCAGAAATATAAGGTATACAAAGAGTTCTAGTGATAGAAAAAAAATTAAAGCAAAGGAGACATACGTCAGCTCTTGCTTCATTTCTACTGACTCTGATTCCCTTCAGCACCCCTGGGTGCTGAATCCCCTGGATCCTCAGTGGGCTGAGTCCTTGTTGTTCAGCATCTCTTCCATTGATGGGGCTCACTGTTGGCTCTCCTTAGCCGTTAGGCTGGCCTAGGCCAACAGCCAATTAATGACCCTGGACTCCTGCAATGTTTCAAATTATATCCTGGGATGCAGTTTTGGAACTCACTGCTGAGTTGCTTCACTGGTCCCAGAGTCACAAGTTCCAGTAATGGGGCTCCTAGTCCCAAGTTTCTGGGTGCCTATCCCTTCCTATTGATTGATTCCAAGATAAGACATTTTCTTTCTTTAGTAAATATTTGGAGTTAGGAACAAACTTACATTCAGTTTTTCCTGAGAACTCATTTTATAGTAGTGCCCCCTGAACTCTGCTGCAAATTCCAAGGAGTCAGTTGCAGAGCAATCAAATAATTCCTGGGATTCTGCCAGGCTGACAGGGCAGAACTGTTCAAATTCTCCCAGGCGAGAAAGCAGCTCTTGAGGTGTGATACATAACTTGTCAATGCAGGCAGCTTTTCCTATTATTAACATATTAACTATTATCATGTATATATTTTTCATAGAGAACGCAATGATTTTAGAAATTAAAATAATTTTAATTACACAGCACTATACATACACATTATAAAATTCCAAACAATAGAGTAAAAAGTAAAAGTTACTATTCACATCTCCATTGTTTCAATCCAATACTTAACCTGAGAGGTAATCATCACTGTTGGATTTGTATCTTTTTCAGTCTTTTTTCTATACCTTCACATACATACTTTTTTGCATATAGTATGCTTGTGCCACTATACTATAAACATTATTCTGCAACTTGCTTTTATCAGTCAGTTATGGTCTTTGACCTCTTTTCATATAAGCTTATATAATTTACCTAATTTTTTTTTTTGAGATGGAGTCTCGCTCTGTCACCCAGGCTGGAGTGCAGTGGCGTAGCTCGATCTCAGTTCACTGCAGCCTCCCAGGTTCAAGTGATTCTTGTGCCTCAGCCTCCCAAGTAGCTAGGATTACAGATGTGTACCATCACAGACGGCTAATTTTTTGTACTTTTAGTAGAGACAGGGTTTTGCCATGCTGGCCAGGTTGGTCTCGAATTCCTGGCCTCAGGTGATCCACCCACCTCGGCCTCCCAAAGTGTTGGGATTACAGGCATGAGCCTTCCGTGCCTGGCCAATTTACCTAATTCTTTTTAATCGATGCATAGTATTCCACTGTATAAACATACATGTAGTTTACTCAACCATTTATCTATTGGTGAATGTTTTGGCCGTTTTAGTTCTTAGCTATTATAGACTATATATATGATACACACACACACACACACACACACACACACACACACACAATTTATACCTGTGTATACCCGCACATTTATAAACTTGCTACATTTAAAAAAAACCTATGGGCTAGATTTCAGGAAGTGCAAATAGTTTGTTGACATGATGTTACTCACACAAAGTTCTCCCTGTGCCCAGATCCCACCCAAGAGAAGGAAAACAAACATTTATCCAAAAGTGATTGGCTTTATTCTAAAGAGTAGATTTTAAAAAGAAAGTGCCCAAGTTCCTTTAATGAACAAGATTAAGAGTTTTCTCTCTATGCTTACCCAGAACAAAAATGTAAGTACACACATAAAAAAGAGAGTTTTCTCTCTAATACTCCACTGGAATGGGGACTTCAAAGCAATATAAGATGTTATAGAAAATAAAATTACTTTTTAAATACATTTTAGTTATAATGAGTGGACTTATTATAGCCAGTACGTTTTGTTAGTTGTCGTTTTACCAAGGCAAAGTTTTACCTTTTTAAAAGATTATGCCTAGGAAGGTCCTAAATTAACCATAAAATTATGAAGCAAAAATCATAGTTTGTTTTTTGTTTGTTAGGATAGAAATGATCTCATCTGCAATGTACTATTACAGCACTGTAATCCCTTATCTAAGACCCTTGGGGCCAGAAATGTTGGATAATTCAGAATATTTTAGATTTTGGAAACGCATCACACTCAGCCAGGTGTGGTGGCTCACGCCTGTAATCGCAGCACTTTGGGAGGCTGAGGTGGGTAGATCGCTTGAGTCCAGGAGTTTAAGACCAGCTTGGGCAACATGGCGAGACCCTGTCTCTACAAAAAATACAAAAATTAGCCCTCTGTGGTGGCACATGCCTGTAGTCCCTGCTACTTGAGAGGCTGAAGTGGGAGGAACACTTGAGCTTGGGAGGTGGAGGCTGCAGTAAGCCACTGCACTCCAGGCTGGGCAACAGAGTGAGACTCTCAAACAAACAAACAAACAAAATGAAAGAAAAGAAATACATCACACCCTCACAGTGTCTGGAGAAGCACCCTGTAATCGATAAGATGAAATTTCTGCAACCAAATAGGTTGACCCTTCCCCACTTACTGGGTTTCATAAAAAGACTGTAAATAGCCATATGTCAGCTCATGTGAAGTTTTGCCCTCAAATGATTTATAACTAAACTTGATATTTTTAGAGGTTTTTGGATTTTGGAATCACAGGCCAGAGGTGTCATGTCACTTGATTGCCTCACTGATCTGCCTGCCTGTACTGGGGAGGAGGGTGTGGGGGTCCAGGAGATGATGTCCCCTGATACCAACTACCATTTCCACTCTTCAAAAGGCCACATGTAATCCTGAAAAGGAGATGGTTGGGAAACCGTGCCCAAAGAGGTTTCCATTATGCAATCTCTCCACAATCCTGCTTTTAAACAGGGAGTAGGAGAGGGGGAAAGGAACATACACAACATGAAGGGATCTTTATTAACTGGCATTCCTTTAAGCAATCACAGCCCTCCTTCAATAAGGCAGGCATTTAAAACCATTGCTTATTGGCTCTCATCCTCTATTCATCTCTTGCAGGCAAAGAATCATCAGTGTGGCATCAGCACTACTCCTAACAAGGTCTTTAGGACATAAACTGATAAAGTGACAGTATTTTCCAAATGGTAACATCTAAGACTCATCAGAGTCAGCAGAGGTCAATTAGAATCCCCAACTCAACTTCTGAGTCCCAGAAGAAAGGCTACCAGCCATGAATGAATCCTGACCATATCATTAGGTTCTGGTCTTCTCTGAAGAGCTGAGAGCCAGCTGGATGGGATCTCCTGAATGTCTTTGTGCCTGTTTCACAGAGTTAACAGAGGGCTTTCTAGGAGAGCATTATTGGCCTTAAAACAAATGACTTTGAACCTTACCATACCTTACCACATAAAATTATTGTCACTTAACATTCCCAATTGCCCAATTAATCTGAACATAAATCTGATTGTGAATTCCTTCACCATATCATCATATCATGTGTATCACTGGAAGCCACAGGGTGGGCTGATCTGACATGACTCCAGTGGTATTCTTGATCCCTGCCTTGTGGTGTTCCTGCCTTTGTGTAATCTCCTCCCCCATGTGTGGGCTGGACTGAGTAACTTGCTTCGAATAAACAGAATATGGCAAAAGTGAGGGGATGTCACTTCCAAGATTAGTTTACCATTATGGCCTGAATTACGTTTCCCAAAAAGATATATTGAAGTACCCCCAGTACCCATGAATATGACCTTATTCGGAAATAGGGTCAGAGAAATACACACAAACAGACAGATACGGAAGGGAGAATGACATGTGAAGACACAAAGACACACACATGGAGAACGCCATGTGATGACAGAGGCAGAGACTGGAGTGATGTGTCCACAAGCTCAGGAATGCTGAGGATTTCTGGCAACACTGGAAAAACAGAAAGGCATGGAATAGATCCTCCCCTAGAACCTTCAGGCAGAGGATGGCCCTGTCAACACCTTGATTTTGGACTTCTAGCCACCAAAACTGTGACACAATACATTTTTGTTGTTTAAGCCATCCAGTTTGCGGCAGTTTGTTTCAGCAGCCCTAAGTAAAACAATTACAAAAGATGGACACTCTTTCTTGCCCTTTCAGGTTGTTCACTTGATAAAGGAAGCTGCCATGTTGGAGAGATTCACATGGCAAGGAACTGAGGGTGGCCTCTGGCCAATAGCAGCCAGCAAGGAACTGAGGTCCTCAGTCCAGTAACACTTAAGGAACGGAATCTTACCGACATCACATGAGTGAGCATGGCAGTGGGCTCTTTCCCAGTTGAGCCTTCAGAAAAGACCATAGTCTTGGCTGTCACCTTCACTGTAGCCTTGTAAGGGACTACCCAGTTAAACTGTGTTCAGATTTCTGACCCACAGGAACGGTATGTGTGTGTGTGTGTGTGTGTGTGTGTGTGTGTATTATTTTCAGTTGCTAAGTTTTGGACTAATTTGTTATGCAACAATAGATAACAAATACACTATTCTATCTGTTGCTTATGACACAGATGAAAAGGCTAAGAAGTTCCAATATTGATTTTCTACAAAGAATATTACACTACTATGATACTATAGTGGTACTATAATATGTAGTACTATAGTACAATAATATATAGTATTATTAAGGTATATAGTATTATAATACAAAGTATTATATTATACTACATGGTGCTATAGTATTCTAATACTATCTATTTCTTGGTTGCTCTTTAGCTCAGATGTACTGAACCTCACCAATCCTGACAGGTTTAGTGACAGGGTAATTTAGAATCGTGTAACTTCAAGTCTCAAAAGACACCCAAATGTCTCTTTTTCTAATTATTGGGATATTCTGGATGACATCTGGCAATGTCTAGGTACCCTCTTCTGGAACGTGGCAGGAGGAATCTCTTTAATTCTCTAAGCCCCAGCCTTGTACCATCTCACTGATCAGGGTAAACCTTGGCCTCCTGGTAGGAGAGGATCATTTGAACAGTAAACAAAGGAAACAGAGCATGAAAAAAACCAAAACTAAATTCAAACAATCAGGTACAGGCTAGATTATCAGGCGGACGCTGAAGCAGAAGAGAACAGGACAGACTTCACTGAGATGAAACTATGTGTGAGAGAGGCAGGCACTGGAATCATGTAGTGGATCCTTAGTTCCCTCTCTAGGGCTGACATACCCACCCTGCAGCTGCTGGGCACCTGGCACTGATTGCTCACAGCTGGACTGGAAATTGCCCTTCTGTCACAGCTTACGCAAGTTATACTCCCTCCCGGGGTGGCCTGCGGTCAATGACAGGCTGATGCGAGGGTGGAGAGGATACAAAGCCTGGACCCTCCCCCCACTTTGGGGACATTTTGAAGGTCCCTCCCAGCACCAGTGTTTCCCCAGGATCTACTGAGGGCTTCTGTTCCCACCACACTGCAGGTTAGTTTCTCCCTCTGCCCAATTTGACCATCCTGACTTGTCCACAGGTGTATCTCCTGATTAGAGTTGCTGGATAAAATAAAGGACACTGCTGGGTGCAGTGGCTCACGCCTATAAACTCAGTACTTTGGGAGGCTGATGTGAGAGGATCGCTTGTAGCCAGGAGTTTGAGACCAGCCTGGGAAACAAAGTAAGACTGCCCCCTCCAATCTCTATAAAAACATTTAAAAAATTAGCTGGGCATGGTGGCATGCATCTGTAGTCTTAGCTACTGGAGAGGCTGAGGCAGGAGGATCCTTTGAGACTAGGAGTTCAAAGCTACAGTGAGTTATGATTGTACCACTGCACCCCAGCCCGGGAAACAGAGCAAGCCCCTGTCTCAAAAAATAAAAAATAAAATTAAAGAATACCTGTTTAAGTTTGAATTTCAGATAAGCAATGAATATTAATAGTTTTTAGTATGAGTATACCCTATGCAATTATTTGGGATATACTTATACTAAAGAATTATTGTTTATCTGAAATTTAAATTTAACTGGGTGTCAGTCAGGCATGATGGCTCACACCTGTAATACTAGCACTTTGGGAGGCAGAGGAGGGTGGATCACCCGAGGTCGGGAGTTTGAGCCCAGCCTGGTCAACATGGTGAAACCCTGTCTCTACTAAAATACAAAAAATTAGCCGGGCATGGTGGCGCACACCTGTAGTCCTAGCTACTCGGGAGGCTGAGGCACAAGAATTGCTTGAACCCGGGAAGGGGAGGTTGCAGTGAGCAGAGATCACACCACTGCACTCCAGCCTGGGTGACAGAGTGAGACTCCTTCAAGAAAAAAGAACTGTGTGTCCTGTATTTTTAGTTGCTAAATCTGGCAACTCTACGCCTGAAAGTACTTTCTGATAAAACTTCTGCACGTGACTTTTCATCTTGAGTCTGTTTCTAGGGAACCCAGTCTAAGACAGGGAGGCTGAAATAGAGTAACAGAAAGATGAATGAGGCACAGCTTTCGCTTTCAAAGTCTGCTGTGGAGTGTTTCCCAGTGCGATCCCATCCAGAGCTTATTGAGATATTTCTAAAAATTCAATTCTCCCTTCCCTTGCACTTTTGTCTTCATGCCTTATGATCTTTAGGTGAAAACAGATTCCCAATTTGTAAACAAACAGGAACCAGAAATACTGGTTATGCCCACATGGTGAAGCAAATCAAGATACAGTGCTGCAGTTATTATTGGAATCCTCACTGCATTTTTCTTTGTATAGGACTCTCTTAGTCACATTGCTCCCATAAACCTCATCATACCTTCTGTGTAGTTTCTGAAGTTAAACACAATCATTAAACAGATGTCTGTGAGACCCCTACAGATCACATCTTTGTAGTCATCACTCTTTTTAGAGATATCAGATGTAGATAACTTTCCTTGTATTTTGTGTATTTTCAGAGAACAGTCAATAAACTATTTAACAAGAATATATAATCAAACATGTGCTTCTGTGAATTCCTAATATAGATTAAAAGACATTTTAATGAACAAGCTTAGTTTTTTTATGGACTCAACATTTATATCATACTATAATGGGTGTAAATAGTAAAAATAATTTTAATTCTAGATTCCTAAATAAAATTTTGCCAGGTGTCACTCTGCAATCATGGACCCGTATAACTACTGCACACATTCTGAAAAATAGCTTCTTACTATTCCAAACACTATATACCCTTTTAGTGAGAGATCATGCATTATTTTTATGTCCTAAATTCACATAGGCATTCAATAAATGATAGCTTGGGTAGCGGCAGTCATTTATTAGAACAAACATGCCCACGTCATAATCTATTTTGGCTGCTATAACCAAATGCTACAGACTGGGTAATTAATAAACAACGGAGATTTATTGCTCACAGTTTTGGAGCCTGGGAAGTCCAGAATCAAGGTACCAGCAAATCTGGTATCTGGAGAGGCACTGTTCCTCATAGATGGTGCTCTCTTGCTGTATTCTCATGTGGTAGAAGGGACAAGCAGGCTCCCTCAAGCCTCTTCTATAAGGGCACTAATCCCATTCATGAGGGCAAGCCCTCATGATGTAACTACTTCCTAAAGGCCCCACCTCTTAATACTATTACACTGGGGATTCGGTTTCAGCATATGAATTTTGGGTGATACAAATTTCAGACCATAGCATCACAATAATTGGATAATACTATTATATATAGTATTGGATAATAAGTATTGAAATACTTATTAAGTCACGCCTGACTCATGTTCAAATGGAATGAATTACAGTAACATGAGTCAGGCATGTTTACACTTGAAATTAATATTTTATTCTACCTTAAAAAGTGCTATCTTACCTGCTTTTATTCTTTCCAGGTATGTCTGCATGTATTTATTCACCATTTGAACATTCTTAATGACTTCATTCCATACCCACCATTTGCTGTGAAATCCATCAATCACATACCAGTTCTGATGCTGTTCTTGATAATATTGCCTAATCTCACCAATATTTTTGCGATACTTTACATTATTGACAGCTACAATTTGTGCACTATTGTGCAATGGATAAGGCAATCTAATAGGGAAACAGAGAAGGAATGGAAAAAGCTGTTAAAAACATATCTTTTCCCCCGTATGATTAAAGTTTATTCCTTTTTTGTTGTCTTCATCATGTACATTACCTTTGTTCATTTTCTTTTTCTAGGAGCAATCTTTTGAAAATCTCCTTGGAAGGCACACTCAATTCAAAGATGACCATGGGAATGATTGACCTAGCTTCCAAGAGATTCATTTGATGTTTAGTTACAGGATATCCATCGATGACAACACTAACAAGGAAAAACATGAAAATAAAAATTCCACATTTCTTTTTCTCTCGTACTTCCTTTCTGTCTTCCAGAACCAGTCTGTCTCTTTAGGAGTAGCTCATGATTTTCCTTATGTAACTCAATTTATTTTCTTCACACTTTGCCCTCTTCATCTCTACATCTTTAATCTCAGTCAGGCCAAGAGCCATGAGGTGGGCAGGACACATCCAAACACAGTTCAGAAGGTGGGCGTAGGAGAGAGCTCTGAATTTCTACACTCAGCATGCTGGAGATAGATTTTGGCAGAATTTGACAGATAACTCCCACAGTACCTTGAATATTGTGTTCAACTGGTGCTGTTAATCTAAACATGAAAGAGTATAGCTTTAGAGGCAGATAACTTTAGATTTAAAACCTGGTTTGAACTTTCTAAGAGGAAATGATGTTTAACTCTTAGAGTTGTTTTAAAGATTGGAGATCAGGTATGTAAAGCAACTAGAGTAGGACCTGGTACATATTAGATGCTCAAGAAGTAGTATTTTAGTAAGAGACTAAGCCAATATGGAAAAAAAAAAAGTGTGCTCCATGCTTGCTTTTTGTAGTAAATGCTCTGTGAGGAGGCTGGGAGTGCAGCTGGGGGAGAGTTGGTGAGAGTGGCCCTATAATATTTGAGTGGGAATCATTCCATCAGGACCTATGATGCATGCCTCTGAGCAGAAATGACAAGGAAAATTTAAACTAGTTCAATAGGTTGAGATAATGAGATTGTCACTATCAAACTGAGAGGAGGAAAAAAAAAGGCTGGTTATAGCTTCCAGGAGGAGTGGCCCCCAAGCTCAGGAAACTCCCTGTGAGGTGGGAGCAAGCTGGGCATGCTGGCTGGTGGTCATCAGGAAGTTTGGTTTGACCTAAGCCACAGGACCCCCTGCCTCAGTGCTTTCCAGCTGTTAAAGCAAACTAAATACGGCCATACGTCTATATTTGAGTTCTTGTGGATGAACTGTAACCTAGCTTAATAGTCAGACAAGATTGAAAACCTAACTTAGGAGTATGTGCCTGTAACAATAACTGAGTCCTGGCCAATCCCAGCGGCCATACTTCAACCACTCATAGACTGCTAAGTGTTTAAACTGTGTTCAAATAAGGCAAACACCAACCTGTAACCAGTCCAGCTGTTTCTGTATCTCACTGCCAATTTCTGTACATCATTTCCCTTTTTTGTCTATAAATCTTCTTCCACCATGTGGCTTCGCTGGAGTCTCCATGAATCTGCTGTGATTCTGGGGGCTGCCCGATTTGTGAATTGTTCATTGCTTAAACTCCTTTGAATTTAATTCAGCTGAAGTTTTTCTTTTATAACAGCTGAGTCTCTAGGCACTGGCCTACAATTCTACAGCAGAGGGGATTGTTGGCTAGGCTGGCCTCATAGAGAATGTATGAGGGTGCAATTGTTGTTTTTTTAATCAAGAGTAGCTCAACTTCTTTGTCCTGTGAAGAGTCACTTGAGTGACCCTCAGGATTAGGGAAATTCAGGGTGAATGAGCAGTCATTGTCCTGGTATTAAGGTGGAATGAAATCTTTTTGACTCAACCATGATTGCCTCACTGAGGTCCTTCTTATGCAAAGCTGAACACCAGGGAGGAGGTAATTCAATCTGGGTAAGTCCCGGGCCTTTTCTGGGGATAAAGTCTGACACCCCAGAAGCTGCTCCCCAGTAAATGAACTCGAGAACTGTTCAAGGACTTAATTATGGGTCACAGACAAGGAAAGTCAAAGAGGCTTCTAATAGAAAACCTTGAGTAAATCAGGGGGGTTCTAGGTCAGTGACCTGTGCTCAAGACCAGGGCTTCAGGTTTCATGGGGAGGGCTTTTACTACTGGGTATGGCCCGTGGCTGTGCTGGAGGAGCAAAGGTGAGAAGTGTAAATGGAAGAGACAGCTCAAGTGCATAGCTTTCTTGTCCAAATGTGGTGTTAAGGGAGAGGCACTGCTACCCGTGCAGAGAGCTGGGCCAGACATAGACCATCTCCACTGGACCAGCCCCTGGGGGATGGGGGAGGGCCACTTCTCCATAACTTCATGGGGCAGTGAGAAGAACTCCTGGAGTGTGGAAGTCACATCAGCCTCCTTTGTTGAAGTCTGAAGGCTTTTGGACAACTCAGGGGTTGCTGGAGAGAGTGAAGGGGCCTGCCTGCTAATCTGGCATGTGAATTTTCAAGCCAAGTTTTTGCTTGACAGAAAATTCAAATATGTAACCATATAGGTGCCCAGAGTTTGAGAGAAGTAGATCACACCCTTTATAAGAGCTTTAAGCCCCATGTAAGTGTTTTAAATCACGAGCGAGCAGTTTCTTGAAAGATTTAACTCCCTCTGTCCCATCCTCTCACCCCATTCACTTACCCTGCAGTATTGCACACACTTTCCATCAGAGAAAGTTCTAAGGCTTGAATAGCCAGTTCATCAGGTGCTGTCATTCCTTTATGAAGATGCCAATTTAACATAAGTGCCAGCTCTGTTTCCGGGTGATTGTTTAGTACATAACGCAAAGCTCCTCCTATTGATAAATGCTTTAACCCATATTCACTTGTAATTTTTTTGGCAACTGAAAAACATAAAACTTTTAAATTAAATTAAATGATTTAGATTCAGGGGGGACATGTGCAGTTTTGTTACATGGGTATATTGTGTGATGCTCAGGTTTGGGCTTCTAATGATCCTGTCCCCCAAGTAGCAAACATAGTGATGGCAGTGGCTGCTGCCATCACACTGGCTGCAGCTGCCCAAACCATGCTGCAGACCCAGGCCTCCTGCTCTATGGAGCAGGCAGCAGCCTCATCCTCCTGGGTGTGGCTACAGTCACTTAAACTGCGGCTATGGGTCTGAGCCTCCCTGTGCTCTTGGAGGCAGCCAGGAGCAGGTAAGACCTGCCCTCTTGGGTGTAGCTGCAGCCACCTGACCCACGGCTGCAGCTCTGGGCCTCCTGCTCCATGGAGCAGGCAGGAGCTGCGGACAAGCAGGAACCCTGCCCCTTGTGAGTTGGTGGGGTGGGAGCTCCCTGGGTGCAGCTTGGGGGGTTTTCCCAGGTGCAGGACCCAGGCATCTCTGCATCTCTGCAGCCTGCATCCACAGGGGCCTGGGAACCTCCCCAACCCCTGCAGGCTCAGGGGTGTCTGCTCCCGCTGCCTGGCCTCTCTCTGCTCCTGGCCCTACTCCCATCTCTGAGCAGGGGTTGGGGCCAAGCCCCAGGGGCCATTGATTCCTGGCAGATTGATTCCTGGGCAGAAGGGGGTGGGTCCCCAGTAAGGCCCCAGCTTCAGGCCAGGGAGGGCCTGAAGGCTGGGGGCTGGGATGCCGGTCTGTGGACAGGAGTGGGGACTCGTGGTGCCTCTTCTGGGCCTACCCAGGGCCACCCATGGACCAATCAGCAGGCACTTCCTCCCCTCTGAGGTCTATAAAAGCCCTGGGCTCAGCCAGAGCGTGGGAGAGGACGACCAGAGGATGAAGAGGGCAGAGAGATAACAGGATGACCAGCTGCAGAAAGGAGTACCCTCTCTGTTGACAGTGGAGTACCCTCTCTGTTGATAGCTGGAGAGGACAGGACGACCAACTGCAGAGAGGATACTCCTCTCTGCTGATAGCTGGAGATGACAGAACAACCAGTTGCAGAGAGGAACTACCCTCTCTGCTGAGAGCTGCAGAGATGACCTGCCAGCAGATAGGAGCCACCCTCTCCAGGGCCTCCTCTCTGCTGAGAGCAGCAGACATCAGGACAACCAGTAGCAGAGAGGAGCTACCCTCTCCAGGGCCTCTTCTCTGCTGAGAACTGAACACTGGACAGATGACCTGCCTAAGTAGAGGAGTCACCCACTGTGGGTCTCCTCTGAGCTGCTACAACACTCAATTCATGTTTGTCTTGTTCACTCTTCACTTGTCTGCCTACCTCATTCTTCCTGGATGCAGGACAAGAATTTGGGCAAAAGTGCTGCAGCCACAGAGGTTTCAAGCCAGAAAAGATCCAACCCAAAGATACCAGAACAGTAGTACCCAATAGATAGTAAAAAACAAAACTCTAAATTTATTTCATTTCACAAATTTATCAGTTCACCTTAGTTTTAGACTCTGGCTAATGATATCAACAGCAAGCTAATTTTCACATTTCTCAATGAAATTTCAAAAATTAAAATTGCCCTATTTTACAGAACTAATAACTGTCAAAGGTCAGTCATTAACAGTACTTCAGGTATGTGGCTGATAGATCTGGTTAATGAACCAAATCTGCTTGTTTTTTTTTTTTTTTTTTCCTTAACAAACCAATTTTAAGGGTTTTCTTTTTTCTGCATGAGGTGGCAAAATTTTTGAGAGCTTTGCAAGTCATCTTTTATGTACTCTTACTATCTGGTAGTATGCCCCAAATAACAATATAATATTCCTGTTTCACTGAATTGTATCATTCCCCTTTCTGTCCATTTATGGACTCCATGATGCAACCAGCATAGCATACCCTATACAGTTAGATCTCAGTTAATCCTCTAGGAAATAATTTTTAAAATGTATAATGGCACACTTGACATTTTAATAGTGACTTACAGCCTATGAGGAATTTTTCTTCTGTGACTTTATTTGATATTTTTAACTATTTCATCAGGTGGGTGGAATGGATATTGAAATTCCAGTTTTATAGATGAGGGGAACTGATTTGTCCAAGGTTACATAGATGTTGCCACTGGCTGAAAGAAGACTCACACTGGCTTCTCCTGAGTGAGACAACAGACAAATGGCTTCTAGTAGCTAGTAAATGTGGGTGTGCTCTGTTGTGTGTATATTCCTTGCCTGAGCACTGTGTGGAGATAGCAGTGGGTGGAGGATACTCAGAACCCTACTCATCCCATAAGGACGATGATTGACCAGGGACCACCATCAGGACCACCCAATAAAGAAGTTCCTATGAGAGCCACAGAGCATATAACTTCAGCTTTGCACAAATGCTGGAACGAAATCTGTTTTTTTTAAAGTTCTAACAATAATTAGGCTCCTAAAATTTGACACCTTATTTAAAAATCAACCACCATTTCAACAAAAAAATGAGATATCAGGTAATCTACATGTTCACCTTGTGCTCTGGATGTGGGATCTTATTTTGCATGTCAACGTTCTGCTGTCTTTGGAAAATATCATTATCTTTGTGAACATTTAGGATATGATTATGTCAGAGGCGTGCAAACAAGAGCAACTCCATCTTGAGTAGGGGCTGGGTAAATAAGGCTGAGACATACTGGGCTGCATTCCCAGACAGTTAAGGCATTCTAAGTCACAGGAAGAGACAGAAGGTCAGCACAAGATACAGGTCATAAAGACCTTGCTGATAAAACAGATTGCAGTAATGAAGCCTGCTAAAACCCACCAAAACCAAGATGGCAATGAGAGTGACCTCTGGTTGTCCTCACTGCCACACTCTCACCAGTGCCATGACAGTTTACAAATGCCGTGGCAACATCAGGAAGTTACCCTATGTGGTCTAAAATGGGGAGACATAAATAATCCACCCCTTGTTTAGCATATCATCAATAAATAACCATAAAAATGGGCAACCAGAAACCCTGGGGGCTGCTGTGTCTATGGAGTAGCCATTCCTTCACTTTCCTAATAAACTTGCTTTCACTGTACTCTATGGACTCGCCTTGAATTCTTTCTTGCACGAGATCCAAGAACCTTCTCTTGAGGTTTGGTTCTGGACCCCTTTCCTGTAACAATTATAGACTCTTTTGTCATGTTAAGAACTTTATAAAGCCAAAATAAACTTTTCATCTGAAGAGCTGGAACATAAAATTCCCTTATCTCTCTTCTTTGTTCTCTATTCAGTCAGTCATTAAGACTTATTGTTTTCCTTGGAAATGTATCCTATATCTGCCCTTTCCATTCTGTTCTCATTGTGACCACCCACTGTTCTTGTTGTTATCATGTCATCTTGAAATACTACAACCAACCAAGTTTTGGACTATTTACCTTAAAGTCCAAAGTTACACAAAACATTACAGGAATATAGTTTATCAAATGCCTTTCCAGAAATGATTAAGATAATTGATTTACTATTATTACTTGTTTTGAGACAGGCTCTCACTCTGTTGCCTAGGGTGGAGTACAGTGGCACAATCATGGCTCACTGTAGCCTCAATTTCCTTGGCTCAAGTGGTCCTCCCACCTCAGCCTCCTAAATAGTTGGGACTACAGGCATGTGCCACCATTCCCAGCTAATGTTTTAATTTTTTTATGGATATGAGGTCTCACTATGTTACCCAGGCTGGTCCTGAACTCCTGGGCTCAAGTAATCCTCCCACCTTGGCCTCCCAAAGTGCTGGGATTACAGGCATGAGCCACTGTGCCTAGTATAGTAAATTATATTTATAAAATATTTTCATATACTTTATATACTTAACATATTTGACTATAATTATGAATATTAGTTTGTAATTTCTTGTATTGTCTTGGTTAGGTTTTGATATTAGGGTCATGTTAATTAAAAAATGGATTTGTATCCTATATGCCTTTTTGACTGTATGAACCATATTCCTTAATAAAAAAGAAAATAAAAATAACTTGGGAAACTTACTCTTTCCCCTTGCCTATGGGAGAGCTTATAAAAATACAGGCATTATCTCTTGAGTTTTTAGTTCTTTGAAAATTTCCTATAATTTTTGTCTAAAACAATTTGATTCTGGGCCATTTCAGAGTTGGGTTATATTTTCGAATGCCTTCTCTTCGATGGTTATTGGTCTATTTAGGTTTTCTATCTCGTTTTGAGTCAGTCTTGATAGTTGGTTTTCTGAAGAAGTGGCACTAGTTTTCAGTCATTCTCACAGGATTAACAAGAATTCTAGACAGAAATACAGTTAAAATAAGCCTGAATCAGGCTGCACCTTTGACCCACTTCCTTGTAACTGAAAGTCACATAGCAGTAGTTACTGACCACTGGCATCCCCATCATTCCTATAAATAGGATTTCTGATGTCAGATGCACAAGGCTTTTGTTTAAGATAGATAGGATCTCTGATGTTAGAATAATAAGGCTATTGTTAAGGAATTCCTTAAGCAGAACCTAAATGCCAGCAGAATAGCTGACACCAACAGGAGGTTTAAAACCCCCACCGAATCAGCAGGAGAAGTCAGTTTCTTCATCTCCCTGTCCCATGACTTCACCCTGCATTCTTCAGCCAATCAATGATTTTTGCACTTCAATTCAGCCCACTCCAAAACTCTTAAAAACCCTAGCCCCAGATTCCTCAGGGAGACGGATTGGAGATTTCCTCCTGTCTCCTCACTCAGCCACCCTACGATTAAATGTCTTTTTCTGCTGCAACCCAGTGTCTTGGTGAATTGACCTGCCATGTGCATTGGGTACAAGCAGATTCTTTTATGCTTGAGGAAAACAAAGGCAAACATACGCTCACCTGTAGTTTTCCCAGATTTTGGAGGCCCCACAATTATAATCCTAATGGGCACAGTAGGCTTAGGTTTGGGTTGGCGGATATATTTGATTGGGTTCTTCATAAATTTTTCTTTTGTTTCTTTACTAGATAAAAAATAAATATACTGACGATGGATTACAGGATAAATTGGATTCTCTGCATTTTCAACTGGCTTGATTGTCTCTCCTTCACTTAGCTGCAACATATACACAGTTGAATTTGAAAGTTAGTTTGAATTTTTACAGCACTTCCCTGAAACATATTTGAAAAAAACAATTCGTGACATAAGAAAAAAAAATTCCTTACAGAATAAGAAAACTAATTATAATCAAAGGTTAATATTAAACAACTGTGGAAAAGTACACATTATTTTACAGCCGTATGTAATGAATGCAATAGTTCTTAATTGGCCTTCAGTTTATGACAATTATAGTCCTTCTACTTCATTTATAGTGTGTTTAGTGTATACTGAATGTTTCTGTCAAACAGCCTAAGGTTGTTTGCATTTATTCACAGGCCAATTCATCCTCACAAAGAGGTCCATTCCTAAGGTGATGTTATGGATTGAATTGTTTCTCCCTTACCTCCTCAATTTCTGTTTGAGGCCCTAGCACCCCAAGTGACTATATTTGAAGACAGGGCCTTTAATAAAGGAGGAAATTAAGGTTAAATGAAGTCAGAAGGATGGAACCTGAATCTGGTGGGACTGGTGTCCTTACAAGAGGAGGAAGAGACATCAGGGTGGGCACACAGAAAAGGCCACGTGGGGACACAGATAGAAGGTGGCCAACTGCAAGTTAAGGAGAGAGGTCTTGCCTTGTCAGAAAAACCAACCCTGCTGGCACCTTGATCTTGAACTTTTAGCCTTTAGAACTGTGAGAAAATAATTTCTGTTGTTTAAGCTACCAAGTGGTATTTTGTAACGGCAGCCAGAGATGACTAATACGATTGGGTTCTTGGGTTATCTTTTAGAGGTATACTAGTAGGGCAAATCCCACTGGGTTCTCTTCTATATTTTTGTGTAGTTCAAATCCCACTCACATAAACATTAAGAGCTATCATGAAAGGGAAAAATACCCATAAAAGGCAACCTAAGGTGTGGGTAGGAATGAAGTTGGAGGAGTGGTGCCCCATCTTTGCACTGGTGATGATGAAGACTGGGCAATTGATCAATGCTACGTTTGAATATCTTTTTATAGCATCAGATGGGCAAGTGTCAGCCATCCCTGAACTTGACAGAGTAGGTGTGAAACAGTATGGCAATATTGCTCCTCCCTGAGAGCTACCTCAAGACAGTTGTTACAGATCAATGGTAGTGTCAACATTATAATTCTTGGGCTAGAGTGAAGTTCATGGATGGGAGTAAATGCTAGAGATAAGGAGAAACTCAGGGGGAGGTAGGGGTGTCTGCTCTATGTTACACAGTTGGTGATAAAAGAAAAGCTGAAAGTTTAATGATTCCATTTTAAATCCCAAAGTATTTTTATAGCTAGATGAGACTACTACACAATACTTACAATTTTTGAAATTATCCAGTCTTTTTCCTTTAAAAAAGACATACCTTTGAAAAAAATAAATAAGGAACATGGCTTTCAGGTGCGTTTGCTGAAATTACCTTTACAGGGTCCCAATAGCCGAATGAGCTTATATACTTGTAGGTAAAGGTGAGCATTTTCTGGGCAAGGGGTGCTGGTATTGGATGACATTTCTCAAAAATGCTTGCACGATTTTCCACCAGTGGTTTCAGTTTCATATTCAATGTATATTGTACAATGTGATTTCTCCGAGCTCCATTAATGGAAATTATTGGTATCAAATACCTCTCAAGTTCATCCTGATAAGAAAAGTCATAAAAACAAATATATTTAGTGAGAAAAAGGCTGGTAGTATTTAGTCACAGCATGTAGACACTGCTGGTGACTGACTACTTCAGTCCAGAACACAAATATTTTTCAGCTTCCAAGTGGCTGCATGTTGGTGACTAAACTTACTCTGACCCTCTGTGGCTTCCACGTTGCTCTTAATTTATGGACTTATTGCATAATTGTTAAATGATACCGATAAAAGGAAATACAGCCCTAAAATATACATTTTTTAAATGTTTAAAGAAATGGCATGAACTAAATTGCTTTAGTCTGATTCTCAAATATTACTTTTGAATTATAAAAAGCAAAGGAAAAGTAATAACCTGTATTATTTGTAAATTATGTGTATCTGCTTCAAATTTTTCTCCTAGTTCACCTCTCAGGCGCTCAATTGCATCAGTTTCCTGTTCTTCATCTTCCTCGCCACTCATCTCTTCCTCATCTTTTGGAAACTCATCTTCAAGGATGTTTTCAATATCATCATTGTCTTCTTCAAGTTCTTCCTCACTAATCTCTTCATCATCTCTAACAACATTCTAAGGAAGAAAATATTCCCTTTTACTATACATATAAAATATGTAACAAAAGACACTATTAACAAATCATCTGGAATATTTTGTAATGGCTCGATATTGGTTGGTATTGCATGTTGACATTCATCTAGTAACGCAATAAGGTTTTAAATATCTGACACTTTTGGGGGTGTTATAGAACACTTTTTTGTCACGTTGCCAGAATTATTTTTCTGGTTCCTTCTCATTTAGGTAGACTATTTCTTCTAATTATTTTTGAATTTATTTTGGATTTGACTGGTTTTTAAAAATTTCTTTTTTTTCTCCTTGAGGATGTGACTTTATGTTTATAGTTGCTTGCAACTTCTGCGTTCCTTCATTGGTGAAGCCTCTGTGCTTGAGTTCCTTGGTGGTAGTCTTTGGATGATGGCTTTCTCAGTTGCTGGTTGTAGTAGCAGTGTGCTCAATGTGGAGCGGGTTCACTGTCTCAGTTTTCTGCCTGGCTCCTGGTGTAGGCTATAGCCCACTGCTTCTTTCAAAGGGTCTGTGGTTTCTTTCAGTTTTCCTGTTAAGTTCCTGTGTTGCTTCTTTGAAAAACGTTCAGTGTGTATCTCTACACCCTATTTTGTCTTTCCAAGTTGGGGAGGCATGCTAACACTGCCTCCAACCTGCCATCTTGGAAAAATTGTTTAAAAATTTCTTTGGTACTCAGAATTTTAATACTTTCAAGACTCTGGCCCCAAAGTGGTCCCATAAATAAATACAGAGACAAAATATTAAATGTTATTTATGTCTATGATTGTCAAAATGTTACATGTTTTTGATGGTCTTCAGGAACAATATTTAATGCAGTTCAAAGAGTATAAAACACTAGCTATCTTAACTGGGACAAGATGTTTCCTTACCTGTAAAATAAGAATAATAAAAGTATCTCACAGGGTTGCTGGGAGCATTAAATTAGTTAATACATGCAAAGCCGTTAGAAAAATGTCTGGCATATGGTAAGTATGTGAACGTTACCTATTATTATGCTCTTATAGCTATTATTGTCACTTTGTGTAAAGCAGTGTACAAATAGAACAGCAGATGCCTTTTCGGAGGCTATAGCCTATCTGAGAAAACGAGAATAATACATTAATGATTATTAAAGACCATGACAGGATATTGGTACTAAGTCGTATTGTGTAGGCTTTAAGTGCTATAGTTCACTTTGCACAAAACTGAACCCTATAATAATCATCCTCTGCACTGCCTCCACACCGTTCTCCCTGTAGTATTCCTTGTTTCAGTTGGAGAACTGCCCTCCAGCCTGAAACCTGGGAGTTATCTAGACTCCCAGGATGAGAGTCCTGGGTGGGAAGGGATGGGGGGTTACAAAGGACTGTAATCCTAAATAATGCTCAACACTCCCTCCCTTGTGGCCCCTCTCCACTGTCTGCCTTCACATTGTCTCTTGCCTGCAATCTTCTGGCTACTTCCTAATCTTTCTAAATGACCAGGCCTCTGGTCATTTAGTTTAGTGAAAAGTGCCTGGAGATGGGATTCGGGTGTGTGAGGGCAGGGAGGAAGATGAGAGCATCAGGACCCATTCCTGCTCCTGCCCAAGCTCCCCTTTCTCCAAAAGGAGCTTGGCTATGGAGCAGGGTTTTTCAGTTCTGGTTCGTTTTAAAGAAGTTTCAGATCATTTAGCCTCCTTACGACTTGTTCCTTTTTATTATATCTTGTCAATTTTCTATCCTGATATTTAATTTTCTAAGGATCTTTGCAAGTATAGTGGGATAGGTCTACACTACAAGCTGGGACATCTTAGTTCCAGATGAACTTGTTCTCACCTCTCTGGCTCCACTGAATAGCTCCTACAACTTTTTATTAAAAATTGAAATTGTACAATTTTAAAAAGAAATTCATTTTTATTATAAAGAAATTAAATTATATAGTATTGTATAAGATTAAAAAGTAGAAGTCTTTCATCACACTCCTATCTCTATTTCTACCCTCCTACCTGGAATTAATTTTGGTTAACAATTTGGTTAGGATCCTTACAAATGTTTTACTATATATATATTTAATTACATCATATTTTAAACATAAATGGGATTATTTTATTTTCTACAACTTTAAAAAAATTAGCAATATATTTAAATTTCTTTCCATATCAGAACATACATCTCAATTTTTTTTCAATGAATTAAAAAAAATTTCAGCTTTTATTTTAGATTCGGGGTACGTGTGCAGGCTTGTTACAAGGGTATATTGCATGATGCTGAAGTTTGGGGTATGATTGATTGTGTCACCCGGATAGTCAGCATAGTACTCAATAGTTATTTTTTCAACCCTCTCCCCAACCCTCCTCCTTCTAGGTGTTCTGAGTGTCTATTATTGCCATCTTTATGTCCATGAGTACCCAGTGTTTAGCTCCTACTTATAAATGAGAATACAGGGTATTTGGTTTTCTGTTCCTGTGTTAATTTGCTCAGGATAATGGCTTCCAGCTGCATCCACATTGCTGCAAAGGATATGACTTTGTTCTTTTTTATGGTCATGTAGTATTCTACGGTATTATACATATGTAGCACATTTCCTTTACCCAGTCCACCACTGATGAGCCCCTATGTTAATTCCATGTCTTTGCTATTGTGAATAGGGCTATGATGAACATATGAGTGGATGTGTATTTTTGGTAGAACAATTTATTTTCTTTTGTATATATACCCAGTAATGGGATTGTTGGGTCGAATGGTATTTCTGTTTTGAGTTATCTGAGAAATCTTCAAACTGCCTTCCACAGTGGCTCAGCTAATTTACATTCCCCTCAAGAGTGTATAAGTATTCCCTTTTCTTTGCAGCTTCACTAGTATCTGTTGTTTTTTGACTTTTTAATAATAGCCATTCTAGGTCAGGCATGGTGGTTCATACCTGTGATTCCAGCACTTTGGGAGGCTGAGGCTGGCAGATTGCTTGAGACCAGGAGTTTGAAAACAGCCTGGGCAAAATGGTTAAACCCTGTCTCTCCGAAAGTAAAAAATAAAAAAATAGCTAACTGTGTTTCTATCTGCAGTCCCAGCTACTTGGAGGCTGAGACAGGAGGACTGCTTGAGCCCTGGAGGTTGAGGCTGCAGTGAGCTGTGATGGTGCCACTGCACTCCATCCTGTCTCAAAAAAAAAAAAAAATAGCCATTCTGACTGGTGTGAGATGGTATCTCACTGTGGTTTTGATTTGCATTTCTCTGATGATTAGTGACACTGAGCATTTGTTCAGATGTTGGCTGCATGTATGTCTTCTTTTGAAAAGTGTCTGTTCACACCTTTTGCCCACTTTTTAATGGGGTTATTTGGTTTTTGCTTGTTCAATTGTTTAAGTTCCTTATAGATTTGGAATATTAACCTTTGTCAGATGCATAGTTTGTGAATATTTTCTCCTATTCTTTAGGTTGCCTGTTTATTCTGTTGATAGTTTCTTTTGCTGTGCAGAAGCTCCATAGTCTTAGGTCCTTGTGGGAGCTAAGCTCCCACTTGTCAATTTTTGTTTTTGGTACAATTACTTTTGAGGACCTAGTCATAATTATTTCCCAAAGCCAATGTCCAGAATGGTGTTTCCCAGGTTTTCTTCTAGGAATCATATAGTCTGAGGTCTCACATTTACATCTTTAATTTATCTTGAGTTAATTGTTTTATATGGTGAAAGGTAGGCATCCAGTTTCATTCTTCTGCATATGAATAGCCAGCTAACCTGGCACCATTTATTGAATAGGGTATCCTTTCTCTATTATTTTTTGTTGTTGTTGTTGGCCTTGTTGATCAGATGGTTGTAGGTGTATAGCTTTGTTTCTGAGTTTTGTATTCTGTTCCATTGGTCTATGTGTCTGTTTTTGTACTGGTATCATGCTGTTTTGATTACTGTAATCTAAGAGTATAAAATTAGGTAGTGTGATGCCTCTGGCTTCTTTTTTCTTGGGATTGTTTTGGCTATTTGGGGCTTCTGTTTTGGTTCCATATGAATTTTAGAATAGTTTAAAAAATCTGTGAAGGATGTTATTGGTAGTTTGATAGGAATACCATTGAATTTGTAGATTGAATAGTATGGCCATTTTAACAATACTGATTCTTCCAGTCCATGAGTATGAAATGTTTTTTCATTTGTTTTGTGTTGTCTCTGATTTCTTTCAGCAGTGTTTTGTAGTTCTCCTTGGAGAGATTTTTCACTTCCTTGGTTAGCTGTACTCTTAGGTATTTTATTCTTTTGGTGGCTATTGTAAATGGGATTGCATTCTTGATTTGGCTCTAAGCTTAAATGTTACTAGTATAAAGGCAACTAATTTTGTGCATTGATTTTTGTATCCTGAAATTTTACTGAAGTTGTTTATTAGTTTCAGTGACCTTTTGGCAGAGTCTTTAGGGTTTTACAGGTATAGAATTATATTGTCAGTAAAGAGATAGTTTAACTTCTTTTCTTATTTGGATGCGTTTCTTTCTCTTCACTGATTGTTCTTTGCATCTTAATATTTTTAACAGCCACATAGTATTTCATAGTATCACAGTTCATTTAATCATTCTTCTCTTTTAAAAATGTGTGTTTTTTCTATAGAAACCAGTTTAGAAAGTAACAAAACAAACAGTAAACGGTAATCTCTTTTGACCCTTGTGATATTTGGTTCCTCTTTCCTGCCAGTGATGATGAGGAATTTAGCTAACTTACATCACTCCTCTTTCTGCCTGTTGCCCAGTTTTAGTCATATTTTTGCTCTTTATTTTGTAATCGAGTGCTTATAACTTTAAATATTATCTCCAAATCTCTGTTTTATTGAGCTGTCCTCTTTAGATGTCTGTTTTGATTCCCCATCAAGAAGATGTCCTTACTCTTCCTTCCAAGTCTCCCTTTCTTCAGTTTCTAAGTATTTTGTCTCCAATATTACTACATTTATGTCCCTGTCCTATAATTGGAGATCAGTATTTGGTGCTTCATGTAGAAATTGATTCTAAAAATTAAAAGTAAGCAAACAGCATTTGATTGATTCTGAATATGGAAATCCAATAAACAGCACCTGCTATGTTAAATTACATAACCCTTATTCACTACAGCTGGAGTTAGTAATACAAGGAATGCAATTCTGTATCAAGAAACATGCACTATTCTAAGTAGAATGTTTCTAGTATCAAGACCAAGCATCATTTTTTCTTCTTATTCAAAATCATGCTACAATTACATTTGCCCCATATTTGAATAATACTCTTATTGTCTCTCCCCACCCCCATGTTTCTAGGGTTTTTTCGTTTGTTTTATTGTTGTTTATTTTGTGAGCAGAAGCAGTGTTATTCACCATATCAATTGGCTACTCTTTTCAGGAAGAATATAAAAGAGGCTAATTTTCACTGATCTTAAGTATCTGAAAATTTTTCCATTTCATTTCTCTCATTATAAACAGTTTGGCTAAGTACAGAGTTCTAGGCTGAAAACCATTTTCACTTAGAATTTTACAAGTGTTGTCTTTGTCTTTTACTATCCAGTATTGTTACTGAGAAGTCTGATACAAGTCTTACCTCCATTCCTTTGTAGATATCCTTTTAAAATTTTAGAAACAAGTAGGAGCTTCTCTTTATACCCGCCAATCTCAAATTTCATAAGGATGTGTCTAATGCACATTTCTTTTTATTTATTCTGCTTGGCATTCCATGGGCCCTTTCAATTTGAAGACCTCCTGCTCTCTTCAATACTGGGAACTTTTCTTCTAACATTTCTTAGAATATTTCCTTCTTTATTTTCTGTTTCCATTGTTTGAAATGCATATTGGATGTTGACCTTCCTGGATTGACCTCATAGATCTTCAGTTTTTTTCTTTTGTATTTCCTATCTCTTGCACTTTGTTTTATATTTGAGAAACTTCTTGGACTTTTCCTTTTTCTCAATTTAACTTTTAACTTATTTTAGTTTTCATTAACTCTTTTTTGTTCTCTCACTTTTTATAGCATCTTCTTCCTGTTTTATGGATACAAGTTTCTTCTTGAATTTTCTGAGAGAAAGTGAAATTCTTTTAATATTTAATGATGTTTCCTGGGTTGTCCACTTGTTTTATGATCAATTGTTCTGTTTGTTTATGTTGGTTTTTCCTTTTGTTGGTGATTTTCCTCAAGTATATGGTAACCCTTGGTTGGCTATTCATTTTTATAAATGAAGGATTAAATTGATTAGTTCAGAGCAACTGCATGCTGTCTGTATATGAGCAGGTAATGTTGTATCACACTTCTATTTAAGATGTGAAGATGAGAAGATGCAGGAAGCCTGGATCTTGCCCCAAAAATAAAAGGTATCAACCAACATTCTGTGGACCTAGAATCTTCCAGACAGATTATTTCATCCCTTTAGAAATGATTTACCTTTTTTCTTTATGGGGCAAATGTCGCTGTTAAGTGAAGGGCTGGTAGAGGTGACCTTAAGGAATTTTTCTGCAATTTACCCTCTTACACTTTCTAGATATTCAAATTATATACAAATAATGAGTTTTATTCTTACTTTTTAATATGTATGCTATTTCTTTTTCTTACTTTGCTTTGGCTCACACCTGTAGTACAATGTTGATTTTAAAAAAATCCTAAAAATATCCTAAAAATCTTCACAAAAGATCATCTAAGAGACTCTCAGGTTAATTCTTCCTAGGGAAATTTTTTTTTTCATTTTTCTGTAGATGGTCATTTAATCTTGTAGAACAGTGTTGTTTTCCCTGACATCACGCATCTCTTAGTCCTCAAGTTGGAAGATGTATATTCTAAACTTCATGGCCTTGAAGATCTGCCTCAAATATGATGAAATAAGTTTATTTAACCTCTAGCAGATAATAATAAACTGTAAACAACACTCCTCTCTCTCTATTATTTTTGAGGTCTTTGGAGCAAGAAAAGCAGATTTTGAAGAGCAGTCAAAATTTGGAGGAAGCAACTGGCATAGGGTGAGTTTTCTGATTTTGTTCATTTGCCGAGAGGGCAGTTTCAGAGTAGTGGTGGTTTGGTGTGACTAAAACTTTGGTAGAAAGCCAACTGACTTTCTGGATGGAGCAACCAGAGAAAGGAGCCAAAACCAGGGCCACTGGAGAGTGAGGGTAAATGCCAGAGATGAGAGAGCCAGAGAAGGAAATACCAAAGTCAATTTGTCCAAGACTCTGGCTAGCCTGTGAACCATGTACATATGGGCGGTTCAAGAACAGTATACACTGAGCTGCCATTCATTGCAGGCATGACAGAATTTTAAAGTTTATCTTACCAAGTTAATTGCCTGCTAAAACAAAAACCTCAGTTCTCTTTGGAGGTACATAACAAAGTCCAGAATCCCCACAATATAACATTTACAATTCTAGAACATAATCCAAAGTTACTCAAAATATGAAGAATTATGAAAATTTGACCCATCCTCATAAAGAAAGATAATTGTCAAATACCCAGCCCAGGTGTTAGGATCACCAAACAAGAACTTTTAAAGCAGTTATTATTACAATGATCAATGAGGAAAAGGAAAATACACTTATAATAAATGAACAGATAGGAAATCTCAGGAGAGAAATAGAAAATATAGAAACAAACCAAATGGAAATTTTAGAACTAAAAATACAATATTTGAAATTAAAAAAATTGTTGGTTGGGCTTAAACTATTTACCTTAAAGAAGAGAGAGAAAAAAGATGGAAAAAAATCAACAAAGTTCCCAGGACATGTGGAACAACAGCAAAGGTCTAACCTATGTATAACTGGGGTACTATAAGGAGAAGACAAAGAGTAAATGAGGCAGAAAAAATGTCTAAAGAAATAATGTCTAAAGTTTCTCCAAATTTAGTGAAAGACACAAATTTACAGATTAAAGAAGCTTAGTGAACTCCAAACTAAATATGAAGAAAATGATATGTAGGTACACCATAACCAAACTGTTGAAAAGCAAAGATACAGAGAAAAGAAAGACAATAGGTGAACAATAATTCAGATGTCCAGCATTCCCATCCTTCTGATTTCCATCATACCAGAGGAATGAAT
Organism: Homo sapiens; assembly: GCF_000001405.40. Taxonomy (NCBI): domain Eukaryota; kingdom Metazoa; phylum Chordata; class Mammalia; order Primates; family Hominidae; genus Homo; species Homo sapiens. Next base: position 109,524,631 of record NC_000006.12, read on the forward strand.
GAAGAACATCAGAAATAGTAAATATCTGGATAAATGGAAAACAAGGCTTACTTTCCTATTAATTTTTTGAAAATACATGTGACTATTTAATATAAACATTAGAACTATTTCTTTTGAGGGTTGTAATGTATTCAGTTGTAAAACACATCACAACTAGAGCATAAAGGATGTTAGTGGGTTGGAGATGGGTGGGGCAAATGGAGCTAGACAGTTCTAAGGTTTTTACAATATTACATTGAATAATATTGACCCTAAGTAGAATGTGAAAAGCCAAGGATGTGTTTGTAATTCTAGCATAACTACTAAAAAACGAAGCATAGAGTTATACTTAAAAAGGCAATAGATTTTCTTCTAGGGTTTTTATGGTTTCAGGTCTTACATTTAAATCTTTAATCCATTTTGATTTTTGTATATGGTAAAAGAAAGGGGTCCAGGTTCATTCTTCTGCATATGGATAACCAGTTATCCCAGCACCATTTATTTACTAGGGAGTCATTTCCCCATTGCTTGTTATTGTCGACCTTGTCGAAGATCAGATGATTGTAGGTGTGCAGCTTTATTTCTGAGTTCCATTGCTCTATGTATCTGTTTTTGTACCAGTACCATGCTGTTTTGGTTCTGGACAAATATTTTATGACAAAGTCTCCAAAAGCAATTGCAACAGAAACAAAAATTGACAAGTGGGACCTAATTAAACTAAAGAGCTTTTTCACGCAAAAGAAACTATCAACAGAAGAAACAGTCAACCAACAGAATGGGAGAAAATATTTGCAAACTATGCGTACAACATAAGTCTAATATCCAGAATCTATAAGGAACTTAAACAAATCAACAAGCCCAAAACAACAACCCCATTAAAAAATGGGCACAAGACATAAACAGACACTTAAAAGAAAACATAGACACAGCCAACGAGCATATGAAAAAATGCTCAATGTCACTACTCATTAGAGAAATGCAAATCGAAAACACAGTGGTGTCTTATCTCATGCCAGTCAGAATGACTATTATTGAAAAGTCAGAAAATAACAGATGTTAGTGAGGTTATGAAGAAAAGGAAATGTTGGTGGGAATGTAAATTAGTTCAGCCACTGTGAAAAGCAGTTTGGAGATTTATCAAAGCACTTAGAACTACCATTTAACTCAGCAATCCCATTAATGGGTATACACCCAAAGGAATAGAAATCGTTCTACTAAAAAGTCACATGCACACATGCAGTGCACTACTCACAATAGCAAAGACATGCAATCAACCTAGATGCCCATTAATGGTGGACTGGATAAAGAAAATGTGGTACATATATACCATGGAATACCATGCAGCCATAAAAAAGAATGAATTCATATCTTTTGCAGCAACATGGATGGAGCTGGAGTCCATTATCCCAAGCAAGTTAACACAGGAACAGAAAACCAACTACTGCATGTTCTCATAAGTGGGAGCTAAACTTTGAGTGCACATGGACACAAAGAGGAGAACAAAAGACACTGGGGCCTACTTGAGGGTAGAGGGTAGGAGGAGAGTGAGGGTCAAAACACTACCTATTGAGTACTATGCTCACTACCTGGGTGACAAAATTATTTGTACACCAAACCCCGGCAACATGCAATTTACCCACGTAACAAACCTGCACATGTACCCTCTGAACCTAAAATACAAATTGAAAAAGAAAAAATAAAATAAAAATTTTACACACTTTTCAAAAGAAAAAAAGGCAATAGATAATTAAAATGAATTTCTAAAATATATTCAAATAATCCAAGGAAGGCCGGAAAAGGGGAACAGAGAAACAGAAAACAGAGGGGACAAGCAGAAAGCAAATAAATTCATAGTCTCAGAGAGACAGGACTAGATTTGGGGTAAGCTGTGTTACAACTGTCTACTGGTAGGGGAAGACAGGGGAAGCTACATCTGGACAGAAGCTTGTGCCAGGAGAGCGATGGATTTTTTTATGATTAGAGAAGTGACGGAAGAGGAAAGCATGAAGAAATGGAAGAAGAAGTAAAAGACCTGTCAGAGTTCTCAGGGCTTCCTGACACAGGTGCTCATTATCTAGATCCCAAATTTCTTTATTATGCTGTGGTGTGACTGACACTGCCTGTGGAGCAGCTATTGTGAACTACTTGGTTTTCAGTGCTTTGAATCTGTCTCCAACCCGTATACCCATGCACACTTTTGCTTGCTGTTTCAACCTGAAGAGCCCTCTGTGTATCAACCTTTGGGTCTAAACACTCTGTCTTCTCCCTAGAGGATCCTGGAGATGGTTTTGGCTTGGTACTTGGTCCAGACCCTTGTTTCAACCTCATGTGGACCCTGACTTGGGCCTTCCCTCAGTACCTATGAACAATGTGTCTCTATTACTCTTCTCCGAGGCGTAGTCTGACACTGTGCTCACTTGCTCCCCGGGCTTCCTGTCCTGGCCCTCCCTTGCTTTCACCTCCCAGTGGCTACCCAACACCTAATGGAGACCCAGAGACGGAGCCAGGGGACAGGAAGAGAGGGAGGATTACAAGCAAGGCCAGGGGCTGCCTTACAGTCACATTCTGAGACTACAGGTCCACAAGATGGCGACATTTCCCTATGAAATTAATGCAAGTAATGACTGGGATATTGAAGTGATTTCTAATGTTGGAAATGTCCCATTCAGTGCTAAAAAGACAGTAAAGACAATGATTTTGTTTAGGGCAAGAAGACAAACCTGGGAAGGGCTTTCTCCGCCAGGGATTCCCCAGTTAGTCTGAAAAAGGCAAGTCACAGAACTGCATATTCTGCATAAGAAGGCAAATGTGAGAAACCCCCCTGGATCTGTTCATGGAAGTGAGCTCCAGTATAGATGTGGAGTCGGGATGGATGCCACTTAGGGTGGCACACTGACCAATAGTAACAAGCACACTAACTCATCCCTGAGATGCTATATTTTGTCTACTTTATTGTCTGAGTCAGTAGCAGGACATATAAAATTTCCATCAAAGGAGTTGGAAAAAAAAAACCCCACATACAGTTTTAATTTTTTATTCATCAAACATCTCAGGAGTTGTGCTGCGAGTTTGTTTGTATCAGTTTTGTGGGATACACAGACAGTTTTACAAACATGAAGTCTCAGGAGAGCTGACTTACAAAATCCTATTTAACCTCTACATAGAATATTGAATTTCCGAATGAAAAATCAGAAGAAATCACACCATTCTAATGTTAACAAATGAAAAAATTATAAAGAACATTTAAAGTTTATCCTGAAAATTAATTCTTAAGAAAAGAAGATTTAACTGAAGAGTAGCAAAGGGAAATTAAATTATTATTAATTAGGGAAACTAAATGTATTAATTTTTCCCATTTTACAATAAAAAGCCCTAGGTTTACAGAGGCTAAGTGACTTACTCAATGTTATACAACCTCAGCGAAACAACTGAAGTTGAATGTCACATGTGTCAGCACTCCACCAGGCACTGGAGAGCAGTGAACAAAGTCAGTGAGAACTGGAGAAGGGATACTGCGTAGGTGTGTTTAACTGCAAAGCCTGGACTCCTTCACTGCTGAAACATTTGAAGTGATTCAGAAGGGGACCACTAGGGACTCCCAAGGGCTTAAAGTAGTTAACTGTACTTAATTCCAGGTTAGGACATCTTTTTGATCCTAAACATTAGCATGACACCTTAAACAGAGCAAACTTTCAGAACATGTTTGATGAGAGAAATGAGCATTATAATGAGGCTACGATTTCTGTAAGTTTTGCTCATGGCTGATTTGCCAGTATTTGAAACAGTGTCAGACACAAAGCTCAATTAATGTTTGCTGATGGACTGAATGAATAAATGAATGAAAATCGAGGCAAATAATTAAGAGGAGGGTTCTTATTCTTACATGGTGCCATAATTTTCTCAGTCCAATGGTTTTTTCTTATCTACTTTTGGTTGTGAATATTTTGTTTTGACAAAGCAACAATTACTTTGGCCCCGCTTCTGCAATGCTTTGTGCCTGCAGTTGCAGTTGCAGTTGCACTGTACAATATCAGCAGTCCTCTGTACGGAAGTCCAGCATATTCACACCAGGGTGACATGTGGTTGCACTTGTAGCAAGTTGTATTTTCTGATATTCCTCTTTTTCTCTTCTCCTTGTTTGGCTGGACATTTTTATACAGATGGAAATCAGGTTACAAGAGGGTCAGCCTTGAAAAGCTGTTACAAGAGTGTCTTAAGCCAGAAGGCAAAGGCTGGGTGTGATGGCTCATGCCTGTAATCCTAGCACTTTGAGAGGCTGAGGTGGGAGGATCCCTTGAGCCCAGGAGTTCGAGGTTGCAGTGAGCTATGATTGTGCCACTGTACCCTGCCCTGGGCAACAGAGTGAGACCCTGTTTTGAAAAAAAAAACAAAACTACTTACCTCCCTCCTTTTTTTATCTCTCTCTAATATAAGTTCAGCCCTTCTTTTAGCAATCGTATCAACCTGTTAAAGAAAGAGACATTAAAAAATTGTAATGGAGAATGATAAAAGTGGCTTTCTCTGTATTCATATATTTTTATATAAAGTAGGAATAACGTTTGGGCAGAAGCACAGTGAACTTTGCAGGAAAGGATGTGATGGCGGTAATCATGTTGCTTGGCTTGCATCCTTGTACCTCTGAACCTCTTGATCAGCTATTTTCTTCCAGAGGGATAAACAGCACTTGGGGTCAGTTACTCTTTCCACAAAGTTTAGAACTCCTTTTCAAAATTTATCGCTCATTTGTTTGTTTGGTTTTGGTGGCAGGAAATAGGGAAATACGTGGAGGCAATTCACTGAAAATGGTAAGCTTTTAACACACTATTAAATAGCCTACCATAGCGATCCCCAACCATTTTGGCATGAGGGACTGGTTTCACAGAAGACAATTTTCCATGGACCGAAGATGGGGATTGTTTTGGGATGACTCAAGCTCATGACATTTATTGTGCACTTTATTTCTATTATTATTACATTGTAATATCCAAAGAAATAATTTTACAACTCACCATAATGTAGAATCAGTGGGGGCCCTAAACTTGTTTTCCTGCAACTACATGGTCCCATCTGGAGGTGATGGGAGATAGTGACAGATCATCAGGCATTAGATTCTCATGAGTGTGCAACCTAGATCCCTTGCATGCACAATTAACAATACGGTTTGTGCTCCTATAAGAATCTAATGTGCTGCTGATCTGACCAGAGGCAGAGCTCAGGTAGTAATGTGAGTGATGGGGAGCGGCTGTAAATACAGATGAAGCTTCACTCACTTGCCCACTCACTGCTCACCTCCTGCTGTGTGGCCTGGTTCCTCATAGGCCACAGACTGGTATCCATCCATGGCCCAAGGGTTGGGAACCCCTGGCCTAACAAACCTAAAAATACATATGTCCACATGGGGAAAGTGTATGTGGTTGGCAGACAGTCACAGACTTGATATATAGATAGTCCTCCAACCTTCCCAGAATCCTCTAAATCTAACACAATGGATCCCCTTTGATAGGTCTCCAAGGTCTCCATGAAAACTAATCTGCTTTCTTCAGGTTTGGGGGCTTATTGGCTCAGGACTCTGTAAACTGGTCTCCCTTTAAATACCGGGAAGATAGAGTGGTGCCTGAGGACATGCTCTGGGGCTCTGGTGCAGATGAGCAGAACCTGGGTGCTTTCATCTGGTTGCTATTGAGTACACATTCCTGAGAACTTATGCCTTGTAGGCATGCAAGAATTATTTGTAGATAGAATTATAAAACTGAACTGAATAAAATTCATTTGGTTTATGAGCCCCAGAAAGATTCTATGGCTCTTAACTGGTGAGAATTTACAAAAACTTCCATTATTTCATTTTATAAAAACATATTTTTACCATAGGTTCTTTAAATGTGGAGTTGTGAAAACATAGTCTCTTTTGTGTTTTCATAAAACATAAAGACCACTGTATTACCAAAAAATTGCAAACTATACACAATAGCACTCATACACATTCCGAGTCTACTTTTCCTCTGCTCCTTTCACTCAAATAGTCAGTGAGGTTTAACTAATTATTGTACATCTCCCAGATGGCAGCACTGTCCTGAGCACTATAATATATATTCTTTCACTTTCTGCTCAAAACATATCTGCAAGGCATTACTCCACTCTAGAGGTGAGTTAACAGAAATTCAGAGTTTAACTCACGTAATATCACACAATTAGTGTGAGGATGCTTTTAGAAACTACCAGATATGGTCTCGATCTGTTGACCTGGCCAACATGGTGAAACCCCGTCTATACTAAAAATACAAAAATTAGCTGGGCATGGTGGTGCATGCCTGTAGTCCCAGCTACTTGGGAGGCTGAGGCAGGAGAATCGCTTGAACCCAAGTGGCGGAGGTTGCAATGAGCTGAGATTGCGCCACTGCATTCTAGCCTAGCGATAGAGTCAGACTCCGTCTCAAAAGAAAAGAAAAGAAAAGAAAAGAAACTACCAGATACGGGATTGCCAAAGCATACAATGTGGTGGCTGCTGCAGAGAAGGGTTTGTATTTGAGAAATACTGAGAAAAAAATTAGAGAATTTGGGATAAGATTGAGAATTCAGACCTTAATGGGGTGGCTTGATCAAAATGGAGTTTTAGGAAAATTCGTGTGGAGGTAGTCAGAAGGATGGTCTGGAAGGCAGAGAGATGAAGCCAGGGAGGACAATTAGGTCACTGTAGGAGCGCTGGTGTCAGCCAAGAAAGCTCTGAACTGAGATAGAGTTATTGGGTGAGGAAAGGAAGGGGCAAATGCCTGGGGTGATAAACTAGCTCCAGAAACCTGCTGCTTTCCTATTCTAGGTCCCTAAAATTCTTAAAGCATGTGATATCTAGGATGTGGCTTCATTGCCCTACAGCTGTTCTGTCCAGTACAACAGCCACTAGCTGTGTGTGGCTATTTATATTAAAATTAAACAAAATTAAACATTTGATTTTTCAGTCACACTAATCACATTTTAAGTGCTCAACAGCCACTGCGGCTACTGGCTCCTGTACAGGACAGCACAGATCTAGGACATTTCTGTCATCACGGAGATTTCTGTGTTAGCACTGGCCTAGATATTCCAGGCCCCACAGTGAGACAACATATGAATGTGCTTTGGTAGGCTCTCATCTTTGGCTCTTTCTTTTCCATTCTCATACTTACAGAATCTCTCGCATAGCAGACAGTTTGGCCTGAACGTCATCAAGAACAGTGTGGAGCCACGTATCTTCCCACGTCTCCCTCCTCACATCCATAGTTCTCAGATGGCTAAGAACTCTGCCTGTCTTGATACTGTGCAGACCAGTGATGGCCTGGGACATGCAACCTTAGTGTGGTGAGGGAGAGGAATGGATGGCAATGGCCTTGAAGGGATTTCCTCTGGCTAACCCCAAGATGAAAAGAATTTGAAAACGATGTCTGAGCAATGAAAGAGGAACTGCTTGGTTTTAACACTTTGGCAGTCTGTAATTTAATTGGTGTTAAGATGTGAGAATGTATTACATAATTTAAGTCTTAGTATCTCAGAATTGAAATTAATAGATGAGCTCTCTGACACATTTTTCCATTCTCCCCTGCCAAATGTTCGCCTAGTTTATGCTTATTTATTGGCAAGGAGCTCCCTGCCTTCAGTCTTGATTCTTTTTGAAATGTCTTGCTAAGAATGAAATATACTTTCCCTGTACCTTCCTCCTACCAATGGTAGTTCTTTCCCTTGAGGCCACGTGGAGTACCTCCAAGCTCTCTTCGGTATGAAAGCCCTTCAGACGTTTAACACTGCTCTCATGCTTCATCTGGGCCATCCTAGGTCCAGACTCAAAAGCCCATTCTTTCTACCTCAGCCTAGACTTACAGGTTTGCCTTTTCAGGGCATGTCATGTAAATGGAATTGTACGGGATGCACTCCTGTTTTGCCTGGCTTCTGTCACTCAGCACAATGGTTTTGATTTTTATCCATGTTACAGGATGTATCAATAGGTCATTCCTTCTTAATGCTGAGTAGTTTTTCAATTCTAAGGATATACCACCTTTTATTTTTCTATTCATCAGCTGATGATTTGGGTTGTTTCTACTTTCTGGTTATTATGAATAATGGTTATGAACATTCACATATAACTTTTTATGTGGACATATATTTTCATTTCTGTTAGATACATTCCCAGGAGTGGAATTGCTGGTTCCCTGTGACACTTTTGAACATCTTATGGAATACTCCTCAGAATGTAGGTTTAGGTACAATGTTCTAACCTAATTTGGTCTGGTTTCACTATAGGCTCACATGTCTTTGATGGATGGTGTCATCGCTCCAGGGGCAGCGAAAAAGACCTCTGAAATTTTACTTCTTTGTGTTTCAAATCTCTGTTTGTTACCTCTTCCACTTTGCTCCCATGTCTGGGAGAGGGAAGTCTTGGCAGTACCACTACCTTTCATTTGCCATAAAGAGAGAAGCATTAACACATTGATCACCACAAAAGCCTGAAATAACTCTTAACTCTTATTATAGTCTTAATATTCGATGAAAAATATTTCATGCTTACTGTGGTATTAAAATTAGAATACTATATTTTTTGTGAAGATCACTTTATAATAGATCACTAAACAGATGCTGAACAGATTTATTCAATGCATTTTTGCTAGATACATACCCTGATTTTTGCCTTCATGTCTTTGATCAGTTTCTTCCTTTCTAATTTCTTCTTTTGTTTTAGTTTCCACTTTTCAATTTGGGCAGGAAGGAGGCGATCAAAAATATCTTGATCATCAACTTGTATAAAAACAGCTGCATCTGGGAAAAATCCACGATCTCCCAAAAACTGGGCCTCTTCTGGATATCGTGGGAAACCATCTAATATAAAACCTGTGGAACTGGTGGAAATTTTCATAATTTACTTTATTTCATTAAAATGTTGTAATGGATGTGTTCATTAATTTGACTGTAATGATCATTATACAAGGTATATTAAGTCATCATTACACCTTGAATATATACATTCTTTACTTGTCAATGACATATTTTAAAAGAAAAAAATACAGTAAAAAAAAGTATTGATAAATATCAACTATCTGTATGTAATGAATAGTTTAAAAATTTACTCTTTTATTTCTTTTAATATTTCTAGTTGTATATGTGACATTTCTTTTTCAAAATATATCAAGTTGGATTAAAATTATAATATTCCATACATATATTTATAATATAAAATTGTAGTCAATCAGTTTACAGACAATTACTATTAACTGAAAGTTTACTAAAAGTTGTGAGAAGACCATAGGAAAAGAGAAAATAAGTTCTCTGTTTGGGAGCGGTGCCCAGCCTAATGAATGTGGTATTCTTTATTTAAAGAGTACACCTGGCCAGCCCAATTGTAGTGGGAGCCCTCACCTTTGGCAGTTTTTCTTCTAACAGTGCTTCCTTTCATGAGACAACTCATACCCACCTCCCTGGGTCTCCTTGTAACTGATGACAATTGTTAATGTATGTATCCTGGTTCCTATGGGCAAGATGATTATATTCAAATGGGATTGTCAAACTTGCCCACGTGTGATGAGACTTTAAGAATCAGGAAAATATGCCATTGCACTCCAGCCTGGGAAACAAGAGTGAAACTCCTTCTCAAAAAAAAAAAAGAAAAAAAAAGAATCAGGATAATAACTGGAATGTTAATTAGAGCACTTATTTTAATTTATTTTATTTTATTTTATTTATTTTAATTTATTTTAATTAGAGAGCACTTATAAAACAACCAAGCTTTGAAAACTTGGCTTTGTTTAATTGAGAGAGTCAATACTGGTTCCTGTAGAATTTGTTTCTCCTGCTTATCTGAAATTTGGTTTGTTTTTAATATTTATATTTAAATATATATTTTCTTCTTAATACAAATAGGACTTTCATGAACATTTGACAGTTTCAGCCTTCAAAGTTGTTAATTCAAAAATGTGAATTTTCCTTTCTTAGTAAGGAAGCAAATTTCCATATATTGGCCATAATATATATATATATTTTTATTTAATTATACTTTAAGTTCTAGGGTACATGTGCACAACGTGCAGGTTTGTTACATATGTATACATGTGCCATGTCATGTTGGTGTGCTGCACCCATTAACTCGTCATTTACATTAGGTATATCTCCTAATGCTATCCCTCCCCCACTCCCCACCCCACAACAGGCCCCAGTGTGTGATACTCCCCTTCCTGTGTCCAAATGTTCTCATTGTTCAATTCCCACCTATGAGTGAGAATATGCGGTGTTTGGTTTTTTGTCCTCACGATAGTTTGCTGAGAATGATGGTTTCCAGCTTCATCCATGTCCCTACAAAGGACATGAACTCATCCTTTTTAATGGCTGCATAGTATTCCATGGTGTATATGTGCAACATTTTCTTAATCCAGTCTATCATTGATGGACATTTGGTTTGGTTCCAAGTCTTTGCTATTGTGAATAGTGCTGCAATAAACATACGTGTGCATGTGGCATTATAGCAGCATGATTTATAATCCTTTGGGTATATACCCAGTAATGGGATGGCTGGGTCAAATGGTATTTCTAGTTCTAGATCCTTGAGGAATCGCCACACTGTCTTCCACAATGGTTGAACTAGTTTACAGTCTCACCAACAGTGTAAAAGCATTCCTATTTCTCCACATCCTCTCCAGCACCTGTTGTTTCCTGACCTTTTAATGATCGCCATTCTAACTGGTGTGAGATGGTAACTCATTGTTGTTTTGATCTGCATTTCTCTGACGGTCAGTGATGATGAGCATTTTTTCATGTGTTTTTTGGCTGCATAAATGTCTTCGTTTGAGAAGTGTCTGTTCGTATCCTTTGCCCAGTTGTTGACAGGGCTGTTTGCTTTTTTCTTGTAAATTTGTTTGAGTTCTTTGTAGATTCTGGATATTAGCCCTTTGTCAGACAAGTAGATTGGAAAAATTTTCTCCCATTCTGTAGGTTGCCTGTTCACTCTGATGGTAGTTTCTTTTGCTGTCAGAAGTTCTTTAGTTTAATTAGATCCCATTTGTCAATTTTGGCTTTTGTTGCCATTGCTTTTGGTGTTTTAGACATGAAGTCCTTGCCCATGCCTGTGTCCTGAATGGTATTGCCTAGGTTTCCTTCTAGGGTTTTTATGGTTTTAGGTCTAACATTTAAGTCTTTAATCCATCTTGAATTAATTTTTGTATAAGATGTAAAGAAGGGATCCAGTTTCAGCTTTCTACATATGGCTAGCCAGTTTTCCCAGCACCATTTATTAAATAGGGAATCCTTTCCCCATTTCTTGTTTTTGTCAGGTTTTTCAAAGATCAGATGGTTGTAGATGTGTGGTATTACCTCTGAGGGCTCTGTTGTGTTCCATTGGTCTATATGTCTGTTTTGGTACCAGTACCATGTTGTTTTGGTTACTGTAGCCTTGTAGTATAGTTTGAAGTCAGGTAGCGTGATGCCTCCAGCTTTGTTCTTTTGGCTTAGGATTAACTTGGCAATGCAGGCTCTTTTTTGGTTCCATATGAACTTTAAGATAGTTTTTTTCCACTTCTGTGAAGAAAGTCATTGGTAGCTTGATGGGGATGGCACTGAATCTATAAATTACCTTGGGCAATATGGCCATTTTCATGATATTGATTCTTCCTATCCATGAGCATGGAATGTTCTTCCATTTGTTTGTGTCCTCTTTTATTTAGTTGAGCAGTGGTTTGTAGTTCTCCTTGAAGAGGTCCTTCACATCCCTTGTAAGTTGGATTCCTAGGTATTTTATTCTCTTTGAAGCAATTGTGAATGGGAGTTCACTCATGATTTGGCTCTCTGTCTGTTATTGGTGTATAAGAATGCCTGTGATTTCTGCACATTGACTTTGTATCCTGAGACTTTGCTGAAGTTGCTTATCAGCTTAAGGAGATTTGGGGCTGAGATGATGGGGTTTTCTAAATACACAATCATGTAATCTGCAAACAGGGACAATTTGACTTCCTCTTTTCCTAACTGAATACCATTTATTTCTTTCTCCTGCCTGATTTCCCTGGCCAGAACTTCCAACACTATGTTGAATAGGAGTGGTGAGAGAGGGCATCCCTGTCTTGTGCCAGTTTTCAAAGGGAATGCTTCCAGTTTTTGCCCATTCAGTATGATATTGGCTGTGGGTTTGTCACAAATAGCTCTTATTATTTTGAGATACGTCCCATCAATACCTAATTTATTTAGAGTGTTTAGCATGAAGGGCTGTTGAATTTTGTGAAAGGCCTTTTCTGCATCTATTGAGATAACCATCTGGTTTTTGTCTTTGGTTCTGCTTATATGCTGGTTTGTGTTTATTGATTTGCGTATGTTGAACCAGCCTTGCATCCTAGGGATGAAGCCCACTTGATCATGGTGCATAAGCTTTTTGATGTGCTGTTGGATTCTGTTTGCCAGTATTTTACTGAGGATTTTTGCATCAATGTTCATCAGGGATATTGGTCTAAAACTCTCTTTTTTTGTTGTGTCTCTGCCAGGCTTTGGTATCAGGATGATGTTGGCCTCATAAAATGAGTTAGGGAGGATTCCCTCTTTTTCTATTGATTGGAATAGTTTCAGAAGGATTGGTACCAGCTCCTCCTTCTACCTCTGGTAGAATTTGGCTGTGAATCCGTCTGGTCCTGGACTTTTTTTGGTTGGTAGGCTATTAATTCTTGCCTCAATTTCAGAGCCTGTTATTGGGTGATTCAGGGATTCAACTTCTTCCTAGTTTAGTCTTGAGAGGTTCTATGTGTCCAGGAATTTATCCATTTCTTCTAGACTTTCTAGTTTATTTGCGTAGAGGTGTTTATAGTATTCTCTGATGGTAGTTTGCATTTCTGTGGGATTGGTGGTGATATCCCCTTTATCATTTTTTATTGCATCTATTTGATTCTTCTCTCTTTTCTTCTTCATTAGTCTTGCTAGCAGTCTATCAATTTTGTTGATCTTTTCAAAAAAAGCAGCTCTTGGATTCACTGATTTTTTGAAGGGTTTTTTGTGTCCTATCTCTTTCAGTTCTGACCTGATCTTAGTTATTTCTTGCCTTCTGCTAGCTTTTCAATGTGTTTGCTCTTGCTTCTCTAGTTCTTTAAATTGTGATGATAGGGTGTCAATTTTAGATCTTGCCTGCTTTCTCTTGTGGGCATTTAGTGCTATAAATTTCCCTCTACACACTGCTTTAAATGTGTCCCAGAGATTCTGGTATGTTGTGTCTTTGTTCTCATTGGTTTCAAAGAACATCTTTATTTCTGCTTTCATTTTGTTATGTACCCAGTAGTCATTCAGGAGCAGGTTGTTCAGTTTCCATGCAGTTGAGCGGTTTTGAGTGAGTTTCTTATTCCTGAGTTCTAGTTTGATTGCACTGTAGTCTGAGAGACAGTTTGTTATAATTTCTGTTCTTTTACATTTGCTGAGGAGTTCTTTACTTCCAACTATGTGGTCAATTTTGGAATAAGTGTGATGTGGTGCTGAGAAGAATGTATATTCTGTTGATTTGGGGTGGAGAGCTCTGTAGATGTCTATTAGGTCCACTTGGTGTAGAGCTGAGTTCAATTCCTGGATATCCTTGTGAACTTTCTGTCTCGTTGATCTGTCTAATGTTGATAGTGAGGTGTTAAAGTCTCCCATTATTACTGTGTGGGAGTCTAAGCCTCTTTGTAGGTCTCTAAGGACTTGCTTTATGAATCTGGGTGCTCCTGTATTGGGTGCATATATATTTAGGATAGTTAGCTCTTCTTGTTGAATTGATCCCTTTACCATTATGTAATGGCCTTCTTTGACTCTTTTGATCTTTGTTGGTTGAAAGTCTGTTTTATCAGAGACTAGGATTGCAACATCTGCCTTTTTTTGTTTTCCATTTTCTTGGTAGATCTTCCTCCATCCCTTTATTTTGAGCCTATGTGTGTCTCTGCACGTGAGATGGGTCTCCTGAATACAGCACACTGATGGGTCTTGACTCTTTATCCAATTTGCCAGTCTGTGTCTTTTAATTGGAGCATTTAGCCCATTTACATTTAAGGTTAATATTGTTATGTGTGAATTTGATCCTGTCATTATGATATTAGCTGGTTATTTTGCTCGTTAGTTGATGCAGTTTCTTCCTAGCATCAATGATCTTTACAATTTGGCATGTTTTGCAGTGGCTGGTACCGGTTGTTCCTTTCCATGTTTAGTGCTTCCTTCAGGAGCTCTTGTAGGGCAGGCCTGGTGGTGACAAAATCTCTCAGCATTTGCTTGTCTGTAAAGGATTTTATTTCTCCTTCAGTTATGAAGCTTAGTTTGGCTGGATATGAAATTCTGGGTTGAAAATTCTTTTCTTTAAGAATGTTGAATATTGGCCCCCACTCTCTTCTGGCTTGTAGAGTTTCTGCCGAGAGATCCGCTGTTAGTCTGGTGGGCTTCCCTTTTTGGTTAACCCGACCTTTCTCTCTGGCTGCCCTTAAAATTTTCTCCTTCATTTCAACTTTGGTGAATCTGACAATTATGTGTCTTGGAGTTGCTCTTCTCGAGGAGTATCTTTGTGGCGTTCTCTGTATTTCCTGAATTTGAATGTTGGCCTGCCTTGCTAGGTTGGGGAAATTCTCCTGGATAATATCCTGCAGTGTTTTCCAACTTGGTTCCATTCTCCCTGTCACTTTCAGGTACACCAATCAGACGTAGATTTGGTCTTTTCACATAGTCCCATATTTCTTGGAGGCTTTGTTCATTTCTTTTTACTCTTTTTTCTCTAATCTTCTCTTCTCGCTTCATTTCATTCATTTGATCTTCAATCACTGATACCCTTTCTTCCAGTTGATCGAATTGGCTACTGAAGCTTGTGCATTCATCACGTAGTTCTCGTGCCATGGTTTTCAGCTTCATCAGGTCCTTTAAGGAGTTCTCTACACTGGTTATTCTAGTTAGCCATTCGTCTAATCTTTTTTCAAAGTTTTCAGCTTCTTTGCTATGGGTTCAAACTTCCTCCTTTAGCTCGGAGAAGTTTGATCATCTCAAGCCTTCTTCTCTCAACTTGTCAAAGTCATTCTCTGTCCAGCTTTGTTCCATTGCTGGCAAGGAGCTGTGTTCCTTTGGAGGAGGAGAGGCGCTCTGATTTTTAGAATTTTCAGCTTTTCTGCTCTGTTTTTTCCCCATCTTTGTGGTTTTATCTACCTTTGGTCTTTGATGATGGTGACGTACAGATGGGGTTTTGGTGTGGATGTCCTTTCTGTTTGTTAGTTTTCCTTTTAACAGTTAGGACCCTCAGCTGTAGATTTGTTGGAGTTTGCTGGGGGTCCACTCTAGATCCTGTTTGCCTGGGTATCAGCAGTGGAGGCTGCAGTACAGTGAATATTGCTGAACAGTAAATGTTGCTCCCTGATTGTTCCTGTGGAAGCTTCATCTCAGAGGGGTATCTGGCCATGTGAGGTGTCATACTGCCCCTACTGGGGGGTGCCTCCCAGTTAGGGTACTCGGGGGTCAGGGACCCACTTGAGGAGGCAGTCTGTCTGTTCTCAGATCTCAAACTCTGTGCTGGGAGAACCACTACTCTCTTCAAAGCTGTCAGACAGGGATATTTAAGTCTGCAGAGGTTTCTGCTGCCTTTTGTTTGGCTATGCCCTGCACCCAGAGGTGGAGTCTACAGATGCAGTCAGGCCTCCTTGAGCTGCAGTGTGCTCCACCCAGTTAGAGCTTCCTGGCCGCTTTGTTTACCTACTGCAGCCTCAGCAATGGTGGGTGCCCCTCCCCCAGCCTCGCTGCCATGTTGCAATTTGATCTCAGACTGCTGTGTTAGCAATGAGTGAGGCTCTGTGGGTGTGGGACCCTCTGAGTCAGGCACAGGATACAATCTCCTGGTGTGCTGTTTGCTAAGACCATTGGAAAAGCACAGTATTAGGGTGGGAGTGACCCGATTTTCCAGGTGCCATCTGTCACAGCTTCCCGTGGCTAGGAAAGGGAATTCCCTGACCCCTTGCAGTTCCCTGGTGAGGTGATGACTTGCCCTGCTTTGGCTCACGCTCAGTGGGCTGCACCCACTGTCCTGCACCCACTGTCTGACAAGCCCCATTGAGATGAACCTGGTACCTCAGTTGGAAATTCAGAAATCACCTGTCCTCTCCGTCGCTCACACTGGGAGCTGTAGACTTGAGCTATTTCCATGTTTTTTTCTTTAGAGGTGCCTTCAGTCTGGTCTCTCTGGCAGGGTCAATTTCATTCCTACTGTTCCTGCTGTCATTTCTTTGTCAATGACTTCCAAATCTTTACCTCTACACCCAACCTCTCTTCTGAGTTTTGATTCCAAATTTTCAAAAAGTTGTGGAGTTTCTCCATCTGAATGCCCTTCTGGAATTATACACACATTATACTGTCAAAAATCATACTGTTAGCCTTCCAAACTGCTCTTCCTTCTGACCCACTAGTACTCATGTGCTACCTGTTAGAGACCTTTGGCCCTCTCCCCTGGCTCCCTCTTCCTTCTTACATTTAATAGCTAAGTCCTGGCATGTCCTCCTCTGTACTCACACTTCTATTTCTGTAATTCTCCCTTAGTTCAAGCCCCTTAGTATATCTCTCTGGGACTAATGCAATAACCTTTTCAAAATGTGTTATTTTCCCCTTGATTATAAAAGCAGTAAGTCACACTATAGAAAAATGGAAAAAATAGAGAAAGGCCTTAATAAAAAGGCAAAAATTATCCATAATCCCATATCTCAGAGGTTATTAAAAGTTTATTTCTTTCTAGTTGGTTCTTCATGTGTGCATTCTCTATTATATTATAGTTTTACATCTTTTTAACTTTATGTAATAACATTTCTTATGCTATTACACATTATTCATTATAATAATTTTTTTGTTTTTGAGATGGAGTTTCACTATTGTTGCCCAGGCTGGAGTGCAATGGCACTGTCTCGGCTCACTGCAACCTCTGTCTCCCGGGTTCAAGTGATTCTCCTGCCTAAGCCTCCGGAGTAGCTGGGATTACAGGCATGTGCCACCACACCCAGCTAATCTTGTATTTTTAGTAGAGACAGAGTTTCTCCATGTTGGTCAGGCTGGTCTCGAACTCCCAACCTCAGGTGATCCACCCGCCTTGGCCTCCCAAAGTTTTGGGATTACAGGCATGAGCCACTGCACCCGGCCCTACAATAAATTTTAATGGTGCATAATATTTAGCTATTTTGTTTAGGTTTTTACAGTTTTACCACAAATGCACTTTAGAATAACCTGAGGGTACTGAAAAATATCCCAGGCTCACACTCCTAGAGTTTCAAATTCAATTATTTTGGTGTGGGGTCCTGCAATCGGTATTTTTAAAGACTCTACAGATGTTTTTAATGTGTATCTCAAGTGAAAAATCACCAGCTTACATGAATATAAAGGAGAAAGTTCTTAAATGTATGTTAAACTACATTTTTAACTTTTAAGAATAAAACAAATAAAAGCAAATAAATGTACAATTCTATATAAATTAAGATACCGTATTGGTTCCTTAAGCCACCACTCAGAAAGAATTACTTCAAGAATTTCAGGAGGCAAGGGCTCATTTTCCATTAGACTTGATTTGATTACTTCTTCTTCTTCTGTAAGTTGTACTTCTGGAAGCTAAAAACAAAAATCAGAAAACAAAACAAGTTTTAAAACTCTATGCTAATAATTGCATGTTCTCACTCATATGTGAAAGTTAAAGAGGAGGACCTCATGGAGGTGGAGAGTAGAATGAAAGTTACCACAGGCAGGGAAGGGTGTGTGGTAGGGATAGAGGACATGAAGAGAGGCAGGATAATGGGTACAAACATACAGTTAGATAGAAGGTGTAAGTTCTAATGTTCAATAGCACAGAGGGAAACTATAGTTAGTAACAATGTATTGTGTATTTCAGGATAACTAGAAGAGAGGGCTTGAAATGCTCCCAACACATAGCAATGATAAGTGCTCAAGGTGATGGATATCATAAATACCCTGACTTGATCCTTATACATTCTATGTGTGTAACAAAATATCACAGGTACCCCATAAATATGTACAAATACCAATTTAGAAAACCCCAAAATCTATATTCATAAACAATATGGTATTACGTAGCTGATTAGAATGAGACCTGTTATTTTCTCTGAGGTCTTTTTTTATAGTGTTGCTTATAAACATTTAAAAATTTGGGCTATTTTCTATAAACCAATTATTTAATGTGGTTAGAAATACAGGTTGTACAAAAGTAATTGCGGTTTTTGCTTTAAAAGTAATGGCAAAAACACAACCACTTTTGCACCAACCTATAGTAAATAATATTTACTACAGCTAAGATAAATTATAAGTAATAATATGATTGATTTTCATACATGGCCTTGGGGTCATATCTCATTACTTTTTGCTAAACCTTTTTCAATTTATCACACACACGCCTATAAGGCTTAACTGATTTTTGTTATTTATATTATAATTTTACAGTATTATCTCTCCAACCTAGATCCTGATTATGGGATAAGCCAAACAGGCAGCCATCTGAAATACAAACTAGAAGAGGATTATAATGTAATAACAAATAGAAAGCATTGTGATAATTAACTGAGGTCAAGTCTCTCTAAAGTAGGATCACCCTTGAATGGATAGTAAAAAACAACAGTTCTTACAAAAATGAAACATTTTTGTTGAGTACTTTTGTCATCCAAAATTCTAAAACTGAATAGCTAAGGTATGATAAACTGCTGCTTACCGGGAAGCAGGATTAATTTTATTACCTAAAAATAAAATCCCTTAATTGCTTTCTGACAAGTTATTCAGAAAACAATAAAAGAAAACCAAACAAAAAACTGTAGACAAGCAGGAGATATTTGTTGCACTTTAAAATCTAGACTTGTTAAGTTAAAAAATCTGGACTGACATACTTTTTTCTTTTTTTGAGATGGAGTCTTGCTCTGTTGCCCAGGTTGGAGCACAGCAGTGCGATCTTGGCTCACTGCAACCTCCGCCTCCTGGGTTCAAGTGATTCTCCTGCCTTAGCCTACTGAGTAGCTGGCATTACAGGCATGTGTCACCACGCCTGGCTAATTTTTGTACTTTTAGTAGAGACGGGGTTTCACCACGTTGGCCAGGCTGGTCTTGAACTCCTGACCTCAAGTGATCTGCCTGCCTCCACCTCCCAAAGTGCTGGGATTACAGGCGTGAGCGACCGTGCCTGTCCCGATATACATTTTTTAAATTAATAGGATATCAGTTTCTCCTGAACGCTACTAAATATAGCTGAAAAACATTTAAAGAATATGTCTGAAGGCCAGGCACAGGTGGCTCACGCCTGTAATCCCAGCATTTTGGGAGGCCAAGGTGAGTGGATCACTTGAAGTCTGGAGTTTGAGACCAACCTGGGCAACATGATGAAATCCCATCTATACAAAAAATACAAAAATTACCCTGGCATGGTGGTGCATGCCTGCAGTCCCAGCTACTTAGGAGGCTGAGGTGAGAGGATCGCTTGAGCCCAGGAGTCAGAGGTTGCAGTGAGCTGAGATCACACCACTGCACTCTGGCCTGGGCAAGAGAGGGAGATGCTGTCTCAAAAAGAAAAAAGAATATGTCTGATCAGGTACTTCATTACCTATTAGAACACCATATGTCACTCACTATCCAACCCTGCTTCAACTTTGAGTGTTACATATAACTGCATTTGGATCATTTGAGAACAAATGGCCTATCTATATCAGAAATGGTTAAAATGTGAGTTAGAATGAAGAACTTTCATTGTATAACTCCAGATAGAAGCCATGTAAGAGGTTAATACGGTTTGGATCTGTTTCCCCGCCCAAATCTCATGTGGAATTGCAATCCCCAATGCTGGAGGTGGGGTCTGGTGAGAGGTGATTGGATCATGGGGGTGGTTTCTCATGAATGGTTCAGCACCATTACCCCCTTGGTACTGTCATGACGGTAGTGAGTGAGTGCTCATGAGATCCAGTGGTTTAAAAGTGTGTGGCACCTCCCACCTCACTCTCTTTCTCCTGCTCTGGCCATGTGATGTGTCTGCTCTCCCTTCACCTTCTGCCATGATTGTAAGTTTTCTAAGGCCTCTCCAGAAGCCAAGCAGATGCCACTATGCTTCCTGTATGGCCTGAAGAATTGCGAGCCAGTTAAACCTATTTTCTTTAAAAATTACCCAATCTCAGGTATTTCTTTATAGCAACGAGAGAACAGATTAATACAGTACAAACTTTCTGGTAAGACATCATTAGAAATTAATATTTTGAGATCTCCACTAAGGCTGGGGCAGATTTTTATGCTATTTGATAGAAATCAGAGAACACAATAATGGAAAAGTTTATTGTCTAAGTCAGATATACCAAATATCATACTTCCAAATAAATGCTATAAAACAGCCTTGTCAAGGAAAATTTTTCTGAATTTTTTTGGAGTCATATAAAACTCAGTACTTTATATTCTAGAAGAGCTGGAAGATTTGTATTTAGCATATGATGAATATGACTCTTTAAATGACTTTTATGGGCTAATTATTTTCTCTTCTTAGAAACTTTATAGAGTTTTATACTACCACTACCCCAGATTAACACCAGTAAGCACAGCTGTCTGCATAGATTAGTACTGCCAGGCACAGTGGCTCATGCCTATAATCCCAGCACTTTGGGAGGTCAAGGTGGGTAAATGGCTTGAGCCCAGGAATTTGAGACCAGCCTGGGCAACATAGCAAGACCCCCATCTCTACAAAAAATACCAAAACTAGCTGGGCATGGTAGTGCACACCTGTAGTCCCAGCTACTTGGGAGGCCAAGTGATATGGTTTGACTGTGACCTCACCCAAATCTCATCTTGAATTCCCACATGTTATGGGAGGGACACAGTGGGAAGTAATTGAATCATGGGGGCAGGCCTTTCCCATGCTGTTCTTGTGATAGTGAATAGTCTCACAAAATCTGATGGTTTTATAACGGGGAGTTTCCCTGCACAAGCTCTCTCTTTGCCTGCTGCCATCCACGTAAGATGTGATTTGCTCCTCCTTGCCTTCTGCCATGACTGTGAAGCCTCCCCAGCCACATGGAACTAATTGTAAGTCCATTAAATGTCTTTCTTTTGTAAATTGCCTGGTCTCGGTATGTCTTTGTCAGCAGTGTGAAAATGGACTAATACACCAAGGCAGGAGGATCACCTGAGCCCAGGGAAGTTGAGGCTTTGGTGAGCTGTGATTGTGCCACTGCCTTCCTGTCTGGGTGACAGATGGAGACCCTGTCTCAAAAACAACAACAATAACAACAGCAAAAACAAAACAAACAAAAAACAAAAAAAGAGATTACTACCTGCTTTTTTGTATTTTCTTCCTCAACTTTGACATTGGCCTGAATTGCAAGCTCTTCAAGTTCTTGTTTGGCAGCTTGCTCGTTCTCAGAATCTTCCTCAAATTCAGGTCCCACTTTCTTTTCAGTTTTGAGTAGTAGTTTTTCTTGAAGAACTTCTTCAAACTGAATGTGAAAAATGTTTAATTTTTCTGCCAACTGTCTTCCACACATAGTTTTGCCAGAGCCCTGGGGGCCGACAAGGCATATTCTTAATGGAGGAGCCTGTCACAGGGGGTGGGTCAGGGAGGGGTGGGATAAAGGGAGAGTGAAGGAAAAGCAGTTTTGAGTAATTTAGAACACATAAGACTTATTAACTGCCCTCCCTAAGATGGGGTAGGAATGATCACATCATGAACTCAAGGATGCTTAGATATTAGGATTTCAATTAACATAATTAGTTCCATCAACACTGGTCCTCAGGGAGCACCAACAACCATATATGATTATCTTGGTATCATATGCCAAAAGGCATTTAATAAAATAGAGTTTACTTATTTTTGTTTTTGACAAAAGTTTTAGTTAATACAGAATGGAAAGATACTTTCTTAACATAATAAAATAAATCTATCAAACAGAAAGCCCACTAATAATAAAAATTTACAGCCTTCTCCATTTATTACAGTAATCTCAGGACTCACATTGTGTGGATCATCCACGGGATGCTGAAACTGTCAAGAACAATGGTGAGTACTGGAATGAAGCAGCAGCTAAGTCTTCTGTGATTGTGAGGAAATACTAAGAAATTAGTAGGTGACAGCAGCAAGGAGGAACGGGGCTTCTTGATATATCCGAGTAGGATAAGCCTCAAAGGGGCTGGAGTTTTTGCAAGGGGAAGGAGAAAAATTAGAATGACATGAAATTATATAGCTGCAGCCTCACACCATACTTTTAAATCACATTTTAAACCTCTCCGTGATAAAACTACCGGATTAACACTTCACTCACCCACCAGTTAAACGTCTCGCAACTAGGGCTGTCTGGTGCTCAGACTGTATTCAGGTACCCTATGGTAGGGAAGGGAAATGTTTCTGGAAAACCCAGTTCATTTTATGCTTTGCAAAACTATGGAAATACAGTCAGGATTTCAGGATCTTATCCATATGGATTTGTGTAAAACAAGGCAATAGATCACAAACAGCAAACCAGACTAAGCGGAAATTACAGCTGAAAACAACAACAACAGAAAAGGGTAAGTGGCCACAGTCCTTAAATGACCCCCAACACCAGTGGATTGGGGCTTCTTTGTGAGGGCACAACCATCCACATACTTCAGTAGTCTCATGGGCACTATATAAAAAATTGAGGTTCATGAAAATGGCCCAAATTATACAGAAGAGCTTAGATTGTGTTCCATGTGTTCATTTTAAGAAGGCATTGATATTATCAAAAGTAATAAGGCAATATATTGTGATGTATATATCTTGCTCCAGTAATCCTATCCCAGGGAGCTATAGCATAGCACAGTAGTAAAGTAATTCAAGAAAGCCAAAACACTTATAGCCAACTCATTTTCTACAAAAGCACCAAATACGTGGAAGAAAGGATGGTCTCTTTAATATATGGTGCTGTGAAAGCTGGATATCCATATGCAGAAGAATGAAACTAGATCCTCATCTTTCACCTATACAGAAATCAACTCAAAATGGATTAAAGACCTAAATGGAAGACCTGAATATATAAAACTGCTAGAAGAAAACATTGGGGAAGTGCTACAGGACATTGGTCTGGGCAAAGATTTTTCCAGGTAAAACCTCAAAAACACAGGCAATAAAAGCAAAAATAGACACATAGGATTACATTAACCTAAAAAAACCTCTGTATCACAAAGAAAATAACATAGTAAAGAGACAACCTACAGAATAGGAGATAAGATTTGCAAAGTATCCATCCAACAAGGGATTAATAACCAGAATATATAAAGAACTCAAACAGCTCAGTAGCAAAAAAAAAAAAAAAAAAACCCAAATATTCTGATTTAACAATGGGGAAAAAAGACCTGAACAGACATTTCTCAAAAGAACACATACAAATGGACAACAGGTATATGAAAAAATGCTCAATATCACTAATCATCAGGGAAATGCAAATCAAAACCACAGTGAGATATCATCTCACCTCAATTAGAATGGCTATTATCAAAAAGACAAAAAAAATAGCAAATACTGATGAGGATGTGAAGAAAGGGGAACACTTGTACACTGTTGTGGAAATGTAAAGTAGGAAAGCCATTATGGAAAACAGTATGGAATTTTCTCAAAAATCTAAAAATATGAGGGGTCTTCGAAAAGTTGACAGAAAATGCATATTATGACAAAACTATGCATGGATTCACTTTTTTTTGCACCAAATAAACTCATATGAACTTGTTATAACATATCTGAACAGGATCTAGTTTGAGGCACTAAGAAAGATAAGACATCAGTTTGAAAACAGCCCCTATCAGAGCAACATGAGTTCTGCTAAAATTGAAGTAGGAATAAACATCAAATTTATGGTGAAGCTTGAGAAGAAGAATGGTGAAATCATTGATGCTTTATGAAAGTTTCGGGGACAATGCCCCAAAGAGATCAGCAGTTTCCAAATGGACAATTTGTTTGAAAAAAGGACAAGACAATGTTGAAGATGAAGCCTGCAGTAACAGACCATCCACTTAAATTTGTGAGGAAAAAATTTGTCTTGTTTGTGGCCTAATTGACAAGGACTGATGATTAACAGCAGAAACAATAGCCAAAACACCTAGACATCTAGGTTGGCTCAGTGTACAATTTTTCTGACTGAAAAATTAAAGTTGAAAAAAGTTTCTACTCTATGATTGCCAAAACTGTTGCACCCAGATCATCTGCTGACAAAAACAGAGCTTTCGATGGAAATTTTAAACACATGGGATCAGAATCTTGAAGCATTTGTTTGAAGAACTGTAGAGGAGATGAAACATGGCTTTATCAGTATGATCCTGAAGACAAAGCACAATCAAAGCAATGGCTACTAAGAGGTGGCAGTGGTCCAGTCAAAGCAAAAGTGGACTGGTCAAGCACAAAGGTCATGGCAACAGCTTTATTTTTTTGAGGATCAATGCATTTTCCTTGTTAAGCTTCTGGAGGGCCAAAGAGCAATAACATCTGCTTATGATGAGAGTGCTTTGAGAAAGTCAGCCAAAGCTGTAACAGAAAAATGTCCAGGGAAGATTCACCAAAGTGTCCCTCTCCACTATAACAATGCTCCACTAAAAAATGACTATTGTATAGCCATGGTAACAATAGCCACTCAAACAATTTTAAATTGGTTTAATTAATCAGGGTAAACTCACTTCAGGGAATACATTTTTGCAATCCAACCAACCAGTGTCAGCCCTCACTCTCGAAACTCAACCAATCAGGATGGACTTACCCCTATAACAATTCTCTGAGTGTGAACCAGTCAACAGCAGCATCACTAGAGTAATCTTACTTCCATAGATGTCAACCCACTTATGCCTCTGAAAGTTCACCAATCCCTGAATTCCACTCTTCTCCAAAATCCTGTAAAAGACCATCATCCTGCTCTGCTCTGAAAGACTAACCAGAATGACTGGCCTCACTATAGTAAGGAATTAATCCATCTGTGGGGTTTGTCTGTGTTTGTGTTTTGTTTTATTTTTATTTCAGCTAAAAAGGCAGATATTAAGTGCTGGTTTGACACAAGTCATTACTAAAGAAATCAAAATAGATAATTATTTTATGTTATATTCCAAAAAGTTGTTCTTTGAACTTAGATATTTTCTTTTTTTTTTTTTTTTTTTGAGACGGAGTTTCGCTCTGTCGCCCAGGCTGGAGCGCAGTGGCGCGATCTCGACTCACTGCAAGCTCCGCCTCCCGGGTTCACGCCATTCTCCTGCCTCAGCCTCCCAAGTAGCTGGGACTACAGGCGCGCGCCACCATGCCCGGCTAATTTTTGTATTTTTAGTAGAGACGGGGTTTCACCGTGTCAGCCAGGATGGTCTCGATCTCCTGACCTCGTGATCCGCCCGTCTCGGCCTCCCAAAGTGCTGGGATTACAGGCGTGAGCCACCGCGCCCGGCCTAGATATTTTCTTTATATTGTAATATCAGATTGGGGATTTCACCCTTAAGTAAATTGATGGTGATTGGTAATCAGTCCCAAAAAAATCCTGTGGGAGCAATCATTAAGATAGGAATACTGTCTCACCTTCAATGGTTCTTCATGAGCCACATAATCCTCAGGATGCTCCAAAAACTTTTCTTTAGCCTCAGCACTTGAAAAGTAGTAGATCTTTTCTCGATACTTGGCTGCTTCTTCTGTGTTTCCTGGTTGCAGGATGAAGTTTTCTTTGAGGACCACCGGACAAAAGTGTTTTGTGTCTCCCAAATGCCTCTTTCTCTCCTTCATTTTATCTTCACCCTAGAAACGGTATTCAAAGTTTGGAGAACATTAAACTAAAAAAGTATTTTGATGCAGATAATTTTTTAAAATGCTTCTTGAATAATATTTAATCTGTAGCAACTTGAAAACTATCCACAAAAAGCCAGTCCTTATATTATTTTAATTAATTAAAAATCAGTTTCTCATATATTACTCTAAGTGCACATTCTAAGTTTCTTTATTTTCATGAGGAAAATAAAGCAGCACTGAGAATGAAGGTGCCTCCAGTCCTCTACCAACAGAGATGTAATGAAAAACTCCGGGATGTGTTGATGCTGGGTCATTGTGAGGTCAGTTTCTAAAATAGAATTATTCCCTAAAAGTAAAAGCTGAGTCAAGGTCACAACTTCTTACCCATGGCAAATTAAATGAGAGATGCCTCAGGATTTACTTTGGTATTAAGTGGATATATGATCAAATAATAATTTGGAAATATCCTATTTAGCTCAATTGAAAGTGTAAAATGTATTTTCATTTATGATAAAGAAAATATTGCAAAGTCCATTAAGGATTCTTTCAATTTATTTAAAGCAAGGGAAATACACTTAAAAAATGTTTTTTATGATGTAAAATACATGCTTACTGTAAAAATATTCAAAACACATCACAATGTATAAAAAGTGAAAATCTCTTTTCACCGTTTTTCTTCCAGTACTATGTTAGCATTCTTAATAGTTTTATCTCCCAGACTCATTAAAAAAATCCTACCAATATGCCTATAAAAATAGATATATATTTAGGCACATATATAGTATTTTTAAAAATACAAAGGGAATACTTTACATACTTATTTACATCATACTTCTTTCCACAAAACAAGATACAACAAACTTTCTATAAAGGTGCAAAAATGAGACTAACCTTTCCTTTTACTATTCTTACTTGATATTAATATCAGAATATGCAAACCTTGGCTGCGTGCGGGGGCTCATGCCTGTAATCCCAGCACTTTGGGAGGCCGAGGCGGGGTGGATCACATGAGGTCAGGAGTTTGAGACCAGCCTGGCCAACATGGTGAAACCCCTTCTCTACTGAAAATATAAAAACTAGCCAGGCATGGTGGCGCGTGCCTGTAATCCCAGCTATTCAGGAGGCTGAGGCAGGAGAATCACTTGAGTCCGAGAGGTGGAGGCTGCAGTGAGCCGAGATGGCACACTGCACTCCAGCCAGGGTGACAGAGTGAGACTCCATCTCAAAAAAAAAAAAAAAATGCAAGCTTCAAAACGAGCTGGAAAATAATGATTTTTTTCCTATGATGTTCAAAAAATACAGGGACTTATCTAATCAATGAAGGTGTATGTAAGAAATGACCTATAAAGCCTCCCCCACCTATTATTTTGGTTTAGCTTTTATCTTTCTTCCTAAGCCCATATTTTAGTAATTGATTTTATTTGGGGTAAAATCCTTTCAAGTCCTTATAATTTTTTTTCAGTTTTTTATTTCTTCCAAAAAAAAAAAGGGGGGTACATGTGCAGAACGTGCAGGTTTGTTACATAGGTACACATGTGCCATGGTGGTTTGCTCCAACTATTGACCCATCCTCTACGTTCCTTCCTCTTAACCCCAACAGGCCCTGGTGTGTGTTATTCCCCTCTTGGTGTCCATGTGTTTTCAGTGTTCAACTCCCACTTATAAGTGCGAACATGTGATTTTGGTTTTCTGTTCCTGTGTTACTTTGCTGAGGATGATGACTTCCAGCTCCATTCATGTCCCTGCAAAGGACATGATCTCATTCTTTTTTATGGCTGCAGAGCATCCCATGGTATATATATACCACATTTTCTTTATCCAGTCTATCATTGATGGGCATTTGGGTTGGTTCCATGTCTTTTCTATTGTAAATAGTGCGACAATAAACATATGTGTGCTTGTGTCTATAATAAACACAATAAACATAGTGCTAATGGGATTGCTGAGTCAACTGGTATTTTGGTTCTAGATCCTTGAGGAATCGCCACACTGTGTTTCAAATAATTGAACTGATTTGCACTCCCACCAACACTGTAAAAGCATTCCTATTTCTCCACAGCCTCACCAGCATCTGTCATTTCCTGACTTTTTAATAATCGCCATTTTGGCTGGTGTGAGATGGTATCTCAGTGTGGTTTTGATTTGCATTTCTCTGATGATCAGTGATGTTGAGCTTTTTTCATGTTTGCTGCCCACATAAATGTCTTCTTTTGAGAAGTGTCTGTTCATACATTTGGACTACTTTTTGATGAGGTTGTTTGTTTTTTTCTTGTAAATATGTTTAAGTTCAACATAAATTCTGAATATTAGACTTTTGTCAGATGGGTAGATTGCAAAAATTTTCTCCCATTCTTCAGGTTGCCTGTTCACTCTGATGATAGTTTCTTTTGCTGTGCAGAAGCTCTTTAGTTTAATTAGATCCCATTTGTCAACTGTAGCTTTTGTTGCAATTGCTTTTGGCATTTTTGTCATGAAGTCTTTGCCCATGCCTATGTCCTGAATGGTATTGCCTAGGTTTTCTTCTACGTTTTTTTATGCTTTTGGGTTATACATTTAAGTCTTTAATCCATCTTGAGTTAATTTTTGTATAAGGTGTAAGGAAAGGGTCCAGTTTCAGTTTTCTGCATACGGCTAGCCAGTTTTCCCAGCACCATTTACTGAATAGGAGATCCTTTCCTCATTGCTTGTTTTTGTCAGGTTTGTTGAAGATCAGATGGTTGTAGATATATGGTATTATTTCTGAGGTCTCTGTTCTATTCCATTGGTCTATATGTCTGTTTTGGTACCAGTACCATGCTGTTTTGGTTACTGTAGCCTTGCAGCAAGCTTGAAGTCAGGTAGCGTGATGCCTCTAGCTTTGTTCTTTTTGCTTAGAATTGTCTTGGCTATACAGGATCTTCTTTGATTCCATATGAAATTTAAGTTAGTTTTTTCTAATTCCGTGAAAATGTCAATGGTAGTTCGATGGGAATAGCATTGAATCTATAAATTACTTTGGGTAGTATGGCCATTTTCATGATATTGATTCTTCCTATCCATGAGGATGGAAAGTTTTTCTTTGTTTGTGTCTTCTCTTATTTCCTTGAGCAGTGGTTTGTAGTTCTCCTTGAAGAGGTCCTTCATATCCCTTGTTAGCTGTATTCCTAGGTATTTTATTCTCTTTGTAGTGATTGTGAATGGAAGTTCATTCATGATTTGGCTCTCTGCTTGCCTATTGTTGGTGTAAAGGAATGCCTGTGATTTACGAACATTGATTTTGTATCCTGAGACTTTGCTGAAGTTGCTTATCAGTTCAAGAAGTTTTTGGGCTGAAATAATGGGGTATTCTAGATATAAAATCATGTCATCTGCAAGCAGAGACAACTTGACTTCCTCTCTTCCTATTTGAATACCCTTTATTTCTTTATCTTGCCTGATTGTCCTGGCCAGAACGTCCAATACTATGTTGAATGGGAGTGGTGAGAGAAGGTATCCTTGTCTTGCACTGGTTTTCAAAGGGAACGCTTCCAGCTCTTGCCCATTCAATATGATATTCGCTGTGGCTTTGTCATAAATACTCTTATTATTTTGAGATATGTTCCATCAATACCTAGTTTATTGAGAGTTTTTAACATGAAGTGATGTTAAATTTTATCAAAGGCCTTTTCTGCATCTATTAAGATAATCATGTGGTTTTTGTCTTTGGTTCTGTTTATGTGATGGATTATGTTTATTGACCTGTGTATGTTGAACCAGCCTTGCATCCCAGGGATGAAGCCAACTTGATCATGGTGGATAACTTTTTTGATGCACTGCTGGATTCTGTTTGACAGTATCTTATTGAGGATTTTTGAATTGGTGTTTATCAGGGATATTGGCTGAAGCTTTCTTTTTTTGTTGTGTCTCTGCCAGGTTTTGGTATCAGGCTGATGCTTCATAAAATGAATTAGGGAGGAGTCTCTCCTTTTCAGTTGTTTGCAATAGTTTCAGAAGTAATGGTACCAGCTCCTCTTTGTATTTCTGGTATAATTCAGCTGTGAATGCATCTGATCCTGGGCTTTTTATGGTTGGTAGGCTATTAATTACCTCCTCAATTTCAGAACTTGCTATTGGTCTACTCAGGGATTCAACTTCTTCCTGATTCAGTCTTGGGAGGGTGTATGTGTCCAGGAATTTATTCATTTCTTCTAGATTTTCTAGTTTATTTGCATAGAGGTGTTAATATTCCCTGGTGGCAGTTTGTATTTCTTTTCTTTTTTTTTTTTTTTTTTTTTTTGGAGAAAAAGTCTCATTCTGTAGCCCAGGATGGAGTGCAATGGTGTGATCTCTGCTCACTGCAACCTCCACCTCCCAGGCTCAAGCTATTCTCCTGTCTCAGCCTCTCGAGTAGCTGGGATTACAGACGTGCACCACCATGCCCAGATAATTTTTGTATTTTTAGTACAGACAGGGTTTCGCTATGTTAGCCAGGCTTGTCTCGAACTCCTGACCTCAGGTGATCTGCCCGCCTTGGCCTTCCAAAGTGCTGGGAGTGCAGGCGTGAACCACCACACCCAGCCCAGCAATTTGTATTTCTGTGGGGTCAGTGGTGATATCCCCTTTGTCATTTGTTATTGTGTCTGTTTGATTCCTCTCTCTCAGTAGTCTAGCTAATGGTCTATCTGTTTTGTTAATTTTTTAAAAAACTAACTCCTGGATTCATTGGTATTTCGGAAGGTTCTTTTGTGTCCCTATCTCCTTCAATTCTTCTCTTATCTTAGTTATTTCTTGTCTTCTGCTAGCTTTTGGATTAGTTTGCTCATGCTTCTCTAGCTCTCTTCATTGTGATGTTAGGGTGTCGATTTGAGATCTTTCTAGCTTTCTGATGTGGGCATTTAGTGCTATAAATTTCCCTCTTAACACTGCTTTAGCTGTGTCCCAGAGATTCTTGTACATTGTCTCTTTGTTCTCATTGGTTTCAAAGAACTTCTTGATTTCTGCCTTATTTCATTATTTATCCAGCAATCATTCAGGAGCAGGTTGTTCAATTTCCATGAAATTGTGTGATTTTGAATGAGTCTCTTAATCCTGAGTCCTAATTTGCTTGCACTGTGATCTGAGAGACTGTTTGTTATGATTTCAGTTCTTCTGCATTTGCTGAGGAGTGTTTTACTTCCAATTATGTGTTTGATTTTAAAATAAGTGCCATGTGGCACTGAGAAGAATATATATTCTATTGATTTGGGGTATCGAGTTCTGTAGATGTCAACTAGGTCCACTTGATCCAGAGTTGAGTTCAAGTCCTGAATATCCTCATTAATTTTCTGTCTCAATGATCTAATACTGACAATGGGGTGTTAAAGTCTCCCACTATTATTGTGTGGGATTCTAAGTCTCTTTGTAGGTCTCTAAGAACTTGTTTTATGAATCTGGCTGCTCTTGTATTGGGTGCATATATGTTCAGAATAGTTAGCTCTTCTTGTTGAATTGTTCCCTTTACCATTATATAGTCCCCTTCTTTGTCTTTTTTGATCTTTAATGGTTTCAAGTCCGTTTGGTCAGAGACTAAGATTGTGACCCCTGCTTTTTTTGGCTTTCCATT
Organism: Homo sapiens; assembly: GCF_000001405.40. NCBI lineage: Eukaryota > Metazoa > Chordata > Mammalia > Primates > Hominidae > Homo > Homo sapiens. The sequence continues at coordinate 109,555,854 of NC_000006.12, forward strand.
TATTTGGTAAATTTTCTTCCATCCCTTTATTTTGAGCCTGTGTGTATCTTTGCATGTGAGATGAGTCTCTTGAAGACAGCATACCAATAGATCGTGGTTCTTTATCTAGCTTGCCATTCTGTACATTTGAATTGGGGCATTTAGCCCATTTACATTTAAGGTTAGTATAGATATGTGTGACTCTGATCCTGTCATCATGATGCTATTTGCTTATTTTGCACACTAGTTGATGCAGTTTCTTTGTAGTGTCATTGGTCTTTATATTTTGGTGTATTTTTGCAGTGGCTGGTACCAGTTTTTCCTTTCCAGTACATATTTAGTGCTTCTTTCAGGAGCTCTTGCAGGGCAGGCCTGGAGGTAATGAAATCCCTCAGCATTTGCTTGTCTGGAAAGGATTTTATTTCTCCTTTGCTTATGAAGCTTAGTTTGGCTGGATATGAAATTCTGGGTTGAAAATTCTTTAAGAATGTTGAATATTGGCCCCCAGTCTCTTATGGTTTGTAAAGTTTCTGCTGAGAGGTCCACTGTTAGTCTGATGGGCTTCCCCTTGTATGTTACCTGACCTTTCTCTCTGGCTGCCCTTAACAGTTTTTCCTTCATTTCAATCTTGGAGAATCTGATGATTATGTGTTTTGGGGTTGATCTCATGGAGTATCTTAATGGTGTTCTCTGTATTTCCTGAATTTGAATGTTGGCTTTTCTTGCTAGATTGAGGAAGTTCTCCTGGATAATATCCTGAAGTGTGTTTTCCAGCTTGTTTCCATTCTCCCTGTCTCCTTCTGGTACTCTAATCAATTGTAGGTTTGGTCTTTTTATGAAGTCCCATATTTCTTGGAGGCTTTGTTCATTCATTTTCATTCTTTTTTCTCTATTGTTGTCTGCAGGTCTTATTTCAGTAAGGTGTTCTTCAAACTCCAATATCCTTTCTTCTGCTTGGTCAATTCAACCGTTGACACTTGTGTATGCTTCACAAAGTTCTCATGCTGTGTTTTTCAGCTCCATCAGGTCATTTATGTTCCTCTCTAAACTGATTATTCTAGTTAGCAATTGCTCTAACCTTTTATCAAGGTTAACATGCTCCTTTAACTCATCTTAATTTTTTATTACCTATCTTCTGAATCCTACCTCTGTCAGTTCATCCATCTGATCCTCCATCCAGTTCTGTGCCCTTGGTGGAGAAACACTGCAATCATTTGGAGGAGAAGATGCACTCTGACCTTTTGGGTTTTCAGCATTTTCTCACTGATTCTTTCTATCTTCGTGAGTTTGTCAAGTTTCAGTCTTTGAGGCTGCTGACCCTTGGATGGGGTTTTTGTGGGGGCCTTTTTGTTGTTGTTGATGCTGTTGTTGTCACTTTCTACTTGTTTGTTTTTCTTTCAATAGTCAGGTCCCTCTTCCGTAGGGCTGCTGCAGTTTGCTGGGGGTTCACTTCAGACACTACTCATCTGATTTGCCCCCATGCCTGAAGATGTTACCGAGAGGGCTAGAGAGCAGCAAAGATGGGTGCCTGCTCCTTCTTCTGGGACTTTTGACCTTGAGGAACACCAACCTGATGCCAGTAGGATCGCTCCTGTATAGAATGTCTAACAACCCCTGTTAGAGGGTCTCACCCAGTTGGGTGGCACAGGGAGCCAGACCCATTTAAAGAAGCACTTTGTCCCTTGGTGGAGAGGGTATGTTTTGCTGAAGGGAAACCCACTCATCTGGGCTGCCTGGATTCCTCAGAACTACCAAGAGGAGAGGCTAAGTCTGCTGGTTTGCAGAGACTGCAGTCACCCCTCCTCCTATGTTGATGAATTACTGAATGGTTTCCAATTTGGAGCTATTACAAATAAAGCTGCTGTGACCACTCATCAAGTCTTTGAATGGGCATGTGCTCTCCTTTCTCTGGGATAAATTCCTAGGAGTGGAAGGACTGGGTGCTATGGTAGGTGTATATTTATCTGTTTAAGAAATTGCCAAACTGTTTTCCAAAGTGGTTGTACCAAGTTATATTCCCACGAGCAGTATATAAGAGTTCAAGTTATTCTGCATCCTAGCTAACACTTGGTATGGTCAGTCTTTGATTTTAGGCATTCTAATCACTATCTAATAGTGTCTCATTGTGATTTTAATTTTTACTTCCTTAATGACTAATGAGGTTGAACATCTTTTCATGTACCTATTAGCCATCTGTATATTTTAGTTGGTGAAGTATCTGGTGTCTGTTAAAATCTTTTGCCCATTAAAAAAATGGGTTGTTTTCTCATTGAGTATTAAGAGTTCTTTATCTATTCTGGATATAAGGACTTGCATCAGATATGTGATTTGTAAATATTTTATCCAAGTTTGTCTTTTCATTCTCTTAATAGTGTTTTTTTTAAAATAGTTTAGTTCTTACTTTTGACGAAGGCCAATTTATCATTCTTTTTCTTTATGGATTCTGCTTTTGGTGTCATGTCTAAGAAATTTTTGCCTAATCCAAGGTCTCAAAGATTCTCTCTTATGTTTCTTCCAGAAGTTTTGTAATGTACATTTAGGCCTATAATACATTCTAAGTTAGTTTTTGTATATCATGTGAGGTTTGGTTCAAAGTTCATTATTTTGCATATAGATCTCCAATTGTTCCAGCACTATTTATTAAAACTACTGTCCTTTCTCCACTAAATTGCCTCTGTAGATTTGTCAATAATCAATTGTCCATATATGTGTGGCTCTATATCTGGACTCTCTTGTGTTCTATTAATCTGTTTGCTGTTTTGTGCCAATGACACTATTTTGATAGCTATAACTTTATAATTAATTAATCTTGAAATCAAATGTATTAATTCTCTTACTTGGTTATTCTTTCTAAAATTTGTTTTCATTATTTTAAGTACTCTGGATTTTCAAATGAATGTTAGGATCAATTTATAAGTTTCTACCAAACAGTCTGCTGGGTTTTTAATTTTGATTATATGGAATCTGTAGATAAATTTGGGGAGAATTGATATAATAATATTAAGTCTTCTGACCTATGAACATGGTATATTTACTTTTTTTTTTTTTTGAGATGGAGTCTTGCTCTGTCGCCTAGGCTGGGGTGCGGTGGCACAATCTTGGCTCACTGCCCAAGATCAAACGATTTTCGTGTCTCAGCATTGCCAGCAGCTGGGATTACAGGCATACACCACCACGCCCGGCTCATTTTTATATTTTCAATAGAGAGGGGGGGTTCGCCATGTTGGCTAAGCTGCCTCGAACTCCTGACCTCAAGTGATCCGCCTGACTCGGCCTCCCAAAGTGCTAGGATTACAGACGTGAGCCACCATACTCAGCCATGGTATATCTATCTGTTTTTTTTTTTGTTTTTTTGAGATGGGGTCTCTCTCTGTCGCCCAGGCGGAGTGCAGTGGCACGATCTCGGCTCACTGCAGGCTCTGCCTCCCGGGTTCATGCCATTCTCCTGCCTCAGCCTCCCGAGTAGCTGGGACTACAGGTGCCTGCCACCTCGCCTGGCTAATTTTTTGTATTTTTAGTAGAGATGGGGTTTCACCGTGTTAGCCAGGATGGTCTTGATCTCCTAACCTCGTGATCTGCCCGCCTTGGCCTCCCAAAGTGCTGGGATTACAGGCGTGAGCCACTGTGCCCGGCCTGGTATATCTATCTGTCCATTTATGTAGGCTTTGTTCAATTTGTCTCAGCACAGTTTTGTAGTTTTTAGTGTGTTGTTCCTGGATCTTTTGCTAAATTTATCCCTTCATATTACATATTCTTGATCCTATTTTGAAAGGCATTTAAAAATCAATTTCTGATTGTCTATTGCTTACACATAGAAATAAAATTGGTTTTTGAATACTGATTTTATGTCCTGAAACTTTGCTAAATTCAATTATTAGTAGCTTTTTTTGTTGATTCCATTGGCTTTTCTACATAGATGTATTAATTTCATAATGCTGCTTAACAAATTACCACAAATATAGTGGCTTAAAACAACAAACATGTATTTTCTTACAGTTTTGGAGATCAGAATCCCAGAGAGTTTTATGGGGCTACTGTGAATTTGTTGGCAGGGTTAATTCTTTCTGGAGGCCTCAGGAGAGAATCCATTCCTGCTTCTCCACTTCTAGGGTTGGCTCATGGTCCTTTTCTCTATCTTCAAAGCCGGCTTAAAAGCACCTTCTCTCTGACTTCCTGTCTTCCTCTTACAAGGACCTTTGTGATTACATTGGTCCACGTGGATAATCCATGATAACTCCCTCATCTCAGGATCCTTAATTTAGTCATATCTGCAAAATCCTTTTTGCCATATAAGGTAACATTCACAAGTGTCAATTCACAGCTTAGGACATGAACTTCTTTGGCGTGCCATTATTCAGCCTATCACAATAGAAAATCTTATCTCCTACATATAAAGATAGTTGCATCTTTCTTTTTCAATCTGAATGCCTTTTATTTCTTTTCCTTGTCTGAATGCAGTAACCAAACCTTCAGTATAGTGTTGAATAGAAGTGGTGAGAATGAACATCCTTTCCTTGTCCTGATCTTAGGAAAAAAGCATTCAGCCTTTTACCCTTAAGTATGACATTAGCTGTTAGAGACTTTCTGTGGATCCCCTTTATCAAGCTAAGGAAGTTCCCTTCATTTTTTTTTCTTACCAGTAATAGATTTTGAATTTTGTCAAATGCTTTTTCCATATCTATTGAGGTGATCATGGTTTTTCCCCTCAGTTTGTTAATATGATGAATTACATTGATTGCTTTTCAAACGTTAAACTAACCTTGAATTTCCAAGATAAGCCCCACTTGGTCATGGTGTATTATTCTTTTTGTGTATTTTTGGATTTGATTTGCTAAAATTTTGTTAAGAATGTCTATATCTATATTAATGAGTGATGTTAGACTGCAGTTTGTTTTTCTTTCCTTGCTTTTAATGTCTTTGGTTTTGGTATCAGAATAATGCTGATCTCATAGAATGACTAGGAAGTATTCTCTCCTCTTCAATTTTCTGGAACAGTTTGTATAGAATTGGTTTTCTTTCTTTCTTCAAGATTTGGCAGAATTCATCAGGGAAGCCACCTGTGTCTGGCTGCTTTCTTTCAGCTTTTGTATGTCTAACAGAGTCTTCAGTTTGCCTTTGTTTTTATTTTTTTATTTTTATTTTTTGAGATAGAGTCTCACTTTGTTGCCTAGGCTGGAGTGCAATGGCATGATCTCACTGCAACCTCCGGCTCCCAGGTTCAAGCGATTCTCCTGCCCCAGCCTCCTGAGTAGCTGGGATTACAGGTGCGCATGACCACACCTGGCTAATTTTTGTATTTTTAGTAGAGACGGGGTTTCACCATGTTGGTCAGGCTGGTCTTGAACTCCTGACCTCATGATCCGCCTGCCTCGGCTTCCCAAAGTGCTGGGATTACAGGCGTGAGCCACCATGCCCAGCTTGCCTTCGTTTTTAAAAGAGAGTTTCAGTGGACTTAGAATCCTAGGTTGACAGTTTATTTTATGTTTTGTTTTGTTTTGTTTTAGACAGGGTCTCACTCTGTTGCCCAGGCTGGAGTGCAGAGGTGTGATCTCAGCTCACTGAAGCCTCGACCTCCTGGGCTCGGGCGATCCTCCCACCTGTCTCCTGAGTAGCCAGGACTACAGGTGTGCACCACCATGCCTGGTTAATTTTTGTATTTTTTGTAGAGATGGGGTTTCGCCATGTTGCCCAGGCTGTTCTTGAACTCCTGAGCTGAAGTGATGTGCCTGCCTTGGCCTCCCAAAGTGCTGGGATTACAGGCATGAGCCACTGTGCCAGGCTGACATTTTTTTTTCCCTTCAATACATTAAAGATGTTGCTCCACTCTCTTCTTGCATTGTTTTTGATGAGAAATATGCTGTTATCCTTATCTTTGTTCCTGTGTATGTGGCATATGTTTTCTCCTTTATTTTTAAAACTAGTTTTGAGCAATTTGAATAATATGATGTACTTGGTGCTATTATAATATTTTCTTCATGTTTCTTGTGCTTGAGCATATTTATTTATTGGGCATATTGAATCTGAGAGTTTGTAATTTTTTTCAAAATTTAGAAAAAACTTGGCCATTTTCTCTTCAATTCCCCTCACACATACTTTTTGTAGATCTGAACTATATGTACACGTTGAGCATCCCTAATCCCCAAATCTGAAATTTGGAATGCTCTAAACTCTGAAACTTCTTGAGCAGTGATCTGACACTCAAAGAAAATGCTTACTGTAGCATTTTGGATTTCAGATTAAAAATGCTCAACTGGTATATATTGTGCAAATATTCAAGAATCTGAAAAAGTCTAAAATCAGAAACACTTCTGGTCCCAAGCATTCTGTATAATAGGCTGCTTGAAGTTGTCCCACAGATCACTGATGCTCTTCTCATTTTTTTTCAGAATCTTTTTCCTCTGTTGTTTCATTTCGGATAGTTTCTATTGCTATTTCTCTTGCAGTGGCTAAACTATGGTCATACCATTAATGTATATTTCATTTCATATATTGTACTTCTCAATCTTAAAAGTTCAACTTAGGTATTTATTATATCTTCTATATCTCTGTTTAACTTTTTGAACATATAGAATAACAACTGTTTTACCGTCCTTGTCATCTAATTCTAAGAACACCTTCGTCAGTTCTGAATCCATTTCAGTTGATTACTTTTTCTCCTCATTGTGAGTCATATTTTTCTGCCTGTTTGCAGGTCACACAATCCTTCAGTGACTGCTAGAATTTTACTTTATATTCCCATAAATATTCTTGAGCATTGCTCTTGGACACAGTTAAATTACTTGGAAGCAGTTTGATCCTTTTGGCTCTTGCTTTTTGATGGGGGGGCCAAAGTTTCATTTATGCTAGGTCTAGTTATTCCCCATTCCTAAGGCTAGGCTCTTGTTAGTACCCTACCCAATGCTCTGTGAATTGGGAGGGTTTTTTTTTAATATTATTAATGAAGACTATACTTTAAAATATAAGCTTTGAGTATTACAGCCGGCCTGATAATTGTCTGCGGATACCAGAGACCATTTTATGGTGCACCAGAGTGGGACACAGAAGAACAACAGCAGACATGGCAGAGGATGGATGATGAAAGAAAAGAATCTGAATCTGAGTGGGACAAAACCCGCATCCTTTAGCCATCCCAAAGAAAGGCTCTCCAGTTCCTTAGTGATAAAGTACTAAAAGCTGTTATCAGAATCACACTACATATTGTTTGTTGTTTGACACATATATATTTGGGTTTAAGTCAGGCAACTTAACCCAGTTAATCACAAGTCTATGTTTATATAACTTAATAATATTACTTTTTACTTATAAAGCTTCAAATGAAAAGAACTGCTTCCTGTTTCATTACTGATAGATGTCTGAACTGGGCAGCTATCAAATGAGAATGGTTGTCCAAATTCTGATGCCAAGGGAGTGGATGGGGCCTGAATATGGGTTACTCCTAACTGAGAACACTGCACATTATTATCATGCAAGCAGCCTCTTTTACTTACAACAACCACTTCTGCTAAATTTATACAATATTTATGTATTTAAAACTTAAACTTTTTTTCCATGCAAAATAGTTTCCTTTTATCTTTTCATGAGTCTTTTTTCATACTACATAGCCTGGAATTTCAGGGGGGTCAAGTGAAGCTGAGGCAGAGGGAGAATGTGTGTGCAAATGAGAATGTCTGTTCACTTGGGGTCCAAAAGTGATAGTTACCACTCTTATTTGCATATTTTCAATGACTTCACAAATGAGAATGAGTAGAAATAAAAGAATCATGCCTCTTCCTCTTCCTCTTCCTCTAGCTCCTCATCAACCTCTGCTTCAGTCTGGTAGTCTTCTGTTTCTTCCTCATAATCTTCCCCAGTTAACTCCCATGCAGTATATTGAAATGGTTCTGGAGAAAAAGAGAATCATTGGGGAAAATATTTTTAGTAAAAAAGGTTATTAGCATATTACTATAGTCAAATGTTGGGAAAATTGATTATTATTATTATTAGTCTCTTAGATTAAATATGTATGCAAATAGGCCTTTATAAGTTCCTTACGTGACAACTGGCCAGTATGGCCAGAGGTGTTTGGGCCACATAGCTGTTCTGATTGGTCAGGACCTGCACAGTGATAGTTGCTAAGTATTTTATACATCAGCCTTGGATATACTGAACATTTACTTCATAAACCATCAAAGAAGGCTTTCAAGTTTCAAAATGCTTCTAATACTATCACCTGCTGTTGATAATAAATGTTATGATTAAAGCCCTTACTTTCCATAGTCTCAACTACTTTTTGAAGTAATTCCTGTGGAGTTCTGTCAGCAATCTCCAAGTTTAAAATTTTAATGTAAGCCTCACTAATTGTTGCTTCTAGCTGTTTCCAGAGGATGATGAAAGAACCAATCTTCTCTTTAAATGGCTCCATTTCGGGAACATCAGGATAAGAGTCTTCTGGAAACTCAGGTAGTACAACTTTGGAGTAAAAGACAAAGGAAAGAAAAAAGGGGCTTTAAATATCCTATCTTTAGCCATATTGCCAAAATAGCTTATACTTTGCAATTTTTTTAAACAGTTAAAAAAATAATATTCTAAGCAACAATATACATTCATAAATTCATAATTTAATTATGCTTTGTTCTTATATTTGCTGTAGATATATATTTACCTGTTACTAAAACTCAAGCTTTTGGATAATTAACATGAGTTTCTTAAGGAAACTTTAACGGTTAATAAAAAATGTATAAAACAAATTTGTGTAAAAACCAGTGTTATAATCTAGTTTGATACACTTTTAATGGAGTAAGCCAAATATTTATGTATGTCAATTAGCATACAACATAGAAAGAAATAAGTATGACGCACCTACTATGCCTAAAATTAGGGACCCTTTGTAAGAAAATATGAAAAGTACTTTTATGCAAGAACTACTTTCATTTTACAGTCTAACCTGTTTCAGATAATTTTTCAATTTCCAGGCCCTCTTTGGATCCTTTTGGGATTTCTGTTTCCACTGTAGTTTCCTCGATAGGCTCAGATACTTAAGAAAGAAATCGAATAGTTAGTGTTTAAATTTGAAAACATTATTCCTTTATGAAAGTTTTGGCACAAAGAACATTTCAAAATATAGCTTAAATTGTATATGAAATGCCTAATAGAAAGCAAAGTTCTTGTTAGGGAAAGAACGGCATAAGAATACATAATAAAAAAGGCAGAAAATAAAGAATATTCTTAAACACATAAAAGGACATGGACTAGAATAATAATTGACACATGGCACATACAATTCTGGCTGATAATTTGTTAAATATTAATCAAACTTCTTTTAATTTGGCAGTAGACTAACAATGCCTGATATTCCTTTTAATTTCTTATTAAAAATACCCATGAAGCCAGGCATAGTGAATTGTGCCTGTAATCCTAGCCTTTGGGAGGCAGAGGTGGGAGAATCACTTAAGGCCAGGAGTTCAAGACCAGCCTAGGCAACACAGCAAGACCACATCCCTACAAAAAATAAAAATTAGCCAGGCATGGTGGCTCACACCTGTGGTCCTAGCTACATGGGAGGCTGAGGTGGGAAGATCACTTGATCCCAGGAGTTCAAGTTACAGGGAGCTATGATCGTGCCACTGCACACCAGTCTGGGTGACAGAGCAAGACACCATCTCTTTAAAAAAAAATTTTTTTTCAAGAAGATACACCAAAAAAGACCACAAACTGGCAGTGAGAGATGATGATATTGCAAAGTCCCAGCTGTAGGTGTAGGCATGGAGAGATTTAAGAGACTCTCAACTAATTTCACGGTTGAAGATATAGGTTGAAAACTGTTTTCCTGAAGGATGTAAGACATGCTGCACATACAGATCCAGCAGAGGTAGTTTCAGGGAAGGCAGGACTAATTATCTGTCTTTTCATCCTAGTCTGCTCCTAGTTCTGAAACACAAGTTTTGCATAGACAAAAGTACATATATCTATATGCATATATACGTATGTATATACACACACACATTCTGCAACACGGTGGAAACTGTCTTCTGAGTTAGCTAAAATAATACTTGGGTCCTCTTTCAACAGGATCTATAATGTTTAATACTCAATAGAGCAGGAAGTAGAAGGGGACAAGCCTGGGACTGGCCTGGTGGTGGCATGTTTAATTGTAGGTTGCTCAATTAAGAAAATCATTACAAACCATGGAAGAGAAAAGAACACCAAGAATATACAGATAATTCTACAATGCCTTAGCTTCTCTGGCTTAATCAAAGACTGCAATAGTTGGGGGTGAAGATCTAGCCTCAGTCTAGAAGAGCCATACAAGATGAGTACTTACTAAATATTACAACTTGAACTAGGTTGATTTGCATTAACCTATATCAGATATAACAGGTCTATATCTGAGAATGCCAGGCAAGAAGTCTAAGTGAAAAGTACACGTGTGTGGGAGTCAGGGTAGGGGGACAGAGTTCTTATAAATACTCTACCTACCCTTCCTGTTGGTAAATGCAAGAGTTGGATATATTCTGCTTCATCCAAGAATAAGTCCACAAAAACAACAAAAACAAAATCGACGAAGCAAAAGAGAGTATTGATCCAAAGATTCAGATGAAAATTTTACTTCTGAAGACAATTTCTTATATAAAGCAGAGTAAATTTTACAAGATGTATGCTTGGAGTACTAAAAAACACAAGATAACAACTGAGTCTATGAAATAAAAATCACGAGGCATAAAGATAGATTAAAATAAAGGCAGAAATACAGGAAGGGTAACTGAAATAAGAAAACAATGCAAGGAAATCTAAAATGCAATAGTAGAGTTAACATATGCATTGGGAATGTTCTTACTTACAAGTGGAAGCTAAGCCATGTGTATGCAAAGGCATACAGAGTGGTATAATGGACACTGGAGACTCAGAAGGGAGCAGGGTAAGAGGGGAGTGAGGGATGAAAAACCACCTATAGGGATGAAGAAACTCACTCAAAACCACTCAACTACATGGAAACTGAACAACCTGCTCCTGAATGACTACTGGGTACATAACGAAATGAAGGCAGAAATAAAGATGTTCTTTGAAACCAATGAGAACAAGGACACAACATACCAGAATCTCTGGGACACATTTAAAGCAGTGTGTAGAGGGAAAGTTATAACACTAAATGCCCACAAGAGAAAGCAGGCAAGATCTAAAATTGACACCCTATCATCACAATGAAAAGAAATAGAGAAGCAAGAGCAAACAAATTCAAAAGCTAGCAGAAAGCAAGAAATAACTAAGATCAGAGCAGAACTGAAGGAGATAGAGACATAAAAAACCCTTCAAAAAATCAATGAATCCAGGACCTGGTTTTTTGAAAAGATCAACAAAATTGATAGACTGCTAGCAAGACTAATGAAGAAGAAAATAGAGAAGAATTAAATAGATGCAACAAAAAATGATAAAGGGGATATCACCACTAATCCCACAGAAATACAAACTGCCATCAGAGAATACTATAAACACTTCTACGCAAATAAACTAGAAAATCTAGAAGAAATGGATAAATTCCTGGACACATACACCCTCCCAAGACTAAACCAGGAAGAAGCTGAATCCCTGAATAGACCAATAACAGGTTCTGAAATTGAGGCAAAAATTAATAGCCTACCAACCAAAAAAAGTCTAGGACCAGACAGATTCACGGCTGAATTCTACCAGAGGTACAAATAGGAGCTGGTACCATTCCTTATGAAACTATTCCAATCAATGGGAAAAGGGAATCCTCTGAGTTCACGTCCTTTGTAGGGACATGGATGAAGCTGGAAACCATCATTCTCAGCAAAATATCGCAAGGACAGAAAACCAAACACCGCATGTTTTCACTCATAGGTGGGAATTGAACAATGAGAACACTTGGACACAGGAAGGGGAACATCACACACTGGGGCCTGTTGTGGGGTGGGGGGAGGGGGGAGGGACAGCATTAGGAGATATACCTAATGCAAATGACGAGTTAATGGGTGCAGCACACCAACATGGCACATGTATACATATGTAACAAACCTGCACATTGTGCACATGTACCCTAGAACTTAAAGTAAAATAAAAAAAAAAAAAAAGAAAAAGGGAATCCTCCCTAATTCATTTTATAAGGCCAACATCATCCTGATACCAAAGCCTGGCAGAGGCACAACAAAAAAAGAGAATTTTAGACCAATGTCCCTGATGAACATGGATGCAAAAATTCTCAATAAAATACTGGCAAACCGAATCCAGCAGCACATCAAAAAGCTTATCCACCACGATCAAGTTGGCTTCATCCCTGGGATGCAAGGCTGGTTCAACATACACAAATCAATAAACGTAATCCAGCATATAAACACAACAAAAGACAAAAACCACATGGTTATCTCAATAAATGCAGAAAAGGCCTTCAAGAAAATTCAACAGCGCTTCATGCTAAAAACTCTCAATAAACTAGTTATTGATGAGACGTATCTAAAAATAAAAAGAGCTATCTATGACAAACCCACAGCCAATATCATACTGAATGGGCAAAAACTGGAAGCATTCGCTTTGAAAACTGGCACAAGACAGGGATGCCCTCTCTCACCACTCCTATTCAACATAGTGTTGGAAGTTCTGGCCAGGGAAATCAGGCAAGATAAAGAAATAAAGGGTATTCAATTAGGAAAAGAGGAAGTCAAATTGTCCCTGTTTGCAAATGACATGATTGTATATTTAGAAAACCCCATCGTCTCAGCCCAAAATCTCCTTAAGCTGATAAACAACTTCAGCAAAGTCTCAGGATACAAAATCAATGTGCAAAAATCACACGCATTCCTATACACCAATAACAGACAAACAGAGAGCCAAATCATGAGTGAACTCTCAATCACAATTGCTTCAAAGAGAATAAAATACCTAGGAATCCAACTTACAAGGGATGTGAAGGACCTCTTCAAGGAGAACTACAAACCACTGTTCAATGAAATAAAAGGGGATTCAAACAAATGGGAGAACATTCCATGCTCATGGATAGGAAGAATCAATATTGTGAAAATGGCCATACTGCCCAAAGTAATTTATAGATTCAATGCCATCCCCATCAAGCTACCAATGACTTTCTTCATAGAATTGGAAAAAACTACTTTAAAGTTCATATGCAATGAAAAAAGAGCCCGTATTGCCAAGACAATCCTAAGCCAAAAGAACAAAGTGGGAGGCATCATCCTACCTGACTTCAAACTATGCTACAAGGCTACAGTAACCAAAACAGTATGGTACTGGTACCAAAACAGAGATATAGACCAGTGGAACAGAATAGAGCCCCTGGAAATAATACCACACATCTACAACCATCTGATCTTTGACAAACCTGACAAAAACAAGAAATGGGGAAAGGATTCCCTATTTAATAAATGGTGCTGGGAAAACTGGCTAGCCATATGTAGAAAGCTAAAACTGGATCCCTTCCTTACATCTTATACAAAAATTAATTCAAGATGGATTAAAGACTTAAATGTTAGACCTAAAACCATAAAAACCCTAGAAACAAACCTAGGCAATACCATTCAGGACATAGACATGGGCAAGGACTTCATGACTAAAATACCAAAAGCAATGGCAACAAAAGCCAAACTTGACAAATGGATCTAATTAAACTAAGGAGGTTCTGCCCAGCAAAAGAAACTACCATCAGAGTGAACAGGCAACCTACAGAATGGGAGAAAATTTTTGCAATCTACCCATCTGACAAAGGGCTAGTATCCAGAATCCACAAAGAACTTAAACAAATTTACAAGAAAAAATCGAACAACCCCATCAAAAAGTGGGCAAAGGATATGAACAGACACTTCTCAAAAGAAGACATTTCTGCAGCCAACAGACCCATGAAAAAATGCTCATTATTACTGGCCGTCAGAGAAATGCAAATCAAAACCACGATGAGATACCATCTCACACCAGTTAGAATGGCAATCATTAAAAAGTCAGGAAACAACAGGTGCTGGAGAGGATGTGGAGAAATAGGAATGCTTTTACACTGTTGGTGGGACTGTAAACTAGTTCAACCATTGTGGAAGACAATGGGGCGATTCCTCAAGGATCTAGAACTAGAAATACCATTTGACCCAGCCATCCCATTACTGGGCACATACCCAAAGGATTACAAATCATGCTGCTATAAAGACACATGCACACGTATGTTTATTGTTGCACTATTCACAATAGCAAAGACTTGGAACCAACCCAAATGTCCATCAATGATAGACTGAATTAAGAAAATGTTGCACATATACACCATGGAATACTATGCAGCCATTAAAAAGGATGAGCTCATGTGCTTTGTAGGGACATGGATGAAGCTGGAAACCATCATTCTCAGCAAACTATCACAAGGATAGAAAACCAAACACTGCATGTTTTCACTCATAGGTGGAAATTGAACAATGAGAACACTTGGACACATGGTTGGGAGCATCACACACTGGAGCCTGTCGTGGGGTGGGGGAAGGGGGGAGGGATAGCATTAGGAGGTATACCTAATGTAATGACGAGTTAACGGGTGCAGCACACCAACATGGCACATGTATACACATGTAACAAACCTGCATGTTGTGCACATGTACCCTCTATAGAACTTAAAGTATAATAATAATAAAAAAAAGAAAAACCACCTATAGAATACAACATGCACTATTTGAGTGATAGGTATGCTAAAACCCCAGACTTCACCACTATATGTGATTCATCCATGTAACCAAAACCCACTTGTACCCCTAAAACTACTGAAATAAAAAAATTTTTTAATGCATTAGGAGAGAGGCAATAAGGTGGAGAAGGTAAACCAGTGACATGGAGGATAACAAGTCTCTGAAGAATCCAGAGAAAAAGTACAAAGAGATGAGAACTATCAGGAAAAAGAAGATTAACGTGGTTGAGAAACAATAGTTATCTGACCAAAAATAATAAATGATCCTGAAAAAGGAATCTGAAGCAATAACTGAAGAAAGGCATTTTGAGCTAGACAAAGATTGTGATATGAAGACAAGAAGAGCTCAATGAATTCCCGGGTAAATCATTCACATACCAGCAAAGTTTTAACAAATAATGGCATTGAAAAGGATCCTTTGAGCACCCCTGTAGGAAAAGAACGAAAAGAACAGAAATGAGGGAATATCTTGACTTTTCCATGTGTAGAAGACAATGAAGCAATGTCAACATGAGGAATTCTGAGAAGAAAAGGTTATGACAATGATTTAATAGCCTCTAAGTTGTTTTATATATGTGAAAGCAATAGATTTGCAGAAAAATTACAAAATATGCCACGCTGGATCCTTAAAAAGTTGCTCAAAGATGTAGACCAGATGACTAAGAGATGAATCAAAATTAAAATCTCAAGAATAGGGTCATGTGGAATTTGGGAGAAATCCAAATGGAATTATCATTATCCTAATACCACATAGCTACAGAAATCCACAGCCTGTTCTAGTGGACTGGACAAAACTGGCCACACTCATGAGCATTCAACAATGTGGAGAAGTTATGCCTCTTTCCAAAATGCTATCTGAAGGAAGTTTATAAACAAATAATTTCCATATAGTTATTGTTTATTGAAAATAACTCTCTTGTAGGACTTTAAAAATGTCCGAGAGGAAACCTTTCTCTCAAGCCGAAGTCTAATTGGATCACAGTTAGATAAAAACAAAACAAAACACCATTCTTAAAAAAGCTAAAAGGAAATACATTAGAATGTTAAGTATCATTGCCTTTTGTTGTCAGATCAATGATGATTTCCCCCATCTTTCTATTTGTATAATTTCTGTATTTTCTATAGTTAGCACATATTTTTATCAAACCTGGATGGATGTATGATTTTGAAACACACCGTTCAACATCAACTGTATCAAAACTACGATCACTGTCTTTAATAGACATTTTTCAAATTTCTATTCAATATATTCATTAATTTTGACCTGCAGATACAGTGTACAGCCAAATGATTCTAGAGTTTTTATTTTCAGGATCAGATTTTTCTCAGGTATGCTACTGTGCTTTTTCCATGATATAAGGAATAATTGACAAAACTTATTTTTCAGGCAGAATGTTTTTCCTATAGCAGTAGTTCTCAACTGTTAGTATGTATAAGAATCACTGGGGTGTTCATTAAAATGTAGATTCCTAAATTCCATCCTAGACTTACTGAACCAGAGCCTGCATAGAGCTCAGAGGCTTACCTTAAAATAAGAACCATAGGTGATTCTGATACAGCTGATCTACCACCTATACTATGAAACAATATTTCTCTTTTATGTGAAACTCTAAAGTCTCAGTTAAGCATTTAAGAATTTGAGCAGATGATTACTTATTTCTTGGGTGAAATAATGAATGTGCGCCTAGGCATTCCTGCAACCTGCATCTGTGGAAAGGCAGTATGGTAGATACTGTTGGTTGGCTCCCTCAACCCCCCTCTCGTCTTCTATTCCATTGGCTTCTACCATCTAGGCAAGGAAGCCAAGTCCAAATTAAATTCCCAGATTCCCTGCAAGTAGGGGTAGATGACGATACAATATTCTGCTCAATGAAATGTAGGTGAAAGTCTCTGTGAACTATCTATTTCTTGAATTAGAAATAAAAAGTAAAAGCTTGCAAGAGGAGACATTGTGTCTGGATGCAGCAGCCACCTATGGATCGTGAGGATGGAGTCAGATACTGGAGAGAAGTACAGGAGGAAAGAAGATGCTTGGGGCTTCAATATCTTTTTAAGTGAACAAACCAGCCTGGGGCTCTTAGATATGCATAATACTTAATATACTTGTCAGAATGAAACACATGCACATATGAGCTGTGAAATATGAATTGTGTAATTTTCATTAATTTCCCTTAGTCTTGCTTCTTTTATAAGCTCACAGCAGTTCCAGGCCCTTAACTGCTCCAGACTAGCATCCAGTTACAGGTATCTGAAGACCTTTTAGTTTGTAGGATGAATTTCAGATTCAATACTAACTCTGCTTGAAAGCATTTGCAAGCCTCATTCCCACCACAGGTGGGTACCCTATGTTCCTGCTTTAAGCCCACTCTCTAGTCCTTGGAGTGGTTTTCATTGCCTATAGACTCCTTCTTGCCTTGCCCCATCCACCAAATGAGACCTCTGAGGTAGGGCTTAAAGAGTTAATGCTCTCATATTAACATTTAAAATGCTCTTATATTTGCATTTAAAAATGGCATTGCACACCATAAAGATGAACTGTAAAATTCATGCTAATAATTTAAAATTTTAATTTAATTTTTCTTTACTTAGAGCAACATTAAATAGCAAACAAAAAAATAGCATGACAAATTGAGAGACAGACTATGGAAGAAAGGAAAAACCGTTATATTTTACTACCTTTAATGACACTTTTTTCCTGCTTTTTGAACAACATGCCCCACAAATTACATAGCCAGCTGTGCTCCTGTGTGCCAGTGCTGGGGCAGAGCAGCCTCTGCTTTCCTACCACACTTCAAACTGTGGGATTTGGACTCAATGGCTGCTCTCTGGGGGCTCATCTCTCCATTCTCAGCCAGCTTCCATTTTACCAACAGGTATACATACACATACCCAAACAGACACATTAATGCACATGAGTAGAATTAAGAACTTGCTATCAATAAAGTCTAACCTGCTTCAGGCTCAGTTTCAGGGACCTCAGATGCTTCAAACTCCTCAGGTAACCATGACCCTCGGGTATCGTGAGATGCCTCAGGCTCTTCGTGAACTTCCAACTCATCACCTTCAATCTCCTCTTCATCCTCATTATCAGTCTCTTCAGCTTCTAAAAAAATTTGAAGAAATAAATTATCATTTGGTTGAAGTCAACAAATATTTATTGGGTGTTGATAAGTGCTGAAGCCAAACAAAGAATATGAAATGGTCCCTGCCCTCCTAGAGTATGTAGTTTAATGGGGGAGATAGAAAAATTATCTATTTATTATAGCTATTCACATGTAGTGGTAAAGGATGATAGTCATCTGCTCAGAGTTCTGTATGAGTACCAGACTAGGGGTTCATTCAAAAATGAAATGTTTGTGGCAGTTCCAAACATCCTTACAGTAAATCTAGAAATAGCCCAATGTCCAAAGAAATGGCTACATCAGCACCATTCAATATAGTAGCCACTAGCTACATGTGGCTATTGAGTACTTGAAATGAGGCTAGTCCAAATTGATATATACTGTAAGTATAAAACATACAGTGAATTTTAAAGATTTAATATGAAAAACTAAATATAAAATATGTGACTTTTAGAAAATTTAAAGTTCCATGTGTGGCTTATATTATGTTTCTAATGGGTAGCACCAGGTTAGATTATATATATAATGATTGATTTTCTTACAGCTAACTAAAAATAATAAATCATGTAGTATATTAATCAATATATTAAATGTAAATACAAAATACAAAAATTAGCTGGGTGTGGTGGCACACACCTGTAGCCCCAGCTACTCAGGAGGCTTAGCAGGAGAATCGCTTGAACCCAGGAGGTGGAGGTTGCAGTGAGCTGAGATTGTGTCACTGCACTCCAGCCTGGGTCATGGAATGAGACTCTGGCTCAAAACAAACAAACAAACAAACAACCCAGAACTAGTAGCCGGTTTAATAACTACCACAATTTTGGAACAGTGATAAACATATAAAGATATGTAAAACTATAATGTGATATGAAAACATCTTCATTTCTTTTGGTGACAAAGTCAAAGTATTGCTAATATTATTGTGGTTTGTTGCCTATATTAATTGCACATTGAAGGAAATAATAAATTTCAGTTAAATGTTAGTGAAAATAAATTCGGAATTATTTTCCAATTAAGTTCACACACCCCTGAATTTTACCCATAGACCCTAGGTTAAGAACTCCAGTCTTTTTTTTAACATCTGTCTTATCTTTTTAAAATTTTTTTATTCCAAAAGTTTTTGAGGAACAGGTGGTGTTTTGTTCCATGGAAAAGTTCTTTGGTGGTGATTTCTGAGGTTTTGGTACACCTATCATCCAAGCACTATACACTGTACCCAATGTGTAGTCTTTTATTCCTCATCTCCCTCCCACCTTCCCTGCAAATTCCCGAAGTCTATTATATCATTCTTATGCCTTTGTGCCCTCATAGTTTAGCTCTCACTTATAAGTGAGAACATACAATGTTTGGTTTTCTATTCCTGAGTTACCTCACTTAGAATAATGGTCTCCAACTCCATCCAGGTTGCTGCAAAAACCATTATTTCATTCCTTTTTATGGCTCAGTAGTATTCCATGGAATATATATATATCACATGTTCTTTATCCACTCGGTTGATGGCATTTAGGCTTGTGCTGCTATAAACGTGTGTGTGCAAGTGTCTTTTTCAAACAATGATTTCTTTTCCTATGGGTAGATACCCAGTAGTGGAATTGCTGGATCAAATGGCAGTTTTATTTTTAGTTCTTTAAGGAATTGCCATAGTGTTTTCCATAGTGTTGTACTGGTTTACATTCCCACAAGCAGTGTAAAACTGTTTCCCTTTCATCACATCCATGCCAACATCTATTATTTTTTGATTTTTTAATTATGGCCATTCTTACAGGAGTAAGGTGGTATGTCACTATGGTTTTGATTTGCATTTCCCTGATAATTAGTGATGTTGAGCATTTTTTCATATATTCGCTGGCCATTTGTATATCTTCTTTTGAGAACTGTCTATTCATGTTCTTAACCCACTTTCTGATGGGATTATTATTTTTTTTTCTTGCTGATTTGAGTTCCTTTTAGATTCTGGATATTAGTCCTTTGTCAGATGCGTAGTTTGTGAAGATTTTCTCCCACTCTGTGGGTTGTCTGTTTACTCTGCTGATTATTTCTTTTGCTGTGCAGAAGATTTTTAGTTTAATTAAGTCACATCTATTTGTCTTTTTGTTTTTGGGTTCTTGGGCATGAACTCTTTGCCTAAGCCAATGTCTATAATAGTTTTTTGATGTTATCTTCTAGAATTTTTATGGTTTCAGGTCTTAGATTTAAGTCCTTGATCCATCTTCAGTTGATTTCTGAATAAGGTGAGAGACAAAGATCCAGCTTCATTCTTCATTGTGGCTTGCCAATTATCCCAGCACCATTTGTTGAATAGGGTGTCCTTTCTCCATTTTATGTTTTGTTTGTTTGTTTTTTTCTTTGTCGAAGATCAGTTGGCTGTAAATATTTGACTGTATTTCTGGGTTCTCTATTCTGTTCCATTGGTCTATGTGCCAATTTTTATAGCAGTACCATGCTGTTTTGGTAACTATATCCTTGAAGTATAGTTTGAAGTTGGGTAATGTGATGCCTATAGATTTGTTCTTTTTGCTTAGTCTTCCTTGGCTATGTGGGATCTTTTTGTGTTCCATTTGAATTTTAGGATTTTTTTTCTAGTTCTGTGAAGAATAATGATGGTATTTTGATGGGAATTGCATTGGATTTGTAGATTGCTTTTGGCAGTATGGTTATTTTCACATGCTCATGGATTCTACCCATCCATGAGCATGGGATGTGTTTTCATTTGTTTGTGTCATTCATGATTTCTTTCAGCAGTGTTTTGTAGTTTTCCTTGTAGAGATCTTTCACCTCCTTGGTTAGGTGTATATACATATATATACTTTTTTTTTTTTTTTTTGCAGCTGTTGTAAAAGGGGTTGAGTTCTTGATTTCATTCTCAGCTTGGTCATTGTTGTTACATAGCAGTGCTACTAATTTGTGTACATTGATTTTGTATCCCAAAACTTTACTGAATTCATTTATCAGATCTAGGAGCTTTTTCAGGTGAGTATTTAGAATTTTCTAGGTATATGATCATATCATCAATGAACAGCAACAGTTTGACTTCCTCTTTACTGATTTAAATGCTCTTTATTTCTTTCTTTTGTCTGATTCCTCCAGCTAGGACTTCCAGTACAATGTTGAATAGCAGTGGTGAAAGTGGGCATCCTTGTCTTGTTCTAGTTCTCAGTGGGAATGCTTTTAGCTTTTCCCCTTTCAGTATAATGTTGGCTGTGGGTTTGTCATAGATTTCTTTTTTTTTTTTTTTGAGACAGACTCTCACTCTGTCACCTAGGCTGGAGTGCAGTGGCATGATCTCAGCTCATTGCAACCTCCACCTCCTGGGTTCAAGCGATTTTCCTGCCTCAGCTTTCTGAGTAGCTGGGACTACAGGCACCCGCCACCACGCCCGGCTAATTTTTTGTATTTTTAGTAGAGACGGGGTTTCACCGTGTTAGCCAGGATGGTCTCAATCTCCCAACCTTGTGATCGGCCCACCTCGGCCTCCCAAAGTGCTGGGATTACAGGTGTGAGCCACTGTGCCCGGCCATAGATGGCTTTTATTACCTTGAGGTGTGTTCCTTTTATGCCCATTTTTCTGAGGGTTTTAATCATAAAGGGGTGCTGGATTTTGTCAAATGCTTTTTCTGCATCTATTGAGATGATCATAAGATTTTTGTTTTTACCTCTGTTTACATAGTGTATCACATTTATTGACTTGTGTATGTTAAACCATCCTTCCATCCCTGGTATGAAACCCATTTGATCATGGTGTATTATCTTTTTGACATGCTATTGAATTTAGTTAGTATTTTGTTGATGATTTTTGCATCTATGTTCAACAGGGATATTGGTCTGGTTCCTTTTTTTTTTAATGTCCTTTCTTGGTTTTGGTATTAGAGTGATACTGGCATCATAGAATGATTTAGGGAGGATTCCCTCTCTCTCTATCTTTTGGAATAGTTTCAGTAAGATTGGTACCAATTCTTTGAATACCTGATAGAAATCAGCTGTGAATCCATCTGGTCCTGGACCTTTTCTTGTTGGAAAATTTTAAATTACTGTTTTCAATCTTGCTACTTGTTATTGGTCTGTTAGGGGCTTCTATTTCTTCCTGATTTAATCTAGAAGGGTTGTTTACTTCCAGGAATTTATCCATCTCCTCTAGATTTTCTAGTTTGTGTGCATAAAGGTGTTCATAGTAGCCTTGAATGATCTTTTGTGTTTCTGTGGTATTGGCTGTAATATCTCCTTCCTTCCTTCCTTCCTCTCTCTTTTTCTTTCTTTCTTTTTCTTTCCTTCTTTCCTTCTCTCTCTCTTTCTCTCTTTCTTTCTTTCTTTCTTTTCTTCCTTTCTTTCTCTTTTTTTTTTTCTTTTTAGATAGCCTGTTGCCCAGACTGGAGTGCAGTGACACGATCTCAGCTCACTGCAACCTCTGCCTCCCAGGTTCAAGTGATTCTCCTGCCTCAGCCTCCCAAGTAGCTGGGATTACAGGCGTGCACCACCACGCCTGGCTAATTTTTTAAAAATTTTTAGTAGAAACAGGGTTTTACCATGTTAGCCAGGCTGGTCTTGAACTCCTGACCTCAGGTGATCCACCCACCTCAGCCTCCCAAAGTGCGGGATTACAGGCATGAGCCACCATGCCCAGCTAATTTTTGTATTTTTAGTAGAGCTGGGGTTTCGCCATGTTGGCCAGGCTGGTCTCGAACTCCTGACCTCAAGTGATCCGCCCTCCTCAGCCTCCCAAAGTGCTGGGATTACAGGCATAAGCCACCACACCTGGCCTCCTGTTACATTTCTAATTGAGCTTATTTGAATCTTCTCTCTTCTTTTTTTGGTTAATCTCACTAATGATCTATCAATTTTGCTTATCTTTTCAAAGAACCAGCTTTTTGTTTCATTTATCTTTTATTTATTTATTTTTTTGTTTCAATTTTATTTAGTTCTGCTCTGATCTTCATTATTTCTTTTCTTCTGTTTTGGGGATCTTGGGTTCGGGTTTGGGTTTGGGTTGTTCTTGCTTCTCTAGTTCCTTGAGGTGTGACCTTAGATTGTCTATTTGTGTTCTTTCAGGCTTTTTGATGTAAGCATTTAATACTATGAACTTACCTCTTTGGACCACTTTTGCTGTATCCCAGAAGTTTTGATAAGTTGTGTCACTGTTATTGTTCAGTTCAAATAATTTTTAAATTTCCTTCTTGATTTAATTGTTGGCCTAAAGAACATTCAGGAGCAGGTTGTCTAATTTCCATGTATTCGTATAGTTTGGAATTTATTTCCAATTTTATTCCACTGTGGTCTGAGAGAGTACTCGGTATAATTTTGATTTTCTTAAATTCGCTGAGACCTGTTTTGTGGCCTATTATGTGATCTATCTTGGAGGATATTCCATGTGCTGATGAATAGAATGTATATTCTGCAGTTGTTGGGTAGAATGTTCTGTAATTATCTGTAAAATCTATTTGCTCTAGGGTGTAGTTTAAGTCCACTGAAAAACTCCAATCTTAAACTGTTACAGTGAGTTATATAATGAAGATGGGAGTTTAATCATAAAGAGAGTAAGTGGGTAATAAGAGATTTGCTGTCTTCTCAACTCCTGTAGGATGGTTCTAACGAAGTAATTCCAACAGCTGTGTGTCACCTGTGTCAAGAGCAATGATTTAAAGACAAGCCGTGTGTGCTATTCTGCTGTGTATCACTTGCAGAGGGTGTATGAGTAGGTATCTCTGTCAAGAGTCATTTTCCTATGAATCCATTACTTCAGTAACAATATTATTTAGTATACAAACTGGAACACTTTAAGAATAAAAGGTACTATAAAGACTTCAAGAATATAGGCATAAACCTGGGCTCTCATGGACAAATTGGGAAATGTGATCACCCAGTCTATAATTCACTTGAAATACTGCAATTGCTTGCAGTAACAATACCATGACACATCATCAGTCATAGCAATCTGTGCTTGCCTTTTGCCTTCACTTTCATAAGTTCCAGTAGCCTTCGATTTTCTTCTTCGAGTCTCAATTCCTCTTCTGTGGCTTTTCTGAAATGAAAAGGTTCAAATTTAATTATCTTTGGAAATTCAGACTTCTCACACTATTACAGGATTAAATGCTTATAGTGTTAAAAATAAAGATTAAATCTTATTATACTTACTTTACAATGTATATTTTTAAATTACTCATGTTGAGACTAGTTACTTTTCAGCATTTTCTTCTGGGGGAGAAAAACTGGAATGTTATACTTTGAAAAACTTTGTCTATTAATTAGGAAACATGTCAAAAATAAGAAAGGATTACCTAACTGTATGTTGAAAAGGCAAATGGAAGGATTTGTAGCATTTTTCCTCTGATTTAATGGTAAATGTTCACAATATAATGTCAAGTAAGAAAAGTCAAATATAAAACTGTATGTATAATATAATTTTAATTTGGTATTTAGAATGCATATAAATGAGGATTAAAAGTCTAGGAGAAAACCAATCAAATGGTCAACATGGATGATGGCATATAAGTGTTTTAAGTTTTCTTTAACTTTTTGCATTAAAATTTTTTCTATATTGAATAAGCAGAACATTTGTAAATTTATCTTTCTAATAAGAAAAAAACCCTAATTATTTTATTTTTAACATAGTAGTGATGAAATTTAAAGAGACCTGGAATATGGAGACTTAAAAACCTGGGGGGAATCTGTTTTTCATTAGGATTGAAGCACCAAACCGGCCTTAACGATGGTAAAGAAAGGTGGACGGAAAGTTAGTAAAATGCTGGAGAAAGGCAACATTTATTAAAAATTAAAATGTTTGATCTAGAAATCTATATCTAGGAATTTAGCCCTCAGAAACAGGAATACTACTGCACAAAGAAACACACAAAAGAATGTTGACTGAATCTTTAAAAAATTTTAACAAAAAATTATATCAGGTATTCATCGGTTAAGGAAGAGCCCATTCATGTCAGCAGCATACACTGGGGGCACAGCTTTCCTCAGACCTGTTATTTTCTCATACTCCGCGTTCTTTGCATCCATTTTCCCTTCTTTTGAAAGCTAGTTACACATAAGACATTACTACACCTCTTCTCCCAGCAGGTCGGCTTCCTGTTAATGGAGGACATTCTCTCACTGCATTCCAAATCCTGTGTTCCTGCCGGAAGTCTTGGCGTAATTCAAGTTCTCTTTGCTCGTGACTCAGCCCTCTGAGGCTACTGAGTGTTGTTTCTGAACTCCTTTCCCATTTTGTCTGTGTGTGAACAGGCAGTTATTCTGCAGGCATACCTTGCCTTATTGTGCTTTGCTTCATTGCGCTTTACAGATATCGTGGTTTTTTTTTGTGTTTTTTTGTTTTGTTTTACAAGTTGAGGGTTTGTGGCAACCCTGCAATAAGCAACTCTATTTCAAACTTCCTCATTATTATTATGTGTCAGTGATCTGTGATCAATGGCCTTTGATGTTACTATTATCATTGTTTGGGGCACCATGAACCACATCTATATAAGACGGTGAACTTAATTGATAGATGCTGTGGGTGTTGTGACTGCTCCACTGACTGGCTGATCCCTTGACTCCCTCCCTCTCCTCAGGCCTCCCTATTCTCTAAGACACAATACTATTGAAATGAGGCCAATTAATAACCCTACAATGGCCTCCAGCTTTTTAAGTGAAAAAAAGAGCCCCACATTTGTCACTTTAAATCAAAAGCTAGAAATGGCTAAGCTTAGTGAGGAAGGTATATTGAAGGCTGAGATAGTCCAAAAGCTATGCCTCTGGTGCAAAATAGTTAGCCAAGTTGTGAATGCCAAAGAAATGTTCTTCAAGGAAATTAAATGTGCTACTCCAGTGAATACACTAATGATACAAAAGTAAAACAGCCTTACTATTGATATGGAGAAAGTTTTTGAGTGGTCTGATTAGAAGATCAAACCAGCCACAACATTCCCTTAAGCCAAAGTCTAATCAGGAGCAAGGCCCTAATTCGCTTCAATTCTGTGATGGCTGAGGGAGGCAAGGAACCTGGAGAAGAAAAGTTTGAAGCTAGCAGAAGTTGGTTCATGAGGCTTAAGGAAAGAAGCCATCTCTGTAACATCAAAATGCAGTGCAAGGTGAAGCAGGCAAGTGCTGATGTAGGAGCTGCAATAAGTTATTTAGAAGACCTAGCTAAGACCATAGACAAAGGTGGCTACACTAAACAACAGATTTTTCAATGTCAACAAAACAGGCTTCTATTGGAAGAAGATGCCATCTAGGACTTTCAGAGTTAGAGAGGAGAAGTCAATGCCTGGCTTCAAAGCTTTAAGGGACAGGCTGACACTCTTATTAAGGGCTTGTGCAGCTGGTGAAGCTAATGCCCATTTCCCAGTCCAAAAATCCTAGGCCCCCTAATTAACTATGCTAAATCTACTCTGCCTGTGCTCTACAAATAGAACAAAGCCTAGATGCCAGTACATCTGTTTACAGCATGCTTTACTGAGTATTTTAACTGCTGTTGAGATCTACTGCTTAGAAAAAAAGATTAATTTCAAAATATTACTGCCCATTGACAATGCAGATAGTCACCCAAGAGCTCTGATGAAGACACATAAGGAGAATGAATGTTTTCATGCCTGCTAATGCAACATCCATAACGCAGCCCATGGATCAAAGAGTAATTTTGACTTTTAAGTCTAATTATTAAGAAACACATTTCATAAGACTACAGCTGTCATAGATAGTGATTCCTCTAATAGATCTGAGCAAAGTAAATTGAAAACCTTCTGGAAAGGATTTACCATTGCAGAAGCCATTAAGAACATTCATGATTTGTGGGAGGAGGTCAAAATATCCACATTAACAGGAATTTGGAAGAAGGTGATTCCAACCCTCATGGATTACTTTAATAAGTTCAGGACTGTAATGAAGGAAGTAACTGCAGATGTAGTGAAAATAGCAAGATAATTAGAATTAGAAGTGAAGCCTAAATTGCTGCAATCTCATGATCAAACTTGAACAGATGAAGAGTTCTTCTCATGGATGAGAAAAGAAATTGGTTTCTTGAGATGGAATCTATTCTTGGTGAAGATGCTGTGAATACTGTTGAAATTACAACAAAAAATTTAGAATACCACATAAACTTGGTTGATAAAGTAGTGGTGGGTTTGAGAGGATTGACTCCAATTTTGAAAGAAGTTCTACTGTGGGTAAAATGCTATCAAACAACATTACATACTACAGAAAAATATTTTGGGAAAGAAAGAGTAATAAACAGATACAACAAACTTCATCATTGTCCTAGTTTAAGAAATTTCCATAGCCACCCCAACCTTTGGCAACCACTACCCTTATCGGTCAGCAGCCAACAACACTGAGGCAAAACCTTCCACCAGGAAAATGATTGACTCACTAAAGGCTCAGATGATCATCACCATGTTATTTTAAAGCATTTTAAAATTAAGGTATATACATTTTTAGACATAATGCTATTGCACACTTAATAGATGACAATATTGTGTAAACAT
The DNA here is from genome assembly GCF_000001405.40 of Homo sapiens. NCBI lineage: Eukaryota > Metazoa > Chordata > Mammalia > Primates > Hominidae > Homo > Homo sapiens. Next base: position 109,583,075 of record NC_000006.12, read on the forward strand.
AACTTTTATATGCACTGGGAAGCAAAAAAACTCATGTGACTTGCTTTACTGTGGTGGCCTGGAACCAAACCTGCAATATTTCCAAGCTATGCCTGTACCTCAGATGGGGCTCTTTGTGACATCTTCCTTATCCAAATCCTGGATCAAGTATGTTGCTGCTGAGAATCTAAGACCTGAACAGAACAAGGAAGAATTTTGCTGCCAGTTCTTAGAAATTTCTGTAACCCACTTGGATAGATGATCCAATGACTAACAATATGACAGAAATTATCTTGCCATTTGACTAGCATATTTGGAAACTGATGCTGGAAAAGTTTTAAAATTTAGCATGTCTTTAGATATTTGATCAAGATGCAGTTCTTAATCCTGTTAAGTTTCTCTCTTTTCTAACCAACCTATAAGGCCTTTAAGTGAGTGTCTGACAGTTTTTTAAAAACCATCTTAAATTTTATTTCTGAAGTATAAAGGAAAAAAGTTTGTTTTGAAAAACTCATGTTGAATTTTAAAAATCAACATATAAAAACATAGAAAAGCCTGCTTCAATCTGGGCAGGTGATATTAAGGAGTTTATAAAGATGTAAAAATTTAGAATCAAAAGAAGTAAAGATTGATTATAAAAATAACTTAGAGAATTCCATATGGTTAAAGAGGTGAAGGTAGAATTGACAGAAAGTGGAGAAGATATCTTTTCCTTTTTAAAAAAAGTTAAAGGTATACATATTTTTAATATATTTAAGATGTAGCAGATCTCCAGTCTACAAATCACATCAACTTTGTTTTACTCTTATGTTGAGATCTCCATCTGTTCTCAAAGATTGGACTAGTTCTCACACACTGGAAAAAGATTAAGTAATTCCTTAATTATCAACAGATTATAGCTGATCTGTAGATTGAGTATAGCTGATTGGAGCTAATTAGTAGATTTGTAACAAAAGTTTTCAAAGCTAAAAGGGAATATAAGTAAGTTTGTAATTATTGTCTGAATTAAAGTACTGTTTGGTCAATATATCACATAATAATTTTATTAACTAATTTAACTAAATCTTACATATTTGTGTGTTAAATTTCTAAAGGAGTGACTAGCTTAAATGAATAATGAACACTAAAAAATAAAATCCTCTGGCACACATATCAGTTAAACTGCTCTCTACCTCTGTAATTATCCACCTCCCAGCTTCTTCATTTCTAGGGTTTAAAGAGCTCTCCTAAGTCTCAGCTCAAATAGCTAATATTTGAAAGGGAAAAGGAAACAGCATTTAAGAAAGCCATAGGTGCCATCATCAATAGTAGGAAGTTCCATGGATTTACACAGAAAAATTTAATTCTTAAATGTCTAGGCCTTTATTACTTTGAATAGTAGAAATCCCAGTGGACAAATTAAAACGTAAAGTATTTAAAGAGAATTTTTTAGTAAGGAAGAACAATTAGCAAACTAAGTCATTGTTTCTTTTAATATTTTATTCTTCAATCTGAAGGACTTATAGTTTATTAAAGTTTAGTATTGACCCCTGCCATGAACAGATAACTGTGTGGTCACATTTTAAAAAGTCATTCATTATACCCAGATTAGAGAATAAGCCCTCAATGTTAAACCTGTCAAACATAAATAATTAGCCTGGTCTTTCCATGTGTAGAACTTAGTCAGGCTTTGGATTTTAGTCATGTCGCACAAGTACTATATATTTTCATCTGCTTCCTATGATGTTGTTTCTTCAATTTGTAAATGCTAGTTAACAAAATTAAGTCACAGATAAATATAACAATATATATATCTTACCCATGCTCATTTTTTAAATAGTGTCTTTTAAGAGCAGATGCTTGATTTAGAATAAGTTTGATATGGGCTGGGAAAAAATCACAACTGTGTGCTTTAGAGATTCTGGAAGTATTTGTGAAATCGCTGCTTTTCTTAAAATTAACTAGAATCAGATCAAGATAATAAATTATCATTTCAATATTAAATATATTCTATAAGTATAATTGCAAGAAGATATTTAACTGCTATAACAGATACATTAATCTGTTTTATCATTCTAGGCAGATTTTACCTTGCTTCTTCTTCTTCTTTTTTTTTCTTTTGTAGTTCTTCTAATAATCTTTCTAAAATCTTAGAGTCAATTTCAGATTTCTTCTGTAAATATATTCTATTAAATAAACATTTTCCTGAAATACAGATAAGGAGACTAATATTACTTTTGTAGCTTATAAAATACAGTGAGATGTATTTTGAAGATTAACACAAACATTATTTCTGCTTATATCTAAATACATTTTCCTTTAAGCATGTATCTAAATAGAGCCCAGATTCTTTAAAATATTAATAGACCATCTTAAATTCTTTTAAAAAGGTATGTATGAATACAGTAGAAATAAGTAAAACATGAAAAGAGGTAGTATATTATATTTTTCCCCTGGCAATTCCCATTTTGAATATCTTACTTTAAGAGGCAAACAGAATAATTAAAATTTAGCTCTGCTAAATTTATGTACCTCATTTTTCCTACTTGAGGTGAAGAAGAACTAACATTTAGTCTTTGCCCTCAGCCTTATATGTTATTCATTTAGAAGTTATAGCTTCTAATTGTGTGTGTGTGCGTGCTAAACTGTAAGCTTTAAAGAAAAATTACAACGGCCAGCTAGAACATTCAACCATCCGGCACTTATTCCTGGCCACCTTCTCAGTATATGGAAGCCTCATTTTGTGTACCTCTAGTTCCTGCAGGGATTGCTGGGGTGGGTATTTCTATCTAGGAAGAGTGGAGAGTTGTCCGTTCTATATTTAACCAAAAATATCAATAACAAAACTTCACTTTCAAATTTACATAATAAATATTTACCAACCATTGTTTTCTGTATCTGATAAATAGATGACCAAATCAGGTATAATTCCTTTCTTGATTAAGGCCATCCACAATTCTTTTACAATAGGGCAGTTGTCCACAATCCAGCCTCCATATTTTGGGGCACCAGGAAACCTATCCTTGTTTTCTTCCATTACCTGTGAAAAATTGTACACTGATATTACTATCATAGCTTGACAAGTCAAGGATGCAACCTTGATATGTAATTTTTGTGGATCTTAAACAAGTATCTTTTGAGTTCTTCTTTCAAAAGGAAAAAAAAGGGTGACAATTTTTAAAGCTAAACTTAATTTTAAAGCAATAAAATCGTAAGTTTAAAAAGTTAAGAATGGAGGCTGGGCGAAGTGGTGCATGCCTGTAGTATCAGCTACACAGGAGGCTGAGGCAGGAGGATTGCTTGAGCCCAGGTGTTTGAGGTTGCAGTAAGCTATAATTGTGCCACTGCACCAGTGTCAGACCCTGTCTCTAATGAGACAACGACAACCAAAGTTAACAAAGGGAAGAACAGACTTTGTGAAATAAATATAATAATACATTTTTGCTATACATTACTCAGAGGACAGATCATGATTCAGAAGGTCTGGGGAATGGCCCTAGAGTCTACATTTCTAACATGCTTCCAGGTGATAATGATGCCTGGACCACTCTAAGTAGAAAGCTCCTGGTCCAGCTTGCCTTTTCAGTGACAACACCCTTCACTTCTCTTCTGCTTTCATTTCTCAGTGTGAGAGCTAAAAGGTACTGAGATGGTTCCTACTGATGGCAGTAGGAAGCATGGAGTCAAAACAACAAAACAAACTTTGCAGGTGCTTAGAGAATTCTGCTAAATTCTTGTCTTCCTGCTTCTCTCCAATAGCAATAGTTTCAACACATATTTGGAAATTAGTAATGTGTATCTATGAAAACACCAATTCTGAGAGCTTCAAACAAGTTTGTGTACCATTAGGTAATCACAAAATATTACAAGTCAAAGGGGAAGAGATGTCAAGAGGGCCAATATTACCCTCTTGACAGGCCTATGCAGAATTTAAAATTATCTGCTTTTTGATTTTTTTTTAGACGAGGTCTTGCTATGTTGTCGAGGCTGGTTTAGAACTCTTGGGCTGAGGCAATCCTCCCCCTTTAGCCTCCTGAGTAGCTGGGACTATAGGCTTGCACCACTATGTCCATCTTGCTTTTTGAATTATTATCTGAATAAGCAGTCTTTTAAAAAATAATTTTAAGCACTTTGAAATGTTTAACATAAGAGAATTAGGGAAAAAGAAAGCTATGAAGAAGACCTATAAATGGTTAACACAAATTTAACCATTCAAATTTGAAATTGTATTTTTGAAACAAATTTTCAAACAATTTTACAATGTTTCAATTGTTGTTTGAAACAAAACAACATTGAGATATAACTTATAATTTCTCCACCTCATTCAACTTTATTTATTTGTTGTGTATATTCATGGGTTACAAGTGCAATTTTGCTGCATTGATATATTGCACTGTGGTGAAGTCAGGGCTTTCAGTGCATCCATCACCAGAGCAAGGCACACTGTATCAGCCAAGCAAGCTCCCATCATTCACCACTTCCCCACCCCTCTGATACTCTATTGTCCATCATTCCATATTCTGCTTCCATGTGTACACATTGTTTAGCTCCCAATTGTGAGAACATGCGGTATTTGTCTTTCTGTGTCTGAGTTGTTTCACTTAAGATAATGGCCTCCAGTTCCATCCATGTTACTGCAAAAGACATGATTTCATTCTTCACTAATGAACACTTAGGTTGATTCCGCGGCATTGTTATTGTTAATAGCGCTGCAATAAGCATACTAGTGCAGGTGTCTTTTTGATAAAAAGGCTTCTTTTCCTTTGAGCAGATACTCAATAATGGGATTGCGGTTCAATGGTAGTCTTATTTTTAGTTCTTTGAGAAATCTCTACACCATTTTCATAAAGGTGTACCAATTTACATTCCCATTAACAGTGTATAAATAATTTCCTTTTCTTTGCATCCTTGTCAACATCTGTTTTTTGACTTTGTAATAATAGCTATTCTGACTGGAGTAAGATGCTATTTCATTGTGGTTTTAATGTACATTTCTCTGATGATTGGTGATGTTGAGGACTTTTTTTCATATGTTTGCTGCCTTCTTTTTTTTTTTGAGACGGAGTTTCGCTCTGTCGCCCAGGCTGGAGTGCAGTGGCGCGATCTCGACTCACTGCAAGCTCCGCCTCCCGGGTTCACGCCATTCTCCTGCCTCAGCCTCCCGTGTAGCTGGGACTACAGGCATGCGCCACCATGCCTGGCTAATTTTTGTATTTTTAGTAGAGACGGGGTTTCACCGTGTTAGCCAGGATGGTCTCGATCTCCTGACCTCGTGATCCGCCCGTCTCGGCCTCCCAAAGTGCTGGGATTACAGGCGTGAGCCACCGCGCCCGGCTGTTTGCTGCCTTCTTGTATGTCTTCTTTTCAGAAATGTCTGTTCATGTCCTTGGCCCACTTTTTAATGGGGTTATTTGTTTTTCTCTTCTTGAGTTGTTTGAGTTTCTTGTAGATTCTGGATATTAGCCCTTTGTCAGATGCATTGTTTGCAAATGTTTTCTTCCATTACATAGATTCTCTGTTTACTCTGTTGATTATTTCTTCAGAAACTTTTCATTTAATTACGTCCTATTTGTCTATTTTTGTTTTTGCTGCATTTCCTTTTGACAACTTAGTTATAAATTCTTTGCCTAATGTCCAGAAGAGTTTTTCCTAGGTTCTCTTTCAGGATTTTTATAGTCTGAGGTCTTACATTTAAGTTTTTAACCCATGTTAATTTTGTATCTGGTGAGAGATAGGGGTCCAGTTTCATTCTTCTGCATATGGCTCTCCAGTTTTCCCAGTACCATTTATTGAATGGGTGTCCTTTCCACAGTGTATATTCTAGTTGACTTTGCCAAAGATCACTTAGTTGTAGGTATGTGGCTTTAGTTCTTGGTTCTCTATTCTTTTCTATCAATCTAAGTGTCTTTTTAAAATACCAGTACCATGCTGTTTTGGTTACTATAGCCTTGTAGTATAATTTGAAGTCTAGCAATGTGGTTTCTCCAGCTTTATTCTTTTTGCTTAAGTTTACTTTGGCTATTTGGGCTCTTTTTATTGTTCTGTACAAATTTCACTATTATTTTTTCTAATTCTGTGAAGAATGACATTGGTAATTTTATAGGAATTGCCTTAAATCTGTAGATTGCTTTCAGTATTATACTCATTTCAACAATATTTATTCTTCTGATCCATGAACATGGTATGTTTTCCATTTATTTGTGTTATATATGGTTTCTTTCATCAGTATTTTGTAGTTCTCCTTGTAGAGATCTTTCACCTCCTTGGTTAAATGTATTCCTGGGTATTTTATTATTTTCATAGCCATTATAAATGGGATTGAGTTCTTGATTTTGTTCTCAGCTTGATTGTTATTGGTGTACAGAAATGGCAATTTTTGTATGTTGATTTTGTATCCTGAAACTTTACTGAAGTCATTTATCAAATCTAGCAGTCTTTTGAAGGAATCTTTAGGGTTTTCTAGGTATAGAAACATATCAACAGTAGAGATTATTTGAGTTCCTCTTTTCCAATTTGGATGCCTTTTATTTCATTCTCTTACCTGATTGCTATAGCTAGGATTTCTAGGACTATGTTGAACAGCAGTGGTGAAACTGGGTATCCTTGTCTTGTTATTAGGGGGAATGCTTTTAACTTTTCCTCATTCAGTAAAATGTTGGCAGTGGGTTTGTTATATACGGCCTTTATTATTTTGAGGTATGTTCCTTCTATGCCTAGTTGGGTAAGGGTTTTTATTATGAAGTGATGCTGGATTTTATTGAATGCTCTTCCTTCATCTATTGATGTTATCACATAGTTTTTTGTTTTTAATTCTGTTTATGTGGTGAATCACATTTATTGATTTGTGTATGCTGAACCAACCTTGCATCTCTGGAATAAAATCCACTTGATTATGCTGGATTTTCTTTGTGTATTCGTTCCTGAATCTGGTTTGCTAGTATTTTTTTGAGGACATCTGCATCTATGTTCATCAGGAATAATGGTCTATAGCTTTCTTTTTTGTTGTGTCCTTGTCTGGCTTTGGTATCAGAGTGATGCTGGCTTCATGGAATGAGTTAGGGAGGATTCACTCCTCCTTGATGTTTTGGAACAGTTTTAGTAGAATTGGTAGCAGTTCTTCCTTCAACATTTAGCAGAATTTGGCTGTAAAACCATCTGGCCCTGGGCTTTTTTGTTACTGTTGAGAGATTTTTAATTACTGATTCAATTTCACTACTCCTTATTGGTCTGTTCAGGTTTTCTATTTCTTCTAGTTCATCTTGGGAGGATGTATATTTCTAAGAACTTATCCATTTCCTCTAGGTTTTCCAGCTTGTATGCACAGAGATGCTGATAGTAGTCATTAGTGATCTTTCGTATTTCTGTTGCATCAGTTGTAATGACACCTTTATTATTTCTGATTTTGCTTATTTGAATGTTCTCTTTTTCACTTGATTATCTAGCTATCAATTTTGCTTATTTTTTCAAAGAACAACTTTTAATTAATTCTTTGTAATGTTTTTGGTCTCAGTTTCATTTAGTTCTGCTAGCTTTTGATGTGGTTTGCTCTTGTTTTTCTAGTTCTTTGAGGTACAATGTTACATTGTTAATTTGAGATCTTTCTATCTTTTTTATGTAGGCTGTTAACACTATAAAATTGCCTCTTAGCACTGTTTTTGCTGTACGTCAAATGCTTTTGGTATGTTGTGTCTATTTTCATCTGTTTCAAAACTTTAAAAAATTTCCACCTTAATTTCATCATTGATCCAACAATCATTCAGGAGCAGATTATTTAATTTCCATGCATTTGTATGGCTTTGAGGGTGCCTTTTGTTATTGATTTCTAGTTTTATTCCACTTTGGTCCAAGAAGGTACTTTACATTATTTCAATTTTTAAAATTTTTTTGAGACTTGCCTTGTGGCCTTGCATATGGTCATTTAAGAATGTTCCATGGGCAGATGAGAAGAATGAATATTCTACAGGTGTATGGTAGAATGTTCTGTAAATGTCTGTTAGGTCCATTTGGTCTAGAGTCCAATTTAAGCCTAGAGTTTCTTTGTTGATTTTCTGCCTTAATGATCTGTCTAGTGCTGTCAGTAGAGTACTGAAGTCCCCTACTATGATTGCATTGCTGTCTTTCTCTTTTCTTAGGTCTAGTTGTATTTGTTTTATGAATCTTGGTGCTGTGGTATTCGATGCATATATATTTAGAAATGACATTTTTCTTCTGCAATTGATCCTTTTATGATAATATAATGACCTTCTTTGTCTTTTTTTAACTATTGTTGATTTAATATCTGTTTTATCTGATATAAGTATAGCTACTCCTATTTGCTTTTGGTTTCCATCTGTATGGAATATCTTTTTCCATCCCTTTACTTTGACTCTGTAAATGTATTTACTAGTTAGGTGGGTTTCTTGTATGCAGCACATGGTTGGATTTTTTAAAAAAATCCATTCCATCAGCCAATATCTTTTAAGTGGAGCATTTAGCCCATTTATGTTTAATGTTAGTATTATATGTAGTATTGATAGCCTCGTCATGTTAATTATTACCTACTTGCTTTACAGTCTCGATTGTGTAACTGCATTATAAGACCTGCAAAGAGGTCTTATACTTGCAAAGAGTTTAATACTTTCATGTGTTTTTATGATGCTGAATATCACCCTTTTGCTTTTATGTTTAGAAGTCCTTTGAGCATTTGTTGTAGGTACAGTCTAGTGGTGATGAATTCCCTTATTGTTCGCTTGCCTGGGAAATACTTCATTTCTCCTTCATTTATAAAACTTAGTTTAGCAGGATATAAAATTCTTGCCTGGCATTTTTTAAAACCCTTTTCCTATTTAGAAAAAAAAAAAGTGCAGTTCACTGCCAGCACTCATTTGATTTTATATAAATGAACTCTGAGGCTGAAGCAAATCTGACTGATTTTCAATGTGAAAATAAAGTATAAAAACTGGTCTTGGAGTTATTTCTAAACAGAACTAACATCAGAATCATCTGAATCATTAGAATTGTCTATTTCAGAAAAATTGGATTCATGAAATGAATCTTTTGCCAAAAACTGTTTGAGACTGATGTTAACATCACGTGTAGGAATGCTACATTTTCTAGGATTTGACATTTTCAGCAATCGAAAATTACTATATTTTGTAAATGGAAATACCACTACTAAAAACAGAATTCTATAAATAGAATGATGTCTTTTATTTCCAAAGTTGCTATACTACAGCAAAACACAATAATAATAATAAAAGCGAGGTATTTCATGGCAAAGTTATCTCAGGGTAAACACTGCAGCTGCAATTGCCACCAGTGAGTATTCTAGGGGCAAATAGGAAAAGGATTAAAGAAGACCAAAAATAGGACTCCAATATCTTCTGGCTCATAAGGTTTCTGGTGAGAAGTCTGTTGTTAGTCTAATGGGATTTCTTTTTTTTTTTTTTTTTTGAGACGGAGTCTCGCTCTTTCACCCAGGCTGGACTGCAGTGGCACTATCTCGGCTCACTGCAAGCTCCACCTCCCAGGTTCACGCCATTCTCCTGCCTCAGCCTCCCGAGTAGCTGGGACTACAGGCGCCTGCCACCTCGCCCGGCTAATTTTTTGTATTTTTAGTAGAGACGGGGTTTCACCATGTTAGCCAGGATGGTCTCGATCTCCTGACCTCATGATCCGCCCGCCTCGGCCTTCAAAAGTGCTGGTTTTACAGGCATGAGCCACCGTGCCCAGCGGGATTTTTTTTTATAAGTGATTAGATGCTTCTCTCTTTCTGATTTTAGGATTTTTTTCCCTTCACATTGACGTTAGATAGTCTGATGACTATATGCCTTGGTGAGGTACTTCTTGCACTATATCTTACAATAGTTTTCTGATCTTCTTATATCTGGCTGTCTAGATCTCTGACAAAATTAAGGAAGTTTTCTTAAATTATTTCCTCAAATAGGTTTTCTGCACTTTTTACTTTTTCTTCTTCTCCTCTGGAATACCTATAACTAGTAGGTTGGGACACTATATATAATCCCATATTTCTGGAAGACTTTATTACTTTTCTTTCTTTATTTTTGTCTAACTGGGTTAATTCAGAAGCCCTGTCTTGCAGCTCTGAGATTGTTTCTTCTGCTTGTGCTGGGCTATTGTTAAAGATTTCAACTGTATTTTGCAATTCCTTCAATAAATTTTTCTTTCTAGAATTTAGAAAAATCTATCTCATCTTTCATATCCTAAATTGTTTTTCTGATTTCTTTGTGTAGGTTTTCAACATTCTCTTGGATCTCATTGAGTTTCTCTAAAATCTAAACCAGGAAAAGTCAAGTCCCTGAACAGACAATAATGAGTTCTGAAATTGAGGCAGTAATTAATAGCCTACCAACCAAAAAAAGCCCAGGACCAGATGGATTCACAGCTGAATTCTACCAGGGGTACAAAGAGGAGCCGGTACCATTCCTTCTGAAACTATTCCAAACGACAGAAAAAGAGGGACTCCTTCCTAACTCATTTCACGAGGCCAGCATCATCCTGATACCAAAACCTGGCAGAGACGTAACAACAAAAAAAAATTTCAGGCCAATATCCCTGATGAACATCAATGCAAGAATCCTCAATAAAATACTGGCAAACCAAATCCAGCAGCACATCAAAAAACTTATCCACCACGATCAAGTCAGCTTCATCCCTGGGATGCAAGGCTGGTTCAACAAACACAAATCAATAAACGTAATCCATCACATAAACAGAACCAATGACAAAAACCACATGATTATCTTAATAGATGCAGAAAAGGCCTTCAACAAAATTCAACACCCCGTCATGCTAAAAACTCTCAATAAACTAGGTATTGATGGAACATATCTCAAAATAATAAGAGCTATTTATGTCAAACCCACAGCCAATATCATACCAAATGGGCAAAAGCTGGAAGCATTCCCTCTGAAAACCAGCACAAGACAAGGATGCCCTCTCTCACCACTCCTATTCAACATAGTATTAGAAGTTCTGGCCAGGAAAATCAGGCAAGAGAAAGAAATAAATGGTATTCAAATAGGAAGAGAGGAAGCCAAAATTTATCTCTTTGCAGACGACATGATTGTATATTTAGAAGACCCCCATCGTCTCAGCCCAAAATCTCCTTAAGCTGATAAGCAACTTCAGCAAAGTCTCAGTATACAAAATCAGTGTGCAAAAATCGAAAGCATTCCTATACACCAATAATAGACAAACAGAGAGCCAAATCATGAGTGAACTCTCATTCACAATTGCTACAAAAAGAATAAAATACCTAAGAATACAACTTACAAGGGATGTGAAGGACCTCTTCAAGGAGAACTACAAAGCACTGTTCAAGGAAATAAGAGAGGACACAAATGGAAAAACATTCCATGCTCATGGATAGGAAGAATCAATATCATGAAAATGGCCATACTGCCCAAAGTAATTTATAGATTCAATGCTATCCTCATCAAGCTACCATTGACTTTCTTCACAGAATCAGAAAAAACTATCAAATTACACATGGAACCAAAAAAGAGCTCATATAGCCAAGACAATCCTAAGCAATAAGAACAAAGCTGGAGGCTTCATACTTCCTGACTTCAAACTATACTACAAGACTACAGCAGCCAAAACAAAATGGTACTGGTACCAAAACAGATATATAGACCAATGGAAGAAAACAGAGGCCTCAGAAATAACACCACACATCTACAACCAACTGATCTTTGACAAACTGACAAAAACAAGCAATGGGGAAAGGATTCCCTGTTTAATAAACGCTGTTGGGAAAACTGGTGAGCCATATGCAGAAAACTGAAACTGGACCCCTTCCTTACACCTTATACAAAATTAACTCAAGATGAATTAAAGACTTAAACATGAGATCTAAAACCATAAAAATTCTAGAAGAAAACCTAAGCAATACCATTCAGGACATAGGCATGCACAAAGACTTCATGACTAAAACACCAAAAGCAATTGCAACAAAAGCCAAAATTGACAAATGGGATCTAATTAAATTAAAGAGCTTCTGCACAGCAAAAGAAACCATCATCAGAGTTAACAGGCAACCTACAGAATGGGAGAAAATTTTTGCAATCTATGCATCTGACAAAGGGCTAATATCCAGAATCTACAAGAAACTTAAACAGATTTATAAGACAAAAACAACCCCATCAAAAAGTGGGCAAAGGATATGAACAGACACTTCTCAAAAGAAGACATTTATGCGGCCAACAAACATACGAAAAAAAGCTTGTCATTACTGGTCATTAGAGAAATGCAAATCAAAACCACAATAAGATACCATCTCACGCCAGTTAGAATGGTGATTAAAGTCAGGAAACAACAGATGCTGGAGAGGACATGGAGAAGTAGGAACACTTTTACACTGTTGGTGGGAGTGTAAATTAGTTCAACCATTGTGGAAGACAGTGTGGTGATTCCTCAAGGATCTAGAACCAGAAATACCATTTGACCCAGCAATCCCATTACTGGGTATATACCCAAAGGATTATTAATCATTTTACTATAAAGACATATGCACATGTATGTTTATTGTGGCAATATTCACAATACCCAAGACTTGGATCCAACCCAAATGCCCATCGATGATAGACTGGATAAAGAAAATGTGGCATATATACACCATGGAATACTATGCAGCCATAAAAAAGGATGAGTTCATGTCCTTTGCAGTGACATGGATGAAGCTGGAAACCATCATTCTCAGCAAACTAACACAGGAACAGAAAACCAAACACTGCATGTTCTCACTCATAAGTGGGAGTTGAACTATGAGAACACATGGACACAGGGAGGGGAACATCACACACCAGGGCCTGTCATTGGGTAGGGGACTACGGGAAGGATAGCATTAGGAGAAATACCTAATGTAGATGATGGGTTGATGGGTGCAGCAAACCACCATGGCACGTGTATACCTATGTAACAAACCTGCACATTCTGCACATATATCCCAGAACTTAAAGTATAATTTAAAAAAAAGAAAAATAAATAAATAAATAAAATAAAAACGAAAAAAATCTATTTCTATTGGGTATTGCAGTTCAACCTCTGAGCCAACAGGTGGCACTTGCAGATAAGAGCTAGCTGCAGCCAATGCAGATGGGTATATGCTTTGCTTGATCTTTATCGTGGGAAGCTCTCTGTTGCCTTAGGCAATGGGCTGTCAGGTGGAAGGCAGAGTGGTCTCAGTTTCCTGCTCAGCCCTGGAGAAGAGACCAAGCTGAGTGAAGCCTAACTGGGCTGACCCACCTACATGTCTTCCAATGGCAGGCACCAGCACCAGCTCCAAGAGGGGATCTGGGCATAGTTACCAAGTACCCACAGATGTGCCAGGTCATGGAGTGGAGAAATCTGCTGCCCCAAGTTCTCTGCCTGGGAAAAGAGGGGCAGCCCAAACTCCTCATCCTCATCCTAGGGCAGCCTAAGCTCCTCATTTGGAGGACCTAGAAGAGTGGATGCTCCAAATGCCTGGAGATGTGTCCTGGCATGGAGTGGAAAGGATGCTGCTGCACCAAGATGTTTGCACCTGAAGGGAGGGGTAGCTCAGGCTCCTAATTCAGGCTAGCAGGTGTGCCTAATGCCTAGAAATATGACAGGCATGAAGTGAAGAGAGTGCCACTGCAATGAAATCTGTGAACAGGAAGGGAGGGGTGGCTAAGGCTTCTAAACAAAGTGACTGGGTTTTATACCACATCTTCTTTATCCAGTCCTCCATGGATGGACACTTAGGTTGATTCCATATCATTGCTATTAATAGAGCTGCGATAAATATATGAGTGCAGGTATCTTTTTGATATAGTGATTTCTTTTCCTTTGGGTAGATACCCAGTAGTGGGATTGCTGGATCGTACTGTAGTTCTATTTTTAGTTCTTCATTCAACCTTTTTTTGAAATAAAATTTAATGGCTTTATAGTATTTTATCAAACAAATAAACCTTAATTTGTTTAATCACCCCTTACTGTTAAATATTTATGTCATTTGTAATTTTATTATAACACTGTGAAGAAAATCTATATAGAAAATCTTTATTTTACTAACATTGTGTTTTTTTTTACAACATCTGTAAATCTTTGTCCAAATATTATATATTTCTTCAGATTAGATTCCTCACATGACTTCAGGTCAAAGGGAATGAAAGAGTAAACATTTTAAAGTCTTTTCATACACATTGCCACATTGCTGCCAAAAGCATCTGTATCAATTTTCATACTTCCTAACAGTGTTTGAAAGTGACTCTATCAGTACAGCCTCACTATTACCAATTGTCAAAAACTTTGCCAATTAGATGAGAAATTGTATCTCATTGTTTTAATTTTTATTGAAACAAACGTTAAAAATTTTCTTTAAAAATTTTTTTTTGCCGGGCGCGGTGGCTCATGCCTGTAATCCCAGCACTTTGGGAGGCCGAGGCGGGCAGATCACGAGGTCAGGAGATCGAGACCATCCTGGCTAACATGGTGAAACCCCATCTCTACTAAAAATACAAAAAAATTAGCCAGGTGTGGTGGCGGGCGCCTGTAGCCCCAGCTACTCGGGAGGCTAAGGCAGGAGAATGGTGTGAACCTGGGAGGCGGAGCTTGCAGTGAGCCGAGATGGCGCCACTGCATTCCAGCCTGGGGGACAGAGAGAGACACCGTCTCAAAAAAAATTTTTTTTTATTGCAACCTCAATTCTTGCCTGCTTCGAAGAAATAATTCAACTGGGGGGCATAAGGCAGAAGAAGAGACAGAGGCAAGTTTCAGGGCAGAAGTGGAAGTTTATTAAAAAGCTTTAGAAGGGTAAGGAAAGAAAGGAAAGGAAAGAAAAAAAGGAAAGTACAACTTGGAAGAGGGCCAAGTGGGCAACTTGAGAAACCCAGTGCCTAAACATTTTCAATGAACCATTTGTATTTCTTCTTTGATAAAATCTGCTCACATCCCTTGCTTGCTTTTTGATCACATATTAGATTCTCTACAGCTTTCTAAGAAATTAATGTTATATTTATTATAAATACTTTCCCCAGCTTGTCCTTTGTCTTAAATTTTTGATTTGTGTAATTTATATATATATTTTAAATTATACTTTAAGTTCTAGGGTACATGTGCACAACCTGCAGGTTTGTTACATATGTACACACGTGCCATGCTGGTGTGCTGCACCCATTAACTCGTCATTTACATTAGGTATATCTCCTAATGCTATCCCTCCCCCCTCCCCCCACCCCACAACAGTCCCCGGTGTGTGATGTTCCCCTTCCTGTGTCCATGTGTTCTCATTGTTCAATTCCCACCTATGAGTGAGAACATGCGGTGTTTGGTTTTTTGTCCTTGCAATAGTTTGCTAAGAATGATGGTTTCCAGCTTCATCCATGTCCCTATAAAGGACACGAACTCATCATTTTTTATGGCTGCATAGTATTCCATGGTGTATATGTGCCACATTTTCTTAATCCAGTCTATCATTGTTGGACATTTGGGTTGGTTCTAAGTCTTTGCTATTGTGAATAGTGCCGCAATAAATCTACGTGTGCATGTGTCTTTATAGCAGCATGATTTATAATCCTCTGGGTATACACCCAGTAATGGGATGGCTGGGTCAAATGGTATTTCTAGTTCTAGATCCCTGAGGAATCGCCACACTGTCTTCCACAATGGTTGAACTAGTTTACAGTCCCACCAACAGTGTAAAAGCATTCCTATTTCTCCACATCCTCTCCAGCACCTGTTGTTTCCTGACTTTTTAATGATCGCCATTCTAACTGGTGTGAGATGGTATCTCATTGTGGTTTTGATTTGCATTTCTCTGATGGCCAGTGATGATGAGCAGTTTTTCATGTGTCTGTTGGCTGCAGAAATGTCTTCGTTTGAGAAGTGTCTGTTCATATCCTTTGCCCACTTGTTGATGGGGTTGTTTGTTTTTTTCTTGTAAATTTGTTTGAGTTCTTTGTAGATTCTGGATATTAGCCCTTTGTCAGATGGGTAGATTGCAAAAATTTTCTCCCATTCTGTAGGTTGCCTGTTCACTCTGATGGTAGTTTCTTTTGCTGGGCAGAAGCTCTTTAGTTTAATTAGATTCCATTAGTCAATTTTGGCTTTTGTTGCCATTGCTTTTGGTGTTTTAGACATGAAGTCCTTGCCTATTCCTATGCCCTGAATGGTATTGCCTAGGTTTTCTTCTAGGGTTTTTATGGTTTTAGGTCTAACATTTAAGTCTTTAATCCATCTTGAATTAATTTTTGTATAAGGTGTAAGGAAGGGATCCAGTTTCAGCTTTCTACGTATGGCTAGCCAGTTTTCCCAGCACCATTTGTTGAATAGGGAATCCTTTCCCCATTTCTTGTTTTTGTCAGGTTTGTCAAAGATCAGATAGTTGTAGATGTGTGGTATTATTTCTGAGGGCTCTGTTCTGTTCCATTGGTCTATGTATCTGTTTGGGTACCAGCACCATGCTGTTTTGGTTACTGTAGCCTTGTAGTATAGTTTGAAGTCAGGTAGCATGCTGCCTCCAGCTTTGCTCCTTTGGCTTAGGATTGACTTGGCAATGCAGGCTCTTTTTTGGTTCCATATGAACTTTAAAGTAGTTTTTTCCAATTCTGTGAAGAAAGTCATTGGTAGCTTGATGGGGATGGCATTGAATCTATAAATTACCTTGGGCAGTATGGCCATTTTCACGATATTGATTCTTCCTATCCATGAGCATGGAATGTTCTTCCATTTGTTTGTATCCCCTTTTATTTCCTTGAGCAGTGGTTTGTAGTTCTCCTTGAAGAGGTCCTTCACATACCTTGTAAGTTGGATTCCTAGGTATTTTATTCTCTTTGAAGCAATTGTGAATGGGAGTTCACTCATGATTTGGCTCTCTGTTTGTCTGTTATTGGTGTATAAGAATGCTTGCGATTTTTTGCACATTGATTTTGTATACTGGAGACTTTGCTGAAGTTGTTTATCAGCTTAAGGAGATTTTGGGCTGAGACGATGGGGTTTTCTAGATATACAATCATGTCATCCACAAACAGGGACAATTTGATTTCCTCTTTTCCTAATTGAATACCCTTTATTTCTTTCTCCTGCCTGATTGCCTTGGCCAGAACTTCCAACACTATGTTGAATAGGAGTGGTGAGAGAGGGCATCCCTGTCTTGTGCCAGTTTTCAAAGGGAATGCTTCCAGTTTTTGCCCATTCAGTATGATATTGGCTGTGGGTTTGTCATAAATAGCTCTTATTATTTTGAGATACGTCCCATCAATACCTAATTTATTGAGAGTTTTTAGCATGAAGGGCTGTTGAATTTTCTTGAAGGCCTTTTCCGCATCTATTGAGATAATCATGTGGTTTTTGTCTTTGGTTCTGTTTATATGCTGGATCATGCTTATTGATTTGCGTATATTGAACCAGCCTTGCATCCCAGGGATGAAGCCCACTTGATCATGGTGGATAAGCTTTTTCATGCGCTGTTGGATTTGGTTTACCAGTATTTTATTGAGGATTTTTGCATCGATGTTCATCAGGGATATTGGTCTACAATTCTCTTTTTTTGTTGTGTCTCTGCCAGGCTTTGGTATCAGGATGATGCTGGCCTCATAAAATGACTTAGGGAGGATTCCCTCTTTTTCTATTGTTTGGATTAGTTTCAGAAGGAATGGTACCAGCTCCTCCTTGTACCTCTGGTAGAATTCGGCTGTGAATCTGTCTGGTCCTGGACTTTTTTTAGTTGGTAAGCTATTAATTATTGCCTCAATTTCAGAGCCTGTTATTGGTCTATTCAGAGATTCAACTTCTTCCTGGTTTAGTCTTGGGAGGGTGTATGTGTCCATGAATTTATCCATTTCTTCTAAATTTTCTAGTTTATTTGCGTGGAGGTGTTTATAGTATTCTCTGATGGTGCTTTGTATTTCCGTGGGATCAGTGGTGATATCCCCTTTATCATTTTTTATTGTCTATTTGATGCTTCTCTCTTTTCTTCTTTATTAGTCTTGCTAGCAGTCTATCAATTTTGTTGATCTTTTCAAAAAACCAGCTCCTGGATTCACTGATTTTTTGAAGGGTTTTTTGTGTCTCTATCTCCGTCAGTTCTGCTCTGATCTTTGTTATTTCTTGCCTTCTGCTAGCTTTTGAATTTGTTTGCTCTTGTTTCTCTAGTTCTTTTAAATGTGATGTTAGGGTGTCAATTTTAGATCTTGCCTGCTTTCTCTTGTGGGCATTTAGTGCTATAAATTTCCCTCTACACACTGCTTTAAATGTATCCCAGAGATTCTGGTATGTTGTGTCTTTGTTCTTGTTGGTTTCAAAGAACATCTTTATTTCTGCTTTCATTTCGTTATGTACCCAGTAGTCATTCAGGAGCAGGTTGTTGAGTTTCGATGTAGTTGAGCAGTTTTGAGTGAGTTTCTTAGTCCTGAGTTCTAGTTTGATTGCACTGTGGTCTGAGAGACAGTTTGTTATATTTCTGTTCTTTTACATTTGTTGAGGAGTGCTTTACTACTTCCAACTATGTGGTCAATTTTGGAATAAGTGTGGTGTAGTGCTGAGAAGATTGTATATTCTGTTGATTTGGGGTGGAGAGTTCTGTAGATGTCTATTAGGTCCACTTGGTGTAGAGCTGAGTTCAATTCCTGGATATTCTTGTTAACTTTCTGTCTCGTTGATCTGTCTAATGTTGATAGTGGGGTGTTAAAGTCTCTCATTATTATTGTGTGGGAGTCTAAGTCTCTTTGTAGGTCTCTAAGGACTTGCTTTATGAATCTGGGTGCTCCTGTATTGGGTGCATATATGTTTAGGATAGTTAGCTCTTCTTGTTGAATTGATCCCTTTACCATTATGCAATGACCTTGTCTCTTTTGATCTTTGTTGGTTTCAAATCTATTTTATCAGAGACTAGGATTGCAACCCCTGCCTTTTTTTGCTTTCCAATTGCTTTGTAGATCTTCCTCCATCCCTTTATTTTAAGCTTATGTGTGTGTCTGCACGTGAGATGGGTCTCCTGAATACAGCACACTGATGGGTCTTGACTCTTTATCCAATTTGCCAGTCTGTGTCTTTTAATTGGAGCATTTAGCCCATTTACATTTAAGGTTAATATTGTTATGTGTGAATTTGATCCTGTCATTATGATATTAGCTGGTTATTTTGCTCATTAGTTGATAGTTTCTTCCTAGCATCAGTGGTCTTTACAATTTGGCATGTTTTTGCAGTGGCTGGTACTGGTTGTTCCTTTCCATGTTTAGTGCTTCCTTCAGGAGCTCTTGTAGGGCAGGCCTGGTGGTGACAAAATCTCTCAGCATTTGCTTGTCTATAAAGGATTTTATTTCTCCTTCTGTTATGAAGCTTAGTTTGGCTGGATATGAAATTCTGGGTTGAAAATTCTTTTCTTTAAGAATGTTGAATATTGGCCCCCACTCTCTTCTGGCTTGTAGAGTTTCTGCCGAGAGATCCGCTGTTAGTCTGGTGGGCTTCTCTTTGTGGGTAACCCGACCTTTCTCTCTGGCTGCCCTTAACATTTTTTCCTTCATTTCAACTTTGGTGAATCTGACAATTATGTGTCTTGGAGTTGCTCTTCTCGAGGAGTATCTTTGTGGCGTTCTCTGTATTTCCTGAATTTGAATGTTGGCCTGCCTTGCTAGGTTGGAGAAATTCTCCTGGATAATATCCTGCAGTGTTTTCCAACTTGGTTCCATTCTCCCTGTCACTTTCAGGTACACCAATCAGACGTAGATTTGGTCTTTTCACATAGTCCCATATTTCTTGGAGGCTTTGTTCATTTCTTTTTATTCTTTTTTCTCTAAACTTCTCTTCTCACTTCATTTCATTCATTTGATCTTTAATCACTGATACCCTTTCTTCCAGTTGATCGAATTGGCTACTGAAGCTTGTGTATTCGTCACGTAGTTCTCGTGCCATGGTTTTCAGCTCCATCAGGTCCTCTAAGGACTTCTCTGCATTGGTTATTCTAGTTAGCCATTCGTCTAATCTTTTTTCAAGGTTTTTAGCTTCTTTGCGATGGGTTCGAACTTCCTCCTTTAGCTCAGAGAAGTTTGATTGTCTGAAGCCTTCTTCTCTCCGCTCGTCAAGGTCATTCTCTGTCCAGCTTTGTTCCGTTGCTGGCAAGGAGCTGCATCCCTTTGGAGGGGGAGAGGCACTCTGATTTTTAGAATTTTCAGTTTTTCTGCTCTGTTTTTTCCCCATCTTTGTGGTTTTATCTACCTTTGGTCTTTGATGATGGTGACGTACAGATGAGGTTTTGGTGTGGGTGTCCTTTCTGTTTGTTAGTTTTCCTTCTAACAGTCAGGATCCTCAGCTGCAGGTCTGTTGGAGATTGCTGGAGGTCCACTCCAGACCCTGTTTGCCTAGGTATCAGCAGCGGAGGCTGCAGTACAGCGAATATTGCTGAACGGGAAATGTTGCTGCCTGATTGTTCCTCTGGAAGCTTCGTCTCAGAGGGGTACCTGGCCGTGTGAGGTGTCAGTCTGCCCCTACTGGGGGGTGCCTCCCAGTTAGGCTACTTGGGGGTCAGGGACCCACTTGAGGAGGCAGTCTGTCCGTTCTGAGATCTGAAACTCTGTGCTGGGAGAACCACTACTCTCTTCAAAGCTGTCAGACAGGGACATTTAAGTCTGCAGAGGTTTCTGCTGCCTTTTGTTTGGCTATGCCCTGCCCCCAGAGGTGGAGTCTACAGAGGCAGGCAGGCCTCCTTGAGCTGTGGTGGGATCCACCCAGTTCGAGCTTCCTGGTTGCTTTGTTTACCTACTCAAGCCTCAGCGATGGCAGGCGCCCCTCCCCCAGACTCACTGGCACATTGCAGTTCGATCTCAGACTGCTGTGCTAGCAATGAGTGAGGCTCTCTGGGCGTGGGACCCTCCGAGCCAGGCGCAGGATATAATTTCCTGGTGTGCCATTTGCTAAGACCATTGGAAAAGCGCAGTATTAGGGTTGGAGTGACCCGATTTTCCAGGTGCCTTCTGTCACAGCTTTGCTTGGCTAGGAAAGGGAATTCCCTGACCCCTTTTGCTTCCCAGGTGAGGTGATGCTTCACCGTGCTTCAGCTCATGCTCGGTGCACTGCCCCCACTATCCTGCACCCACTGTCCGACAAGCCCCAGTGAGATGAACCCAGTACCTCAGTTGGAAATGCGGAAATCACCCATCCTCTGCGTCATTCACGCTGGGAGCTGTAGACTGGAGCTGTTCCTATTTGGCCATCTTGGAACCGCCGTGTAAATTTTTTTATAGAGAGTTGGTCATTATTAAGTAGTCTATTGAGATTTTCCCTTACAAGTTCTTCCATTGCATTTGTGTCTGGAATCCTTGACCATTCCAAATTATTTCAATGTTAATACACTTTCTACTAGTTTAAATAAAATATCATTTTTACGTTTAACTATTTAATATATATGGAATTTATTTTTATTTTGATAGAAAGTGAGAATCTAAATAGTTTCTTCCCAACAGTTAATCTTATCAACACCATTAAATAATTCTTTCCTTTTGGATTGTGATGTAACCTTTGGCATATACTAAATTTTTATCCATACTGAAGTTTGTTTCTGTACCCTCTTTGTAGTTCTGTTGCTTCTGGCATGTTTATCAGGCCTATATACCATTTTAGCATTACAACATATTTTACTAGTTAGTAGAGTAAGTCTCCCTCTATCATACTTCTTTGTTGAACTGTTCTAGTCTCAATTATTGGTTCTTCCAGAGAAACTTTAGAGTGATGCTGTCAGTTTTAAAAAATTTGATATTTTTATTAGAACTGTATCAAATCTATAAATTGAGAAAGATACCTTAATAAGATTTTATCTTTACATTTAAGAATTTATGTCTCTATTTATTGATATATGCTTTTGTTCACATTAAAAGTTTAATAATTTTATTCATGTGGATCCTTCATCTTTATTTCAAACTTAGTTACATTACATTTATGTTCTTGTCACATGTGGATTGTTAAAATTCTTTTGGCTACCTTATTTCTAAATGAAATTATTAGCTCCATTGTTTTTTAGATTATTTTCTTGGATATTTTAAAAGTAAATAGTATCAACTGAAATAATGATTATGTTTCTCCTCTATTCTAATAATTATTCCTGTTATTATGTTTCAAGGCATTGTATAAAGCTAAAATTTCTATAAATCATTAAGAATGGGTGTGACAGCAGTTGGGCATGGTGGCAAGTAGTCCCAGCTTCTTGAGAGGCTGAGGTGGGAGGATCACTTGAGCCCAGGAGTTTGAGAACAGTCTGGGCAACATAGCAAGGCCCCATATCCTAAAAAAATAAATGAGTGTGATAGGAATATCATTGTCTTATTTCTGACTTTAAGGTTATGTGGTCTGCAGCCTGAAGCCAAACTCATTTGTCATGTTAATAAGGTATTCTGCTATCCTTAATGTGACAAGATAATTTATTGAGATATTCATTTGAGTTTTTTCTTGCTATTTTTTTTTCATCCCCACTCTGAGAAGGGAGCCAGGATCTCCAGGCTCCTTTTTTGGAGAAGTTTGTGTGGCAGAGCTGAATGCATTAGATGTCTTTCTGATTTCAATTTATCCCACATGATTCTGATGCAAATGGATAAAGAGCAAATACTGAGCAATTTTGGAGTAAGAAAGAGAGAAATGAAACATGATGGGCATCTCCCATGCCTTCAGGAAAAGAGGTGGCTTGAAAGGAGAGGTGCTACTGTTGTTGAAGTAGCCCAAGTTGCTCAAGTTCAGGAACATTCAAAGCTGAGGTGAGGAAAGGTTTGAGGGATGAGGACTTGGGTACCTGAGGATGCAAGTTTTGGATGAATCGGCCACACAGCTTTATTTTGGGAATATACTGAGGTGATTCCTTAGTTGGGATAACTGTGGGGAGAAGGTGAAAACCTTCCCCAGGATTTCATATTCCAAAGAATTCCAGAGTATGTGGCCAGGCAGAGGGGTGAGAAGGCTCTGAGGCTGGGGACTGTGCCTGTTGGGAGAGTGGTGAGGACAAGGGCCCCTGAGAAGCCTTTACATGTGGTCTATGTCCAGTCTAGTATCACCAGAGAGAATCATGGAAATCAAACTCTCAAGAGTTTGATCAAATAAAATTAAAGTGGCACTTCCTTTTGACAAAAATGGTATAACATTTTTATACATTACTCATTCTTCTATCCTCCTGTGATTTAAACTTAAAATATTTACTTTTTCTGCATTTAAACATACTATTTCTGGATTCCCTTACTCTATACTATTTTATGTTTACTTTATATTTTATCACTTGTGAATAGATAGATAGATAGATAGATAGATAGATAGATAGATAGATAGATAGGAGACCGAGACTGGGGGAAGCAGAGGAAATAGGACATGACCCAGAGAGATGTAGGAGGCACAGAAAGACATAACGACAGTGCCAAGTACATGGTGCGAAGTACACAGAAATGAACAAGAACAGATAGGTACAGATGTTAGAGGGAAACCATGTAGACAGAGAAGCAGAGCAAATCATGTTAATGACACAGAAGGGTGCAGAGATAAAAGAACAGGCTGTGGTTAGATGTGCAGTTGGATAACAGGTCATGAGCTTCCACTGCAAAACACAGAGTGGCAGGTTTGACACAAAAGGCCCATCTCCCTAGAGGTTGCTACTGTTTTTCTGTTAGGTACTGGGCAAGTACCTTTCATATAGCCAGTGTAACAGCTTCACTCAACAAAACTGCTCAGAGCAGAAGCAGAAGACACAGCTGCTGTAGAGTAAGGTCCCATGTCCCTCTGCCTCTGCTTCCCTTGGGTGCTCCGTAGCCGGTCAAGGCAGAGAACAGGGAGAAGTGCGAATGGTTTGGTATGAACAAAATAATTTCTGTGCATTCTCCATGGCAAGGGAGTGACTCTTCTCTTCCTTTGGTAGAAACAATATCTATCATTATTTCTATATTTTTAAGGCTTTAAAATACTGTTAAACTATAATTCTAAAAAATTATTTAAAAAATGCTTAACTGATCCATTTGCAAGTAAAATATAACCTATTTTCTTTCCCTGGACTGGATCATACATTAGGTCCAAGTGCATCAATCATATCTATTCTATACATGGGCTGTGAGCTTCAGACAAAAAGCAATTTAATGGGAGGCACAGTTTTTAAAATGGGATAAAAAATGGTTGCAGCAACAATTAGAAAATAAAATAAAACCCTAATATCATTTATAGAAGCATCAAAATACATCAAATACCTAAAAATAAAAAATAAACCTAATGAGAGACGTTGAAGACCTTTACCTTGAAAATTACAGAACAATGCTGGGAAAAATTAAAGAAGACCTAAATTAATTATAGTCAGTCTTCTGTATCCATGGGCTCTGCATCTGTGCATTCAACCAACCATGGATATAAAATATTTGGAAAAAAAAAGGATGGTCATGTCTGTACTAAACATGTGCAGACTTGTTTTTCTTGTCATTATTCCCTAAACAATATAGTGTAAACAACTATTTACATACCATTTACATTGTATTAGGCATTATAAGTAATCTAAAAATGATTTAAAGTATATGGAAGGATGTGCATAGGTTATATGCAAATGTCATGCCATTTTATACAAGGAACTTGAACATTCATGGATTCTGGTATCTGTGAGGGTCATGGAAATAATCCACTGAGGATATCCACTGAGGGTACTGAGGGATGGCTGTACAAATATTTTATGTTCATGGATTATAAGACTCAATATTGTAAAGATGATAGTCTTAACCAAATTTATCTAATAGATACAATGCAACCCGATCAAAATCCCAGCAGAGGGGTGTGTGTGTGTGTGTGTGTGTGTGTGTGTGTGTGTGAAAATTGAGTAGCTCATTCTAAAATTTATGTGGAAGTAAAAAGGACCTATAATAGCTAAGATAATCTTAAAGAAGTAAGCAGAAGAAAACATAACATATGATACAGAGAAGGACGCAATGACAGGAGAAATAGGGTGCTGAAGGATTCACCCTCTCAGATGTCATGATTTATTATAAAGCTACAGCAGGGCCAGGCATGGTGGATCACGCCCGTAATCCCAGCACTTTGGGAGGCCAAGGCAGATAGATCACTTGAGGTCAGGAGTTCTAGGCCACATTGGCCAACATGGTGAAATTCCGTCTTTACTAAAAAAATACAAAAAATTAGCCAGGCATGGTGGCATACACCTGCAGTCCCACGTACTCAGGAGTCTGAGGCAAGAGAATTGCTTGAACCCATGAGGTGGAGGTTGCAGTGAGCTGAGATCGCACCACTGCACTCCAGCCTGGGTGACAGAGCGAGACTCTGGCTCAAAAAAAAAAAAAAAAAAAACTACAGTCGTTAAGACATGTGGCTCTGGCACAGACAAACAAACAGACTAATGGAACAGAACGAAGAGTCTATAAAGGGACTACACATATATGGCCACTTGATATATGATAGTGGAGAAAGGATGGCCTTTTCAATAAGTGGTGTTAGAGCAACTAGCTATCTATCTTGAAAAAAAAATAAAACTTGACCACATTGTGGTCAATGATTAGTGATGTTAAGTACCTTTTTATATGTATATTGGCCATTTGAATATTGTTTTTGATACACAAAAATTAGTTTCAAATGGACCTTAGATCCAAATATGAAAGATAAAGCTAGGTTTCCAGAAGAAAACCTAGGAGAATATCTTCCTGATTTTGGGTAGGCAAATATTTCTGAAACGGAACATGAAAAGCACTAACTACTATGAAAGGAAAAATTAATAAATTTGATTTCATTAAAATTAACTCCTATTATTCAAGACAAGATATTTGTAAAGATAATTGCAAAATATTCAACAAAGAGCTCATACTCAGAATACATAAACAACACATGAATCAAAAAAGAAACAATCCAATTTAAAAAATAAAAACAAAACCCCCCAAACCCCAAAACAACATGGGCATATGACTTGTACAGGCCCATCTCAAAGGAGCATATCTCTAGCTGTTTATGAAAAATAGTTCTTCTAATCATAAAGATCACAGAACTGATGACAGGTAAAACTGTCTCCTGCACAGGTCTCTGGTCTTTTGAGAAATGACAACCTGATATGAGCTTTGGTGTTAAAATCTCATACGATTTAAACTACAGTCCCAGAGCTACAGTTTACCATCTAATACTATATATATTCCTATATCAGAAGTGTAGGATTCCTTGTAGATTTATATGCTCCAGAATAAACTCTGAAGAGAATGGAGAAAAATTTCACTCAAGGGCAAATATGGAAATTCCACAGACCCAAACATGTCCCTCACTTGCAGATCTCCTCTGGGATGATTTCTCTTACCTCCCAGGCAGAGATGATGGCTCTGACCTTCATGGAATTCCTACACCTCATACACATCTATCTGCCACTAGCACATGATAACTCAGTTATTGGTTTACATGTCAGTTCCGTCTTCCCCACCTGACGGATAGCTCCTTAAAGGAAAGGGCTGTGTTTAATTCATCTTCAGATTCCTGGTATCTAACATGGTATAGGGCAGATAGTAGGTACTCATAATATTTCTGAAGGACTAAACGGATGATAGAACAACCTGAAGATAGGTATGCAGAAAACTTTGAAAAGTCTGTATGGGAAGCCCAAAGGGAGCCATGAGAACCCGAGAGTCAGAGAGGCTGGTAGAGCTGGGGACTTGAGGAAACCACCCAATGTGTTACAAAGAGGTTCCATACTCTAACATCCTACATATTTTTTTCACATAGTAATTTTAAGTTAAATCACAGAGATATACAGAAGTTCATCGAGGGCCTAAAAGATTAGTTCTGCATTTGACTTTTGCTCTGAATGTTTACTTAAGATCTTTGTACAAAACAGACCCATATGAATATCCTGTTCTTTATAAACAAACAGTAGGCCTTCTGATCTGCCATTGATAGATAGCATTTGAGGATTTTTTTTTCCCTTTAGACTGGAACAGCACATGTGTGTCCTCTCATCTCCCCTATGAACACATGTTCAAGTTGGTTGGATGAAATTAATTAACCAGGGGTCAAAATTTGTCTTGGCTTATAACTAATTAGTTCATAGATGAAACATATAACTTTGGTACCTAGTACCAATATGCATCATCTTTTAACTAACTGAACTGAATCAAAGACAATAAAATTTAATGAAGAATTAATTTCAAAGCATAAAGTTATATTACATAATTTTGTTTGTAATTGAAAATTTACCAAAGAGCATCAGTAGTTGTTCACTGGGGTACTTCGCACTTAACAATGCTGACTACAAAATGTACATGAATTTGAAGGCTACAAATTTCAACATCATAAGACTCTAAAATAATTACACACATATTAGATTAACATTTTCTCAGTAATAGTTAAGTCACTGATAAGAATTGCCCAGCTAGATTTTTTACCTCTCCAAGGACTTCCTGTAAGATTTCAGCATGTTTTTCATATGGCTGTTCAAAGTTTATATCCTGTGACATTTTTATAGTCTCTTCAATCATGGTCACAACCTCTGGATGATCTGCAGTTACCTCTTCTATCAAGTCTTCTGTTGGGGCTAAAGTAAAATAAGCTGATAAATTAATGCCATTAATAATTTTAGTGGACAATACTACTTGCAATAAAACATGATTGATAATATCTGACCCAAGAAAGTATTATTTTCATGTCACCGCAGCACATGTTGGAAGGAGGGAGAAATAAGACTCTGGAGAGGAAATGTTAGGTCAGGAATCACAGCACCGCAAACTCTCAGAGAAGTAACTTAAAGCCAGTACAGCAGAATGAAAGTGAAAGAGGCAAGAAGAAAGTCATGTCTGGCAGGAGTCAAAACCAGGGAAGAAATGTAGGGGCCAGAGGATTCCAGGAATCAAGTGAAAGCATAAGCATCCAGGGAATGAGTCAAAAAACAAGATGGATACTTCCAGTTACTAGCATGAGACTACAAGGGACAGTGAGAGGACAAGAGGTAGGCAAGTTGGAGGGGATGGAGAAAAGGTGGCATAGCCTGGTGTTTCAAGTGTTACACTTGATTCTTGTCCTTTTTGGTGTGAAGTGTGTCCTTGCATGGCTGAGTTGGCTCTCAGGCTGCATCATGATGTAAATGTTTGTTCATCTGCTACTCTAATGAGATAGGAGTTTGGCAGTTTCACCTGACTCCTTGAATTCTGCATTTGCAGTCAAGCTTCTGAGCCTCTGCCTCAGGGCTCCAACTGTCAGGGTGTCTAGCTGGAGCCAGACTGATCCCAACCCAGAAAAATCCCAAAGGGTCTTCAAAAGCAGTTGCCTGCTGCCCTCCCTGCCTGAAAGTGTTCTCAGGGATCAAAAGACTCACAGTTCCTGGAAAGCCAGAGCAGAAAAGTCAAGAACCCATGATCTTACTGTGCCCATGGGAGCGGGTGCATAGTGAAGCAGAAACAGCCAGGCAAAGATGCGAAATGTGCTAGAAGCCGCTAATTGTCCACCCAATATCCATTCGCCTCTTCCTTCATACAGCAACCCTGATTTTGTCAAGGCTAGCAGTGTGCCCTGCTGAAAAACTATATCTCTCAACTTCCCTTATAGCTTGGACAGCCAACAAGAGGCAAGCAGAGTTTGTGTGTGTGTGTGCACATGTTTGTGTGTGTGCACTCGCATGCACATGTGCTCCTCACACTTGGCTGACTCAGCTAAGTGCCAGTTTTTGTCTTTCCTTTCCTTTTCCTTTCCCTTTCCAGTGTTCCTGCTAGGTACACTGATGTGATGGCTGGAGCTCCAGCAGCCATCTTGTGGCCTATTATAGTAGCTGTGTGCCAGGGCTGGCAGAGCAGAAAGATAGATTGCCTGTCTTCCCAACATTCTTTTTCACCAAAACAACATATCAAGTATTAGTTTTTCAGTGTTCTTGCATGTCCAACATAATAGAGTAGCCATTAAAATAGAGTACTTGGGTATTAATCATGCTTTTATTTTTTTTGAAAAATCACACATTTCTTCTTCTAAATTCTGAGGGAACTACTTGTGTTTTTTAGAACCACAATCTAAAAGAATCAAATTATACAAATATTAATTTACCTGTATCTGAATACAACTTTACATCTTGACTAGCATCTTGAGAATGCCTTTTAAATGTGAATGTTTCACCAGTTTCTTTTCCATCTGTGAATAAAACATTGTGAATGCCTAAAGAACGGTATTAAAAAAAATGTAGGTGATTCCCAAGGAAGATTGTAATATAAGCCTAGGGAACCAGGACTCACATTCCCAATTTTTAATTAAAATAACAACCCTAACATTTAAATGGGTAAATATATTTAGCAGCAGATAATGAACATAATAACAAAACCAGGAGTAATTTCAGTTTATTATAATGCCAATGGATCTAAATAGAAAAAAACAATCAACAGTGCCCTTCCTGAGGCAACTAACACCCTCTTGACTCCTAGAGGTCAATGATGTGCTTACCTCAGAGACACAGGGCAGAAGAATGCCTTCTTACCCATGGATACTGGCAATATTGGCATCCTTCCAGCAGTGGATAGAGGTGCTGCTGCCTGCTTCTAACTTGGACTGCCTCCCCCAAAGATGGAGCAGACAGTCTTGGGGCAGGGCTTTCTTTGTGGATTGGAGTTGGGAACTCCACAGCAGCAAAGATGAGGCTGTCAGCTGCCATCTGATGGTCAAAAATTTAATGTATAGGGGGTGGGGTCGTTCTGTGAAGGCTGTGTGTGTTAAGGGAGGAGGAGTGCCATACGTGAGTTTCTGACAGTGCCCTGTTCAATTCTTACTAGGCTTTAAATAAACAGCAGGCAAGCACATCTGTCTGAATTAGTAGGAGAAACTAAACAAAAAATCAGCTCTACATTATTTAACAAAATAAATGATAGATGCACTTTAAAACTGAATAAAAAAACCAAAATGTAAGTTTATATATATAAACTTACACAAATATATTTATATAAAAATTTATACAAATACATATAAATTTATGTATATAAAGCTATTATTTATATGTGTCCTTTCAATTATTTATATATAAAAAGTCTTCCTCTCATTTATATAATTATATATTATATATTATAAATTGAACGTTTATAGAATTTGATATAATCAATCAATCCTCTCAATCAGACATTTAGATATAATAATAATCTATCCTCTCAGACACTTAATATATATATAAATGCCTGATTGAGAGAAAGACTTTTTAAGCCTAAAAGTGAAGGAAGAAAGCAACAAAGAGAAAATAATGATTTGACTGCAAAAATATGAAAAATACCTTTACTTCAAAAACAGCAAGCTGACTTAGAAGACAAACCACTCAATTTGTAAAATATATGAAAAATAAGAGACTAATATAGAAAGTTTATACAGAGACTATATAATTGATATAACCATTTAGAAAAACGGGCAAAAGACAAAAATAGTCACCTCAAAAAAGAAGAAATATAAATGGTTAACAAATATGAATATAAATTTCTGAAGTAAAAATTAAAACAACAGAAAATACTGAGGAAACAATGACATGGATTTTGTATATTACTGGGGAAACATAATTTGGAACAATTTTATGCAAAGCAATTTGACTCTGTCTATAGCTTCATATTTATTAATTTAGTAGTTCCTAGAAATCCCCAGGAATTCTAGAGAAATTGTGCAGTAACTTATAATGAGGGTTAAAATATTTCCCAATGAAGTAATATAATTAAATGGTACATTATAAGTAAAAAAATGTAAAAACAGTCTATATTATAGCTATTCTATAATATATTACAGCTATTCTATAATATATTACATATAATTATTATATAATGTAATGCTATATGCTCTTATGTTCAAATATGAATAGAAAAATTTTATAAGGATAAATAGCACAATGGGTAAATGATAAAATTTCACAGCTAAAATTGTGGCCTTAAGATGCTCTGATTCCAATACGTTAAAGTAGAGAGCTTTTAAAAAGAATTTATGATATGATAATGATTTTATAACATTGGAAACATTCAAACATTTTTCTTTGGGCTCTAATTGTATCTGACTCCCCATTTATATGTTTTCTTCTTTATTCTAATAAATTGACTTCTGTTCTACAGTTGTTCAGGTTAAATCCATAAGGAAATATTTAGCTTTTTTCCTCCTGAAGTTTCCAATTTTGGGGGTAATTTTAAGCATAAATATAAACATAATCAAATATGAAATAAATGAAAATGAGATCCACAAACGTGGGATTAGCAGTTCACTTTGTTACCATCTTTATCAACTTTAGCAGCTTGATCATGGAGGACATTTTCTGACTTTGTTTTGGCTTCTTCGGTGTCCACTAAAGAGCTGCCTCTGTCCCTTTGGGAGCCTTGAATGTACCCTGCAATGAAAGAATAATATACTTTATCAGCTAATCTATTTATATTAGGGATGATTTGGTCAATAACATCAGCAATATATTTCTTTACCTTCTTCATCAATTGATGAGTGTGTTGCCTCCATTGGGAATACTCCAAACTCCATTTTTTCATATTGCCTTTGAAATTCTCTTAAAGCTGTTTCAGCTGAAATATAACAATGGGTGGTGTTAGCAAAACGTAGTTGGGGATAGAAAAACAGGTAGAGTGACCAAAAGCCCCTGCTTCAAAGTTAGACACAGTTGAGTTTCAGTTCTGACTTATAAGCTGTAAGGGCTGTGTGACTTTGGTAAATCACTTGATCTTTTTGTCTCAATTTCTAGGCAAAATGAGGATCTTTAAACTGAAAGCACTGCTGTGAGGATTAAATGAGGTAATGAATATAAATACTTAACTTGGAAAATGCTGGCACACAGGAAGGCTGTTCCATGTTAGCTGCCATCCTCTGTATAATCATGTAATTTTTATGTTAAAAAAACCTCAATATTCTCCACTGACAAATTTTTCTTAAAAATATATTGAGGCAAACTTCAACAGCAAAAAATTCCAATTTAAAATTTTAAGTAGAGTTACTCCTATTGTCAGATTTAGAATAATTAGTGAATTTGGAAAAGAAAATAAAAAGGCTTTTAAGTTTGCAGCATATGAGAGATAGCATCTATTGCTATATTCCAGTGGGAGAAGGCAATTTGTGGAAAGCTGTAAAATCTATGATTTAATGTTATAATTTAATGTGAAAGAAACATTACAGATCACTGTTCTTCCTCCAGGAGCCCGGCTAACTTCCTGCCTTGGTCCAGGTCTCAGTCAAACGTCCCCTCTTTGGAGAGGTCTTCCCTGGGCATCCCAACACTTCAGTATCCCTACTCCAATCACTGTCTGCCCCATTACCATGTTGTATTTTTTTTCCATCTGTTCCCTTGGCTTTTTTTTTTTTTTGCCTTCTGCCTTCTATTAAAATGTGAGCACCACAAGGATAGGGACTTCATGTGTCTTGTTCTCATCTGTATTGCTGGTGCCTAGAATAAAGTCTAATACAAAGTAGGTATTCAAGTATTTGTTGAATGAATTAATAAATTCATTTTGTCCAGCCTTAAATAGGTTGAATAACAAGCCACTTTAGTAGACTGAGCCAATATTTCTCCAGCTTCAGTTTGTAAGTTGACTGAGATATTTTAAAATTTTAATTTTAATTTTGAAGGTATTATACTAAAAATATAACTTCACTCTAGATTGTCTGGATAACCATTTGGATGGCATGCAATTTCAGTGCTGGTCTTTTTGTTGTTTTTTGTAATCTCTTGGGCACCATGTTGAATTATTTTATTTGTTTATAGGCTGAGAAAGAAGAGAGGCAGATTTATTAGGTAAATACTGTGTTCTCATCTAGCAAAAACTCAACACAGAGAAGTAATTTCCTTGCTATTTAAATAGTTTCAAGCATGCAAAATGTTGAGAAGCTTCCCAATTTATGTAAAAAGTTAAAAAAGAAACGATAGCAAACTCTGACAAATAGAGAACATCTCCCCCGCTCAACTATAAACCAGTCACACCTAAGAATGTAGGGGAAAAGTCCTAAATAAACAAACAAAAGTAAAAAAAATGTTATAAGAATAATGAAACTAGGCACAGCGGCTCATGCCTGTAATCGCAGCACTTTGGGAGGCCAAGGCCGGAGGATCACTTGAGGCCAGGAGTTAGAGACCAGCCTGGACATCATACTGAGACCCCTGTCTCTGCCAGAAAAAAAAAAATCACAACCACTATTTGACATTAATTGCTTACCTACATAATTAGTCAAGAAAGGAAATAAATATAAGTATTGGAAAAAGAGGGGTTTAAACTATACTTCTTTTCAAATTATGTGATTAGCTCTCTGGAAAACCCAAGAGAATCAACTGAAAGTCCAACTGAAACGAAGTAAGGTTTATTTCAGAAATACAAGAATTGTTTAATGTTGGAAAATACATTAGTATAACTGATCAAATCAATAGGTCAAAGGATTAAAAACTTAATGATTTTCTTGAAAGATGCTGGCAATACATTTGATAATTTTCATTTTTTTTTCTTTCTTTTTTTTTTGACACAGGTTGGAGTGTGGTGATGTGATCATAGCTTACTGCAGCCTCAACCTCCTGGGCTCAAGTGATCCTCCCATCTCAGCCTCCTGAGTAGCTGAGTCTACAGGTGTGGACCCCCACACCCAACTAATTTTTTTTTTTTGGTAGAAATAATGTCTCCCTTTGTTGCCCAGGCTGATCTTGAACTCTTAGCCTCAAGAGATCGTCCCACTTTGGCTTCGCAGAGCATTGGGATTACAGGTATGAGCCACTGACCTTGACTGCTTTTGGCAATTTTCAATATCTATTCCAGATAAAAATACTTAATAACCTGATGGAGAAATATTGACCAGAACCCCTTTAAAGATGGTCAGTATCACAACCACTATTTGACATTCTAGAATTGCTCACCTACCTAATTAGTCAAGAAAGGAAATAAATATAAGTATTGGAAAAAGAGGGGTTTAAACTATACTTCTTTTCAAATTATATGATTAGCTCTCTGGAAAACCCAAGAGAATCAACTGAAAGTCCATCAGAACTAGAAAGTAAGTTTAATAAACTAGATAGTTATAAATAAATATATGAAAATCAAATAGCTTTCCAACATACTGTTAATAACTACTTAGAAAATATTATAAAAAGATCCCATTCACTAGTAATAAAATGACAAAATATCTGGAAATAAGCTTATTAAGAAAACTGTAGACAACACATGAAGAAAGCTACCAAATATTATGGAAAGACAAAACTAGACTAAAAAATGGAGATTTCATGTCTGCATGAGAAGATCTAATAGTAAATATGAGAACTCTTACCAAATTATTATATAATATTAATACAATCCTCCCATTTGGATTTGTTGTAGAACTTGAGAAAAATTCTACAAGCATCCTAACATCTAGTACAGTTTCTGGCAAACAATAAGCACCCATTTCATGGAACAAATGAAGAAATAATCAGGAAACAACTTAAAACAAAATGTTTTGAGGGAGGATTTATATTATCACAAGAGTAAAAATGTATCATAAAGCTTTGATAATTACATTATGTATTAAAAGTTTACTATAAATATCAATAGAATAGAAATTCCAGAAGTTTATACATACACACACAAACTTAATATTAGGATAAAGTTGGCATTTCAAACCTCCAGTAAAATTATGGATAATTTAGTAATTGTTATTTGTAACATTGGCTCAGCATTTGGGAAAAATAATGAATTTAGAGATATATCTAATACAAAATGTATTATAATAATTACATCTTAATTAGAAAGAAGTATTATTTTAAAATCAGTGAATGTAATTTTGCGTATACCATAGGATCACAATTAACCATTACAAACATGAATAGAAAAAAAGAGAGCAGCAAAGAATAAGAATGGTTCTCGTTCTAAGTATGAGTGAGTTTTCCTTCTATCTGCTTTTTCTGGTTTTCTGTGCTCACTTGAGAGACACAGTAAAGAAGAGCACATTTATTTGAATCCCAATCACTTGCTGGCTGTTGACTCTTAAATAATCCCTCTGAGTTTCTTCAACCACTAGAATTGGCCATAAGAACATCTACCGTGCAAACTTGTCATGAGGATTAAATAGGATAATACATGCAATGCAGTTAGCATAGCTCCAGCCTGTAGTAAATGCATCACGAATGGCTATTATTACTTTTGTCATCAGAAAAACATAATTAGGAAAAGGATATTTGGAATGGATGCACTGATGGCCACAGAGTGCACTGCCATAGCTTCTGGGACTCTGAACAGTGGTGACTGAATCTAGCTAAAATTGCTGAAGCTAATCCCAGATTTTGGATTTAGATTTTTGAAAGTGAGGAAGATCCCATGTTGTACATAGGAAATGTTGCATTAAGGACATTCCATTAAGAGGAAAGGTTTAGATTAAGCTACTTTCATGTGTTCTAATATGATTAGTTACAAGACTACCAACTAGAGATAGAAAGTCTGCAAAAACCAATCAATGAACATCAAAAGTAGTCATGAAATGAGAACTCTCATTTTTCCTGGAGAAAAACAGAAAAAAAAAAACAAAACGCTTTTTGTCTATTCTGCAATGTGATCAACAGTCAGTGAGACACAGGAAGAGGCAGAATGGTCAGGAGAAAGACCACCAGGACTTTGGAAATGAGGGATCAAGTCTCAGCTATGCTACCCGCTGGGTGATTTCCAGGGAGCCATTCAACCTCCATGAACCTCAGTTCTCTCAACTATAAAATTAGAGAAGGGTGTTAAGTGATCACAAAGGCTTCTTCTAGTTTCATCGCATTAAATTAATCTTTCCCAAATAGAAAGATTTAGTCACAATCAGGACTGCCATATAAGTCTAAAACAACAAACTCCACAAGAGTCAGGTGGATTCTTCCTGTTGTTTTAATGACTGGTGTAGATAAAGGTGTAAATCCTGATCAAACAGTCTGCCCAGTAAGGTAGACCCATTGGAGAAAGAAATCCAAATTTAGAGGCTCATTCTGATTCATTCCTTAGAGGTCTAGAATTGAAAGTTTTTTTCTCTGCTTTTGAATTGGTTTATGTACATCCATTCTTCAACCATTTGTTAAGAGTCTATAATGTGTAAAGTGCCAAGAATGCCAAGATGAGCTAAACAAAGTCCTTGCTTTCAAGTAGCCCGGCTTAATTTTTACCTAAACTTAAAACACACATTTTAAAAAGATGTTTCACCTTGTTTTCTAGCTTGCAGTTCCCTGAGAAGCTTTTCTTTCACAACTTTAATTGCTGCTGCAGTGGCCTCAGCTATGGTATTTTCTACTAATGTTTCACGGGCTTTATCAAAACGTGGCTGAACAAGTTGGGCATAGTCGACTACCTGCAAAGAATATTTGAGAAAATCGACATAAGCAGGAGTTATTGTGACTATTAAACACATTGTTCATCTATCTATGTATATCTATCTATATTTCTATCTCTATTCCAAAAATATTAATACTGCTTGAGGTATATTTGGAGTTATGTTCAGAATTCACCTATTTTTGAGTACTTGCTTTAATAGAAATTCAGCCATATTTTTCATGTAGGATATATGTCTATATATGTATTTATCATGTAGTATATATATTCAGATTATGTATATATTTTGACTTAACAGAAGTTAAAACATATATATATTTTAAATCCATGTTATATGTATAACTTACATACAATAAAAGGCATACATCTTAAGTACACAGTTTGATGAGTTTTCACAAATATACATATATATATATTAACCACAATCAAGATATAGAACATTTGCCGGGTGTGGTGGCTAACATTTGTAATCCCAGTACTTTGGGAGGCTGAGACAGGAGGATCCCTTGAGGTCAGGAGTTCAAGAGCAGCCTGAACTTTTACATCACTCCCTAAATTCCCTTATGCTCCTTTGTTGTCAATCCTTTCCTGCCTTACTCCTTCCCCAGCTTTCATTCCTGGCCCCTGGCAACTACTTTCTTTCTGTAGCTATAAATTAGTTTAGTGTTACCTTTTCTAGAATTTCATATAAATGAAAGCATACAGTATGTGATCTTTTTCAGGTTTTCCCTCCTTAGCAGAATGTTTTGGAGATTCATCAGTGTTATTGTGGGTATCCTTTTTATTGTTGAATGGATTTCATTGTATGAATATACTACAGTTTTTTATTCATTTATCTATTGATAGACATTTGGGTTGTGTTCTAGGTTTTGGTTATTATGAATAAAGCCGTGATGAACACTTGTACAGAAGTCTTTTTGTGGTTATGTGTTTCCACTTCTCTTGGGTAAATACCTAGGAGTGAAATTCCTGGGTCATATGGTAAGTGTGTAGATAACTTTATAATAAACCATCAAACTGTTTCCAAAACAACTGAACTATTTTACATCTCTACCAGAAAGATATGAAAGTTAGTTTCCTCGCATCCTCACCAACACTTGGTTTTGTGAAGTTTTTAAATTTTCTAGTGGGTGTGAAGAAGTATCTCATTGTAGATTAAATTTACAGTTCCTGAATCATGAATACTTTTGAACTTCTTTATATATGCTTATTCACTTATTTTTTTCTCTTTAAGCATATGTTCAGCTTTTGCCTAAAATTGTGTTAGAATAATTTCTATGTTCTGGATATAACTTGTCAGGTAGATAATAGATTTAATACAGAATATTGGGATCTTAAAAATAGGATTCTATGTGTCTTTAATTAATATTTACAGATCCCTATATTCCCATTCTGCTTTTCTTTTGGTAGGCTTACACTGTTTTATTCCATGCCAATAAATCTTCATCCACATCTTCAGTTTTTAGTACATGCATAGTATTGCATCAGATGAATATGTTACAACTTACTTAACTAAAATATGAATACATATGTATGGTATACTATATACACATAATAGTATACACATATACACCATATACTATATATACTATTCATACATATACATATACACCATATACTATATATACTATTCATATATATACATATACAAACATATACATATATATGTATATACTTGCTGATAAGAGCATAACCATTAGGCATAGGAATTGGAAATACATATGCAAGCCTAAATTCCATGCATATCCTTTGAACTGTCAATTCTGTTTTATGGATTTTTCTTAAAAAACTGTCAAAGATCTACAATGAACTCAAACAAATTTACAAGAAAAAAACAAACAACCCCATCAAAAAGTGGGTGAAGGACATGAACAGACACTTCTCAAAAGAAGACATTTATGCAGCCAAAAAACACATGAAAAAATGCTCATCATCACTGGCCATCAGAGAAATGCAAATCAAAACCATTATGAGATATCATCTCACACCAGTTAGAATGGCAATCATTAAAAAGTCAGGAAACAACAGGTGCTGGAGAGGATGTGGAGAAATAGGAACACTTTTACACTGTTGGTGGGACTGTAAACTAGTTCAACCATTGTGGAAGTCAGTGTGGCGATTCCTCAGGGATCTAGAACTAGAAATACCATTTGACCCAGCCATCCCATTACTGGGTATATACCCAAATGACTATAAATCATGCTGCTATAAAGACACATGCACACGTATGTTTATTGCGGCATTATTCACAATAGCAAAGACTTGGAACCAACCCAAATGTCCAACAATGATAGACTGGATTAAGAAAATGTGGCACATATACACCATGGAATACTATGCAGCCATAAAAAATGATGAGTTCATGTCCTTTGTAGGGACATGGATGAAATTGGAAACCATCATTCTCAGTAAACTATTGCAAGAACAAAAAACCAAACACCGCATATTCTCACTCATAGGTGGGAATTGAACAATGAGATCACATGGACACAGGAAGGGGAATATCACACTCTGGGGACTGTGGTGGGGAGGGGGGATGGGGGAGGGATAGCATTGGGAGATATACCTAATGCTAGATGATGAGTTAGTGGGTGCAGCGCACCAGCATGGCACATGTATACATATGTAACTAACCTGCACAATGTGCACATGTACCCTAAAACTTAAAGTATAATTAAAAAAAAAAAAAAAAAAACAAAAAAAAAACAGAAAGAGAAATTCCAGAGCAAAAAAAACAAAAAAAAAAACAAAAAAAACTGTCAAAGATATGTTCATAATTTTGTTCATCATAGCCTAGTTTATAGTTGCAAAAATGTATATATCAAAATATAGATAATACATGTGTATTATATATTATCTATATATGTGTATTATATATTGTATATATTTTATACATTATATATAATACACATATTGTATATATTTTATACATTATATAATATACATTTTTATATATTTTATACATTATATATAATATACATATTGTATATATTTTAGACATTATATATAATATACATATTATATTATATATTATGTACATATACATTCCTATAAGAAAAAGAATCAGGAGTCTCCATATGTATACATACACATACATGTACATATATGTATATGTATATACTATAGTCATATATATAGTATATATAGCATACTATATCGTATAGTATACTATGTATATAATAATATGTAATATATATTTGTATAATAGTATACTATAGTATATTATACATCAATGTATAATATAATATTAATATAATATATATTAATATAGTGTTAATATTATATTACTATTATAAATCAGGATAATACAATAATATATTAATATTAAATTGCATATTATATTGTATATTAATATAATATATGCATAGTATGCTATATATGTATATATGTGTATTATAGACATAAAATATATGTATATAATATATAATGTGTATTATAGACATAATGTATACATATATGATATATGATAATATGTATAAAATGTAGATAATATATAACACACATATTATATATTATCTATATTTTGGTATATACATTTTTGGTACATAAACTAGGCTATGATGAACACAATTATCTACATATCTTTGATAGTTTCTTTAGAAAAATCCATAAAACAGAATTGGCAGTTCAAAGGATATGCATGGACTTTAGGTTTGCATATGTATTTCCAATTTCTATGCCTAATGGTTATACTCTTACTAGCAGTCTATGAGAATGTACTTCTCCCATCCTAGGTACACATCGAAATTAGGTGTTTTTAGTAATCTTTTAACTGTTACAATGAGATTGATATGACAAGTCTCTGTTTTTTGGCATCTCTCTATCAGGGAGGTGGTATCCTTTTGCTAATGTTTAATGGCTATTTGTATCTATTATTCTGTGAATTGCCTGTTTGATTTTTTTTTCCTATTGAAGCTTTATCTGCATATTGATTTGTCTTTTTATATTTTAAAATGATAATTCCTTTATCTGACACATATTATGATGTGATGGGTTTAAAATAAGTCCACAAATCTTTTGACACACCTCCCTTCAGAAGGTGGAGCCTAATTCTCCTCTTTAGTGTAACTAGAACTTAGTAGTGACTTGCTTTAAATAGAGTACGATGCAAGTGATAGTGGATGACTTTTAAGACTAAGTCATGAAAAACATTATAGCTTCCTCCTTGATTAATTCTTTCTGAGGGTAGTCAGCTGCCAGGTCATGAGGACACATAAGCAGTCCTATGAAGAGATCTACATAGAAAGGAACTGAGGTCTCATTCATGTGATCGAGCCATCTTCCAGCCCCAGCCTAGTGTCAGATGAGTGCAGCCCCAGATGACATCTTACCTGTAACCTCATGAAAGCATTTAGGACAGAACCATGTAGCTAAGCCACTCCTGAATTCCTGACTCAGAGAGACTATGCAAGATCATAAACGCTTATTGTTGTTTCAAGCTGTTAGGGTAATTTTTTATGCAGTAATAAATGAGAAACACACACATGGCAAATATATACTCAGTATTTTCCTCTGTATGCTGTCAAAAGTTTTACTTTCCTTTTAATTTTTTTCCTTTTTCCTTCTAATTTACACTTTAAATAATCTGAAATTACCTGGATAAAACTTTTTCTTCCCCAAATGATGAACTAGTTAGGAATCTTAGACACACACACACACACACACACACACACACACACACACACACATTTCTTCTCCCACATCCCTCCGTAAGCCCCCAAGAATTAGATAATACATTTTAAAAAAATAATATGCATTATTCATGTTATTATGCTTATGGAACAATTACTCACAATTACGTAGAACATGTTCATATTTCTGTTCCTGCAGGTTTTTTTTTTGTGGGGGTTGCTTAGTTTTCTATATACCTATCAATAATGAATTCCCAAACTCTTCTTCACAAGTATAAATTTCTGCTTGAAAATACATCAGGTAATCATCTCCCTGGAGCTATCTCTTCTGGACCCCTCTGTTCTCCTACCCCAAACTGGATTGGTTATTTTCTAGGCTTCCAGGCCTGCAGAACAACTGACATCATGGGCTCTCCTTCCCCCACCATCTTGGGATTTCCTAACCCTCTTCCTTGTCAGGGATGCATAGATGCCCTTTTGCTTCTGGATCCCATGTCACCATCTTGGTTTAGGCCCCCATTTTGATGCACTACATCCTCTAGTAGCTTCTGACAAAGAATACATGAGAGGCAATTTTTTGTGTGTGTGACTGAAAATGCCCTCATTCTATTATTAGACTTCGTTTGCCTGAATATAAAATTCTAGGCTATCAGCCACTCCCCCCAAAAATTGTCTTCTGGCTTCCAGAGTTGTGGTTTGAGAAGTTCCATGTTATTGGAATTCCCAGTCCTTTCCATGGGACCTAGTTTTCCTCTCCAGAGTCTTCTAGGCTCATTTTACAGAAGCTTCTGGATCTTTGCCCCCATTGTCTTATAATTTCAAAGTGATGTCCCTTCGTGTAGGTCTTTCTCCATCCATTTTACTGGGAATTTACTGTGTCATTTCTATCTGGAAGCATGTCCTTCAATCTGGGAAATTTTCTGCAGTTATCTCTTTGGTAATATTCTTTTCTCTGGTAGCTCCTACAAGAATTCCTATATGGAAAATGAACACCCTAGACTGACTTTATAGTTTCTTTTCTTTTCTATTCTTTTTTCCATTTGTCAGTTTATACTAATACCTAAAAGGTAACTTTAATTTCTATCTTTTAACTCTTCTATTGAATTTTTCATTTGTGTTATATTTTCTTTTTTAATGTTCTTTCATCTTGCATATATTTTAATTTCAAAGGACTCTTTTTGTTTTCCAAATGTTCCCTTTTCTGTTTCTAATATCCTGATCTAGTTTCTGGATTCAATAATTACTCTTATTTTCCAGAGCATGTTAATAATTGGAAGCTTCATTTGCGTGAGTATTGTTTGTTTAGTGTTTAGGTGATCTGGCTTGGCAATTATATTATGAAACTCGTAGTCATCAGAAGGCCAGAAGTGTCTTTTATCCGAAAATGTCTTTGTGTTAACTCATTTTTCAAGGACATTTTCACTTGCTATATACTTCTAGGATGGCTTTTCTTCTTGTAGTTGTTTAAAGCTCTTGTTTCATTGTTTTCTGATTGCCATTGCTTCTGATGACAAGTTGGCTGTCATTTGTATCAATGTTTTATTCTATTTAACATATCAATTTTTCTGTGACTGCTTTAGGGGAGGGGTCTCCCACCCTCAGGCCATGGACCGGTAGGAACTGAGGGGCACTGCAGGAGGTGAGCGGTCGATGAGCGTTACTGCCTGAGCTCTGCTTCTTGTCAGAGCAGTGGCAGCATTAGATTCTCATAGGAGCACGAACCCTATTGTGAACTGCACATGCGAGGGATCTGGTTTGTGTGCTCCTTATGAGAATCTAATGCCTGAGGATCTGAAGTGGAACAGTTTCATCCTGAAACCATCCTCCACCCCCACAACCCAGTCTGTGGAAAAACTGTCTTCCATAAAACCAGTCCATGGTGCCAAAAAGGTTGGGGACTGCTGCTTTTGGGGTTTTCACCATTAAATATGATGTGTGTAGGTGTGGTTTTCCTTGTATTTATCCTGTTTGGGGCTTGCTGAGCTTCTTGGACCTGTAAGTCAATCTATAATTTTTTGGTTTTTGCTTGGTTTCTTAATTTCAGTAATGTTGACAATATCTTCAAGTATTTTTTTTTTCTGTCCTATTTCCATTATAATCTTCTTCTGGGACTCCACTTACTCACATTAGACCATCTGATTTTCCCACAGGTCCCTGAAGCTCTGTTCATTTCTTTCAATATTTTTTTCTCCCTCTGTTTTTCAGACTGGAAATGTTTTATTGATCTGTCTTCAAGTTCTTCCACAAATTCCAATCTGCAGTCAAGCTAATTCAGTAAAACGTTCAGTTTGGTTTTTATATTTTTAGTGCAGGATTTCCATTTGGTTCTGTTTTAAGTAGTTTTTTCATTTATCTTAAGAGATTCTCTATTCTCTTATAAAGACCTTAAGCATTATTTATAATAGCCACTTTAAAGATTTTATCTGCTAAATCCAACATTTGGTCCATTTCAGGGCCAGTTTCTATTGTCTCCTTTTTTCTTGATATGGGTAACGTTTTCCTGTTTCTTTGCATGTCTTGTAACGTTTCATTACATGTTGGACATTGTGGATGATACATTATTAGGGACTTTGAATTCTGTTATCTTCCTCTGAAGACTGTCAGTGTTGACTTTTGTTCTATCAGGCAGTTCAGTTACAGTCATGTGTTGCTTAACAATGGGGATACATTCTGAGAAATGTGTCATAAGGTGATTT
This sequence comes from Homo sapiens, assembly GCF_000001405.40. Classification (NCBI taxonomy): domain Eukaryota; kingdom Metazoa; phylum Chordata; class Mammalia; order Primates; family Hominidae; genus Homo; species Homo sapiens. The sequence goes on from NC_000006.12 coordinate 109,626,545, forward strand.
TGTTGTTGTGCAAACAGCATAGAGTGTACTTACACAAACTTAGAGGGTACAGCTTACTAAACACCTAGGGTATATGGTATAGCCTATTGCTCCTAGGCTACAAACCTGTACAGCTTGTTGCTGTACTGAATTTTGCAAGCAACTGTAACACAATGTTAAGGATTTGTATGTCTAAACATATCTAAATATAGAAAAGGTTCTGTGCAAATATGGCATAAACATTTTTTAAATGCTACAGCTGTATAGGGAACTTACCATGAATGAAACTTGCAAGTCTAGAAGTTGATCTGGGTGAGACAGTGTGTGGTGAGTGAATAAGAAGGTCTAGGACATTACTGTATACTACTATAGACTTTATAAACAATGTACACTTAGGCTACACTAAATTTATTTAAAATTTGTTTCTTTGTTCAATAATAAATTAACCTTGTCTTATTATAGCTTTTTTACTTTATAAACTTCTAAAATTTCTAAACTTTTTGACTCTTTTATAACAATTCTTACCTTAAAACACAAACTCATTGTACAGATGTACAAAATAGGTTCTTTGTATCTTTATAAGCTTTTTTCTATTTTTCGATGTTTAAGCTTTTTTTTTTTTTTTTTTTTTTTTTAGCCTAGCCCTACATGGGGTCAGGATTATCAATATCACTGTCTTCCTCCTCTATATCTTGTCCCACTGGAAGGTCTTCAGGGACAAGAACATGCATGGAGCTGTCATCTCTTACGACAACAATGCCTTCTGGAATATCTCCTGAAGAACCTGCCTGAGGCTGTTTTACAGTTAACGTTTTCTACAAGTAGAAGGAGTACATTCTAAAATAATGATTAAAAGTACAGTATTGTAAATACTAAGCCATTAACATCATTGTTTTTTATTGTCATCAAGTATGACATAACTGTACATGATTGTATGTGCTATGCTTTTATACATCTGGCAGCACAGTAGGTTTGTTTATAGCAGCATCACAAACACATAAGTAACTTGTGCTATGATGCTACAATGGCTATGACTTCACTAGGCGATGAGAAATTTTCAGCTCCATTATAATCTTATGGGACCACTGTTGCATATGCAGCACATAACTGTATTGGTTTACCACACTGAACTTCTGTTTTTTGTTTTTTTGAGACAGAGTCTCTCCTTGTCACCCAGGCTGGAATGCAGTGGTGTAATCTCTGGTCACTGCAACCTCCACCTCCTGGGTTCAAACAATTCTGCCTCAGTCTCCCGAATAGCTGGGATTACACATGTGCACCACCACACCTGGCTAATTTTCGTATTTGTAGAGACAGGGTTTTACCATGTTGGCCAAACTGGTCTCAAACTCTTGGCTTCAAGTTAACTGCCCTCCTCAGCCTCCCAAAGTGCTGGGATTACAGGCCACTGCAACCGGCCTGAACTTCTATTTTATGCTTTATTAAATCCAAATTTGGAAAGCCCCCAAGTATTTCCCAATTTGATAGGGCTCAATCTCCAAATTCATTCCCCCAGATTTTATTGAGGAGTGGTTGTAGGCTTGGTAAGGGAGGGTGTAGAGTAGGCCTTAATCTAGGTTGTGGTCCTTACACCCAAGGGATGGCCTTTACAGTGTGTCAGCTCAATGTTCTAGTAATAAGGCCTCTCCTTTGCAACTGGGCCAGATGTCTCAAGTCCCTGCACTGCTCAACCTCCAGTATCTGTTCTGTTCACAACCTGTAGGAGCCATCCTTTGATAAGCTTTGTGAAGTCTCCTTTGAGAAGCTCTTGGCCACACACACTTGGGCCTTGCTCCCACCCTACTCACAAGCAGCTCCCTTCTCCCTGCTGCTCTGCTTCACAGTGCAGGCTGCTTCAGAACTGAGCTCAGTCTCCTCAGCTCCATGGAAGCACCATGCTCTGCTTGTCCTGTCAGGAAACTGTCCCTATCCATGCAGACAATTGAGGTAACCATGGAGCTCATCTCATGAGTTTCTCTTCCCGCAGGGATCACGTTAGGAGGGTTAGTTCACTGTCATGGCTGGAATTTAAAGATTCTTAAAAAGATGGTAGCCATGTACAGTTCCATCAACAGTTTTTAAAACTTCCCATTCATACATGTTCTCTTTAGAACAAAGGTTGTCATTCTTTTGATATGGGTGAAAATTTTCATCTTACTATTATTTTATGTTACCTATTTCCTGATGAGGTTAGGCAGCTTTCATAAGTTTTTTCCACTGACAACTCAGTGGAAAACTTCTGTGGTTTTTCTCTAGCTATCTGTTGTCTATTTTCCTAGCATTGCCTATCTTTATCCTTTTGATCTGTAGGCGCTCTAAGTATACAGTGCCAGAAACATGTTTTTAGTTATACTTGTTTCAAAGATCTCCCAGGCTACTGCGTTTCATTTAAAAAAAACAAAGGCCTTGTATCAGAGAGAAATGTTTTATACTTTGATGAAATATAATTATCAATCTTAAAAAATTATTTTGGGGTATTTTCTAATTGCTGCATAACAAAGTACCTAAAAACTTAAGGACTTAAACAAAAATTATTATTTCAGTTTCTGAGGGTCAGAGATAACAATTTTTCATGATTTTATTTTATTTTATTTTACTTTTTTAGAGAAAAGGTCTCACCATTTTGCCCAGGCTGGCCTCAAACTCCTAGACTCAAGTGATCCTCCTGCCTCAGTCTCCCAAAGTGCTGGGGTTACAGGCATGAGCCACCATGCCAGCCGATTTTTCATTATTTTAAATGGGAAATTTATAATGCATTATACCTTGACTCAAATTCTATAATGTAACTAAAACATAAGCAAAGGCCTATTACAAGTAATAGGCAATCATGTTTGGATGCAAAATGGTTAAAACATCATTATGTGATCACCAAACAATTAATATTATTGGTGATACACATTTGTTTTCCATGCAGTAAAATGGCCTTTCTTAGGGCCAGCAACATTTGAGACTCCGTTACTGACACATGAGGAAGTTTTTCTAAACACTTACACTTGATTTTGACATTCTACTACTTGTATTTGAAATGTATCACACCATCTTTCCTGAATATTATAAATTTAAAATGTAGAATTTTCTTTTGGAGATGTAAATATAAACAGTATTTGAAAAATTTTTTTTTTTTTTTGAGACAGAGTCTGGCTCTGTCACCCAGGCTGGAGTGCAGCGGCGCGATCTCGGCTCACTGCAAGCTCCGCCTCCCGGGTTCACGCCATTCTCCTGCCTCAGCCTCCCGAGTAGCTGGGACTACAGGCGCCCGTCACCGTGCCCGGCTAATTTTTTTGTATTTTTAGTAGAGACGGGGTTTCACCGTGTTAGCCAGGATGGTCTCGATCTCCTGACCTCATGATCTACCCGCCTCGGCCTCCCAACGTGCTGGGATTACAGGCGTGAGCCACCGGGAGATATGTGTGGTCTATGATGTTTGCACATTAAAAACCAGGTGATGCTTTACAGGAAAACATTATGTGGGAATACATTTTAAGGGTATGTTTGAATTATAAGACCCTTGCACTATCTAAGAAGTATGAAAGTACCAATTTATATTGAAAGTAATATGTCAGGCATTATTTCTTGGGTGACTCTTTAAAGAAAATAATATATAACATACAAGATAATAGAGAGAAGTTTTAATTAGTTAAAAATGATATTACCTAGGATAGCATCAAAACCCATCAAATACCCAGAGGTCTGTGCAAATTTCTACACAGAAAACTCCAAATTATTACTAACATAAATTAAAGAGGGGCTAAATAAATGGCAAAATGTATCATGTTTATGGACCAGAAGAGTCAATATTGTAAAGATGTCCATTCCTCCAACTGATCTATAAATGTGATGCTATCCTAGTTAAAATCTCAAAAGATTTTTCTACATAAAATTGCAAAGGGCTAAGAATAGCCAATGCACTCATGAAAGAGAACAATAAGATAGAAGACCTTGCTCTACTTGACATCAAGATTTATTGTAAAGCTAAAATAATTAAGTCAATGTAGTATTGGCAAAATACTAATAGAATGATGAAATAGATCAGTGAGGCTCGGTATGGTGGTTCACACTTGTAATCCCAGTGCTTTGGGAGGCTGAGGCAGGAGGATCATTTGAGGCAAGGAGCTCCTGAGATCAGCCTGGACAACATAGCAAGACCCCATCTCTACAAAAAAATACAAAAATTAGCCAGGCATGGTGGTGTGCATCTGTCATCCCAGCTACTCAGGAGGCTGGGGTGGGAGGATTGCTTGAGCCCAGGAGTTAGAGGATGCAGTGAACTATGATGGTATCATTGCACTTCAGCCTGGGCAATAGAGCAAGACCTTGTCTCAAAAAGAAAAGAAAAAAAAAGAAATAGACCACTGAGCCCCAAAAGAGACACACATATGTATAAAAACATGATATAAGACAAAGGGGACAAACAGTTGATAAAGGATGATGTTTTCTTCAATGATCCTGAAACAACTGAATATCTATATGGGAAAAAGTAAAACTTACCCTGTCCTTCACATCATAAGAAAGTCAAGTCTAGGTGGATTATATATCTAAATGTGAAAGTCAAAACAATAAAACTTTTAGCAGTTAATATAGGACAATATCCTCATGATGTTTGGGCGGAAAAATTTTCTTAAGTATGACATAAAAAGCACTAATGATAACAGACAAGGTTGATAAATCATTCCTCATTGAAACAAAGAACTTCTGTTTATTAAAAGATGCCATTAGAAAAGTGAAATGGCAAACCACAGAGAGACAGAGAATAGTCCTAATGCTTATAATCAACAGATAACTTGTATATAGATAATATTAGGAACTCTTACTAATAATATACAAAAACACAACTAAAAATGGGCAAAACACTTGAGAAAACACTTCAAAAAGAGAATATTTAAATGGTCAGTAAACAGATGAAAGAGGTTCAACCTCATTAGTCATTAGGGAAATGCAAATTAAAACCACAGTGAGATACTATTATACACTCACTAAAATGGCTAGAATTAGAAAGACCGACCATAGTAAGAGTTGACAGGAATGTGGAATAACAGAACTCTCATATACTCCTGATAGTATTGTGAAATAATGGAACTACTTTGGAAAACAATTTGGCATTATCTACACAAGTTGAACATATGTCCATGTGTGCACCAAGAGACACATACAAGAATGTTTATAGTAGTGTTATTTACTCCAATCTGGAATCAATCCAAGTTTTATTAGTGCTCAAATGTGGATAAATACATTATGGTATAAGTCAATCAACAGAATACAATAAAACAATAAAAATGAATAAACTACAGCTACATTCAATAGTCTGGACAAATATCATAATTATAATGTTAAGTGAAAGAAGCCAGGCACAAAGAAGATAAATTGTTTAGGTCTATAAAATTCAAAAAAACCATGCAAAACTAGCCTATGGTATTTGGATGTATGCTTCCACGGCAAAACCATAGGAGAAGTATGGAAGTGAATGCCATAAAATTCTGGGCAGTGGTTACCTTTGTGTGGAGAGTGAGGAGACTGGTATTGAGAAGAAACATGAGAGGGCGTCTGGGTGCTGGCAACATTCCAGATTTGACCTGGTTGGTGGTTACATGGGGGTTCATTTTGCGGTAACTCAGTGGGCTTCACTTTTCTGTATGTTTGTCATGTTTCACAATGAAAAAGTTAAAAGCAAATAGAAAATGATACTCCGGCGCTTAAAAGAATGCAACAGCACTTTGAACAACTTCTAACACCTTTCTGTGGCCTGAATTGCTCTGTCTTTAGCCATGATCTTGTGCCATTCCTTCTTGCATAGGCAATCCTCAAGCCACATTGCCCCTTCTAGAATTCCTCCACATTCCAATCCCTCATCAAATCTTTCAGCTTTGTCTTCAAATTATATCCCAAATATGCTTGTTTCATACCACTTTTACTGCTATCACTCTTGTCTAAGCTAAAAATAATTTCATTTACTGAGAGTGGAGAACAAGATTACTGAGGGAGGTGTCAAGGTGTTGGGAGGATCATCTTTGTAATACTGAAATCACCAAGAATTAGGACAGGAGTGATTATATGGGGAGAGTGAGAGTGAGCCAGGAGAAGTGAAACCCAGGGGACAGAAGATGAGTAGAACCAAGAAAGCTAATAGGTGGCAGAGTCTGAATGACACGATATTCACATGTGGGAGCTTTTGGGAAGCAGGGAGGGACTCTGGTCTGGAAGCAGCAATAAACAACAAAAAGAATGCCTACCCTACCCCAAGCCCAGTGGAACAATTATTCAATTAAAACATGAAATTTTAAAAACTGAGTACAAATAAAATCCTACAAATTATAATCGAGTATAGATACATGACAGATAGACATAGATAGATAGATAGATAGATAGATAGATAGATAGATAGACAGATAGTTAGTTAGTCACCTTTCCTTTGTAATTTTCTGCAAGCATATTGCAAAGTGTTGTTTTCCCTGAATATTGAGGTCCAAGTATGAATACTTTACATGGTGGTCCTGGCATAGGTGGAAGCAGATAGGGACGTGGGTTCAACAAAAATGGTTTTAATGCTTCTTCTGATGAAAGACAGTAGATTTTACCTAGAAAACTTAAAATATGCCATATTAGTAAACAACTGAAAAGATGTATGAGGAAGATTTAAAATTAAGTTCTGAAAATCTTACTTACCTCACAGAATAATCTGGTAATCCTGAATAAATGTTACCATCTTTTAAATTCACAGGACATGTACGTCCCCATTTACTTCTTTGCCATCTGTATCTTGGTGCAATAAGTTTATAAGATGCAAGAGTACGAAATAGCTCATCCTGTGAATTGCAAATACTACATTAAAAATATGGGCATAAATTTTGCTGAAATTAGGAGCATTAAATATTTCATTTATCATTTTATAGTGCTTTACTATTTAAGAAATAATTTAAAAAGGAAATTTTGGCTTTTTTCTTAATTGCAACATCCTGCACTTGTCCTTGATTTAATAAGACAGTGTAGAACTAGTTTGAACTAGTTGAAAATTACAGGACCCTTGTTTTACAAAGAACTAGTTTACATTTATGTTAAAAAATCTTTAAATTCTACTGAGCAATTTCTATCATATGGTAAAATAAGCATAAGGTAGATAGCGCATTTTCTATCATCTTCCTTAGAAAACAGATTCTGAAAAATTCTTATTAAAAATTTTGGAAAATGTACCAGATTCTTAGCTAATTTACCTTGGCTTTCACATATACCTAAGATGTTATGTACAGATTGTTTTTGCATTTACTTAGCTATAAGCAGTTCTTTAATTCTTAAAATTTAAAGTCTCCTTCATCAGCAATCCTTTCTGTTGGTGACCTCCAGATAAGTTAAGAAATACTTTTCTACAGACTGCAAAATTCTGTAGAAAACTGCTAATTCTCAGTTGGGAACATGCTTATTTTATTTTATATTTATGCTTACTTAACCATATGATAGAAAGGTTGCTTGAAAGGTTCATCTGTCCTTGTGGTTCCTTACCAGGGGATGAGAAAACTGGTGAGAGATGGCATGGTGAGTATTATGGTTTGAATGTCCCCTCCAAAACTCAGGTTGAAATTTAATTGCCATTGTGATGGTATTAAGAGGTAGGACTGTTAAGAGGTGATTAGGTCACGAGTGCTCCGCCCTCATGAATAGATTAATGTCCTTATCTCAGGAGTGGGTAAGTTATTTTGAGAGTGGACTTATTATAAAGGCAAGTTAACCCCTCTTGCCCTGGCTCTGGCTCTTGCACTCTTTTGTTCTTCCACCTTCCACAATGGGAAACACAGCACAAAGGCCCTCACCGGATGCCAGTGCCATGCACTTGGACTTCCCAGGCTCCAAATAAACTTATTTCTGTGAACCAAATGAACTTATTTTCTTTATAAATTACCTAGTCTGCGGTATTCTGCTATAGCAAAAGAAAATGAAGAGAGTGGGCAATGGCGAGGGGAAAACTGCTCCCCCCAACCCTCAGATGTGGGTCACACATGATATATGCTTGCTTCAGAGTTGACTATGCAATGCAGATGAGATTGTGAGCTATGATCTTCCATGGACCACTGCAGCATCAGAGAACAAAGAGGCATGTGCACTGCAGGGATACTGCATGAATGTTCCCAAGTGAGAGCTGGAAGTGATAGTAAATATTAAGGAAACTGTCAATGCTTAGGAGAGTTGTATAAGACTGAGAACCTCATCCATGGAGCACATTAAGCTACAGGCCTTCTCCACAGGGTTCCTGGACAATGAGCTAGGGACTGAAACCATGCCCAGTTAGGTCAGGAGGCAGTCTCTCTTTCCTTATCATCCATATTTCCCACCCATACATGAAAAAAGTATTTGAATAGACCATAAGTATTCTCTAAAAGGTTAAGTATTTGAATAGCAGACCATGTTCCTCTCTCAACTTCATGCCCATGGGGCCACACGTTCAGCAGGTGCCGAAGGGAGAAGAGAAGATGAGCTTTTGAATGAATTTGATATTACAGGCTTAAAAATGATCAGGACTGGCTTCTGGTTAAACAAAGCAGACTGAAAACATGAATTTATGTTTGCTGCTTCCTAAAACCTCACTAAAATGACAGTAGAAGAATAAAAAAAAAAGAAATAAACTCATGAGGACGCAGAGAATGGGAGAAGAGACTAGAGGTGCTGATCAAGGCTGACAGCTCACCAGTTACAGCTACACAGTTTTGTAAGTTAGAAAGCAGATGGATGAGTGGTAACTGACTTATATCAGAGATAGGTGAAAGCTAAATATCTGTAGAGCAAAGATAGGTATGGGAGGGGTAAGAACAACAAGGAGTCAGTGGATTCACTTTGCAAAACCCTGGAAAGACATGGGACCTTGTGATACCAGGTACCTCTGAAGGGGAATGAATGGAGAGCAGAAAACAGTGTAACTGGTTGGAAATCTTTGAAAGAAGGTGCTAGTGCCAGAGCCACTCCTACTCCACTTGGTCCCCTCCCACCACTTCTCTCCCAGTGAGAAGACCAGAAGCATACTTTCTGGAGCCACTTAACCAGAGGAGCATGTGAGGGACCCCAGACACAGCCAAGGTAGCGGGGCAGGGGCAGAAGAAAGTTGGCCACTATAACCACTACCCTCAAGCTCTACTCCTACCCATCCTCTTGCTGAAGAAACTCTGGACCTTTCCATGGTCCAGCAACTAAGGGTTAATGCCTGGCAAATGTCTTCAGCACTTCTGCCAGCTCTGTTGTGATTGGGTGAATGCTCTTGCACCACAAAAACTAATTTGCCAGGGCCAGAACAAAATGAAAATTACAGGACCCTTGTTCTACAATTATTAAGAATTTCAGGACTGCAGCAGCAGAGTATTAAACTAAGCACATGGTCCTGTGTGAAGTTCATGAAGCCAACCCTGCCCCTGCAATGCAGCTGTTAAATTTTTAAAATATCACCATTGGTTCTAGGCACTTTAAAAGCATAATCTCATGTAATCTTTACAATAATACGATGCCATAGGGATTGTTGCTCCTTTTTTAATATATACCATTGAATAAAGGGCAGCAAGGTTAAGCAGAGTCACAGGTCTGATAGGCTGTACCGCTGAATTCAAATCCAGGTCTGTGTGACTCGAAAGCCAAAATTTTTACTGTGCTAGGTGCCAGTCTGACCCTGTCCTTCCTCCTACTGCACAAACCCATGCCCATGTCCTCATCTACCTGCACAGCCCCTCCTCTCCTGCAACTCAGCAGATGCTATAGCTCTCTCACTCTTCACCAGGGAGCTGGAGTCTACAGTAAGGTCTCTGTGGCTTTCCTACCCCTTTAAACCAGTGGTTCTCTTCCTGAGCTGCATAGTAGAATCTCCTAGGGAAGATTTTTGGGTTTATTTTTTGTTTTTTTAATTGTGGCAAAATACACATCCCATAAAATTTGTTTTTGTAACCACCTTTAAGCATACAATTCAGTGGTATTAAGTATATTCACTGTGTTGTGCAACCACCACCTCTATTCATTTCCAGAACTTTTCCATCATCCCAAACAGAACTCTGTACTCATGAAATAACTCTCCTTCCCCCCAGCCCCTGGTAACCTCTATCCTACATTCTGTCTCTATGAATTTGTCTATTCTGTGTATCTCGTATAAGTGGAATCATATGTTTGCCCTTTTGTATCTGCTTGTTTCACTTAGTATGTTTTCATGGATCATATTTTATCATATATAAGAATTTTACTCCTCTTTAAGGTTGAATAATATTCCATCACACACACACACACACACACACACACACACACCACATTTTATCAGTTCATCCATTGATGGACATTGGGTTATCTCCACCTTCTGGCTATTGTGAATAGAGGTGCTATAAATATTGGTGTACAAGTATCTGTTTGAGTTCCTGGTTTCAATCCTTTGGGGGAAATGCCTAGAAGTGTAATTGCTGGATAGATGAGAATTCTATGTTTAACTTTTTTAGCAACCACCAAACTATTTTAAACAGCAGCTGTACCATTTTACATCCCCACAAACAATGCAAGAGGGTTCTCATTTCTCCTCATCAACATTTGTTATTTCTCATTTTTTGAATAATAGCACCCCAATGGATATGAGATGGCATCTCATTGCAGTTTTGATTTGCATTTCCTTAATGGCTAGTGATATTGAGCATCTTTTCATGTACTTACTGGCTATTTATATATCTTCTTTAGAGAAATGTCTATTCAAATCCTTTGCCCATTTTTGAACTGGATTTTTTTACTGCTGTGGAGTTGTAGTTGTTCTTTACATATTCTGCATAGTAATCCCTATCAGATATGTGATTTTCAAATATTCTTCTCCTTTCTGTGGGTTGTCTTTTTACTCTATTGATTGATGTGTTTTCCTTTTTTTTTGTAGAGATGGGGTTTTACCATGTTGGCCAGGCTGGTCTCAAACTCCTGGCCTCAAGTGATCTGCCTGCCTCAGACTCCCAAAGTACTAGGATTACAGGCATAAGCCACCATGCCCGGCTTCTACTGATAGTGCTGATGCAGAAAAGTTTTTTTGTATTTTTCTTTTGTAGTCTCTGCCTTTGATGTCATATCCTATTTTGTTTTGTTTCACTTAATGACAGAGCCCTACCCTAGAAATTCTGTTTTAACTGGCCTGGGCATTGTAATGTTTAAAAAGCTTCCTAGATGACCCCATTTTGCAGTCAGGGCTGGGACCCACTGCTTTAAATATTTCCATTATATTGATTCTCTAAAAATCACCTGCCTTTAGCTGAAGATTATTCATCTAAAGTCCTTTAAAAACACAAGAACTTGTATATTAATCAACTTTAATTGACCAGGCTCCTTTGGTGTCCCAAGAGTTAAAGCAGTGGTTCTCAGACTTAAGTGGGCATAGGAATTTGTTCTAGATTTTGTAAAAATACATTTTCAGGTTCCATCTCCAGATAGTCTGGTTCAATCAGTCTGGGATTTGGGCCTCAGGGATTTGTGTTTGTAGTAAGCTTCCCAGGTGATTCTTTTGGAGGTGGTCTGGACTGCCAGGTAGAAATGCTGCTTAAGGGATATGAATAATGACTCCAGCATACACAGCCACATCTTCCCTTTTATGAAAAAGGAGGCAGGTTCACCTAGTCATACAGCTTATGAACTACAACCTTACACCTATGCCCCATGCATGCAATGCTTTCTAAGGACAAACTTTCTGGCTCAGAAATTTCCTGCAGGTTTTATAGATACTTTTTCTCTTTCCTTCATTGATGACCTAGAACAGGAGGCCTCAGTACTCAGTTTATTTTTCCCAGCCTCTGTTCTGACCAAGCCCACTTTTCTTCCTCTTCAGCACCAGTTCATATTGCAGGGGTCCCAGCACATATCCCAGTTATGTTGACCCACTGAGATCTTGTTATGATACAGGATAACAAAATGACCTCTTTCTTCAAAGATTTTAAAATTTGAATTATGTCTATTTATGATCCTGGCATATGTTTTTGTTTTTTATTTTATTTTTATTTTTGAGACAGGGTCTTGCTTTATCACGCAGGCTGGAGTGCAAGTGGCACAATCATGGCTCACTGCAGCCTCAACCTCTAGGCTCAGCTGATCCCCCCACCTCAGCCTCTCAAGTAGCTGGGACGATGGGCATGTGCTATCACGTCTGGTTAATTTTTTAAAAAAATTTTAATTATACTTCAAGTTCTAGGGTACATGTGCACAATGTGCAGGTTTTTTACATAGGTATACATATGCCATGGTGGTCTGATGCACCCATCAACTTGTCATTTACATTAGGTATTTCTCCTAATGCTATCCCTCCCCCAGATCCCCACCCCACGACAGGCCATGTTGTGTGATGTTCCCCGCCCTGTGTCCAAATGTTCTCATTGTTCAATTCCCACCTATGAGTGAGAACATGCAGTGTTTGGTTTTCTGTCCTTGCCATAGTTTGCTGACAATGATTGTTTCCAGTTTCATCCATGTCCCTGCAAAGGACATGAACTCATCCTTTTTTATGGCTGCATAGTATTCCATGGTGTATATGTGCCACATTTTCTTAATCCAGTCTATCATTGATGGACATTTGGGTTGGTTCCAAGTCTTTGTAATTGTGAATAGTGCTGCAATAAACATAGGCGTGCATGTGTCCTTATAGTAGCCTGATTTCTAATCCTTTGGGTATATACCCAGTAATGGGATCTCTGGGTCAAATGATATTTCTAGTTCTAGATCCCTGAGGAATCACCGCACTGTCTTCCACAATGGTTGAACTAATCTACACTCCCACCAACGGTGTAAAAGTGTTCCTATTTCTCCACATCTTCTCCAGCATCTGTTGTTTCCTGACTTTTTAAGGATTGCCATTCTAACTGGTGTGAGATGGTATCTCATTGTGGTTTTGATTTGCATTTCTCTGATGACCAGTGATGATGAGCATTTTTTCATATGTCCGTTGGCTGCATAAATGTCTTCTTTTGAGAAGTGTCAGTTCATATCCTTTGCCCACTTTTTGATGGGGTTGTTTTTTTCTTGTAAATTTGTTTAAGTTCTTTGTAGATTCTGGATATTAGCCCTTTGTCAGATGTGTAGATTGCAAAAATTTTCTCCCATTCTGTAGGTTGCCTGTTCACTCTGATGGTAGTTTCTTTTGCTGGGCAGAAGCTCTTTAGTTTAATTAGATCCTATTTGTCTACTTTGGCTTTTGTTGCCATTGCTTTTGGTGTTTTAGTCATGAAGTCCTTGCCCCTGCCTACGTCCTGAATGGTATTGCCTAGGTTTGCTTCTAGGGTTTTTACAGTTTTAGGTCTAACATTTAAGTCTTTAATCCATCTTGAACTAATTTTTGTATAAGGTGTAAGGAAGGGATCCAGTTTCAGCTTTCTACATATGGCTAGCCAGTTTTCCCAGCACCATTTATTAAATAGGGAATCCTTTCCCCATTTCTTGTTTTGGTTAGGTTTGTCAAAGATCAGATGGTTGTAGATGTGTGATGTTATTTCTGAGGCCTTTGTTCTGATCCATTGATCTTATCTCTGTTTGGGTACCAATACCATGCTGTTTTGGTTACTGTAGCCTTGTAGTATAGTTTGAAGTCAGGTAGCGTGACGCCTCCACCTTTGTTCTTTTTGCTTAGGATTGCCTTGGCAGTGTGGGCTCTTTTTTGGTTCCATATGAACCAAAACTGTGCTGCCTCACAGTTCAATCTCAGACTGCTGTGCTAGCAGTGAGCAAGGCTCCATGGGCGTGGGACCTGCCGAGCCAGGCATGCAATAGTAACTCCTGGTCTGCTGTTTGCTAAGACAGTTGGAAAAGCACAGTATTTGTGGGGAGTGTCCTGTTTTTCCCAGGTACAGTCTGTCACGGCTTCCCTTGGCTAGGAAAGGGAAATCCCCGGACCCCTTGCACTTCCTGGGTAAGGCAACACCCTGCCCTGCTTCAGCTCACCCTCCATGGGCTGCACCCACTGTCTAACCAGTCCCAATGAGATGAACCAGGTACCTCAGTTGGAAATGCAGAAATCACCCATCTTCTGCATCGATCCCGCTGGGAGCTGCAGACTGGAGCTGTTCCTATTTGGCCATCTTGGAACTCCACCCCAATTTTTTTTTTTTTTTATTTTTTGTAGGGCCAGAGTCTCGCTATGTCCCAGGCTGGTCTCAAACTCCTGGGCTCAAGTGATCCTTCCACCTCAGCCTTCCAAAGTGCTGGGATACTGTGCCCAGTCCTGGTATGCGTTTTTTAAAAATAATTTCTACTCATTTAGGTGAAACTGAGCTTCTCAGAATAGGTCAAATTCTCCAGTTAAAACTCCTTGTGGCACTTTTGGCAATTGGCAGTTATAATCTGATACCCATCACATATGTAGCACATCAGTGCCAGGAACACATTAGTTACTCAAAAAAATTGGTTGAATTATTAAAGAAATAGAGTTAAGAACTTTTAGGTCTTCACATTCTTTGGTGCTGCAAATTTTTAAACTGAACTTGGATTTCTTTCTTTTTTACTGTTCCTACATGTAATTGTTATGATTTTGTTTCAAAACTTGTGTTGTGTCTAATATCTGAAAGGATATTGTGCTAATATTACAGCTTCTTCCTAGAAATCACATCCATTTTTATAAAAGAATACAAATTAAGGCCACAACATACATATATATATGAATAAATATATATATATATATACATTTTTATATATATATAATTTTTTTTCAGATAGCATCTGGCTCTGTTGCCCAGGCTGGAGTGCAATGGCATGATCATGGCTCACTGCAGCCTTAACCTCCTGGGCTCAAGCAATCCTCCCGTCTCAGCTCCTGAGTAGCTGAGACTACAGGTGCATACCACCACACCTGGCTAATTTTTTCTTTCTTTCTTTTTTTTTTTTTTTTTTTGTAGAGATGGGTTCTGACTAGGTCATCCAGGCTGGTCTCAGACTCCTGGGCTCCAGTGATCCTCCCATGGGATTACAGGTGTGAGCCACTGCACCCTGCCCACAACATATATTGAAAATTAGACTTTCAGACAGTTCCATATAACTTACATTTTCCATTGTGTCATTAATTTCTTCCTCTGCACCCTGAAGTTTGGTTAGAATAGCTGCTCTTTTTAGGTTCAGATATTTAAGTCGATCCATAACAATCTAGATTTAAAGAACAGATATTTAACTACATTGGCATCTGAATATCTCAAATACTCTGAAACAGTGGTGGGCTTATGAGCCAAGACCATGCTCCCCCTGACTCTGGGTCGAATCCTTGCTTGCTTCTTCTGGCTTCTGGCTGTTTGCTGACAATCCTTGGTATGTCTTGGCTTGCATCACTCCAATCTCTGCCTCTGTTGTCACAGAAACATCTTCTCCCTGTGTGTCTGAGTCTCTTCTCCTAATCTATAGGCAAAGACCTTATTTCCAAATAAGGTCACATTCATAGGTATTGGACTTCAGGGCCTCAACATATCTTTTTGAGGGACACATTTCAACTCATAACAGTCTGCCCTCTGGTCCCCAGATATTCATGTCCTTAGAGGTCTTGGTCTCTGGGACCTCTTCAGGCAAAGGGATGATTGCCATGTGAAGATGGAGGCAGATATTGGAGTTTTGCTGCCATAAGTCAAGAAATGCCGGGAGCTACCAGAAGCTGGAAGAAACAAAAATAGAGCCTCCCCAAGAGACTTTGGAAGGAGCATGGCACTGCCAACACCTTGATTTTGGACTTTTAGCCTCCAGAACTGTGAGAGAATAAATATCTGTCATTTTAAGCTACCAGTTTGTGGCACTTTGTTATGGCAACCCCAGGAAATTTGTGCAGACACTACATGGAAGAATCTGGAAAAATAAAAGAGGCCAGCACACAGATCATGAGATGGGAGATAGTGAGATAGCCAAAATCCTGATGGTGTGTGGTAGCCTGTGACAGACTGTGTTACAATGCAACCTTCACTGATTAATTCCCTAGTTCATTCTGGGTGGAGTACACTTCCTTATTCCACTAATGTCAAGCTTCTCCATGTAGCCTGCTCTGCCAATGGAACGTGGGTGGAAGTGCAGAGTACCAGTTCCCATGGGCACCTTCACAGGTTTGGCAAGTTCCAGCCAGGCCCCTTGGAGCTTCTGCCCTCTACCTTGAGGAAAGTGTGTCCCAGGTAGTAAAAAGTGGTAGAATTCTGGCCATATTTTGAAGGAGAAGCCTGCTGTATATGCTGGTGAATGGGATGTGGGATGTGAGAAAAAAAAAGTCAAGGAGGGCAGCTGGCTGGGTGGTTTTTGCATTTACTGAAAAAGGAGAACGGTGGGAGAAGCACATTGGGGGCAGGGTGGTGGTGGTGAAGTTCTATCTTGCACACTTAAATCTGAAATGACTAGCAGACATCCAATTGGAAAAACAGCAGTTGAGCAGCCATTAAGTATACAAGTGTGGAATTCAGGGGAAAGATCTGATACAGCATCATGAATTTAAGAGATGTCAGTGGTTAGAAGATATCTAAAGCTACTGACTGAATGAAATCTCTTAAGGAGTGAGGGTAAACAGAGAAGGGCTCATGCCTTGTGAACTCTGGGGTCCTGCAACACTGCAGGTTAGCGAATTAGAGTGTGAAGTGAGGTGTAATGGAACTACTGTGGTGTGGGGTCCAAGAAGCCAAGGGAAGAAGGGTGCAGAAAAAAAGAAGTGATCTGTTGTGTCAAATGCTGCTTCTATTATAGATTGAATTAGATGAAGACTGAAAAATGAGCAGTGACTTTGGTCATGAGATCACAGGTGATCTTGGCAAGAGCATGTCCCAAGTGAGGAGCTTCTCCCTGAGGTGGCTCCACCACTAGCATGCACTGTTACCATGCTGCCACCAGTCATATCAAGCCAGAAATCTGGGCATTATATTTGACTTTTCTCTCTCCCTTAATTCCCATATTAAGTTACTCACCAAGTCCTGTCAAGTAGATTTCTTAAATGTCTCTCAGATCTGTCCTTTTCTGTCCATTCCTGTGTTCACTACCCTAGGTTAGGCCACTATCTCATACCTGATCAATGGCAAAAGCCAAAACTAGTTTTCCTACCACCAATTTGATTCTCCTTTAGTTTTTTTCCTTGCTTGGAACGGAGTGATCTTTCTTAAACAGAAATAGGATCATCTGTACTTTCTGGCTTAAAACCTTTCACTGGATGCCTATTCCCTCATGTTGAGGTCCAAACTCCTTACTATGGTTTACAAGGTCTTTCTTGGTGCAATCCCTTCTTATTTCTAGTCTTGGCTCTATTCCACCCCTCCAGCCCCATCCTCCTACGTTCCAGTCCTATATTCAGTACCTGCAAACCACTATGCTCTTTCTGGCCTCTGGGTCCTTGACACAGACTCTTCCCTCAGCATGGAACACTGTCTCACTTCCCTCACCTCCCCTTGTCTTCAAGGTCTAGTTCTTACTGGTCCTTTAAGTTTCTATTTAAACATAGTTTCAGACTGGTGGTCCTCCTTACCAGACTAGGTTTTGTCTTTATGCTATGAACTGCTGTAATACCATGCATGTGTATCCCTGACTGTAACACAAACTGCTCTCTAGAGATTTATTTTCCCCAACATATTGGATACTGCATGAGCAGAGATGTGTGGACCCTTCTGCCTCCTTCCTATCTTTATCCCTAGAGCCCATTATAATGCCAGACACTTATTTGACATTTAAGAGATAGTTACTATATTTTTGTATTATTGAATTATTTTTGTAAAACATTTTTGGGTTCCAATTTCTCCACATCCTCACCAACACTTTTTATTATTTGTTTTATGTTTGTTTGTTTTTACTTTGGTCATCCTAGAAGGTAAAAGGGGGTTCCCCATTGTGGTTTTGACCTGCCTTTCCCTAATGACTAATGATGTTCAGCATCTTCTCATGTGCTTTTGGTTACCATTGCTTTTACTTTTCTTTGAGACGCCTTTTGAAAGAGATTTTAAATTCGAATGTAGTTTTGATTTTAAAATGGACAGATGAATAAACAGAACATCAAAATTTTAAGTGTTAAGACAGATTGTTCAAAGATAAATGGTGTTCAAATATAAATATGCTTCTGTTTATTAAAAGAAGTACAATACTGTCAATAGATTTAAATTTTCCATGCTGTGAAGTATTCCTGCTTAACACTGCACTCACCATAAAGAGCTCCTCTGCTGGTTTATTTCCATTTAGCTCAATGAGATACTGGGGATTGTGTTCAGCCATTACTTCCTGCAGATAATAGAAAAGAAACTTTATAATACAGGATCACTAGAAAAACTGAATACAAGATCAGAATCTTAATATACTGTGCAGATATATTTAAAGTAAATTGTTTGCCTTATACATGCTATAATGTATGTTATTTTCAATGCTCAAGAGATCTTTTGCAAAAGCTCAAACTAATCTTCTCACCATGAATTTTATTTTCCTGTTTAAAAAAATCTTTTTTCTCTACTTTGATGCCTTAATGTTTTTTCCAATACAAAATGTTTTGGGGCATCTATCTGCATATGTTCATAGCTTTGCTATTTGGTTTCTAAACCATGGAAGCATCTGATTAAACTTTAAGTCACAGACTTTCTTCACATAGATACTAGCATCATTTAGAAGATACAACGTATTTTGATCGTTCCAAGATGGCCAAATAGGAACAGTTCCGGTCTACAGCTCCCAGCGTGATCGATGCAGAAGATGGGTGATTTCTGCATTTCCAACTGAGGTACTTGGTTCATCTCAATGGGACTGGTTGGACAGTGGGTGCAGCCCATGGAGGGCGAGCCGAAGCAGGGCAGGGCATCACTTCACCTGGGAAGCACAAGGGGTGGGGGGATTTCGCTTTCCTAGCCAAGGGAAAGTGTTTCCAAGGGTACCTGGAAAATCGGGACACTCCTGCCCTAATACTGCGCTTTTCCAACAGTCTTAGCAAATGGCACACCAGGAGATTATATGCTGCGCCTGGCTCAGAGCACCCCATGCCCACAGAGCCTTGCTCACTGCTAGCACAGCAGTCCAAGATCCAACTGCGAGGCAGCAGCCAGGCTGGGCGAGGGGCATCCGCCATTGCTGAGGCTTGACTAGGTAAACAAAGCAGCCAGAAGCTCAAACTGGGTGGAGCCCACCACAGCTCAACGAGGCCTGCCTGCCTCTGTAGACTCCACCTCTGGGGGCAGGGCATAGCTGAACAAAAGGCAGCAGAAACTTGTGCAGACTTAAACGTCCCTGTCTGACAGCTTTGAAGACAGCAGTGGTTCTCCCAGCACAGAGTTTGAGCTCTGAGAATGGAGAGACTGCCTCCTCAAGTGGGTCTCTGACCCTTGAGTAGCCTAACTTGGAGACACCTCCCAGTAGGGGCTCACTGACACCTCATACAGCCAAGAGCTCCTCTGAGATGAAGCTTCCAGAGGAAGGATCAGGCAGCAACATTTGCTGTTCTGCAATATTTGATGTTCTGTTCTACAGCGTTCGCTGGTGATACCCAGGCAAACAGGGTATCCATAGAGTGGACCTCCAGCAAACTCCAACAGACCTGCAGCTGAGGGTCCTAACTGTTAGAAGGAAAACTAACAAACAGAAAACAGTAGCATCAACATCAACAAAAAGGACATCGACACCAAAACCCCATCTGTAAGTCACCATCATCAAAGACCAAAGGTAGATAAAATCACAAAGATGGGGAGAAACCAGAGCAGAACAGCTGAAAATTCTAAAAACCAGAGTGCCTCTAATCCTCCAAAGGATTGCAGCCCCTCACCAGCAATGGAAGAAAGCTGGACGGAGAATGACTTTGACAAGTTGACAGAAGTAGGCTTCAGAAGGTCGGTAATAACAAACTTCTCTGAGCTAAAGGAGGATGTTTGAACCCATTGCAAGGAAGGTAAAAACCTTGAAAAAAGGTTAGACGAATGGCTAACTAGAATAAACAGGGTAGACAAGACCTTAAATGACATGATGGAGCTGAAAACCATGGCATGAGAACTACGTGATGCATGCACAAGCTTCAGTAGCTGATTCAATCAAGTGGAAGAAAGGGTACCAGTGATTGAAGATCAAATGAATGAAATGAAGCAAGAAGTTTAGAAAAAAAAGAGTAAAAAGAAATGAAAGAGCCTCCAAGAAATATGGGACTATGTGAAAAGACCAAACCTAAGTTTGATTGGTGTACCTGAAAGTGACAGGGAGAACAGACCTAAGTTGGAAAACACTCTTCAGGATATTATCCAGGAAAACTTCCCCAACCTAGCAAGGCAGGCCAACATTCAAATTCAGGAAATACAGAGAACGCTACAAAGATACTCCTTGAGAAGAGCAACCCCAAGACACATAATTGTCAGATTCACCAAGGTTAAAATGAAGGAAAAAATGTTAAGGGCAGCCAGAGAGAAAGGTTGGGTTACCCACAAAGAGAAGCCCATCAGACTAACAGTGGATCTCTTGGCAGAAACTCCACAAGCCAGAAGAGAGTGGGGGCCAATATTCAACATTCTTAAAGAAAATAATTTTCAACCCAGAATTTCATATCCAGCCAAACTAAGCTTCATAACTGAAGGAGAAATAAAATCCTTTACAGACAAGCAAATGCTGAGAGATTTTGTCACCACCAGGCCCGCCTTACAAGAGCTCCTGAGGAAACACTAAGCATGGAAAGGAACAACCAGTAACAGTCACTGAAAAAACATGCCAAGTTGTAAAGAGCATCAAGGCTAGGAAGAAACTGCATCAGCTAACGAGCAAAATAACCAGCTAACATCATAATGACAGGATCAAATTCACAAATAACAATATTAACTTTAAATGTAAATGGGCTAAATGCTCCAATTAAAAGACACAGATTGGCAAATTGGATAAAGAGTCAAGACCCATCAGTGTGCTGTATTCAGGAGACCCATCTCACGTGCAGAGACACACATAGGCTCAAAATAAAGGGATGGAGGAAGATCTACCAAGAAAATGGAAAACAAAAAAAGGCAGGGGTTGCAATCCTAGTCTCTGATAAAACAGACTTGAAACCAACAAAGATCAAAAGAGACAAGGAAGGCCATTACATAATGGTAAAGGGATCAGTTCAACAATAAGAGCTAACTATTCTAAATATATATGCACCCAATACAGGAGCACCCAGATTCATAAAGCAAGTCCTTAGTGACTTACAAAGAAACTTAGACTCCCACACAATAATAATGGGAGACTTTAACACCCCACTGTCAACATTAGACAGATCAACGAGACAGAAAGTTAACAAGGATACCCAGGAATTGAACTCAGCTCTGCAACAAGCAGATCTAATAGACATCTACAGAACTCTCCACCCCAAATCAACAGAATATACATTCTTCTCAGCACCACACCACACCTACTCCAAAACTGACCACATAGTTGGAAGTAAAGAACTCCTCAGCAAATGTAAAAGAACAGAAATTATAACAAACTGTCTCTCAGACCACAGTGCAATCAAACTAGAACTCAGGATTAAGAAACTCACTCAAAACCGCTCAACTACATGGAAACTGAACAACCTGCTCCTGAATGACTACTGGGTACATAATGAAATGAAGGCAGAAATAAAGATGTTCTTTGAAACCAACGAGAACAAAGACACAACATACCAGAATCTCTGGGACACATTCAAAGCAGTGAGTAGAGGGAAATTTATAGCACTAAATGCCCACAAGAGAAAGCAGGCAAGATCTAAAATTGACACCCTAACATCACAATTAAAAGAACTAGAAAAGCAAGAGCAAACACATTGAAAAGCTAGCAGAAGGTAAGACATAACTAAGATCAGAGCAGAACTGAAGGAAATAGAGACACAAAAAAATCCTTCAAAAAATCAATGAATCCAGGAGCTAGTTTTTTGAAAAGATCAACAAAATTGATAGAACGCTAGCAAGACTAATAAAGAAGAAAAGAGAGAAGAATCAAATAGACACAATAAAAAATGATAAAGGGGATATCACCACCAATCCCACAGAAATAGAAACTATCATAAGAGAATACTATAAATACCTCTACACAAATAAACTAGAAAATCTAGAAGAAATAGATAAATTCCTCGACACATACACCCTCCCAAGACTAAACCAGGAAGAAGTTGAATCTCTGAATAGACCAATAACAGGCTCTGAAATTGACGCAATAATCAATAGCTTACCAAACAAAAAGAGTCCAGGACCAGATGGATTCACAGCCAAATTCTACCAAAGGTACAAAGAGGAGCTGGTACCATTCCTTCTGAAACTATTCCAATCAATAGAAAAAGAGGGAATCCTCCCTAATTCATTTTATGAGGTCAGCATCATCCTGATACCAAAGACTGGCAGAGACACAACCAAAAAAGAGAATTTTAGACCAATATCCTTGATGAACATCGATGCAAAAATCCTCAATAAAATACTGGCAAACCGAATCCAGCAGCACATCAAAAAGTTTATCCACCATGATCAAGTGGGCTTCATCCCTGGGATGCAAGGCTGGTACAATATATGCAAATCAATAAATGTAATCCAACATATAAACAGAACCAAAGACAAAAACCACATGATTATCTCAACAGATGCAGAAAAGGCCTTTGACAAAATTCAACAACCGTTCATGCTAAAAACTCTCAATAAATTAGTTATTGATGGGACATATCTCAAAATAATAAGAGTTATCTATGACAAACCCACAGCGAATATCATACTGAATGGACACAAACTGGAAGCATTCCCTTTGAAAACTGGCACAAGACAGGGATGCCCTCTCTCACCACTCCTATTCAACATAGTGTTGGAAGTTCTGGCCAGGGCAATCAGGCAGGAGAAGGAAATAAAGGGTATTCAATTAGGAAAAGAGGAAGTCAAATTGTCCCTGTTTGCAGATGACATGATTGCATATCTAGAAAACCCCATCGTCTCAGCCCAAAATCTCCTCAAGCTGATAAGCAACTTCAGCAAAGTCTCAGGATACAAAATCAATGTATAAAAATCACAAGCATTCTTATACACCAATAACAGAGAGCCAAATCATGAGTGAACTCCCATTCACAATTGCTTCGAAGAGAATAAAATACCTAGGAATCCAACTTACAAGGGATGTGAAGGACCTCTTCAAGGAGAACTACAAACCACTGCTCAATGAAATAAAAGAGGACACAAACAAATGGAAGAACATTCCATGCTCATGGGTAGGAACAATCAATATCGTGAAAATGGCCATACTGCCCAAGGTAATTTATAGATTCAATGCCATCCCCATCAAGCTACCAATGACTTTCTTCACAGAATTGGAAAAAACTACTTTAAAGTTCATATGGAACCAAAAAAGAGCTGGCATCGCCAAGGCAATCCTAAGCCAAAAGAACAAAGCTGGAGGCATCACGCTACCTGACTTCAAACTATACTACAAGGCTACAGTAACCAAAACAGTGTGGTACTGGTACCAAAACAGAGATATAGACCAATGGAACAGAACAGAGGCCTCAGAAATAATGCCGCAGATCTACAACTATCTGATCTTTGACAAATCTGACAAAAACAAGCAATGGGGAAAGGATTCCCTATTTAATAAATGGTGCTGGGAAAACTGGCTAGCCATATGTAGAAAGCTGAAACTGGATCTCTTCCTTACACCTCATACAAAAATTAATTCAAGATGCATTAAAGACTTAAATGTTAGACCTAAAACCATAAAAAACCTAGAAGAAAACCTAGGCAATACCATTCAGGACAGAGGCATGGGCAAGGACTTCATGTCTAAAACACCAAAAGCAATGGCAACAAAAGCCAAAATTGACAAATGGAATCTAATTAAACTAAAGAGCTTCTGCACAGCAAAAGAAACTACCATCAGAGTGAACAGGCAACCTACAGAATGGGAGAAAATTTTTGCAACCTACTCATCTGACAATGGGCCAATATCCAGAATCTACAAAGAACTCAAATAAATTTACAAGAAAAAAAAACCCCATCAAAAAGTGGGCAAAGGATATGAACAGACACTTCTCAAAAGAAGACATTTCTGCAGCCAACAGACACATGAAAAAATGATCATCATCACTGGCCGTCCAAGAAATGCAAATCAAAACCACAATGAGATACCATCTCACACCAGTTAGAATGGCGATCATTAAAAAGTCAGGAAACAACAGGTGATGGAGAGGATGTGGAGAAATAGGAACACTTTTACACTGTTGGTGGGACTGTAAACTAGTTCAACCATTGTGAAAGTCAGTGTTGTGATTCCTCAGGGATCTAGAACTGGAAATACCATTTGACCCAGCCATCCCATTACTGGGTATATACCGAAAGGATTATAAATCATGCTGCTATAAAGACACATGCAAACGTATGTTTATAGTGGCACTATTCACAATAGCAAAGACTTGGAACCAACCCAAATGTCGAACAACGACAGACTGGATTAAGAAAATGTGGCACACATACACCATGGAATACTACGCAGCCATAAAAAATGATGAGTTCATGTCCTTTGTAGGGACATGGATGAAACTGGAAACCATCATTCTCAGCAAACTATCGCAAGGACAAAAAACCAAACACTGCATGTTCTCACTCATAGGTGGGAATTGAACAATGACAACACATGGACACAGGAATGGGAACATCACACACCGGGGACTGTTGTGGGGTGGGGGTAGTGGGGAGGGATAGCATTAGGAGATATACCTAATGCTAAGTGATGAGTTAATGGGTGCAGCACACCAACATGGCACATGTATACATATGTAACAAACCTGCACGTTGTGCACATGTACCCTAAAACTTAAAGAATAATAATAATACAATTAAAAGAAAAAAAAAAGAAACTCACTAAAAGCCGCAGAACTACATGGAAACTGAACAACCTGCTTCTGAATGACTACTGGGTACATAACGAAATGAAGGCAGAAATAAAGATGTTCTTTGAAACCAATGAGAACAAAGACACAACATACCAGAATCTCTGGGACATATTCAAAGCAGTGTTTAGAGGGAAATTTATAGCACTAAATGCCCACAAGAGAAAGCAGGAACGATCTAAAATCGACAACCTAACATCACAATGAAAAGAACTAGAGAAGCAAGAGCAAACAAATTCAAAAGCTAGCAGAAGGCAAGAAATAACTAAGATCAGAGCAGAACTGAAGGAGACAGAGACACATAAAACTCTTCAAAAAAATCAATGAATCCAGAAGCTGGTTTTTTGAAAAGATCAACAAAATTGATAGACCACTAACAAGACTAATAAAGAAGAAAAGAGAGAAAAATCAAATAGATGCAATAAAAAATGATAAAGGGGATATCACCACCGATCCCACAGAAATGCAAACTACCATCAGAGAATACTATAAATACTAGAAAATTTAGAAGAAATGGATAAATTCCTGGACATATACACCCTCCCAAGACTAAACCAGGAAGAAGCTGAATTCCTGAATAGATCAATAACAGGCTCTGAAATTGAGGCAATAATTAATAGCCTACCAACCAAAAAAAGTCCAGGACCTGACGGATTCACAGCCAAACTCTACCAGAGGTACAAAGAGGAGCTGGTACCATTCCTTCTGAAATTATTCCAATCAATAGAAAAAGAGGGAATCCTCCCTAACTCATTTTATGAGGCCAGCATCATCCTGATACCAAAGCCTGTCAGAGAAACAACAAAAAAAGAGAATTTTAGACCAAGATCCCTGATGAACATCGATGCAAAAATCCTCAATAAAATACTGGCAAACTGAATCCAACAGCACATCAAAAAGCTTATCCACCACGATCAAGTTGGCTTCATCCCTGGGATGCAAGGCTGGTTCAACATACGCAAATGAATAAATGTAATCCATCATATAAACAGAACCAAAGACAAAAACCACATGATTATCTCAATAGATGCAGAAAAGGCCTTCAAAAAAATTCAACAGCCTTCATGCTGAAAACTCTCAATAAACTAGGTATTGATGGGATGCATCTCAAAATAATAAGAGCTATTTATGACAAACCCACAGCTCAGGAGTTTGAGATCATAATGGAGCTTACTTTTTCACTTAACATTATAACTAAACTTCCCCTACACTTTTTATAAGATCACTGTCAATGTAACATTTTAATGGTTTTATAAGATTATGTACTGTGGATATAGCATAATTTATTTCATATTCTTCTGCTGTTTGACATTTAGGTATGTTACAATACTTTATTAGTTATTTTCAAGCATTTCTTTTTATGAAAGTTTTAAAAATTACTTTCTTCTTTAATAATTACAAAAATAACTTGTACTAACTGCAACCAGTGAAGGAATGCAAAAAAGTACATAGAAACAGTTAACACGACTTCTCCCTGCTCCTCCATGCTGCCCGCACAACACAGTGCGTCTTTTTATACAACCATTCACCTCATTGATATAAATATATGCACACATATAAATGTTCAGTAACACAGAATATCCTTTGGTATATCCTGATATATTGGATATATGGGCCAGATTTGTAAAAGTAGGTGTTTTTTTTTTGTTTTTGAGACGGAGTTTCACTGTCACCCAGGCTGGACTGCATGGCATGATCTTGGCTCACTGCAACCTCCACCCACTGGGTTCAAGTGAGTCTCCTGCCTCAGCCTCCTGAGTAGCTGGGATTATAGGTGCCTGCCACCATGCCTGGCTGATTTTTGTATTTTTAGTAGAGAGGCGGTTTCACCATGGTGGCCAGGCTGGTCTCAAACTCCTGACTTCAGGTGATCCACCCGTCTCCGCCTCCCAAAGTACTGGGATTACAGGCATGAGACAACACGCCTGGCAAAAGTAGGTTTTAATATTAATACAGGTAGGTATAGCCAGTTGTTTTTCCAAAGGTGGTGGCAATTCAAAGCCCTAACCCGCAATGTATGAGAAGGTTCATTTCTTCTTGCCACCACTGGCTATCTTAGCTTTTAAATTTCTGCCAAACTGAGTTAAAAAACGGAATCAGTTTATTTTACTTTTTATTCCTGTGGTGAGGTTCAGCATTCAGATATGCATCTCTGTAAACTGCCTTATCATAGCCTCTACGCATTTTTCTTTTGGATTGTTTCCTTTCTCTGACATTCACGGAAAGTTTTTAACCCTTATCTGGCATGTGGATTGCAAACATTTTTCCTTTCTATGATTTATCTTTTGAATGTATTTATGGCGTCTTCAGCAAGATAAAATATTTTTATAATCAAATATATATTTTCATTACTTGTAGATTTCCTTTCTTGTTTAGATTTTTTTTTTTTTCTCTCTCTTTCTTTTTTGTAGAGACAGGGTTTCACCATGTTTTTTGCCATGTGGCACAGGCTGGTCTTGAACTCTTGGGCTCAAGTGATCTGCCCACCTTGGCCTCTCAAAGTGTTGGGATTACAGGCATGAGCCAGCACACCTGGCCTAAATTAGATTTTCTTTATCTCAAGATTATATTAATATTCTTCTAAGTTTTCTTCTACTATTTGTTTTTATTTTTAATACAAAATCCAATATCTACTGGATTTTATTTGTGTACAACAACAATGTTGAACTCTGAGCCCTGTGTTCCTGGAAAGCAGGGATGGCTGAGAAGACCCACCTCCATCCTTCCTCAAGGACTCAGATAAAGTCTGTCTCCATCTTTTCTCATGACTCAAGGATGGCTCCCTTGTTTACCTGCTTCCATAAAACCCAGCTCTCTTCCATTGCTTTTAGAAGGTCTTTATTAATGAACATTCTCCTTATTGCAAGTTTGAACAAAATCATCTCTTTATCCAGTGTATTTTGTTTTCACAATATTGTATGAGGTTAGATTCTAGGTGTTTTCCTCTAGACCGACAACAGATTATATCAGCATTATTCACTTACCAATAAATAATCATGTTTTGAACAAGGCATCACATCGCATTGTTTTATATATAATATATATATTTTTTTTCTTTTTTGAGACGGAGTCTTGCTCTGTCATCCAGGTTGGAGGCACAATCTCAGCTCACCGCAACCTCTGTCTCCTGGGTTCAAGTGATTCTCCTGCCTCAGCCTCCCAAGTAGCTGGGATTACAGGTGTGCACCACCATGCCCGGCTGTTTTTTGGATTTTAGTAGAGATGGGGTTTCACCATGTTGCCCAGGCTGGTCTCGAACTCCTGAGCTCAGGCAATCCACCCACCTTGGCCTCCCAAAGAGCTAGGATTACAGGCATGAGCCACCGCGCCCTGCCTGTTCTATATTTTTTACTGTTTCCTTAAGCTAGATTCAATCTTAAGAGTGAACTACTAAGTTGGAGAGTATCAACACTCTTAAGGAAATGGATACCTGCACCAGGAGTTGAGTTGGGATTCAAAGACAGGCCAAAATGGGAACATGGTGTTGGCTTAGCCCTGAAGCAGTTTGCAGAATGTATACCAGAAAGTGATGCAGCTCAGTTTGCTCCTGCTTGCTTTCCTTGTATCTCTTGGAGACACACTGAACTTTAGTGGTCTTGGTCTAAAAGTGAAGTAACATCTCAGCCAGGTCAGAGAAGACTAGAATTGTAGGGTCTTACCCTTTATGGGTCTCCTCCCTCAACATATAAGGCAATTGCTTGGCTATTCAGCAAGTGTCATCTAGGCCTAAAGTCTAGGTTCTTGGCTTTGAAATACTGCTTTGTTGCACTAGGGCAATGAATTCTTATCTATATTTTGCTGCAGGGCCTAGAAGTTTTCTACTTCTGGGTGTTTTTGTGGACAACCTGTCAAAGGATGGCCATACAAATTCATATTTGGGGTATAAGAGTTCTTTACCATATCCTTGCTAGCATCAGGAATTCTTACTACCTGTTCATCTTTTAAATTTTCATCATGGAAATGATATTTCATTACTTAGATTAGCATTTCTTTATTATCAGTGAAGCTGAACATTTTTTCTACAGGCTTATCATTCTTCATTTTTGTTAATTGCTCATATTTGTTGTCCATTTATCTCAAGACAGAGTGAACTTACAGGTTTTTAAAAAATCATTTCTATGACCTTTTAATATATCAAAGCTTTAAATCTTTCATCATAGTTAACGTGAATATTTTTCCAGTTTATTGTCTTTTAGTTTGAGTGTGGTTTCATCTATTTAATTTCCGGAAGTTGTGCATTTAACGAAATTGAAGCTATCATTCTTTTTCCTTTGTATCTTGTCATTTGTGCTGATGAACATTTGTTAAATATTTACTGCTTGCCAGACTTTGGGCGCTGCACTGCCCAAATGTGAGGAAGTATAACCTGGTGCTTGTTCTTAAAAAGATAACCTCTGCATTTTCCCCCCATAAATACAATTTTCTACTTTCTGAATCTGATTCTAATTTGGCTTTATTTCATACCCAGTGCCAGCCACTTAAGGAGTAGTCAAGATACTTTTATTGAAGGAAGAAAGGATGTTATTGATAGTCGTGTACTTCACGCTTCAGAAGCTACGTTTATAAGCCAGTGACAGGAGAGGTGGGGAGGAATAGAAGTCATACATATGAAAGCAATTAAGTGTGGTTCTCATTTTGGGGGATGGATGTTGAGAATGAAAATGATCCACTCATTTATCTTTAAAGTAATATAAACACTGTGAGACAGCATGAAACACATTCTTTAGTTTCTCTATCATATGGGAATAGGCAATTGGAGGACTGTGTTTTATTTGTCTTCACAGTTCTGTTGCTTAGCATAGAGTCTGGCTAAATGCGCAAGTTCAATAAATGTTTGTTGACTAAATCTCCAACACAAATGATTACATTTGGTAGAGTCTTACCTGGACTTTTTACCATATAAAATACGCTTTTCGCTACTTGTAATCTCAGTCATCATACTTTTAAAATACTAATCATTTTAATTAAAACCTTCCTATTACATTATATAATGGTCTTACCATGTTTACATATAATGGGATAACCATAGACCAATCAGTGTAACAAATTCTTTAGATTGCAATTTAACTAAATGAACAATTCCTTTTAAACAAAAGGTGTACCTTAAATGTATATTTGTTTTGATAAAGCTATAACTTACAGATTGAAAATGCTTTTATAACATAGTCTTTTAACATGAATTTCCCAACTCCCATCCATAAAGGAATTTCCTCACTGGCTTTTGAAAAATGCAGTTCATTTGTCACTTTGCAGTAACAGAGTTGCTTTGTAAGAGTAAAATAATATTGTTCTGGGAAACAGTCTTTGGGATGGAGGCCTTTTTCTGACAGCTTTCTACAAAGCTCAAGGGGAGAATCAGACAGATAATAACACATGGGGATGAAGACATGTGAAAGCTACTTAACCAGTGATGAAACACAAATATCAATATTCATTTTCAGCAATATATTTTGTTCTTACTTCTAAAGTTTGGAGAATTGTTTCCTTATAAAGCTTAACAATGTTTTCAACATTTTCCAAATAATCTTCAGGCCTCTGAACTAGATGATGAAGAATTTCAGCCACCATCTGCATTTCGGCAATAAATGCCTAAATGGAAAAGAAGAGATTTCAAATATCTTTAGGTCAATGACTATTCAATTTACAAGCCATATTCCCCACTCCTTACACCTAGATATCATTTTGGGGTGAGAAGCAGGGGGAGGGGACGATTAAAGATTAAGGATTTTTATTTAAGAGAATGGAAGACTCCTAACGGGTCTTCATCAGATGGAATAAAGCTTTAAATTGACCTGGATATTTACTCATTTCTGTTTGTTCCCCAATAAGTAGGGACGAGTAGGGGAAGAACATCAGATTTTCAGAGACAAAATAGAGAAATTAGATTTCCTGTGAACACCTGAGCTTGTAGTTCATTCATTCAAGTATTTATTGAGTGCCTTCTATGCATCAGGCACTGTTCTAAGGATTTGGAATAGAACAGTGAACAAAACCAACTAACACCCTGGGCTCATAGCACTCACACACATTGCAGTTGAGGAAGGCAGCATAAACAAGTACACAAATAAATATATAATATATTAGGTGGTGGTAAGTACTAGGAAGAAAAATAAAGCAGGGTAGCATGGATGAAGAGTGGTAGGAGAAGAAGCTGTTTACATCAAGTGGTCATGAAAGGGTTATCTAGAGAAATGGAATTTGAGTTGAAATCTGAAGGAAATGAGGGAGAGAGAACTGCCACACAAGTTTCTTTCTTTTTTTTTTTTAATTATACTTTAAGTTCTAGGGTATGTGTGCACAACATGCAGGTTTGTTACATATGTATACACGTGCCATGTTGGTGTGCTTCACCCATTAACTCGTCATTTACATTAGGTATATCTCCTAATGCTATCCCTCCTGCCTCCCCCTACCCCCTGACAGGCTCTGGTGTGTGATGTTCCCCTTCCTGTGTCCAAGTGTTCTCATTATTCAATTCCCACCTATGAGTGAGAACATGTGCCACACAAGTTTCTAGAGAAAGAACATTTTAAGGTAGAGGGAACAGCGTGTGTAAAAGTTCTCATCCCAGGGCCTGGCACAGGATAAGTGTTCCATATCATATTTATGATGCTAATTATTAATTCTTTCCCATTTTTATCAATGTACACACATACATATTTGACTTGAGCCATATTCTCTATATAAGCCATTTTATAACCTGTTTTAAGTATTATTTTAATAGTCAAATAATATATTAATTTCCTTGAATGTACAATTATTTAATTACTCTATAGTTGGACAACAATGTTTCAGGCTTTTCACAATTACAAATAATGTTGCAATAAGTAGCTTCATAGATAAATCTTTATATGGCTAATATTTTCCCTTAGAATAGTTCCTACAAGTAGAATTACTGGACCAAAGGTTATACATTTCAAAGTGGCTCAATACACGTCTTTTCCAAAAGAAGCTACCATTCTTCTCTCCCTAGTAGAGGGCTTTGCTAGCACACTGGCGTTCATTCATTCAGCCATTACACATCTTCATATTAAGTACCCACTATCAGGCACTGGAGACAGTCCCTGCTGCATAGAGTTTTCATTCAGTGGGGCAGACAGATAATAAGCAAGTAACAAAAGTAACATAATTTCAGAAAGTGATTAAGTGCTATAAGGAAAATAAAACAGAGCAAAGGGTTAGACTTAGGCTATCCAGCACGGAAGTTATTAGCCACATCTCCCCATTGCGCACTTGAAATGTGGCAAGTGCAACTGGAACGTGCTGTAAATGTAAAATACATACCAGATTTCAAAAACTTAGATGAAAATAGAACATGTCATTCTCAGAATGTTTATGTTGATTGTAAGTTGAAATAAAATTTTTTGATATATTTAATTAAATATATTATTCAAATGACTTTCACTTGTTTATGTTGATTATAAGTTGAAATAAAATTTTTGGATATATTCAATTAAATAAAATACATTATTCAAATGACTTTCACTTGCTTCTTTTTGCTTTTAAAAAGCATGAAGCTTAAATTAAAAAAAAAAAGTCATTCTTTATAAATTACCCAGTTTCAGGTATTCTGCTGTAGGTAACAGAAAATAGACTAAGAAATGCTCTAACTTCTTATTCTACCTTGCCTAGTGCTTGACACACAGTAGGTGACCAATAACTCCATAGTTATGAAATGAAGCACACTAGGTGTCAGAACATCAGAAATGTAGAGACACGTCTATGCTGACAGGAAGGCTAAACTTGACCTCAAGATTATGATCTCATAATCCTTGAAAACATGAAAGATTTTTGCTTATTTCCTCCAAACTCAATAAAGATGTAAAGAAAATGTATAGCATCTACTATTTCCTATTACCTATACCATCATTTACCTTAATTATAGCAATTTTAAAAAGTGTAGTGTATGGTAGTTACCTATTGAGATATTACCTCTTCTTCTTCTTGCTCTTCTTCCTCTTCTTCCTCTTCTCCTTTTCCGTCCTTTTGGGCTTCTTTCTTCTTTTTCCTATGATTCTCAATGACTTCAGGATCCCACTGGTCTCTACTGTATATGTATCCCGTATTATTGTGCTGTCTTTGCCCAGAAATTCTCTGGCACAAATCATAGTCAGGACACTAAGAAACAACATTATTAAATCACTTAAAACATTTTGAATATGCTTTTAATTCCCTGTGTATTTATTGAATATATTGTACAGTACATAAACCAAAAAATTCCTTTAAAACCTGAGCAAATGCAATATTGTGACTGGCATTTTGCATCAGGTTTCATTACATGCCAAGAGAGGCTCAGACACTAATTTTATGCTATATGTTTTTATTTGTCCAAAATTAATATAGGTGAAAAAGTATTACAAGTCTTAAGATGAGAAAAGAGGATTGGAAAAGTAGAAACAGTAGAGAAATGGAATAGAAAATCAGTTAACTCTGCAAAGGTACACAGAATTCTATGATTAGCTTGAAAAGTTTACGAATGGAGCAAAATGGGGGGAATAGCCACATATTTCCAATAAAATATATTGTTTATTTGTAATATTTACTATCACTTACAGCTTTATGGGTGAGGTGTTTTATACAATGCCAGTCATAAATGGGACCTGAAAGATCATCTATTCTAGTATAACATTTATATTTTGTAAATGAGAAAACTGAATCCAGGTAGTAAAAAAGCCAAAACCAAAGTCTACAAGTAAGTTTCTTGTTCCAAAGTGCTTTCACTCGTGCGATTTTACTGAATTCTCAACTAACCCTGTAAGATAAGCAATCCAAATTACAATTAAAACCATCCTTCAGGTCAGAGAAGTACAGCTATGGCAGACTAAGAAACCAATCTCAGGTCACAATGTCACATGGAGGAACTGCAACTTGGAACCAAGCCTTCTGATTGTAGTCCATGGTCTATGATGCATTATTAATGATGATGGTTTGAGGTTGTAAATTGTGCTCTGAATGTTTTTCAGGATAAAAAAAAATCTGGATGGTTTTCTGAGGCAGTGATTCTGACATATGAGCATGTAACTCTATCTGAGGAGCTTGTTAAATCAATTGCAGCTCCTCTTGTCATTTATTAAGTTTGGAGTGAGGCTTAGATTCTTCAACAAGCATCCTCAGTGATTCTGATGCTGGCAGTTCATGTACCACACATTGAGAAACAAAGGAAGCCAGGAATGTTGGAACCTTCATTGCTCATTTTCTGATTTCTTCATGCCATCTCTAGATGGAGATGGGATGGGTAATTATTGAGGTAAGACTTTTGTTAGGCTTCCTAATTTTTCACAAAAAGAATTTCAACCTACACAGGTAATTTTTTAAAACATCTGTTTTACAACCCAGGATACCCACCTTCTAGGACCTTGACAAGGACTATCTCCTTCAGCTGTCTCCCGTTCTCATTTGCAGGAAATGACTAATGAAAGTGTGAGTCTGAAGGATATAACTCAGAGCAGAAGTGCTCAGTGTCACCTGGAGGGCTTTGCAACACTAATAGCTGGGCTCCACCTGACAGATTCTGGTTCTTAGTTCTGGGGTAGGGCCTGAGAATTTGCATTTCTACTAAGCTTCTGGGTGCTGTTGGAACTGGGACCACTCTCTGATAACTACTGCTCTAGTAGATTGCTAGCCTTTAACCAGGTTTTTGGTAGCACAGAATCCTTTAGAACATGATGAAAGCCATAGATTTTTGCATCAGAAAAATTCACATATACATAAAGTTTTATGTATAATTTCAAGAGGTTCATGAATGCTTAGGGATTTATGGATCTTGGGCTAAGAGCTTCTGCTCTAGAAATTCCAGGCTTATTCCCCAATAAGGACAAACTATCCAAAAAATGTGTGTTGCACTGAATTCTGTCTCACATTAAGCCCTCTGATGATACTCTGGTTACCCTGTAGAAACTGCCATAGGATACTTCATGATCACACTTATAACATGAATGGGGTTAAGGACTTTATTCACTACATTAAGCAGTCTCTTATATTAAGACCCATCTAAGGTATTTCTCTCATTCTCAATGGCAGTCTTGTTTTGCCTGAGGAATGGCTTGTCTTCTCATGGACAATGTGAATTTTATAACTGGTCACATTTCCCCTTTTACTTTAGTTCACCAAACCTAGAACCAAATTTATGATCCAAACTTAGTAAGCATTTGGGGTCTTCTGGCCTGCACAACTGTGTGCTCTCTCTCAATTAGATCTTAATTTTCTATTGAATCTGTCTTTTCCTAGGCTTAGTTTTTGTATGTGGTTTCAGTTGAATGAGATATCTCTGTTATGTCCACATTCACATGTGTGACATTCTCAAGTTCACTCACAATTGTGATTGACCCCTGGCCATGAGTGGTGGCTGGGGCTGCAGATTACACCACATTCAGCACTGCAAGGCCACCTCTCTCTCACAGCTGACCCTGACACTCCACTGGGTCCCAGCATCTGAGCTGAAAACCATCTAGTTTATTTGAGCTGTCATAAACCCTGGCCGAGTATGGATACAAAAGCTTATCATTCATTTTGACATAAACAAGAAGACACCACCTTGCTAAATTCTTATCACAACCCCATGAGGCAGCTATTGTCATTTTTGTAAAAAGGAAATCAAGACTTCTAGATGTGATTTACCAAATTCTAATAATAAAAGAGAGAATTAGGAACAAGACCCAACCTTAACTCGTAATTAATGTAGTAGTGTTCTTTAACATTCATACATTCATGTCATGTGTCTATTCTTTCATTTTATTAGTAAACTTACTAGGTGCCACTATGTACCACGTAATATACTGGTTGATGTTTATATGAGCAAGACATGGTTCCTACCTTCAAGTAAGACAGAGTCTAGGAGGAAAATGGATAATTATAATATAGTAAGGTGAGTAACATGACAGGGAGCGGAGAGCACCACGAATGGTCATCAGAGAAGGATTTAACTCTCTTATGATAAGTAAGGTGTGGAAGGGAGTGACAGAAAGAGAGGTGGTGGAGCGGGGTAGTTGTCAGGGAAAGTTCTAAAGAGATGATGTATTAACTGACTTTCAAAGGATGGCTATGAGGAAGCCTGGTGAAGAGGCAAGAAGGTATCTCATGTGGATGGAGCTTTAGGAGCAAGAGCACAGAACTATGAGAAGTATGACTCAGTTCCTGTGATTGATGCATAAGTTATTATCTCCATAACTATTTAAAAATGTTTAAAGCATTCCTTGAATTTAACTACTATCAAAAAGAATGGTTTACTCTACTAGCAAAACAATTAATATCCTTACCTTTATATTGATTATAACATCAGGTTTCAGGTTTAAGTTTTTAATTAATTCTATTTGCTGTAAGGTAGTCATGGCATCCTGTGAAAGTGATGGTATTTCAGTGATAATATAACCTGTAAAGTAAAATATAATTTTAAAACTTTTATAAAATTATCAACATATGAGGGCATGGATTTATTATATTATATATATATTTACTATATTATTACTTTATACTCATCTATCATAAAGTCATCTCTCAAAAATTTTAAATTAACACTTAAAGTTATTGCCACATGAAGTGTAACTATGAATAATGTTTTTCTGATGATAAAGAAATCACTGGACTAGAAGAAGACATTTTTGAAAACTCCAAGTCAATTTATTTTAGACAGATGAGGTGCCTAGGGAAGGAAATTTCATGCTAGTAATTATTTTAACTCATGTTAGGAAAGTTTACTCATATGAATGGTAAAGGTATATTATAGGGGTTGCATGCCATATTTATTTTTTTCTCATATTAATATTTCATAATATAGTAGAACATGTGTGTATAATGTTTTTATAAGTTATGAGAGTAATAAAACACCCATGGACACACTATAATTTTCTGTTTTTTAAACAGCCAATATGATTTTGGTTTAGTGCAGTTATTGGCTTGTATCCCCACCCAGAAATCTCAATCTTCTCACTGAAATTCACCGTTTACCATCATCATATTAATTTCCTTAATATATTTCTTCAATTATGTTACTGTCTTGCTCAAGAAGCTTTTCTCTTATTAATAAAGTCTCAATTCCTTCAGTGGGAATTAAAAGCTTTCAGCTTACTTCTGTACATCTTTTCTTGGAAGAACAACAGACAAACTATGTTTATTCAGCCCTGGGTATTTGGCAGAAATCTTATGAAAAGTGAATGGAATGACCCTGTCACTGCAAGGACAAAAACTGATAGCATTTGTTGCCAGTTATAATATTCAAGTGAAAATCTGAATTTTGAAAAACTTACATCCATTATTAAGAAAAGCTTAATAATGGGCTTTTCTTGATGAGAGTGGTGGTGACATTAACAAATGTGATTTCTTGATACTGTATAGTAAAGTGTGTCAACATTTGGAAGATCTGTATAACTCAGTGAACCAACATTTTCCAAATGACCAATGCATGGTGCCACAAAAATTAGGCATGGGTTACAGGCTTATTCCAAGTGCAAGACAGACCAATGGATTTTAATGTAACCAAGTTTTGAAAAGTTCACTGATACAGTTTCAGATTCCACAATGCAACCAACCTTCAGGAAACTTCCACCTGTTGGGTTTTGATGTAGAATCAAGAATATCCACAATTATTCCAAAGGCTATTAAAATACTCCTCCCTTTCCAAGAATATATCTATGTGAAACTACATTTTCTTCATGTATTTCAGCGAAAGCAATATATTGCAACAGATTGAGCAGAAGCAGGTGTGAGAATCCAGCTTTCTCTTAAGTTGGACATTGAAGAGATTGTGAAAATGTAAAGCAATGCCACTTTTCTAATTTTTTGTTTTGAAAAATTATCTTTCATAAAATATGCAATTTATGTTAACAAGTCATGGTTTTATGATTTCTAAACAGATATTTTTTAAAGTCTCTGTTTTAATTTCTAATATGGTAAATATAAATACATATAGCCCATGTAAGCATAACTACTTATGGAGCCTCAACAATTCTTATTAGTGTAAGAGAGTCTTGTGCCCCAAAAGTTTGAGAACCACTATCTTAATGCAATGCCTAGAATAGCATAATAAAAAAAGTTACCAAGCACCTGTTGATAGACGAGTGAATGAATGTGTGTAAAACAAACTTAAAATTCCTCACCTCAGAACATGCTCATCACAATCTTTTATTTTTATTTTTATTTATTTATTTATTTTGAGACAGAATCTTGTTCTGTCACCCAGGCTGGAGGGCAGTGGTGTGGTCTCGGCTCACTGCAACCTCCGCCTCCGGGGTTCAAGTGATTCTCCTGCCTCAGCCTCCTGAGTAGCTGGGACTACAGGCGCATGCTACCACGCCCGGCTAATTTTTGTATTTTCAGTAGAGACAGGGTTTCACCATGTTGGCCAGGATGGTCTCGATCTCCCGATCTCGTGATCCGCCTGCCTCGGCCTCTCAAAGTGCTGGTATTACAGGCATGAGCCACCACGTCAGGCCACAATCTTTTATTTTTAAAAAAGAAGATCAGGCCAGGTGCGGTGGGTCATGCCTGTAATCCCAGCACTTTCGGAGGCCGAGGAGGGTGGATCACAAGGTCAGGCGTTCAAGACCAGCCTGGCCAACATGATGAAACCCCATCTCTACTAAAAAAAAAAAATACAAAAATTAGCCAAGCATAGTGGCGGGTGCCTGTAATCCCAGCTACTCGGGAGGCTGAGGCAGGAGAATCGCTTGAACCCTGGAGGCAGAGGTTGCAGTTAGCCGAGATCGCACCACTGCACTCCAGCCTGGGCAACAGAGCGAGACTCCGTCTCAAAAAAAATAAAGAAGAAGAAGACCAAGAACCATCATGCTAATTCAAAACCTAATTAAATGCTTAGGCATACACAATGTCTCCTAAGCTTTTTTGATCACTTTACTTTCTGCTAACAGTGTGTTGGGCTCTATCCAGAGAAGCAATCCTACCTAATTTAACTTAAAAAGGCAGAAAGGATGACCTTGTCATCTTGGTTTTAGATATATGAACTGTAGGTATGATTCCCTCTTGTCTTGCTATGATCCTTAGTGTCCAACTTGACTTACTTACATGCTCCTGCTATTGTCTTAAACATAGCGTGGTATCCCCAAGGCATCTATCCTATTGGAGGTTCATTAAATTAGCTCAGTACATCCCTAAAAAAATGTAGACACTGCCTGCACTGTCTCAAGAAATGGGCCAGACCTTTCTCTACCTGCCTCTTCTTGTTGTTCTCTTTCTGCTTTTCTGGCTCCACACCACCCTCATTTGGTTTGGCATCTTTGCTCTTGTGAGTCTAGCTTCCACTTGATTAACAACATGTTTGAACTGGTTTTTAAGACTTTGACCAGTATCTCCTCTGGGACACGATGGCTGGCATTAACTCCTGGTCTGACACATTGTGATGGTAGGTACTACACTGAACGGGACTGCATGCCTAGCTCTGGATGGAACTCAGACCTTGGCAAGCTAACTCCTCCAAGTTAGACAGTTCCAGAGACCATCTATCTCCAGAGTCCTTGCCCTTGCCTTGTAAGCAAAAGCAACAGTATCTCCCTGCCATTCCCTATGCTGGTAATACTTCCCAACATCTGTGTATCGTAAGTGGATCACAGAAAGATGCTTGGCACTGTTTGCTGTGCTTGCCAAAACCTTCCTGTTCCTACAGCCACTGCCACTGCCACTGCCTGGAGAGCTTGTCAGGCATTCCACGTGCAACTGTTTGCAGGAATGCTGAACTTCTGGTGTACATGTATATTGGAATGATGTTCATACTTGGTCTCTTTACTGATGGAAATGGCAGAAGAATAAGTAATTTCCATGGATCTAGCTCTCTCTTGAAAGGCCATTGTTTGGGCTGCCTGAATGTTCTGAGCTATGAATTGTGGGGCTCTACCCTCTGAGAGATGTCTAGTATTATCATTCCAGAGCCTAGGGGTGTATCTATGGGAGGAGGTGTGGGATAGACAATTATGTCATCTAAGTTTGTCTCACCATTGCAGATGTAAAGTGGAATAGATTAGTCCTCTAGTCCCAATTCTGGAAGATCCCAGGGACACACTGCTTGTTAAACAGACCAGAACTACTGAGCCCAGTGTCAACCTTTCCAATTCCAGAGACATGTGAGGATGAAAGCACAGATGAGGAACTCCTCGCTCCCACCCCACATGTCCTTGAGACCATTACCAAGCCCTTGCCCTTCCATGCTAACGATGGAGGAGTGGCGCACCCCAAGCCAGTCCTTGCTGGGAGACTTTGCATGTTCTAT
The DNA here is from genome assembly GCF_000001405.40 of Homo sapiens. Classification (NCBI taxonomy): domain Eukaryota; kingdom Metazoa; phylum Chordata; class Mammalia; order Primates; family Hominidae; genus Homo; species Homo sapiens. The sequence goes on from NC_000006.12 coordinate 109,666,510, forward strand.
CATAGGCAGACTAGGTGCTTTGTAGGCCATTGCCCAGTTCTCATTAGCTCAACCAATGAGAAACTGTAAGACTGTCCAGACCACTGCCCAGAGGAAACTGACTTGTCTCAGGCCCATACCATCACTTTGCCACCATTTCTTGGCACAGTGGGAAGAAGGCATTTTCTATTTCCATACAAATGAAGATGGCAGACTACTGCTTTCAGATTGAAGTGATGACAGATTCAGAGATATCAGGTAGCTTTGTGTTCAGCCATCCCTGCTACCCATCTGACCTCTGGCCAGGCTGATGTAGCCTTGTGTCCAGCCATCTCTTCTACCCATCTGACCTCAGACCAGGCTGATATGAGTGGACACATTGGTGACCAATGACTTGCAAGACTATTCATAAAGATATACTCGGGGCAGGGAATGCCCAGACTGGGGCTATTCATTCACTGGGGAAAACGAGATTTTCCAGAATCTAGAAGCAGGGAGCAGTGAGGAGCTTTTAGGATGCCACATATTGACTCTATCTGTTTCTCTTGGGTAAGGATATAGCTCCGAGAAGCTGATTTTGGCTAAGGGCCAAAACAACACAATAGATTGTGAATGAAAAGATAATTATAGATCGTGTAGGCCCTTTTAAAATAGTGATGGAAACACCAATTATTAAAAGGGCTCTAGTATAAAACAAAATTAAGATGAATTTGGCAATACTCTGCCGTGTGATGTCCCTGGAAGTGCACATATCTCTTCAGGGATTTTGGAGTCATCAATTATCCATCCTCACCCAGCCCCCCACTCAAGTTGTTTTTTTTTTTAATTCTCTTTGTTATTTTATTCCATTAATCTCATTTTGAAGTTACTATTTTAGTTGTCATTTGCTTAATTATTTTTTCTTTTGTTTTATTTTATTTATTTTTAATCATACTTTAAGTTCTAGGGTACATGTGCACAATGTGCAGGTTTGTTACGTATGTATATGTGTGCCATGTTGGTGTGCTGCACCCATTAACTCGTCATTTACATTAGCTATATCTCCTAATCCTTTCCCTCCCCTCTCCCCCCATCCCACAACAGGCTCCAGTGTGTGATGTTCCCCTTCCTGTGTCCAAGTGTTCTCATTGTTCAATTCCCACCTATGAGTGAGAACATGCGGTGTTTGGTTTTTTGTCCTTGCGATAGTTTGCTGAGAATGATGGTTTCCAGCTTCATCCATGTACCTACAAAGGACATGAACTCATCATTTTTTATGGCTGCATAGTATTGCATGATGTATATGTGCCACATTTTCTTAATCCAGTCTATCATCGTTGGACATCTGGGTTGGTTCCAAGTCTTTGCTATTGTGAGTAGTGCCACAATAAGCATATGTGTGCATGTGTCCTTATAACAGCATGATTTATATTCCTTTGGCTATATACCCAGTAATGGGATGGCTGGGTCAAATGATATTTCTAGTTCTAGATCCCTGAGGAATCGCCACAGTCTTCCACAATGGTTGAACTAGTTTACAGTCCCACCAACAATGTAAAAGTGTTCCTATTTCGCCACATCCTCTCCAGCACCTGTTGTTTCCTGACTTTTTAATGATTGCCATTCTAACTGGTGTGAGATGATATCTCATTGTGGTTTTGATTTGCATTTCTTGGACGGCCAGTGATGATGAGCATTTTTTCATGTGTCTGTTGGCTGCAGAAATGTCTTCTTTTGAGAAGTGTCTGTTCATATCCTTTGCCCACTTTTTGATGGGGTTTTTTTTTTCTTGTAAATTTGTTTGAGTTCTTTGTAGATTCTGGATATTGGCCCATTGTCAGATGAGTAGGTTGCAAAAATTTTCTCCCATTCTGTAGGTTGCCTGTTCACTCTGATGGTAGTTTCTTTTGCTGGGCAAAAGCTCTTTAGTTTAATTAGATTTCATTTGTCAATTTTGACTTTTGTTGCCATTGCTTTTGGTATTTTAGACATGAAGTCCTTGCCCATGCCTCTGTCCTGAATGGTATTGCCTAGGTTTTCTTCTAGGGTTTTTATGGTTGTAGGTCTAACATTTAAGTCTTTAATCCATCTTGAATTAATTTTTGTATGAGGTGTAAGGAAGGGATCCAGTTTCAGCTTTCTACATATGGCTAGCCAGTTTTCCCAGCACCATTTATTAAATAGGGAATCCTTTCCCCATTGCTTGTTTTTGTCAGATTTGTCAAAGATCAGATAGTTGTAGATCTGCGGCATTATTTCTGAGGCCTCTGTTCTGTTCCATTGGTCTATATCTCTGTTTTGGTACCAGTACCACACTGTTTTGGTTACTGTAGCCTTGTAGTATAGTTTGAAGTCAGGTAGCGTGACGCCTCCAGCTTTGTTCTTTTGGCTTAGGATTGCCTTGGCGATGCCAGCTCTTTTTTGGTTCCATATGAACTTTAAAGTAGTTTTTTCCAATTCTGTGAAAAGTCATTGGTAGCTTGATGGGGATGGCATTGAATCTATAAATTACCTTGGGCAGTATGGCCATTTTCACGACATTGATTCTTCCTATCCATGAGCATGGAATGTTCTTCCATTTGTTTGTGTCCTCTTTTATTTCATTGAGCAGTGGTTTGTAGTTCTCCTTGAAGAGGTCCTTCACATCCCTTGTAAGTTGGATTCCTAGGTATTTTATTCTCTTCGAAGCAATTGTGAATGGGAGTTCACTCATGATTTGGCTGTTTGTTATTGGTGTATAAGAATGCTTGTGATTTTTGCACATTGATTTTGTATCCTGAGACTTTGCTGAAGTTGCTTATCAGCTTGAGGAGATTTTGGGCTGAGACGATGGGGTTTTCTAGGTATACAATCATGTCATCTGCAAACAGGGACAATTTGACTTCCTCTTTTCCGAATTGAATACCCTTTATTTCTTTCTCCTGCCTGACTGCCCTGGCCAGAACTTCCAACACTATGTTGAATAGGAGTGGTGAGAGAGGGCATCCCTGTCTTGTGCCAGTTTTCAAAAGGAATGCTTCCAGTTTTTGCCCATTCAGTATGATATTGGCTGTGGGTTTGTCATAAATAGCTTAATTATGATTAGATACATCCCATCTATACCTAATTTATTGAGAGTTTTTAGCATGAAGGGCTGTTGAATTTTGTCAAAGGCCTTTTCTGCATCTATTGACCTAATCAAGTTTATATCCCTGTTTTGAAAACCCTTCACTTCCAATTTTGCTTCTACCTTCTACCAGGCTACGGGTTGAGAGCAAACATCAGGATGAGACGCCTTGCTGGGAATTTGGGCAAAGATTTTCAAACTGTATTTAGCCGAGTGCTAGGTTCTAAAACAATTCCTGTGGGATGCTACAGGATGGGTTAAGGGGTGGCTGGGCAGAAGGCGCTTTAGGTTCCATCTCCACTGCAACCTTTAAATGAGCTCGTTTGTGCATGCCTAGAACGTGGCCTTGTAACCAAATGGTGAGGGTGTGGCCCCCAGACTCAGGAAACCATTTATATCACTTTTCCTCTGCCAGCTCCTAGGACAAGTATCGGCATACAGGAAGTACTGGGGTCTGAGGAATGCAATCAGCCAAATCCAGAATGTGGGAAACTCTACAAGACAAATGACCTGTTTTCTTCATCAGAGAAGAAACAATAAGATAGAAAGAAGTAGGGGAAACTTATATATAAAGAGACTTGAGACATACTAATCACTTGTACTATGTGAAACCTGGTTAGATCCTGCTTCAAAAAAAATCAACTAAAAAATATCTATGAGGTAATTAATGAAATCTAGTAGATGATATCAAGGAATAACAATTAATTTTTTAGGTGTGATAATGGTAATGTGTAATAGGTTTAAGTGTCCTTTTCTTTTAGAGATATAAATGGAACATTATACAGATGAACTGATATGATATGGATTAGCTTCAAAATAACATAGGTTGAGAGAAGGGAGTAAGTAGAAGTGTAGATGAAACGAGATTAGACTAGAGTTGGTTTTGGACATATGCTGAACCTGAGTGGTAATGTGGAAGCATCTTTATACTAATCTCCCTACTTTTGTTTGAACTATTTCCTAATAACAACTGTAAAACATTATGAACACCATGAGAGGCACAACTGAGTTTCTTCGTGTTGTTTTTTTTTCTTTCTCCTTTTGCCAATACTTATAATTTATGTCATCTTTTTTGTAGCCATGTAAACCAATTTAAGTTTTTCAAGAGGTAAGTGAGGTTAACAAATAGGTATTTACTTACCTACCTATATACATATCTGTTTCAAATACTATGTTTTCTGAGGTCATTTATTGACGTAATTTGGAATTCTGTGATTCCTGTTTGCCTTTTTACTTATCCAGCCTTCCATATTCTGGATATTTTGCCGTTCAGTCTCTTTATCACTGCTGAACAAATAGGTAATAAGTGGATAGATAGGTAGATAGTTTACAGAGAAACCTTATCTACTTATAATGTATTTATAATCCATATATATTAATCTCTATATATGTATTATATATAAAAACCCATATATCCATATAGAGACCTGTCTACATATGTGGATATGGGACATTCTATGTATCATCTCTCTATACACATGAGCTATATGAAAAGGAATCTTTTTGTCTATAGATAGAAACCAGTAAATACAGTTTGACAAGGCTGCGTTTGCTGCTTCCATCATTGATTTGCTTTGGCAGTTATGGTTTTTACTTTCCTGTATTTTTATTCCTGCATTAATAGTTACAATGTCTTCTTCTAACTTACTAAGAATATAAAACAACTTTCTTAATTTTTCTTTTTTCATTCAGTAAATCCATTTCAGGTGGATGATTTTATCCCAAACTTGTCATTATTCTTCTCCTCTTCTTTTGCAGAGGTATTAGAGTTTGCTCTTTTCTTTTTAATCATTTTGAGCTTCAGTGGTCTTTGTCTTGAAAAATTAGATCCAAAGCCCTTGCTCAGCATCCATTTGAGTACCAGGAGAGGTTTCAGGTCCAGAGTCAGAGGGCAGACTGGAAGAACAGGCTGAAGCCTGACAATATCTGGAGCTCAACAGTAAGATAGTGGCATTCCACTTCCCACTCCCGCCTTCTAAGTGTGGATTAATGCAGACAACCCTAGCCATTGTCAGGACTTAGCAATATAACCCAAGGTGTATGAGGAAGCAGTCAGCAGAGTTAGCAGTACTGCAAGATGGACCACAGCAGATTTCTGATGCTTTTACTGGATAACACAATGTTAAAGAAGATTGGGTCATATAAACTTATTTTTAAAACAAATGTACAATCTGAGAAATAAAAACAAGCAAATAAAACCATCTGAGCTGTTCAACTGAATAGAGATAATGAGATTCTTATGCTAAGGCAAAAGAAAGGGCAACTCCAGAAACTATTTTTGCCTCAGATAAAGCATGAGTTTTAAGGCTGCTTTGTGGGCTGTAAATATATTAAAATAAACATACCAAAGTGACAGACTTCTGGGGAGTTGAGCTTCTCCAACATTAGCTTTATGACAAGTTCATCTGGAATGCTTTGACCGCTGATCAACATTGATTGCAACTAAGGACAAGCATAGATATTGTACATTACTGTATAATATATCTATGATACAGAGCTTTTTTTGTAATCATAGTTACTTTGAAATTTAGGTTTGTTTACCATAACTCCTGATTCGGTTTCAGCAGCAATCTGTTCTTCTAAAATTGGCAAAGCTAAAACATGAATTCAAAATATTAATACAGACTGATATTAAGATCACCAAAATAAGAAACACATTCTAGTGTCTTGTAACTGGTAACAAAGATTAACATTTGTGCATCACTTTATAATTTACAATGCAAATGTATGCATATTACTTCACTTAAGCCTAACCAAAGCAGAAGCAGCAGAATGTCTTCCATAGAGAACTTGTCTCTGCCACTTACTAAGCTTAAGAATCTTGGAGAAGCGAACATGGTGACTCATGTCTGCAATCCCAGTACTTTGGGAGTTCAAGGCAGGAGGATTGCTTGAGCCCAGAAGTTTGAGACCAGCCTAGGCAACATAGGGAGACTACATTCCTACAAAAAGTTAAAAAATTAGCAGGGCATAGTTATGGTGCATGCCTATAGTCCCTGCTACTCAGGAAGCTGACGTGGGGTGATCACTTGAGCCCAGGAGGTCAAGTTTGCAGAGAGCCGTGATCATGTCACTGCACTCCAGCCTGGATGACAAAGTGAGGGCGTGTCTCAAAATAAAAATAAAAAATAAAAAAATAAAGAATCCTGGGGGAGTTAACTCTGTAAACGCCTCTGCACCTTGGATGCATATGTACTGTGTAGTGTACAATAGAACGTAAGGATGAAATCAGGTGGTGTATATGACAGTGATTTCTAAATCATTTAGTTACAAAAGTATGCACTGGTATTAATTAATCCAGATTTTCATAACCATACAATTACATCCAAAGCCTGCTAGTTTTGCACATGGTGTAAAAGGAAATGAATCAAGAAATGTTAAAATGGGTAAACACTGATTAGAAAGAGGGGTCTTGAGGCTGAAATTCCAATGATTTATTTCCTTTAAAAGAGGAAATGTATCATTCCTTGATAGAGGACATCCTGGGATAGGAATGACAGGGGCATGACCCAGGGGAGGACCCAGGAGAGTTGTTATATCATTAGTTATTAATAATCTATGGGATGTTTGGTATTCTTTAAGATTTCCTAGAAGTAAACTTTTTGAACAAAGAAAGAAGAAACTTTTAGAGTTGTGTGTGTGTGTGAGTGTGTGTGTGTTATGTATTACAAATTGTTCTCCAAAAAAATTGTACCAGATTGCAACTTTACTAACAGCATGTGGAATGCCCATTTCATAACATCCTTACCTACAGTGATTGTAGTAATTGTAAAGATTCACTGCCAATTTGATAGGCAAATATGGACCAGTGTTATGTTGATTAACATTTCTTAGAATGATGTTAAACTCTCTTTTCTTATATTGTTTATTTTTATTTCTACTTTTATGAATTGCCTATTCATTCTTTTTCTTATTTTTCTATTAGGGCATAAATAGTTTTATTAATTAAAAGAATATTTATATATAAAGATATCAACCCATTCTCTTATATATTGCAAAGAATGCAAGAAAATTTATAAATAAAAAATAAAAGTTATCATTGAAGACAATTAAGTTCTGAAAAATGTTCCTAAGAAAAGCTGTGAGAGTTCCATCTCATTTGAGCTTTCATAAAAAGACACCCAAACACACATATCCCAAACAGTTCTAAATTACGAATAGAGAATTGGAGGTAGTAGAATAGAGTTGATGACATTTCATAAATGCTATGAACAAAACTAGGACAAACAGAAGGGCAAAACATTATTGGATTGATAATGCTGTTATAAAAATAATATTGGGCCGGGTGTTGTGGCTCACACCTGTAATCTAGTACTTTGGGAGGCCAAGGTGGGAAGACTGTTTGAGCCCAGGAGTTTGAAACCAGCCTGGGCAACAAAGCAAGACCATGTCTCTACAAAAAAAAAAAATAATAATTAATTAAATTAAATATAAATAAAAACCCAAGCAGATAATATTCACTGGGTTGATAGGTGGACAAATGTGTGATAAAGCAAATATAGCAAAACGTTAATCACAGACTCTAGATGGTGAGTATATGGGCATTCACTGTATAATTATCTCCATTTTATGAATATTTGAAAGTTTTCATAATAAAATATTAGAGAAAAAAGATAAAATTTACCTTCAACACGAATACATTTCCATGCCTGTGTTATGTAACGGGCTAATGTTGTTTTCCCAACACCCTTAAAAAGAAAAATGTTATTTAAAGCCCAATAGAACAGTTACTTGCCAGTGACACAGATACAGCAATTTTTAAAGATTCTATTGCTAGTTACTATTACATCAATGTTATAATTTTTCCCATAAAAAATGAAGAATAGACCCTAGATACGTATAGTTTAGTTTTTCTTTACTAATTTTTGCATATGTCACATCTCCTAAAGTAATATAAATAAACTTTTTAATATTAAGTACATAGCCCTAAAATCAAGAAGCTATACCATTATGGTACTGCACAATTTTAACTGTCAATTTTTATAATTTTGATTACAAATCATTGTGATTATATTGGAGAGTCATCATTTTATTTCCTTTCTAAAGTTCATAATCATGAATGTTTTGACAGGCTTCCATTTAGTAATTTTGATGAGCAAAAAGATCCTTTTTAACTGACATCTTTGGAAAGTATCATACTTTAAAGATAAAAGGTCGTTTTGATGAAGTAACATTTGTGTCTGGTTGCTTTCACTGTTGACTTTTTAAAACCCATTATGTTTTTAGAAACATAGTGAAAGTTGTTGAAACCATTTATTGGTACCTGTCCCAGGGTCCATGTAAAGTAAGTCAAGGATGGGATCCAGCTCTTAATCTCTGCTATTCTGGAGAGGCTCTTTAATCAACCAGCTCAGTGGCTGTCAGTAGCTTTTATCTAGAGTTTCTTACTAGAAATGTCTAGAAAAGCAAACTTTATTATAATAGCCATTTTGGTGTCTTTCTGATTTGTGGAAAGTCAACACATAGGTCCCCTAACATGCTGTAGGTAAAGCCTGAGGCATGGTGCCTCTCAGGATCTCAGATATTAACAGGAGAACCTCCTGGCTCATCTTGATGGTGTCCTATCTTCACATATCCACAGAGCCTCAAAACAAATTGCATAGGAAGTTTCATATGCAAATCAAGTCTGAAATAACCTCAGATTACACACTACTAACAGTTGTCATGTGCAGTGTTTTGGTAAGTTAATTTCATCATAATATAAAAGCAAATTTAAATATAGTCTGGGTTCCTTCTCAATTATAACATATAACATAGTATTGCGGTATATATGTACCACATCTTCTTTATCTAGTCTACCACTGATGGGCATTTAGGTTGATTCCATGTCTTTGCTGTTGTGAGTAGTGTTGCGATGAGCATATGTGTGCATGTGTGCAAGAGATAGTTATGAATTTATAACCAATATTATGGCAGATTTTAAGTCATATAATAAAAGCTTATCAGACACTCAAAAAATGAGCACAATATGTGGTTTTTATTTTTATATGGTAACTTAGAAAATTGTGATTTTAAAAATAAAAAAAATTATACCAAATAATAAGAGATAACTTACTGGTTTCCCAAATACAACAAAGCAAACAGGTTTGGACAACAAAAAATTCCTTTCAGTTTCATCTTCATCAAATATATCTGCAAAAGGATACTCTTCTGTCTTCTCTTGAGAAGTCATGACACAAAATACTACAATAAAAAAGGGTAAGATTGTTAACTTGTCTAATTTGGTTGGATGAGGTGACTAGGAACAATTGAAATAACCTGTGAGTTTTCTTAGCCCAGAAGTCATTTTGTACCATTAAACACATGAATTTTGTCAGTAATTGCAAATAAGTTTAACTCATTTATAAAAACAATAGTAAGCTCTTAGTTTGAGACAAAAACAAAATCCAACTATATGTTGTATAAAAGAGAGCTCAAAGTGTTTCTGAAAGACTAACTTGAGGAAAAAATACAGATTTGTGTGTATTATATTAAAAACCAAATTAAAGTTAAATATGTTGTACATGCACATGCAACATAGGTGCATGTATAAATTTTACCAGAAATAGAAAAGGTAATGTTGGCTAAATGTATTAGATTCATATTTTCATATTTTAGGAAGCTTTGGTTAATTCCATGAAGAAAACTTTTCCAAAAGTAATGTCATTTTTACATTTTTTCTTTTGTAATATTTTATAAATATCTGTAAGAACATATATTTATTTTAAAGTTGTTTTCAGAAACCTTTTGCTATTTTGATTTGCTCTTAAGCGGATTTCTAGGCACAGAAGCTTGAGTCCTCAGTATTTTAACATGAACAGTTTTCAACTTAGTCCAACTCTTTTGGAGTCAATCAGAAACAAATAAGGTCACAACAGTTTATTTGTTTTTGAACAAAGACTGTCTCTTGTTTTCAAGCACTTGTAGACTACATATTTATGTTCATAAAATATTTATATATATCCATCGAATATTTCTATTATGTAAACAGTAAAATAGCATGAGACATATCTCTTGATCACGATAAAATAATGAAAAAAATAGTGATAAAAGTATTTTTAAAAATCCCTAATTGTTGAAAATTAAAAAGAAAAATGAAAACAATATTCTTCTAAATATTACTTGATCAATACAATTTTAAAATGGAAATAAAATATTAGCAAAATAATAGTATTATTAAATATTTAGTTAAAATGATATAGCAAAAAGTAACAAGATCATGTCCTTTGCACACATGCACACATATGCTCATCACAACACTACTCACAACAGCAAAGACATGGAATCAACCTCAATGCCCATCAGTGGTAGACTAGATAAAGAAGATGTGGTACATATATATCAGAATACTATGCAGCCATGAAAAATAAGATCATGTCCTTTGCAGCAACATGGATGAAGCTGGAAGCCATTATCCTAAGCAAACTAATGCAAGAACAGAAAAGCAAATACTACATGTTCTCACTTATACGTGGGAACTAAACATCAAGTACACAAGGACACAAAGAATGGAACAACTGATACTAAGGCCTACTTGAGGGTAGAGGGTAGGATGAGGAAGAGGATACAAAAAACTACCTATTGGGTACTATGCTTATTATCTGAGTGATGAAATAATCTGTGCACCAAACTCCTATGACATGCAATTTACCTATATAGTAAACCTGCACATGTACCCCGAACCTAAAAGTTAAAAAATAAAATAAAATGATATAGCAAAAATATTTTTTAAAAATAGTAATTTTCTTTCAGACCAACACTAATAACAACAAAAACTCATAATTGCACAAATCTATAAAAAGGTATGAATAATTTTAGTAAAAATGTGCATTAGTGATATATCATGTGCACTAACTATAACATTTTGCTGATGAACACTAAAGAAGAAAAAACCATAATATATTTTTGGGCGAAAGGATTTAATTTGTAAAGATATCTATTATGTTCAAATTAATACATAAAATTAAGAGTCTGTGTGTGTGTGATGTGTGTGTGAAGAGCCATGCATGCAGGAGTCCTAGCCCTGCTAAATATATACATGCCTAAAATATGATAAAGGAGGCATTTAAAATTGGTGAATAAAAAATAAATTGTTTAGAATAATTGGCTATGCATAAATAACTATCAAAGGTCAACAGAATTCTTTTCACTGAGTTTAAAAAAGTCAACAGGAAAAAAATATCATGATCCAATTGGAAAATGCCCAAAATATCTGAAGAGACATTTCATCAAAGAAGATATACAGATGACAAACACATGAAAAGATGTTAAAAATCACTAGCCATTAGAGAAATGCAATTAAAATAATAATCAGATAATATTACATGTATATCAGAATGGCTAAAATAAAAAATAGTGACAACACCAGATGTTGGTGAGGATGCAGAGAAACTGGATCCCTCATACATTGCTGGTGGGAATATAAAATGGTATAGTCTGGAAAATATTTGGAAGTTTCTTAAAAAACTAAACATGCAACTACATATGACTAGCCATTGCACTTTTTGGCATTTATCTCAAAGAAAAGGAAATTAATGTTCACGTAAAAACATATACATTAATGTTCATCACAGCTTTATTCAAAATAGTCAAAAGCTGAAAACAACCCAGATGTTCTTCAAAAGGTGAACAATTAAGCAAACTGTGGTACATCCATACCATGGAATATGATAATAATAAAAATGAATAAACTATTGATACATGCAGCAACGTGTATCAATCTCTAAAGAATTAAACAGAGCAAAACAACAACAAAAGTCAATCCCACAGTTTACATATTGTCTTATTTATGTAACATTCTTGAAATGACAAAAATATAGAAATAGAGAACAAATTAATGGTTGCCACGGGTTAGCAGGGAGTAGAGCAGAAAGGAAGTGGGTATGACTATATATGGGCAACATATGGAATGGAAACGTTCTCTATCTTGACTGTATCAATGTCAATACTATAGTTTTGCAAAATATTATCATAAGAGAAATAAAGGCACAAGATTCCTCTATATTATTTCTTACAACTCCATGTAAATCTACAGTTATCTCAAAATGAAAAGTTTGACTAAAAAATATTAACTAGTTGCCGCCCCCCAAAAAAGATTAATGCGGGAGGCTGGCAAGATAGCTGAATAGGAACAGCTCTGGTCTGCAGCTCCCAGCGAGATCAACACAGAAGGTGGGTGATTTCTGCATTTGCAACTGAGGTACCCAGCTCATCTCACTGGGACTGGTTAGACAGTGGATGCAGCTCATGGAGGGTAAGCTGAAGCGGGGTGAGGCATCGCCTCACCCAGGGAGTGCAAGGGGTCGGGGAACTCCCTCCCCTAGCCAAGGGAAGCCGTGAGGGACTGTGCCATGAGGAACGGTGCACTCTGGCCCAGATACTATGCTTTTCTCACAGTCTTCACAACCCGCAGACCAGGAGATTCCCTCTGATGCCTACGCCACCAGGGCCCTGGGTTTCAAGCACAAAATTGGGCAGCTGTTTGAGCAGACACCAAGCTAGCTGCAGGAGTTTTTTTCATATCCCAGTGGCGCCTGGAACGCCAGCGAGACAGAACTGTTCACTCCCCTGGAAAGGGGGCTGAAGCCAGGGAGCCAAGTGGTCTAGCTCAGCGGATCCCACCCCCACAGAACCCAGCAAGCTAAGATCCACTGGCTTGAAATTCTCGCTGCCAGCACCGCAGTCTGAAGTGACCTGGGATGCTGGAGCCTGGCTGGGGGAGGGGAGTCTGCCATTACTGAGGCTTGAGTAGGTGATTTTCCCCTCACAGTGTAAACAAAGCCTTGGGGAAGTTCCCTCCTCCCACCCCCGCAGCTCAGCAAAGCCTCTGTAGCCAGACTGCCTCTCTAGATTCCTCCTCTCTAGGCAGGGTATCTCTGAAAAAAAAAGGCAGCAGCCCCAGTCAGGGGCTTATAGATAAAATTCCTATCTCCCTGGGACAGAGCACCTGGGGGAAGGGGTGGCTGTGCGCACAGCTTCAGCAGACTTAAACATCCCTGCCTGCCAGCTCTGAAGAGAGCAGGGGATCTCCTAGCACAGTGCTTGAGCTCTGCTAAGGGTCAGACTGCCTCCTGAAGTGGGTCCCTGACCCCCATGTCTCCTGACTGGGAGACACCTCCCAGCAGGGGCCGACAGACACCTCATACAGGAGAGCTCCCGCTGGCATCTGGCAGGTGCCCCTCTGGGACAAAGCTTTCAGAGGAAGGAACAGGCAGCAATTTTTGCTGTTCTACAGCCTCTGTTGGTGATACCCAGGAAAACAGAGTCTAGAGTGGACCTCCAGCAAACTCCAGCAGAACTGTAGCAGAGGGACCTGACTGTTAGAAGGAAAACTAACAGAAAAGAATGGCATCAATATCAACAAAAAGGACGTCCACTCAGAAACCCCATCCGAAGGTCACCAACATCAAAGACCAAAGGTAGATAAATCCACAAAGATGGGGAGAAACCAGCGCAAAAAGGCTGACACTTCCAAAAACCAGAATGCCTCTTCTCCTCCACAGGATCACAACTCCTTGCCAGCATGGGAACAAAACTGGACAGAGAATAAGTTTGATGAACTGACAGAAGTAGGTTTCAGAAGGTGGATAATAACAAACTCCTCCGAGCTAAAGGAGCATGTTCTAACCCAACTCAAGGAAGCTAAGAACCTTGATAAAAGGTTAGATGAATTGCTAACTAGAATAACCAGTGTAGAGAAGAACATAAATGACCTGACAGAGCTGAAAAACACAGCACAAGAACTTCATGAAGCATACACAAGTTTCAATAGCCGAATCGATCAAGTGGAAGAAAGCATATCAGTGACTGAAGATCAACTTAATGAAATAAAGATAGAAGACAAGATTAGAGAAAAAAGAATAAAAAGGAACAAACAAAGCCTCCAAGAAATATGGGACTATGTGAAAAGACCAAATCTACATTTGGTTGGTGTACCTGAAAGTGATGAGGAGAATGGAATCAAGTTGGAAAACACTCTTCAGTACATTATCCAGGATAACTTCCCCAACCTAGCAAGGCAGGCCAACATTCAAATTCAGGAAATACAGAGAACACCATGAAGATATCCCTTGAGAAGAGCAACCCCAAGACACATAATCGTCAGATTCACCAAGGTTGAAATGAAGGAAAAAATGTTAAGGGTAGCCAGAGAAAAAGCTTGGGTTACCCACAAAGGGAAGCCCATCAGACTAACAGTGGATCTCTGCAGAAACCCTACAAGCCAGAAGAGAGTGGGGGCCAATATTCAACATTCTTAAAGAAAAGAATTTTCAACGCAGAATTTCATATCCAGCCAAACTAAGCTTCATAAGTGAAGGAGAAATAAAATCCTTTACAGACAAGCAAATGCTGAGAGATTTTGTCAAAACGAGGCTTCCAAGAGCTCCTGAAGGAGGCACTAAACGTGGAAAGGAACAACTGGTACCAGCCACTGAAAAACATACCAAATTGTAAAGAACATCGACACTATGAAGAAACTGCATCAACTAATGGGCAAAACAGCCGGCTAGCATCATAGTGACAGGATCAAATTCACACATAACAATATTAACCTTAAAGTAAATGGGCTAAATGCCCTGATTAAAAGACACAGACTGGCAAACTGGATAAAGAGTCAAGACCCATCAGTGTGCTACATTCAGGAGACCCATCTCACATGCAAAGACAAACATAGGTGCAAAATAAAGGGATGGAGGAATATTTACCAAGCAAATGGAAAGCAAAAAAGGCAGGAGTTGCAATCCTAATCTCTGATAAAACAGATTTGAAACCAACAAAGATCAAAAGAGACAAAGAAGGTCATTACACAGTGGTAAAGGGATCAATGCAGCAAGAAGAGCTAACTATACTAAATATATATGCACCCAATATAGGAGCACCCAGATTCATAAAGCAAGTTCTTAGAGACCTACAGAGAGACTTAGACTCCCACACAATAATAATGGGAGACTTTAACACCCCATTGTCAATACTAGACAGATCAATGAGACAGAAAATTAATAATGATATTCAGGACTTGAACTCAGCTCTGGACCAAGCAGACCTAATAGACATCTACAGAACTGTCCACCCCAAATCAACAGAATATACATTCTTCTCAGCACCTCACTGCACTTATTCTAAAATTGACCACATAATTGGAAGTAAAACACTCCTCAGTAAATGCAAAAGAACAGAAATCATAACAGTCTCTCAGACCACAGTGCAATCAAATTAGAACTCAGGATTAAGAAACTCACTCAAAGCCACACAACTAGATGGAAACTAACCTGCTCCTGAATGACTACTGGGTAAATAATGAAATTAAGGCAGAGATAAAGATGTTCTTTGAAACCAATGAGAATGAAGACACAACGTATGAGAATCTCTGGGACACATTTAAAGCAGTGTGTAGAGGGAAATTTATAGCACTAAATGCCCACAAGAGAAAGCAGGAAAGATCTAAAATTGACACCCTAACATCACAATTAAAAGAACTAGAGAAGCAACAGTAAACAAATTAAAAATCTACAGAAGACAAGAAATAACTAAGATGAGAGCAGAACTGAAAGAGATAGAGACACGACAAACCCTTCAAAAAATCAATGAATTGGCTGGGCATGGTGGCTCATGCCTGTAATCCCAGCACTTTGGGAGGCCTAGGTGGGCGGATCACAAGGTCAGGAGATCAAGACCATCCTGGCTAACAGGGTGAAACCCCATCTCTACTAAAAAAATACAAAAAATTAGCCAGGCGTGGTGGCGGGTGCCTGTAGTCCCAGCCACTTGGGAGGCTGAGGCAGGAGAATGGCGTGAACCCGGGAGGCGGAGCTTGCAGTGAGCCGAGATCGGGCCACTGCACTCCAGCCTGGGTGACAGAGCAAGACTCCGTCTCAAAAAAAAAAAAAAAAAATCAATGAATCCAGGAGCTGGTTTTTTGAAAAGATCAACAAAATATATGGACCACTAGCCAGACTAATAAAGAATAAAAGACAGAAGAATCAAATAGATGCAATAAAAAATGATATAGGGGATATCACCACTGATCCCACAGAAATACAAACTACCATCAGAGAATACCATAAACACCTCTCAGCAAATAAACTAGAAAATTTAGAAGAAATGGATAAATACCTGGACACATACACCCTCCCAAGTCTAAACCAGGAAAAATCGAATCCCTGAATAAACCAATAACAAGCTCTGAAATTGAGGCAGTGATTAATAGCCTACCAACCAAAAAAAGTCCAGGACTAGATGGATTCACAGCCGAATTCTACCAGAGGTACAAAAAGGAGCTGGTACCATTCCTTCTGAAACTATTCCAATCAATAGAAAAAGAGGGAATTCTCGCTAACTCATTTTATGAAGCCAGCATCATCCTGATACCAAAACCTGGGAGAGACACAACAAAAAAAGAAAATTTCAGGCCAATATCCCTGATGAACATCAATGCAAAAATCCTCAATAAAATGCTGGCAAACTGAATGCAGCAGCACATCAAAAAGCTTATCCACCACAATCAAGTCAGCTTTATCCCTGGGATGCAAGGCTGGTTCAACATATGCAAATCAATAAATGTAATCCATCACATAAATAGAACCAATGACAAAACCACATGATTATCTCAATAGATGCAGAAAATGCCTTCAACAAAATTCAACACCTCATTCACGCTAAAAACTCTCAATAAACTAGGTATCAATGGAACGTATCTCAAAATAATAAGAGCTATTTATGACAAGCCCACAGCCAATATCATATTGAATGGGCAAAAACTGGAAGCATTTTCTTTGAAAACTGGCACAAAACAAGGATGCCCACTCTCACCACTCCTATTCAACACAGTATTGGAAGTTCTGGCCAGGGCAATCAGGCAAGAGAAAGAAATAAAGGGTATTCAAATAGGGAGAGAGGAAGTCAAATTGTCTCTGTTTGCAGAGGACATGATTGTATATTTAGAAAACCCCATTGTCTCAGCCCAAAATCTCCTTAAGCTGATAAGCAACTTCAGCAAAGTCTCAGGATACAAAATCGATGTGCAAAAATCACAAGCATTCCTGTACACCAATAACAGACAAACAGAGGGCCAAATTATGAGTGAACTCCCATTCACAATTGCTACAAAGAGAATAAAATACCTAGGAATACAACTTACAAGAAATGTGAAGGACTTCTTCAAGGAGAATTACAAACCACTGCTCAAGGAAATAGGAGAGGACACAAACAAATGGAAAAACATTCCATGCTCATGGATAGGAAGAATCATATTGTGAAAATGGCCATACTTCCCAAAGTAATTTATAGATTCAATGCTATCCCCATCAAGCTACCACTGACTTTCTTCATGGAATTGGGAAAAACTACTTTAAACTTCATGTGGAACCAAAAAGGAGCTCTCATAGCCAAGACAATCCTAAGCAATAAGAACAAAGCTGGAGGCATCACGCTACCTGACTTCAAACTATACTACAAGGCTACAGTAACTAAAACAGCATGGTACTGGTACCAAAACAGATACATAGACCAATGGAACAGAACAGAGGCCTCAGAAATAACACCACACATCTACAACCATCTGATCTTTGACAAACCTGACACAAAAAGCAATGGGGAAAAGATTCCCTATTTAAAAAATGGTGTTGGGAAAGCTGGCTAGTCAAATGGAGAAAACTGAAATTGGACCCCTTCCTTATACTTGATACAAAAATTAACTCAAGATGGATGAAAGACTTAAACGTAAGACCCAGGACCATAAAAATCCTAGAAGAAAACCTGCGCAATACCATTAAGGACATAGGCACGGGCAAAGACTTCATGACTAAAATACCAAAAGCAATGGCAACAAAAGCCAAAATTGACAAATGGGATCTAATTAAATTAAAGAGGTTCTGCACAGCAAAAGAAACTACCATCAGAGTGAACAGGCAACCTACAGAATGGGAGAAAATTGTTGCAATCTATCCCTCTGACAAAGGGCTAATATCCAGAATCTACAAAGAACTTAAACAAACTTACAAGAAAAAAAAACAAACAACCCCATCAAAAAGTAGGCAAAGGAGGCCGGGCGCGGTGGCTCACGCCTGTAATCCCAGCACTTTGGGAGGCCGAGGCGGGCGGATCACGAGGTCAGGAGATTGAGACCATCCCGGCTAAAATGGTGAAACCCCGTCTCTACTAAAAATACAAAAAATTAGCCGGGCGTAGTGGCGGGCGCCTGTAGTCCCAGCTACTTGGGAGGCTGAGGCAGGAGAATGGCGTGAACCCGGGAGGCAGAGCTTGCAGTGAGCCGAGATCCCGCCACTGCACTCCAGCCTGGGCGACAGAGTGAGACTCCGTCTCAAAAAAAAAAAAAAAAAAAAAAAAAAAAAAAAAAAAAAAGTAGGCAAAGGATATGAACAGACACTTCTCAAAAGAAGACATTTATGCAGCCAACAGACATATGGAAAAAATGCTCATCATCACTGGTCATTGGAGAAACGCAAAACCACAATGAGATACCATCTCACACCAGTTAGAATGGCAATCATTAAAAAGTCAGGAAACAACAGATGCTGGAGGGGATGTGGAGAAATAGAGACGCTTTTACACTGTTGGTGGGAGTGTAAATTAGTTCAACCATTGTGGAAGACAGTGTGGCGATTCCTCAAGGATCTAGAACCAGAAATACCATTTGACCCAGTAATCTCATTACTGGGTATATACCCAAAGGATTAGAAATCATTCTACTATAAAGACACATGCACACATATGTTTACTGCAGCACTATTTACTACAGAAAAGACTTAGAGCCAACCTAAATGTCCATCAATAATAGATTGGATAAAGAAAATGTGGCATATATACACCATGGAATACTATGCAGCCATAAAAAATGATGAATTCACATCCTTTGCAGGGACATGGATGAAGCTGGAAACCATCATTCTCAGCAAACTATCACAAGAACAGAAAACCAAACACTGCATGTTCTCACTCATAAGTGGGAGTTGAAAAATGAGAACACATGGACGTAGGGAGGGGAACATCACACACTGGGGCCTTTCGGGGGTGGGGGGCTATGGGAGGGATAACACTAGGAGAAATACCTAACGTAGGTGATGGGTTGATGGGTGCAGCAAACCACCATGGCATATGTATACCTATGTAACAAAACTGCACGTTCTGCACATGTACCCCAGAACTTAAAATATAATAATAAAAAAAGAAAAAGAAAAGGCCAAGTGGAAGCTCATGACATTGCATACTGGGTCCTCCACCCCTGGGCAAGATAACCAAGAGTAAATCATTCTGAATGAAGAGTGATACCAACCACAATTTAAAAGATGTACAATCCTGCTTATTTCTCCAGTCTTGCTTTTGTAGAAGCTAGACAGAGCACAACAGATGAGGGTAGACTTCTGCAAATTTAACAAGCTGGTAGTCCCAGTTGCAACTGCTGTGCAGATGGGATCTTTACTAGATAGACACAGTCTCTTGTATTTTTTACGCAGCTGATGATCTGGCAATGTGTGCATCCTTTTCAATCCCTATCAAGAAAGAGGATCGGAAGCAATTTGTATTCACTTAGAGCAGTGACAGTGAACATCCAGTCTTACCCAAGGACTCTCCTGCTGTTTGAGACAATATAGTATAAAGGGGTCTTGATCCACAATATTGACAATATCAGACCTAGTGAGCAGGAAGTTGCAAGTGTCCCGGATCCCCTTATAAAGACACATGAGCAGTAAGTATAAAGTGAGAGATAAACCTACAAAGTTTGAAGGTCTTATTACTTTGGTAAAGTTTTAAAAGGCCAGTGGTCTGGGACATTCTGTCCAAGGTAAAGGATGAGTTACTGTACCTTGTACCTTCAACCTCTAAAAAAGAGGCACAGTATTTTGCAGGCCTCTTTAGTTTTCAAAGAGAGCATAAAGCGCACTAAAGAATACTGTTTTGACCCATTTAGTGGGTGACATGGAAAGCTGTCATTTTTGAGTGGGGCACACAGCAAGAAAGAGCTCTGTAGTTTTAGGTTGTAGTACCAGAGGCTTTGCTTCCTGGGCCATACATCTGGCTAGATCCCACAATACTAAAGGTCCCACAATGCTGTGGTATGTAAGGATACCTTCTGGAGTCTTAGGAAAGCCACAACAGGAGCCTCTCTCTGTAGATCCTTGCTGTCTGCAGCAGAGAATAATTCCCCATTCAAAAAACAGCTCTTGGCATGCTCTTGGGCTCTGGTAGAGAATGAATGCCTGGTCATGGGATATCAAGTGACTATGCAACTGGAAGTATCCACTATGAGCTGGTTATGTCAGACAAGTCAAGTCCTAAAGTCAGGCAGGCACTGCAGCAACCCATTAAATGATAAAAATGGAACAATGGGATCAGGCTCAAACAGGTCTTCAGGGCACAAATAAATTTCAAAAATAAGCAGCCCAGATGCCCATGTCACCTGTCTCATGCACCAATGTCTCTTTCAGCTCACACCTCATGTGGAATTCCCTAAGAAGAGCTGACAGAAAATGAAAACAAAATTCATGGATGAATCACAATATACTGGTAAAAGCTGTAAATGTAATGCTTCCAGACATGAGTTCCTCTCACAAGTGGCCCTGAAAAATGGTGATTAGGGGAAATCTTCCTGGCAGGCAGAGCT
Source organism: Homo sapiens (assembly GCF_000001405.40). NCBI lineage: Eukaryota > Metazoa > Chordata > Mammalia > Primates > Hominidae > Homo > Homo sapiens. The sequence continues at coordinate 109,687,173 of NC_000006.12, forward strand.
TTAAGCAGTATTCCTAGGCCCTCAATTTGGAGGACAATGCGGATTGGTTTCATCAAGGGCCTAGAAGGTACAAGATCAGAAGGTAAGAGAAAAAGAGTTCTGGGGAAGAAGCATGTGATTGGGCCTATGAGGGTGGTGTAGCAAACACACCCTAATCTGACCTCCAGTGAGTCACACCCTTGCATAATCCTCTTCCTTTGAGTGGGAGTGGGGTCTGTAACTTGCTTCTAAATAGAGCAAAGGTGACAGAATGTCTGTCTCATGAATATGCTACATGGTATAAGACTCCATTTTAGGGGACTGGAGGGAGACTTTCTGTTGGCTTGGAAGAAGTAAGCTGCCATGTTGTGAGAGGACCACGTGATGAGGAAGAGTGGGTGGCATGTGAGTGCAGCCCCTGCCAACAGCTGGTAAGAAAACAGTGACCTCAGTCCTACAACCACAAAACGATGATGCTTGCCAACAATGTGAATCAGCTTGGGAGTGGATTCTTCCCTAGTCAAGTCTCCAGATGGAAGCACATCTCAGCCAACACCAGATTGCAGCCTTGTAAAACCCTGAGCAGAGGACCCAGGTGAGTGATGCCAGGGCTCCTGGCCATGGAAACCGTGCGATCACAAATGTGTGTTGTTTTAAGCTGCTAAATTTGCAGTAATTTGCTATGCAGCATAGAAAACTAATGTAAGTGGATGTAAAATACATAGATATTTGTATCTCAGAAAGCATCCACCTCAGAAGAGGCACTGAAAAAACCAGGTGGACAGGATAATTTATCCAGTAGACATGAGCCAATCTTTGCTTCTGGTCACCTCAATGCTTGCATAATGGGTTTGTAAATGAAGTAGGCATGGTGGCAGGGATGAAGGTGATGAAGGATAGGCATGGGCTCATATCAAGGCCTCCTTTCACCAGGCTGGTTTAGCTACACTACTGCTGCTGAATGTTCTACCTGTTCATGGCAGAGACCTGTTCATATTAAGCCCTCAATACGGTACAACCCCTTTAGGAGACAAAACATTCATTCAGTGACAAATTGATTACAAATTGAGACCTGTTCATATTGAGCCCTCAATATGGTACAACCCCTTTAGGAGACAAAACATTCATTCAGTGACAAATTGATTACACAGGACCCCTTCACCTTTAAAGGGGCAAGTGACAAATGCTCCTAATATGGGCTTGTTTTTCCTACCTGCAGTGCCTTGGCCAGCACCACTACCTAAAGGTTTAGAGTATGTCTCATTTATCTTCATGAGATCTCATATACCATTGCCTTGGATCAGAGGACCCTTTTTACAATACCACTTTACCTAGAAGCTACTGGTTTGACAGAATGTTGGAATGGTCTCTTAAAGGCACAGCTAAGGCGCTAGCTTGGGATTGTGTGGGATTGAGACAATGTACTTCAAGATGAGGAACATGCTTTGAATCAAGGGCTGGAAGTAGGAGTGACCCCTCTCACTAATACTCTCAGTGATTGACTTGGGAAATTTGCACCTCACTTCTGGACAAGAGGTCCTGGGTCTGGTGGAGGGGAGAGATGGTTCTATCAGGGGACCCAGTAAAGGTTTCATTAAATCTTAAAACTACTGCTGCCACCTGGTCATTTTTGACTCCAAAAGCTCATAAGGAGTTATTGCACTGGCAGATGGAGATAGGGTTGCTGCTATGTGATTGGATGAGATTGGGGGTGCTCAGGGTGGTATGGCCATAAACTGCTAGATAAGTGGGATAGGGGATGCATTTCTTGAACTCAGGGGATTCTCTGAGACAGCTCTTGATGCTTTCATGTCCAGTGAATGGGTAATTGCAGCAACCAAAACCTTACAATGACACAGTAACCAAGGGCTTATGCTCCTCAGGGATGAAAGCTTGTTATCCTACTGGGCAAACACAGACCAGCAGAAGTGTTGGCCAAGAGTAAGGAAAATCTAGAATGATGTTAGAGGAAGGAGATGATCAATTAGAGACCTCAGATTAATTGCAGTAGTGGATTCTGCAGCTTGTCCCATTAATCTTTTTTTTTGTAAGTCCTTTTCTTTTAAAAATTGAGACTAGCCACTACCTTAAAGAATTAGGGTGGCATGGTGTGAACTTGATGTGGAGGAAGAATGGATACGAGTGCTGCAAAGGGTGGAATGTAGCAGCTGCTATTAGTGCCTCCCCCATATCCACTTGACATACACCTTTTCTATGCACGACCAGCCCAACTTCCAAAATGTTAGCATGTGCGACTTTTTGCCTAAGGGCTTTCTCTGGCTGCCAGAACCTACTCTCCCTGAACACAGGGTAGACTGGAAGTTCTAGGGCATCAATGTTCTGCCCTATCAGGCTTCATCCAATAACTGATGGAAGTTGGCGAATAAATACTCCAGCTTCCTTGCCCCTCAAGAGGGGATAACTGAGACATGCCTCCCAGTATTCCCTAGTGAATTCAGCCCACAGAGAAATTTCTCTGGTAATATTTCCTTTATTAGTTTTCTTCCCCTCCCTGCTGCTGTTTCCTGGGATTACGTCTCATATAAACAACCTGCCTTCAAAGTTTTGTCTTAGGATCTGATTCCGGGTGAAATAAACTAAGATAAAGTTAAAATGGAAGTGCTAAACTATAATAATTGAAAACTAGAATCCTTCAGGTATTTTAAGAGTTGCTATCCTAGATAAAAACACTGTGCAAACATTTAACTAATATTCAGAAGAGTTGGTTTCATTATGAAACAGAACACAGCTAACTATTTTTCCCAGTTAAAAGATCCAAGTCCAAAATGCCAGAACGGACACGGCCATCCTTCTAGTTCTTAATAAAAGGAGTACCAAACTACAGGGGGAAAGAAGCGCAAAATAACATAGACTTAAGTATTTCTTTACAATTTTTGTAATTTCTCAAATTTTAATTTACAATATGATCTTTGGTATTACATGAATGTTATCTGGGTATGCTATAATTCTATAATTTTTTTTTAAAGTTTCCTTACACTTAGCAGTTGAGAAGCCCTCTAGCAGAGGTTTCTGAGGTTTAGAGGTTTCCTGGGAAACCTAGAATTGCCGCCTAAGATAGGATAGCTGCCTCTCCCCTACATCTTATACTCTTGCAGTAGGTGTTCAGTAAATATTTGTGGAATAAATACTTCAGTCGTTGAAAGGAGACGTGGTTTTAAAAAGTGGATTTACAAAGAGACCGTTTTGCAAGAAAAGAAGCTGGTCTGGGGGTCCCCGCAGGAGGCGGGGTTCCGTGCAACAGATACCAAGATGCCTCCAGGGCGGACCACGACCCAGCGGGCCGCCGGAAGGCTCCTTACCTGGCCGCAGCCGGACCCTCCTCAGGGAAGCAACTGCCTCCAGGGACTCCGCGGGGCTGTCGGGCGGTTGCCGGGGAGACCTCTGGCCGCCACGCACCTGCTGCTTGGTGGGGCGGGGCCTCGAGAGGCGGGGCTGTAGTTCTTTGTCATTTCTTTTCCAATTCGAAATAGTCACTTTTGTACCTAATTTGGCATTTATAATTATAATACACTCATTTTCACAACTATGGAAGAGAGGGTACGCGCATGCCCATTTATGTCGCACACATGAAATGAAGAAACCTCATTTCAAGCGCGGCTCCGCCACACTGCGCTAGTCTCTGTCGACAACTTCAAGTGGCTAGCCTCACGCACAAACGTGTGGCAAAGCCACACTTTCCAGCTTTAGGTGATTTTAAAACAATTTCTTGGGCCACACAGCGTAGGTACAACATGGATTAGAGGTGAGGGGAAAACTGACACTCAGTGAAGGACCGTCAGAGGGCCGGCTTCCAGGAAAATGGGCCGCAGCAGGCAGGGAAAACACAAGGATCTATCCTGCAACTCGGAGAACCCTTTTCAAAAGAAGCTACCCAATCCCAAACCTTCCGCTTTTTTCCAAAGAGAGGGAGGAGATAAATAGACTCAATTAATCCGTCGACTTTTTCTCCGCCCATGTTTTCCTCCAATCCTTACCAAAGATGGTGCCCTTCGCTTCCTCTCTCGGCAGCACGCAGGTCCCGGGAGCCTCTACCCGACCTCTCTATGATACGTCCTCCAGCCCCGCTCCCGACGTGAGGGGCGGGGCTTGCCTGGAGGCGGGGCGCAGGGATCCGGAAACACCTGATCATCTATAGGTTTAGTGCCTAATGGGTGTTGTTCCTGGCTGGACTTGATGTCCAGGGCCTGAGGGGTTTTCTCGCCGAGTCTCCTGGGGCGGTCCGGAGGCTCGTGCCCTGTTGTGGGGCCCCCATTTGCCGCCGCCATGCCCACGGCCGCCGCCCCCATCATCAGCTCGGTCCAGAAGCTGGTTCTGTATGAGACTAGAGCTGTGAGTACCCCCTCGCGGCGGGGCGCAGGCGGGAGGATGGATGTCTGCCGGTGGGTGTGGGGCCGTAGGACAGAGGCTGTACTCTGCCTCCTCCTCCTTCCTCTCCAGTTCCCAAATCCCTGTCAAACACAGCCTTGGGGTAAGCTAGCTCCCTTGAGCTGTGCCTGGGCGCCTTTCCCCTATTTTGGTACCCTGGACATTGCAGCATTTGCAGGTCCACTTACAAGCCATGGCTGGAACACGCTGGAAACAGGTGCTTGTGGTACCTCAGGAACTGTTCATGAGGTTCTCTGTACGAGTTACTGGATTCTTTTCAGCTTTCAGAAAGTCTGTTAAAGTTCTAGAGTTCACAAGTTACAGTACAGGCAGGGGTATGAAAAAAATTTGAACTATGACTTGTAACTTATTTTTTCCTATTCCATGGTATACCATCACTGCGATTCATGTGAATTACACTTCTATTGGTGAACTTTTTGGTTCTCTTTTTTTCTTATTTGAAAGGAAAGGAAAACTTACTTTGTTTAAAGACAGATAATTTGTTTGGATAACATCTTGCTTTTCACTTGACTTTTTTCAACATAACATTTACTTTTAAAATTTTATTACTTTGAATGGCCATGTAAATAGTGAATAAGCAGATCAGTTTGTATTTCGATTACCAGTTCCTCAATTAAGGGAGAATGGTGTTTATATAACTTCATACTTGGTCCTTTCTGTGGGTGGAAAGCAAAGTTGGTACAGTATAGCTCTTCTAAATTGGGGTGCCACAGTGATATTAGGGACTGTGTTTAATATTACCCATTTCATGCTAACAAGATTGCATATGCCAGATATTTTCATAATGCTCTTCACTATGTTATAGAGTGCTTTATAAACTGTTTCTCTGAAACTTGGGTTGTCTCCATTAGAGGAGTATGAGAAGGCATTTAACAGTTTCTCAGTTATAACGTAGTCCTAATAGCACAATAACCTCTCCCTCAGGTTAACATGAGTAGAGAATTGTGGACCTTAAATTAATTTTGCTGACAACTTTGATTAGATCTAGAGCAGAAAATGACATTATCAAATATACTGTATTTGCAAGTATTTTCAGTTCTCTAATGAGACCCATAAAGAAGTATCATTTGTCATTGAAATGAAACCTATTTTCTGTAAAATATGCTGCTAAATTTCCCTCATTAGAAACATAAATAACTTTTTTTTTTTTCCCTTTGAGACAGAGTCTTGCTCTGTCACCCAGGCCGGAGTGCAGTGGTGCTATCTCGGCTCACTCACTGCAACCTCTGCTTCCCAGGTTCAAGAAGTTCTCGCACCCCAGCCTCCCAAGTAGCTAGGATTACAGGAATGTGACACCATGACCGGCTAATTCTTGTGTTTTTAATAAAAGACAGGGATTCTCCATGTTGGCCAGGCTGGTCTAAAACTCCTGGCTTCAGCCTCCCAAAGTGTTGGGATTACAGGCATGAGCCACCGCATCTGGCCGTAAATAAAACACAAATTTCAGCCCATTAAAAAGCTGATCACTCATGAGGACTGCGTGAGATATTAGTGTTCAGAAAGCACAATTCATATTATAGGGCTCTTCTGCTCAGAAATCTTCAGTGGTCCCAATTCTGAAGCAAGTAAACTCTGAATCCCTTAGTTGGCATTCAAAGCCATGTATTATTTGTCCTCAACTTGTCTATCTAGTTTTACATCTAATTTAATATCAATTAATGAAACATTTATTGAGGATCAACCATGTGCCTTCATATGCCTTATTCTGCAGTAAAACTGTATTGCTTTCAGTTCCCTATATCTGCCCTGTGTTTTTCTGCTGTTCTCTATTCTCTTAATGCCACACCCCCTCTTTTCCTGTCAAAACCTTGCTGATCCTCACAGCACATATCTGGTCATGCCTTGCAAACAGTAGTCTCTCAATAGATGTGGATTAAGGAGCTCTAACACAAAGAGATAGAGGTGTGTTCCAGAACTCAGCTGTGACCCCTCTCAACTGCCTAAGTAATGGAAACTAACTCTGGCCAGCTTAGAGACAAAAGGTAAATTTATCAGAGGGATGCTAGGGGAGCCATTGCATGGTATCCAGCTTCTGGAAAAGCAGGAAAGAGATAACAGGTTTGAGAACCCTCTCAGAGTACTGCCAAAAACAGTGTAGGTGCTGGGAGAAAAAATCTGATCGACTCAACTATGATTGGTTATCATCCCCTGAGTGGACAAATCATTCATGGCCAGGGGGGGTCTGGCAGGAATGATTTAGCTGTGGAATCAGGATCCTCTTTGTTTCAGCAAATGGTTGGGGCTGGGCAACCACCCTTGAAAATGTCTGCTGCATTGAATCACTGAGTCTCGGTTTTGTTAAATAATTTTTTTTTTTTGGTTAAAGATATAAGCAGAAAGGTTTTGTTTTGTTTTGTTTTGTTTTTACTAATAAGCTCAAAGTATAAATAAATAAGAAAAAGGCATAAAATTACAGGCAACTGGATAAATGCTATGAATTAAAAAAACAAAAACTGTAGTAGGTTGTAATAATGAGGATAATAGCTCAAAATATTCTACATATATTTTATTATTTAATCCTCATAAGACCTCTAAGAGATCATGCTGTTAATTCTACTACTATATATATTATTTAGTAAAGAAAAAAAATGAGGCAAAGATAATTTAAGGCAGTTACTTAACCCATTTATGCCAGAGGTTGCAAATTTTTTTGTGTGAAAAATCAGACCTTTGCGATGACCTTGAGCAGTAGGATATAAATAACTCCCACAAGCTTAGCGTTCCAATAACGGAACACTAGGCATAAGGTGTGGTGCAGGTGCTAAGAATGTATACTGGGGAAAGGACAGTCTCTTCAATAAATGGTGTTGAGAAAACTGGATATCCATGTGCAGAATGAAATAAGGCCCTTCTCTCTTGCCATATCCACAGATCAACTTAAAATGGATTAAAGGCTTAAGTGCAAGACCCAAAACTGTAAAACTACCAGAAGAAAACATAGGGGAAATGCTTCAGGATATTGGTCTAGGCAAAGATTTTATGAGTAAGACTTTAAAAGCACAGGGAACAAACCCAAAAATAGACAAATGGGACTATATCAAGCTGAATAGCTTCTGCACAGCAAAAGAAACAATCAACAGAGTGAAGAGGCAACCTATAGAATGGAGAAAATATTTGCAAACTCTTCATCCAAGAAGGGACTAATATCCAGAATATATGAGGAATTCAACAACTCAACAGCAAATACCCCCAGATAATCCAATTAAAAATGGGCAAGGATCTGAGTAGACATTTCTCAAAAGAAGATATACAAATGGCCAACAGGTATATGAAAAATTACTCAAGGTCACTAATTATCAGGGAAATGCAAATTAAAACCACAGTGAGATATCATGTCACCTCAGTTAAAATGGCTATTTTCAAAAGGACAAAAATTATCAAATGCTGGTGAGGATATGGAGAAAGGGAATTCTTATATAGTATTGGTGGTAATGTAAATTAGTATAGCCATTATAGAAAACAGTATGGAGGTTCCTCAAAAAACTAAAAATCCGGCAGTCCCACTACTGGGTGTGTATATGAGGGGATTTCAAAAAGTTCATGGGAAAATGGAATTAAAAGATAAAAATAACAAATGTAAACTTTATTTCTCAAGCTAACTTCCGTCAAGGTCAAGACATTTTTGTAACTAATGATACCAGCCATTTAATTCATCCACAAAGAACCGAGGGTCCTGGGAATTTAACCATATTGGTGCAGTCTTTTTTACTCTGTTAACTAAAGAAAAATGGGTGCCCTTTAAGGATTCTTTTTAAGATGAGGAAACAAAAAGAAGTCAGAAGGAGCAAAATTGGAACTGTAAGGCAGATGCCTAATTATTTTCCATTGAAACTCTTGCAGAATTCCCATGTTTGATGAGAGGAATGAGCAGCAGCATTGTTGTGGTGGAGAAGGACTCTGTGATGGAGCTTCCTGGGTATTTTTCTGCTAAAGTGTTGGCTGACTCTCTCAAAACACTCTCATAATAAGCAGATACTGTTCTTTAGCTTTCCAGAAAGTCAACGAGCAAAATGCAGTGAATACACACACACACACACACACAGACACACACACACACACACACACAATGTTGCCATGACCTTTCCTCTTGGCCCGTCTGCTTTGCTTTAATTGGACCACTGCCACCTGTTGGTAGCCATTGCTTTGGTTGTGCTTTGACTTTAGGATCATACTGGTAACGCCATATTTAATACAGTTCTTTGAAGAAATGCTTCAGGATCTTGATCTCACTTGTTTAAAATTTCTATAGAAGGCTCTGCTCTTGTCTGCAGCTGATCTGGGTGAAACAGCGTTGGGAGCCATCAAGTGGAAAGTTTGCTCAACTTTAAATTTTCAGGCAGAATTGTGTAAGTTGTACCAATTGAGATGTCTATGGTGTTGGCTCTTATTTCTGCTGTTAATCATCTGTTCTCTTTAATCAGGGAACAAACAAGTGAATTTTTTTCCTGAAAAATTTACATGGGTGGTCTGCTGCTGTGGGCTTTATCTTCAACATTGTCTCATCCCTTCTTAAAGTTATTCATTTGTAAACTGCATATTTCTTTGGGGCATTGTCCCCATAAACTTTTAATAAGCATCAATGATTTCACCCTTCTTCCACCCAAGTTTTACCATAGATTTGACGTTTGTTCATGTTTCAATTTTAGCAGAATTCATGTTGCTCTGACGGGCTGTTTTCAAACTGATCTGTTATCCTTCCTAGTACTTCAAACTAGATCCTGTTCAGACATGTTATAGCAAGTTAGTATCAGTTTATTTTGGTGCAAAAAAATTTTGAAATCCATAGCTTTTTTATAATACGCATTTTCCATGAACTTTATCAAGTCCCCTTATATATTCAAAAGAAAGGAAATCAGTATGTCAAAGACATATCAGCACCTCCATGTTTATTGTAGCACTATTCACGATAGCTAAGATGTGGAATCAGCCTAAATGTGAATTGACAGGTGAATGGATTAAAAAATGTGGTATATATACACACAATGGAATACTATTCAGCCAGGAAAAAGAATGAATTTCTGTCATTCACAGCAAATATGGATGAGTCTAGAGGACATTATGTTATATGAAATCAGGCAGGCACAGAAAGATAAATGTTCTCATTCACACGTGGGTGCTAAAAAACGATGTTGAGCTTATAGAAGCAGAGAGTAGAATTGTGGTTATTCGAGGGTAGGAAGGGTAGGAAAGAGGGAATGATAGGGAGGGAGGGTTAACAGATATAAAATAACAGCTACATAAGAGGAATAAGCTCTAGTGTTTTATAGCACTGTAGGCTGACTATAGGTAAATAATTTATCATAGATTTTCACTTAGCTAGAAGAAAGGATTTTGAGTGATCCCAACACAAAGAAATTATAGATGTTTGAGGTGATGGATATGCTAATTACCCTGATTTGATCATTACACAGTGTACGCATGTATTAAAATATCACTCTATGTTTCATATGTACAATTATTACATGTTACCTAAAAAAGGGAAAAATGAGGTCAGGAGATTGAGAGCATCCTGGCTAACACAGTGAAACCCCGTCTCTACTAAAAATACAAAAAATTAGCTGGGCATGGTGGTGGGCGCCTGTAGTCCTAGCTACTCGGGAGGCTGAGGCAGGAGAATGGCGTGAACCTGGGAGGTGGAGCTTGCAGTGAGCCGAGATTGTGCCACTGCACTCCAGCCTGGGCGACAGAGTGAGACTCTGTCTCAAAAAAAAAAAAAAAAAAGGGAAAAATGTATGATTCAGTAGATCAGGATTTTGGGAGTGACTTAGCTGAGTGATTCTGGCTCAGGGTCTCATGAAGTCGCAGTCAAGATTCAACTGGGTTGCAGTCATCTGAAGGCTTGAAAGAAATGGCAGATTTACTTCCCAAATAGCTAACTCACGTGCCTGACAAGTTGAGCTGACTGTTGACAAGGAGCTTTGCCTTCTTGCATCATGGACATTTCCACAGGACTCCTTGAGTGTCTGTCCTTATAATGTGGTAGCCTGCTTCATCCAGAGAGAGTTATGCAAGAGAAACAAGGAGGAAACTGCAATGTCTTTTGTGACTGAGCCTCAGAAGTCACACTCTTATCATTTCTACAATATTCTTACACAGGTTAGCCCTGTTGAGTATGGAAGGGGGCCATACGAAGGACATGAATACCAAGAGACAAGAATCATTAAGAGTTCTTGGAGGCTGCAGAGATTAAAGTTCACTTTTGTCTGTACCTCAATTGTCCCATATCATTTGTAAAAATGACTATCCTTTATTGAATTTCTTTGGCATCCTTTGAAAAAACTAGTTGACTGAATAAATGTGGATCTTTTCTTAAACTCTTTCCATTGATCAATTTTTTTTTTTTTTTCTAAGACGGTGATTTGCACTGTCGCCCAGGCTGGAGTGCAATGGCACGATCTCGGCTCACTGCAACCTCTGCCTCCTGGGTTCACACGATTCTCCTGCCTTAGCCTCCCGGATAGCTGGGATTACAGGTGCACACCACCACATCTGGCTAATTTTTTGTATTTTTAGTAGAGACGGGGTTTCACTATGTTGGCCAGGCTGGTCTCGAACTTCTGACCTTGTGATCCGCCCGCCTCAGCCTCCCAAAGTGCTGGGATTACAGGCTTGAGCCACCGTGCCTGGCCTGTTTTTTTTTTTTATTTTTTTATTTTTTAGTGTCATTACCAACTTGTCTTGATAATTGTAGTTTTATAGTAAGTCTTAAAATCAGGAAGTTTTCCAACTTTATTCTTTTCCCAAATTATTATGGCTATTCTAGAACCTTTGTGTTTCCATATGAATTTTACAATAGGCTTGTCAACTTCTAATAAAAAGCCTGTTGGGATTGTGATTTGAATTTCATGGAATCTGTAGACCAATTCGGGATAATTGAAATTGTATAATCTAGAAAGAGGAACACTTTTTGCTTCCCCATCTTGATGCCATTTATTTCTTTCTCTTGACCTATGGCCCTGGCCAGGACCTCTAGTACAAAGTTGAATAGAAGTGACCGGAACAGACATTCTTGTCTTGTTTTTTATCTTAGAGGGAAAGTATTCAGTCTTTCACTGTTGAGTATGATGTTAGCTATTGGTTAGATACCCTTTTTCAGATTGAGGAATATTTCTTGCTTTGGTCTGATGAGACTTTATAAAAAAATTGTGAGTGGATGTTGAATTTTGTCAAATGTTTTTTTCACATCTGCACATGACATTTTCTTTATTTGCGTATTATGGCCAATTACATTAATTCATTTTCAAATGTTAAACCTTGGATTTTGGAGGTATACCCTACTTGATCATGATTTATTACTGTTTTTATATATTGCTAGATTCTATATGCTAATATTTTGTTAAGAATCTTTGCTTTTATTAATACATTCAGGATATTGGTCTATCATTTTCTTAATGTCTTTGTCTGATTTTGATATCAGGATAACTCTAGCTTCATAAAATGAGTTAAAAAGTGTTCATTTTCTGAAAGTGATTATATGATTGGTATTGCTTCTATTTTTCAATGTTTGCTAGGATTCACCAGTGAAAGATTTGTGAATAGAGTTCCTTTGTGGGGTGAATTTTGATAATGATATCAATCATTTTCCATAACAGATATAGGGCTATACACATTTTCAGTGGACCTAGAATCAGTTTTGACAAATTATATTTTTCCAGGAATTTGTTCATTTTATCTTAGTTGTTGAATTTATTGGCATTAAGTTGCCCATAATATTCCCTTATAATCCTTTTGATGTCTATAGGATTTGTAGTAAAATTTTCACTTTTATTTCTGACATTGGTGTTTTGTGTTCTCTTTGATTTTGCTTTGATTCATCTTGCTAGGGATTTGAAAGAATAAACTTTTGACTTGGTTAATTTTCTATATTGTGTATTTTCTGGTTAATTAATTTCTGCTCCTAGGCTTATTTTTTTTCCTCATACGCGGTTTTTTTTTGTTTGTTTTTTTTTTGTTTTTTTTTTTGAGACGGAGTCTTGCTGTGTCGCCCAGGCTGGAGTGCAGTGGCTCGATCTCGGCTCACTGCAGCCTCTGCCTCCTGGGTTCAAGTGATTCTCCTGCCTTAGCCTCCCAAGTAACTGGGACTACAGGCCCACGCCACCATGCCCAGCTAATTTTTTGAATTTTCGGTAGAGACAGGATTTCACCATGTTGGCTAGCCTGGTCTCGAACTCCTGACTTCAAGTGATTTGCCTGCCTCGGCCTCCCAAAGTGCTGGGATTACAGGTGTGAGCCACCGTGCCTGGCCTCTCATGTGCATTTTGGATTAATCAGTGTCTTATTCCGTTCAGGCTGCTGTAACAAAATCCCATCAACTAGTTGGCTTACGATTTTCACAGTTTGGAGGCTGGTAAGTCCAAGATCAAGGCACTGGCAGATCCAGTGTCTGGTGAGGACCTGCTGTGTCCACACACAATGGAAGGAGCAAATAAGGCTTCCTTGAACCTCTTTCATAAGTGCACTATCCCCATTCATGAGGGCTCTGCTCTCAGGACTGAATCACTTCCAAAAAGTCCCACTTCTGAATACTATTGCATTAAGGATTAGGTTTCAACATATGAATTTTAAATGTTTGGGAGGACACAGACATGTATACCATAGCAATCAACTTATCTTTCTCTAGCTTCATAAGATAGAAATTTATGCCGTTGACTTAATTTTTTTCTAATATAAAACATTTAAAACTATCAATGTAAATTTAAAAGTAGTCAAAAGATTAATGACAGATGGTGAAAGTCTTAGTAGCCTGAACAACAGATAAAGCAGTATATCCTTACATGCAAAAATATCTTATAAAATCAATCTGAAAAATAAAACACCCAATAAAAAGGACAAGGATATCAACAAGTAGCTCACTAAAAAGAAGTTTGAATATGAAAAAATGTTCAACTTGCAAATAATTAAAGCAATAAAATGAAAATAGATTCCCTTTTTCCCCCTGTTAGAATGGCAAAGATTTGCCAAAGCCGTTGCTGGGAAGTATTTGAAAGAAATGGGCATTCTTATTTTGGTTGGTGGGGGTGTATTAGAGGTTGAGTATCCCTAATCTGAAAATATGAAATCTGAAATGCTCCAAAATCCAAAATTTTTTTGGACATGACATGACACCACAAGTGGTAATGCCAACAACTGTGGATTGTCCACATGGGTGGCTGAGCTAGTGATGTCTTTGCTTTCTGATGGTTCAGTGTACACAAACTTTGTTTCATGCACAAAATTATTTAAGACATTGTGTAAAACTACCTTTAGGCTATGTCTATAAGGTGTATATGAAACATAAATGAATTTTATGTTTAGATTGGGTCCCATCCCCAGGATAGCTCATTATGTATATTTTCAAAATCTAAGAAAACAGAAAATCTGATTTACTTCTGGTTCCAAGCATTTCAGATAAGGGACACTCTACCTTTAATTAGTTATAAAGGAATTAGGAGACACATTAAGAAGCAAAAGAGCCAGTGGACAAGATGGGCTGTCTCTTGTCCTGAGCCTTCATTTAGAAATATAATTGGGTAGACTTGCTCTGGAGGCGAAGTTCAGGTCGTTATTGTTCTCTGTGTATAGAGGTGGATTTTGAGGAATATTTGGAGAGGAAAGGGAGCTGTGTTGGCAGATGACATGCAGGAAGTGTAGTTCTAGCTTGTGAGGGTTGGCCCTTTCCCAAACTAACCTATTCTTTTTGGCACCTAGCACCTTCAATATGCTCCTTAGCTCTTGTGACTCGTCTGTGGTCCTAATATGCCTTGTGGCCCAGGCCTAACGCAGCACTAACAGTCATACAGCCCAGTGCAACTAGGAGTTTCCAGCAGAGATTCAGCAACCTGAAGTTATCCTGGGTGAAATTGCAGTTTGCCTTTACAAGAAGGTGCCCTTGCTTAATATGTGATGACATAGGGACCTTAGCATCACAATAAGTGACCATTTCATAACAAAGAAATGAACACATAATAGTTGACGTTAAAATTGGTAGCTAAACAGAACTAGGTCTGCATGTGTCTATTTAGCAGGGGACGGGGAGATGAAAGTTGTTAGGATAATTTTTACTCTTACTTGTTCAAGATTGTTAGCATATATGTATGCATTTATTGCCTGCCTTGTTCCAAAAGGATTTAAGGAAGCTCCCTCCCACCCCCATCACAGAAAGTAGAATAAAACAAGAACCACATGGTGAGGAAATGCACCTTTCTTAATTAGCCTTGATTTGTGTAATCAGTGAATGGGAGAGAGCAATATAGGGTGTAGTTGACTAAGGATTGGAAAAGGAAACCAAAGTATATAAAGTGAGAGAGAGAAACATAGCGATTATATTAATAACTGGTTTAGAGTGTGTGGTTGGAGGTGACATTCACATTTGTTTCTACAGAGGATTTGAAGCTTCCCCAGAGTAAAGCCCTGAAGGTCAAATGGATAGACTTGCAGACCTCTCTTGAGACTCACTTCCCCCTTCTGGGCGGCATTACCCAATTACTGGGATTACTGGACTAAGTGAGGAGGCAGGCTTGCAATACTGTTAGATTGGGAGAAGCAACTTCATGGTGCTCTTTACAAATAATACATTTAATCTGAAAGTTCAGGTGAAGTTTAACATGAATTGAAGCTGTCATACAACCTAAAATTTCTTTCAAGAAGGCTGATTTTCCTCCCTCAGATGAAAAGTGAGTGATTAATTAGCCTGTCATTATAAAAGAAGATAATGTTAGTAGATACTGAATTTCCTGTTAAATGGATTACCTATTGTATTCTATTTGGATTTCACATATATATTTTAGAAATACTCATCTTTATACCAAGTCACCTCTATTAAAGCTATATTGAAATTGTAAGCTTTTGCCTGAACAATGACACTTAACTTTCAGAAGAGAGCCAGCTTAGCTCATCTTCTATCTTAACAGGTATTATTTCAATGTAGCTTTTCTCTTTGGTATCCTAATTCTCCACCTGAACTCCTGCCAAATCCCAAGCCCCAGCATATCTACAAATACACAAACCTTTTCCCTAGTGGTGTTGATTCGTAGGCACCTACTTGCATGTATATATGCCTTTAGGGAGTCTGGCTGAGGCATGCCTGATCTATGGAAATCCTGTGTGCTCCAGTTACTGCTCCCTTTCCTTCCCTATTCTTGGATATTTTATTTATCTCCTTTCCCTACCATTTGAACTAGGGGCCCTTTGCTTCTTCAGACTCTGCCAATACTTGAGATGACTTTTCTGTCTTCTTTCAATCCCTAGTTCTTACTACAAATTTGTAATAAATTGAACCCTGACTTTCCCCTAGATGTAAAAATCTCTCAACACATTCACACCCCTTAAGTATTCTTCTGGGTTTCATCTTGAAGCAATGGCTTTAGTCCGGACTGGATGCTCCCAAGGCCTGCACTACAGCCGCCATTCTGGGGTTTCCCTTCACCGTTACCCTATATCATACTCTCTATGACAGTTTCCCTGTTTTCCTGGATCCCATCACTTCCTGTTTCTTGATTATGGCCTCGTTTTGGTAGAGTACTTCCTTTAATTACTTCATGAGAAAGGGTTCATAGAAGTTCATTTTTTTTTTAAGCCCATGAGTATCTAAAAATGTCCTATGCCACCCTCAGGTTTGATTGATAAAATAAATACTGAATTAAGGATTGGAATGAATTTTCCTTTAGAGTTTTGAAGGCCTTATGTCATTCTCTTCCACCTTCCAGCATTGTTGCTGAGAGCTTCTAATGTTACTCTGTTCTTGATCTTTAGTTTGAAGCTTGTTTTTTTTTCTTTTCAGAAGCTGTGCTAACTTCTTTTTGTGCTCTCTTCTTTTTATCTTCTTCTGACACTACAGAGGTATCAGGGGCTTCAAATTCCCAAGCCTTTTGGAGGTTCTATTGTGTAAATTGGATTGCTTCTTGACTTTACCATTGCCAGTTTAGGAGTCAGCTTTGTTACACATGCTTTTCAGTTTCAAATGGTTTTTATTTTTCTCCTTTATCTTCTTTGTTCCTCCTTTTGCTCTTGGGGCTTGAGCCTAAAAACAAACATAAAAAACTTTACTATGGTTTTAGTAAGATGTTTGGGAGGACCAGAGGTGTCCACTCCTCCATCTTTATCCAGGATTCTACCTGTTTTGCACCTCAGACATCTCTGTTGTGGATCTTGCCCCCTCTCTGTCCCTGAGACTGCCCACAGAAGGGCCACTCACAAGCGCCTGTCATCAGATGCTCTGTCCTTATCGACTTGACTTCTCAGCAGCATCTGATGTGACTGCTTTCTCCTTTCCCAGATGATCTTTCTTTGCTTTGACGAGTCCACCTCGTGCTGGGGTTTTCTCATTCACCAGCCATTCCTCCCAATCTTCTCAGCTGGTTCCTTCTCCGTATCCAGCCTCTAAATAATGGAGTTCCTCAGGCTAGCTTTTTTGGGCTCTCGTCACTCTCCCTACTCTCTCTAGTAGGTTTAACCCAGTCCCATGGCTTTAAATGCTGCATACATGCTGATGGCACCCACTGAGCTCTTTTACCCACTGAGTTCTCACTTGGCCTCTCTGGGCATGTTGTGAACAGAACTCTTGGTTTCCCTTCAAACCTGTTTCTTCTCCAGTCATCTCGACATCAGTAAGTGGCACCATCATCTAGCTATCTGCTTAAAGGTAATTGGATCTATTACTCTCCTTCCTGATCCCATCTACCAGTAAGTTATATATCCAAAATATATCTTCAGTTTATCTTTTTCCTCAGGCATCGAGCCTAGTGCCTGACACATATGAGGCATTTACTAGTCAGTGGTCCAATGAGTGACATCAATAGAAACACCAAGAAAATGTATGTAAAAAAATGTGGGCTTGGGGCCAGGCATGGTGGCTCATGCCTGTAATCCCAGCACTTTGGGAGGCCAAGGCAGGTGGATCATTTGAGGTCAGGAGTTCAAGACCAGCCAGGCCAACATGGCGAAACCCTGTCTCTACTAAAAATACAACAACAACAAAAAAAATTAGCCACGTGTCATGGTGCACGTCTGTAATCCCAGCTACTTGGGAGGCTGAGGGAGGAGAATTGCTTGAACCTGGGAAGCCAGGACGCAGAGGTTCTGGTGAGCCAAGATTACACCACTGCACTCCAGCCTGGGTGACAGAGTGAGACTCCATCTCAAAAAAAAAAAAAAAAAAAAAAAGTAGGCTCTTTAAAAATGGGGAAGTCATGAAAAACAAAGCCTGATGAACTATTCTAGATTAAAAGATTTAAAAAGATGTAACATAACTTTACATAAAGATAGGTAGTACATGATCCTTGATTAGATTCTGGCTTTATCAAATCCAGCTATAGAGGGTATTATAGGGAGATGGGGGGAAAATTGGAATATAAATTGTACATATATATTGTATTGATGATATTATGATTATGTGTTACGATACCTGCAACTCATTTCCAGAGGTTCAGAGGAAGAAAGCATCTATCAGGAGTGGGGGAGGGAGAAAACAAATGCAACAAAATGTTAACAGTTGGTGAGTCTAGATGAAGGGTATATGGGTGTTCGTTGTACTGTTCTGTTGTCTTTGAAGATTTTTTTAAATTAAAAATTGGGAAAAAAATCAACAGTGGAGAAAAATTTAGTGGAGGGAAACTTTAGGGAAATTTTTAATCCCCAAAATGCTGAGGTCCATTTTGAAGCATACTATTAAATGTAACAAAGGCTGAGGATATACAGTGTTGATATATTCAATAGGAAGGAAATAAGAACGAGTAGAAACAAGGCCTTTCTGGAAGTTACCTCTTAAAAAATTGGTGTGAAAGTGGATGGTCAGCTGCCCACCAGAGGGCAGTGCAGGCAGTGATTCCGCGGTCTACAGTAGGCCAGCTGAAAAGCAGGGGTTTTCTTTCCCTCATAACTGGCTCCACATGAGGTCGCTATTCTCTGCACAAAACGTTTTTAGGATTCTTAGACTGTTTGAGAAGAGAGAGAATGCGGGTAGGTATAGTGCTTCCCATTTCTTTCCCTCCACTCTGATCTATTTCCAGATTCTGTGGGTTTTAGCCTTTGGCTCCTCTGATTCATGGATTCTTTGGAAGGATCTAGATATTGGAAGTACAGATCTGCCTTCCTAAGTATGTGTTTCGAAGTCCAATAATGCATTTGCCCATGAGCATGTCAGGATTTATATCTGTTTTTAAAATCACAAACTGCCAAAGTATCATCCCATTGCAATTAATCTTTAGGTTTCGTAGGATTTATTAAAATTCTGTACAACAAACCCCTGTGACATGAGTTTACCTATGTAGCAAACCTTCACATATACCCCCAAACCTAAAATAGAAGTTAAAATTAAAAAATAAAATTCTAGGGAATTTCATTTAGGGATTTTACCTCTTTTAAACCTAGGATGTTCCTCCTTACTGAGTGGTTGACTTAAAAGAGCCATTTTTCTATGTGCTTACCCAGAAAAGCTGGGTTAGTGTAAATGTCTTAGAAAATTACCCAGCACATGAAATGATTACTCTGTGGTACATAGTTGTTCTTTCACCTAACACTTAGCTAATGCCTGAGGCACCATATTGTGCTACTAGACTAGGAAATTAAAATCCACAGAGGTTAAGGAGTTAGCCCCAGTCTCCCGAGGTGCTTATAGTAGGGGGCAGACAAGCCCCAAACAAATTTAGACAAGACTTTCAGAAGTAAGTACTACATTTAGGTAGAAACAAAAGTGCTTTGGGGAGAACAGGTGATGAGTAGGGATTGGTGCAGGTGGACATGGGTGGTTCACTGGCCTTGTCTTGGCTCAGTGCCCAAAGTCCTGCTTAGAGGTTCCTCAAGGCCAAATTCAGAATCAGGACAACACCAGCCTGCTCTGACCATCCCCAGATAAGTCAAATGCCCTTCCTGTGTTCTCATGGCATCTAGTTCATGCCTCTGTTATAGCATGCTATTCATGATTGTCAATTTGCATGCTCTTCTCTCCCGAGGACATAGACTGACTACTAACAGATTGGCGCATTTTCCCATTGTGAGTCCATTCTGGTCCTGAACATGCTTTCCTCCCTTTGGGCTACTCTCTGTTTTCCTCTGGCGTTTGTCTTTTTCCTCAAATACAATGGCATAGTCTCACTGACATCTTACAAAGTGAAGGACAGAAAAGGAACTAACACTTATTGAGTGTCTTTTTTGTGCTGACTGCTGTGGTCACTGTGTTAGGTGCTTTGTGAACGAACATTTTCTCGCTTATTCTTGTGCCTGTAACAAACATACCATCTTCTTCCCTTTTCAGTTCTTTGCAATTGCTATTTCCTCTCCTAGAAGCCATTTTTTAAGTCCTCAAGAAGGGCTCCCTTTTCTGCTAACAAGCACGTATAGTTTACAAACCATTCTTCTTAGGTGAACGCTGTTAGATTGGTTACCCCCTCTCCTCTCAGTGGTGGGTAGGGTGTCAGGGACAGGAATTAGCTGAAGCCTGGCTGAGATTCTTTGACTTCCTTTCTCTTCCTGTTTGCCTGTCTGTCTAACTGCACCCCCAGTACATCGAATCCTGTCACTGGATGTCCCAACTTAGTTTACTAATTTTTATTATAATTGCTTTATTTCTACCTCATTATAACTCATAGTGTCATCTAGACTGTACCTCTCCTAGGAGATGTGGGATTGAATTTCTTGACTAGCTTTCTTCTTGAGGTCAGGCTAACCCATCATTTTTAACAGATTGTTTTGCTCTTCATAACTTATCAGTAAATCAGGCCTTTATAAACTGATGTGTGTGTGTGTGTATATATATATATGTGTGTGTGTGTGTGTATGTGTATATATATATGTATAGGTATATATATACATATATACATACATATATACGTGTATATATATATACATATATACACATATGTATACATACATATACATATATACCTATACATATATACATATATATACATATATATACACATATATACACATATATATACTTAATAGTAAAAATTCCATGTATTTCTACAGATTTAAAGTTAAAACAGTATATCCAAGTGTTCATGTTGTAATATACAGTAAATTCTTACCTTTTAAAGTGTTACCTATTCTTGAAGGTTCAATTCTAGACCCAACTTGTCTGACATTTTTCTCATCTATAGTAAGCCACATTAATCTTTCCTGCGCTGATTTCCTATGGTCTACATGCTTCATTTTGGCCTTTAATATCGAAAGACTTGTTTGTTATTTAGTTGCTTTGTGTATCTACACCTTATATGTCCAATAGTAAATGGCACAATGTGAGTTGATTATGGCAGTGTTTTCTCAATTTTTGCAATGTTTAAAAAGTGTCACTTTTTAAAGGACTTTTTGAAGCGAAATATCTTTATTTTTGCTAATGAAGTACTTATTTTTTAGATATAATTTTAGAATAATTCATTTCATTTAGTTTTTCTTAAAAGCATTTTCATTTAAATATATTTTTCTACATTTTGATTATTCATTTTATTCTCAGTATTCTTTTTTTTTTTTTTACTTTTAAGTTTGGGATACATGTGCAGGTTTGTTACCTAGGTAAACCTGTGTCATGGGGGTTTGTTGTACAGATTATTTTGTCACCCAGGTATTAAGCCTACTACCCACTAGTTATTTTTCCTGATCCTCTCCCTCCTCCCACCCTCCAAAAGACCCCAGTGTCTGTTGCTCCCTCTGTGTGTCCATGTGTTCTCATCCCACTTGTAAGTGAGAACTTGCAGTATTTGGTTTTTTGTTTTTGCATTCGTTTGCCAAGGATAATGGCCTCCAGCTCCATCCATGTTCCTGCAAAGGACTTTTTTATGGCTGCATAGTATTCCATGGTATATATGTACCACATTTTCTTTATCCAGTCTATCACTGATGGGCATTTAGGTTGAATCCATGTCTTTGCTATTGTGAACAGTACTGCAGTGAACATACACGTGCATGTGTCTTTATAATAGAACAACTTCTCTTCCTTTGAGTGTATACCCAGTAATGGGATTGCTGGGCCGAATGATATTTCTGTCTTTAGGTCTTAGAGGAATTGCCACACTGTCTTCTACAATGGTTCAACTAATATACATTCCTGCTAACAGTGTATAAGTGTTCCTTTTTCTCTGCAACCTTTCCAGCATCTGTTGTTTTTTGACTTTTTAGTAATAGCCATTCTGACTGGTGTGAGATGGGCTTTCATTTTGGTTTTGATTTGCATTTCTCTAATAATCAGTGATGCAGAGCTTTTTTTTCATATGATTGTTGGCTGCATGTATGTCTTCTTTAGAAAAGTGTCTGTTCATGTCCTTTGCCCATTTTTTAATGATTTTTTTTCGTGTAAATTTGTTTAAGTCCCTCACAGATGGTGGATATTAGATCTCTGTCAGATGTATCGTTAGTAAAAATTTTCTCTTATTCTGTAAGTTGTCTGTTTACTCTCTTGATAGTTTATTTTGCTGTGCAGAAGCTCTTTAGTTTAATTAGATCCCATTTGTCATTTTTTGCTTCTGTTGCAATTGCTTTTGGATCTTCATCATGAAATCTTTGCCTGTGCCTATGTCCTGAATGGTATTGCCTATATTGTCTTCCAGAGTTTTTGTACTTCTGGGTTTTACATTTAAGACATTAATCCATCTTGAGTTAATTTTTGTATGTGGTGTAAGGAAGGGGTCCAGTTTCAATCTTCTGCATATGGCTAGCCAATTCTCCCAGGATCATTTATTGAATAGGGAATCCTTTCCCCATTGCTTGTTTTAGTAAGGTTTGTCAAAGACTAGATAGTTGTAGATGTGTGGCCTTATTTCTGGGTTCTCTATTCTGTTCTATTGGTCTGCGTGTCTGTTTTTGTACCAGTACCATGCTGTTTTGGTTACTTTAGCCCTGTAGTGTAGCTTGAAGTTGGGTAGCATGATGCCTCCAGCTTTGTTCTTATTGCTGAGGATTGTGTTGGCTATTTGGGCTCTTTTTTGGTTCCATATGAATTTTAAGATAGTTTTTTCTAGTTCTGTGAAAAATGTCAGTGGTAGTTTAATAGGAATAGCATCGAATCTGTAAATTGCTTTGGGCAGTATGGCCATTTTCACAATATTGATTCTTCCTATCCATGAACATGGAATGTTTTTCCATTTATTTGTGTCATCTCTGATTTCTTTGAGCAGTGGTTTGTAGTTCTTGTAGAGATCTTTCACCTCCCTAGTTAGCTGTATTCCTAGGTGTTTTATTCTTTTTTGTGGCAATTGTGAATGGGAGTTTGTCC
This sequence comes from Homo sapiens, assembly GCF_000001405.40. NCBI lineage: Eukaryota > Metazoa > Chordata > Mammalia > Primates > Hominidae > Homo > Homo sapiens. The sequence continues at coordinate 109,709,743 of NC_000006.12, forward strand.
CTGATTTGGCTCTTAGTTTGACTGTTGTTGGTGTATAGGAATGCTAGTGATTTTTGCACATTGATTTTGTGTTCTTAGACTTTACTGAAGTTGTTTATCAGCTTAAGAACCTTTGGGCTGAGACTGTTGGGTTTTCTAGAAATAGAATCATATTATCTGCAAAAAGGGATAGTTTGACTTCCTCTCTTCCTATTTGGATACCTTTTATTTCTTTCTCTTGCCCGATTACCCTGACCAGCACTTGCAATACTATATTGAATAGGAGTGTTGAGAGAAGACATTCTTGTCTTGTGCCAGTTTTCAAGGGGAATGCTTCCAGCTTCTGGCCATTTGGTATGATGTTGGCTGTGGGTTTGTCATATATGGTTTTTATTAATTTGAGGTATGTTCCTTCGATACCTTGCTTATTGAGTTTTTAACATGAATGGATGTTGAATTTTATTGAAAGCATCTGGGTCTATTGAGATAATCATGTGATTTTTGTCTTTAGTTCTGTTTATATGGTGAGTCACATTTATTGATTTGCATATGTTGAACCAACCTTGCATCCCAGGGATAAAGCCTACTTGATCGTAGTGGATAAGCTTTTTGATGTGCTGCTGGATTCGATTTGCCAGTATTTTGTTGAGGATTTTTGCATTGGTGTTCACAAGGATATTGGCCTGAAGTTTTCTTTTTTTGTTGTATCTCTAACAGGTTTTGTTATCAGGATGATGCTGGCCTCATAGAATGAGTTAGGGAGGAGTCCCTCCTCCTCAGTTTTTTTGGAATAGTTTCAGTAGAAATGGTACTAGTTCTTCTTTGTACATCTTCTAGAATTCAGCTTGGAATCTGTCTGGACCTGGATTTTTGTTTTGTTGTTGTTGTTGTCATTTTTTGCTTGTAGGCTATTTATTACTGCCTCAGTTTCAGAGCTTATTACTGGTCTGTTCAGGGATTGAGTTTCTTCTTGGTTCAGTCATGGGACGGTGTATATGTCCAGGAATTTATCTATTTCTTCTAGATTTTCTAGTGTATGTGAATAGAGGTGTTCATACTATTCTCTGATGGTTGTTAGTATTTCTGTGGGGTCAGCGTTAATATCCCCCTTGTTGCTTCTGATTGTGTTTGTTTGAATCTTCTTTCTTTACTAGTCTAGCCTCCGGTCTATATACTTTATTAGTTTTTAAAAAAAAAAAATAGCTGCCAGATTCATTGACCTTTTGAATGGTTTTTCGTGTCTCAGTCTCCTTCAGTTCAGCTCTGATGTTGAGTATCCTTGTTAATTTTGTCTTGATGATCTGTCTACTATTGTCAGTGTGGTGTTAAAGTCTCCCTCTATTATTGTGTGGGAGTCTAAGTCTCTTTGAAGGTCTCTAAAAACTTGCTTTATTATGGCCAGGTGTGGTGGCTTATGCCTGTAATCCCAGCACTTTGGGAGGCTGAGATGGGTGGATCACAAGGTCAGGAGATCGATACCATCTTGGCTAACACGGTGAAACCCCGTCTCTACTAAACAAAATAAAAAAAATTAGCTGGACGTGGTGGCAGGCACCTGTATTCCCAGCTACTCAGGAGGCTGAGGCAGGAGAATGGCATGAACCCAGGTGGAGCTTGCAGTGAGCCGAGATTGCGCCACTGCACTCCAGGCTGGGCGACAGAGCAAGACTCCATCTCAAAAAAAACAAAAAACAAAAAACTTGCTTTATTAATCTGAGTGTTCCTGTGTTGGGTGCATATATATTTAGGATAGTTATATCTTCTTGTTGAATTGAACCCTTTATCATTATGTAATGCCATTCTTTGTCTTTTTTTTTAAAGCTTTGTTGGTTTTAACTCTGTTTTGTCAGAAACTAGAATTGCAACCCCTGCTTTTTTCTGTTTCCCGTTTGCTTGATAGATTTTACTTTGTCCCTTTATTTTGAGCCTGTGGGTTTCATTGCATGTAAGATGGGTCTGTTGAAGACAGCATACTGATGGGTCTTAGTCCTTTATCCAGTTTGCCACTGTGTGCCTTTTAAATGGGGTATTTAGTCCATTTACATTCAAGGTTAGAATTGATACGTGTGAACCTATCATCAGGATGTTAGCGGTCATTTTGCACACTTGTTTATGTGGTTGCTTTATAGTGTCATTGGTCTGTGTACTTCAGGGTGTTTTTCTAGTGGCTGAGAATGGTCTTTCCTTTCCGTATTTAGTGCTTCTTTCAGGAGCTCTTGCAAGGCAGTTCTGGTGGTAACAAATTCCCACAGCATGTTTGTCTGAAAAGGATGTATTTCTCCTTTGCTTACGAAGCTTGGTTTGGCTGCATATGAAATTCTGAGTTGGAAATTCTTTTCTTCAAGAAGGTGAATATTGGCCCCCAATCTCTTCTGGCTTTTAGGGCTTCAGCTGAGAGGTCCACTGTTAGTTTGATGGGCTTCCCTTTGTAGGTGACCTGACCTTTCTCTCTAGCTGCCTTTAACATTGTTTCTTTCATTTGGCCTTGGAGAATATGATGATAATGTGCCTTGGGGATGATCTTCTAGTGAGTATCTGACTGGGGTTCTCTGCATTTCTTTAATTTGAATGTTGGCTTCTTTAGATGGGTTGGGGAATTTCTCATGGATGATATCCTGAAATATGTTTTCCAAGTTGGTTCCATTCTCTTTCTGGTATACCAGTGAGTCGTAGAGTCAGTCTCTTTACATAATCCCACATTACTCAGAGGGTTTGTTCATACCTTTTCATTCTTTTTTTTTCTCTATTCTTGTCTTATTTCAGAAAGCCAGTCTTCAAGCTCTGAGATTCTTTCCTCCGCTTGGTCTGTTCTGCTATTAGTACTTGTGATTACATTATGAAATTCTTGTAGTATGTTTTTCAGTTCTATCAGGTCAGAAATGTTCTCTATGCTGGCTATTTTGTCTGTCATGTTTTATCATGATTTTTAGCTTCCTTGGATTGGGTTTCAACATATTCCTGTAGCTCAATGAACTTCATTTCTATTCCTATTCTGAATTCTATTTCTGTCATGTCAGCCATCTCAGCCAGGTTCAGAACCCTTGCTGGAGAAAAGTGCAGTTGTTTTGGAGGAAAAAAGGCACTTCTGGCTTTTTGAGTTGTCAGAGTTCTTGCACTGGTTCTTTCTCATCTTTGTGGGCTAATGTTTCTTCAATCTTTGAAGCTGTTGACCTTTATATGGCCTTTTTTTCTTTTATCCTATTTGATGACCTTAAGGGTTCGATTGTGGGATCAGGTGGATTCAGTCGACAGGTATTGTTTCTGGAAGATTATAGGGGGCCAACGTTCAGCTGCCAACTCCTGGACTGTGTGCTCTAACTCTGGAATACTCGTATTGGGCTCTGACTTTGTTCTCTGGCTCCTCGAGGTTAGGTATCCGATGCGCTGAGGGTGCCAACGTGTAGTGACTGCTGGTCACTATGCTTTGATGGGTGGTGTCAGCCAAAGCATTTCATGGTGCGGTGGCGGTGGGATATGTCCTCATTCGCATGTGCCAGTGGCAGCGAAAGCATGGTGGCTGCAGCAGGATGCCAGCAGGTGCCTGCCTCCATGTGGGCATTCACAGCAGCAGCAGAGGCAGCATGGCTGAGGGGGCGGGGGAGGCCCTGCTGGTGACTGTGCATGCAGTCATCATGGTGATCCTGTTAGCACAGGGGCAGGGCACTGGTAGGTGCAGGTCTATATACACTCTCTGTGTGCTGCAGGCAGTGGTGGTCACTGAGGGCTGGGGAAGGTCCACTGGCCTCTGTGCATAGTTTCATTCCCATGGCAGCATTGGCACAGGGGTGGGATGAGGACGGGGCAGGCTGGCTCTGTGCCCACCAAGGCTCCAGCTGCAATGGCAGTGCAGCTGAAGGAGGGAGGTGGATTGCACCCCCAACTGCAGCAGTGGCAGGACAGGGTACATGCGCACACGTGCACTGGTAGGGCAAGGAAGACAAAACCCACCTGCGCACACACATGTTGGCAGAGTGATGTTGGAAGTGGCAGTGAGCCTGCGGGAAGCTGCAGTGGAGGGAGGGAGAGGGTGGGCTGCTGGGTGGCCATGGGGGCCACCCCACTAGAGCTCTTCACCAATCAGGTGCCAGTCCACCAGCACAGGGTCTCTGATGCAGGCCCCCAGGACACCTAAGGCTTCCCTGCAAGCAGGGCTGGGGCCCTGGGAGAGAGGTCAGCAGACCAAGGGGTGCTCAGGTTGACTGTCCAGTCTGATGGGCAAGAGCGCCCTGCAGAGTTCAGGTCCGACAGTTCCCCTAGGGCTAAAGTCTCCTATGGGAACAAGTCAACCCTAGGGGGATGAGTGTCCCTGGCTGTGCTCCACTACAAACGCTCCCATACCAAACCCTCTGGGCTCTGCATAAGCCAGCGTGTTGCCCCTACCACTTCTCTGAGCAGCTCTTCCTGCCAACTCGAGTGTCTGTGATGGTCAGGGAGTCTCCTTCTGTCAGGATTCCAGAGGCCTTGGCGAGAGTAAGTTTCTCCTTACCAGTTCAACTCACCCATTCCCCCAGAGTCACTGGGGGCCAGGAATGAATGCCAGTGCATGGTAGTCCCATGCAGGGTTCCCAGCTTCTTCCCTCTTCAGCCCAGCTTCTGTGTCTTCCCTCCACCACTCTCAGTGCCTTCCCTCTGAAGATCTGTTAGGAGTGCTCCAGTTGTCCTGGTCCCTTGGTGGCAGCTGTTCCGCCTGGCTGCCTCTAGTCAGCCATCTTGCCCAGCACCCCTTCAGTATTTATTTAATAAGACTAATGTGATTGTGTTTAGTCAGAACGCTCCAAGGAACTGTTTTAGGAAAGAAAGAATGATGATAATTTCTTGTAGCTTATCTATAAAAGGTCATTTGGGAAGGACAACCATTTTAATCATTTATGGGACTTTTGGGTAGATTTTATAGTTACTATATTAAAGACATTTGCAGACATTTATGAAAATTTGTAAGTAGTTTTTTGATAAGCTGTCAGTACTTTAGTAGCTATAATTGCCTAAGCGTTCCTAATTATATGTTGAGCTTTAGAATTTTTACCAGAGCTTCTTCCTGGTAAAGCTTAAACATCAGCCTCCAATCAGTTAGATTAATCTCTAAATTTATGACAATTAAATTCATCTGACCTGGTTACTGGGCACATTTCAGACATCAGACTGATCTTTATCATGAAACCACTAGGAATATTTTAATTTTAAAATTGACCTTTTGGAGTCAGCTTTTCTTTAATCTGCCAGTTATACATAACAGAAATATTTCTTTAAAAAGTAACCTGACTTTATTAATGTATTTAATTTCAAAAACTAAAGTGGTATAAAATGTGTATAGGGCAAAATGCTTTGATAAACTAATGACATTCCTTTTTATTTATAGAGATACTTTCTAGTTGGGAGCAATAATGCAGAAACGAAATATCGTGTCTTGAAGATTGATAGAACAGAACCAAAAGATTTGGTCATAATTGATGACAGGGTAAGTATCCTCCAAACCTGACTGCAAAAAAACTTTCATACCTGTTGTTTAAAGGACATGAAATATCCTTACAGTTTTTAGTGATATATTATTTTTATCATAAATCTAAAAGTTTCCGTTATTTTTCTTGGTTGGCTAGAATTTGAATCTCCAATCTGATTTCTAGAAATCACTGGTGTCAAGAAGTACGCCAGAATTATACTTTGCCCCTCGTTTTGACTTGTTTTCGAAAACACACTCTTAGGATAAGATAATGAGTATTGTTTCTTAAAGAGGGCTGACATTTTAAGGATTCAGTGTAACTTAATATTGTATCTGCCAAAGAGACGATCTGTTATGGTTCTTTAATATCAAGCTACTTGAAGTCAGGGAGGACTTCTATGCTACAGACTTTATTTTCCTCCTAAAAATCACCTCTAGGACCTTTACTGATGATTTGCTATACACTAAGGAAATGTTAAGCTGTTCTTATCCAGAGTTAGATTATCCAGAGTCAAGAATACAGAGGCTGGAATTCAGATGGCACAAAAACCTGAAGCTGTTAGTCAAAAGTGAAATACTATATGGTGGTTTGAACAGTTAAGTTTAACTGTTCACACAAAAGAACTCAAGTTATCTTTTGTGTTGAAATTCCTGTCTGTGACTATTTCGGAATCCATAAAGATTCCTGGTTTCTCAAATATGTAGTAACTACAGTTTGGAATCCATTTTCACTAAGCTACTTGTAACAAAACTATTTTCTGTGTTGTAATAATTTTAGATAAATTCTTTGTTACGATTTCCCATGCTACTCCTGGGGTCCATTCTGCTCCCCACCTATCTGAGCATTTTTAACAATATAATGTAATGGTTCTTGGCTTTATTTGGAGATCGGAGCAATTGGTCAGAGAGCCCTTTGAAATGTTAAGAAAATCTATGGGCCTTCTCGTTAAAGATGCACATTTACTCAAAATTTTGCACATAGTTTTAAGGGATTCATGGACTCTTGAAATTTACCTGTAGATCCCTTAAATCTCTGCATCTCTGGTTTAGAGTATAAGGTTTGGACATTTTTTTTAGTATAGCAGCATGATCCAATAACCAACCTTAATTGCTAATGTTAAAGAACTTGTTAGCTTTTTAAAATTGTAGCTTACTTGTGTACTATTATATACTTCTGTATGAAATAGCTGATGATGCTTGTAGGTAACTTTTTAACTTTCAGGCACAAATAATAAATAATCTAAAGTTTAAGCACAACCTTACAGAGTAAATGTGCTTATTCTTAGCATGTCTATACTCAACAAGAAGTAAGGGAACTTCTTGGCCGCTTGGATCTTGGAAATAGAACAAAGATGGGACAGAAAGGATCCTCGGGCTTATTTCGAGCGGTTTCAGCTTTTGGTGTTGTGGGTAAGAAATCTGCCCCCCTTCTTACAATCTCTTGTTTTTTGTTTTTGTCTTCTCTACATAGACTACTTAAAGGAGTTTATAAGGCTATAAGGCTTTAAAATTATAATTACCTGTAGCTTTGGTTATTTAAAACTTCATTATCCATCAATCAGATAGCAAACAGCGTTTCTGTAGCATCTGCTTATGCACTTAGCACTGCTCAGTTTTATTTAGGATACAAACAAATATCAAAATGTTTTTGGCCTTTGAGGAGGTTGCTGTCTGTCTCATTGATGAATGAAAAAGTAAAAATTAGCTTGGACTGGACTGTAAACATCCACCCTGCCATTCGTCAGCTGGAGTAACAAATCACGTAAAACTGGATTTAAAATTAATAGGAATTTCTCCTAAGGTTAGTCTATAGTTATAAAATGTCATAACCCCCTTCTTTGGATGACTGCTTTTTTTTTTTTTTTTTAACTCACTGAGAAACTTTGGTTTCTAAAATCACAGACCATCAGAAACTTCACTGTTTGAAATTGTGTTAGTAAGATAAAACATCCCACATTTACTTGGACAACCCAAGTCACTGTGACACAGAGAAGCAGCTTTGGTTTACCAACTCAGGTGCAGAGCTTCAGAGACGAGGTTTCTGAACACAGTAGTCCATAGATATGATGATTCTGTTGTTTTCAAGGAAACAGGACCCTTGGTCTACTTCATAGTCCAAACGTGATATTGATCTCTTTAAATATCACCTTGCTTTGGTTTGAGCCTCTTCATTTAAATTTTACCTGAGCTCCACCTTTCCCCCAATTCTGTAATAACTCCTTTACTTTAGCAAGATGCTCCATGGTTTCTCTGATATGCATTGTCCCTCCTTGTGGTGAATCAATAAACCTGTCTTTACTGTACTATGGGTTTGTCCCTGATTGGTCTGTGGCAGAGGATAAAATCCAATGTACATGAAACAACTCTAAGATTATAAGTAAGAGCCAAGCTGTGTAGTATGAATTAAATGGTGTTGGAGGTCACAGAAGAGGTAAATTACTTGGACCTGGAATGGCCAGGGAAGATTTCCTATAGTAGATGAGACTTGAGCTGTACCTTGAAGGAGGAACAAGGTATGGATAAATGCAGAGAAGAAAAGAGGGAACTCCAGTAAGGGTGACAGCAGAGGCACATACATGAAGGTACCCAGAGGTGCTGGGAATGCTGGGGAGTAGTCAGGCAAGGCCAGATTGCTTTGGGCTTTGAAAGCCAAAGCAGAGGGCTATTGTATTTTAGCATCTCTGCTGCCAGCACCTTATTTTGAGTCTTTTTTTCTGTAAACACTTAGGAAATTATCTCTGTGTTTCTTAAACCTACTGGACTGTGTGTAATATTAAGTGGTTGTATTGGTTCGTTCTCGCATTGCTATAAAGAAATACCTGAGACTGGGTAATTTATAAAGAAAAGAGGCTTAATTGGCTCATGGTTCTGCAGGCTGTACAGGAAGCATAGCAGCTTCTGCTTCTAGGAGGCCCCAGGAAACTTACAATTATGGCAGAAGGGGAAGGGACAGCAGGTGTGTCTTAGATGACTGGAGCTTAATTAAGGAATGGTGGGGGAGGTGCCACACATTTTTAAGCAACACTTTTAAGCAACCAGATCTCATGACAACTCTGTATCACGAGAACAGCACCAAAGGGGTGGTTGTAAACCATTCAATCATCCATCCCCATGACCCAGGCACCTCCCACCAGGCCCCATCTCCAACAATGGAGGATTACAATGGAACATGAGATTTGTGTGAAGACACAAATGCAAACCGTATCAGTGGTTTCTACAGATATTAACAAAATTAATATGGACTTGACTATGCTATATGTTTTTCAGATTCTTATTTTGGGTCTTCTGTTTAGCACTTTCTATTTTGTGACTGTATGTCTATGAAAACTTTGATTATATTCTGCCATCCTTGGAGTTTGCTTTTCTAAGAATACTGTCGTTGCTCTTCATACGTAATCCCTTTAGGCTCATTTTGTGTGTTAGGTGGCTGCAGGGGAAGGTAAAGAGTAGTATAACATGACTGGTTTCTTCTCCTCAGGCCTGGCCCCTTTTCTATGCCTTTTGCTTAGTCTTGAGAAGGCCCTTGAGGTTACATGTTGAATGGATGAGTGTTTGTGGGAATGTGTATGTCTGTATGTGTCACGTGAGTTCATGTGCTTAAATGCCATAAATGCCAGTATGTTAAATTCCACTTTCAGTCCTGCTTATATTTTAAATTTAAGAAAAAAATACTGTAAATAAAATGTGTTTAAAATATAGTAGACTCTAATTTAAATAATAGTTACTTAATAGTTTAAGCTTAAATGTTGATACCTTATTACATTTTTTTTTTTTTTTTGAGACAGAGCCTTGCTGTGTCACCCAGGCTGGAGTGCAGTGGCGCGACCTTGGCTAACTGCAACCTCCACCTCCTGAGTTCAAGCCATTCTCGTGCCTCAGCCTCCCGAGTAGCTGGGATTACCAGTGTGCGCCACCATGCCTGGCTGGTTATTGCATTTTTTGTAGAGATGGGGTTTCGCCATGTTGGCCAGGCTGATCTCAAGCTCCTGGCCTCAAGCAATCTGCCTGTCTCAGCCTCCCAAAGTGCTGGGATTGCAGATGTGAGTCACTATGCCTGGCCACAACTTTTTTGATAGGCATTTCATAATGTGTATATACTATTGAATGCCTTATTGGCCAGATTTTATTATTCATAATTGAAGTTTTCTTGATGATTAAATGTAACGAAGTGAAAATCACTTATTGAACTGTGTGGGTTTTGTTTTGTGTGTTTGTGTCTGTGTGTGTGTGTTTTTTTTTTCTTTGAGACAGGACCTTGCTCTGTCATCTAGGCTGGAATACAGTGGCCAGTCATAGCTCGCTGCAACCTCAACCTCCTGGGCTCAAATGATCTACCTGCCTCAGGCTCCTGAGTAGCTGGGACTACAGGCATATGCCGCCACGCCCGGCTAATGTTTTTTCTTTTCTTTTTTTTTTTAGAGGTGATGGTCTCACTTTGTTTTCCAGGCTGGCCTCAAACTGCTGAGCACAAGCAATCCTCCTGCCTTGGCCTCCCAAAGTGTTAGGATTACAGGCATAAGCCACCGTGCTCAGCCTGAACTGTGTTTAAAAATAGCTGTCCTTGGGTATTCCAGAGTTGTATTGGGCTGTTTGACTTTACATTAAATGGCCTCTAGACTGCTGGACTCTTTTGTTTTTTTTTAATACTTTGGTCACCTTTTATTGTTCTTGACATGTTTGCTTTTAGCATATTCCTAGCCTCATTTTTAATCTATTGATAACCAAGCTTGTAAAACTAGAACTTTTCTTTGAATCAATTGATAACCAAGTTTGTAACCAGACGTTTAATTTACACACAAGTTTTGGTTAATAAACTCTGGGTGAGGGCTGAAGGTGTCTCCATGTTTCTTTTAAAGGTGACATTCTTAGCTATTTCTGTTGAAGTTAGAGCCCTTTTAGCTTTGAGACTGTGCATGTATGGTGAAGTCATTGTAAGATTAACCTGCAAGTAAAGTAAGACAATAACGTACTGGTAAACATTTAGTATTTTTATGGAAATGTGCCTTATGTGTCCTACTTCAGTCATGTAAATAAAGTTAAGAATCCATGAAAAGTAAACAGGGAGTAATAAAAGTCTATGATTTTTCTAGTACAAGCTTAGAAATGTAGTGGATACTGAAATTATTAACACAAAATACTTATCTTTGAAAAATGTGTAGTCTAGTTGTTAAAATAACACGTGTGAAATGACTAGAATGGTTGTGTTCTATTCTGTGGCTAAAATATTTTCTTCACTAACTTTTTGAACATGCTGAATTGGTGGAAAATATTTTTGGTGGAATGTTTTGGATTGTTGTCATGGTTTATTTAGTACACATGTCATGAGAATCTAGAACAATACTTCTCTAGGATCTGTAATAAAGGACCATTTTTCTCCCCCTCCCTCACATATATCACATGTTGCAGACCAACACCACATGTGACTTAAAACACGAGTTTAATACTATCCAAACTAGTCTATGCCCTGTGTGAGGGCAGATTCACTGATCATGCACACAGATGTTGTGGGGCAATCTAAATTGTTCTAAAGTTTCTAAATCCTTCGTCTCAATTTGTTTACTTGTCTTTTCACGGGCCGGTTCTGAAAGCTCATGGACCAGCACTGGTCCCTAGGCCATGTTTTGAATATTACTGACCTAGAGGGTTTTCCTTGCTATAAACGGATTGATCCAGTCCTGTAGCTGCCTGGCCAATTCCTGATCTGTTCCTTTGTTATTTGACAGCCAGCAGGAAGTTTGGGAAACCACTGGATGGGATCGTGAGCATCCATCACTAAGTTGTTTTATGTGGTCCTAGGGCACATGAATGGAATGACCTATAGTTCATACTACTCAGTTCTGTTATCATCCCAGCTCCTTTTGATACACAGCCCTTAGGTACGTGTCCTTTTTCTGCCACTGTCGTCTGTCAGACGACACTCTTCTAAGCCTCTAGTATGTTGAAGGGGAGTGGCAAAATAAGAAGTATCAATACGGTACACTGTGATGGACTAAGCTATTGTTTAAAACAATACCCTTACAAATAGACTGCAGATCCAAGATAACAGTGAAAACACCAAAAAAGTGTGAGTCTCAGACTAGTTAGGGGGCAGTATGATTTGGTAGTAGAGATGTCACTTTGGTTCCAGAGAGCTCTGTTGTACAAAGGCACTGGGTACCTTGCGGGGGGTTTTGTCCTTCTCTGCTGGAGTGCTGTTCTCAGTGGAGGCTTTCAAGATAATAGCTGGCTGGCATGGTGACCCCCCATACAGGATATTACACTATTCCCTGTTAGTGGGCTGATGAGGGTCCTCTCCAGCCACCAGAATTGCATACTACTCCATTCTCTCATATTGTCCTTTTTAATATACTTTGCTTGGCTTCCCTCTCAAGTGACACAGCCTTTTTTATTTTGGAGAGAGAAATCACTTTTGCATGACGACCATCATCTTGTCTTCTGGAAAGTACTCAGTGAAATTGGTCTGGGGTCAGAAGTACATAGAATGAAGATGAAGAAACTTGTTCTGGTGTTCATCATGTTAGAAGGATGAACAGGCTGATTCTTGGTGGATGTCTATGCCAAGCTGAAGCCTTTAATTGTTGAGAGACATTTCCAATTGGTAGTAACAAGGAAGTGGAAAATAATCTCATTTATAATATACTGAAGCCATTTGTGCTGGAAGAAGAGTGTCTCTTTTGTGCAGTATGTTTACTTTCCCTTATACAAATTATGAAGGGAAGTGTAGAATGATATAAATAGCCTGGTGCTAAAAACATAAAATTAAAATTCAATTAGAATGCAGGTTGAGAGAAATTATTACTAAGAATTTTTATCTAAAAAATAAATATACAGCAAGAATAAAAGGAAAACTAATTTATCTTGTAAATATTTATTATTTAATCCCAATTACATTCCATTTTTAAGTTTTTTGGTGTGTGTGCTGCTTCTGAAATGCTTACTTTTGTAAGTTTTATATTTCTGAAAGGATGACTACTTCCTAAGTTGCTTTTAGTAAAGTTGTCATCAGCTTTTTTTTTTTCCTTCCTTCCCATTCCTGTGTCCTCCAACTTTAGTGAGGTCATTTTTGGCGAGTCTCTAACCTTTTTTAAAAAACACTTTGTGTTTTGTGGATTTCTAAAATACCAATATTTTTCATTATTTTAATAGCATTTTTTTCGCAGTGGCATGGCCGATAAGATTCTTGAGGCATCTTTCCATTATAGATTTCAGCTCATTCATGTTAATGTATTCAATTAGTCATTCTTTTTTCATCAGCTGAGAATAACAAGACATAGATCATAGGTATTTGCCAATTCTAGAGCAAAAATTCAGACAGAGCACCAGGATCCTAGCTTAGACTTTATAGACTATAACACTCTGAGAGAGAGACACACACACACATACAGAGAGAGAAACAAAGGGAATGTATGTGTAAGAAAGTTCATTTTGAAAGATAGCTAGATATAAGATTCTTATATATATATATATATTTTAGTACTTTATGGCATCCCTCTTCATTCTGGCTTTCATTGCTTCTGATGAGAAGACAGCTGTATATGACTGTATCTAGCTTGCCCTGTGAGTGAGTGAGCTGGGCAGGGATGGGACCTTGTGTTCTTGGCCTGACATGCCTGGAGTAGAGCCTCTACCCTGTGAGTCGGTGCTTGGTTGAAGGAAGGAGCCCAGACCTTAGCCATGCTTGCCTGGAATAGAGCTTTTACAACACAGAGTTGGTGGGGATGAGAAAAGCTGGTGGCCTACCCCTCATGAGCAGCAATTGTGGTCCTAGACTGGGAGCTGGAGAGAGAGGAAGGAGCCCTGCCTTCTTGGCGGCACCTGCCCAGAGTAGATATCCTGTCAACGCTGAACTGGGAGGCAGTGTGGAAGGGGAGCAGGCCATGATCCAAATGCCACAGACTTGCTGTTCTTAACAAGATTTATTAGATTTTCTTGGATAAATGTTTCTCCACTTTCTGTATGCCCTTAGGGCAGTTTCCAGAAACTTTTAATGTTTTCCTTTGTTTTTATTATTTTTAGTAGTTATGGTTGTTTTCCTAGGAAAGAGTCTGCTGAGCTCCTTGCATTGCTATTTCAGAAGTGTCACCTCTTCCCCACCACCAAGAAAGTTAGTTTTAACTCCCAAAGCAAAGTTCAGGGAACCTGAAAGTTTTTGACCAAGATTATATGGCAACTAGTGTGTTGCTGAGAATATAATGCTGCTGAACATTAATGTATATGGCTCTTTCTTTAGTCACCAATATAGAACCTCTATATTCTAATGATCTGACATAAAATATAACTCTATTTATAACTCTCCAATATTCATTTAAAAACTGAACTATCAGAAATGATATTTGTGGAAGATTGCATGAAGGATATGTAATTTACTTGATACATTGTTTTGTTTGCCCAACCTATTCACTTTCCAGGGAACTGGCACCATGTCCCCTGGCCTCATCTAGGCCACCTAGTTATCATATAAAATGGCTTCCAATGCTGCATGATTCTATTTTTTGGCCATAGTTGATTGGTCCTGGGCTGGGCCCCTGACCCAAGTTGGGTCAGTCCAAGTTCTTCCCCAGGAATTCTGAAATTGAACTTGATAAAAATGTCCTTTTCTTCCCAGTAAAGGTTTTGGATGGAAAGCCCAGAGCTGTCAGCAGTTGTGTTTCCTACCACATGATCCAGAGAAGTGGAGGAGCTTGGTCTATGGAGAGAGAGAAGAATGGAGTAGATGTTCAGAGACATCTTGACTAGGCTTTTTCTGAGGCCCAGTCACACTGTTTCCCATGTGTGGAATGGATCACTTCAGGATCCTTAATATAAATTCCTTTTTTTAGTTTAAGCTGACTCAAATTGGTTTTTGACATTAATTATCAAGAGTCCATGAAGTTTGTTCTTTTGGGCAATATTTCCCAAAATATGTTCCTCAGAACGTATATCCATTGGTTTTTGTTGTTGTTGTTTTAAGGCGGGGGGTGGGAGGAGGTTCCACGAACAAACGAATCTGGAAAGGCACTTGGTTTTTATCTCCCATCAAGATTCACGGTGTACTTTAGCACAGTCCTATAAGGTTCTCAGGATTTTTGTTTTAAGTTTCTTAGTCCAGTATTATTTGCTCACTGCCACTCCTCTCCCCCCTGGGATTCCATTAACTAATATTTCATGGAGAACACATTTGGGGAAATGTTACCAGAGATACTTAGATTTTTATCTTCAGATGAAATTAGACCTCCGTTCAGCTGTGTACCTTGCCTGCATTCTTCTAGTTTGTAAAGAATGACATTTATTGAATTGTGCCTTGGCATATGAAACAGCATTGAGAAATGTGTGCTTGACATCGCTGGAGAATTCTCCTGAGGTTGTTCTCTACAGCACATATCTTTTTATGTGGACTCACTCTGAAATTGTCTCCCAGTTCTTGTAACTGCTGTAGCTTCTCCAAGTAGTGGTTTAGTTTTTATCTTTCAGCCACTGTGCATGGTATAATTGGATGTGTGTTCCTCTTTGCATTATCTGTTAGAAAATGGAGAGCCAAATGTGGGGAATAGTACATAGGATCTTAAGATGCATTCTTATGTACAACTTTTATTTTTGGACTCATCTTACTATGTTTTTAAACATTATTTCCTTTACTGTAATTTCCTCTTCATTTTTATAATCCTTTGTGTGTGTGTGTGTGTGTGTGTGTGTGTACATATATATATATATATTTAATTTTGGTAAAAAACAGAATTTACCGTCACAATCATTTTTAAGTGCACAGTACAGCAGTGTTAACTGTATGCATCTTGTGCAACAGATCTTGAGAATTTTTTCATCTATGCAAAACTAAAGCTCTATACCCATGGAACAACAACTCCTCTTAATCTTATATCTATTTGTGCTTAAGGCACCTCAGTCCTATTTGCAGTGAGACTAAGAGGAATGAATGAATTAAATTGTTTAGAGTAATTTTTTTTTAAAATTTAAGTTCTGGGATACATGTGCAGAATGTGCAGGTTTGTTACATAGGTATACACACATGCTGTGGTGGTTTGCTGTACCTATCAACCCACCATCTAGGTTTTGAGCCCCACATGCGTTAGGTATTTGTCCTAATGCTCTTCCTCTCCTTGCCCCCACCCCTCGACAGGCCCTGGTGTGTGATGTTCCCCTCCCTATGTCTATGTGTTCTCATTGTTCAGCTCCCACTTATGAGTGAGAACATGCGGTATTTGGTTTTCTGTTCCTGTGTCAGTTTGCTGAGAATGATGGTTTCCTGCTTCATCCATGTCCCTGCAAAGGACATGAACTCATCCTTTTTTATGGCTGCATAGTATTCCATGGTGTATATGTGCCACGTTTCCTTTATCCAGTCTATCATTGATGAGCATTTGGGTTGGTTCCAAGTTTTTGCTATTGTAAAATGATGCTGCAGTAAACATATGTGTGCATGTGTCTTTATAGTAGCATGATTTCTAATCCTTTGGGTATATACCCAGTAATGGGATTGCTGGGTC
Organism: Homo sapiens; assembly: GCF_000001405.40. Taxonomy (NCBI): domain Eukaryota; kingdom Metazoa; phylum Chordata; class Mammalia; order Primates; family Hominidae; genus Homo; species Homo sapiens. Next base: position 109,725,640 of record NC_000006.12, read on the forward strand.
AAATGGTATTTCTGGTTCTAGATTCTTGAGGAATCACCACACTGTCTTCCACAATGGTTGAACTAATTTCCACCAACAGTGTAAAAGTTTTCCTGTTTCTCCACATCCTCTCCAGCATCTGTTGTTTCCTGACTTTTAAATGATTTCCATTCTAACTGGTGTGAGATGGTATCTCATTGCGGTTTTGATTTGCATTTCTTTAATGATAAGTGATGATGAGCTTTTTTTCATATATTTGTTGGTTGCATAAATGTCTTCTTTTGAGAAGTGTCTGTTCATATCCTTTGCCCACTTTTTGATGGGGTTGTTTGTTTTTTTCTTGTAAATTTGTTTAAGTTCCTTGTAGATTCTGGATATTAGCCCTTTGTGAGATGGATAGATTGCAACAATCTTCTCCCGTTCTGTAGGTTACCTGTTCACTGTGATGATAGTTTCTTTTACTGTGCAGAAGCTCTTTAGTTTAATTAAATCCCATTTGTCAATTTTGGCTTTTATTGCCATTGCTTTTGGTGTTTTAGACATGAAGCCTTTGTCCATGCCTGTGTCTTGAATAGTATTGCCTACGTTTTCTTCTAGGGATTTTATGGTTTTAGGTTTTATATTTAAGTCTTTAATCCATCTTGAGTTAATTTTTGTATAAGGTGTAAGGAAGGGGTCCAGTTTCAGTTTTCTGCATATAGCTAGCTGGTTTTCCCAGCACCATTTATTAAATAGGGAATCCTTTCCCCATTGCTTGTTTTTGTCAGGTTTGTCAAAGATCAGATGGTTGTAGATGTGTGGTGTTATTTCTGAGGCCTCTGTTCTGTTCCATTGGTCTATATATCTGTTTTGGTACCAGTACCATGCTGTTTTGGTTACTGTAGCCTTGTAGTATGGTTTGAAGTCAGGTAGTGTGATGCCTCCAGCTTTGTTCTTTTTGCTTAGGATTGTCTTGGTGTCTTGGCTATGAGGGCTCTTTTTTGGTTCCATATGAAATTTAAAGTAGTTTTTTCTAATTCTGCAAAGAAAGTCAATGGTAGCTTGATGAGAATAGCATTGAATCTATAAATACTTTGGGCAGTATGGGCATTTTCACAATATTGATTCTTCTTATCCATGAGCATAGAATGTTTTTTCATTTGTTTGTGTCCTCTCTTACTTCCTTGAGCAGTGGTTTGTAGTTCTCCTTTAAGAGGTCTTTCACGTGCCTTGTAAGTTGTATTCCTAGGTATTTTATTCTCTTTGTAGCAATTGTGAATGGGAGATCACTCATGATTTGGCTCTGTTTAGAGTAATATTTTTAAGTGAGGTAAATGTCAGTATAGATAGTCTTAGAGAATAATCCTAAGACACCTGAAAATTTGTATGGCTATAAATCATAGAAATAATAAAGTGAGAAATGTATCAAAGGTCTTTGGCCTTTTAAATAGGCATCTAAAAGCCATTACTAAGTTTATAAAGCATATTTCTCTTTATTTTTTGTTGCATAGGTTTTGTCAGGTTCTTAGAAGGCTATTATATTGTGTTAATAACTAAAAGGAGGAAGATGGCGGATATTGGAGGTCATGCAATCTATAAGGTCGAAGATACAAATATGATCTATATACCCAATGATTCTGTACGGGTTACTCATCCTGATGAAGCTAGGTATGTATGGTGGTAACTACCTTTTTTTTTTTGGAGACAAGGTCTTGCCCTGTTGCCCAGGCTGGAAGGCTGGAATATAATGGCATGGTCATAGCTTGCTGTAGCCTTGGCCTCCCAGGCTCAAGTACTTTTTTTTAATGTCGTAGATCAGGTAGAAAATAAAATACAGTTTAGATATTATGAATGTTATGTAAAAAGATCAAATGTTGGCTCAGAATTTTAGAATTTTTGTTAAGAGCTGTTAAAGACTCCATTATAGCAATTGGCAAGAATCAACAATGGCTACTATTAGGTGAGAGGTTGTTATTGAGGAATAGAATAATCACATAGTCCCAACATTTTAAACTCCATGGATCTCTTTGTTATTTACAGAGGAATAAGTATTTTTATGATGAAAAAAACAGCAGACATTCTTATCCAAATAATCAAACTTCACATCACCAATAATGAGACGAAACTGACATTGTTTGACTCTCAGTGGGAAGGACACAGTTTACCTTAGTAGTTAAATATTGCTAAAAATATTTAACTTGAATCTAAGCATGGGGAAATAATCAGATAAATACATACCACTGGACTTCCTGCAAGATAACTGGCCTAGATTCTTAAAAGAATGTAAAAGTCATCAAAGACAAAAAACAAAAGACTGTTCCAGATTTTTAAACAGACGTGACAACTAAATGCAGATTTTGGTCGGATTCTGGGTTAAAAGTGCATGTACTTGTACACACATCCTCACACAAAGATCTAAAGGGCTTTATTTGGACAGTTTGTATGTGGACTACATACTAGTGATCTTGAATCAGTATTTAAATTTGGAGTATAATAATGGTTTGCGGTCACTGAGGAGATTGTCCTTGTTTATAACAGATACATGCTAAAATACTTAGGAGTGAAGTGTCATGATGTCTGCTACTTACAGTCAAGTGGTTTAGAAAAATAAAATGTATTTGTATATTTAAAGAGAGATAATATTTGTTTATGTGTTTAAGGAGAGAGCGCTAAAAGTGAATTCAGAAGAAGGGCATAGTGGTGTTAATTGTACTTTTTTTTCCCTGCAATTTTTCCTGTATATCTGAAATGTTCAAAAGTTTTGGAGGAATTATTGGAACCTTGGAAACGTGGGAAAAGCTATTAACAAATTGATAAAATTGTAAAGGTTGAATTGATTTAATATTATGAAGATTAAAATGGAACAAAGAAATATTTATAAGTTTTTAGGATAGGTAACAGTTTAGATTTTAATTATATCCTGTACTTTTGTAGTGTTCCAATACATGAACCAAAATTTAAAGGTGATGCAGCCCTGTTGCTTGAGACCATCTTAGACAGTGGTTTTCTGAGCCCTTGTGATGTTGCTTTTGATGATGATTTGGAAGGGGGTTATTAGAAAATAATTTGTTTCATTTGAGGATAAGTACAGTTTATCAGAGTAGACCTTTGTCTTGCACTAACTGAAAAAGGTTATATCTGATACAGCTGATAGGAAGGCCTATATAGTGTATTGACTAAAAGTGAATCAGATTGACCAGACCATGCGAATCCAGGGATAGGAAAATTTCAAGAAGTTAATGTTGTTTATAAGTCTCATCTTTATGATACTTTAGCCAAGAATACTAATACAAATTATGTTGTTGTGTACAGTGATTTGGATATCTTTAAAGAATAAAATTATGAGTAATAACATGTAAATGGACTTATTCAGAATAAGATACAATTATATTAATAGTTTTTTATAGGTAAACTGAAGTAATATTACTAATTAGGAAAAACTTTTAATACTTATAAAACTATATAATCCAATAGTGTATCTAAGCAAAACTATTTGGTAAAATATTTGGAAATAAAATACAGTACTATTAAACATTTCATACATAATGTTTATCTCTGTAATGCATGATTGTTACCAATGTTAGAAAATTTACTAGAACAGTTCACCACATTAAAATATTGCTGGAAAAATTATCTTCTTAATGTTTGCAGAAAACATATTTGACAAAATTCAATACCCATTTGTGATAAAAGGTTTTAGCAAACTAGGAATATAAGCAGACTTTCTTAATCTGATAAATGATACCTATTAAAAACCTATATCCAAAATTGTTCTTAGAAGTGAAACTTTAAAAGCATTACTTTTAATCAAGGTAAGGAACAATACAGAGGTATCTGCCGTCACTACTAACATTCAGCCTCATACTGAAAGTCCCTAGGCAGTGCCACAAGACTAGAAAAATAAGGCATAAAGCTTGAAAAGAAAAATTACTGTCATTATGCAAACAGCATCATTTCCTACTTGGAAAATTTGAGAATATCTACAAATTCTCGGAACTGATGAAAGAGTTCAGTAAGGTGACTAAGAAAAGATGGCTGGGCATGGTGGCTCATGCCTGTAATCCCAGCATTTTGGGAGGCTGAGGTGGGAGGATTGAGCCCAGGAGGTTGAGGCTGCAATGAGCCATGTTTGTGCCACTGTACTCCAGCCTAGGTGACAGAGTGAGACCCTGCCTCAAAAAAAAAAAAAAAAGATTAAAAGAAGAAAAAAGAAAAGATCAACATGTAAGACATACAGGAACCAGTAATATTTCCACACACTAGCAGTAACGAACTAGAAAATGTATAAGGTACCTGCCAATAAATATAACAAAAGCTATCCAAAACCTTATGGAAAAAACTTCAAACATTATTAAAAGATTTTTTAAATCTCTACATAATTGGAGAGATGTCCCTTTTTCATGGATGAGTCTTGATATCTTGAAGATGTTAGTTTTCTCCAAAATTAATTTATAATTTTTTTTTTTCTTGAGACAAGGTCTCACTCTGTTACCCAGGCTGGAGTGCAGTGGTGCAATCTTGGCTCACTGCAGCTTTGAACTCCTGGGCTCAAGTGGTCCTCCCACCTCAGCCTCCCCAGTAGCTGGGACTACAGACACATGCCACCACGCCTGACTAATTTTTGTATTTTCGGCAGAAATAGGGTCTTTCTGTGTTGACCAGGCAGGTTTTGAACTCCTGGGCTCAAACAGTTCTCCCACCTCGGCCTCCCAAAGTCCTGGGATTACAGACATGAGCCACAGGGCCTGGCCAGTTTATAAATTTAATGTAACATTGATCCAGATTCCAAGAGGATGTTTTGAGAATGGAACTTGACATGATTTTAAAAGTCATATGGAAAAGCAAATGTCTAAGCATGGTCCAGACAATTGAAACAAGAAAAACAAGAAGGGATAAAGTCAACAAGATGGTAAGACCTATAATAATTAAGATAATCAGGTAGTAAGCTATAGTAAATAAGACTGCTAAGTATTGGTGGAGGAATTGATGGGGGTCAATGAACAGTGTTGAGAAAGCCTAGAAAAAGATCCATTTTATGTGGCAAACTGGAATATGATAGAGTGAGCATTACAAGTCATTGGGGGAAAAGATGGGATAAATAGTGTTGGTTTTCCAGTTGGACAAAAATGAAATTTGATTCCATTCTCTGATAATATTCAGGAAGCAATTCCAGAAGTACAAAGATAATTTTAAGAAAATAAAGGTAAATATTTTTATAATCCTGGTATGGAAAAGGATTTTACAAACAAAATACAAAATGCATAAACCATAAGGCAAACAATGCTATATTTGATACTGTAAATATTCAAAATGTATTTATAATCTAGACAAATTTTAGGAAACAAGCAGCAGTCTGAAAGTAGATATTTGTAACATATAACAATGATTATTATTTAGAATGTGGGAAGAATTTCTACAAATCAGTGAGAAAAAAATACAACATAACTGAGAAATGATTAAAAGGAACAGGCAGCTCACAGTAGAGATTCTGAACCTTACCTAGTAATTTGGGAAATGCAAATTAAAAAGGTACCATTTTATTCTCATTAGTCAGTTTGGGAATAATCAGAATATCTGCTGTCATCAAATTATAGCAGAGATGTGGGAAATGAGTTGTATACTATGAGTTATACACTATGAGTTGGAGTGATATTTTAACCACTTAGAAGAACACTTTGGCAATTCCAGCATAATTGAAAATGCACGTTATCTATAGTGCACAGTGGTTCTTGTTTCCGTGTATCTGCCCTAGAGAAACTCTTGCACATGTGTATGGGAAAACATGCATGGGATGCTCTTGGCAGCATTGTATCTTATAGTGGAGAACTAGGAAGAACCTAATGGTCTATCAGCAGACAATGGATAAATAAAGTGTGTCATGTGTAGTTGGCTTTCCTTATCCATGGGTTCCACCTCTGTGAATTCAACCAACCACAGATTGAAAATACTTGAAAAAAACTGTGTCTGTACTGAACATGTACAGATGTTTTTCTTGTCATTATTCCCTAAAGAATAGAGTATAACAACTATAGAATTACGTAGCATTTACATTGTATTAGGTATTATAAGTAATCTGGAGGTAATTGAGAGTGTACAGGAAGATGTGTATTGTGCATTATGTGCAAATACTATGCCATTTTATATCAGGAACTTGAGCATCTGCAGATTTTGTTATCTGAGGGAGGACCTGAAACCAATCCCCCACAGATACCGAGGGATGACTGTATATAGTGAAGACCAAACATTGATTACAAAGTGAACAAATTAAATCTATAACTTTCAACGTAACTAGGTTTCAAAAAATGAGTGAAAAAAGTAGGACAGTATACAAAGTTTGTAATGATTTGCATACATATTTTAAATATACAATATAATGCTATGTATTATTTAAAGATGGCTCTAATGTGATAAAAGTAAAGAGATGCATGGACTGGAAGGATTCACATCAGTGACAGGAAAATGGTTGCATTTGGAGTGAGAGAGCCGGACTGGGGAAGTCTAAAGGGAATGTTAACTTTTTAAATTGTTCGTTATTTATCTTAAAAAGGTTGAAATAGATATTTTAAAATGTGAACACTTATTAATCATGAGTGACAGAAATGTGAACATTTTATTCTATACCTTTTTTGGTGTAAAAACTTACCAACTTAAAATTGTGGTGACCCACATTGCGCTTGTTGTTGTTGCTCTCCTCTCTCCATCCTCAAAGCATTTGCAAAGCATGTTGTAAAAGCAAAAACAGCATTTACTTCTGTCTTGCCCAAAGTCTGCTGTGCCCCCTACATGTAGATGCACGACTTTGCCTCTCACTGGCATAATCAGTGGTAAGGAACAGCCAAACTATAAAGTTAAAGGTCTCCAAAGGGATGATCAATAGACCTAGAATTGCTTTGGATGTAATCCCTATTCTAGATATGGTTTGAATTCCTCAGCTTTAATGAGCATATTTACAAATATAAATGTACATATGGGTACATGTTAAACTGTGAGAAATAATAGTATTGGACAAATGAAATGTACTTTGTTTTTTTTTTTTTAGGTATCTACGAATATTTCAAAATGTGGACCTATCTAGCAATTTTTACTTTAGGTAAGTGTGAGGTTAGTTTTGCTCCTATCAATCACATAAACTTTTATATTATTTTCCAGCGGGTAAAAGCAGAATGAGAACATAGTAGTACTTCTCTTTCATTTTAGTCAACTTGTTTTATCTAAAATCATTAAAATATAGCTATTTCTTCCTTTTAAAAATCTTATATTTGAAAATCCAAATGGATAAATTAAAGGATATTTATTCACATTATAAAAATCATCGTTGTTTTAGGTAGGACTTAATGTATTTTAAAGAAATATTCTCATTTTGTAATCTTAAATTACAAAAATGAAATTTACATTCAGCCTGTAATAAGAGTTGTAACAATTTCATTGTTCAACTTTTAGTAAATAATCTGGCAAAATTGGGTAAAAACAAATTAAAAATAGGAAGAACTGTTGCAATACTGATGTACTGCTGGTGGCATTGTAAATTAACAGTTTCCTGAGAAGGAATATGGCATTGAACATACATGAAAATATGTCCTAAGAAAATAACCAGGAGCAAAAATACAACTCTCCATTGGTAAAGAGACATTTATTGCTTCTCTATTTATAATAGCCCAAACAAGCAAACCAGATAATCCAGGGACGTCCCAAATATTGATAATTGAAGAACAGGCAAGTAGATTATTACAGCATCATGATAAGTATTTTACTACCATTGACGTGACCAGTATGTGGGCCTGATAGATGCAATTATTGTGATAGATGGAAAATTCTATCAGCTATAATATCCAAAATAAAAATAGAACACAGTAAGGACTTGAGTCATAAAGACTAAAGGAGGACCTAGAGCATTTGTAGCTGTTGGTGTTACATACTACTGACAGGGTGCTTTGCATTAAAAATTATTTTAAATTATTAATATAGTTAACCATTTCTTTATGAAACAAAGAAAAACATGTCTACTACATGGGGTGAATTATGTCTTTATTGATGCAAACCTGAAGGAAGTTGATTATTTTAACAGAAATGGAGTGAAGGGCTCCTAAAGAAATAGTTTTTACTTCCACACACGTTTATTGAATGTATATTTTCATTGTATTTTTCGCCATCTTCTAGTTTTCAGTCTTTATGCCTAACTTTTTAGTGTTTGTGAATTATTATTGAAGCTCAGTGCTATTGTTAGAAATGGCCTTCTTCTTCATATTTCTCAGTTTTGTCTGTATTTTTATACTGAGTTGTGATCAAGTCATTCTATAAGTAAATACATGTAGGTTAAAGTTTTTGTGCCTCATAAGTAGGCTTTTAAAAAGGTTATAATATATTCTTAAGACTCTCTAGAAAAAAGGAATTGTTTTAAATAGAAATAATTGATTGTTAAAAATCAGAAACCAACTTCTTAATATAGCTTTTATCCCTTTGAGATTAGATGCTGTTAAAATGAATGGATCCATCAAGCAAAAATGATACAATTGAACTTCACAGATGAAACAAATCAATTTCAATCAAATTATATGAATAAATAATAATTAAAATAATGTGTGTGACTCTCCAGACACAATTGTACCATTTTAAAATATGACTAAAATACTTTAAAAACAAATTTGTATAAAATATTCAAAATACCTTCTGAAATTCTGTGCTAAAAATATATAGCTAGGCTCCTTTAGAGTTTCTAGTAAAAACTGGAAAGCCCCCTCAACACTTAAGAAATATATATACACACACACACTATACATATATATAGTATAGTATATATACACAACTATGTATGTATGCATATTTATATATGCATATTTATATAGAGTATGCATATATAAATACTGTATATAAATATAGAGTATAAATATATTTATATATAGATACTTTTAAAATATCTCTAGCTATATATATAAAGAGAGCTAGAGATGCTTATTTAAAAGGTATTATGTGAGATCAAAATTGTAATGAAATTTAATTTGCACAGAGACGGTTATATTTTTGAAATGCCTTTTACTCTTCTAAAACATGTTTCACTGTAATGGCCTATATTATTTGCTTATTTCTGTTTTATGAAGTCAGTTATGATACCACCATTAATAATTAATAGAATTATTTTTGCTCCTGGGTAAACTAGGGTACAGAACTATGCAGTATTGCAGTGGATGTTATAGATCTATAAAACCCCATACAGATTCATAGAAGGTGTGACCCTGTTTGCACAAGACCATCAACTTAGATTGATTTCAGTATGAAGCAAAAAATGCACATTGTACAAATCAAATAACGTAGGTTACTGACATTGTATTGTATATTTCCAGTCATGCAGATGCCTAGTCATGCAGTGAGGTTTTTATTTCCAATTACATTTATATTTTGCTGTGTTTTACAGTGCTTATTTGAATAGCATTGCTTCCAAATAAAGTAATAGGTGCTAAGTAATTTAGTTCACAGATTTTAATTCTATATGGGCGCCAAGACCATGAAATATGCTTTGCTTTTGTAATTCTTATTAAGTTTCAATTCTGTTCTCAGTTACAGCTATGATTTGTCCCACTCACTTCAATATAATCTCACTGTCTTGCGAATGCCCCTGGAGATGTTAAAGTCAGAAATGACCCAGAATCGCCAAGAGAGCTTTGACATCTTTGAAGATGAAGGATTAATTACACAAGGTGGAAGCGGTAGGTGGTCTTGATATATCTAATGTATATTAATGTGGTATCCATGAAGTGATATCTTATTAAATTCACTCACATTTCCCTCATATTTGTCCATCCCTCTTTGCTGTTTGTCCTTACGTGGGGTTGTTTTGGATATGTGAAGTTGATCAATTCATTTTTATAGAGATATTAATCACCATGTGATTTCATTTGTAGGCCAACCACAAAATTGTATGCTGACATTTTCTAGCAATTATTCACGTACTTTTTATTGAATACATTCAAGCCTAGACTTTTACATGGTGTGCAGAGGTGAAGTTTACATGGATAATTTTTTTTAATATTAGGTAATACACACTACTTATTTTCCTTCACAGAGACCAGTTTGTTATGGTCTGAGTTTTGAAAAAGAGTTACCATGGGTTGCCTATTATGTGCTAGACATTTACATGTAATATCTCTAATCCTCATAAAAACTCTGCTTAGTAGGTATAATGCTAGTTTTATAGAATTAAAGACTAAGTAGGAAATGGAGGCCTGGAAATGAAGATCATACAGCCATGTCAGGGAATCAATGCAGCAAGTCAGAGGTCGTTATTACTTTGATCGGTCCCAGCTTGACCCATCAGTCCTGCATAGGTCTTGCCTCTGCAGGACTGCTGTGGGACCACTCAGTGCCTCATCTAGGGTGCCCCTGAAATCCTGGACTAAACCAGTCACGCAATACCTTTATCGCCAAATTTTTGGGTTGGTCTAGCACTGTAAAGCTAGAGGCATTGCTAGTATGAATGTTGTAAGGGAAGCATTTCAATAGTTAAGACACTTTAGTTGTGTTCAGCTGACTGTGGAAAGTAAGTCAATAGTGTCTTTGGGCTCCTTGCTCTGTGCAACTTAAATGATAGTGATGAACATGTGGGTGCAGAGGTGCAGAGGTAGAATCCAATCTAAAGTAGTCCCAGAAGATCTGCCCTTGCAGCACTCTCAAAAAGAGGCTGTGTTCTGTTAATGGTTTGCCAAAGGTTGTGATCAACTCTAAAAAGGTTTAGGCTGTTACTTAAACTGAATTTATCCCTGGCATTCCCCTTGACTCTTGTTAGTTTACTTGATTATCACTTGAGCTAAGGTCAAACCCAGGGCACCCTCCCTACTCCCAGATCATTAGATCACATACATTTGCCCTGGTTCAGACACTCTGGTGGTAACCCATACCACTAGAGACAGATAGAGGGCAAGACAACTGGTGTGTTTGAATATTTGCTTGCAACGCTTCTGAATGTCACAATTTGTAATACAAAAGCTGAAAGTATCACTAAATTTGCCCCACATGCCATCCAAAATCTGAATTTGAATATCTGTTCTGGGATGTGAATTAAGCCTCCAATGCTACTAAATTTTTTGCCATCTCTGGAGCAATTCTACTTGATAGATATGAATAACAGGGTGTATTAGTTTCTTCTTGTTGCTGTGACAGATTACCTAGCTTAGTTGCTAAAATAACATAAATGTATCATCTTACAGAAGTCCACAGTGGATCTCAGTGAGCCAAAATTAGCATATCAGCAGGATTGCATTCCTTTCCAGAGGCTCCAGGGGAGAATCAGTTTTCTTGCCCTTTCCATCTTCTGGGGGCTGCATTCATCCCCTGGCTTATGGCTCCCTTCCATCTTTAAGGCTACATTACATTACCTGACACTCATACTCCTGTTTTCCTCTTTGACTTACAAGGACCCTGTGATTATATTGGACCCACTTAGATAATGCAGAATAATTTTCCCATCTCAAGGTCCTGATTAGGAACCTTAACTTCATCTGCAGCTTTAATTTCTTCTTGCCATGTAATGTAACAGTTCATATTCACAGTTTCTGGTGATTAGCCTGCATACATCTTTGTCGAAGGTGAGATTATTCTCTTATCGCACAGGGGTAAACTGATAAGAAATGGAGTGAGGGTAGAAGGTATGAGAGTAGGTTGAAAAGGAAAACAATAAATTTTTAAAATAATCTTTACTGCATGTCAGGTACTTTGCATATACTATTTAATCTGAACAATATCTTTGAGGTGAGTAGTATTAACATCATTTTCTAGTTTAGAAAGTTGAAATTCAAAGACATTAAGTAACTTGCCTAAAGTCACAGAGTAAGTGACAAAACAGGACTCCTATTGATGTCTTTATTATTAATTCTCTCGTGTAATGCATTGAAAGGGCAGAGAAAGTTTAGCTTTTATGAATCAAATCTAAGTGTGGTATAGTGTATAAACAAATACTCTTAACAGATCATGTTTTGAGAAAAAAATGGTCTTTATTAACTGCTATTCAGAACCATTACAGTCTTTTAAGCTATTATCTTATAAACATACTTTTAATTTTTCACTTCATGTAAGTTTTGTAAAACTCATTGCTGTTTAATACATTTATCTGGATATGCTAAAATTATGTTTGATGAAATTAATTTATTCATAGAGAAAAGGCCTGACATCATAATAACTGCCACCTATTGGAAGTATTTGTAATACACTAGGCTTATTCTAGGCCCCTTACGTGCCTTATTAATTCATTTCGTCCTTAAAACAACCACGTGGTACAGGTGAGGGAGCAGAGGTGCCGTGCTCCCTAAGTAACACTCTTGATTGTGCCTGACCCTGCTGATGAGAGGCAGAGCCAGGAGTTGGATCCAGGAACTTTGACCTCATAGCCCTGTGCTCAACCGCTACTTCCTGCCACCTCTTGACTTTATTTATATATTTGTAACATGTCCTCAATTTCCTTGTCATTTTCTTTTCTCTCAAGAACTCTCACAAGTCAGAAAAGGGATTTCTTTGACTTTTTACAGAATCAACACAATGTTCTGGACATGAAAGGAATGATATCCACTGAAAATGGCAATGCTATTAACCAAGCATGTTACTTTGAAGTTAAAAACAGAAGTTAACTTAAAAATGAGTTGAATGTCAGCCAATTTCCATATCTTTCTGATACCAACCTTTTTTTTAATTGATACAAAATATTTTGTGTATTTATGGACTGATACAGACTTTTATTTTTCAGGGGTATTTGGGATCTGTAGTGAGCCTTATATGAAATATGTATGGAATGGTGAACTTCTGGATATAATTAAAAGTACTGTGCATCGTGACTGGCTTTTGTATATTATTCATGGGTTCTGTGGGCAGTCAAGTATCCTTTCTGAAGAAAAAGTAAGATACATATTACTAAACTTATGATGTATCAATTTGTAGACAGCTACATATGAATTATATGATTATAATACCACTCTGTGCACCCCAACAGGAAAACCTGCCCATGATACTATGTAGCAGAAATACAAAGAAGAATGCAGACTATTTGAACAGGCCTGTTATATACACATAAAGATGAATAAATAACAAGGAAGAAAATGCAATGTGATATAGGTAATAAGTGTCATGCTTATCTGGGAGAAGGAGGAGAATTACTGATAGTTGGAGAGGATGGGACAGGCCCATGGGAATAGTTGAACTTGGCCTGGGCCCTAAACAAAAGTCAGTGCCTTAGCAGCGAGAGAGATCAGGCCGAGCAGAGAGAGAGAGATCACAGCCTGGGAAACACTGTGTGTGTAGAGGTGGAAAAACACATGGGAGTGTTCTCATGGCTTGTGCATAAAACTCCCAGGAGGTAGGATATAGTGGGAAGGAGATTGGTATGTGGGAGTCAGATGGCCAGTCACCAGATTGCCTTGGTGGTCAAGCTGAGGACTTTGGGTTTGGTGCTAGAACTTTTGAAAGGTTTTGTGCAGAAGAATGACATTTGCAAAGTAGTATTTAGGATGCTTGAGTTGACAACCGTTTTCAAGCTGGATTAAGTAAAATGAAACTAGAACAAGTAACATGAGTTAGGAAAAGATTGCAGTAGTCCAGGCAAGAGGGCAAAATAGATTAAAGAGAAGTAGGTTCAGCTTTGGGTTAAGCTGATGAGTTCAATTTTGTAAAAACTTTTATTTCCTTCAGTAGCTTCATGTCTCATTAATTTGTAGCTACATTGAAGCCTTTTAATAAAGTGCAATTATGGGGTTTAAGAAGGCAGCATGTACCATCTAGAAGTGGTTTTTCGATTTTTTCTATCACCTTTTGAGATCACGTAGGGCATTTTTGCATTCAGCATGTTTTCTAGTATGTTAGACTTTTAAAGAAAAAGGCGTTTGTACATTTTCCCCCCACAGATAAGAAGTATTTGTAATGGATTTGTATTTTTCTTAGTTTTATTCTCTTTAGACATTTAAAAGAACCAAAAAAGAAACTTTTGCTTCTTCATTTTCAGTTGGGATTTGCAGTTTAATGGCCTCACATCTTTCTCCAGATCCCCAGGGTTTCTTTGTCTTATTTATGGAGAAAAACCAGTCACTTTGTCCAGCGCACTGTGAGGCCCCACTCAGGCCAGCCCTGGCCCCCCTTGGTACTTGGAACCGAAGTTACAGATCTATATTAAAATAATAATAATGTACAAAAAAAAATTTAAAGGAGTGGTTGCTTTGAGACTATTAAGTGGGTGAATGTGACTGACCATTATTATGCTTTCTTGTACCAGGAGCATTTGAGAGGAGTGGTGCCAAGGGCACAGCTGGCGAGGTTAGCCTTGAAGAGCAGCAGGGCTGCCTTCTGTGAGGGGGACGAAAGGCTAGATAAAAGCACAGAGGGATTTTGAAATGAAGATCAGTGAGATTTATGTGCTACACTTGAAAATCAGGCTCATTACTTTATAATCACTTTCAACCAGTGAGTGGTATTATCTGGTTGATCATTACTGCATAAAGAGATTTGATCCTGAATTACTTTTTTCTCTTTCCAAAAGTAAATTCTACCTGGGAAGAACACAGGTTTTTCACCACCAAGGATACCAAAAAGAATGTGCTACAATTTCTAAAGGTAGTTCCTAAAAGATAGTTCTAAGCTGTTTTGTATTTCCAAGAGCTAACTCGGGTCCTGGCACATATTAAACATAGTAAATGTTTGTTTTTTAAAATAGTGAGCACCATGATAGATGATCATTTTAAAGCTCGTAAGTTTAAACAATGAATCTAGTTTCCTGGTTATCAAGCGTTTAATGAATTCTGGAACTCTATATGATTATAAAAAGAGTAGCTTTTGATAAGAGTAGTTTATGAATACTACAGGCCAGGCACTAGTTGTACACACATTACTTCACCTAGTCCTCCTGACCACCTTTGGTTACTTTACTGTTACTCCATTTTATAGAAGATGAGACTTGGCTCAGAAAGTTAAGTAAGGCGACATAACTAATAAGCTGTATATTGGTTAAGCAGTTCACAATAAATTATTCAGTGTTCAGAATTTGCAGGTAGGTGACAAATTTTGACTGCTTTTAGAGTCTTATACTCAGTTTGTCACCTCAGTATTACATATTATTCATAATTGAAACAGCCTATTAAATGACACATGTTCTCTTTGAGAGGTGTATGATCTTGGAAGACTAAGGAAGGTGTATTAGTCCATTCTCACACAGCTATGAAGAACTACCTGAGACTGGGTAATTTATGAAGAAAAGAGGTTTAATTGACTGTAGGCTTAACAGGAAGCATGACTGGGAGGCCTCAGGAAACTTACAATCATGGTGGAAGGTGAAGGGGAAGCACGCATGTCTTCACAATGGCAGAGCAGAAGAGAGAGCGAGCAAAGGGGGAAGTGCCACACACTTGCAAACAACCAGATCTTGTGAGAACTCACTGTCACAAAAACAGCAAGGGGGACGTCCGCCTCCATGATGCAATCACCTCCCACCAGACCCTACCCTGACACGTGGGGATTACAATTCGAAATGAGAGTTGGCTGGGGACACAGAGCGAAACCATATCAGAAGGATTAGTTGTACTTGTTTACATCCTTACTTGGCCATAGGGCTTTCCTTGGCCAGTAACCCTACACCTGGTTACCATTTTCTCTGAAATTTATGGAAAGCACTCCTTAGTCAGGTTGGATATTGCCTTCCCTTTGTAGCTGCACTGCAATTCTGAAGAACCATTAGATCAAGTGCTGTTCCATTCTTGGGTGGAGCTTTTGGTGTTCTTTAAGCCATTGGACAAGCTGTATCTAAATGTTTATTTAAGGAATAATGACTCTCTTGGTCTTATGTGACAGTCATGAATGCTAAACAACCTTAACTTGATTTCCAAGAGCTGTTGATCTATGGACGACCAGTGTATGTCACTCTAATAGCTAGAAGATCCAGTAAATTTGCTGGCACCCGTTTTCTTAAAAGAGGTGCAAACTGTGAGGTAAGATGACAAACAGTATCTTCACTGACCTTTTAACCTTTTATATCAGCTTTGCTGATGTAGAAGCACAGTGAAATTTTAAGAAGTGGTATTTCTTAGTTTGGGATATTATCAAGAGAATACAGTTGCCTTTTAGTATCAACAAGGGATTGGTTCTAGGAACCCTCTTCCCATCCAAAATCCACAGATGCTGAAGTCTCTTACATAATATGGCCTAGTGCTTGCATATAACCTATGTACATCCATCTGTATACTTTAAATCATCTCTAGATTACTTCTAATATCTAATATGATGTAAATGCTATGCAAATAGTTCTAATACTGTATTGTTAAGGGAATAATGACAATAAAAAAGGTCTGCACGTATTCAGTTCAGATGCAACCATCGTAGGCCTAACTACATTTTCTGTCTGAGATTGGTTGACTCTGTGGAGGGAACCCATGGATGTGGGGGGCTGACAATAATTAATACTCCAGTGCATCTGAAACATGTGAGAAATATGACTAATATGCAGATGTTCTGAAAAGTCAGCTATCTTAGAGTTATGCAGTGCTTTGAGGAATTATAAAATGTCTAATGTTGTGGAGGGTGAGCCATTTCTATAATATATGAAATGCGGTACATGTTTAATGTAGAGACAAAAATAGCAAAGCACCTCCACCCAAGTAGAAGGCAGCACTCATCACGGGAAGTCAATTCTTGATAAGAAGACGAAGTGGAGCAAGGTTCAGGAAACGCTTTGCCCTCTTTGTCTTTTTTGCCCATACTCCTTTTTCTGTTCATCGCTAGGAAATAACAACAGCAAAAATGCAGCCATCCTTCCATCAGCCGTGTTCTGTCCTTTGAGTGCTCCGTCTCTGTTTGCAATAGACAACTTGAGTTTTGAGTGGATGTGTGATTTGGTAGACAGATTGAGTGAGGCACTGGGTTTTGATCCTGGCTTAAAATAGCAACATTGTTCTTAAAATTATATCAACAGTGAAAATTGTTACAGCTGGTGCTTTAAAATATCAGAATTTTGCAGCTATATTATTTACTTTTGAATATTCAAAGGATAATCAGACATGTTATTACTGCCTCTAAAATTATTCTTTATTATGTCCTTATATACTTCTGTAAGTACCTCAAAACCCTATTTTTTCCTTTTGTCCATTAGGCATTATTTGAATCTCACTCCTTTCATTTCACTTTGGTCTTCAGAATTGAATTTTGATATTCTTCTAGTCTTCCTCACCTCCTGTATAATTTCATGTAATTGTCATTTCTTTCCCTCTCTCCCATTTATTTAAACCAGCTGTTTCCTATCTGACTTGTATTATTAGAGATTAATTTGTTTTTTTCTAGTCTATTCTCTGCTACTTTTAATTGCCTTCTTTATTATATTTTAATGGTTTTGCTTTTCTAATGTGCATATTGAATATTGATCAATATTTACCTCTCAAGACTTTCAAAGAATAGGAATTATAACTTCATTGAAAGAATAGGAATTATAACTTCATTGAAAGTTATTTCATTAAACATTTCTAATAACATAAAATATTTTTCAATGCACCTTTCTTTTCAGGGTGATGTTGCAAATGAAGTGGAGACTGAACAAATACTCTGCGATGCTTCTGTGATGTCTTTCACTGCAGGAAGTTATTCTTCATATGTACAAGTTAGAGGATCTGTGCCCTTATACTGGTCTCAGGACATTTCAACTATGATGCCTAAACCACCTATTACATGTGTGTGGAGCCATGTTTTTAATAATAACTCCTGTCCTCACATTTAGAGATAATGAACTGTTGTCACAGAAATCTCATAAATGCTTAGGTTTTCAGGAGGTTTTAGTCCTGGAAGGTAGATAATTTAGAAGAGGAATTTCCGTTATTCTTATGTAATAAATTTATGTTTAATTTTGACTGTTAAATAAATTATTTTTATTTTGCTTCAGAAATGTAAGAATCATTCAAATGTAATAAATACATGATGAATAAGTGTCTAGTGAGCATCTTAAGAAGGATTTGGGAAGTGAAACTATTGAAAGATTAGTTGAATTGCATTTCTTTAAAAAAACAACCCTATGCTTCTTTTATTTTGCTTTGCAATTTTCATTCAGGTGCTTTTTCATCTTTTTTCCTTCTCAGTGGATCAGGCAGATCCATTTGCACATGTGGCTGCCCTTCACTTTGACCAGATGTTCCAGAGGTTTGGCTCTCCCATCATCATCTTGAATTTAGTGAAGGTATGATGTGCTCATCTGTTTGGTTATGAGATTCAGACGCTCTGGGAAGCCTCTTCCTCAACACAGAGGGGGTTAACAAGCCATGCTTTCCCTCTTCCTAGTGGAGAGACGTGCAGATTATTATGCTGGGACAGCTCACTGTGTCTGAGCTGAGTCACTTTCCTTTGGCCTCAGATTCCATGTGGCTTCTCTGCATGGCTGAAAAAAATGAGTAGTATATATCTAAGGGAGTAGAGTGATTCAGTATATCAGGAAATCATTGTGTCCTGATTTCCTTGTGTGAATTAGATATAGGTCAAATTTCTGCCTTAGTTTCCAGGACAACTTGGAGAAAGAAGCATGAAATCAAACTGTCACAGCCTCACCTTTACAGTCATCTCCCTTGAAAATCCATAAGCTCCCCTGGGCAAATTAATTTATAGTAATAGGATCAAAGGCTAGATTCATAAACTGGGGTACTGTTGTGACTGAAGGATCAGGTGGGCATGTGAGAAGCCCAGACAAGGTGGTATTAGCCTCATAGTTCCCTGCTTTCTTGGCAGAGTACACTGACTGGTCAGCATATCTATCTATATGAATGGGCATACAGGTCAAAGGCTGAGGATAGGAGGCAGGGAACCACAGAATAAGTTTTATCTGCATCTGTTGCAGCCAAGTGAATTGAAAGACTCTCAGTCAGAAGCCAAGAATACCCTGAGAGTATGAAAAGCAAGGGTGTTGTTATGTTATGTGCTCTTGGTGGTGTCCAACAATCTAGTAGTGTCTGAGGTTATTCTGAGAGGTTGGTTAATAAATGTAGATGAGTTTACTGAAAAACCAAGGAAGCCTGTGACCCTGTGTGTCCATTTAGTCAGTCATTTATTTTTATTTACTTATTTCTTATTATACTTTAAGTTCTCGGATACATGTGCAGAACGTGCAGGTTTGTTACATAAGTATACAAGTGCTGTGATGGTTTGCTGCACCCATCAACCCGTCATCTACATTAGGTATTTCTCCTAATGCTATCCTTCCCCTATCCCCCCACCCCCCAACAGGCCCCAGTGTGTGATGTTCCCGTCCTTGTGTCCATGTGTTCTCATTGTTCAGTTCCCACTTACGAGTGAGAACATGGCAGTTTTTGATTTCCTGTTCCTGTGTTAGTTTACTGAGAATGATGGTTTCCAGCTTCATCCATGTCCCTGCAAAGGACATGAACTCATCCTTTTTTACGGCTGCATAGTATTCCATGGTGTATATGTGTCACATTTTCTTTATCCAGTCTATCATTGATGGGCATTTGGGTTGGTTCCAAGTCTTTGCTATTGTGAATAGTGCTGCAATAAACATATATGTGCATGTGTCTTTATAGTAGAATGATTCATAATCCTTTGGGTATATACCCAGTAATGGGATTGCTGGGTCAAATGGTATTTCTAGTTCTAGATCCTTGAGGAATCGTCACACTGTCTTCCACAATGGTTGAACTAATTTACACTCCCACCAACAGTGTAAAAGCGTTCCTATTTTTCCACGTCATCTCCAGCACCTGTTGTTTCCTGACTTTTAAATGATCGCCGTTCTAACTGGCATGAGATGGTATCTCATTGTGGTTTTGATTTGCATTTTTCTAATGACCAGTGATGATGAGCCTTTTTTCAAATGTTTGTTGGCCACATATAAATGTCTTCTTTTGAGAAGTGTCTGTTCATATCCTTCGCCTACTTTTTGATGGGGTTGTTTTTTTCTTGTAAATTTGTTTAAGTTCCTTGTAGATTCTGGATAGTAGCCCTTTGTGAGATGGAGAGATGCAACAATTTTCTCCCATTCTATAGGTTGCCTGTTTACTCTGATGATAGTTTCTTTTACTGTGCAGAAACTCTTTAGTTTAATTAGATCCCATTTGTCAATTTTGGCTTTTGTTGCCATTGCTTTTGGTGTTTTAGTCATGAAGTCTTTGACCATGCCTATGTCCTGAATGGTATTTCCTAGGTTTTCTTCTAGGGTTTTTATGGTTTTGGGTCTTACGTTTAAGTCTTTAATTCATCTCGAGTTAATTTTTGTATAAGGTGTAAGGAAGTAATTTATAGATTCAGTGCCATCCTCATCAAGCTATCATTGACTTTCTTCACAGAATTAGAAAAAGCTACTTTAAATTTCATGTGGAAGCAAAAAAGAGCCCATGTAGCCAAGACAATCCTAAGCAAAAAGAACAAAACTGGAGGCATCACGCTACCTGACTTCAAACTATACTACAAGGCTACAGTAAAGCATGGTACTGGTACCAAAATAGATATATAGACCAATGGAACAGAACAGAGGCCTCAGCAATAACACCACACATCTACAACCATCTGATCTTTGACAAACCTGACAAAAACAAGCAATGGGGAAAGGATTCCCTATTTAATAAATGGTTTTGGGAAAACCGGCTAGCCATATGCAGAAAACTGAAACTGGGTCCCTTCCTTACACCTTATAGTCAGTCATTTAACAAGTATTTTTGAGAGTTTCCTATGTGCAAAGGCAGTTCTAGAAACAGCTCCTGCCTTGAGCTAACAGCCTGTTGTAGGAGATGGTGAGGTAATGCAGAGGCAACAATATAAGGTAAATGGTGCAACAAGAGTTTATAATGGAGAGAAGTCTTCCCTGAGGACGGGATGAGTTAGCATCAGCCTGAAGGAAGAGGCATTAACCAGGTCACTGGGAAAGAATGGTATTCAACTCAGAGCGCAGCATGTACAAAGGCCCTAGGACAGGAGGAAGTGTGGTGGGTTGGAGGAAGAAAAGGGGGTTCCCTGTGGCTGGGGCCCAGAGGGTGAGGACAAGATGCTTGTTTTGAGATGAGGCTAAAGAGATGGTTATGGCCAGACCATGCAGAGTATTGTAGGCTGCATTAATGAGCCTGGCCTTCTTCCTGAGAGTAATGGAAAGTCATTAAACATCTTGCATGGTTGAGAGGATCATTGTCAGATTTATGTTTTGAAAAGATTACTGTGACCTCAACATAGAAAACAAATGGATCGGTACAAGGCTAATGTCAATGCTGGAAGACCAGATAGGAGGCTGTTATAATTGTCCAGAAAAGAGGTGATTATGCCTTAAACCAGGGTGGTATGGTGGAGATGTAGAGAAGTGGACAGTCAGTAGAGTTGGTGATGGGCTGGATTTGAAATGAGGGAGTAGGGGGTGTCAGGCTCAATTCTCAGGTTTCTGGCTTACTCAGGTGGGTGAATGGTGATGCCATTCACTGAAATACAGAACCCTGACTGGGTTTGTTGGGGGAAGATCATGAGTGTAGTTTGGACATGCTGAGTGAGGTTTGAGGTATGCTTGCGTCCTCTACACTTGTTCTTAGCCAAAAGGCCGAGAAGCGATGCTTGAGTCCTCTAAACGGAGGTAACAGGTCAGGGCATGGTTCTGGAGCTCAGAGGAGAGGTCTAGGCCCAGATGTGATTTTTGTAACTCTGTGTACAGATGACATTTGAAGGCATGGGCATGGATGAGATGCCCATGTGGAGAGTATAAAGTGAGAAGGAAAAACCTCAGAGCTTGTCTTGGGGATCTCCTGCTCTTAATGCCCATTTAGAGTGGCTGAATCTCCAAAGGAGTCAGAGAAAAAAACATCCAGAGGAGTAGGAAGAAAACCAGGAAGTGCTGTGTCAGGAATGCCAGGAGAAAGCGTGTTTCACAATGAAGGAAGTAAATGATCAACAGCATCAAATGCTGAGGGGTCAAGTAAGATGAGGATGGAAAGATTGTCCATTAGTGTTAGCATCATGGAGGGCACTGATTGAAGTAGACCGAGTGTGGGATAACAGTGAGTAAGTGATGTACTTTTCCCCCAATAGGAGTACCCAGTGAAAGATGGCATTTTTATTTTTTGAAAGAGATCATATCGATATGTTTAAAAGCCTATGGGGAGGATACATGTGAAAGGGATAGTTGTATGACACAGGAGAGAAAAGGAATGATCAGTGATTTCATGTACTTAAGAAAGTAGGAAATGATGAAATCTGAAGCATACATAGTAGAATTATTATTTTATTTTTGAGGCATGGTCGTGCTCTATCACTTAGGCTGGAGTGCAGTGGCAAGATCATAGCTCGCTGCAACCTTGAACTCCTGGCCTTAAGTAATCCTCCCACCTCAGTCTCCCAAAGTGCTGGGATTACAGTCATGAACCATGGCGCCTGGCTGGAATTATTTTAATGGAGAGACAGAAAATAGTAAGGGTTCGGGCATGTGTGTATTTGTGAGCATGCACATTCCATTCTGATGGCTTTAATTTCTCCTTAAGGTAGGAGGAATGGTCATCTGCTGAGAGTGGAGGTTTGAAGGGAGTGGAGAAGGTTTAAGTCTTTTGTACGTGGGAGGGTAAGTTGACTAGAAACCTGCAGGAAGTACCAAGAGCCAATTTCAAGTTGGTGATCATGATTTCTTAAATGGAACCATTTTGCTCTTGCCTGCCTTCTTCCAGCAGGCTTGTGAATGAGTATAAGCACAGGTAAAATAGTAATTGGGTTTATTTAGTTTTGCCACACAGGTGTGACATGAAAAGACAGGATGAAAGGCATTTTGGATTTTGGCAATACTGTGATCGAAGTGGTCCATGAAATCTCAGCCAAGTAAGGACAGGGCTTAAAGAACAGGGCTGCTGGAGAAAGTGGAGATGTCAGTGGATTGCAGTCCTCACGAGGTGGGGTATTTAAAGCAAGCAGTGTGGAAATAAAAGAGGTCACGAATAAGAAATGTTGAAGAAAGAGCAGCCTGTGATAATGAATTGGTGTAAGATGTGATAGTGGGAATGGGGATTTAGAATGGAAAAGGAGGTGGAGATACTGAAAGTCAGCCAGTGTATTAGTCTGTTTGCACACTGCTGATAAAAACATACCTGAGCCTGGGTAATTTATAAAGAAAAAGAGGTTTAATGGACTCACAGTTCCACGTGGCTGGGGAAGCCTCACAATCATATCGGAAAGCAAAAGACACGTGTTACATGGCGGCAGACAAGAGAGAATGAGAACCAAGCGAAAAGAGAAACCCCTTATAAAATCATCACCTCTCGTGAGACTTATTCATTACCACAAGAACGGTATGGGGGAGACCACCCCCATGATTCAATTATCTCCCACCAGATCCCTCCACAACACGTGGGAATTATGGGCGCTACAATTCAAGATGAGATTTGAGTGGGGACACAGCCAAACCATATCACCCAGGATGGAGGCAAAGCTTGGGGTGGGGAAGAGACAGTTCCTAGGAGAGGACTGTATAACTACATGCATGGGCTCAAA
The DNA here is from genome assembly GCF_000001405.40 of Homo sapiens. NCBI lineage: Eukaryota > Metazoa > Chordata > Mammalia > Primates > Hominidae > Homo > Homo sapiens. The sequence goes on from NC_000006.12 coordinate 109,749,049, forward strand.
GGAGCTCTGTGTGTGTGTGTGTGTGTGTGTGTGTGTGTGTGTGTGTGTGTGTGTGTTTTAAATCAAGAATATGGAGGAATATGTCCCCAAACTGGCAGTTGGGGGAGAAGAGTGAAACAGTGAGGCAGTCAGCTTTATTTCTTCCTGTGTTGCTCTTTGTAATTGTATCCCACTAGGGATTGACTTTGTAAAATAAATCATTCAGATATTAAATAATCATTTTTCTAGACATTTGTTCATATTAATTCAGAAGTTTCATGTTCACATCTCTCTCCATATCAACTCAGAATAATGTAAGGTGGATAATCTCTAACCTCAGCCTAGTATTAAACAGTAGCTGTAGTATACATAATTGCAAATTTAAAATATGAAAACTTTAGTGAAAATGCTCATGGACAGTTTTCCAGTAAATGTATAGAAAATAAGATATTGTTAGTATGGAAATAAATTATTGCCAAAGTGTTAAATTATAAAGTGTTACTGGATTAGAAACCTAGATTTGAATTAGTGGATTTAGACAGAGCACGACCCTGCCTCAATAATAAAATAAAATAAAATAAAATAAAATAAAAAGTAAGTTCATGTTTTACAGAGTTCGTATAGTGTGGTTGAAAAGCTGTCATTAAATGGAGATTCATGTCTACAATGCTTGAAATAATTCTCTTAATTGTGCACACTCAAAAAATACTATCATACATGTGATCATAATGTATTCTTTGCCAGGTATCTCACATGTACATTTATTTTTTTGAATATTTAAAGGTCAGTCAGTGGATTTTAAAGTTGTACTTGTTTATTGTTCTATTGCAATAAAAATCCTGACAATGACTAGAAGTTAGCTACAGAAATAGTTTGGAGATTAAGTTGCTGTTTCATGGAATAGGAAAATATTTTGTTGTTTATAGCACTAGTTTTATTCATAGGATTAAAGAAGATGTTTATTCAGGCCACTTGGTAGAAGACCTTATTAATTGTGATTAAAGAGCCAAAGAATACATGTGTGTATAGAATGATACCTAGGGGATACTCACTCTTTATTCTACCACCATATGAAGAAGTTAATAAAGCGAAATGCTTTTCATGATTTCATTTCTCTTTTACCCTGTGTTGCGAACTTCTTCCCAGTTGTGAAAGTTTGAGGCACTGGTTGAAAGACAGTTTGCAGCAATCCATGTGCCTTCAATGCTGCTACTGTATCAACAGAAGGCCAACCTAGGATCAAGTATAACTGTACATCAGAAGTTTTTAATCTGTGGGCCATGCATGGCTGTTAGGGGGATCTTGGAACCCTTTGAAATGATATGCAGCTGGATGTGGTGGCTCATGCCTATAATCCCAGTGACCTGGGAAACAGGCGGGAGGCTTGCATGAGGCCAGGAGTCTGAGAGCAGACTGGGCAGCATAGGAGACACAGTCTCTACAAAATTTTTTTTTTTCAATTAGTTGAGCATGATGCACACCTGTAGTCCCAGCTACTTGGAGGCTGAAGTTGGAGGATCACTTGAGTCCAGGAGTTCCAGGATGCAGTGAGCTATGATTGCACCATTGCGTTCCAGCCTGGGCGACAGAGTGAGACCCTGTCTCTTTATAAAAAAAGAAAAAAGAAATGTTATGCAAAATCACTTGTGTAGTAGTTTTCCTTTACTTGTTAGGGGTCTGTGGCTCTAAAGAGGTTGACTAACAACCCACTAACACTATTACACTATGGACAGACAATGCATACAGCAGATTCTTCACACAGAGATGATACGAAGGTTGCTCAAACAACATTTCCTCTCCATCCCACGAAATGTCAGATTTGATATAAGCATTTCAAAAAGATTTTGTTTCCCTAGTTGATTTTAAATGCTTTTGAGAAAAATTTCAGATATATAATTTAATTTTCTCCGATATATAAATAAGCAAAATTTATTTTCATCCTAAACTGATTTAACACTGTTCTTAATTCTTATCTAATTATTTCATTTGATGTATTCAGCTGTGCTCAATAGCTACCCCTTTTTGTTTCTACAGTAGTTATCTCATTAAATTCATGACAATTGAAAAGTAATCTCCATGATTGAAAACAGCACAATCTAATTTTGATGCCAACAATAGTGCCTTAACACCATTTCAGTCTCACTATTGTGAAATTAATTGTTTTTCTTTGTTTCTAAGTGAAGGCTTGATCAGGGTGATAATGAAAATGGCAAATTTTTATAAGTTACTTCCCATATGCCAGCTGTTCTATAAAAACTCACCATGCTCTGCTGCTGGATTCGGTTTGCCAGTATTTTATTGAGGATTTTCGCCTCGATGTTCATCAGGGATATTGGCCTGAAATTTTCTTTTTTTGTTGTGTCTCTGCCAGGTTTTGGTATCAAGATGATGCTGGCCTCATAAAATGAGTTAGGGAGGAGTCCCTCTTTTTCTGTTGTTTGGAATAGTTTCAGAAGGAATGGTACCAGCTCCTCTTTGTACCTCTGGTAGAATTTGGCTGTGAATCTATCTGGTACTGGGCTTTTTTTGGTTTGTAGCCTATTAACTATTGCCTCAGTTTCATAACTTGTTATTGGTTTATTCAGGGATTTGACCTCTTCCTGGTTTAGTCTTGGGAGGGTGTATGTGTGCAGGAATTTATCTATTTCTTCTAGATTTTCTAGTTTATTTGCATAGAGGTGTTTATAGTAATCTCTGGTGGTATTTTGTATTTCTGTGGGATCAGTGATGATCTACCCTTTAACATTTTTTATTGTGTCTATTTGATTCTTCTCTCTTTTTTTCTTTTTTTTTTAAGTATTTTTTTTCTTTTTTTTTATTATTATTATACTTTAAGTTTTAGGGTACGTGTGCACAATGTGCCGATTAGTTACATATGTATACATGTGCCATGCTGGTGTGCTGCACCCATTAACTCGTCGTTTAGCATTAGGTATATCTCCTAATGCTATCCCTCCCCCCTCCCCCCACCCCACAACAGTCCCCAGAGTGTGATGTTCCCCTTCCTGTGTCCATGTGTTCTCATTGTTCAGTTCCCACCTATGAGTGAGAACATGCGGTGTTTGGTTTTTTGTTCTTGCGATAGTTTACTGAGAATGATGATTTCCAATTTCATCCATGCCCCTACAAAGGACATGAATTCATCATTTTTTATGGCTGCATAGTATTCCATGGTGTATATGTGCCACATTTTCTTAATCCAGTCTATCACTGTTGGACATTTGGGTTGGTTCCAAGTCTTTGCTATTGTGAATAGTGCCACAATAAACATACGTGTGCATGTGTCTTTATAGCAGCATGATTTGTAGTCCTTTGGGTATATACCCAGTAATGGGATGGCTGGGTCAAATGGTATTTCTAGTTCTAGATCCCTGAGGAATCGCCACAGTGACTTCCACAATGGTTGAACTAGTTTACAGTCCCACCAACAGTGTAAAAGTGTTCCTATTTCTCCACATCCTCTCCAGTACCTGTTGTTTCCTGACATTTTAATGATCGCCATTCTAACTGGTGTGAGATGGTATCTCATTGTGGTTTTGATTTGCGTTTCTCTGATGACCAGTGATGATGAGCATTTTTTCATGTGTCTGTTGGCTGCATAAATGTCTTCTTTTGAGAAGTGTCTGTTCATATCCTTTTCCCACTTTTTGATGGGGCTGTTTGTTTTTTTCTTGTAAATTTGTTTGAGTTCATTGTAGATTCTAGATATTAGCCCTTAGTCAGATGAGTAGGTTGCGGAGAATTTCTCCCATTTTGTAGGTTGCCTGTTCACTCTGATGGTAGTTTCTTTTGCTGTGCAGAAGCTCTTTAGTTTAATTAGATCCCATTTGTCAATTTTGGCTTTTGTTGCCATTGCTTTTGGTGTTCTAGACATGAAGTCCTTGCCCATGCCTATGTCCTGAATGGTAATGCCTAGGTTTTCTTCTAGGGTTTTTATGGTTTTAGGTCTAATGTTTAGTCTTTAATCCATCTTGAATTAATTTTTGTATAAGGTGTAAGGAAGGGATCCATTTTCAGCTTTCTACATATGGCTAGCCAGTTTTCCCAGCACCATTTATTAAATAGGGAATCCTTTCCCCATTGCTTGTTTTTGTCAGATTTGTCAAAGATCAGATAGTTGTAGATATGCGGTGTTATTTCTCCCATCCAAGTACTAACCAGGCCCGACCCTGCTTAGCTTCCGAGATCAGACGAGATCGGGCGTGTTCAGGGTGGTATGGCCGTAGACGATGCGGTGTTATTTCTGAGGGCTCTGTTCTGTTCCATTGATCTATATCTCTGTTTTGGTACCAGTACCATGCTGTTTTGGTTACTGTAGCCTTGTAGTATAGTTTGAAGTCAGGTAGCGTGATGCCTCCAGCTTTGTTCTTTTGGCTTAGGATTGACTTGGTGATGCGGGCTCTTTTTTGGTTCCATATGAACTTTAAAGTAGTTTTTTCCAATTCTGTGAAGAAAGTCATTGGTAGCTTGATGGGGATGGCATTGAATCTATAAATTACCTTGGGCAATAGGGCCATTTTCACAATATTGATTGTTCCTACCCGTGAGCATGGAATGTTCTTCCATTTGTTTGTATCCTCTTTAATTCCGTTAAGCAGTGGTTTGTAGTCCTCCTTGAAGAGGTCCTTCACATCCCTTGTAAGTTGGATTCCTAGGTATTTTATTCTCTTTGAAGCAATTGTGAATGGGAGTTCACTCATGATTTGGCTCTCTGTCTGTTATTGGTGTATAAGAATGCTTGTGATTTTTGTACATTGATTTTGTATCCTGAGACTTTGCTGAAGTTGCTTATCAGCTTAAGGAGATTTTGAGCTGAGACAATAGGGTTTTCTAGATATACAATCATGTCATCTGCAAACAGGGACAATTTGACTTCCTCTTTTCCGAATTGAATACCCTTTATTTCCTTCTCCTGCCTGATTGCCCTAGCCAGAACTTCCAACACTATGTTGAATAGGAGTGGTGAGAGAGGGCATCCCTGTCTTGTGCCAGTTTTCAAAGGGAATGCTTCCAGTTTTTGCCCATTCAGTATGATATTGGCTGTGGGTTTGACACAGATAGCTCTTATTATTTTGAGATATGTCCCATCAATACCTAATTTATTGAGAGTTTTTAGCATGAAGCGTTGTTGAATTTTCTCAAAGGCCTTTTCTGCATCTATTGAGATAATCATGTGGTTTTTGTCTTTGGTTCTGTTTATATGCTGGATTACATTTATTGATTTGTGTATATTGAACCAGCCTTGCATCCCAGGGATGAAGCCCACTTGATCATGGTGGATAAGCTTTTTGATGTGTTGCTGGATTCAGTTTGCCAGTATTTTATTGAGGATTTTTGCATCAGTGTTCATCAAGGATATTGGGCTAAAATTCTCTTTTTTGGTTGTGTCTCTGCCCAGCTTTGGTATCAGGATGATGCTGGCCTCATAAAATGAGTTAGGGAGGATTACCTCTTTTTCTATTGATTGGAATAGTTTCAGAAGGAATGGTACCAGTTCCTCCTTGTACCTCTGGTAGAATTTTGCTGTGAATCCATCTGGTCCTGGACTCTTTTTAGTTGGTAAGCTATTGATTATTGCCACAATTTCAGATCCTGTTATTGGTCTATTCAGAGATTCAACTTCTTCCTGGTTTAGTCTTGGGAGGGTGTATGTGTCGAGGAATTTATCCATTTCTTCTAGATTTTCTAGTTTATTTGCGTAGAGGTGTTTGTAGTATTCTCTGATGGTAGTTTGTATTTCTGTGGGATCGGTGGTGATATCTCCTTTATCGTTTTTTATTGCATCTATTTGATTCTTCTTTTTTCTTTATTAGTCTTGCTAGCAGTCTATCAATTTTGTTGATCCTTTCAAAAAACCAGCTCCTGGATTCATTAATTTTTTGAAGGATTTTTTTTTGTCTCTATTTCCTTCAGTTCTGCTCTGATTTTAGTTATTTCTTGCCTTCTTCTAGCTTTTGAATGTGTTTGCTCTTGCTTTTCTAGTTCTTTTAATTGTGATGTTAGGGTGTCAATTTTGGATCTTTCCTTCTTTCTCTTGTGGGCATTTAGTGCTATAAATTTCACTCTGCACACTGCTTTGAATGTGTCCCAGAGATTCTGGTATGTTGTGTCTTTGTTCTCGTTGGTTTCAAAGAACATCTTTATTTCTGCCTTCATTTCGTTATGTACCCAGTAGTCATTCAGGAGCTGGTTGTTCAGTTTCCATGTAGTTGAGCGGTTTTGAGTGAGTTTCTTAATCCTGAATTCTAGTTTGATTGCACTGTGGTCTGAGAGACAGCTTGTTATAATTTCTGTTCTTTTACATTTGCTGAGGAGAACTTTGCTTCCACCTATGTGGTCAATTTTGGAATAGGTGTGGTGTGGTGCTGAAAAAAATGTATATTCTGTTGATTTGGGGTGGAGAGTTCTGTAGATGTCTTTTAGGTCCGCTTGGTGCAGAGCTGAGTTCAATTCCTGGGTATCCTTGTTAACTTTCTGTGACGTTGATCTGTCTAATGTTGACAGTGGGGTGTTGAAGTTTCCCATTATTATTGTGTGGGAGTCAAAGTCTCTTTGTAGGTCACTCAGGACTTGCTTAATGAATCTTGGTGCTCCTGTATTGGGTGCATATATATTTAGGATAGTTAGCTCTTCTTGTTGAATTGATCCCTTACCATTATGTAATGGCCTCCTTTGTCTCTTTTGATCTTTGTTGGTTTCAAATCTGTTTTATCAGAGACTAGGATTGCAACCCCTGCCTTTTTTTGTTTTCCATTTGCTTGGTAGATCTTCCTCCATCCTTTTATTTTGAGCCTATGTGTGTCTCTGCACATGAGATGGGTCTCCTGAATACAGCACACTGATGGGTCTTTACTCTTTATCCAATTTGCCAGTCTGTGTCTTTTAATTGGAGCATTTAGTCCATTTACATTTAACGTTAATATTGTTATGTGTGAATTTGATCCTGTCATTATGATGTTAGTTGGTTATTTTGCTCGTTAGTTGATGCAGTTTCTTCCTAGTCTCAATGGTCTTTACATTTTGACATGATTTTGCAGCGGCTGGTGCCGGTTGTTCCTTTCCATGTTTAGTGCTTCCTTCAGGAGCTCTTTTAGGGCAGGCCTGGTGGTGACAAAATCTCTCAGCATTTGCTTGTCTGTAAAGTATTTTATTTCTCCTTTACTTATGAAGCTTAGTTTGGCTGGATATGAAATTCTGGGTTGAAAATTCTTTTCTTTAAGAATGTTGAATATTGGCCCCCACTCTCTTCTGGCTTGTAGAGTTTCTGCCAAGAGATCCACTGTTAGTCTGTTGGGCTTCCCTTTGTGGGTAACCTGACCTTTCTCTCTGGCTGCCCTTAACATTTTTTCCTTCATTTCAACTTTGGTGAATCTGACAATTATGTGTCTTGGAGTTGCTCTTCTCGAGGAGTATCTTTGTGGTGTTCTCTGTATTTCCTGAATCTGAATGTTGGCCTGCCTTGCTAGATTGGGGAAGTTCTCCTGGATAATATCCTGCAGAGTGTTTTCCAACTTGGTTCCATTCTCCCCGTCACTTTCAGGTACACCAATCAGAGCAGATTTGGTCTTTTCACATAGTCCCATATTTCTTGGAGTCTTTGTTCGTTTCTTTTTATTCTTTTTTCTCTAAACTTCCCTTCTCGCTTCATTTCATTCATTTCATCTTCCATCACTGATACCCTTTCTTCCAGTTGATCACATCGTCTCCTGAGGCTTCTGCATTCTTGACGTAGTTCTCAAGACTTGGCTTTCAGCTCCATCAGCTCCTTTAAGCACTTCTCTGTATTGGTTATTCTAGTTATACATTCGTTTAAATTTTTTTCAAAGTTTTCAACTTCTTTGTGTTTGGTTTGAATTTCCTCCTATAGCTTGGAGTAATTTGATCGTCTGAAGCTTTCCTTTCTCAACTCGTCAAAGTCATTCTCCGTCCAGCTTTGTTCCATTGCTGGTGAGGAACTGCATTCCTCAGATGGAAATGCAGAAATCACCCGTCTTCTGCGTCGCTCACGCTGGGAGCTGTAGACCGGAGCTGTTCCTATTCGGCCATCTTGGCTCCTCCCCCTCTCTTTTTTTCTTTATTAGTCTGGCTAACAGTCTATTTTGTTAGTCTTTTCAAACAAACAGCTCCTGGATTCATTGATTTTTTGAAGAGTTTTTCATGTCTGTATCTCCTTCAGTTCTGCTCTGATCTTAGTTATTTCTTGTTTTCTGCTAGCTTTTGAATTTATTTGCTCTTCCACTATGATCAAGTCAGCTTCATCCTTGGGATGCAAGGCTGGTTCAACATATGCGAATCAATAAACGTAATCCATCACATAACCAGAACCAATGACAAAAACTACATGATTATCTCAGCAGATGCAGAAAAGGCCTGCAATAAAATTGAACACCCATTCATGCTAAAAACTCTCAACTAGGTATTGATGGAACATATCTCAAAATAATAAGAGCTATTTGTAACAAACCCACAGCCAATATCATACTGAATGGGCAAAAGCTGGAAGCATTCCCTTTGAAAATCAACACAAGACAAGGATGCCCTCTCTCACCACTCCTCTTCAACATGGTATGGGAAGTTCTGGCCAGAACAATCAGGCAAGAGAAAGAAATAAGGGGTATTCAGATAGGAAGAGAGGAAGTCAAATTATCTCTGTTTGCAGAGGACATGATTGTATATTTAGAAAACCCCATCATCTCAGCCCAAAAACTCCTTAAGCTGATAAGCAACTTCAGCAAAGTCTCAGGATACAAAATCAATGTGCAAAAATCACAAGCATTCCTATACACCAATAATAGACAGAGAGTCAAATCATGAATGAACTCCCATTCAGAATTGCTACAAAGAGAATAAAATAACTTAAAAATACAACTTAAAAGGGATATGAAGGACCTCTTCAAGGAGAACTACAAACCACTGCCCAGTGAAATAAGAGAGGGCACAAACAGATGGAAAAACATTCCATGCTCATTGATAGGAAGAATCAATATTGTGAAAATGGCCATACTGCCCAAAGTAATTTATAGATTCAGTGCTATCCCCATCAAGCTACCATTGACTTTCTTCACAGAATTAGAAAAAACTTTAAATTTCATATGGAACCAAAAAAGAGCCCGTATAGCCAAGACAATCCTAAGCAAAAAGAACAAAGCTGTAGGCATCATGCTACCTGACTTCAGACTATACTACAAGGCTACAGTAACCAAAACAGCATGGTACTGGTACCAAAACACATACATAGACCAATGGAACAGAACAGAGGCCTCAGAAATGACACCACACATCTACAACCATCTGATCTTTGACAAACTTGACAAAAGCAAGTAATGGGGAGAGGATTCCTTATTTAATAAATGGTGCTGGGAAAACTGGCTAGCCATATGCAGAAAACAGAAACTGGATCCTTTCCTTGCACCTTATATAAAAATTAACTCCAGATGGATTAAACACTTAAATGTAAGACCTAAAACCAAAAAAGCCCTAGAAGAAAACCTAGGCAATACTATTCAGGACATAGGCATAGGCAAAGACTTCATGACTAAAACACCAAAAGCAATGGCAACAAAAGCCAAAATTGACAAATAGGATCTGATTAAACTAAAGAGCTTCTGCACAGTAAAAGAAACTATCATCAGAGTGAACAGGCAGCCTACAGAATGGGAGAAAATTGTTGCAATCTCTCCATCTCACAAAGGGCTACTATCCAGAATCTACAAGGAACTTAAACAAACTTACAAGAAAATACCCCATCAAAAAGTAGGCGAAGGATATGAACAGACACTTCTCAAAAGGACACATTTATATGTGGCCAACAAACATATGAAAAAAGGCTCATCATCACTGGTCATTAGAAAAATGCAAATCAAAACCACAATGAGATACCATCTCACGCCAGTTAGAATGGCGATTATTTAAGTCAGGAAACAACAGATGCTGGAGAGGACTTGGAGAAGTAGGAACGCTTTTACACTGTTGGGAGTGTAAATTAGTTCAACCATTGTGGAAGACAGTGTGGTGATTCCTCAAGGATCTAGAACCAGAAATGCCATTTGACCCAGCAATCCCATTACTGGGTATATACTCAAAGGATTATAAATCATGCTACTATAAAGACACATGCACACATGTTTATTGCAGCACTATTCACAATAGCAAAGACTTGAAACCAACCCAACGGCCCATCAATGATGGACTGGATAAAGAAAATGTGGTACATATATACCATGGAATACTATGCAGCCATAAAAAAGGATGAGTTCATGTCGTTGAGAGTGATGGAACTACCTAATGTAGATATTGGGCTGATGGATGCAGGAAACCACCATGGCATGTGTATACCTATGTAACAAACTTGCACGTTCTGCACATGTATCCCATAACTTAAAGTATTAAGAAAAAAAAAGAAAAAAAACTCACCATGCTCTGTCTCATTTAAGTCTCACATTGATGTTGTAAGGAAGATACTGTTTTTACCCTATTTTATAGATGAAAAAATGGAGGCCTAGGGAAATTGAGAACATTGCCCAAGGTCACATGGCTAGTGAGTGGCAGAGTCACCATTCCAACCACAGAACTGTACAGTAAAGTACTAGCTTCTCTTGAATGAGAGGCAGTGCAGTGTCTAACTAAAGAGATGCCCCAGGCAAGGAGGCAGAAGGCAAGGTTTAGTTCCATGAATGCCTCTCCACCTCAATTCATTCAACCACAGTGTAAAAAGAAAAAGAAATGCCTGTTTTGGTTATCTCACAGAGTATTTGCAAGTCTAATTTATGAAGTCCTGTGAAGGCTGAGAAGCTGCTTTCTGCTGTGCTAGTTTGGGAATTGTTCATCCAGACTAGTTGATTTCTTTCTGGCCTCCAGCTGGTTAAAGTTGGGGGCTCCCTTCTTCTGGTCCTTGGGAGGGATCTCCTCTGTCAGAGTCAGGTGTGGAGTGTGTGGGCCATGGCCCACGTTGGGTAAGCTGGGTTTCTCAGGGTGCAGGGAGAGTACCAGGAAGAAACCTGATCTCCTAGAATCTTCAAAGTTCATTAGCTGTTCACTTTAATACAATGGAGCATTTATTTCTTTGTGTTTTTATTATTTCTGATTATTGTAGCTAGGTTTCATTTTAGTATATTTAAGACTTGGATTTTTTTGTCTTAGCTTAGCTTAAAAGTAAACATGTTGAGCCTGTTCCTCTGATTTAAGGAAATTAGAACACTGAAAATGTTTAATTTTTGATAAAGGAACGAGAGAAAAGAAAGCATGAAAGAATTCTGAGTGAAGAACTTGTTGCTGCTGTGACCTATCTCAACCAATTTTTGCCTCCTGAGCACACTATTGTTTATATTCCCTGGGACATGGCCAAGTATACCAAAAGGTGAATGATACTCATCTGTCTGGCTATGATCGTTTCCTTTTCTTGTGATGAGAAATAACAGGAAGCTGACCTCTGTGGTAAAGTAAATGTTACCCTGTTAATTTCCTTCATGAACCTGTTGAGGGGCTGTTTTGAGTGCATCAAGAAACTAACCAAACATTTTTTTTTCTTTTTGCCTATCATATATACCATTTGCAAATTGTTTGAAATATTTAGTCATTTCAGAACATCTCTACAACTGTTCCTTAAAGGCATTAGTTTTGCTTTTTTCTATATCATTCTGTCTCACTATTTAAACACTTTCTCAGATGTCACTCGTGGATGAACCTGTGATAATTCCTGACTGTATATAGTAGATCCAAACTCCTTAGTGTAATGTCAAAGGCTCGTCATCTGGTTGGCTTCAGAATGTGACCACTTTTTATTTATCCCAAGGGCTGTTCTCTTCCAGAAAACTGAATTTTCATGCTCTGCCACAAATGTGGCAGCCAAAGTCCCATCCTAAGCCTCCATTCCTCTTCTTCACCCTCCCTGGGATGCTTTCCCACCTCTCTTTTGTCTTTCAAGATCTGATTCAAAACTCATCTCTTCTAAGGAACTTACTTTTGTTAAATCTTGCATTGTCTTTTTGTTCACTTACTACAGAATCATACAAGCTGTAGGTTTACTTAAGGTCTTATTTTTTAAGATGTTACTATATCGTTTTGTACTTATTGTACTTTTTTCTGAGTCATTTTATACAGTTAGATACACACACACTTTCTCAGAGTATAAGTTTGTTTACAAGTTATTGCCATTCATATTATTTTTTTAATTATCATTTTTCAAACATAGTCTTGCTCTGTTGCCCAGGCTTGAGTGCAGTGGTACGATCTCAGCTTATTGCAGACTCTGCCGCCCGGGTTCAAGCGATTCTCCTGTCTCAGCCTCCTGAGTAGCTGGGACTGCAGTCATGCACCACCGTGCCTGGCTAATTTTTTGTTGTTGTTGTTGTTGTTTTTGTTTCTGTTTTTGTTTTTTGAGATGGAGCCTCACTCTGTTGCCCAGGCTGGAGTGCAGTGGCGCAATCTCGGCTCACTGCAAACTCCACCTCCCGGGTTCACGCCATTCTCCTGCCTTAGCCATCCAAGTAGCTGGGACTACAGGCACCCTCCACCACGCCCGGCTAATTTTTTATATTTTTAGTGGAGATGGGGTTTCACCATGTTGGCCAGTCTGGTCTCGAACTCCTGACCTTAAGTGATCCGCCCGCATTGGCCTCCCAAAGTGCTGGGATTACAGGCGTGAGCCACTGCACCCAGCTGCCATTCATATTATTTTGCAGTTTTTTCTGCTCTGCCACCTGCACTGTGCGTGGTGCTCTTTTCACAGCCGTTTTATGAATGTATATTGACTTGACAACTCTTGAGGAGTGAAAGGCTTTGGAGAAAGCTCAGGCAGGGATGTTATATGCCAAGATTAAGGATCACCAATATTTGATATTAAGTTGCAGGTCTTTTGTGTCTCTTTCACATCAAATGTTGCTGGTTACTGAGTACACATTATATTCTAGACATTGTTACATGTTTCTATCAAGTACCAGCCAAGAGATTTTAAAAATTACATCTTTAAGTATCATTGCTATAGACTTTACTGGCTTTAGATATAAGGATAAATATATATTAAAACTTGGCTTCTCACTTTTCTCATTCTTCCTTCTCTCCTCAGCAAGCTGTGTAATGTTCTTGATCGACTAAATGTGATTGCAGAAAGTGTGGTGAAGAAAACAGGTTTCTTTGTAAACCGCCCTGATTCTTACTGTAGCATTTTGCGGCCAGATGAAAAGTATGTATGGTATTTTAAAACTTATAATAAATGATGATTTTTGCTCTTATGGGTATTCTAAATACAGCAGTTTGTACTACTTGGAAATTGGATGAATTTAGTCCTGGGGGGAGGCACACTGCTCACATGACTGAGTGCTGAATGTTCACTGGGGCATGGGAATTCCTTTGGTGGTTACCTACATACCTTGAGATGTAAGCCATGGGATCTGCATCTCTTGCTTCATAGAACAAATGTTACATAAAATATTTCTGTAAGTAAAATTTTCAACAGTGAACTATTTTTCAGTATTGAATAGAAACAGACATTTTTTTCTTATAGATTACATACTAACATTTTTATAAAAATAGTATTGTATTATAGTTATTCGCTCACAAATCTTTTATTACTATTTTGGGAGCTTCTTCAGATCAAGGATTTATGCTTTATCTTTTAAGAAACCAATACTATGTATTTATGGCATTTTATTTTCAGTTAATGTAGTTAACTACAATCATAAGACAATAAAAAAGAACTAACTACTAGTGTATATGTCTTTGGAAGTAATCCCTTTGTTATAGTTTGCATTGTTTGCACTTGTTTATTTGAATTTTAGGGTACCCATGACAGGGGTCCCCCAAGACTAGTCCCAGATTTCAGTGATTCACTAGGAGAACTGAAAGGACTCCGCCTATTGTATTCTGGCTATAATTTATTATGGTGAAAGGATATAAAGTGACATTAACAAAGGGAAAAGGCAAAAGGGGCAAAGTCCAGAGGAAACCAGGCACAAGCTTCCAGAGTCTTCTCCTCAGTGGAGTTGCATAGAACACACTTAATTCCCCAAGAAACAGATTGTGAAGCATGGGTGAAATGTTGCCAGCCAAGGAAGCATGTTGGAGACTCTGTTTTTTTACTGGAGGCTGGTCACATAGGCAGCCTCTGCCTGACATATACCAAAATTCTTGACTTCCAGAGGGAAAGAAGGTATTCAGGAAAAACCATATTATTTCTACAAACCATTTCAGCACAGTTAGTCACTCTTATCAGTTCTGGGAATGGTGGAAACCCTCCTGAAATTTAAGTTGCCAGACATTGGCCAAGGGCCAACCTTATAAGCAGGACTTTCTAAGGATAGCAGTTAGGCCTGTTAGGTTAACTCTTTTCTGCACAGCACCTTCTTTTAAATAATTAAAATATTAACATCATCTATAGTATTTCATAACAAAACATATTCCTATGTATTCATTGCACATGGAGAAAATAAGTAGTCTCTAAAAGGAAATCTACAAAACCAACCAAAGAAATATAACAAAGCCTCTATGAATAAAAGCTGGGGGAGGTAGAGAATCCTAATGTTGAGTTGGGAAGGCTAAGGCTTGGAAGATTTTATTAGAAAGATGCCCTACAATTATTATTCATGTGTATAGAGACCAAACAGGAATTGGGTTTGAATGAAAGCAAGGGAGATTTTGGTTGAGCATGGGTAACAAAATGCCAGAGTGGACACTCAGGCAAATTAAAATGCCCCTTTCCTGGACTGTCTTTGAGGAGAGTGTGGTAAGCAGTCTGCCTCAGTCATTTGCATGTTCACTTACCTGAAAGAATGAGAGTAGGCAGGATCAGCTGATTTTTCAGGAGCCTTCAGCTCTATTACTTTAATTCTATGATTCTTAACAAGGATCTGGTACTGAAAATAAATATGTATTCTGCCATTAAGTTTTTTAAAAGTGTTTATTTTTAAACACAGGTGGAATGAACTAGGAGGATGTGTGATTCCCACTGGTCGCCTGCAGGTATACACAGTATTACAATTCGTAATGAATAGAATCTGTATCCATTGTGTACTGTATGTTTTCTGTAAGCAATCATGGAAAGACCTGTATCTTATTTAATGCAGAATTATTATTTGAGAATGATTGTTAAAAGCCTTACTTCTAGTCTTTAATGCTTATGAAAAATGTGTAGCTGGCTGGGCGCGGTGGCTCATGCTTGTAATCCCAACACTTTGGGAGGCCGGAGTGGGCAGATCATGAGATCAGGAGATCGAGACCATCCTGGCTAACATGGTGAAACCCTGTCTCTACTAAAAATACAAAAAATTATCCGGGCTTGGTGGCATGCACCTCTAGTCCCAGCTACTTGGGAGTCTGAGGCAGGAGAATCGCTTGAATCTGGGAGGCGGAGGTTGCAGTGAGGCGAGATCATGCCACTGCACTCCAGCCTGGGTGACAGAGCAAGACTCTGTCTCAGAAAGAAAAAAAAAAAAAAGAAAAATGTGTAGCTGAAATAATATGTCCTATGGAATTTTTCTATATATTAAATGTTATTACTGGAAATAGAAACACAAACAAGAACATGAAAAGAATAAGTTAGAGTGACTTTGGAAAAGACGCCAAGTGTATATACTATATATGTTAACTATGCTTTAAGAATGATATGGCCCTAACCACTGAATATTTACACTGTATAATAAGGAGATAGGTCAGAAAAAAGCCCATATTTTGCTAACTGGTAAATTAGCAAATTGTCAGCTATTTGTTTTATTTTGTTAAACTAACAAAGTAAATTCAAATATAGACCAGAAGATTTAACGGTGCTGTTACAGCAATGTATAACCTTATGCAACTTTAAACATGTTCTTTATTATTTTGACTTTACATAAAACTGAATAATATTTGTTCAGGAATAATACCTGCCCACAGACTTTTTTTGTTTTTGTTTTTGTTTTTGTTTTTGTTTTTGTTTCTTAAAGAAATCTAAAGTAGTATGGAAGTTCTTTGGTGATGGAATAATGATTGAAAATCTTAAGGTATTTCTCTTTAGACTGGCATCCTTCGAACCAACTGTGTGGACTGTTTAGATCGCACCAACACAGCACAGTTTATGGTGGGAAAATGTGCTCTGGCCTATCAGCTGTATTCACTGGGACTGATTGACAAACCTAATCTACAGTTTGATACAGATGCAGTTAGGTAAGTCTTATTTTTTGCTATTTGAATGCTGATAATGGCAGAAGGCAAACCTGGTTACTAATAAGATTTTTTTATGAAAGCGTTTCTACTTTTAGCTTCTCAAAAATTATGTTGCTAGAAAACATTATTCAAACTCGTTCTGTTTTTCTTATATTTTCTTCTAGTAGTTTTATAGTTTTTGGTCTTATGTTTAAGTCTTTAATCTGTCTTGAGTTGGTTTTTGTATACGTTAAGAGACGGGTTCAGTTTCATTCTTCAGCATATGAATATCCAATTTTCCCAGCACCCATTTGTTGAAGAGGGTGTCCTTTCCCCAGTGGATGTTCTTGGTGTCTTAGAATAAATATTTCTATTAAAAATTTGTGTATTCTTGCCATGGTTTGGGCTTTGGGTTTTTCTTCTGTTGTTGTTGTTGTTTTTGCTTGTGTTAATTATGAATAAACACCACATTCTTTAGATAAATCCAAAGTACTTAGACAAACTAGTGGGCATTGTTTTAAAACAAATCCAGATGGCATTTTAAAAAAGAGTACTGTGTCTTCATACATACTAAAAATCTAAGATGTATAAAAGATTGATTTTTCATTAAGGATTACTATTTCTTCACTGTCTATTGGATCTATGACAGTCCATGAAGTATTATTTTTTTGAAAATACAATTAATGATAGCTGATACTGGTCATCGGAAATTGTCATAAAGGCTCAGCTGAGGAAAGTAATCAGTTTACAAATGGCCACACCAACAGATATCACTGCACTGGAAATATTAACAGACACTTGAAGAAACACAGGTTTCAAAAGTACATATCTAAGAAAGAATATGGTTTCTTAGTCTGCTGTGATCTGAATGTTTGTGTCTTCCCTAAGTTCATACGTTGAAACCCTAACCCCCAAATGGTTGGTATTAGGAGGTGGGACCTTTGGAAAATGAGTAGAGCTGAGAGGAACCGTCATGACTGGGATTAGTGTCCTTATTATAAAAGACTGAAGAGAGCTAGCTAGCCCCTTCCATCATGTGAGGACACAGTGAGAAGACCATCTGTGATCTAGGAAATGGGCCCTCACCAGACACTACATCTACCAGCTCCTTGATCTTGTACTTCCCAGCCTCCAGAAATGTGAGAAATGTTTGCTGTTTATAAGCCACCCAGTTTATGGTGTCTTGTTGCAGCAGCTCGAATGGACTGACACCGTGACAGGAGCATATTCTTTTTTCAGAGGCAATTCAGAGAGCACAGTACATTCCGTTATGGGAAGTGAATTGCTCTGGCAGGCTGCAGAAAGTTAGGAGTCTTTAAGTGTGGTTAGAAACAACCTGGTCTGGCTTTGGTGGGCCATGTTTTTGGTGCCCCTGCTTCCATTTTAGTGTTTTCTATGGCTTTGGTGTTTACTGGAATATCACTCTAAAATATATTAGCGTTTGCATTTATTTGCAAGATATTGAAGAATCTAACTTGAAAGGCTCAGAAGAATTTTTAAAGTATAAGACTTGTTTGGAGTTTGGCTAAGTGAATAACTTGTGCTTTGATTTTGGTGAAATTCTTTAATCGGGTTTTTCTTTTTTTAGGTTATTTGAGGAACTCTATGAAGATCATGGTGATACCCTATCCCTTCAGTATGGTGGTTCTCAACTTGTTCATCGTGTGAAAACCTACAGAAAGATAGCACCATGGACCCAGCACTCCAAAGACATCATGCAAACCCTGTCTAGATATTACAGCAATGCTTTTTCAGGTAATTCTGAAGTAATAGCTATTTTTAAGACTTACTCTGAAGTGCATTTTTTGTATGTCTTTTAAAGCTATCTGGCTAAGTGAAATTAAAATTTAATATTTTAAAAGTTTAAATAAAACAGTCTGTCACTTAGAAGGTGCTCAGTAAATATTTGTCCAATAAATGAATGAATAAACATTTGTATTTTAAATAGGACACTTTTGCATTTTGGCACCCATAATTAGAGTTTTTATATAATGCAACACACTTTAATTCCTTGGCTTCTGTCTCTTTCTATTTTTCTGCTTGCAGTATATAGATAAAATTTTTTGAGGGTGTTGAGTCATTTTTTTAAATAGGGTTCAAAGTCTCGACAATTGTCTAAGAATGTAAATATCACTGAATTTTTAAAATGTCAACTAGAAACAAATTGTGATATTAGCACTAAATTATACTCATTAAATTCTACTGTTTTATGACTTGTGAATACTACATGTAACAGGGTGTTGAAATGGTGCTTTTCCTGCCTCCATTCTGATGGAATTGCCAATACAATAGGTATCACAGACCAAAGTGATTGTGAGACAAACCCCCATGCACAGAATTTATGAAGGAAGTGCTCAGTGATTGATTTCATGAGTCTTCAGCTCTTGTACCAGATTAAGGATAGAAAAGTTTACATAATATGGAGAAGATTAGTAAAGAGGTCCTTGGGGCTGGGCGTGGTGGCTCATGCCTGTAATCCCAGCACTTTGGGAGGCCGAGGTGGGCGGATCACGAGGTCAGGAGATCAAGACCGTCCTGGCTAACATGGTGAAACCCCGTCTCTACTAAAAAAATTACAAAAATTAGCCAGGCGTGGTGATGGGGGCCTGTAGTCCCAGCTACGCGGGAGGCTGAGGCTGGAGAATGGTGTGAACTCCGGAGGCAGAGCTTGCAGCGAGCCGAGATCGCGCCACTGCACTCCAGCCTGGGCGACAGAGCAAGACTCCATCTCGGAAAGAAAAAAAAAAGGTCCTTAGGAGTGAACTATTGCCTGCAATAACACCCACCCTCAGTGAAAAGAGAGTGGGCTTCAACAGGACTCTGGGTGAGCTTGACATGGTATCCTGCTGTTGAAGAGACGCAGCATGTAGGCCTTGGACTGTTGCACAGCAGATCTGAAGCAGAGGGATGGGCTGAGGAGAGTGTGCCACATTGGGAATTGTCTGCATTCCTCCAGTTGGGTGGGCCAAAGGATACTTGAGTGTTGACTGGTAACCGGATGTGGGCCTCGTGGAGGAGGGTGCCAGCATGGGGTTGGCCTGGGTCCTGGCCAGTAAGGCCCCTGGAAGGACAGAGAGACCTTAGCAGCAAGATCCAGGAGGTAAACACTGGATACCTAAGGAGCCAAGGAAGGAATTATAAGAAACTGCCTGATAAAAGGGAATTGTAAGAGAGTCCCCAGTGCTGGCAGCTTCAGAAGCATCTGGGAAAGCATCCATCAGAGTCAGCTGTCCACATTTTCTAGGCCCAGAGAGTTTGCAAAGCTGGTCTGTTATGCTCCTGTCCAACTGTATTAGTTTTCTGCGCTGTGTAACAAATGACTGTAAATGTAGCAGCTTAAAACAGTACACATGCATTATCTCACAATTTCTGTGCATCAGAAATTTATGCACAACTTAACTGGGTCCCCTGCTTAGGGTCTCTCAAGGCTGCCATTGAGAAAGAACCACTTCCCAGCCCACGTGCTGGCAGAATTCAGTTCCTTGTGGCTGTAGGACTCATAGCAGCGTGCTTCTTCACAGCTGACAATAGGATGAGTGTGCTGGCAAGACTGAGTCTTACAAATGTAATGTAATAATGGGAGTGACATCCCGTCATCTTTGCCATATTTCTTTGGTCAGGAGCAAATCATAGGTGCCCCTGCCCACAAACACGGGGGAAATCCACATCCATTTCCTAGGGCTGCTGTATCAAAACAGCACAAACCGGTGGCTCAAAACAATAGAAATGTATTTTCTTGCAGTTCGGGAGGCTAGGAGTCTGAAATCTAAGTGTTGACAGGGCCATGCTCCCTCTGAAAACCCAGAGAGGAGAATCCTCATCGGCTACTTCTGTCATGTGCTAATACGTACATATCCCTCAGGGTGTATATCACCATGAAAAAGGGCATCTGTTCTTTTGCCCTCTCCTGTGGTCGTTGTCCCTGTAATAGGGGTCATTATTGACACTTAAGGATCAAGTAATGTGCTTTTTTTTTTTTTTGAGAGGGAGTCTCGCTCTGTCTACAGGCTGGAGTGCAGTGGCTCAAACTCGGCTCACTGCAAACTCCGCCTCCCGGGTTCAAGCGATTCTCCTGCCTCAGCCTCCGGAGTGTAATGTGCTTTTTAATAAGACTAGAGGACGGACAGAATGACTGTGTAGCTGTCCATGTTTAAAAAAGAAAGGAGTAATATAAAAGATAAAGATATTCTGAGAAAATGATGTGCACAAATGGAAAGGTAAGGCAAAATTATGCACAACTGAAAGAGGAACTACCGTGAAAGGAATGATTTTATGAATAATGTGGCTAAAACAGGCTTCTTTATTTTAAGAAGCATGATATCATTGGGGTGTACAACTTATTTTTAAATTACAATGGGTATTATATAATGGTGGCAATATAGAAGAATTTTCTTTAAACCACTCAAGACAACTTTGCAAAACTTAATCAATCTTTTCATGTTATGCCTCTGGGCTAGGCAGGAACATACTGATAAACTAGATTAAAAAAAAAAAAAAGCGCTGGGCACAGTGGCTCACACTTGTAATCCTGCACTTTGGGAGACCAAGACAGGAGGGCTGCTTGGCCCAGGAGTTTGAGACCAGCCTGGGCAACATAGTGAGATCCCATCTCTACAACAAATACAAAAATTAACCAGGCATGGTAGTGCACACCTGTAGTCCCAGCTATGTGAGAGCCTAAGGGCACAGGATCCCCTGAGCCCAGGAGTTCGAGGCTGCAGTGAACTATGATCATTCCATTGTACTCTAGCCTGGGTGACAGAGTGAGACTGTCTCTCAAAAAACAAGCAAACAAAAGCAACCAGAATAGTGAAATTAGGTTGTTAGGAATTTTACCCTTGGTTTATGTGGATGGACTGATGCTATGGGGTCAACTCACCTGACCCTTTTTTCTATTCATTTTAAAAACTGTTCTTGAGGCTTCACATGCTAGCATGCATGTTGGTCTAGGAAGCACCTTTTAGTTTTTAATATAACTAGTTACATAGGGAGTTGGAGGATGCTTTACAGGGAAAGCATAGGTATCTCTTCAGATGTTAGGGAGAGCTTTTAATTCCCTTAAGGGCCTTGCTAAGCTCTTTCTATTTTTTTTTAAATGCAAATTTTTAAGCCTGGATTTTCTTGCTGGAGCTTGTTGAATTTAAATCCTATTATAAAAAAAAGATAAGAAACCTACAGCAGTTAATAATAGATCTGCTGTATATACGTGTGTGTGTGTGTATATATATGCCTAACATAAATATGTACACCCACATGCGTGTGCATAATTTGAATGTAGTGAATGTGTGTATGCATGCATGGAGGGGAATCATGTTCTCAACAGGGATCTAAAGAGAAAAGCTCCCAAGGTGTGTTAGGTTGTTTTTGCGTTGCTATAAAGAAATACCTGAGACTGAGTAATTTCATAAAGAAGAGAGGTTGAATTGGCCCATGATTTTGCAGGTTGTACAGGAAACATCGTGCCATTATCTTCTCAGTTTCTAGGTGGGGCCTCAGGGAACTTTTAATCCTGGCAGAAGAAGGGGGAGCAGGTGTCTCACATGGCAAGGGGTGAGGGGAAGGAGGTGCCACACACTTTTAAACAACCAGATCTCTTGAGAACTCACTATCGCAAGGAGTGCATCAACCCAAACACCTTCCGCCAGACTCCATCTCCAAAATTGTGGATTACATTTCAACACCAGAGTTCGGCAGAGACAAATATCCAAACGATATCACAGGGTCAGGGTTTCAAAGCTTATCACGTGTGGAAGACAGTGATCCCAGAAGATGGTGCTGAGGTGGCTTCACCTGGCATTATGATAGTACTCTAAAGGACTGCCAGCAGTTTCTTCCCCTTTCTGCTCACTGCTGAAAGAGGGACATCAAAGGGAACATGCTGAGAACATTTTAATTTATCAAGAATAGTGAGATAGCCTTCTGAGGTTATCCTTCAAACAGCAGATTGTGAGTGAATAAGCTGTATTTGGCAATAGCAGAAATAAAACAGTTGGAAAAATGTTTTGTTTTAATAACGTTTGTTTTAATACCCTTGGTAACTTTTGTTAAAGCCCAACTCTTCACCTCTTCTGCAACCAAAGCAGTTGTACATGGCAAGAGAAAAGTTTGTAATTTATTACTCTTAAACAGACTACAGTTCTCCAAAGGACAACGGACTGTCCTGTGACATTTCCATAGTAAGTTCATTCTTCCCCTCTCCAAAATGACTATTTCATAACTTGTCCTCTCTCCTTAAAACTACAACACCTCAGTCTCATCTGATGACCTTGCTTCGTGCTTCAGTGAGAAAATAAGTTATTGAAAGGGAACTTCCTCTAATTCTTTTTTTTTTTTTTTTTTTTTTTTTGAGACAGAGTCTCGCTCTGTGGCCCAGGCTGGAGTGCAGTGGCACTATCTCGGCTCACTGCAAGCTCCGCCTCCTGGGTTCATGCCATTCCCCTGCCTCAGCCTCCCGAGTAGCTGGGACTACAGGTGCCTGCCACCGCGCCCGGCTAATTTTTTGTATTTTTAGTAGAGACGGGGTTTCACCATGTTAGCCAGGACTTCCTCTAATTCTCCCATCAAATGCAGAGGGCGTCCTTTTCTGCACCCATAGTTTCTACCCTATATTGTATTACAATGCTTGTGGTGGCCCTGCTCCATCTTAAGTGAAACCTTGCCTTTTTCTTTGAATCCCATGCCTTCTTGTGTTCCCTAACTATATGCTTGTTGCTGTACATCATCAGTTTCTCTGTCTCTAATGCATCATTGCCATTAACATAAAAGCATACCTTAGCATTTTCCATCCACCCTTTCCAGCTATTCCTAA
Source organism: Homo sapiens (assembly GCF_000001405.40). Taxonomy (NCBI): domain Eukaryota; kingdom Metazoa; phylum Chordata; class Mammalia; order Primates; family Hominidae; genus Homo; species Homo sapiens. The sequence goes on from NC_000006.12 coordinate 109,771,949, forward strand.
TCCCACATGCCCCTCCAGCCACAGTCCTATTTTTCTGCTCTCATGAGCAAAACCTCTTGAAAGGGTTGTCTCCACTGTGTTCTCTCTACCTGCTCCACTTGGCAACTGCCCTGCCATGACACCGAAACTGTACTTGTCCAGGTTACCAACAATTCCCACATTGCCAAATCTAATGTTTACTCTTCTGACTCCATCTTACTCAACCTTTCAACAACTTTCATCACAGTTGACCACTTCCTCTTTCTTAAACTTCACTTTGTGAGATCTCTCAGTGGGATATTGAGATCTCTGTCAATAGGAGAGAGTCTCAGTCTCCTATTGACTTCCCCTGCTGTGTTTCTAAACCTTTCTCTTTTTCCAGTTTTGTCCTAGGGATATCACATTCAGCTTTTGACTACCATGCATTTGACACTCAGATTTTTAGCTCTAACTTTAACTTCTCATGAACTCCAGACTCATTTATCTAAATGTCTACCTAGCATCTCTGCTGGGATATTGAATTAGTTTTTTTGTTTTTTGTTTTTTGAGATGGAGTTTTGCTCTCGTTGCCCAGACTGGAGTGCAATGGCGCAATCTCGGCTCACCACAACCTCTGCTTCCTGGGTTCAAGAGACTCCCCTGCCTCAGCCTTCCGAGTAGCTGGCATTACAAGCATGTGCCACCACCTGGCTGATTTTTATTTTTAGTAGAGACAGGGTTTCTCCATGTTGGTCAGGCTGGTCTTGAACTCCCGACCTCAGGTGATCTGCCCGCCTCAGCCTCCCAAAGTGTTAGGATTACAGGTGTGAGCCACCATGCCTGGCCATTGAATTAGTTTTTTATCATTGCCATGACAAATTACTACAAACTCAGTGGTTTAAAACAATACCCATTATCTTAGAGTTTCTGAGGATCAGAAGTCTATGGACACAGCATTACTGAGCTGTATTCTCTGCTTAGGTTCTCACAAGACTAGAGTAAAAATGATGTCACATGACGTTAAAATGAAGTCAAAATGTCAGCTGACCTGGGCTTTTACCTGGAGGCTTCCTGGCTCATTCTCATTGTTGGCAGAATTCCATGCAGCTATTGGACTGATGTCCCATGTCCTTGCTGGCAGTTGGCTGGGGGCCACTGTCAGTTCCTAGAGGCTGCTGCATTTCTTGGCTTGTGGCCTGCTCTATTTTAAAGCCTACCACAGTGCACCAAATACATCTTGTGCTTCAAATCTCTCTGCCTTCCCCTCCTGCCTTCCTCTTCAGCCTCTAAAGGATTAATGTGATTACAGTGGACCCAACCAGATGATTTAGGATTTTTCTATCTTGCAGTTGATGATGAGTAACCTTAATTACATCTGCAAAGTCCTTTTTACCATGTAGTAGAAAATATTCATGGTATGATACTAGGGAGCAAAGGTCTTGGGGGCCAAATTTCTTCCTACCACAGAAATCTAACAAAATCACAAACTTACCATTTCTGAGACAGAAACTCTTGACTCTGTCTCAAGTCCGTTTCTCTACTTGTTTTTTCTACTTCAATACCCATTGATCAATTCAGAAAACCTAGGAATTCTCCCTGCATTATTTCTTTTCCTCATCACTGTTCCCCAATCCCATCTGTCAACAAATCTTGTTGGTTATACCTCCAAAATAATATCTTCTGTGTTTCATCCCTACTTCTGACACGCTAGTCCACACAGCCACGGCCATCCACTGTTATCTGGATGGCTGCAGGGGTTTGCTATTCTTGTTGTTTGTTTGTTTGAGTGAAGTCTTACCCTGCCACCCAGATTGGAGTGCAGTGGTGCTATCACAGCTTACTGCAGCCTTGACTTCCCAGACTCAAGTGATTTTCCCACCTCAGCCTCCTGAGTAGCTGGGACCACACTCGTCTAATTTTTATTTATTTATTTATTTATTTTTTCTGTAGAGATAGGGTCTCCCTATGTTGCCCAGGCTGGTTCCTAACTCCTGGGCTCAAGTGATCCTCCCTCTTTCCAGCCTTCCAAGTAGCTGGGACTATAGGCGTGTGCCACCATGCCCAGCTCATATTTTTTATTATTTTTGTAGAGACAGAATCTCCCTGTGTTCCCCAGGCTGGTCTCAATCTTGTGAGCTCAAGCGATCTGCCTGCCTAGGCCTCCCAAAGTGCTGGGATTACAGGCATGAGCCTCCATGCCTGGCCATTTTTTTCAACTACTAAAGTATATATGTTAATTATACAAAGTACAGAATGGCTCACAAATAAATCATATGATCCCCACCTTCCAGAGATAGCCACTTGTATATTTAGGGGAACATGATCCTTCTGGTTTTACTATACCTGTAATTTATAATATGCTTTTGCTCTTTTAGATAATGTAATGAATCTTTATAACCTTAAATATTCTTCTATAACATGATTTTTAGTAGCCCTATGGTACTCTATCTTTGAGAAGCATCATAATTTAGTTATTTGCTTTGTGCATTTAGAGTTGTTCTAAACAAACATCTTTGAACATATACCTTTTTGCATATTTTGATCTTATGAAAAGTTCAGAAGCAAATTTATTAGGTCAGAGGGTAAAAATAATTTTTAGGGCTTAAAATATCTATCTATATATATTATATAGATATATATTTGCCAAATTGCCTTTCAGAAAGGATGTAAACAGTTAATGTTCCCCTTGGCAGAGTATGGGAGTGCCTATTTTGAAATGTATTTGCCAACTTAACAGACAGAAAATGGTATGTTGTTCTAATTTGCAGTATTTGATAACTAGCGAAGTTGGATTTTTATATATCCATTGGCTGTTTCTGTTTCTTTTGAAAATTGTGTGTACCTGTTTTTCTATTAGGGGTTAATCTGTGTCTTTCCTACATTTAGTTGGTATTTATTTCAATGTCTGATGTGAGGTAGGGGTCTAACATCATTGTCCCTTCCACCCCCACCCCAATACTATTGTACTGTTTATTGAATAATACTTCCTTTCATTGCTGATTTCAGAGGACACTGTATCATAAACTTAATATTAGAATAAGAGCTATTTCAGTTCAAAAATGAATTTTTTTCTCTAATTAAAAAGAATTGTTATATTTAAACCTGATCTATTTAAATGTAGTCAGTAGTAAAATTGGCTAATGTTTAACCTGTTTGAATGGTATTTGGTGCATATTCTTTCTTCCCTTCAAGCACAATTAAACATAAAAGTGGCTAATCATTTCGCCCTCTTGTTATCCACAACCACAGAGAGCCTACCAGTTTTAAACCCTTGTTCATATCCAGAGTACCACCATCTTCCTGGAGGTGATTGTTTTATTTGCAGTCAGAAGTAGCCAGGAGAAGATCCTTGGGCTCATTAGGGCTGGCCTTATATCTCAAGCTTAGTAAGTGACCGTAAACATCATACATGTATTTTCAGTTGCAGCAGCAGTACTTCCAAAAAGGCTTCTTTATGATCCTTTGAAAGAATATTCTTTTTTTGGCTATGTTTCTCACATCTTACATTTTACCATACTTGCTAAAAATTAAAGGTAACTGCTGTTAAAGGATGAAAGAAACTCCTAGAAAATGTGGCTGAAAAGTGCAAAGCTTCTCTAGATTATATTAAGATATTTTGAGGTACTACGTAGAATGAACTATTAAGTGCTATTAAGGCTATTTAAGAAGCAGAAAGAATGTAATTGCCATAAGAGCATCATGTTTACTTTTGTATTATGTAAAGAGGGTACAAATTGGGGCAGTAATGTATGCATTATTTAATGCTTGATGTTTTCTCTCAACAAGTGCAAAGAAAGTCCCCAAATGTGCTCAGCATATAAACATGTCCCTTTTTATATATTACTTTTAGCCCGAAAGGTAAGTGCTGTTTTAATGGGATGCTTCCTGTCTAATATCTGAAATACATGTTTGATGTACCGTATTTCGTATTTCATTCATTTAGTTTTGCTGTAATGACCAAATAACCCAATGAGAACAGTGTTGCTAATTTCAGGTATATCTTGTTCGCTATAACTGTTGGAAGAAAATTGATTTTATAATAATGTTACCTTGTTCCAAATGCAGTCATTTCTACTGTGCTATCTTTTTAGTTCTATGCTCATTTTTGGAAAGAGGTTATTATTTATATTGTGGATGTCTGCCACAAACTTCAATATACAGGGCTCTGAGACAAGAATGGAAAGAAGGAAACGAGGAGAAAGAACGAAGGACACTAGGGAGGAGAATGTAGAATGGGATGGGTGGTTCATGAGACCACTTCAGTGCATATTATCATTGTTACCAAAAGATAATTAGGAAAAGGAAGAGGAAGTAAAACATACACAGAGTCAGTTTTGTTACTTCATAGTATAGTTTAAAAGGTAATTTTGGAATGCTTGAATAGTTAGAATGAGGCTGTTACCATGTGCCTTCTTTGCCTTCATTTTCAACCACAAAAGAGAATGGGCCAGGCTCACAGCTGACAGGGACAAAATGTGTTGTAAACATTGTCTCTGTTAAAGAAAGGGAGAGTATCTTTTCAAGGATTAAAAGTGGAGACAATGCAACTGACTTGTTCAAGGTTGTGCAACAGAATATGGATAGAAATTGGGTCATTTTATTTGTCTCTGAAGTCTCTGCTTGTCTTTGCAATAAAGTGAAGATACATTTACTTCAGGTAAAATAACAAATGGTGAGGATATATTTTCATTTTAAAAATAAAATTGCTATCTAAGGTATTTACTATCTGAGTTCTTAAAGATGTTTAAGTGTCTCCAAATTCAACAAGCAGTTTATGTTCGCTATCATCTGTATATTTTATGAGAGGTATGGAACAAAGAGGAAACATTTTGAAGCAAGATTTTAATTCTGCTCCAAATCTTGGTAACTTATGTGTGTGTGTATGAAGTATTTGTATTTGTATGTATTTGAACTATAAATACTACTTTTGTACCACTATCCTCCTAAGAAAATATTCTCTTGAGTTATATATCCATCAGTAATGGATTTTCTGAAATATATATTTTGCTTTTTAGATGCCGATAGACAAGATTCCATTAATCTCTTCCTGGGAGTTTTCCATCCCACTGAAGGGAAACCTCATCTCTGGGAGCTCCCAACAGATTTTTATTTGCATCACAAAAATACCATGAGACTTTTGCCAACAAGAAGAAGGTATTTTTCTTCCTAGTCTGTAATATAAACTCCCATTTGGTGTTATTTTGAATATGAGATACTTTTCATTTTGAGAAATCATAGGCTAAAATAGTCAGTTTTATTTTATTTTTTAAAATTTTTAAAATTTTTTGTGGGTACGTAGTAGGTGTATATTTTTATGGGGTACATGAAGTGTTTTGATACAGGCATGCAATGGGAAGGAAGTACATCATGGAGAATGGGGTATCCATCCTCTGATGCATAAAGCAGTCAGTCTGGCCACATGCTTGCCATGAGTTCCGTACTATTGATGTCCTGATAGTAGGTTGGGGAAAATGTGGCTAGCAATTGTTGTTTTGTATTTTCTCTAAGATATGAAGTTTCAGAACTTCCTTGTTAAACAGAAGTTGTAGCTCCACTAAAGCAAACCAACAGTATCATCTTTGAGTGTTTCCTACAAACTTGAAACTCTCAAGGACTCTAAGATGCAGAGAGTCAGTCTTAGATTTTTCAAGTGTGACAGCTAAGCAGCATGTACCTTGTAATTCCAATATTCTCTCCTCCAGGAAACAACCAGTCTCAGTGACACTGGGAAGACGGGAAGCTAGAGCAGTGCTACTAGCTAGCGTCAGATAACCACTTTCATGTCCCCACCACTCACATGCTTGAGTCACTTGCCAGTACAGGTTATTTTGAGTACAGTTAAATTGGTAATATAATATTCTCAGAAGAAACAAACAGTTTACCTGAAGCAGTTTAGTGTGATGCTCTGTGGTGTGAGCCTCAGGATCAGGTAGAGTTGAGTTGGAATCTCTGCAGTTCTGTGACCTGGGTCGAGTAATTTAAACTCTCTAAGCCTTATTTTCCTTATCTGAAAATGTAAATGCCTGGACACACCTCACAGAGTCATTGTGAGGACTTAATGAGGAGGCTTTTTAGTGTTTTTAACTGAGGAGTCATGTACTATAATAATATAATCAATTTTGCCACATGAACAAAATTTTTTACATACCATACATGAAGTTAGAGCCTAGTCCATTGCACTCAAAGGCCTCTAATGTCAAGTTCTCCCATCGTGCTTTTCTCTTACAGCATCAGTTTGATAGAGCCCTAATTTTGCGCAAAGATACCTACCAGGCCGGGCGTGGTGGCTCATGCCTGTAATCCCAACACTTTGGGAGGCCAAGGCGGGAGGATTACCTGAGGTCAGCAGTTCGAGACCAGCCTGGTCAACATGGTGAAACCCCATCTCTACTAAAAAAAAAAAAAATACAAAAAATAGCTGGGCATGGTGGTACGTGCCTGTAATCCCAGCTACTCGGGAGTCTGAGGCAGGAGAACCGCTTGAGCCCAGGAGGCAGAGGTTGTCATGAGCCGAGATGGTGCCACGGCACTCCAACCTGGGCAACAAGAGCAAACCTCTGTCTCAAAAAAAAAAAAAGGATACCTACCAAACACTACAGGAATCATTGCCAGTCTGTGCTAATTGTGTGTATGGGACCATGAACAACTGACAGAGTTGCAAGTACAGCTCTTGCAGTTGTTTTTTTTTGTTTGTTTGTTTGTTTTTTTCGGAGACAGAGCCTCACTCTGTGGCCCAGGCTGGAGTGCAGTGGCGCGATCTCAGCTCACTGCAAGCTCTGCCTCCCGGGTTCACGCCATTCTCCTGCCTCGGCCTCCCGAGTAGCTGGGACTATGGGTGCCCACCACCATGCCCAGCTAATTTTTTTGTATTTTTAGTAGAGACGGGGTTTCACTGTGTTAGCTAGGGTGGTCTTGATCTCCTGCCCTTGTGATCTGCCCGCCTTGGCCTCCCAAAGTGCTGGGATTACAGGCGTGAGCCACCGCGCCCGGCTTCTTGCAGCTGTTATTAAGTTCTGTGTTGCTTCAGGAATATTTAAAATATTTGGAAGGTCTCAGAATTTGTATGTTTCTCAAATTTATTCTTATCAATGCATATTATTGGAATAACCAACTTAATACTTGAGCTTACTGTCCCTATAAATGGAGCACTGCTAATTTTTACATTAAATTTATTATTAATAAAATATTATTTACATGAATTTTTGCTGACAAAAAATTTGAAACTTTATTTGTTGAGAGATGGGTATAAATACCTATATTTATATTTATTGATGACAGTTAACCATAGGTAAATATGGTTGATTTTCTGAAATTTTGTATTACTTTAAAGTGTTGAAGCTATTTAGATACAGCTTGGGAACAGCCATAACTCAATTTTCCACTGCAGAAATTAGCTATGTATTAAAAGCATAATTTAAACCCCTTGCTCACCTTGAGTTACATCACAAAGGCAGGTGGTTTGAGAGTTTATATGTGGGAATAAAAGGAAGCTGGTATTACATCCCCATTTTCTAAAAAAGGAAATTGAGGTGCAGAGATAATGTCTTGGCTAAGATTATTCAGTTAGATGATTCAGTGAGAATCAGCTCTAAGCCTACCACTGAAAATAAAATTGTATCTAAGTAGATAATATGGCTTACTCAGTTGATTTAGGTCTCCTTTTTCTGTTTGTTTGTTTTTCCTCTAGAATGTCAAAATTCTGAAAACTATTTTTTGGTGTCAGGGGAAGAGGGAATTGATACTGTGCATAAACAATTTTTATAAATACTGTAAGATAAATTTCAGTGGGTTTTTAAAAAAACTTTCTAGTGTCACCCACCTGTACAGGTTATTTTGCTGACAGTTAAAGCAGCATTACAGTTCTCAAAAGAAATGAACAGTTTACCCAGAGGCAGCAACAGGACAAGAGCACAGAGCTCAGGCTCACGTAGAGCTGAGTTGGAATTTCTGCAAGTGTATGTGGCCTGCGACCCATTAACCTCTCAACCTCATTTTCTCACCTATAAAATGGAGATGATTATACATACCTCACAGGGTCATTGAGGCTTAAATGGGAAAATATATGGAAAGTACTTAATACTGGGTCTGACACAGAATAAACCCTGTACTGAAGTAGCCAGGCTCTGGAAAGCCTGCCTCCAGTTAATACCTGGGTGACCTTGGGCAAGTCACTTAACTGGTCTCATTCTGTTTCCACATCATTAAAACAGAGACAATAATAGTACCTAACTTACAGCTTTCTCTGAGAATCAGATGAGATCATATAAATGGTTAGCACCTAGCAAATACAATAGGTGTTAGTATTGTTACTGTCTTTGTTTTTGAGTCAGAGTCTGGCTCTGTCACCTAGGCTGGAGTGCAGTGGCGTGATCTCGGCTCACTGCAGCCTCTGCCTCCCAGGGCTCAAGCCATCTTTTCACCTTAGCCTTCCAAGTAGCTAGGACCACAGGTGGACACCACCACACCCAGCTAATTTTTGTATTTTTGGTAGAGACTGGGTTTTGTCATGTTGCCCAGGCTGGCCTCCAACTCCTGGGCTCAAGCAGTCTGCCCATTTTGGCTCCCAAATTGCCGGGATTACAGGTGTGAGCCACTGCACCTGCCCTGTTACTATTCTTTAAGGAGATAACATTCCCTAGTTTTTAACATTTATTAAAGATCATACGGGATGCCCATAAAGTCTGGAAACTTAGATAATGTGACTTATTAATGTAATATTAATAAAGACTTTATTATTTATTCATGAGTGTTTTGAAATTTGTGGCATGCTGTATCTTATACTGTGTTTATCAATGATACAGGAATGGTATAGATAATGGCGTGGCATATCTATGCCATGAAATAATACTTTTCTTGCACAATAAGGGAAGAGGGAATAAACTTAACTCTACCTAGAGTCATTGGAACAAGGTCCTCTTGAGATAAGTACTTCGATGACACAAAATCTCACATTGACTGATCTGCCTAAAACCACTAATTGAAGCTTTGTTCTGAATTTGATTAATATGGCATACAATCATCTAAGATTCCATCTAATGAACTGGTGTTTAGAATGTCACCAAGATGTTTTTAGGTATTAAGCATTAATTATTTCATTGACTCCTAGAGTTGGGAGATTTCTTGGCCTGCCCCCTGTCTGATATGTGAGTTCCCTTTCTGTTTCCCTAGGGAGAGAGAGAGGTAATCTGGCCTATGCTTGACAAGTTCTTGTTTGTCAACTGTTGAAGAGGCAGTTGTTTTGGAACAGTTCACTTACACAATTCTTCCTCATGTCATGCTGAGATCTGCTTCTCTGTAATCTTACCTATTAATCCTAGTTAAAGACCTTAAAAACAAGATTTCCTCATCCACTTGATAATCTTTTAAATATTTGAAGTTGAGTTCATACACTTTCAAAATCTCTTCTTCTACTGGTTAAATAGCCCCAGTTTCTTCAGCTGTTCCTCATATGCTGTGGTTTCAAGGCCCTCCAGCATTCGGAACAACACTCTCCTCTGTGTATATTCCAGTTGAGGTCAATGTTCTTCTTAAACTGTGGCCCCCAGATCTGGGTCCAATAATGGTCAGCATTTGGTCTGATTTGTGCTAGCTGTTCTGAGACCACTGGGACCATCACTCCCCTTGTCCTGGATGCTGTGTTTTCATTGATAAGCATAAGGTCACACCAGCCATCCTCAGCATTGCCATCACAGTGTGCATTCTCCAAGCTTCCTGTCTGTTAGAACTCCTAAGTCTTTTTAACATGTGCCGCTGCCACTCTGCCACATCTGTACCATTCTTGTCATGTTCGTATATGCTTTGCCTACTTCCAAAAAAAGTATTGAAATGTGTACCTTTAATGAATACTTCTAGCTTTATAGTTTCTTCAGATTTAATCAGTTGACCATCTTGATCCTAATTCAAGTACTTGATGAAAAATGTTGAGTACAGTAGGGTAAATGGCAGAACCCATTGATTTCTACCCACAGACAACTCCTTCCACATAACATTGTTTAGTGCCTTTGATTGTAATCATTTAAACAGCTGTAATTTCACTTAACTACACTATTGCCCTGCCCATATTTCTCTGTCTTGTTCACAAATATTGATTGCTCTGCTGACATTCATGAATGTTTCAGGGGGCTCCCAAGTTAGCTAGGAAAATTAGACAGTGTAAAAATTTTCCCTAACCTTCCTATGGAACCGAGAACTCTTAATAATACTAGGAACTGAAAAAGAAAAGAGAATCTGACTTACTAGCTCTTTTGTATGCAAAGAAGGGAGTGACACTAACTTGCAATCTCCTGTTTTCTGATCCCTGGTCCCAAAGCAGGTTTCTGACCCAGTGCATTGTTCTTCCTCTGGATAAATGTACCTGGTAGTAGAGGTGGTAAAGATTCCCCTATCTTGGGCTTAGTCGTCTTAGATGCTCTTATCCTCCATCCATTTTAGCTTATCTTCCCCAAGGCAGATATTTCTTTGCTTCTGAGACTCACCCAAAAGACTTGGAATCTTTTAAAAGTGTTGTTAAATTGCTACATATTGTAAGGGAAATACAATTTAGTAATATTTTTAAAAAGTTTATGGCCTGGTCTTAAATCATGAATACATGATTATCTTTTCATTTTTGCTCACCACAAGAATTCTGAGTTAAAACACATTTTTTGTAATGTCTACTTCTTCTTCCTAAGCAAGCTGATTGTAAGCAACATTCTTTAGGGAATTTCTCATATACTGATAACTTCTCTACTTTACTCGTCTGCCAGTGTTAGATCATCACAGAATTAGATTTACTCAGATGCATGCATACACACATGCATACACCCCTCTTAAACAATTAGTCCATGTCTTTTTCATTCCCCTGATCTGACAGTCTGATTTTCCTATTAGGAAAGGAAATGATATTAGCTTGGTGTGGCTTGTTTTTGTGAATAGATGTGAATTCAGAGAATGCATTGGCTATCTTTTTAGGTCACTTACAACACATCTCGATCTCATATTTGATTCTGTTATGTTGCTGGGATCAACATCACTTACATCACTTGTTGATGTCTGGTTTTTGGAATCTGTCACCCTCTCACTGCTGAGCATCAAGACTACTGTTATCCTCAGCAAACTAATGCAGGAACAGAAAACTAAACACTGCGTGTTCTCACTTAAAAGTGGGAGCTGAATGATGAGAACACATGGACACATGATGGGAGAGAACAACACACACCAGGGCCTGCAGTGGTGAGGGTGGAAGGGAGAGCATCAGTATGAATAGCTAATGGATGCTGGGCTTAATACCTAGGTGATGGGATGATCTGTGCAGCAAACCACTATGGCACACATTTACCTATGTAACAAACCTGCACGTTCCGCACATGTACCCCTGAACTTAATGAAAGTTGAAAAAAGTAAATAAATAAATAAATTCTGCTAAATGTAAAAATTAAAGACTGCATTGGCCCATTTCCAGTATCAGCTCCATGTTTCACTGTTCCTTAAAGATTATAGATCTCAGCTACACCGGGACACTAGCCTCTTGTAGAGACGCTCTAGCGCCTCCTTCTGTCTTCTGGGTTGTACACAGTTCCCTCTTGTGTTTTTTCTTTCAGGTGCGAAACTTGTTATGGCTAGGGAGGATAGAAACAGTACTGGAATTAAGTAGCTCTACTTTCTCTGTCATTGCTTTCAGCTTGGCACTTTCAACACATAGAGCAGTGTCTGACACATAGCAGGTGCTTAATAAATGTGGAATAACTGAATGAATTCTTCACAAGCAGCAGCCTTATCCTTGCTCTGTTCTTCTCATATTCAAAGCCTTGTTATTGAAAAGGGGTTGGAGGATCTGCCCCTTTGGTTTTGCTCAGGAGTTTGTCATAGAGGCAGAATCTCAGGCCCCACCTACTGAATCATCTGCCTTTTAACAAGATCCCAAAGTGATTTACATGCACATTGAATTTTGAATAGCACTGCTGTAAAGCATAACTTCAGTCTAAAACAAAACTTTAGGAACCTTTCCTGTTAGAACAGTGATTTGCCCCACACAATTCATTAGGCTTCATATTCCTTTTTTCATCATTAGTGGTTGTGTATTCTGCTTGCCATCCCTAGGAGAGTTCCCTGTGTTGCCAGTTTCATTTGGATACTTTCCTGTTGCTTCATAATCAGGATTATTCAAGATTGTAATTTCAGCTTTATATTTTTAGAAAGCCTTTCATTTATATTAAAATCTCTTTTTAGCAATTTTTGGCTATAGGCTCTTTTTTTAATCTTTAGAAATCTGATTTTTAAAAAATTCTTCTCCTTCCTAGCTCTCATGAACTTTGACATATATCCTTTTCCTCTAAATATTCATTTCATTAGAATTTGATTGAGAATTAAATTAGGTGTTCAGAGAGAAGGCCACTTAGGATTCTTTCAGATTCTTTGCTTATAGCAGACGAGCCTTCTAGCAGAAATCCAGACAGGTGACATTCTTTACTCTTACTCTGACTAGCTTCTGTAATCAAGTAGCACATATTTACAGTTAAAGAATAACGGTCTATACTGCTTTCTAAGGGAACTTGTTCGTTAGGACTGTCTAATTCGTTCCTTAATGATTTTGCTTAACTGTTTTAACTATACACACAGGTGTGTACTATACAGCAGAGTAGATTCTAACTATCAGATAACTACACGCAAGGGAATCCTGGTTGTAGGACTTGGGTCAAGGTCCCACTACTCACCTGGTGGCAGAGTAAGTCACTGTAGGCACAGTCCCTGGGAGAAGTTAACAGCAGTTCATAGAGTCAGCTTATTACCTTCTAATCCTTTTTAGCTAAAAGTAAATAATATCAGAGCATCTTGACTCTCAGGTGTATTCATGGCATTTTTGTAGATCTGCAACATAGTTGAAGGAAGAAAGCAGTTGGGAAGGGAATTACCATGTTGAAGACCTACTGTGTCAAAAGCTTTGCAAACATGTTTTAAAAAGAAAAATATTAACTTTGAAGTAGGAACATGTTACTATAGACCATATAAATTATTTTATCCAGTAAATTTTAGAAAACCAACATTTACATTTGGTTCATCTTTTTTTTTAATTTTTATTTTATAGTTATACTTACTGGTGGACACCAGAGGTGATAAAGCATTTACCATTGCCCTATGATGAAGGTAGGTAACTGTTTGTGTTTTAGTTTTTACACTAACATATTTTGGCATTATACCTTAATGAACTTGAAGCATTAAATCCTTTGCACATAGTATTTTATTAGAAACAAATGAATGGCTGTTCAGTATTATGTTGCTGCTTTAATAGATAGGATATTATAACATCTCTTAGCTTTTTAAAGGGCAGGAATTATATTATACTTCTTTTTATCTATGTAGGCCAATACCTTGTATTGTGTCTTACAATTATTATGTGTCTGTCAAATATTTAGTCAGTAAAATATGATATATCGGCTCATCACTTTAAACTAATACAGTTTATATTTCTACATATTTTGGGAGAATGCGGAGGAAGTAAGGACCTATTCACAAGGAGAACTTAAAACTTTTTTCCTGTGCTAATAAGCAGTGAAAAAAGGTACAGATGCATGTATAAAAGTACATTTTAGTCACATTTAAATTAAATTTCATTAATTTGTCAGAGGGGCAGGAAACATTCTATATTAAAGGAAAACCTTCAAGTGTATAATACATTAGAATGATGTTTCCAAATTTAAATAATTGCCAAATTTTAAATAAAGCTTAGTTCTGGCTTTGTTACTAACTCCCCTGACCTTGAGCAAGCTCATTTTCCATTTGGTAAAGGGTTCCTAGCAAGATCTCCTGCGAATCTGGAATGCTCCAATTGAGGACTCCATCTAGTCATGCTTCAGCATCCCAACTTTGGGTGGGGAAGGCCATAAAGTAAGATTACAAAGTATTTTTGGTTCTTATTAAGTTATAAATTCATTTTGGAAGGTATTTGTAACTTGAAATTCTGGGCAAAATCATTACTCATATTGCTGAAAAGGTTTAGTTGTTCTGGGAGAAAGGAAAGGGTTTTAACTAACAGTGGCTATTAACAGAATTTGAAATATAAAGGGAAACTTAGGGAAAAAGCTGTACAATTTTTAGCTAAAACACAAAGGGCATTTATTTAAGAGCAAAAAGGAATTTAAAGAACCTCCTCTAAATAACTGCCTGCTCCCATTGGACTTCCTGAGGCCCTCCTGGCTCCTTAGAGCTTGTTGAACTCAGCTTTGCATTGTATTTTCTATGCATCTATCTCATCTCCTTTCTAACTGTGTAAGTGTTGGAGGCAGGAGCTTACCCTCGGTCAGGGCTGTATCCCCCACAGAGCTTATCACAGTGCTGTCTGTGAACACAGTTAATATTATGGAAATGTTTGCTTGCTATAATCTCAGACTTTTAGAGTAACATGCAGTATCTCTCTTAGTTATCTGTGCTGTGAACTTAAAGAAGTTGATAGTGAAGAAATTCCACAAATATGAAGAAGAGATTGATATCCACAATGAGTTCTTTCGGCCATATGAGTTGAGCAGCTTTGATGATACCTTTTGCTTGGCTATGACAAGCTCAGCACGGTATGTTGTGTGTATTCTGATACCATAAGTATTTGAGAACTGTAGTTTTCCTAGTTTGTATATATATGTCTGTCTTTACCAGAAATCCATTCTGTAGGCCTTCTGTCAGGTGGGTAGTCCACCTTTGAATACCTCCTGTGATGGGGAGCCCACTACTTCAAGAGGCAGCCCCTTCTATTGTTCTATTGACAGTTGGAGTTGATTTCTCCCCTTTGATAGGTTGAAATCTGCCTCCTATTAGTCCTAGTTTGCCATTTGGAATAAACTCAGTTTTTTCACTGAACATAGAAATTGAGAGTTGACATAAATTAGTGGGAAAAGCATCATCTTTGGTACTAGAAAGGCTAGGATGTGAATCTTAGTTCAGCCACTTCCTGTGTGACCTTGGGAAAATTATCCAACTTACCTGAGCATTATTTTCTTAATCTGTCTTTCTCTGTCTCTCTTCTTTCTCTCTCCCCCACACACACACGCCCCGCAAGTGCCTTTGTAGTGCCTGGTACAGGCAGGTGATTGATAAATGGTAGCTATTATTATTACTATTATTATTAGTCATAGGACAAATCTAGTTTCTCTTTTGCCTCAAGATATTTGAGGAAGCAGTATTCATTTTTTCAGGGTAAATATCCTTCATTTGTTCTTCCATAACTTATGTGGCATGGTTTCCATTCTCTCTCCATCCTAGTCTCTCACCTTCAGACACATTTCATTCTCTGTATCTCTTTTAGAATTTGATGGGACCCTTTAGGAAAAACGCTGGGACCAGAATAAGAAAATCGAGCAAAGAAAATTACTTGTTATATTTTATACTAAAATTTAATTTTTTATATTTCACATTTTCTTCAGATGTGGTATTTATATGCTTATACTTTGTGTGGTACATAGAAACATATTCTGTGGTTTTGTTTCCTAGAAATCACTCTACATTTTGCTTCAGTTTCAGATAGTTAGGAACAGTTCGAAATTCTTACTTGCTTGATTTTTCAAGTAAACTTGTTAAGGTTTAGCAGTTTTAACTATGAGACCTTTGTCATTTCTAGAAGTTGTTAACTCAGCAAAAGATAAATGACATTAGGTATATGTGTTCATATACATATAAACCCTCACTTCACATCTTTGACAGCTTCTTGGAAACTGACTTTAAATGAAATGATGTCGGAAAAAACAACATTATTTAAGGACCTGCTGTACATTGTTTCACTGGAAGTCATAGTTTCCAAGAACCTATCAATGACATTAAGTGAGGACTTACTGTAGTTAATTGTGTTTGTGGTAGCTGTGTTCTATAAAGTCATTGCAAACACTGAATTAGTAAATACTGGACCATTGCTTCTAAGGGAAATACAGGGTTAGGTTCCTGAGAGCCTCTGGTCACATCATATTTGTCAACCAATCAATACATAACCTAGTTTTGTGTATGTTTTTGTTTAAAGACAGAAACGTAGTTAATATACAATCAGTCCCTGCCTTATAATGATTCAACTTACGATTTTTCAGCTTTACAATGGTGCAAAAGTTACATGCATTAGCTAGAAACTGTTCTTCGAATTTTGAATTTTGATTCAAAATTCTTTATAATAACTTTACTATAAAACAGGCTTTGTGTTAGATGACTTTGCACAACCATAAGCTAATGTAAATGTTCTGAGCACTTTTAAGGTAGGCTACACAAAGCTATGATGTACAGTAGGTTAGGTGTACTAAATACATATTCAAGTTACTATGGGTTTGTCAGGATGTAACCCCCATTCTAAGTTGAGGAGCATCTGTATATTGTTGATTTATTAACATAACACTCATGGCCAACAGCACTATAGCTCATGCCTGAATGAAGCTTATCTAACACACATGTTTTCTCTGTCAGGTGCATCCAAGCTTTCTTGTGCTTAGTAACACTAAACAGCTTCAGCACTATGTGTGGGGACCATCTTAAATAGCAAGATCACCAAAAAAGGCACCAAAAATGTGAAAAACATGGTGTCAAATAGACTGTGAAAAAGACACTCATTTACGATAGGAGAGCAGAAATTAAGAAGCGGAGTACCCCTTGTTCAGCCTCAGCTGAGAACATAAGCAAGGGATTCAAAGTTTTCACCACTCTGTACATGCACATGTCTGCAGTGACTGTGAAAGTACCACGAGGATTGATTTGGGGGTTACAGATACACCTTAGTGAGCAAGCAGTCTCACAAACATGGAATGTGCAAATGAAAACGATCAATTGTGTATGTTCAAAAAGAAAAGAATTTAAGCCAGTTACATCTTTGAAACATTTGCAAATGTTAAAATAGCTATTTTAGGCCAGAATCAAGATTACTTTCTTTTCCTTCAAATAATGTGATATTCAGTCACACGCTTGGAGCAGTGTCCTTGCCAGAAGCCAGGAGTCTTATCCATCAGAAATCCTGGAACTGTTGCGTTTTTGGCATCTACTGTGGAATCTGGTCTGGCTTCAGCAGTAATGGTGAGGTGGCCTTTGCATAATGTGGAAGCTTTAGCTTATCTCAGTAAGTGGTAAATTAAAAGAGTTTCTATTTAAAGTGTTCCGGCAGTGTTTTAATGAATTAACCTCAGCCTAATGAGGTAGATGTTGGTATTTCAGTTCATACCACTGTGTTTTTGATCATTATGTCTACCTCCTTAGGTGGTATAGCTTAAAAATGTTGTCCATGAAACTGAACAGCTTAGTGTTTTGTCATTGGCCTTTAGGAATTTAAATTTTACCTGAGAACTAATCATGATATATAACCAGATTAACCAGATGGTATACATCTTAGCAGAAGTTCAGATGTCAACACTGTTATAGTAGATGATACTTAAATTCAAAACTACTGGGCCTTGTGATCATAGAGAATTCACAGTTAAGACTGATAACATTGAAATTATCTAGTGCTGTTAATTAATGGTTTTATGTCCCTATTGGGCCTCGTGATCATAGAGAATTCACAATTAAGACTGATAACATTGAAATTATCTAGTGCTGTTAATTCATGGTTTTATGTCCCTGACAAGTTGGCTCAGAATATGTAATATGTAACTCCTAGAGTTAAGAAGGAATATTGTAAGAGTGTGAACTGAGATGGAAGCCAATATCATCTGGATGGACAGTAATTCATATGTAATTGTGTTTTCACCTTTCTTTAGTGACTTTATGCCTAAGACCGTTGGAATTGATCCAAGTCCATTTACTGTGCGTAAACCAGATGAAACTGGAAAATCAGTATTGGGGTAAGATTTGTGTATAGAACGAAACTTTAAAGATTTGTGTAAAAGAATAGTACTTGCAATATGATTTCCACCAAAAACTAATAACTTCAGGTCATATATAGTTTATTAATAACACTGGGATCACTAAGGTGTTCAATACTGAAAGTAGAATTTATGGGAGTTTCAGCAATACAGTGCATTTTATTGTTTTAAATTGGGAATATAACAGATGACATAAAGGCAGGTGACAGATATGATGTCTTATAAATAACTCAGCATTCTCTGTTTCCCAACATGAAATAGTTAAGTAAAAATTTGTATTTATTATATTTATTTTGTTGGCATCCTCAGTAACATAAAAGCAAATATACCCTGTTACGGAACTTAATAGATTTTTCTGTGCATTGCTATAACATTATTTGGGGGAAGACTATTATTTTATTCAGTCCAGTAAAGAAGAAGATATACTGTGTTTGCATCTTCATGCTTAAGAGACTGGAGTGAAATGTGTTGTTTCCTGGCATGAGAACCTCTTTCCCTTCCACTGACCTGCCTAGTCTCAGTGACAGATTTCTTCTAGACTCTGGCCACATACCCCAGCCAGACTGCAGATACAGAGTCCTAATTGTATGGAATCTTAATTGTATTCTAGCTATGTGTGATTTATCCAATGGGACATATATTGATATTTTCCAGAAACACTATTTCTGTGGCTTTTATATGTAGCCTTTAAATAGCTCATGTTAAGCCCTGACCAGATGCTATGAGGAATTTAAAAGAAGGAAGGTCTTCAGGAGTTTGGAATTCAGGGAATTCCCAGAACAAATAAGTAAATGACCAGCTATATTAGTGTGTGTCACAGAAACGTTACCAACTTTAATTTTTAGTTGCAAAAGGTCAGAGACTGCTTGTTTTCTGCAATATCTAACCCATGGTCACATAAAATTGCATTTTCCTTTCCTAGAACATTTCAAAATATTATGGTATTTTTAGCTCCTTATAGAGAATTTTTTAAAGAGTGAAATATTAAACATTTTTCATAAAGCAAAAAGTATTACTATAAATGGTTTTCTGAATTTAAAAAACAGCATTCTTACTACTCTTCCAATTTGGCATTAAAATGAAAGTAAATACTTTTATAAGTGTAGGGTTTTCCCCCCTTCTATTCCCTACTATTAAAGGGAATGTTCAGCAAATACACTTGTTTACTAATAACACAATAAAATTTAAAATGTAGTTTATGTTCATCAGTTGTTCATTATTTGGATACACTATGATTGATAAAAAATTTATAGGCGGGAGAGAAATATACATAGGTTTGGCTACCCACTTTTTCTTGGACCTTTTATGAGTTACAGCTAATTTTAATAATATCCCAAACATACAGTCTTCTATAATTGTAGGGTAAGTTTTGAGAATATTGATATCAGTTACCAAAGGAAGGCATGGTAACCAAGTGGTGAGAAGATTTTTTCACGCTCTGCAAGTAATTTTCATTTATTTTTTGAATTTATAACAGGGCTTATATTCATATAAGGTCAGTGCATGGACATGGAGAAATATGAACCTTTTCCCTGTAGCACAACCTGAATCCAGAAACTAGTGTCACAGTCATTTTCTTATGCTTCACTAGGCCTAAGGCTTTGGGACAGAGTGATAGACAGTGGGTGTTGAGGGTTAGTTTAAAGATGCTTCACTTCCATATTATTCTTTTAAAAGAAACAAAAGCAATAGAGAAGAAGCTGTATTACAGCGGAAAACGGCAGCCAGCGCCCCGCCGCCCCCCAGCGAGGAGGCTGTGTCCAGCAGCTCTGAGGATGACTCTGGGACTGATCGGGAAGAAGAGGGCTCTGTGTCTCAGCGCTCCACTCCCGTGAAGATGACTGATGCAGGAGACAGTGCCAAAGTGACCGAGGTGCGGGGGAGGGAAGCCTGTGGCATCCAGCCTGAAGCCCTGGAAAATGATCTTTACAACTCCGCTTTCAGTTAAAAGGCTGAGAGCAAGAAAATGTCACATTATCTCACTGTTGTGTTTGAGGCACTGCATAAGATGAATACATTTAGCATTTACATGATTTTATTTCATTTCAAAATAAAATTGGTGTTTTTGCTCGCATGTGTAATGGTGAATTTCTGATCCTTTCAGAATTTTCAAGTGAATTCTGGCCCTCTTTGATCAGCCCATCCGCTTGAGGTCCATTTATTCTCTTACTGGGCACATTGTTGGATCACAGGATTTAGACGTGGCCTTCACAATCTTTGAATGGCTGCAATGGGAAATTCATCCTGTTCAATTCAATATTACTGATAGATTGGGGGAAACAAATAGAAATAAGCAACAAAAGGACCAACTCTAGCTTTGGGGAAATTTGATTTCTAGAAATATCCAAAACTCATTTAGAAATGGATAAGGCAAATAAAAATGTGTTAATACAAGAGCTAAATCCATGTTCCAGAAGTTGGCAAACTATGACATATTGGCCAAATCCAGCCTGATGCCTTTTTTTGTAAATAAAATTACACTGGAATCCAGCCATGCCTGTTTGTGTTTACTCATTGTATGTGACTACGTTTGCACTATAACAGCAGAGCTGAGTATTTGCAACAGAGACAGCATAACCCAAAAAAGTTTAAAATATTTGCTATCTGGCCTTTTACAGGATAAGGTTGCCAACTCCTGCATTATACAAAAACACCTAGTAATTATTTAACAGCTTTTTAAAATCCTAGAATAAACTATTTTTAGCAGAAATGGAAATCAAAATTTTTTAAAACCATCAACTAAGAAGTTTAATGAACAGGTTAAAGAAGCACTGTGATTGCTTTTGTGGAAAAATTCACAGTTTCATTTTTTTGGGGAAATTATTGATATGCTATATGTCTAAAAATTCTTCCTGGTTCTTCTTTTTTTTTTTTAAACCCCAGAATGTGGTCCAACCCATGAAGGAGCTATATGGAATTAACCTCTCAGATGGCCTCTCAGAAGAAGATTTCTCCATTTATTCAAGGTGAGATACTTTCATGTAGATATTAAA
Organism: Homo sapiens; assembly: GCF_000001405.40. Taxonomy (NCBI): domain Eukaryota; kingdom Metazoa; phylum Chordata; class Mammalia; order Primates; family Hominidae; genus Homo; species Homo sapiens. Next base: position 109,792,692 of record NC_000006.12, read on the forward strand.
GAAAAATGAATATTTATAATTACAGTAACTTCTAACTACTATACCTTTTTTTTTTTTTTTTTTTGGAGACAAGAGTCTTGCTCTGTTGCCCAGGCTGTAGTGCAGTGGTATGATCTCGGCTCCTGAGTAGCTGGGATTGCAGGTGCACGCCACTATGCCTGGCTAATTTTTTATATTTTAGTAGAGACGGGGTTTCACTGTGTTGCCCAGGCTAGCCTCAAACTCCTGAGCTCAGGCAATCCGCCCACCTCAGCCTCCCAAAGTGCTAAGATTACAGGTGTGAGCCACTGCGTCCAGCCTAATATAACTTTTAAGAAATGAAAATAGTCAGCAATACAGAAGAAAATGAATTCCACTTAAAATGCAGTTTCAGCATTGAGGCGGTCAAATTCTGAAACATTGATTTATATACAGAGTTAAAGTGCTAAATGCCTGAGACTCTGCCCCTCAATGATAAAAATTTATGATGCATGCAGGTATCTGCACTGCTCATATGTAAACTACAAACCAAAGTACCAGTACATTCCTGCATTTCTAAATCCTCAAGATCAAAGTCCCTTCTCACAAAATAAATCTGGGATATTGACAAATGAGGACCTTGCATCACTTTAGGTCCTGGATGCTGGTGGGAGTGGTGACTGAGGAGGAAAAAGAAAACAGTAATAATAGGGTGCTAATTCACAATGTTATAGGCCTTTATTAGGCAAATCTAGTTGAAAGGAGGGGATACCCATAAGGCATTCCCTGAAATCATGTGCATAATTTCGTGTGTATGTGTGTCCTTTTGAGAAGATAGATTTAGCAGATTCTCAAAAGAATCCTTCACTCAGAAATCCCCACGAACCTGATGAGAACATTGCAAACACCTCCTCAGCTTAATACATGGATTTAGAAGACTTGATTATTGCATATGAATACAGTTCCACTTATACAAATTTGTAAATGTGTCTGTAAAATGTAAATTGTATAATATAAAATGAGCACTGATCTTCAGTTATTTTTAAATGAGGGCATTTCATTTACAGAATCCATTGAATTAGATATTGTCAGCTTTTCATTTCAATTAATAAAAACTACTCTATAATATATAAAATATAAAATGCACAGCATTTCCTGACTGCCAAAGCAGCTCCTGTAACTTGCACTTTTTTGAATATGCGTCATTGACTGGAAGCCAATTTAGTCATCAGAGCACAGCCACACCCTCCTCACTCTGACACACAAACACACAGTACTTATTCATCATGGCTGTCAGAACTCTGTAGCCAAACTCTGTAGTAGTTGAAGTGGGCCTTTACAAACCATGTGGCCTGAAGAATGAATTATCTGAAGTTACTGACTGAGTAATATGACTTTGTTTATTGCAGAGGGAATGAGTGTATGTGCCAAGGATTGAAGGGGTTACTTCAGGGGAGGGAGGAACCCATGTCCTAGAATAAAATTCTGTGTTTGATATTCTGAAGATAATACCTCCTTTCATTGTATAACAGTTTACACTGTTTTGTTTGTTCTTTAGGCAATTCTGTAGTAGATTAAAAAGATATTATCCCCTTTTATGGGCTAATAGCGCAGCAAGTAGAGCCATTTAGTGCCTTATCCAGGAGTCATATCCTGTGTTTCTGGGTACCGTGGGATTTTAGGCTGTTCCCTCCTTTTTGTTCTCTTGATCATAATCAGCTGCCTCTGCTTATGATGCAGACCTTGGGGGAAGGGGAGAAACGGGGCTGATCATTCTTTCCCTGTGAGTACCCCTTCCTGTGGGCACACTGCCCTTACTGCCTTGCCTGCCCTGGAATATCTCCCCTCTCCATCTGCCATGGGCATTGCAGTAGGCAGAGGAATCCTCCCTCCATCAGTATCTGTGGGGTAACTGTGCCAGAGGGTGACCAAGGGATGTTCAGGGACTGATTGGCACCCACTTTTGGCTCAGCTAGGCTCTGGAGCTTTCTTAGTGCCTCCTCTGATCCAAAGGGGAGAGTTTCAAGGCAGGGCTAGAGCCCAGGTAGTTCTGCGCTGAATTGGCAGGTGCCCCTGCCACCCCGTTTCTGCACTCAGTTGGCTGGCTATGTTTGTGCACATAGTAGACAGTGACCTAGCCTGGCTTGCATGTAACAGCTCCCACCTGGCCTATCACAGAACCAGTGGAGAAGGGAAGCCACACAGCTAGAAGTGGTTTCCGCAGCCTGTCTTCCAGCTTCCCATTCTTCTGCCTGTTTTTCCTACCTTAGGCCTTGCCCACCTTTGGACGCCTAAGGATTTCTCGGTTTTGTAGTTTTTTTCTAATTGCTGAGCCCCGCTGTCTATGTCTTCCTTTTCCCTCACCTTTTCTAGTATCTTTGGTTTGCTATTTTACCAGACCTGAAAGCTTTCTACTTACTTCCTCAAAGCTTCATACACTTGCCAGTTTTTTTTTTTTTTTTTTTTTTTTTTTTTTTTTTTTTTTTGAGACGGAGTCTCGCTCTGTCGCCCAGGCGGGACTGTGGACTGCAGTGGCGCAATCTCGGCTCACTGCAAGCTCCGCTTCCGGGGTTCACGCCATTCTCCTGCCTCAGCCTCCCGACACTTGCCAGTTTTTAGAAAACTCTGGCAGTGATTGTACACCTGATTTAAGAAGTTTAAAGTTCTGTACAAATAATCAGTACTATGTGGCATTCTTCCCAAAAAATGGATCAACATTTTTTACTTGCTGAAGATATAAAGTTGGATAAAAGTAAGCTGTTTGAAAGTTTTTCTTTAGCACTGTAATGATACAATAATTGGTAGTTTCTGTAACACTTTCTTGACCTTTAAAAAAGCTAATGAAAAACAAATGGTAAACTTTTCCATAGTCTTCAAAGAAAATACTTTTAAGTAGTTAAAAAAATGGAAAGGAAATAAGGAAATCTGTTCTTTTGGTTTCAGTCCTTTTTTTTTTTTTTTTTTTTTTTTTTGAGACAGTCTCTCTCTGTCACCCAGGCTGGAGTGCAATGGCATGATCTCGGCTCACTGCAACCTCCGCCTCATGGGTTCAAGCAATTCTCCTGCCTCAGCCTCCTGAGTAGCTCGGACTACAGGTGCATGCCACCATGCCCAGCTAATTTTTTGTGTTTTTAGTAGAGATGGGGTTTCACCGTGTTAGCCAGGATGGTCTCGATCTCCTGACCTCATGATCCGCCTGCCTCGGCCTCCCAAAGTGCTGGGATTACAGGCATGAGCCACTGCGCGTGGCCTGGAAATCAGTTCTTCAGACCTGCCCTGTAACCTCCCATGGGCAAATTAGAACAAAACTACAAAACCGTATCCTTGAAGGAAAGACAGATCCATGCAGTCCAAGCAGGCTTCCAGCAGATATGCACTCCAGAAAGCTGCTGGGTATCCTCTCTGCCTGCTGAGTTGGCCCAGGCCATTTCCTCTGGCTCTTAGCTCAAAGCCTGCCTTAGTGCTGTTCAAGTCTGAGAAGTGCTGTTCAAGACCTTTCAGAAGAGGTCATATGGCCGTTGTGCTCATCAGTGGGTCTCCCCAACCTTGGTTGAAAGTGTTCCTCTTTGAAGTGGCTAGAGTACTTGGTGGGGGGATTCTTGTGGTCCAGAGGAAACCTAGTCTGTGGCCGGCTCTTAGCAGTGTCCCTGCTTCAGGAGGTGGATCCCCAGCCTGATCCTGCCCTTTCCACGTCACTTGTCTCACTGCCAGCACCATCCTGCATGCTTCCCCCCATGCTTCCTGCATTCCACGCATTAGATATTTGTCACCCTTAGATGTGTGAGGCTCTGCAAGATCATCTTCCTGGCTTCAGGAACATTTCTGTTCAAGTTCTGCACCATGTTTAAATTAATAGAAGTTCAATGGCATGCACATTTGATTTCATTCTTTTATCCATGGTTATGACTTACATTTTAAGTAGAATCCCTTTTCCTACTTTTAACAAGCCCACTTTAAAATCAGGCAAAGTCTTATGTTACATACAGTACTCTTAGGTGTTTTTCTGAAATAAGCATACTACTGAAATTTGAAAGCTTACACCATTTTGTGTGATCTACTGAATTAATTGCAAGTACTCCCTTCTTTAGCTGACTCTTATCCATTGTAATTTGTAGATTTGTTCAGCTGGGGCAGAGTCAACATAAACAAGACAAGAATAGCCAGCAGCCCTGTTCTAGGTGCTCAGATGGAGTTATAAAACTGTAAGTACTAGATTAGATCTTTAAAGAAATCTTTGTATTCATGCCACTCATAGGGCTTTCTTTAAAGACTTTTTAAGAAAAAGATTCACTCTTGTCACCAAATTAGTATAAGCACCAAAGTGTCTCCTTGTGGTACCTTACTTGAGGAAAACTGGGTCTCTGAGGGATAGGGAAGAGGTTGGCAGCCCTAATGGTCCTGAAATGCATCTTTGGAGGTGGGTTTGGCATTGTTGGAGGCTTCCAACCATGAACTCTGCCCTCCACTGGGTAGAAGTGGGATGGTGAAACAGCTCTGATCCTGGAGACATGCTCAAGTTTAATACAAGACCTTTGAGGATATGGATCGATTTGTCTCTTCTAGCTGTATATCCCCATCAGTTCTAATAACTTGCTGTAAGTTAAACAGGTGTTTTGTGAAATCTTAAATAAACGGAACTATGTTCAAATCATACTACTTCCCAGTTTTTTACCTTGAGCAAATGACTTAACTGCTGTGTTGTTGAGTTTCCTCATCTGCAAAAGGGAATAATAACACCTACTTTGTAGGACAGTGATGAGACTCAAATGAAATAATGTACACAAAGTGCTTAGAGTAGTGTCTAGAATACGTTCTGAAATAGTTGTGATCACCATCATCATCCTCTTCATATTCATCATTATTGCCTGCTTGTTGGGACCTAACAAAGCAAAGGGTTGTGACCAGAAGAGGCTCCCTGATGCCGTATGCTCAGTTGAGTTGCTTCCATAAAATGGGTCACTGTGGGCGGGGCATGGTAGCTCACGCCTGTAATCCTAGCACTTTGAGAAGTTGAGATGGGTGGATCACCTGAGGTCAGGAGTTTGAGACCAGCCTGGCCAACATCATGAAACCCGGTGGCCACTTAAAATACAAAAATTAGCCGGGCATGGTGGTGCGTGCCTGTAATTCCAGATACTCAGGAGGTGGAGACAGGAGAATTGTTTGAACTCGGGAGGCGGAGGTTGCAGTGAACTGAGATTGCACCACTGCACTCCAGCTTGGGTGACAGAGTGAGACTCCATCTCCAAAAAAAAAAAAAAAAAAATGAGTCACTGTGGAAATTCAGTGAGGTAGTATATGTGAGGCATCTAGATCAGTGTCTGGCATACACTTGACATTTAGTAAATGTTCTCTTCCGTTTTCTTAGATCAGTTTTATCAGTTTGATCAATTAATTGTTTATTTGAATAGGTATTGATTGCCTAACTTCTCTGTGTCTCACATCTGCAGGTTCTTAATTGATGGCTCACAGTAATTACTATTAGTAATGGCTCATAGTAATTACTATTACAGTAATACAGCAAAAGCCTTTTAGAGAGTAGTAGCTGTGAGGATTTTGAGAATGGGATGGATCTGGAAAATAATCTTAAGTGGTGAAATGGACAGAACTTGGATCCTGACTCAGAGAGTGGGGAACAAGAGGGTGTTATTAAGGATGACCCTTAGGTTTTTTGGTTTGTGTAACAGTTTTGATTGATTCATGCATTCATTTGCCTACTCATTCAACACATAGGTATTGAATATGTCTGTGTTAGGACCATTTAAAGCTGCCATTCACTGAGGTTAGGAGCACTGCAAGAGGACCTGGTTTGCCTTTAATGTAGCATCAAAGTGGAGAAGTTTAGGAGACAGTTGGATCAACCAATCTGGAACTCAGAAGAGAACCTGGGCTGGGGATGTAAATGCTCATGAGTAATAATGAAAGTCAAGGATAAGTTAAGGATGAGACTACCTAGGAAGCGAGACTACAGTGAGAACAGTCTGCAGCTGATCTTGGCAGGGATCTGGGTCTAATGGCTGAGACAGAGACATAGAAAAACCTGCAAGGGAAACAGAGATGGCTAATCAGAGAAGTGGAAAGAACCCCAGACCATATTTTATCACAGCCTTCAAAAATGCTGTTTATCCTTCTTTCTCTCCCCAACACTATTTTTTCTTTTTTTCCTCTTTTTTTTTTGTTTGGCATATAAGCCCCTATTAATTTAGAGACCACTTTGTGTTGTTATAACTATTTAGCATATGGAACTATGGGCTCTCAAATGAATTGAAATAGATATGTCCAAGGAAGGAAACTATTTAAATGTGCTAGTAAAATAAGAGACTCTATTAACCAAATTGTATTATACAAAGTGATTATTCCACTAAAATAATATGATACAACTTAGGAGGAGATGATGAAATGAACATAGCATACAAAATAAAAACAAAACATTTCCCCCGTTTTCTTAACATTATTTCTGATTTGATCTGTAATTGATCTTACAGTTACTACTTGTGCATTCTTTTTCTTAAAATATTTAGTATTTGCCTGTGAGTCCTAGCACAGATGAAAACCACGTGGATCTAGAATTCTTTAACCTTTTCCACTTAATTAGTAAAGAATCTGTCATAATGGTGTTTTTACACAGCATCTTCAGCAAGATAACAAAGAGCTTGGTAGCTCAGCATTACATTGTCATGGCAACTGCCCAAGAATGTTTTTGGTGTTTTTGGGGTGTGTGTGTGTGCACGCACGTGTGCACAGGGACGTGCTTTAAATTGAAACTGTAGTCAGGTTCTTAAAATGTCGACTATTCATTTTTAGATTTCTAAAGCTATGTCCAAACCAAGAGAAATTACATTTATTTGGGATTCTTGAAATTCTCCTCTTGCTATGTTTTATTTTCTAGTATATTTAAGAGTCATAATAAGTTCAAGTTCATACACATATGCATCTACCCATCTCTGGATAGTTCATAATCTTACTCAGTTTTTCTTGAAATCATGAAGAAACCATTTTTTTCTTTTCTAAATATGAGATATTTATAACACCAAATGTAAAAAATATTGACAGTAAATAATTGGCAAGAAGCCAGTGGAACAGGGGCTCTTGAAATGAGCGTGCAGAGACATGAATGGGCAGCTGGACACTTTCAACCACGGTCTTGCAGGACTTTGCTTAGAAGTGGATGTTAAACCCCAAACTGGTCAATGTCTGTACTGTCAGCCCAGGCACCCTAAGCTGTAGTTTGTGTGAGTGGGACCCCTCCCTGTGAGTCATAACCACTCCCTGAGTGTAGGGGTGGTGATCAGGGAGAAAGGGCATCAGCCAACATTGACCGAACACACTGTGTGATGGGCACTGTTCTGTGTACCATAGCCTGTTCTAAGTTCTCACAATAACCCTATAAAGTACATCTTATTATCATCTCCATTTTACAGATGGGGAAACTGAGGCACAGAGAAGTTATGTAACTTGCCCAAGGTGATACAGCTAGCAAGTAGAGGAACCAGGATTTAAACCCACACAGGATGGCTCCAGAGCCCATGATCTCCATCACTAAGCTATCAATGCCCGTTGTTGCCAGCTGCTTTCCAATCACTGGGGTAGCAATGCTTTATTATTAGCATTAACAGACCTCATTTTGGGCATCTGACATGACCTGGATTTTTAGACACCTCTATATTCAGAAATATTCAGAAATTCTAATATTTCTGCTCTGTCGATCTTGAGTTTTAAAAAATACTTAAGGAGAACATACCTTTATTCTTTCCTCAGTACCTAGCATACTGTCCCTAATGTAGACACACTTAAGTTTCCTGGGCAAGCATACTTTGCTTGACTGATTTGGTAACATGGCATGGAGGTTGTTTAGCCACCACTGGAACAGTGTTGCTGACATTATTGTAATCTTACAAGGTTATACATTTTTAGAGGGCAACCCATCTTTGTGTCTCTAGAACAGTAACTTAAATTGAGTGCTCAGTAAATATTTACTGAAATGCACTGACTCTCATCCCCCATCACACCCATGACCATCAGGGCCTGGTTGAGGCCCCATGAGCATCCCTAGAATGCTCCCTCCATGTCCCACTGGTTTTCAAGGGGGCATCCTTGAACACTTTTTAGTTCTTTCTCTATTGTGTTTTTTCCTTATAAACCCTTTGCCCCTCCTGCTTTTTTGTTCCCCTACTGCCTTCTGAGAGAGAGAAAAAAAATAAGCACACCAAGTTGTTAGCATTTTTTCCCCTTTAGTCTGCCTCTACTGCACCTGTGACCAAATGCCAGGTGAGAAGGACTGGAGTGGCAAGACTTGCTGTGCCTGGCAGGCAGGTGCTGTGGGGCCAGGCAGTGATTCACTATATTCGTGCAAGACCAACACGTTCTCATTTTACACTCCTACCAGTTCTTGAGAGATTTTAACTAAGCCAATCAGTGGTAGGTTGAAAAGGCATGAACACATATCATTAGTGCTTGCTTTTCTATGGTTCACCTATTCTAGGAATATGTCTCATTTAAAAATCACCTCTAAGAAATGGTTCAAAATATAATACAGTTTGTATAAATACCATGTATTTTAGGATTCTTCCAGCGCAGGATAAGCTGACATGTAATGCAGGGTAAATTAGTGTGCTTGGCCAGGCGTGGTGGCTCACACCTGTAATCCCAGCACTTTGGGAGGCTGAGGCGGGTGGATCACCTGAGGTTAGAAGTTCGAGACCAGCCTGACCAGTATGGTGAAACCCCATCTCTACTAAAAATACAAAAATTAGCCGGGCAAGGTGGCAGGCGCCTATAATCCCAGCTACTCGGGAGGCTGAGGCTGGAGAATTGCCTGAACCCAGGAGGTGGAGGTTCCAGTGAGCCGAGATTGTGACACTGCACTCCAGCCTGGGCTACAGAGCGAGAATCCATCTCAAAAAAATAATAATAATAAGTGCGCTTACAGTTTTAGGACCATACGCTTGCATTTATCCCCTAAGAATCTCTCGTAAAAAGTGGTATTCATTCAAGACTGGGTGAATGCCCCTCGGTGTGGGCTTCTACCAGGGGAAGTGTTTTACAGATCAGAGCATGCTGTTACACAGAATTAGAGCACTTCTTCACACTGATGAGATGGGCATGACACAATGGCCATGATTAACTCAACTTCATTTACTTTTCATGATGTTAATTTTCAATAACACATTCTTCACATACAAGTCACACCCAGGACCTCCCACCTCCATTGATTTCATCTGGAACTTTGTAGATACTGCTGTGGTCTCTGTGCAGCAAGCTGAATAAGTATTTCTGCCTTAATGGATAATTCTTGTTATCTTTTCCAAACACCTGGAATACAGTCTTCAAACATTTAAGGATTAGAGCAGCTTGGAGGCAGTGATCAGTGATTAATCAGCTAATTCCCTCCACAGGCGGAGATAATAAGTGATAAGAGCTCCTCAGCCCAAGGAAACTGGGATGTGACCTCTCCTCTCACTCCAGGAATTACCAAGATAGGCTTTCTTCCTCTTTCGTCCTGACATTTACTTTCTTTTCTCTTTTCCTTTACCCATCTCTGACTTTTTCCAGATATCTTTTCTATTTCTAATTACCTCTTTCTCCCCTCCCCATTTATTTTTGCCTTCCTTTCGCTTTTCTTCTTTCCCCCTCACTGTCCTTTCTGTATCCCCTCCAGGGTATTTATAGCTCTAAAAAAATACAGTAATTACTCCCAAACACAAGTTCCTGCCATACATATTCTAGGTCAGTGTTTTTCGGACAATTCTGAAAATTAGTTGTGAAATTAATTTAGTAGGCCTATGCAGTGAAATGAAATAGCACTGAACTGAATATAAAGTATGACCACAAGGCACATATTATGAATAAGTCTTGTTTCATGAAACTTGTGTTTCTGTGCAAAAGTTTAGCATGTGTGTACCAGTTTGCCATGCAACATGTATTTCTTACTGTGAGTGACTTCACTGTTTGGATTTATATGAATGCATCTCTTCTGGATCCACAAGAATTAGAAAACTTAGCTCTGTTCCTGGCATCTAGGCACTTATTGTTTGTTGAATGAATGAAAGACATGTGAATGACTCCTGTTGGGGATAATTAGAAAAAGAGAAGAGGAGTAAGTGGTTTCTGTGATACATCCATAGTGGATAAAATAAATGCAGGCCTTGGAAAATAGGCTTCCATTATTTCCAGTGAATTGGGAGCTGGGATAAGCATGTGAGGGAAGAAAATAGTAAGAAGCTCCCAGCTGAAAGTCAAAATGAAAAAACCTTTTTTTTTGTTTTGTTTTTACAATTTAACATATTGCCCGTTTTATTTTGGTGAGTACAAAGCATATCACGAACGAGAGCTTTCATGGGCTCATGTCAGAGCTTAGGTACCCCCTTCACATGGGGAGATGGTCCTGTTGCACCACTTTTGGAAAACCATACATAATTCTGTGTGTTTAATCCAAGGGACAGGTAGAAACAAGATCAGGAAGAGATGCTAAGGGAGAGAGTATTGCCTTTATCCTAAAAGCTCTGTTCTAATCAGGGGAGCGATAGGCTTACATTTGCGTTTTGGAAAGGTCACTCTGGAAGTAGTGTGGAGAGTGGATTAGAGGCAGGGCGATAAACAACATATCTGTTGGAAACATCAGGACAAGAAAGTGATTGGAGTCTGCTGTTGGCAGTTGAAATAGAGATGGGGTATTCTTTTACAAAGGTAGAATCTGTAAGTCTTCTCAAAACTTGTTAGTGGATTGGGTTTCAGGAATATTTGAGAGGCCAGGGGTTTTATAGCTTGGTTGACCAGCTATAGTGGCAAGTTGCCAGGATAGCAAATATACAACAAGGGCAAGTTTGGGGGCTAAGGTAGTGAGTTTCAGACAATAATGGGAAACCTAAGATGATATGTCTGGGCCTCAAGTGGTTTTAGATTAGAGAGATTCAATAATTTGGGTTTTCTCGGCTATTGATTTAAAAAGCAAGTAAGTTAAATTTCTTTTTTCTTTTTTTTTTATTATACTTTAAGTTCTAGGGTACATGTGCACAACGTGCAGGTTTGTTACATATGTATACATGTGCCATGTTGGTGTGCTGCACCCATTGACTCATCATTTACATTAGGTATATCTCCTAATGCTAGCCTTCCCCCCTCCCCCCACCCCACAACAGTCCCCAGTGTGTGATGTTCCCCTTCCTGTGTCCAAGTGTTCTCATTGTTCAATTCCCACCTATGAGTGAGAACATGCTGTGTTTGATAGTTCATGTCCTTTGTAGGGACATGGATGAAGCTGGAAACCATCATTCTCAGCAAACTATCGCAAGTTAAATTTCTTTAACTTTCTCTAAACTAAAGGGGCCCAAGTTAAATAGATTATTTATATGTGGTTTAAACATTTTCTAAGGATTCTTGTCAGATTAAAGGGAAAACATTCTTTAATGACTGATAGAGATGAAGACTTTATGGTTTTTAATGTATTTTTGTCTCATAAGACACTCTTACCTTTTACATGAGCAAGCAGGTTAATCTGGGGGAGCAGATTTGGATATCTGATGTGGTCATATGAGGGGTATTACTCATTGGTTTTCCTTGCTCTGTATACAAGAACCACATTTTTTAGTGGTTTAACCTTTAATATTTTGTTAGTTTACCAAATTATCATCAGTTTTGTGTATGGAAGGTGAGTGGGAGGATTTGGGGCAGATGGAGTGATTATTGAGCCTTGTGCTGTGTCACCGTGGCTTCCTGACAACCATTCCTTTTGTACAATGAAGATGAGTGTCCAGGTATGATGTATTTATAGCCCTTGTCTTCTCTGAGCATATACTAGAAGTCTTTTCAGTTAAGATAAACTTTTGGCTGAAATACAAGAAAACACATTTCAATTTTATATTTAAATATAGTCACACTGCCCTTTGCATGTTACTCAGAACCTTAAAAAGTACAAACTTCATTAAGTCCAAATTGTGTTTAAAATTTACCAACAGATCTTTTAGTATTATATAAGCAATTTTCCATGTTAAGTATTTTAATATTATTACTTATTTTCCTTAGGGTCTTATGAAGAAATTTGAGAAATCATACTCTGGAAATCAATTGCATTCTATTTTCATAATTAAAGATCTGCTCATATTTTATAAACACCTTTCTGCTATCCCTCCCAATTTTATGGGAACAGAAAGTCCTTGTAAATGGAACCCACTATGTGGTATTGTTAATCTAAAACTAATATAAAGAGACTTTGAGTTCTTGAGAGCAAGGCCCATCTGTCTTTGTATCCCCAGTCCATACCGTGATACTAATAACATTAAATTATGAATGAGGAATATTTGGCATTCAACAATTTTACCTCTTTTAGGAATTTTATGCAGTAATTGTGAGGGAGAGATGCAAGGTTTAACAAATTGGAGCAAATGACAAGGCAGATGATAAATATTTGTAAGTTTTTACTTTACTATGGTTTATTTTCAGTTTTAGGTATAGCAGCTCAGAGTTCTGAGCAGAATCCCTTGATATTCCCAACTGACAAACTACTCCAGTCCTTATTAGTTGAGTTACACATTGTGTTAGAAGGACAGGATACAAGGGACCATGGTTTTCTGATTTTTAGATTCCCTACTGCTACCAAATGTCTGAAGCTCTTAATGAGAGAATTTCCTCCCATAGGCAATTAGCTCTTGAAGTCCCTTGATCAACATAACTGGAGAAGAACCATGATTTCCTGATTTGCATTTGCCTATTGTTTCCAAATACATGAAGCTCTAAAAGAGGATTTGCTTTGTTTTTATATTTAACTTACTTTTAGAATCCTATGATTTTAGAAAACTATTGTGGTTTGATCTTACTTGGAAAGAGTAGAAATTTTTATATTCTTAAAAATCTTGCCTCTCAAACCCACTTTCTGTTAACTTGCAAAAAACTCTTTATAAGATGGTTTTACATCCATTACTAAAGGGTTGCAGTTTCTATTCCGTATGTGTGATGTCACCAAAATCCTAATTAAATCCTGAAATGTCTGAATAAAATGTATCCTGTCCTTATTCAGAAAAGTAATTGAGACCATCTTGACTTTCTTAACGATTTTGTTTTACTCTTCATGTTAAAAATGTATTAATGTCAAAATAAAATCAATTCATGCTTTTTAAGCATTGTATATCAGAGAAATGTATTAGTTTTTTTTACAATAAAACTTTTAGGTTTATTTCAAAATATAAATAACTAAATTGGTAGCTCATTTATTATGTGACTTGAAAATACAAAAGTACATTTAATAGAGTTAGTGTGCTCAAATACATTTATTTTTGATAATAGAATAGAGCTAGGAAAATCGTTCTGATAATCTCAGAAGCTTCAGTAAATGTTTAACAGATAGAAAAAAACAAAAAATGTAATTTTAGATGTCTTTTTGACAGCTCTACATAAAATTATATTGAAGCTTCTTAAGCCCAGTAACTTTGTTTTGCACATGCTTATCTGTTCATTATTATTCCTATTGGCCTAAAGATTTTGCTTTTACTTGTTTTAAACAGTTTTAACTCTTCTTAGACTTTGTCATGCTATAACAGAATCAGTTACTGGTTTGTTTATAAATCATGTAGGTGATTTAATTTAGTTTATTGTTTGTTAGGTTTATTGTTCAACCTTTAATTTTATTTTTGTTTATCTGGAACCTTGGATATGTTTCCCTGCAGACCCATAATAAGAAACTCAATCGGTGTAATCTGAATTATTCACATACTTATTTATTCCCAAAGCCCCTCTATAATGACTTCTAGAGATACAAAGGGATAATCACACTTGTGTGGAGAGGTGCAAGATGGCATTTTCAGGATGCCCCATAATGTGCACACATGTGTGCACACACGAGTGTGTGTGTGTGTGCATGTGCTTGTGTAGTGTATTAAGACTATGAAATCTGAGAACTGGAAGATGATTAGGGATCATCTGATTCCATCCTCTGATTTTATAAGGAGTCCTGGAGAGGGTCAGTAGTTCATTCAGGTTACTTTTTTTTTTTTTAATTATACTTTTAAGTTCTGGGATACATGTACAGAATGCATAGGTTTGTTACATAGGTATACATGTGCCATGGTGGTTTGCTGCACCCATCAACCCATCATCTACATTAGGTATTTCTCTTAATGCTATCCCTCCCCTAGTTCCCCAACCCGCAACAGGCCCTCCCTGTGTCCATGTGTTCTCATTGTTCAACTCCCACTTCTGAGTGAGAACATGCAGTGTTTGGTTTTCTGTTCCTGTGTTAGTTGCTGAGAATGATTGTTTCCAGCATCATCCATGTCCCTGCAAAGGACATGAACTCATCCTTTTTATGGCTGCATAGTATTCCATGGTGTATTTGTGCCACATTTTCTTTATCCAGTCTATCATTGATAGGCATTTGGTTTGGTTCCAAGTCTTTGCTATTGTGAATAATGTGTGCACACAATAAACATATGTGTGCATGTGTCTTTATAGTAGAATGATTTATAATCCTTTGGGTACATACCCAATAATGGGATTGCTGGGTCAAATGGCATTTCTGGTTCTAGATTCTTGAGGAATCGTCACACGGTCTTCCACAATGGTTGAACTAATTTACACTCCCACCAACAGTGTAAAAGTGTTTCTATTTCTCCACATCTTCTCCAGCATCTGTTGTTTCCTGACTTTTAAATGATCACCATTCTAACTGGCATGAGATGGTATCTTATTGTGGTTTTTATTTGTATTTCTCTAATGACCAGTGATGATGAGCTTTTTTAATATATATTTGTTGGCCGCATAAATGTGTTCTTTTGAGAAGTGTCTGTTCATATCCTTCTCCCACTTTTTGACAGGTTTGTTTGTTTCTTGTAAATTTGTTTAAGTTCCTTGTAGATTCTGGATATTAGATCTTTGTCAGATGGATAGATTGCAAAACTTTTCTCCCATTCTGTAGGTTGCCTGTTCACTCTGATGATAGTTTCTTTTACTGTGCAGAAGCTCTTTAGTTGAATTAGACCCCATTTGTCTATTTTGGCTTTTGTTGCCATTGCTTTTAGTGTTTTAGTCCTGAAGTGTTTGCCCATGCCTATGTTCTGAATGGTATTGCCTAGGTTTTCTTCTAGGGTTTTTATGGTTTTAGGTCTTATGTTTAAGTATTTAATCCATCTGGAGTTAATTTTTGTATAAGGTGTAAGGAAGGGGTCCAGTTTCAGTTTTCTACATATGGCTAGCCAGTTTTCCCAACACCATTTATTAAATAGGGAATCCTTTCCCCATTGCTTGTTTTGTCAGATTTGTCAAAGATTGTAGATGTGTGATGTTTTTTCTGAGGCCTCTGTTCTGAACAGAGCAGATCAGAGTTACTTTTAAGTGGTAAAGCTGGCACTCAAATTCATTTCTTTGGGACTCAAACAGAAAGTCCAATAACACAATCTGCTGAGCCAGGCACCTGGAATTTACCCAACCTGGGCACCTACTGGGTTCAGCTAAAAGTGGAGGAGCACTCACAGGAAGCATGGAGAGTAGCAAATATCCATGTGAGCAAATGGCTAGCAGCTGTCACCAAAGGAAGAAGAGGGAAAAGATAGAAAACATAAAGCAAAGGTCCTCAAAAGGTGGTCTGCAAAACCCTCAAAATGTGGTCTGTAGGCCCTGGTTCCAAGACCCTTTCATTGGGTCTGTGATAGCAAGGCAGTGGCACCAAAGTATATTGGTGATCATTATTTTCTTCACTCCTACACACTCACAGCAAAAAAAAAAAAAAAAAAAAAAAAGAGAGAAGAAAGAAAAAAATGCCAGTTTTATTAAGTCATGACAAAGCAGTAAAAATTATTAAATATCAACACTTGAATGCATGTATTTTTAGTATTCTTTGTGACAAAATGGAAAATATGCATAAGGCACTTCTTGCATATCATAATACTTGTATTTCAAAGTACTATGGTTGTCTTGAGGAAAAGGACTTGTGTGGTGATTGTCTAAGTTGTGAGCTAACTCATTGCTTTTTTTTTGTGAGCTAATTGCTTTTTTCACCAAACACCAATTGAAATAATGACAGACAGACAAACTATGTTTCTTTGGGCTTGGATATTTGACAGACACTTTTTCAAAAATGAACAAAGTAAGCCTGTCACTTCAAGAAAAACAATTTACAGTGTTTGTTACCAATGATAAAGTAGATCTTTTGAGTGAAAATTAGAATTTTTGAACACGTATATCTACCACCGTGAACAATACTTAAGATTGTTTTATGAGATCAGTAGCAGTCTTAACAAATGTGATTTTTTTGATGTATAATCAGATATGTTACCATTTAGAAGATCTTCATATCTGGGTGAACCAGTATTTTCCAAATGATCAATATATGCTGTTAAAAACTCATGCATGGGTAAAAAGCATTCATTCCAAGTGTGACATGCATCAATGGATAAGAGAGTATGAGAAGTTCATTGATATAGTTTCAGTTCTACATTGCAACTAACCTTTAAGAAACTTGTCAAATTTTGTTGTAGTATCAAATAAAAATATTTGAAGGCTTATTTGGAAGGCTATTAAAATACTGCTTCCTTTTCTAACCACTTATCTCTGTGAGGCCATATTTTCTTCATATATGCCAACCAAAACAATGTATCACGACAGATTCTGCAAAAGCAGATTTGAGAATCCAGTTGTCTTCTATTAAGCCAGATATAGAAAAGATTCGCAAGCTGTGAAACATTGCTTCTTTTGCCACTAAGTTTTTTGTTTTAAAAATTGTTATTTTTCATTAAGAAGTTGTTTATGCTATCATGTGTTGGGTTTGTTATTTTAATAATTATTTTTTAACTTCTGTCTTAATGTCTTATATGGTAAATATCACTAGATATAACCCATATTAACCAAAGCTAATTGGGGTCTTCAGTAATGCTTTTAAGAGTGTGAAGGGATTCTGAGACTGAAAAGTTTGAGAACTTGTTCGCATAGGGTAGTTGATTATTTATGTCAATATGCATTACTAAGGCAACCAGGGACGTTATTATGTTACAGCCTTGCTCAGTATTTGCCAGCAGGATGATATCTGTGACTGGTTGAAGAAATCTTATTTTCTATGATTTATGATTTTTTAAGGAATTCAGGAAGCAAATGTTCTCTTTTTAAAGGGTTCTATCAAAAACTGTCTGAACTTCTTAGGATGCTTTCAGCTCCAAATAACAGAACCTCTAACTCAACTGGTTTAAACAGTAAGATAATTTATTATCTTACTTCCCTGAAAGATTGCAGATGGGCAAGCTCCAGAGCTGGTGGATTCAGGGGCTTCGTGTGATCATGAAGTGCCCAGGTTTTTCCATCTCTCTGCTCCCCCATTGTCAGTATTGCCCCATCTTCAGACCAGTAGGAAGATGGCCACAGCAGTTCCAGGTGCCACAGTCAGACACAGTAGTGCCCAGGGCAGAAGGGAAACACTGACTCTGTGTCTCCTCCTTAGGGGCAAGGAGTCCCAGAACCTGCTCAGCAAATTTCTCATGTCAAATGGCCAGGATTGGGTCACAGGCTAACCCCTAAGTATGTTACTGCCAGGCTATGTATGGGCTGATGGTGATTGGCTTAGAATACTCATTCAGGGTGCATGGATGTAGGGAAGTTGATCACAGTGACTTAGTTATTAAAAACAAAATCCTTCGTACTTTTCCAGTTAACTGGAAATTCATTTGCACAGGTGCCCAAAAAGAGAGGTAGCATGAATCTGTGGAAAGAATTCTAGGCCAGAGAATCAGGCACCCTGGGATCTGATCCCATTCCTTCCGCTGCTGAGCTGTGAGTCCTTGCCTGTCCAGGTCGTGGCTGCCTTGCTGGTGCATGGGCTAGAGCATTAGTTCTGGGATTGTCTGGTTCATTGGTTCATTTATTCCCTTGCTCACTCCTTCATTCAATAATAATTGAGTGCTCACTCAGTTGTTTAAGTCACGTGAAGGGTACAAATCAGCACTAAAATGCTGCCTGTTTAGCCACGACAGACATTCTTCCTCCTGTGCTGCATACGCATTCAAAGCCCAATGGGAATTAAGATCCAAACTGTTTGTTCACTCATGGAATACTCATGCAATAAATTGTTTAGTGCCCTCAGCAAAGAGTCCTTGCCACAAAGCTTATTAGTGAGCAGTCCAAGTTTTCCCTCATCTTATTAAATATAAAATTTGTTTAGAAGTGAAAACAGAAAAATACGTTCTGAAAAAGGTAAGTTTTTGTCCCAGGAAAGATGCTTGTGGGCCTAGCTGTCTATAGTTGTCCCAGTTCCCTCAGTATCAGAAAGAGTATGAGGCAGAGAACCAGGCTGGTCAGAGAACAGAAAGACAGCTGTGAGAAATGAGACCACATTCTCGGAATATCCAAGGATACTCTTGTGTTGTAGTTCCCAGATAAGATGCTTAGAAAGGTTTTATTTTTTTAAAACCAAGCTGGTAAAATTTCACAGACCTTTCTCATGTGCAGTGTTGGTTAATTTTTCATGTCACGTGCAGTGCTGAGATAACTGGGAGTATTTATCTCAGAAAAGAGAATTAGGAATCATGTGATCATTCCCTCAAGTAATATTCGAATCACTGTCAAGTGAAGCAGAGCTGTTTGAGTTGCTTCAGGGACCAATAAGTGAAACATATAGGGAGGAAGATTTAGGGTTGCTGAAGAGGACATCTTTCTAACAACCAGAGCTATTGACAATGACCTGTAAACATTCCATGATTGAAAGTCCTGGGTATCCATTACTCGAGTACTCAAGCAGAGGCAGATGACCTTCTATCAGCAATGTGATGGAGAGCATCTTCATTTGGTTTGAGGTTGGACAAGATGATTGGAATAAAGGTCATTTAAAGATTCTATAATTATTATCATAGCCACAAGTCATCTAATAGTTGGAATCATTAACAGCTTGAAAGAACGTAGGTGATTCATTTATTCACCAAATACCTAAGCACCTACTATGTGTCAGGCACTGTTCTAGTCACTGGGGACATAGTAGAAAACAAGACTGACAAGATTCCCCAGGGCCCTTCTGTTTTAGAGTGGGCAGACTAGTATTGACCTAATACATGTATAAGTAAGACAGTTTCATATTAGGGTAAATACCCTGAAGAACACAAAGCAGGGGAATGCGAGAGAGTGCTTGGAGCAGGTACAGGTCAGGAGCTGTTTTAAATTAGGCTTAGAGGAAAGTTTTCTCTGAGGAGTTAATGTTTAAGCTGAGAACTTAGTGAAAAAGAGCAGTCTACATGAGATGACTGGGGAAGAGTGTTTGAAGCAGAGAGAACATACACAAAAGACCAGGGCAGGAATAAACTTGGCATGTTTGAGAAGCAAGCTGATATGGTTAGGCTTTGTGTCCCTGCTCAAATCTCATCTTGAATTATAATCCCCTTGTGTCAAGGGAGAGACCAGGTGGAGGTAATTGAATCACAGGGATGGTTTTTCCCCATGCTGTTCTCGTGATAGTGAGTGAGTTCTCTTGAGATGGTTTTATAAGGAGCTCTTCCCTTTCGCTTGTCACTTCTCCTTCCTGCCACCTTGTGAAGAAGGTGCCTTGCTTCCCCTTTTCCATGATTGTAAATTTCCTGAGGCCTCCCTAGCCATGCTGAACTGTGAGTCAAGCAAACCCCTTTTCTCTGTAAATCAGCCAGTCTCAGGCAGTTCTTTATAGCAGTGTAAAAATGGACTAATATGCAAGCTGAAGCCTGGGTCAAAGGCACAGAGGCATGTGCTGTGGGATGGAGTGAGGCATAGGTAGGGGCCAGATCTCAGGGAACCTCTCACAGGAGCTTAGCTGTTACTCTGAACTCATCCAGAAGGTTTTAAGTAGAGAGCTGCATCTCTGATTTACATCTCTAAAAGATGACCATGGGTGCTTTCTGAATTGTAGTGGACAAGGATGTAAGCAAAGAGGGAAATAGGAGGAAACTCAAGAGGAGTTGGTTTCATGGGAGCCAAGAGAAGAAAGTGTTTCAAGAAGGAAAATGGGCAGCAGTGTTGAATACAGAAAAATGATTATTGGTTTAGGCAACAGGAAGGTTATTAATGATCCTGATGAGAGTGTTTCTGTGGGTGGTAGCCTTGCAAGCCCACTTGGAATGAATTTAGGAAAAAATGGCAAGTAAGAGAGCATCAGGAGTAGAAGCCATTCTTTCAAAAAATGTTACTATAAAGGGGTGCAGAGGAATAGGACAGTATCTGGAGGGGAATATGAACTTGAGGAATGATCGTTCCTCAGACAGGAGTTACACAGCAGATTCTCTGTATGCTGATGGCAGAGACAGATGCTGGGCACTGGACAGGGTGAATAACTGCAGGAGAGAGATCCTCGAAAAGGCACTGAATCATTTTGTATTCTTATGTAAATCTAGAATTTCATTATCTTTGGTGTTGATTAGTTTGTTGTAATTTTCTCATATTAAATGGAACCATATGAAATCACCAATATTTACACTTTTTACCTATAAAAGTAGCAGTTTCATATAATTCTACCTAATATTTTAACCTAGACAATTTTATATTTATAGGTCCTTTTAATTTATATACATTTTAAATTGGGAATCTCAAGCTTATCTAAAAGTTACCATTATAAAACAGAGACCATTCCCTCCCCACTGCCAATCATTTGAGAGTGAGTTTCAGGCCTGATATCCTCTCTCTCTCTACCACTTTTGTGGGTATTTTTATACATAAGAATATTCTCCTAGAAAATCACAATACAATCAGGAAAATCGGGAAATTAACCTCAGTACACTGCAACTTTCTAATCCTCAAACCCATTCAAGTTTTTGCCAGTACTCCCTAAAATGTCCTTAATTGCAAAGGGATCCAGTCCAGCATCTGATGGTGCATTTAGTTGTCATGTCTCTTTAGCCTTTTTCATTCTGGTACACTTCTCCACTCTTCCTTGATTTTTATGACCTTGACACGTTGAAGAATGCAGGCCAGTTATTTTATAGAATAGGCATTGATTTGGGTTTGTTATGATTATCTTCAGCTTATGAATCAGGGGATAACGGTGTGGTAGCTCACCTTCAAGTTGGCCCCACCTCCTGTTATTCATATCCTCTTGTAATCTCCTCCCACATGGTACCGGGATTGGTCTTTGTGACCACGAGCATACAGCAGAAGTGATAAGGTTGTGAAAGTTATCTCTTGGATCACTTGCTCCAGGAAACTAGCTTCCATGTTGTGAGCAGCCATATGGATAGGCCCATAAGGAACTGATGTGTCCAGCCAACAACTAGTGAGAAATTGGAGCCTGTCAACCAAGTGAGTAAACTTGGAAGAGGATGCTCCAGCCTCCGTTAAGCCTTGAGTTGACAGTAGCTGTAATCAACAGATTGACTGCAACCTCCTGGGACACCTGGAACCAGAACCACTAAACTAAGCCCCTCTCAGATCCCTGACCTCCAGAAACTGTGACATAATAAATGTTGGCTTAAGGTACATCACAAATACAGACAGGAATATCACAAAAGTGATGGTGAGTTCTTTTTATTGCATCCTACCATGGGCACACAAATTCAGTCTGTGCCATTACTGATGATGTTTATTTATTTATTTAAAGACAGTCTCGCTCTGTAACCCAGGCTGGAGTGCAGTAGTATAATCACAGAACCTTGACCTGCCCGGCTCAAGCGATACTCCCACCTCAACTTCCCAACTAGCTGGGCCCACAAGCACATGCCACCACACCCAGCTAATTTTTTAATTTTTTTTGTAGAGATGGGAGTCTCACTATATTGCCCACGCTGATTTTGAACTCCCAGACTCAAGTGACCCTCCTGCCTCAGCCTCCCAAAGTGCTGGGATTATAGGCTTGAGCCACCGTGCCTGGCCTAATGATTTTTTTTTTATCCTTTGAGTAAGCAATGTCATCTGAGCTTTTCTACTGTGAAGTTGCTTGTTTTTTTCTTGTAATTAATAAATATTTTATGGAAGGTACTTTGAAACTAAAAATCCTTCATCATATTTCCATTTTTTTCATTGTTTTTCTTACTATGAGATCCTAACGTCCTGTGTATTCAATGGGATATACTTTGTTACTGACATTATTTGTTGTGAAGCTCAGAGTGTTCCAAATTTCACCAGAGTCTCCTCAGCCTGGCTTCTGTGTTCTTTGGATATGTCCTCATCAGCCTTTGAATACTTCTTTGATTTCTGGCACAAGATGTTCTAGGCTCATCATGTCCTTTGTCTGTCCCAGCCCTGAAATCATTTCTCTGAGGCTCCCTGATTATTTTTAGTGGAAAATGACATTAAAGCCAAGATCTGAGCATTAGGTATACCTGTTGCAATTGGAGGGTCACTGCCCCCAGGCCCACTCAAAAAACATTCACAAATTTATGTGTACATGTACATATATGTGTAAATGTATGTATAAGTATATACATGCATATCTATTTTATATATTATATCAAATATTTTTATAAATAAAATATAGCTAAATATATATTTAAATCCATAAGTTCATACTGATTCTTCTAACTGTAGGGTATCCAGGGTTTATTCTAGCCTTCTCCAACAGTTAGGAAACTGGACTCCCATTACCCTCGTTATGTTTATTTGATTTATTCCCCCATACATAACCAGTTGGCTGTCACCACTGCATCCACCCCTTCCCAGACATGAACGCCCTTCCTTCAGGCTCTGACTCCACTCATGGAGACACCCACCCACAGGGATGCCCTCTTCCTCTCCTTGGGCTCCAGGCCACCCTTCCATATGGACTCCCATGCCTGCCTCTCCCTGCTTGGGCTCTGACATACTTCCTCCGGCTGCGTCCACATGCATGCTCTCCTCTCCCCATCCAGGTTCTCACTCCCTACACTGGATCTGTCCTCTGGAGGGATGGCCTTCTCTTGCCTGGGCTCTAACTCCCCACTCCAGGCTGCCCCCCCCACCCCCCCGTTAATGAGAGTGCCCTCCTCATGCTGCTTGGTACCACCATCCCCCAGACTGTCACAGGCTGCCTCTCCATGCAGATTATACCCATCTGAGGGCTCTAGGACTGGCCTGTGCAGTGGAGAAGGGGAAGAGCACGGCTTTATGATCACATAAAGGCCATCGGCACTGAAAGGGACATTGTGCTCCCCAACAGCTGAATTTTTCATTTTTTCTGTAGTAGTGGGTTCCAGTTTTCCAGTTACACTGGCATATTTTAGGAAACTTGTTGAAATGCAAATTCTAAAGCAAGCAAACAAAAAAAAACAATAAAAACAGGGAGCAACCAGAGTGTTCCTAGAGCATGTTTAGATTATGGGGGGGGGCACTCAGTTTTCATTTTTGACTTTTGACTACTGTTTAAATTTTCCACATTTATACTTTTATTTATATTAATAATACTAACAGATTATAGGCCATGTTTTCTTTATAATTGCCAGTATTAAAGATAATTAGCATTATTATTTTTTAAAAGATAAAAAAATACAGAATCCAAGGCCCCATTGCTAGAGATTCTAATCCAGTACACTCGGGCCAAAGCCTGGAAATCTGTGCTTTGTACAGTTCTCCATTTGAATGTAACAATAAGCCAGGCTGGGGAGCTGCTCCACTGGATCCTTCACAGGAATGTCCTCAGTAGCCGATGGAACATCCACTGGGCAGAGCACCCCTGACTTCATCCGTCTGCAACCTCAGGACACTTAGGTCTTGTTTTGGAGGCTCATGATCCTACTGATACCTTCTTCCAAAAAACAGTTTTCTGTGATTCTTAGGAAAACTCTGAAAAGATGCAGGTTAAGCATCCCTCCAAACCATCAACGTCATCAAAAACAAGTAAAGCCTGAGACTCACTGCCCAGAGGAGCCTAAGGAGACGTGATGACTAAATGAAATGTGTCCCAAATGGGATCCTGGGACAGTAAAAGGACGTTAGGCAAAAACCAAGTATGGACTGTAGGTAATAATCACGTATCACTATCAGGTCATGAAGTATAGCAAATGTACCGTACTAATGGAAGAAGGTGTTAATAAGACAGGAAATTGTATCCTGCACAGACCCAGTGCTGTGTGGGATACCCAGTCCTTGTTGCCTGTGGCTCACAGCCAAGCCCTCTCTCATTAAACAACATGGAATATGTAGGAACTCTCTGTCCTCTGCACGATAATTCTGTAAATCTAAAGTGGTTCTAAAATTAAAAGTTTATTAGAAAGAAGATGGAAGTCACAAGAAGTGTAATGATGTGACATGACAAAGTCAATGGTAGCTCTTTATAAATAACCAGAAAAAGATGAGACTATCAGAACGCACATGAAGAACCTAAGTAGGGCGTCATCACCTCCATGTGGGAGATAAGACACACGCCATTACTGCAATCCATTGGTCTGAGTTTCCAGGAGTGACAGCAGGAGTGGCTACCGCTGCTTCTGTTCTAGGAAATGTGAGGACAGAAGGGACTGATTGCTCCAAAAGGTCGCCGTATAAATGTCTGATGGATGACCAGTTGTGCAGAGGAAGCATCTGGCCCTGCATCCAGGCAGGGAGAAAGGATGACTCTGGTAGGAGCACTTATGTTCTTTGCCCTTTGAGAACAGCTGTTGTGTGCTTGATGTACCACCTGTCCTTTGTTGGCAGAAAAGCCCTTTCAGAGCAGACCCAGTACTGTGCAGGAGAACCAGTCCATGTTGCCTGTGGCTCAGAGCCAAGCCCTCTCTCATTAAACAACAGCCGAAATGTTTGAGTTAGAGCCTACAAACAATGCAGCCGAATATTGGTGGATGCTTCCCGAGTGTTTGTGATAATAAACGCAGCTGAAACAGAGAAAAGCTGCACTTCTTTTTATACTAAGGTAGACAATGTGTCCAGCATATGGGAGGGAAATTGTACTGTTTATAAATTGCATTCTGAATTGGAAGCATTTTACCTATTTCAGGTCAGAAAATCATCAAGCTTTATTTCTCTAAAGCCAAAAGTTATTTTTAAAATACAAATAACCTTTTTATTTTACAGCTCTCAGAGAGTGTGTAAAAAAAAAAAAAAAGAGTATAATTCTACCATACCTGGACCAACATGAAATATCAATGGCAAAGGCTAAAACATAAAAAGTGCCACCATTGCCACTCATATATGTGCGTATGGCAGACTGTCCTTTCTCTCTCCTTGAGGAGCAAACATACATGTGCTCAGCTGCTGAAAGGGTCCACTCTCTGCCAGAAGCATCTAGGAACACAGGTCTCCTGGCGGCCTGGGAGCTTGCTCCTGGTTAAAATAAGAGGGCTGGTGCTGGATTTCTTTACCTGTTAGCTTGGCTGTGTTGGCCAGGGTTCAGCTGCAGAAAGCATAATCTGCTCTAGGTAAATTAAATAGAAAGTGATTTATTATAGGATTTTAGGTAGCTTTCAGGATCGCTGGAGAGCTGAAGAAGTAGACCCTAGACCAAACTTCCACAAATGACTCCCAAAACCATATGGCAAACCATCAGAGGAGCTGCTGTGTCTGCCTTCATCAGGAAGCTGTCACAGCAGCTGCTGGCTCCAAAACCAGCCACCTCAGCTATACAGTTGTCCCCCTTTATCCACAGTTTCTCTTTCTGCAGTTTCAGTTACCTGAAGTACAGAACAGTAAGACATTTTGAGAGATGGAGACGCTATTCACATAACTTTTTTTTTTTTTTTAAGACAGAGTTTCGCTCTTGTTGCCCAGGTTGGAGGGCAATGGCGCGATCTTGGCTCACCACAACCTCCACCTCCTGGGTTCAAGCAATTCTCCTGCCTCAGCCTCCCAAGTAGCTGGGATTACAGGCATGCACCACCATGCCCGGCTAATTTTGTATTTTTAGTAGAGATGGGGTTTCTCCATGTTGGTCACGCTGGTCTCGAACTCCCGACCTCAGGTGATCTGCCTGCCTCGGTCTCCCAAAGTGCTGAGATTACAGGCATGAGCCACCACACCCGGCCTCACATAATTTTTATTACAGAATATTGTCATACATGTTCTATTATATTATTAGGTAGGCTGTTAATCTCTTACTGTGCCTAATTTATAAATTACCATGTCATAGGTATGTATGTACAGGAAAACAGGATATATGAGGGTTGGTGCTATCTGCAGTTTCCAGCGTCCATTGGGGGTCTTGGAACATATCCCTGAAGGATAAGGGGGAATACTGTATTCAAAAAGCCATTACCACAGTGCCCAACTCAAGAGCACATCACCTGTGCCACTAATCTGCAAAACACATACCCTGCATCCTGCTGCTTTCCATATGACCCAGTTTCAAATCAAAGCACTTGAGTACAAGTCGCAGGTAGAACCTAAATTGCATTCTGAACCTGAATTGCAAGGGATCCTGGGATATTAGTTTTTGCTTTTCCGCTGCTGCACACTAGACGGGGAATGCAGTGGATGCTGAGGAGCCTCATCTATGTCATGTGTCACTGTCTGCCCTTTAGCTTCCCAGTTATCCGTGTATACTCTTCTTGCTGTAAGTAGGACCCACTCCATTCCCTGTAAATTTCTGCATCCCATTCAAAGTCCAGGATCTCTGGGTATGTGTAGCTCTCTTCATTAGGTCCAGATAGAGCTTTTTATCACCTAGTGACCTATAAATAAAGACTGCCTCTGCTCCTGATATACAGTGGTGGCAAAGGAAAATTAAAACTCTCATTCAGAAAGGAGGAGTATGGGAAACATACAACTGCTATTTGTCCTTAGTAGTGACCTCATCCCACTAGGCAACAATGGTAAAGGCACCTTGCTCAGATAGTAGAGTGAGGTCCTTGGGTAGCCATCCAGGGCTCCTTTGTCCATGAAGCCCAAGGCCCAAATCAGTTTCAGTTGGGTCACATTTTGCCAGAAAGTAACTTTTGGTTATTATAGCTTTTGGGATTTCAGGATTGCAGATAGGAATTATGTATCTGTAATTTTGTTTTTGTTTTTGTTTTGAGACAGAGTCTTACTCTGTTGTCCAGACTGGAATGCAATGGCCTGATCTCGGCTCACTGCAACCTCCGCCTCCCAGGTTCACACAATTCTCCTGCCTCAGCCTCTGAAGTAGCTGGGATTACAGGTGCCCGCCACCACGAGCTGCTATTTTGTGTATTTTTAGTAGAAACGGGGTTTCACCATATTGGCCAGGCTGATCTCGAACTCCTGACCTCAGGTGATCCGCCTGCCTCAGCCTCTTAAAGTGCTGGGATTATAGGCATGACTCACCATGGCCATGTAATTGTTAACAATAGTTCACCTTTACTGAGCACTCAGGCACTATGCTATACATATAAACTTAAACTCATTTACTCCACTCAACAGCTGTGTGAGGTAGGAATTCTTAGTATCCCCTACTTCATTGATTTCTACTAAATCTTTCTTAAAAAGCCATTGAGTCCCTACCATATGCCAAGGAAAAAGAGCAAAAAGTCTGTACAGCCTCAGCAAAAGTTGCTCCCACTCACATGAGGGAGACAGATGGGGGCACAGACATAGGTGTGCACAAGGCTATGGGAACAGAGGAGAGGGGCATGCCCTACCTATGCATCAGGCAGGGCTCCCAGGCAGGTACTGGTCCAACTCTGTCCTCCAGGCAGAGAAAAAAACCAGCCCTGAGTGGACTGGGGAGGTCATTCCAGCAGCTTGTTAATAGTAAACCTGCTTCTTCAATCTAGCGACTGTCAAATGCTTCTGAGACCACAGCTCACATGAGAATAGATGGTATACCATCTCCTATTAGCTGCAATAAAAGTATATCTGATAAGTAGTCATTTAAAACATTTCTCTAACTCTTCTTGTACCTCTACTGCTATGTAGGCAATACCTGATTAGCCACATGCAGATGAACCATGAGATTAAGAGTGTTACCACCTCACCCGCACCCCCCAAGTCTCCCATCACTCAGATAGCCAGTCCATCTGAACATCTGCAGTATGCGTTGTCTCTGAAGGGAACAGGTCCGGCAAGAGTAGACGTGGGAGTTGAGCTGGGAAAGAGCTTCTCTGAGAGCAGCCCTGGGTAAGGAGGGGTGGTGTAGCAGTGCCGATCTCCAGAACAAGGAAAATGGAGCCCTGCAGCTGACAGTATGGCAAATGTAGGGCTCAGTTTGAGGGATGGGTGAAAAATACACTTTTAAAAATAGAGCCTGGTCGGTTCTGGAAGAAGGCAGCAGCAGCAGCAGCATCATTTTAAAATCTCTCTGAATCCTCACACAAAAAAACAGAACAACTGGTTAGCAAAACCAGGCACCTACAGACAACACTTACCTCAAAACTGTGCGATACAGTATCCTCACTCACCCCCAAATCTAAAGAGGATGTGGAAGTAAACCCCCCACAGCCATAAAGACCTGCATGATAGCAGTGTGTGTGCAAGAGGAAGAAGCAGGAGGAAACAGTGGGGCATCTGAGAGGCCTGAGAATAGGAGAACCCCAAAATAGCTCACAGGTAGTCGCCAGAAATCATTGAAGCTGAAACAGAAGGGGTTCACCCAATTCAATACCAGGGGAGTGCAAGGGATTTTTGGTGAGTTCTGAAAGGGGCTGAGGCCGTCTGGGCCACATACAGTCTTGAACCCAAACGGCCAAAGCTCCCTACCTGGACATGGCAGGAGAAATTGCTGATAGTGGCATTAAAATTGAGCAGGACAATGGAGATGAAGGAAGGAGAAAGCCCAGACAACATTGAGGAAGGGGAGCAGAGAGGAAACCTCAGAGAGCAAGCTGTGGCAGTTTTCAACACTTCACTGAAACAACCAAAGAGAGTTCTGTGAAGTTAAGTAAATCTTTCCTGAGCAACATCTTCTTACAGCTCTGCAAAACTAATTTTGCACAATAAGCAACAGAAAAGTATCAAGGGCCAATCTCATCATAGAATTATAAAGAACAGAGCAAAATAACATTCCTACAGACAATGAAATCATGCCAGAAAGACAAGTTAATAAAAGAGGTTAAAACAGAAACATACTATTTCAAAATGAACTAAAATACAAAGCTTTAAAAAGAAATGAAGAAAGACATTAAAAAGGACTGAAGATGAAGTGTCAAGTGATAATTTGACAAGTCCCAATGGGTTACTGGATCTAGGCATTGGCCTCAGTGACTGTTAACATAAAAAAGATAAGCAACCAGAGACTGTGACCCTCCTGATGAAGCAATACACCACCAGCCATAGTGTTACCAAAGCAATCGAAACAGCATCTCACCACCCTCTGGGTCCAACTGCTGACCCACAGCGCATATAAAGGGCAGAGGAACACTTTGAACTGCATCTTGACTATGCAAGCAGCTAAATCCAAACTGAGGGAAACTCTACAACCCAGATTCTTCAACAGATAAATTGTAAGAAAAAGAAAAGTGAGAGGCCGGGTTCAGTGGCTCGAGCCTGTAATCCCAGCACTTTGGGAGGGCAAGGCAGGAGGATCGCCTGAGCCCAGGAGTTCGAGGTTGCAGTGAGCCATGATCGCTCCATTGTATTCCAGCCTAGGAGATACAGGAAGACCCTGTGTCTTAAAAAAAGAAAGAAAAAGAAAGATGAGAGCATCTGTAGATTAAAAAGCATATCACACTTTTGAAATGAGCAGGACTATAGAATCTAGGGGTGCACATTTGAACGACAGTGTCTTTTTTTAAAAGTGCAAACAAGTGATTACTATAGAAGTCAGGATAAGGTTACTTATGAGTCAGGGTAGGGGATTGTGATGGGGTTGGGGCACCTGGAAGGGGCTTTTGGGTTGGTTGTCAGAATTTCTGTTTGTTTACCTGGGTGATGTTCACTTTATAATAATTATGTGTTTGTTTTGTGTGATTTTCTGTATCGATTTTATTTTGCAATAAAAAAGTGAAAAGCACTGGTAAATCTGAAACACAGTAGTTTTTCTATGATAAATATTGGGTAAATATTGTTAGTTTTTATATTTAATTAATGTGTACATAATGGTATTTCAACTGAAAACTTTACCAACCTTGTAGCAGCCTCTAAATCTCTATTGTGTATTTCATTGATCTTTGCTATATAACAGTGTAAAAAAACAGTCACATTTTAAGGACAAGATGTTCCAGCTCTACCTAGGAAATAATAGGGGTTACAGTATGTTATCTAGATTTATTGGCTCCAAACCCCATATGCTCATTAACTATATTTTTGTTCTAATATCTGCACAATAGAATGACCATTATAAAAGTTCACATGGCTTCACTTAAAGCACATTACTTGGTGGGGATGGTTGAAGTGTATATATATGTGTGTGTGTGTATGTATATATATATATATATATATATATATATATATATATATATCGCTTTCTTCAGCATTGTTTTTAAAGAATACATATACATATATAAGTAGGTATAAAGCATAACTATATATATATAGTGTGTGTGTATATATATATACACCATATCTCATCTACACACATGCATACACATTATTTTTTAATCTAGTGAATCTGATGACAAATGAGTCTACAAAAGATAGAGTTTAGCAGCCTTAGACATAACAAATGCATACATTTCTTTAATATCTATTAATGTCATTGTATACTTTGATCTATAAATAATTTTTTTGTGCTGTTGATGTTGCCTAGGCTTGGCGATAAAATCCTCAACCTTTGCCAGACTGCAGTGTCTTTCTTGTTGGTCTGTCATTGACATGGCTCCCTGACAGGTTGAAGACAGATCAGTGTTTGAGAAACACGTACAGTAAGAATTTTGCTGTCCTCATGCTCTCTCTATAACCAAAATGTCACTGACTCTCTTCCTATCAAAGTCTTTAAAGACCCAGCCTACTCTGAGGAGCTGAAATTCCTTATTGCTGATCCTTTGAAGGGCCTCATGAGCAGACAACCTGCTCTCCTGGTCACCCCTAGTTCTGTGTTATTTTAATGCAATTGAATGTAGTCTCCAGTCATCTCAGGATGTGTCATTGTTGTGGATAAAAGCAAAGTACAGTAAGCTATCTTGGCTGTTTGCTGGGAGCATTAAAAAGACCCACATTTAATTGTAGCACATCCTATGAAGATAGAGCCCTTTTGGGGGGTTTTACTGTACAACTTCCATCTTCCTTTGTATGTCACCGTACTATCTAGTGTCCAGTGAAATGTTGATATTTCAAGTACAGACCCAGCTGGGTCTGAGGTCCAGTTCTGTGTCTGACTACAGGGAATCTCCACAGGGGTCCCAGCTAACCAGTTTGGCATCCAGGGTGCATTTCTGATTCCTCTGATAAGATGCACCCTAGCAAGGCTGAGGTCTCAGCTCAGCAGAATAGATTCTCCAGATTTTCTTTCCCTGTGTTATCTTGGGCACCCTGTTATGGCCAACCACCCGCATTCTCACAGGGCCAGCCCTGAGCCAAGTAGCAGAGTGTGTTGTCATTGTGCCCCCCAGCCCCTCACACTGCCTTGTTAGCTTACCATCGTCCCCTTTTTGTGACCTTCCTGGACATGCTCGTGTGCATGCACACTCCGTACACACACATGCTCTGCATCACACCTGACTTGTTGGTTGACTCATCCCTTGAAGGCTTACCTCTTGCTAAGGATGTCAGACACGGAGCTGCATTTCAACAAGGCCTTTCTGGAGACAGTGCCTTCCCCACGGGGTGCATGGAAATTTTAAGCCTGTGGCAGCCCAAGTGGGGTGGGAATGGAGGGATATTTTTGAATAGAGAGATTATTGGGTGCTTTTCAAATTACCCGAGAAAGGAAGGAAGTGGCCTATTACAGACCCACAAGCCATCATCCAAAAGCCGGAGGCTAGATGAGTCGCAGAATTCCGAATTGTCAGCATAGCAGGATGGTACATACACCTTCTAATACATCCCCAGTGTGATTGGAGGCCATGTCCAATAGTTAGACACATTAATATTCACGGGAAGTGGGGGTGATTATTGTCAGCTCATTAGGATGTGCCACAAAATGAGTTTCAGTTGGGTTATATTTTGCAAGCAAGGTAACTTCTGGTTGTTTCAGCTTTTAGGATTTCAGAATTGCGGTAAGAAATTCTGTACCTGTAATTATTAACAACAGTTCACATTTACTGAGCTCCCAGGCAGTACGCTAAGTGAACACTTTATACATGTAAATATGCATATAAGCTCATTTATTCCTGTTTACAACTATGTGAGGTAGGCATTCTTATTCTCCCTTGCTTCACTGATTTCTACTATATCTTCCCTTAAAAACCAGTGAGTCCCTAGCGTGTGCCAAGGAAAAAGAGCAAAAAGTCTATACAGCCTTAGCTAAAGTTGCTCCCAGTCATGTGAGGGAGACAGATGGGTGTGCAGACGTGGGTGTACACAGAGATGTGGAAACAGAGGAGAGGGGTGTGCCCTGCCTATGCAATCAGGTGAGGCTCCCAGAGGTGTTGGTCCAGCTCTCTCCTCCAGGCAGAGAAGAGAACCAGCCTCGCAAGGACTGGGGAGGTCATCCCAGCAGCTTGTCAAAAGTCAGCCTGCTTATTCAATGCCAGCGACTCTCAAGTGCTTCTGAGACTGCTCCCTGTGGTCCTTCCTTATATTTTCTTTAATGCAGCCCTCTCTTTATTCATCTTTTATAGAACACCCATCTCGGCTTTCTCGCAAGATAACATCTATGAAGTTCAGCCCCCAAGAGTAGACAGAAAATCTACAGAGATCTTCCAAGCCCACATCCAGGCCAGCCAAGGTATCATGCAGCCCCTAGGAAAAGAGGACTCCTCCATGTACCGAGAGTACATCAGGAACCGCTACCTGTGAAAAGAGCGCAGGTCCACCTGGTGGACACGTCTGATTAGCTTAGAACCTGTCTTGTCTCATCTTCAAAAGGTAACTTATTAAAAGTCCTTTGCGTCTGAAGCCTTTCTCCTTTTCTGTCACTTGCAAATTCCAAATTATAGCTAATAAAGATGACTAGATAATTTGCTGTTGTTGCCTTTGCTTTATTTTAGAAATACTTTGTTTACAAATGTGGTCAATATACTATCACACCATCACATTAAGAAATTCACAGGTATCTGCTGAGCACCTGCTGTGTGCCAGGCACCATGGCAAGGTCTAGGAACATCCCAGTAAGCAAAACAGGCCAAAAAATTCCTCTCTTGTGAGGAATGAAGGCAAAGTATTTTTCTTATCTTTATCCGTGAAAGCAAAGTATTGTTTCCTTGTAGTTAACATTTTGACATTTATTCTGGTGGCTTCTATGTTAACTTTGTATTTTGATCAGAAATTTCATTATTCTAAAAGGCCTTGTTTATAGGAAACAAATGCTGAAATATTTATGGATAAACGGACAAGATGTCAAAAAAGTGTTCTCCAGTGGTTCAGGATAAAAAGAATGAATGATAAATCAAATGGAGCAAAATATTAATAACTTGTAAATCTAGGTAAAAAGTAAACAGGAGTTCTTTGAGCTACTCGTGCTGCTTTTCTGTAAGTATAAAATTATATCAAGGCTGGGCACAGTGGCTCACGCCTGTAATCCCAGCACTTTGGGATGCTGAGGCGGGGGGATCACCTGAGGTCGGGAGTTCAAGACCAGCCTGACCAACATGGAGAAACCTCGTCTCTACTAAAACTACAAAACTAGCCGGGCGTGGTGGCGCATGCCTGTAATCCCAGCTACTAGGGAGGCTGAGGCAGGAGAATCGCTTGAACCTGGGAGGTGGAGGTTGCGGTAAGCCAAGATCGGCCATTGCACTCCAGCCTGGGCAACAAGAGTGAAACCCGTCTCAAAAAAAAAAATTATATCAAAATAAATTGTTAAAATTATTATTCCAGTTGACTTCCTGTGGCATGCAGCTGCGTTACATACTTTGACATTTGGTGTTCAGTCAGGTGTTGACTGATCACAGCACGTGTTTTGTTCTCTGTATAGTCAAACATGAATGTGGACAACTTTCTGCATTTCCTAACAGTTTACCACAAATGATTTGATCTCATTATGTCTATACTTTTGTTACAGACTGTCCCATTCTCCCTCCCCATAAATAATATAGAGAAGAAAGCCAAGCCTTCTAATGGGAGAAGGAAAACTGGTTAGCCAAAATGACCTGTGAGCTATCACCAACCCTGACATGCTGGGATTCTATGGAAGGTTTTATATTGCAAAGAAAGGTTAAGTCCCCATTTGACAGATATTTTTGATTGATGCCATCATGAAGTAAAGATTAGAGAATGACAAAATAATAGGTAAGAGGAATTTTGCCTTGGCGCA
Organism: Homo sapiens; assembly: GCF_000001405.40. Lineage (NCBI taxonomy): Eukaryota > Metazoa > Chordata > Mammalia > Primates > Hominidae > Homo > Homo sapiens. The sequence goes on from NC_000006.12 coordinate 109,826,722, forward strand.
GGTTGAATATCTAACACAATAGCTTGCTGTTGTGTGTGGGGGTGGGATCTCACGTAAATCTTCCCAAGTCAAAGAATAATCCCAAATTGCTGCAGAGGTGCCAATTATAGATCAGACACTGATCTTCATTTTTAAAATTTATTTTTAACATGGCTTCTAGAGGTCCACCTACTTAGGAAAAGAATGAACTTAAAGTTCTTTGAGAAGATCTGAAATCCAGATCTTCTTTCACAACCTCCCTGAGCTTAACTTTCCATAGCTGTAAAATGAGGATAATAATCCCTGCTCTACTGGCTTATTATGGCACTTAAGAGACTCTGCATGTAAAACATACAGCCATGGTTCCATGGTTCCTGGCACATAAATGATGCTGTCAATGGTAGCTGCTGTTGATGATGGCAGTGGTTGGTATTGGTGACAGTGATGGTGTCCTCAGCACCAACACCCCGATATTTTCAATTTAAGGCATCCGTGTATGTCCTTTTCAGAGTTAACACAATTTTGATGTAACAAGGTGGTATCTGAGCTATTACTTTTGACATTCAGATTACTTAACTTTGGATATACAAGGAAGGCTTTACAAATTGGTAGCAAACCAGACATAACATTTAACCTCTAGAAAAAGGTTAGTGATCTCAAGGAGCATGTAAACAAAGTAAATGCGTATCTGAAAGTACTAAAAAGCTAATATGTCATGGAAAATATAGAAACTGCTCTTATTTGTAGACCCAAAGGGAAGCAAATATGGTTAAGAGCAGGAGCTTTGCTCTCCATCACTTACTAGTAGCTGTGGGTCTTTGAGCAATCACTTAGCATCTCTAATCCTCAATTTTTTCATCTAGTATAGATAGTTGCTGAGAGAAAGAAGATACCTGTAAAGCACTGGGCATGGTGTCTAGCACAGCGTAAATATTCACTAAAAGATCACTGATCACATATAATCACCAGCACTTGCTAACCTGGTACCTGAGCATCATCTCGGAACAAGGTTATATATTAATGCTCACCATGTCCTAGTCACTGAAAAAGGAGAAGATGTCCTAGTTCAGCTTGGCATTGTAGATTTTAATTCTTTAAATAAGGCAATCTAAATGAATCTGGAGACACAGTAGGTCATAAATTGAAATCTCAGCAAATTATGGCGAGATCCCATGAAATAAAATTTTGTTGGTTGTATACCCAAGGGCAAAGCATTCACATTAAAATAACAATGTGAACTTCCTAAGGGTATGCGTGTGTGTGTGTGTGTGTGTGTGTGTGTGTGTGTGTATGTGTGTGTGATGGTGGAGGATAGGGTTGGAGGGGCATGTCTCTTAAAGCCACTTAGTATGTAAATCTAGCCACCACTACGGAGGAAGTCATGTATCATTTTGTCAAACCTGGAGATCCTTCCGTCTTGGTTGGACTTTTCCAGCTTATACACTCCCTGCCATGCTGTTGGGAAGACTGGACACATGTATTGAACAAATGGTTCTGGCATGGAAAAGCATTCATTTGTCATGAGGCAGAATTCATAGGATTGTGCTCTGTCCTCAGAGTTTAATCTTATGTTTTGTGGATCCAAATGGAAATTATTTTATGTGAAGTTCATTTCTCCATAGAAAAGTGACTCCACTTAGAATCCAAATAGACTTTATTCTTCACTTACATGTGAATAAATTAGATGCCACTTGAAAATGAGATTCCAACTTTAGTCGAAAATTGTCCTGTATCTTATTATATGTTTCACAGTAAAGCTTTTTTTCTCCAACTCACTGAGTTTTCTTCTTCCTAGAATTTACCAGATGCTGAATCAGAAGTATTTTCTCCTTTTGGAAAGTAATGTGCCTCACGATTGCCTCCACACGTGCCTTCGAGGTTAGCTGGTCAGAATGAGATTGCTTAGAGTGGCCAGAGAAGGCAAAGATGTTCTTATGTCCTGAATATGCTTTTTCTTGAAATCATGTTTTGCTCTTTTAAAATCAGTTTAAAGATACATTCTCTTTTTCTGGTTTGGCCCCCTAGCATTTTTTATATGTTCTGTTGAGATAAGTATTGCTTAAATGAATCGTTTATTGAAGGAAAAATGATCTGTTTTCCTTATTTCAAGACTTATCACCCTCCCTTTGGAAGAGACAATGGATTATTTCAGAAACTGCATGGTTCTGAGGTGCTCCTAGCATAGGTCAGTTTTTTCTATCTGCACTTGAGCAGCTTTCTTTAACAGAATTTTGAGTCTCCCTTTTCCGTTTCAGAAGTTGAGGGTCATTTGCTAATAGAGAATAGTAAGCTGTCATTTCACTCTTGCTACCCATACACAGAATTTTTTTGGGTTCATTTCTTCAGTACATTCAAGGAAACACCAATGTAATTGCAATCCAACTGGTAAATAAAAATTGTTGTCTTAATTGATCCCCCATGGGTTGAAGATTTCTTTCACAAAAAAATTACAAAACTAAACCACTTGCCTTAGTTTATAGAGAAAGAGAAGGGCCAGGAAATCAGATTTGCTAAATTAGGCAGCAACCAAGATTCTGGTCAAAAGCCAGGGAAACGTGGCATGGATAATGGGAGAGAGGAACCTCAAATGGTGTTGCCTCAAGGTTAGTTGCAGAGACAAGGAAAATGCTTTCACTTGCATTTTCTTTTCTGCTAAGAAGCAAATAAGTCCAGCACTCCTCTAACACCATCATTTTTCCTTTTAAGATGGGAATTACAATTTGAAAACAAAGTTCTCTTCTCTTGTTCCTCCCCTAACCCCCAGTCATTGTGTCTTAGAGATGATTGGGCTGGTGATTAAATTTTCCATCTGGTCCCAAGCTGGCAGAATACCTAACACAGGTGCATCCTAAAGATCCTGCACTCTGGGAACAATGGTATCCTGACCTCACCTATGGTTACAATAGCTGGATAGTTCTCTGGGTGGTTTCCTATGGGGAGGGGGTGCATAATTAAATTTGTATGTGGGCAACTTTGGCTCATGTTAAAAGAAGACATTTCTGGAAGTGTGTTGGGGAAAGAAGGTTTTTATGTGTGCCTGGCAGCTACCCTTAGTAGCTCAAGTGTATATCTCCTATCTTGTCTAGCACATCCCTTTTTTGAGGGGGTTGCCCCTTTTCCACACCAACAACCATCTGCCCTCCCTTTGACCCAGAGTCATTAGGTCAGGGCAGGAGAGTGAGATGAAATTTCTGATTCTCTCTTTCCTCTTCCTTTTTTGGAATACCCTTCCTTTACCTGAGGAGCCCACTGCACAGAGGAAAGACAGATGTGTAAACAATGTGATAAGGTTTGGCTGTGTCCCCACCCAAATCTCAAATTGTAGCTTCCATAATTCCCATGTGTTGTGGGAGGGACCCAGTGGGAGGTAATTGAATCATGAAGGCAGGTCAGGAAAGTGATAGTGAATAAGTCCCACAAGATCTGATGGTTTTATAAAGGGGAGTTCCCCTGCACATGGTTCTCTCTCTTGCCTGTTGCCATGTAAGATGTGACTTTGCTCCTCCTTTGCCTTCCACCATGATTGCAAGGCCTCCCCAGCCATGTGGATCTGTGAGTCCATTAAACCTCTTTTTCTTTATAAATTACCCAGTCTCTGGTATGTCTTTATTAGCAGCATGAGAACAGACTAATACACAATCTAATACAAAATGATTTCCTAGGATCATCAGCTCTGCACAAAGCTCCCAGGGCCCCAGGAGGGTGTAACTTACTTTGTAGGATAATGAAGGAAAATTTTACTAAATTTGATTTTAAGAGAACCAGTAGAAACTTGACACATAGGGGTAGTAGAGAGGGCATTCAAAAGAACAATGGAAATAAGAAATGTAGCCTATTTGGGGGTGACATGGTTTGGCTGTGTCCCCACCCAAATCTCAACTTGAATCTTATCTCCCAGAATTCCCACGAGTTGTGGGAGGGACCCAGGGGGAGGTAGTTGAATCATGGGGGCCAGTCTTTCCCATGCTATTCTCCTGATAGTGAATAAGTCTCACAAGATCTGATGGGTTTATCAGAGGTTTCCACTTTTGCTTCTTCCTCATTTCTTCTTGCCACTGCCATGTAAGAAGTGACTTCTGCCTCCTGCCATGATTCCCTGGCTTCCCCAGCCATGTAGAGCTGTAAGTCCAATTAAACCTCTTTTTCTTCCCAGTCTCAGGTATGTCTTTATCAGCAGCGTGAAAATGGCCTAATACAGTAAATTGGTACCGGTAGAATGGGGCATTGCTCAAAAGATACCCAAAAATGTGGAAGTGACTTTGGAACTGGGTAACAGGCAGAGATTGGAACAGTTTGGAGGGCTCAGAAGACAGGAAATTGTGGGAAAGTTTGGAACTTCCTAGAGACTTGAATGACTTTGCTCAAAATGCTGATAGCAATATGGACAATAAAATCCAGGCTGAGGTTGTCTCAGATGGAGATGAGGAACTTGTTGGGAACTGAAGCAAAGGTGACTCTTGTTATGTTTTAGCAAAGAGACTGGAGGCATTTTGCCCTTGCCCTAGAGATTTGTGGAACTTTGAACTTGAGACAGATGATTTAAGGTATCTGGCAGAAGAAATTTCTAAGCAGCAAAGCATTTAAGAGGTGACTCGGATGCTGTTAAAGGCATTTAGTTTTATAAGGGAAGCAGAGCATAAAAGTTTGGAATATTTGCAGCCAGACTATGTGGTAGAAAAGAAAAACCCATTTTCTGGGGAGAAATTCAAGCCAGCTGCAGAAATTTGCATAAGTAGCAAGGAGCCTAATGTTAATCCCCAAGACCATGGAGAAAATGTCTCCAGGCCATGTCAGAGACCTTCATGGAAACCCCTCCCATCACAGGCCCAGAGGCCCAGGAGGAAAAATTGGTTTCATGGGCTGGGCCCAGGGTCCCTGTGCTGTGTGCAGCCTATGGACTTGGTGCCCTGTGTCCCAGCCTCTCCAGCCATGGCTGAAAGGAGCCAATGTACACCTTGGGCTGTTGCTTCAGAGGGTGGAAGCCCCAGGCCTTGGCAGCTTCCATTTGGTGTTGAGCCTGAGGGTGCACAGAAGTCAAGAATTGAGGTTTGGGAACCTCTGCTTAGATTTCAGAAGATGTATGGAAACACTTGGATGCCCAGGCAAAAGTTTGCTGCAGGGGCAGGGCTCTCATGGAGAACCTCTGCTAGGGCAGTGTGGAAGGGAAATGTGGGGTCAGAGCCTCCACACAGAGTCTCTACTGGGGCAGTGCCTAATGGAGCTGTGAAAAGAGGGCCACCATCCTCCAGACCCCAGAATGGTAGATCCACCCACAGCTTGCACCATGCACCTGGAAAAGCCACAAACACTCAATGCCAGCCCGTGAAAGTAGCCAGGAGAGAGACTGTACCCTGCAAAGCCACAGGGGCAAGACCATGGGAACCCACCCCTTGAATCAGCATGACCTGGATGTGAGATCTGGAGTCAAAGGAGATCATTTTAGAGCTTTAAAATTTGACTGCCTCACTGGATTTCAGACTTGCATGGGTCCTGTAACCCCTTCCTTTTAGCCAGTTTCTCCCATTTGGAACGGCTGTATTTACCCAATACCTATACTCCCATTGTATCTAGGAAGTAACTAGCTTGCTTTTGATTTTACAGGCTCATAGGCAGAAGGGACTCACCTTGTCTCAGATGAGACTTTAGACTCTGAACTTTTGGGTTAATGCTGAAATGAGTTAAGACTTTGGGGGACTGTTGGGAAGGCATGATTGGTTTTGAAATGTGAGGACATGAGATTTGGAGGAGCCAGGGGTAGAATGATATGGTTTGGCTGTGTCCCCACCCAAATCTCAACTTGACTTTTATTTCCCAGAATTCCCACATGTTGTGAGAGGGACCCAAGGGGAGGTAATTGAATGATAGTGGCCGATCTTTTCCATGCTATTCTCGTGATAGTGAATAAGTCTCATGAGATCTGATGGGTTTATCAGGGGTTTCTGCTTTTGCTTCCTCATTTTCTCTTGCTGCTGCCATGTAAGAAGTGCCTTTCACCTCCCCCGCCCGCCATGATTCTGAGACCTCCCCAGCCATGTCTAACTGTAAGTCCAATTAAATCTCTTTTTTTTCCCAGTCTCAGGTATGTCTTTATCAGCAGTGTGAAAACGGACTAATACAGGGGGTCTGAAAGTCATCAGGTATTTCTGGACATGGGAATGGCAGTGGAAGGGGAGGGTGGTGATGGGAAGGGAAAGGTCAGGAAATAATGCTGGGAAGATAGGTCTGGTGAGATTGTGAAGGGCTTGATATGCTAACTCAGTGTTTCTCAAATGGGGCTCTCAGAACTCCATTACAAACATAAAAATTGTTGAAGACCCCTGAAGCGCTTTTGTTTACCTGGGTTCTGTCTATTGATGTATACCGCATTTAGAAATTGAAACTGATGATTTTTTAAATATTTATTAATTTTAAAAGAACGATAATAAACTCATCATGCTAACACAAATAGCATATTTTTTATGAAAAATAACTTTTCCAAAACAAAAAGATTAACCAAGATTGGCATTGTTTTACATTTTCAAATCTTTTTAACATCTGGCTTAATGGAAGACAGCTGTATTCCTGCATTTTCTTCTGTATTCAGTCTGTTTTGATATGTTGTTTTGGTTGAAGCACATGAAGAAAATCCATCTTTACACAGATATGAAGATGGAGAAAGGAGGAGGAATATTTAAATAACCTTTTGGCTGGGCACAGTGGCTCACGCCTGTAATCCCAGCACTTTGGGAGACTGAGGCGGGTGGTTCATGAGGTCAGGAGATCAAGACCATCCTGGCCAACATGATGAAACCCCGTCTCTACTAAAAATACAAAAATTAGCTGGGCGTGAAAGCGTGTGCCTGTAGTCCCAGCTACTCGGGAGACTGAGGCAGGAGAATCGCTTGAACCTGGGAGGCGGAGATTGCAGTGAGCTGAGATTGCGCCACTGCACTTCAGCCTGGTGACAGAGCGAGACTGTGTTTCAAAAAATAAATAAATAAATAGCGTTTTTAGATAATTGTGAATATTCTTTCTTAATACACTAAACTCAATACGCAATAGATTCTTTTTTTATTTTTATTTTTTTTTTATTATACTTTAAGTTTTAGGGTACATGTGCACAACGTGCAGGTTAGTTACATATGTATACATGTGCCATGTTGGTGTGCTGCACCCATTAACTCGTCATTTAACATTAGGTATATCTCCTAATGCTATCCCTCCCCCCTCCCCCCACCCCACAACAAGCCCCGGTGTGTGAAGTTCCCCTTCCTGTGTCCATGTGTTCTCATTGTTCAATTCCCACCTATGAGTGAGAACATGCGGTGTTTGGTTTTTTGTCCTTGCGATAGTTAAGCAATAGATTCTTAAAGGTCAGTTGCATTGTGATATCTGAAACTATCAATGAACTTTTCAGTGTGAGACATTAAAATCCATTGATTAATTTTGAATTTAGATTGGCTTTTCTACCCATGCATGACTGTGTAATACCATGCATTGATAATTTGGAAAATAATTGGTTCACTGAGTCCCTGGCAGATCTTCCAAATGTTGACACATTCATTTACAGCCAACCCGTCTTGTAGAAAAGCTTTTAAGCATTGGGAAGCTGCCAAACTCATAGTGGTGAATACAAGTTTTCCAAAACTCTAATGTTTGTTTGAAAAGCTCAAATTTTATCACTGGCAACAAATACTGAGAGTTTTCCTCGTAATGATAGGCAGGCTTCCTTTGTTCACTTTCAAGCAAAAGTCTGCCAGATACCCAAGTCTGAATAACTATAGTTTGTCTCACAATTGTTCTTTCAAGTAAAAATAGTCTTCCATGAAAAAGTGGCTAGTGGCTCGCAACTCAAACAGTTGCAGTATTCCTTAAGGCAAGCATTACACGTGGGTGTGCAGACTGAAGTGCTTTTGGCATACTTCCCATCATATCACATAGAATATTTAAGAAGACTATACTCAAGGGTAGAGATTTAATAAAATTGAATTTTACTAGCTTCATCAAGGACATTCTCACTTAAGAAGCAGTTGTTTCTTGAGAGTGTGTGGTGGTGAGGCACACTATACTACCAATAAGCTTTCATGTCCCTGCCTTGATTGGTGCTGACGCCAGCAGCTGTGCCCTCACCGCTTTTGCACCATTAGTGCAAATGTCAACACAATGAAAAAGGCATATAACATTTTAGTATCATTCTACAAATAGCTCTCACCTGGCAGACTGCCTGCATGGGTCTCAGGAATTCCCCTGGGTTTACGAGCCATGTTTTGAGAGCCTCTATGCTAAGGGATTACAGACTCAGGGTGCTAACTTGTAGACAGTTGGGACCCATGGAGGGTCTCAAAGAGAATGCCTCTGTTAGACACTCTCCTCTGGGCGCTCACGGCACTTCGGATCTTACAGCACTTATCACGCTTCTGTAACAGTGGTGTTTATGTGTCTGTCTCCCAAGAAAACTGAGCATCTTGAGAGCAGAGCAGAGATTAACTCACACACATCATCTCCCAAGCCCAGAGCTCACTTAGCTGGCACTCAAGAAATGCTGTTGAGTGAGTGCCCTGAGGATGGCTGCAGCAGCACTGTGACTCTGGAAACTCAGGGCCAGAAGGAGATTTCAATCATCCTCTTGCCTTTGAGTGTCTAATCCATTTAGAAAGATGTTATCTCATTCCTATTTTAAAAGGTGTCCAAGGAAGATGTAACTGCACCTTCTTAATCCCTGTCTTCCCAACCTGTGGGATACCTCTTTCTACTACCACCCAGGAATGTTCTGCATACAGACTAGATGCCTTGTCTTTCTTGAGGGAAGAAATTTATGTAAATATACAATTCACTTTTATTTATCACATCCAAGACAATCAACTAGTGCAGAACCTTAACTTTGTTGGACTTGGTCATTGAAATATAATAAAAATTATATTAGCAATGTTGAAAATTCTTGGCAATGTATTTTTATTCTTATTTATTTACTCTTGAAGGTTTTGTAGCAGAGAAAGATAATCTATAGATTATATTTCTTATGTTTATAGATTCGGGGGTTCACCTACAGTTTGGTTACATGGATATCTTGCATAGTGGTGAAGTCTGGACCTTTAGTGGAGCCATCACCCTAATAATGTACATTGTACCCATAAAGTAATTTCTCATCCCTCACCTCTATAAATTATATTAACATGTTTTTAAAATTTTGCTATTTACTCAATTGTGGAGAATTATGAATTACGGTGTAACTCTCCACTTCCAGACTAGCTACAGAGGTCTGGTTTTTTGCAAGATACATGGATAACAATTTTGTTAAATTTGGTTCTGCCTTAATAAAATCCAACGACTCTGAAAAATAAATTTGAGAAAAGATACCACATGTTGGCAAATCACGTGTGATAGAAAAGAACCCTTATGAATTGCTCTTCCCTAATTATGAAGCCATCTTTAATTCAGTTCAATAAAACATTTAATTTTGTCTGTATCTTCAGAGAGAGAAATTCACAGGTCAGCTTGTTCACAGAAAACATTTAGTAAATGGAAGTATATGACCTTTTGAATCATTGTTTCAGGTCAATTAAACTTGTGTAAAAATCCATTTTATCTTTTCCTCATGAAATCTTTGGGGATAGAATTAAATCAGATGTTTCTATAAATCTTCTGAGAGTCTTCTGCGTTAAAAAAATGTAGATGTCTATTCAGGAAACTCAAATTATTACATATATAAAGGACTCCTATTTTACATCCTTACTAGGGTAAGTTTTTTAAAAATTATTTTTAACAAAATCAACTTGCTGGAGGTTGGCAGCCACAGTGAGGGACTCTTCTGGATCTACTCTTGGGTCAGAACTGGCTGCGAGTAGAAGTGCCCTATATGGGGGCATTTCTATATATGGGGAACTTCATGTACCCTGGGGGTTAGGACCAATCTAGGGCTCTATGAAAACTACTTTGTTCTTTAAAAGTGGCACTAATCTCCTTCTGCCCTGGGATGTGAATTTTTTATTCACAATCCTGGCCCTAGGAAAGGGGAGCAGTTTCAAAAGTTTCTAGTTGACCTTCCCCACTCTGAGAGGTCTTGAACTGCAGTCCAAGGATCTAATGTGGAAGTTACTCTTAACTGCGGTGTATCAGTTCCAACTATACACTCAAGTCTGGAGAAAATGACCACACAGGCCCAAGGGGCCCATGGTGTGCTGGACTGTGGCCTGGACTCCATTTATTACCTGGCCCCTGTGAGCCCTCCCTCTAGCAGTGGGGCCATGATGACATTTTGCATCCCTAACTGTCAGTGTCAACTCAGACCCCTGTCTAATAATTGGTTAAAGTGCAGGGATTGAGAGAGAACGTGGGTTCAAGTCCCTGGTCCAGCACTTGGTGAACAAGGGACTTCAAGCAATATTCAACCTCTGTCGGCCGCATTTTCTATTTCTATTAAATGGCCTGGGATATGACTTTTAGAATAGTATGAATCCCATTTGGATTTTATGAAGATTAAATGAGACATTTTATGTAAGGAGTTTAGAATTATTCCTGGCCCATAATAGCAAGCACTTTTATATGCTAGTATTCCTAAAAACTAAAGGCCATTTGAGATTCTCCAGCTGGGGTGTACTTTGCTGAAAGTCTGAGAAGTCTACAAAAATTAGACAGTCTTCCATATCTCAGCACCTAGCTCTACTCTGGTTTAGAGCCAAAGACAAGAAGAAGCATAGTGGGGAGGTGGTGAGAGGCCGAGGAAGGCTACTGATGTCAAGAAGAGTTTTGACCACAGAACTAACAAGCAAGATGGCTGAGGGGCACTTTTCAGAGAGGCCCCCGTGACCCTCATACATGGCCCTAGGTGTCAGTAAACTCCTGGTGATGAGCAGTACCCATGTATTGCAATGCACCTCACTCCTGGGACATATCTCCGAGGAAGCAGGGCCTAGAATGGTTCTTTCAACTGTGCAAGGAGGCCCAACCCCTTTGCTGGACTGGAAAATATTTGCTAAAAGAAGGGCACAAAGCTGCTAAGGCTGGGATTTCCAACAATCTTATGGGCTGAGAAGGCCAGCCTAAATGGGAGACACCCTGACTTTGGGAGGAGGACATGGTTGGGTGGCTTGATGCATCTGCATATAGCAAAGTGGAGAATTTTTATTTACCATAATTGCAGGGTGGCAGATTCTCACTAGGAAAATGATTAGAGAAAGAAAGATGCATGCAATGGGAAGATCACATGTTGGGGGCATGGAGTGCATGACCAGTGAGGCCTGGTGGGGAAGAAGCCAGGGAGAGCATCCTGGCGAGAGGAGTCCCGTGGGGGGTGGTGGTAAAGAGAGAGGGAGATGTGAGATGAAAGTGAGAGCTGTCTGAAAAGGATGGTCAAGAACCAAGTCCGAAATGGGATTTGACTAGCTTTTGAGTATGGATTTGTGTTTGTTTACATAAATATATTTATTTGACTATATTAATTTAACTAACTGAGCTGACATGTATTAAATGGGATAGCCACAGATCCAGGGCCATGTACAGCCCCGATTCTGCTCCATGTAGGGGCCTTGAGGAGTATATCTGGCAGACAGGGCTGCTCTGGCCCCCATAGCAATGAGCAGCCGTCAGACAGTGCCAGCCACCATTTCCCTGCTCCTTCTAGTGCAGAGCTGGGCCTGAAATTGAGTTTTGAGGTTTACAGCTCAGCATGGCTGAGCTGTGTTTGGAGGGAGGGGTCTGGATGGCTGGGTTTTTTAATGTGACACCATACAGAGACTGGTTCTAGAGGTGGCCCAGTTGTATTTGGGTTACACACGCACATCTCCAAAGGCTGGCACAGTGACAGGGCTGGTTATGCCATTGAAGCCAAGGAGTAACATAGAACTAAGGGCAAATGCCTGAGATTAGAAGCCTGACAGTCTGTTGCTGTTCTCACTGGCCAGTGGGTCAGCACTATCCCTGCCTCTCCATAACCTGGCTGCACAGTGGATGCTACCAGCCCTGCCCATGGTGCCCTGAATCTTTGACCAGAGCCTCCAGACCCTGTGCCCCTGATGCAGGAGCTTCCAGACCACAGGAGATCATCATCCTGGTGGCTGGACTCGGCAGCCCAGAGCAAAATGACCCTGGACTTTCCCTCAGCTGAAACCATGCAGATAGGATAAGACAAGATGTTTTCCAGACTCTAGGACACAGCCCACCACTTGGCCCTCTCCACCAAAAGATGCTCTGCTGAGAAGTTAGGAAGAGGTTAATGGAAGGCATGCTCCCCTCACCTCAGCAAACATGTCAGGATTGCAACTCCTGGGGATGCCATGTGCACGTGAATTTAAGAAAAAAAAAAGGACTTCTTTGTTTGGGAGCAGGGGCAGAGCAACCCAGTAACTGAATAATTGGAGTGACCCAATAGGATCAGTGATGATTCTTACAATGTGGAGCTAAGCTGAGTCACATACACCAGTGAGGAGAGCAGGAGTGCCACCCCAGGGTATGCTTCACCTAACTCTTAGAGATAATTTCATTTCTGTTTTTGAAAATCCTCTTGGTACAGTTGCTGATAAGCTGATCTAGTGCCCACAAAAACCCCATGTGAAAATCTAAGGTCATTTAAAAATTACATATGTTAGGCTCTCCTTTTAGCAACTGCAATCTGATTGAGCTGGACAACAAACATTTATTGAGTACTTACTGGGTCCCAGGCACACTGAGCTGCAAACCTCAAAACTCAGTTTCAGGCCCAGCTCTGCACTAGAAGGAGCAGGGAAATGGTGGCTGGCACTGTCTGATGGCTGCTCATTGTTATGGGGGCCAGAGCAGCCCTGTCTGCCAGATACACTCCTCAAGGCCCCTACATGGAGTAGAATCGGGGTTGTACATGGCTCTGGATCTGTGACTATCCCATTTAATACATGTCAACTCAGTTTTTTGTTGTTGTTTTTGTTTTTTGAGATAGGATCTTGCTCTGTCCCCCAGGCTGGAGTGCAGTGGCACGATCTCAGCTTACTACTACCTTTGCCTCCCGGGTTCTAGAGATTCTCCCTCTTCAGCCACCTCAGTAGCTGGGATTACAGGTGCGTGCCACCACGCCCAGCTAATTTTTTTGTATTTTTAGTAGAGATGGGGTTTCACTATGTTGGCCAGGCTGGTCTCAAACTCCTGACCTCAAGTGATCTGCCTGCCTTGGCCTCCCAAAGTGCTGAGATTACAGGCGTGAGCCACTGCGTCTGGCCTGTGAAGGGCCTTCTTTAAATACAGAGGTGAGAGTCTCCAGCCAAGTCTGGGTAGCCAGGGAGGGTTCTATATGAATCAGGAACAGCAAAGGGGTCCGAGGCATGGGGTCTAGTCACCTCCAGGACTTGTTATCTGGAATCAGTGCCTTGCAGGTGGACCACCTGGTAAAGGCAAGTCTAGATGGGGAAGAAGCAAATTCTGCCCCCTTTTGTCCACTGCTGGGGTGAAAAGACATGGGGGAAGGGAGGCTGATGAGAGGTGATTGGTAATGAGTTTTTAATGAAACCCATGAAGCAGTGAATTTACATATAATTATGCATACTATTTTGGAATTACTAAATATTAATATTAATTCAATAATTTAATAAATATTTATTTTCATTTTAAAAATAATTTATAAATATTAAATAACTTAAATATTATAAATTATTTCAAATAGGTAGGTTACTTTTTAACTAACTTTGAAAAAAGTACCTACCTATTTGAAAAACACAGGTGTGCATTCTTGAACATGAAAAAGATCTCTGGTTGGAACTCCTGCAGCCAGCAATTTTAGCTCTTCTTTTTTTTGACAAATATGTTTATGAAATAGTATGTTGTAAACATTTATGAAATCATTACATTGTATCCCATAAATATATATAATTATTATTTGTCTATTGAAAATAAAAATATAAACAAACCTATAATGGGGCAAATATTTCCTGTGGAGGAATATACAGTAGGATGGACTTCCTCTTTTAAAAAGTAGCATTGGGCTAGGCACGGTGGCTCACACCTGTAATCTCAGTACTTTGGGAGGCCAAGGTGGGTAGCTCACGAGGTTAGGAGTTCGAGACCAGCCTGACCAACATGGTGAAACCCCATCTCTACTAAAAATACAAAAATTAGCTAGACATGGTGGCATGCGCCTGTAATCCCAGCTACTTGGGAGGCTGAGGCAGGAGAATCACTTGAACCAGGGAGTCAGAGGTTGCAGTGAGCTGAGATTGCACCACTGCATTCCAGCCTGGTGACAGAGCAAGACTCCATCTCCAAAAAAAAAAAAAAGTAGTATTTTCAGGAGCACACTTAGAATGGGGAGCTCTGTCCAGCTGTTATGTGGTGGGCATTGCTGGGCTGACCCTCTATCGCAGAGACCACAAAGCAAAGAAAACAAAAGGAATCCGGAGCCCCGGTGCCCATATTTGGCTGGTGGAAGCATCACTAACAAGCAACTTGCCTGAGAATTAGACAAACCTAGAGCCCTCTTCAGCCTTAGGAGTGAGCTACAAATCTCGACACTTCCAGAGATGAACACTGCCAGCGCTTTAAGAGCCCAAAGCTTTCTGTCTGGATTTCTTCTCTCCCTCTTGCTTTGACTTGCTGGTCCCACAACCCCATCCTCTGAGCTCTGACCCTTCCCATCCTCCACCACACAACCACCAGGCTTCTATGTCACTCTTCCCATCTCAAGAGGTCCCCATTCTCCTCCAACTGATGCCCCCCAAGTCTGTGAGAAGACGGCTGCTTAACTATTATGAATGCATCCATTTACACCTTGGCTTAAGTATGCTTTCAGCTAATTCATTCAATAGACTTCGTGTGTGTGTGTGTGTGTGTGTGTGTGTGTGTGTGTGTGTGTGTGTATTTTCTATGTGCTAGGCCAGATGCAAGCCTACAGAGGCTGGAGAGTTAGGCAGGGACTGGGTCTCCCCACATGTGTCTGCCAGCTACCAAAAAGAAAAGGCAGCCCTGATACATGGCAAAGTACGACAATTACAGGATTAGACCTGAATATCTACTATTACTAGGCTCTTTGCTAGAGATTGAAAACACACTGGCAAGCAAGACAGCTCATTTTTTCAAAGAGTTTACAGCCTGGTGAAAAAGACAGGCAAGAAAAGGGCACTTAAGCTTCATAATGGTAAGCATTATTGTATTAGTCAGTATTCTCCAGAGAAACAGAAATACATACATACATACATACATACATACATACATATATATATATATATATATATACATGTATATACACACGCACACACACACTCACCATTCCCAAACTTGTGGTAGTTCCACTTACAACTTTTGACTTTACAATGATGTAAAAGTAGAAACTGTACTTTGAATTTTAAATTTTGGTTTTTTTTCCTGGGCTAGTGGTAGGTAGTCCAATAGTCTCTTGCAATTCTGGGCGGCGGCAGTGAGCTGAACTCCCAGTCAGCCACACTATCATGAGGGTAAGCAATGGATACTCTACAGTGTACTGCATTGCCAGATGGTTTTGCTCAATGCTAGGCTAATGGCAGTGTTTTGAGCATGTTTAAGGTAGGCTAGGCTAAGCTATGATGTTTGGTAGGTTGGATGTATTAAATATGTTTTGACTTATGATGTTTTTGAGTTAATATTTCAACTTATGATGGGTTTATCAGAACATAACCCCAGCGTAAGTGGAGGAGTATCTGTACACACACACACACACACACACACACACACACACACACAATCAGCCCTCTTTATCCATGGATTCCACATCCATAAGTTAGACCAACCATGGATTGAAAATATTCAGAAAAAAAATTGCGTGCGTACTGAACATGAGCATATTTTCCCATCATTATTCCCTAAACGGTACACTATAACAACTGTTTATATAGCATTTACATTGTTTTAAATATTATAAGTAATATAGAAATGACTTAAAGTATACAGGAAGAGAATTGTCTATTCATGTCCTTAGCCCACTTTTTGATGGGATTGTTTTTTTCTTGTTGATTTGTTTGAGTTCTTTGTAGATTCTGGTTATTAGTCCTCCATTGGATATATAGATTGTGAAGATTTTCTCCCACTCTGTGGATTATCTGTTAACTCTGCTGATTGTTTCTTTTGCTGTACAGAAGTTTCTTAGTTTAATTAAGTCCCATGTGTTTATCTTTGTTTTTGTTGCATTTGCTTTAGGGTTCTTGGTCATGAAGTCTTTGCCTAAGCCAATGTCTAGAAGGGCTTTTCCAATGTTATCTTCTAGAATCTTTATGGTTTCAGGTCTTAGATTTTTGTATAAGGTGAGAGATGAGAATCCAGTTTCATTCTTCTATATGTGGCTTGCCAATTATCCCAGCACAATTTGTTGAGTAGAGTGTCATTTCCCCACTTTATATTTTTGTTAGCTTTGTCGAAGATCAATTGGCCTTAAGTATTTGGCTTTATTTCTGGGTTCTCTATTCTTTTCTATTGGTCTATGTGCCTATTTTTATACCAGTAACACGCTGTTTTGGTGACTATGGCCTTATAGTATAGTTTGAAGTCAGGTAATATGATGCCTCCAGATTTCTTTTTTCTGCTTAGTCTTTCTTTGGCTATGCAGGCTCTTTTTTTGATTCCATATGAATTTTAGGATTGCTTTTTCTAGTTCTGTGAAGAATGATGGTAATAATTTGATGGGAATTGCATTAAATTTGTAGATTGCTTTTGTCAGTATGGTCATTTTCACAGTATTGATTCTGCCCTTACAAATGGCCAACAAGCATATGGAAAAATGCTCAACATCACTAATTATCAGGGAAACGCAAATCAAAACCACAGTGCATTTCCCTGATAATTAGTGGTGTTGAGCATTTTTTCATATGCTTTTTGGCCATTTGTATGGGTAGAATCAATATTGTGAAAATGAGCATACTGACAAAAGCAATCTACAATGTTGTGAAAATGACCATACTGCCAAAAGCATCAAACTACTTACCATGATTCTGTGTGCAAATCAAAACCACAATGTGTGAAACCCCGTCTCTACTGAAAAAAAAAAATACAAAAAATTGGCCGGGCGTGGTGGTGGGTGCCTATAGTCCCAGCTACTCGGGAGGCTGAGGCAGGAGAATGGCGTGAACCTGGGAGGCGGAGCTTGCAGTGAGCAGAGATGGCACCACTGCACTCCAGCCTGGGTGACAGAGCGAGACTCCGTCTCAAAAAACAACAACAACAACAACACCACAATGCGACTGGGCATGGTGGCTCATGCCTGTAATCCCAACACTTTGGGAGGCCGAGTCAGTGGATCACCTGAGGTCAGGAGTTCAAGATCAGCCTGGACAACATGGCGAAATCCCGTCTCTACTAAAAATACAAAAATTAGCTGGGCGTGGTGGCAGGTGCCTGTAATCCCAGCTACTCAGGATGCTGAGGCAGGAGAATCTCTTGAACCCGGGAGGCAGAGGTTACAGTGAGCCAAGGTTGCGCCATTGCACTCCAGCCTGGGCAACAAGAGTGAAACTTCGTCTCAAAAACAAAAACAAAAAAAAAACAAGCAAAAAAAAAAAACACCCCACAATGTGATACCACCTCACTCCTGCAAGAATGATCATACTTTAAAAATAAAAAAAAATAGATGTTGGCATGGATGCAGTGAAAAGGGAACATTTACACACTGTTGGTGGGAATGTAAACTAGTACAACCACTATGGAAAACAGTGTGGAGATTCATTAAAGAACTAAAAGATCTACCATTTGATCCAGCAATCCTACTACTAGGTATCTACCCAGAGGAAAAGAAGTCATTATATAATACAAAAAATATACTTGTACATGAATGTTTACAGCAGCACAATTTGCAATTGCAAAAATATGGAACCAGCCCAAATACCCATCAATCAGCAAGTGGATAAAGAAAATCTGATATATAATATATATTTTATATATATATATACACACACAATATATATATAGATATATATATACACTATATATAGATATATATATTTTGTGGTAAGGTTTGTGTTGCAAAGCTTGTTGATTGGTGTTGCATTGTTTTCATCTTTTAGTGCCTCACCAAACATGTTGGTATTAAAAAGAATGCTATGATCACCAAAAAATTGAGAATTGCTGCATTACATTCTAAATCACAAAGGAGCAAAGGTGTCATTTTCTGTTTCCAATATCAGTGATATATATATATATATCACATTTTCATATATATACATATATGTGTATGTGTATATATACATATATATGTGTATGTGTATATATATAAACACACACATACACACACACCATGGAATACTACTCAGCCATAAAAATAAATGAAATAATGGCATTCACAGCAACTTGGATGGAATTGGAGACTATAGTCTAAGTGAAGTAACTCAGGAATGGAAAACCAAACATTCTATATTCTCACTCATATGTGGGAGCTAAGCTATGAGGACGCAAAGGCATAAGAATGATACATTGGACTCTGGGGACTCGGGGGAAAGAATAGGGGATGGTGAGGGATAAAAAACTACACATTGGGTACAGCGTACACTACTCAGGTGAGGGGTACACCAAAATCTCAGAAATCACCACTACAGAACTTATTCATGTAACCAAACACCACCTGTTCCCCAAAAACCTATTGAAATAAAAAAATAAAAAATTAAAAAATTAAAAGTAAATAAAATAACATACAATGTGGCACATATACACCATGGAATACTATGAAGCCATAAAAAAGGATGAGTTCATGTCCTTTGTAGGGACATGGATGAAGCTGGAAACCATCATTCTCAGTAAACTATTGCAAGGACAAAAAATCAAACACCGCATGTTCTCACTCATAGGTGGGAATTGAACAACGAGAACACTTGGACACAGGAAGGGGAGCATCACACACCGGGGCCTGTCGTGGGGTGGGGAGAGGGGGGAGGGATAGCATTAGGAGATATACCTAATGTAAATGACGAGTTAATGGGTGCAGCATGCCAACATGGCATATGTATACATATGTAACAAACCTGCACATTGTGCACATGTACCCTAGAACTTAAAGTATAACAATAAAAAAAAAAATGAAGTATACAGGAAGATGTGCATAGGTTATATGCAAATATTATGCCATTTTATGTAAGTGACCTGAATATCCACAGATTTTGGTATCTGAAGGAGGTCCTGGAACCAATCCCCCATGGATACTGAGGAATGACTGTTATTTATATACACATAATTCTTTATAAGGAATAATCACATATGATGAGGGCAGGCAAGACCTAAAATCTGCAGGGTGAGCCAGCAAGCTGGACACCCAAGAAAGCCTTGGTTTAGCTCCAGTCCAAGTTAGAAGGTGACCCAGGAGAGTTGATGGTGTCATTTTTATCCAAAGGCCAGCAAGCTGGAGACCCAGGAAGAGTCAAGATTTCAGGTCAAGATTGAAGGCAGGAAAAAAAGTCTATGTTCCATTTGAAGGGTGTTAGACAGGAAGAATTCTCTCTTACTCACAGGAGGGTCAGCCTTTTTGTTCTATCCAGGCCTTCAACTGATTGAGTGAAGCCCACCCGCATTAGGGAGACAATCCACATTAGGGAAGCAATTTGAGTCCACTGATTCAAATGTTAACCTCATCCAGAAACACCCTCACAGACACACCCAGAGTAATGCTTGAGAAAATGTCTGGGCACCCTGTGGTCCAGTCAAGTTGACATATAAAATTAGACATCACCGTCATAGTGTGTGGTAAGCACGGGGCATCCGGGGAGCACCCAGGAGGGCACCTAGATCAGCAGGGCTTTGCTGATTAGGAAGAAATCACACTTAAAATTAAAGTCTATATGTGGACTCCTTATCTAGAGGTTCTCAACTGGTGCACAGGGAATCCTTTCATGGATGTGCTATCAGTTCTTCACTGGTATGTAGAACTGATTTGACTACAGCTGAGTATTCCCACAGCAGGGCCATCTCTTCAGGTACAAGGTGACCTGGGCTGGCTGAGCAGCTTGCTGTGGAGCGAGTGCCATGGCTGCGGGTAAGAGGGGAGAAGTGGAGCACAGTCAAGTTCCCTCCAAAGAGAGGACTCTGCATGCTGGGCCGTAGGACAACTGGGCCCCAGAGTACAGGAGAGGTAGCCCAGGCAGCAACCATTCTGTTCCAACAGTCAATGGTGCTGAAGGGGCCACTGGGACAATCACTGTGCTATTATATTTTGTGGTAAGGTTTGTGTTGCAAAGCTTGTTGATTGGTGTTGCATTGTTTTCATCTTTCAGTGCCTCACCAAACATGTTGGTATTAAAAAGAATGCTGTGATCACCAAAAAATTGAGAATTGCTGCATTACATTCTAAATCACAAAGAAGCAAAGGTGTCATTTTCTGTTTCCAACATCAGTAACAACAAACAGTTCGGTCTGAGCCCATTATGTGTGTCTTCCTTGCTCTGAGAGGGTAAAAAGTTCACCTTATGAAAGAATGTAGGCAAACTTTTTCTTTTGCTGTAAATGACAAAGCAATTTCTCTACCCATATTTTGAAAAATTGTTTTCATTATGAGTTTGACTTTACTCCTACTTTCTAAAGGAAGGGCACAGGAGATACTAACAAATTCTTTGGCATTGCAGGCAACAAATTATCCACAAAGACTTTCAAGGCAAGAGCCCTGAGCAAACACAACTCGTGGCCAAGCGCCTTGCAAGTTGGCCCCCACTGAGGAGGAGAAAAGTGATTTCTTGCCAACCAAGGTTGCTTATATTCCCACATTTAGTATCCTCAGGTGTGGTGCTTAGCAGCCACCTCCCAGGCTGGAGAGCTTTGAAGAATCTCCTCTTTGGAGACCCAGACATTGATTTTGAAAAAGCACCATGCTGCACTAGCCCTGAATGCCCCCCAAGACGGGCTTTCCCATCAGCTCACAAAGATGATCTAGTCTGAAATGAGGAGCTGCCAGAGTAACTCTCAGGGCAGTGGGAAGCATCTAAGTACAATGGGCTTTCAGAACGGCAAAGGCACTTTAGATCCATAAAGGGCCTTAGGAAATAGCATTTCTCTCTCCAAATGCTCTTTAAAAAGTTATGTAAGTCAACTCCACCATCAAGTCCAAGTTCATATTAATTCACTGTCGTCAAGTTAACCCAGCTCAGCACCAGCTCCTCCACTGCTGAGCCCACACCTACATGGAGTTGTCTCCACAGAGAGTAGGGGCAGATGCGAACCCTCACTCAATCGCCAGGGCTTTGCATACATTCTCATGTTAATTCTCACAATGCATTTATAAGATACTTATTATTTTCCTTGTGGTAGGGGAATATTGGGATAGTAACCTTTTCCCTCTTCAGTTTATGTTTTCACTCCCTCTCTCCTATCATGGCCAGGCTTTAGGAACCATGCCATTGGAAAGGGAATAAAAGAAGCATTTCTATGTTGGTTTCCATAAACCAGTGATATTGGAGAAAGGAGAGGACTATCGGCATTTCCAGAATGTTGGAGGATTTACTTTTTTTTTTTAAGGAGGAATTCTCTTTTGCATACCTGCCACACCCACTCTCCACTAGGAAAAGAATGGGAAGAGAGGATGGTGAAGTAAGAATAACCTTTGGGTCCAGGCACAGTGGCTCATGCCTGTAATCCCAGTATGGGAGGCCAAGGTGGAGGATCACTTGATCCCGGGAGTTCAAGACCAGCTTAGGCAACTTAGTGAGACCTTGTCTTACCAAAAAAAAAAAAAAAAAAAGAATTAACCAAGTATGGTGGTGCATGCCTATAGTTCCAACTACTTGGGAGGCTAAGGTGGGAGGATTGCTTGAGCCCAGGAGCTCAAGGCTGCAGTGAACTATGATTGTACTACTGCACTCCAGCCTGGGTGATGGAGCAAGACCCTGCCTCTAGAAAATAAATAAATAAATAGAAAATGGCCTTTAGAGGTCCCTGGAGAGAGGGGCTACACCAGGTTCCATTGTCTAAAGAGAGTCACAACAACCTCTCCCATCTCACACACTCTTCTTGCAATGTGAGTGTGACACCTTTCAAAGAGAGGTGGGGCCGGTTTCCCCTTCTGTGGTCCTGAGCAATCTGGAGACTCTGGCAGCAGTAGCTCTTAAGGGCCATGCAGCTCTGGTTTGGGAGCTGAGACTCTCACCTGTAAGTCCAGGGCAGCCATGCTGTGAGGAAGCTCAGGTCGCATGGCGGGGCCTCGTGGAGGTGTTCAGGCCCCAGCTGAGGTCCCTGCTGAACAACTGCCATCAACAACCACACATGTGAGTGTAGAAGCCTCTAGATGATTCCTGCTTTCAGCCATCAAGTTGAGCCTATCTGAGGCCTCACGTACCACAGCAGAGAGGAAAGGTGTCCCCACGTGCTCTTTGTAAATTTCTGACCCATAGATTCCATGAGCATAATCAAGTGGTTGTTTTAAGACTCTAAATTTTGCAGTAATTTGTTATGCAGAAATAATTGAAACAGGGCCCAGTATTCTTTCACCAGGACTGAGGGAAGTGGTAAACACTCTTGGATTTGAGAATGCCAGAACAGAGGATCTGTACTTCCCGAGAGCTCTAGGGTAAGATCTAAGAGACAGAATAACTACATGATGGTAGACAGGGCCTTGGACAGCCTCTTAGATTCTGGAAGCCTACCATGGTCTGGAACTAGCAGGATGATTCCTCTACCTGCAAGCATGGCACAGATATGAAGGGATGAAGTAGCAAACACACCGGTCTTATTGGTGAGACATTTATGTGCCAGAGGTTGGGAAATAAATCCAACTAAAATTCAGGGAACTTCAACTTCAGTAAAATTTCTAGGGGTCCAGTGGTGTGGGGCCTGTCGAGATACTCCTTCTAAGGTGAAGGATATGTTGCTGCATTTGGTCCCTCCTACAACCAAGAAAGAGGCCTAAAGCCTAGTGGGCCTATTTGGATTTTGGAGGCAACACATTCCTAACTTGGCTCTGTTATTCCAGCCCATTTATCGAGTGACCTGAAAGGCTGCCAGTGTTGAGTGGGGTCCAGAACAGGAAAAGGCTCAGCAACACATCCAGACTGCTGTGCAAGCTACTCTGCCACTTGGGCCATATGACCCAGCAGATCCAATGGTGCTTGAGGTGTCAGTGGTAGATAGGGATCCTCTTTGGAGCCTTTGGCAGGCCCCCCTAGGTGAATCACAGTGGAAGCCTCTAGGATTTTGGAGCAAGGCCCTGCCATCTTCTACAGATAACTACTCTCCTTTTGAGAGACAGTTCTTGGCCAGTTACTGGGCTTTGGTGGTAACTGAATGTTTGACTATGGGTCATCAAGTCACCATATGACCTGAACTGCCTGTTATGAGCTGGGTACTTTCTTATCCATCTAGCCATAAAGTGGATCATGCACAGCAGCATTCTATCATCAAATGGAAGTGGTACATACATCATCAGGCTCAAGCAGGTCCTAAAGGCACAAGTAAGTTACATGAAGAAGTGGCTCAAATGCCCATAGTCTCCACTCCTGCCATCCTGCCTTCTCTCCCCCAGCCTGTACCAATGGCCTCATGGGGAGTTTCCTATGATCAGTTGACAGAGGAAGAGAAGACTAGGGCCTGGCTCATAGATGGTTCTGCACGATATGCAGGCGCTACCCGAAAGTGGACAGCTGCAGCACTACAGCCCCTTTGTAGGACATCCCTGAAGGATAGTGGTGAAGGGAAATCTTCCCAATGGGCAGAACTTTGAGTAGTGCATCTGGCTGTGCACTTTGCATGGAAGGAGAAATGGCCAAATGTGTGATAATATACTGATTCACGGACTGTAGCCAATGATTTGGCTGAATGGTCAGGTATTTGGAAGAAGCATGATTGGAAAATTGATGACAAATTTGGGGAACAGGTATGTGGATGGACCTCTCTGAGTGGTCAAGAACAGTGAAGATATTTGTATCCCATGTGAGTGCTCACCAACGGGTCATCTCAGCAGAGGAGGATTTTAATAATCAAGTAGATAGGATGACCCATTCTGTGGACACCACTTGGCCTCTTTCCCCAGCCACCCCTGTCATCACCCAAGGGGCCCATGAACAAAGTGGCCATGGTGGCAGGGATGGAGGTCATGCATGGGCTCAGCAACATAGGCTTCCACTCACCAAGGCTGACCTGGCTACAGACACTGCTGAGTGCCCAATTTGCCAACAACAGAGACCAACACTGAGCCCTCAATATGGCACCCAACGGCAGTGGTTTGTCCTCACTGGAATAGATACTTACTCCAGATATGGGTTTGCCTATCCTGCACGCAATGCTTCTGGCAAGACTACCATCCGTGAACTCACAGAATGCCTTATCCACTATCATGGTATTCCACACAGCATTACCTTTAACCAAGGCACTCACTTTATGGCTAAAGAAGTGTGGCAGTGGGCCCATGCTCTTCGAATTCACTGGTCTTACCATGTTCCTCATCATCCTGAAGCAGCTAGATTGATAGAACAGTGCAATGGCCTTTTGAAGTCACAATTACAATGCCAACTAAGTGACAATACTTTGCAGGGCTGGGGCAAAATTCTCCAGAAGGCCGTGTATGCTCTGAATCAGTGTTCAATATATGGTACTCTTTCTCCCATAGCCAGGATTCATGGGTCCAGGAATCAAGGGGTGGAAGTAGAAGTGGCATCACTTACCATCACCCGTAGTGATCCACTAGCAAAATTTTTGCTTCCTGTTCCCACGACATTACGTTCTGCTGGCCTAGAAGCCTTAATTCCAGAGGGAGGAATGCTGCCACCAGGAGACACAACAACCATTCCATTAAACGGGAAGTTAAGATTGCCACGTGGACACTTTGGGCTCCTCCTACCTTTAAGGTAACAGGCTAAGAAGGGAGTTACAGTGTTGGCTGGGGTGATTGACCTGAACTATCAAGATGAAATCAGTCTACTAATCCACAACGAAGATAAGGAAGAGTATGCATGGAATACAGGAGATCCATTAGGGCATCCCTTGGTATTACCATGCACTATGATTAAGGTCAATGGGTAACTGCAACAACCCAATCCAGGCAGGACTACAAATGGCCCAGACCCCTCAGGAATGAAGGTTTGGGTCACTCCACCAGGAAAAAAACCATGACCTGCTGAGGTGCTTGCTGAAGGCAAAGGGAATACAGAATGGGTAGTAAAAGAAGGTAGTCATCAATACCAGCTACGACCACGTGACCAGCTGCAGAAATGGGGACTGTAATTGTCATGGGCATTTCCTTCTTCTTTTGCAAAAAACATGTTTGTGCAAGTATACATTTTTACTGAGAAAATATCTTTATTTTATTTCCTTTTCCTTTATCATGTGACATAAGATTTTACTTCATATCAGCATTTACATATTGTTAACTTTGTGTAATAGTATTTGGGTTGGGGATTGGTGCATTTCCGGTTGTATGAAGGATAGCTGTATTATATTAGGTGTAATTATGACCTTATTATTGTCTTTATTTGAAGATATGTATGATCTCAGGAGGTGTGTATGTGTTCAAGTTGACAAGGGGTGGACTTGTGATGGTTAATACTGAGTGTCAACTTGATTGGATTGAAAGATACAAAGTATTAATACTGGGTGTGTCTGTGTGGGTGTTGCCAAAAGAGATAAACATTTGAGTCAGTGGGCTGGGAAAGGCAGACCCATCCTTAATCTGGTGGGCACAATCTAATCAGCTGCCAGTGAATATAAAACAGGCAGAAAAATATGAAAAGGAGAGACTGGCTTAGCCTCCCAGGCTGCATCTTTCTCCCATGCTGGATGCTTCCTGCCCTCAGACATCGGACTCCAAGTTCTTCAGCTTTGGGACTCGAACTGACTCTCCTTGCTCCTCAGCTTGCAGACAGCCTATTGTGGGACCTTGCAATTGTGTAAGTTAATACTTAATAAACTCCCCTGTACATGTATCCTATTAGACATATAACATGTATATATACACACACTATTAGTTCTGTCCCTCTAGAGAACCCTGACTAATACAAATGGGAAAGAAGTGGTGACCTCTAAGGGCAGATGACCAAAGTTGGAAGAGGAGGTTCTGAAAAAGCCCGTGTGAGCAGACAGCACTGAGGACAAAACGCCCCTCCCTGCCTCACCCCTATCCAATGCTTGGCAATATGCAAGCCCCCTAGAATTGGGACACCACTAAAAACCCTTGGGCTATGGCTCTAATGCCACAGGGCCCTTCTGGATCCCTAGGATTGCGGACAAGACTTTTTGGGGCAAAGGGAAGAACCATTGTGCTGAGAAGAGGTTGAAATGCTTTCTATTTCAGTATTTAGTTGTCGTTTCTCCCAGGTGGTAGCTCCTACTAAGGGCACTGCAAGCCTATGAAAGGGTTCAGGACACACTTCCCCAAAATATGGCACCTGGCATTTGAGAAAATAGCAGAAGCAGGAAGGTCACTCTCACTTTCCCCTTGCCCTTCTCCCATGAAGCAGGTCATAAAACCTTCATTCCACGGTGCGCTCCCTAAACCAAGAGGAAAGCAACATCCTTATCACTGAAGATACAGGGACACAGAGAAGAATCTGAACAAACAGGTCTCTCTAAGTTTCCCCCAGTTAATTACCATTAGATCATACCCTCTTTGTTCAATCATACTTCTGCATGACTGTCCACCCTTCATCAACCCTAAGCATAAAAATATATGGGCTTCTCTATTTCTTTGGGTCTTCATTTCTGGACACTCCCATGTCACATAAAACTTAAATCAATGTGTACGCTTTTATCTTGTTGATCAGTCTTTTGTTATAAATGCTTCAGCCATGAACCTAGCAATGAGTGAGAAAAGAAACCTTTCCTCTCCTACAGATGCTTCTCTGGCTTTGCTTGTAGAAAAAGCAAGAATCTCATGGTGGTCCCTACCTATAAGGAGCCTACACTTAGTACAGAGGAGGCCAAGGTGGGCTGGGGGTTGGGGATGTCTTGGACAACAGAAGGAACAGAAGTGGGAATGCTGTGTCCTGCAGAAGTGTGGGCTCGGCCAATGCCTGCACTTTTCCTGCATCAGGCTGCCAAGATCTGGGAGGAAAGGCAGATGGGATAGAGGCCTTACAAGGCCTGACCCAGAGGGGGAATGACCATCTGGTGTGTCTAGGCAGATTGGCCTTTGGACTTCTCCAGTAACATCTTGGCATTCTATTCCAGTGGGTCCCAAGCCATATGAGATTTAGATGTTACAAATTGCCTTCCAGTGTGGACAACCTGCAGAAGGGAACAGAACAGGTTTTAATGGTGATCTGTGCAAACCTGTGGCCAATCACAGAGAGCATGACAGATGTTCTAGTAGATGCCTGCACAGGCTTATGACATTGAGAACCACCTAGGACTTTCATAACATGCAATAACATGTAGGGCAAGGACACAAAAGTGACAGAAATTAAATCTCTATCACCCTGAGGAACATGGGGGCCACATATAGAAATGGAATTACAGAGAACTAAAGAGTTCTATATGTTTTTATTTCATATACACATGAATGTGTGGTGTTAGATTTGTACAAACTGTCAAAAGCTGGCTCCCCAAATACCACAGAATCTGTCAATAAGACAAATGAGTCATTGTCAATAAGACAGATGAGTTCATCTCAACGCAGTAAGAGAAAGCCACCTTTGACTTGGCAGTGTCTCAGAGGGGAAAAGGTAAGGTAAAAATTGATTGAGAATTAGAAGCTTGGTTTAAGGCAGGTCTTACAATGTGGGACTTGATTAGGATTGGGTAATCATGATCCAACAGTACAGGATTGGTGGAAATAGCAAGACGAGAGATTCAAAGAATCTTGTCTTTGATGCTTTCTATTGAAGATTTAGTTGATGACGAATTTAAATAATTTTTTTTTTGAGACAGAGTCTCATTCTGTTGTCCAGTGTGTGATCTCGGCTCACTGCAACCTCTGCCTCCCAGGTTCAAGCGATTCTCCTGCCTCGGCCTCTCAAGTAGCTGGGATTACAGGCACATGCCACCACACCTAGCTAATTTTTTTTTTTTTTTTTTTTTTTTTAGAGATGGGGTTTCACTGTGTTGGCTAGGCTGGTCTTGAACTCCTGACCTCAGGTGATCCGCTCCCAAAGTGCTGGGATTAGAGGCATGAGCCACCACGCGCAGCGGAATTTGAAGAATTTTTACAGGAAATTTCTGTAATGGACAACGAAAGCTTTTCCTTGGGCTGGAGGATACCATCAAAGTAAAGTCATGCTAATGAAGATATGTTAAAGATTTGCTAATGAAGGTAGGGAAATCCTGTTAACTAGATTGTAAGGCAGGTTTGGGTTCTAAGTATCCAGGCTGAGTATGGGAGCCAGTGGGTTCTGTTCTCACTACTATATCCCCATTTTACATTTAGGAGACCTTGGGTTCAGACCCCTCTGAATTTGTAACGTGTTCGAAGTTACTTGTAACTTTGAAGTAACTTGTTCAAAGTCACAAATCTAGTCAGATGAAATAGTACAGTGGTTAAGAGCATGGGTTCTGGAATTAAACTGTTTGGGATCTTATGCAAGTTTAGAAAGTTACTTAATTACTCTGTGCCTCAGTCTTATCATCCATAAAATGGGGGTTCTAATGGTAGCTAGCACATAGAATTGTGATGAGAATTAAATGCATTAACACCTGAAAAGCGTTTAGCACAGGCTCTGACATTGTGCTCCAAAAATGACAGCTAGCAGTAGTAATAGTTGCACAATAGTAAAAGTGGTAGTAGTAATAATAATAAGTGTAGACCAGGGTTTGAACCAGTTTTGTTGGACTCCAGTGCAGAATTGGCTACAGAATTTGCCCAGTGCAAAATTAAAATGCAGGACCTTGTGTCCAAAAGTTATCAAGAATTTCAAGGGAGCAACAGTAGTGCATTAAATTAAACATAGGATCCTTCTAAACATCCAGCCCTGTACGCATGCACAAGTCACATGCCCATGAAACTGGCTCTGCTCCAGGGCACTTTCAAGGAAAATCTATTATCCTCTTAACTAGTGTTAAATAAAATCTATGGGAGCCCACTAATTTGGACTGAGCTGCTGCATTAGGCCCCAACATATGAACCCAAGATGGAGTCACCTGTGCTAAGATTCCATGTCACCAAACTGAAACCTAACCTGTTTACTTGTAAGATCTGACCTTCCTTGGGCGTGATGGCTCACACCTATAATCCCAGCACTTTGGGAGGCCAAGGCAGGTGGATTGCCTCAGCTCAAGAGTTTCATGCGCGTCCGTGTAAAGAGACCACCAAACAGGCTTTGTATGAGCAACATGGCTGTTTATTTCACCTGGGTGCAGGCGGGCTGAGTCCGAAAAGAGAGTCAGCGAAGGGAGATAGGGTGGGGCCGTTTTATAAGATTTGGGCAGGTAAAGGAAAATTACAGCCAAAGGGGGTTTGTTCTTTGGCGGGCAGGAGTGGGGGTCACAAGGTACTCAGTGGGGGAGCTTTTGAGCCAGGATGAACCAGGAGAAGGAATTTCACAAGACAATGTCATCAGTTAAGGCAGGAACAGGCCATTTTCACTTCTTTTGTGGTGGAATGTCATCAGTTAAGGCAGGAACTGGCCATCTGGATGTGTACTTGCAGGTCACGGGGATATGATGGCTTAGCTTGGGCTCAGAGGCCTGACATTCCTGTCTTCTTATATTAATAAGAAAAATAAAATGAAACAGTGGTAAAGTGTTGGGACGGTGAAAATTTTTTTGGGGTGGTATGGAGAGATAATGGGCGATGTTTCTCACGGCTGCTTCGAGCGGGATTAGGGGCGGCGTGGGAACCTAGAGTGGGAGAGATTAAGCTGAAGGAAGATTTTGTGGTAAGGGGTGATATCGTGGGGTTGTTAGAAGAAACATTTGTCATTTAGAATTATTGGTGATGGCCTGGATACAGTTTTGTGTGAATTGAAAAACTAAACGGAATAAGAGAAGGAGAAAAACAGGTATTAAAGGACTAAGAATTGGGAGGACCTAGGACATCTAATTAGGAAGTGCCTAAGGAGGTTCAGCATAATCCTGTCAGCTAAGATTATTTATTTACTTCAAGAGTTAAGAGTGGCAGTTTGGGGATAGCACCAGGAAATATCAGCTGTGATGGCTTGGAGAAACAGTGTAAACCGGCAGTGTAAACAAGAGCAGGGCATGTATGAGTAGTTGAGAAGGGTGAATAGGAGTATGACTACAGAGAAGATAGGAGGGATGACAAGTTTTTTTGGGGCACAGTCTAAGTTAGTCTGGTGTCTGGAATGAGACTGGGGCCTACTAAAAAAGAGCATCTATACAAGAGCTCAAATGGGCTGTACCCTGTAGCATTCCAAGGACAGGTCTGACTTCTGAGAAGGGAAAGTGGTAAAAGTATTCTCCAGTCCTTTTTAAGTTGGTGGCTGAGCTTTGTGAGGTGTGTTTTTAAAAGACCTTTAGTCCGTTCTACTTTTCCTGAAGATGGAGGACCGTAAGGGATATAAAGGTTTCACTGAATACTAAGAGCCTGAAAAACTGCTTGGCTGATTTGACTAATAAAGGCTGGTCTGTTATCAGACTGTATAGAGGTGGGAAGGCTAAACTGAGGAATTATGTCTGACAGAAGGGAAGAAATGACCGTGGTGGCCATCTCAGACCCTGTAGGAAAGGCCTCTACCTATCCAGTGAAAGTGTTTACCTAGACTAAGAGGTATTTTAGTTATCTGACTCGGGGCATGTTGAGTAAAGCTAATTTGCCAGTCCTGGGTGGGGGCAAATCCTCGAGCTTGATGTGTAGGGAAGGGAGGGGGCCTGAATAATCCCTGAGGAGTAGTAGAATAGCAGATGGAACACTGAGAAGTTATTTCCTTGAGGATAGATTTCCACGATGGAAAGAAAATGAGAAGTTCTAAGAGGTGAGCTAGTGGCTTGTACTATAGCATAGCCTGCCTTTGCTGGTGTGTGGCTATTAGGCCTGGTGGAACTGCCATCAATAGATAAGCATGATCAGGGTGAGGAACAGGAAAGAAGGAAATATGGGGAAATGGGGTGAATGTCAGGTGGATCAGAGAGGTACAGTCATGAGGCTCAGGTGTGGTATCCAGAATAATGTGGGAGGCCGGATTGAAGTCCGGGCCAGGAACAATGGTAATTGTGGGACTTAAAGAGTGAGTACAGCTGAAGGAGCCAGGGAGCAGAAAGTATATGCATCAGGTATGAGGAAGAAAATAGATTTTGGAAGTTATGAGAAATGTAGAGAGTAAGTTGAGCATAGTTTGTGATTTTGAGGGCCTCTAAAAGTATTAGGGCCTTTAAAAGTATTAGGGCGGCAGCAGCCACTGCACGCAGACATGAGGGCTAGGCTAAAACAGTAAGGTCAAGTTGTTTGCACAGAAAGGCTACAGAGTGAGGTCCTGGCTCTTGTGTAAGAATTCTGACCACACTAACCATGCCTAGGAGGAAAGGATTTGTTGTTTTGTAAGGGATTGAGGTTTGAGAGATTAATCGGACACGATCAGCAGGGAGAGCACGTGTGTTTTTATGAGAATTATGCTGAGATAGGTAACAGATAAGGAAGAAATTTGGGCTTGACTGAAGTAATGGGGGCTGTCTGTGAAGCTCTGTGGCAGTACGGCCCAGGTAATTTGCTGAGCCTGATGGGTGTCAGGGTCAGTCCAAGTGAAAGTGAAGAGAGGCTGGGATGACAGGTGCAAAGGAATAGTAAAGAAAGCATGTTTGAGATCCAGAACAGAATAATGGATTGTGGAGGAAGGTATTGAGGATAGGAGAGTATATGGGTTTGGCATCATGGGGTGGATAGGCAAAACAATTTGGTTGATAAGGCATAGATCCTGAACTAACTTGTAAGGCTAGTCTGGTTTTAGGACAGGTAAAATGGGGGAATTGTAAGGAAAGTTTATAGGCTTTAAAAGGCCATGCTGTAGCAGGCAAGTGATAGCAGGCTTTAAACCTTTCAAAGCATGCTGCGGGATGGGATATTGGCATTGATCAGGGTAAGGGTGATTAGGTTTTAATGAGATAGTAAGGGGTGCATGATCGGTCGCCAAGGAGGGAGTAGAGGTATCTTATACTTGTGGGTTAAGGTGGGGGAATACAAGAGGAAGACACAAAGGAGGCTTTGGATTGGGAAGAAGGGTGGCAATGAGATGCAGCTGTAATCCAGGAATAGTCAGGGAAGCAGATAATTTAGTTAAAGTGTCTCGGCCTAATAAGGGAACTGGGCAGGTGGGGATAACTAAAAAGGAGTGCTTAAAAGAGTATTCTCTAAGTTGGCACCACAGTTGGGGAGTTTTAAGAGGTTTAGAAGCCTGACTGTCAATACCCACAACAGTTATGGAGGCAAGGGAAACAGGCCCTTGAAAATAAGGTAATGTGGAGTGGGTAGCCTCCGTATTGATTAAGAAGGGGACGGGCTCACCTTCCACTGTGAGAGTTACCCGAAGCTCGGCGTCCATGATGGTCTAGGGGGCTTCCGAGGCGATCGGGCAGTGTCAGTCTTCAGCCGCTAAGCCGAGAAGGAGTCAGTCAGAGAGCCTTGGGCCAGAGTTCCAGGGACCCTGGGAGTGGCTGCCAGGTGAGTTGAACAGTCCGATTTCCAGTGGGGTCCCACACAGATGGGACATGACTTAGGAGGAATCCTGGGCTGCAGGCATTCCTTGGCCTGGTGGTCAGATTTCTGGCACTTGTAGCAAGCTCCTGGGGGAGGAGGTTTTGGAGGAACGCCTGTCTGCTGCGGTTCAGGCATTTGGAAGTTCTTGTGTGCTGGAGATGTGGCTGGGGTTTGTCTCACAGTGGAGGCAAGGAATTGCAACTTTTTTCTATTGTACACCTTGAAGGCGAGGTTAATTAAATCCTGTTGTGGTGTTTGAGGGCCAGAATTTAATTTTTGGAGTTTTATTTAATGTAGGGAGCAGATTGGGTAATAAAATGTATATTGAGAATAAGACGGCCTTTTGACGTTTTAGGGTCTAGGGCTGTAAAGCGTCTGTCTCAGCGTTGCTGCCGAACGAGCCATGAACTGGGCTGGGTTTTTTATATTTGATGAAAAAGAGCCTAAACGCTATCTGATTTGGGATAAAGAAAAAGGAGCATTAACCTTGACTATGCCTTTAGCTCCAGCCACCTTTTTAAGAGTAAATTGCTGGGCAGGTTGGGGAGGGCTAGTCACGGAACGAAACTGTAAGCCGGACCAGGTGTGAGGAGGGGAGGTGATAAAAGGATTATAGGGTGGAGGAGTGGAGGCTGAGGAAGAATTGGGACCTAGCTCAGCCTGGCCAGGAGGGGAGAGGTCAGATAGGTCTGTAGAAAAGGAAGATTAGAAAGACTCAGTGACGCTTGGGGTTGGGACTGAGGGGACAGGTGGGAGGGAAAGAAGGAAGACTTGGGATGAGTTGCATTGGGCACAGAGACTAGGAAGGGACCGATGTGTAAAAGAATGCCTGGACATCAGGCACCTCAGACCGTTTGCCTATTTTACAACAAGAATTATTTAGATCTTGCAGGATGGAAACATTGAAAGTGCCATTTTCTGGCTATTTGGAACTACTGTGGAGTTTGTATTGGGGTCAAGCGGCATTGCAGAAGAAAATAAGACGCTTAGATTTTAGGTCAGGTGAGAGTTGAAGAGGTTTTAAGTTCTTAAGAACACAGGCTAAGGGAGAAGAAGGAGGAATGGAGGGTGGAAGGTTGCCCATAGTGAAGGAGGCAAGTTTAAAGAAAAGGGAGAGTAGAGACATGGAAGGAAGCGGTTCGGGGGTTCTTACCCTCCAGAAAAGCGGGAAAGGGGTCAGGGCGCAGAGATACAAGGTCAGGGCATGGAAATAAG
The DNA here is from genome assembly GCF_000001405.40 of Homo sapiens. Lineage (NCBI taxonomy): Eukaryota > Metazoa > Chordata > Mammalia > Primates > Hominidae > Homo > Homo sapiens. The sequence goes on from NC_000006.12 coordinate 109,860,356, forward strand.
GGATCAGGGCACAGAGATATAAGAGGTTGGGGCATGGAAATAAGGGATTGGGGCACAGAGATATAAGAGGTCGGGGCATGGAAATAACGGATTGGGGCACAGAGATAAGAGGTCAGGGTGTGGAAATAAGGGATTGGGGCACAGAGATATAAGAGGTTGGGGTGTGGAAATAAGGGATTGGGGTGCAGAGATACAAGGTTGGGGTACTTGCCCCTCCTCTAGAAAAGCAGGACTTGCCGCTAAGAGTGAAGGAGAAGGGGTTGGGGGTTTCTTGCCCCCCAGAAAGGTGGAGAAGGGGTAGAGACACGGAGAGAAGGGGTTGGGGTACTTGCCCCTCCCCCAGAAAAGTGGGACTTGCCGCGAAGGGTGAAGGACCAAGGCAGGCGTCCCTGCGTGGTCTGACACCTCTGAAACATGGGTGAATAATCAGAGAGGTGTCCCTGCAATGATTAAACACCAAGGGAAGGCTGCCTTCCCAGTCCGTGACCAGCGCCAGAGTTTTGGGTCCACGGATAAAACATGTCTCCTTTGTCTCTACCAGAAAATGAAAGGAATTGAAATTAAGAGAAGGGAGAGATTGAAGTGTGGTGCCAAGATTGAAAGGAGAAAGAGGTTGAGGGATAATGAGAGAGGTTGGAGAAGAGAGTAAAAAGAGGCCACTTACCGGATTTGAAATTGGTGAGATGTCTCTTGGGCTGGTCGGTTTGAGGACCTGAGGTCGTAGGTGGATCTTTCTCATGGAGCAAAGAGCAGGAGGACAGGGGATTGATCTCCCAAGGGAGGTCCCCCGATCCGAGTCACAGCACCAAATTTCATGCGCGTCCGTGTGAAGAGACCGCCAAACAGGCTTTGTGTGAGCAACATGGCTGTTTATTTCACCTGGGTGCAGGCGGGCTGAGTCCAAAAAGAGAGTCAGCGAAGGGAGATAGGGGTGGGGCCGTTTTATAAGATTTGGGCAGGTAAAGGAAAATTACAGTCAAAGGGGGTTTGTTCTCTGGTGAGCAGGAGTGGGGGTCACAGGGTGCTCAGTGGGGGAGCTTTTGAGCCAGGATTAACCAGGAGAAGTAATTTCACAAGACAATGTCATCAGTTAAGGCAGGAACAGGCCATTTTCACTTCTTTTGTGGTGGAATGTCATCAGTTAAGGCAGGAACTGGCCATCTGGATGTGTACGTGCAGGTCACAGGGGATATGATGGCTCAGCTTGGGCTCAGAGGCCTGACAAAGAGTTTGACATCAGCCTGGGCAACATGGTGAAACCGTGTCTCTATAAAAAATACAAAAAAATTAGCTGAGCATGGTGATGCACACCTGTAGTCCCAGCTCCTTGGGGGACTGAGGTGGGAGGATCACTTGAGCTGGGGAGGTTGAGGCTGCAGTGAGCCAAAATTGTGCCACTGCACTACAGCCTGGACAACAGAGTGAGACCTGTCTCCTCTGATCCCCGCAAAAAAAAAAAAAAAAAAAAAAAAAAAGAGAGAAAAAGATAAAGATCTGACTTTCCCAGAAATCAGGGGAGAGATGATAGCCAAATCCCTAAACAGGCCCGTTTTCCAAAATAAATAAATAAATAAACAGGAGATTCACAGCAACTAATAGAAAGGGACCCAGTCAATCTGAGCCAGCATGATAAGAAAATTCCTTCTGCTTTACCCCATATGAAGAAAGAAACCTGAAGTAATCTGATGTTAACCAATCCACTTTTTGCACCATTCTGTTTCATTGTTTCTGCTCAAGCTACCTCACAAAAATCAATGTCTTGCCATGCTCCTTGGAGCTCCTATTTTGTAGAATGGATGCTGCCCAGTTCATGAATTGTTAATAAAAGCCAATTAGATCTTTAAAACTCAATTTGCTAAAATTTTGCTCTTTGACAGTAGCACTACATTGTACCAACCTGCTCCTCCATATTACAACTACCATCTGAGAAGTTTGGAACCCCAACAGAAGGTTGCTTTCCTGCAAAAATATAGCTGTTTTACCAACACAGATTTTATAAGATTTGAAACTACTGTACCAGGTTAAGTTGCACAAAGTAGCACTTATCCATGGCCTTTCAGACAATCTCTTATGTGAAAGGTTACAGAGAGATTGGAATGGTCTTAGCACCTACCACATGTCCTAAAGACACACCAAACTTAAACTAGTGTTTCATTGAAAACCATATTATGGGCCAGGTACGGTGGCTCACGCCTGTTATCCCAGCATTTTGGGAGGCCAAGGCGGGCCGATCACAAGGTCAGGAGATAGAGACCATCCTGACCAACATGGGAAAATCTGTCTCTACGAAAAATACAAAAATTAGCTGGGCGTGGTGGGGCATGCCTGTAATCCCAGCTACTCAAGAGGCTGAGGCAGGAGATTCACTTGAACCAGGGAGTCAGAGGTTGTAGTGAGCCAAGATCGCACCACTGCACTCCAGCCTGGTGACAGAGTGAGACTCCGTCTAAAAAAAAAAAGAAAAAGAAAACCATATTATGTAGCTGGGCATGATGGCTCATGCCTGTAATCCCAAAACTCTGGGAGACTGAAGTGGGAGGATGGTTTGAGGCTAGGAGTTCAAGACCAGCCTGAGCAACATAGCAAGACCTCCATCTCTACAAAATTAAAATTAAAAAATTAGCTGTGCTTAGTGGTGTGTTCCTGTAGTCCCAGCTACTCAAGAGGCTAAGGCAGGAGGATCACTTGAGCCCAGGAATTCAAGGCTGCAGTGAGCCATGATGGTGCCACTGAATTGTGGTTTGAGTGACAGAATGAAACCCTGACTCTTAAAAAAAAAAATTGTATTATGGCTGCCTCTGGTCAGTAGAATTGTGGGTGAATTAAAATTTTTTCTACATATTTTCCTGTAGTTTCAATTTTTTAAGCAATTTAACATGGGTTGATTTGAGATTAAAAATTATGTTAAACATTTTCTGTTTTACAAATCAGATCATTCCAGCATGGTACAGCTATTCTGGAAAGGAAAGAGCTTATGTATCTATCTCCATATAGAGCTTGAAATGCTTCAAGAATATTTTCTGTTGAGTCTATAGTTGGATGCTTAGGACTTTGATACTGAGAAATCCTGGGTACAGAGAGAATAGAATCAACTTTGAAGTTAATGTAGTGAGCTTATCTAGTTCTGCTGGGACAAAGCAGAAGAGAATGTTTTATTTGGTACAAGCCATTAATAAGAGAAAACAAAGCAAAACAACTGGAGGTAACTAGAAGGTAACACAAAAAGTTAGTGTTTGATTTTGACATCAAACGCTTCCCTGGACATTCAAGACTTTATGCAACCACTTTCCAACCCTGGCATTACTGGGAAAGAAAATTTCAAATGCTATTTTATAGCACTGGATCTGACAAAGACTCTTCCATCAAAACGTCAGTCAAGCTTCTGCAAGCCCTTTGCTTGACTAGGCCAGACTTTGGGCTTCCCTCTCTGTCCTTGTATAATAGAATCCAGTTTTTTTTTTTTTTTTTTTTTTTGAGACGGAGTCTAGCTCTGTCACCCAGGCTGGAGTGCAGTGGTGCGATCTCAGCTTACTGCAACCTCTGCCTCCTAGGTTCAAGCAATTCTTCTGCCTCAGCCTCCTGAGTAGCTGGGATTACAGACACCTGCCACCACACTCAGCTAATTTTTGTATTTTTAGTAGAGATGGGGTTTCACTGTGTTGGCCAGGCTGGTCTTGAACTCCTGACCTCATGATCGCCCTTCTCCTCAGCCTCCCAAAATGCTGGGATTACAAGCATGAGCCACCATGCCCGGCCAGAATCCAGTTTGAGCAAGAATCCTGCTAAGCCAAATTAACCAAGACCCCTACTCTGGTATCTGACCACCCTTGCCTTCAGCAATAAACTGTCAAGTCAATTTAGCCAGAAACACCTTATCCCTGACAATTCCTCATAGTAATTTTCCATCTATTGACCTCCACCCTGCTCCTTGTAATAAATCCCTACTTATCCTTTTTGGAGCCAGAGTTGAGTCCAGTCTTTTTCCCTCACTACAAGACCTGATGCCAATCACCATGGACCCCTTGCATAAAGCCTACCTTGCCATCTTTGACAAGTATCATGAATAATTTTTCTTTAACAGATCAAATGAGGTAATACTCCTTTAATTAAAAACTGTTATAATTAAAATGTCACAGCTTTTCCTGATTCTTACAATTAAAGTCTGTTAGCCTCATTCTGGGGAAAGATGATGAATTTTAATTTTTCAATGAATGATGCAGTATGTGAAGCTATGAATGTGGAAGGCAGTGACGTTAACACACAAGATCACTGCTGTCACTTTTCCTGAGGGCCTGAGCCATGAGCTGCTGCTCTTCATAGCACAGATATAGGTCAGCAGTTCTAGGACTGTGACCCAGTCCCTTAACTCCTTGCAGGAGAGGCAGGGACATACAAAAAAATAAAACTGTGGCTGGTAGATGTGGTGGAAGAGAAAAGTAAGACGGGGAGACAAAAGGGAGGGGGCAGTGGTCTTGTCGAGAGAGGCTTGGAGCTGCATGTTGTCACCCAGATCTATAGTGTCTTAGCTTTGGGCATGCTTTTAAGAGGTGGGGGCAAGAACTATATGGACAGTGAAACCCTGCCATGCATGCAAGTGAAGTCTGAAAATTTCAATTGTCCTAATGTGAGTGGATAAAACCATTTTTTCAGTCTGTATTCTCACAAAAAGCACAGAAATAAAGTGAAACTTATATACAACTGACTATACAAGGAACTCAAAGTTTCAGATGATCAAGGCTATCTCTTCCTAAGGCCTCCATGCCCACCCTTCCTAACTTTCCGTCTCCCCAGGAAGACAACATCTTCCCACCCTTTGAGGGCAGGGCTGCTCTGAGGATGGGAACCATTCACAGTGTAGCCAAATTTCTCTTATCCATGTTGGCTCCACTACTGGGTGTGTTACTGGGAGTTTACCATGGGTGTAGGGATGAACTGGGTGGAGCTCTGTTCTTCCCATTGCCTCCTCTGTCACTCTCCCAGAATCCTCTGAGGCCCTTGAGCCTTTCCGGTGGTGGCATTGTGGTTGTTTTCCGGGTTGATGGCCTTCCTCTATCCAGTCTTCTGGGCTCATGTTTGTTTTACTCATTTATTCATTAACTCATTTGTTCACCAAATGGGCACCTGTCCTGTGCAAAGCAGGTGCTATGAGCTAGAGCTACAAACAGAAATAAACACAAGCTCTTGCTGGCTCTTTGAGAATTCACCATCTTTAAAAGTACAAATACAAGGACATATCAAGCATTTAGTGTGCACCAAATGCTGCTCCAAACATTTGATATGTGATGACTCAATGGATTGTCACAACCCCCTTGAAATAAATAATGTTGTCATTCCCATTTGATGCAAGAGGAACTGAAGCCCAGAGAGGAGAAGCAACTTGCCCTACATCACACAGCTTCTAAGTAGAGGAACCAGGATTCAAACCGGACCTTCTGGCCCTTGACCGTGAGTTCTTCACCACTCTGCCCAGACTCTACTGTCTCTCACCAAACCCCAGGACAAGGTAGGGCTGCTCTGGGACATGTATAACAGAATGTGGCAAAAAGTTTTGGGAAAAGAACTTTCCCTGGGAAGTCCTTTGAAACAGCACAGAGAATGTTGACACGCAACAGCTTAATGGGTGGACAACTGGGGGCAGAGGCAGTGGTCATGTCAGGGCCCCACCTGTTCTAAGGCTGTGGGAGTACTGGGGCATCTCCAGGGAGCAGCAGCAATTGTACCTTTGGGAGAGGAGGCAGTGATGTCTTAGCGGCTTCAGTAGCTGCGGGAGGAAGGAACACCTGCAATACCAGACACCATGGGAAGGCTGCAGCGCCCCTGCGTGGCATGGGGGTGCAGGGACCTGGGCAGCCAGGGGATTATGAGCATTTGTGAGATCTACCTGTGGTCCCAAGATGTACCTGAGAGACTCCTTGGAAAGGAGCAAGGATGCCCCAAGTTGAGAGGTGGAAAAGAGCAAGAGCCCCACTATTTCTTTTCTTTTCTTTTCTTTGATTTCTTTTCTTTCTTTCTTTCTTTTTTTTTTTTTTTTGAGACAGAGTTTTGCTCTTGTTGCCCATGCTGGAGTGCAATGGCACAGTCTCGGCTCACTGCAACCTCTGCCTCCTGGGTTCAAGCGATTCTCCTGCCTCAGCCTCCCAAGTAGCTGGGATTACAGGCACACACCACCACACCCAGCTAATTTTTGTATTTTTAGTAGAGACAGGGTTTCACTATGTTGCCCAGGCTGGTCTTGAACTCCTGAGCTCAAAGTGATCTGCCCACCTCAGCCTCCCGAAGTGTTGGGATTACAGGCATGAGCCACTGTACCTGGCCAAGCCCAATTATTTCTAACTGGTCATTTTGCCCCAAGCTTAGTGAGACCTATGGAAATACAGTTTGTGTCTAGAATTTCAAGTTCCACCCTATGGAATTGTTCTGCTTTCTTCAGAGACCTGAGCACAGAAGCTTATATGAAATTAAGTGGCACCCACAGTGACAAGAGAAGAGCAAATGGCATAGAAGCAACATTGCCTCTCCTCCAGCCTGAAACCCTCAATGTCTAAATGGGGAAACTGAGCCACTGGGTGACTTCCAAATCACCAAGTCAGGACCCTCACCTCTTGCCTGTGTTCTTTCATCTGCATTTGATGCGATATATCATCAGACCACAGCCTCCTTGGGGGCAGGATAATTCCTTACCTTTCTTTGTGTCTACCTCAGCACTAACACACGCCTAGTATTTAATGTTCAAGGAAAACATGCTGAATGGATGCATGACTGGCGGTTGTTCTAGAAGAAGTACAGCCAGAGAAGTGTGTGCCTGTGGCTACTTGTTGTGGCCTGAGCTCTCATCTGTTCTCAGCCTGTGTATGTGGCAGGCAGGCATGGAACAGCAGCCACCACAGCAGTCCTCTAGCCACTGGAAAGATCTTACCTCCTAGAAAGTTCTGGTTTAGCAATTTACCTTGCACTTCCAGGAAAAAGCTTCATGAAAGAAAGGGGTTTTGGTCTCTTTTCTTGGCTGAGACTCTGACCTGACTGTTCAGAAGGCTGCTGCAGGAATGTTATCATCGGCAGACTGCTCACAAAGTCGCTGTGTTTGTCGTCCAAGGGGGTCACGTGACTGTGGGAGCACATGCATTTCCAAGTCAAGCTGTGGAAAATTTGCTAGGGAGAAATGGAAATACTCAGGCAGTTTCTTCATAATACACAACAAAAATACAGAAAGCCCCTTGGCTATATTTTTTATGGGTAGAGATTATTTCTCCACTTTTTATTTTTAACTATATCTAGTAAATCAAATCTTGCTCATGGATTTTTTTTTTTTTAACAACCCGTGAGTGCTGATAGGTGGAAGGAGAGTAACTAGGAATTTAGGAGATGTAGGTTTAACATCTCCTAAATTACCACCATTGTCACCTACTTGTGGTGTGACCTTGGGCACCACAGTGGTCCTTTGGCCACTGGAAGGATCTTACCTCCTAGAAAGTTCTGATTTAGCAATTCACCTTGCAATTCCAGGAACATGCTTCATGAAAGAAAGGGGTTTTGGTCTCTGAGCTTGGCTGAATTAGCAAATTCTTATGTGTGGCTTAGAGTTTCTTCTTCAATTTCAGTGCTTCCTTCAGATCTTTTTTCCTAAAAATTACTTGTCAGTTTAGCTTGATTCTGACCTGTTGCTGCAATATATGTCTCAGTAACCTGAAAAAAAAAAAAAAACTCTGTTTCAACCAGTGATCTTGGCTCTGCCTCCCTCTGCGGGAGCCAGATTTATTTTTGCTCACGGAGTGTTTTTCCTTCCCTCCCTGTTTAGTGGTTTATTTGCTGCCATTAAGTACACATTAAGCACAGTTTTGTGGTTTGAGTGTTTTTTTTTTTTTTTCTTATTTAGCCAATATCATTCAGTTCTGGGAAGCAAAGATGCTCATGATGTTGGTTTGAGCCCAGGAAATTCAGTGGGGGTTGGGGGGAATGTCCTAATTCATACAATTACTGTATTAACAGCCTTTCAGTAAGTTGCTATTAAAAAAAAAAAAAAAAAGTCAGCCAGGCACGGTGGCTCATGCCTGTAATCCCAGCACTTTGGGAGGCTGAGGCAGGCAGATCACCTAAGGTCAGGAGTTCAAGACCAGCCTGACCAACATGGAGAAACCCCATCTCTACTAAAAATACAAAGTTAGCCAGGGGAGGTGGTACATGCCTGTAATCCCAGCTACTTGGGAGGCTGAGGCAGGAGAATTGCTTGAACTGGGAGGCGGAGGTTGCAGTGAGCCAAGATCGCACCATTGCACTCCAGCCTGGGCAACAAGAGAGAAACTCCATCTCAAAAAAAAAAAAAAAAAAGTCACCCGGGTGCAATGGTGTACTCCTGCACTCCAGCTACTCAGGAGGCTGAGGTGGAAGGATGGCTTGAACCCAGGATTTCTGAGCTTTAGAGGGGCCAGGAATTCACAAGGTCAAGAGGATGTGTGCGCTCAGAGCCAGTGTGCTCCCCTTCTGGGCCAGGCACCAGGTATATGGGACCCAGTATTCCCTATCCCAGTAGCCCTGGGCTCACTTCTGGGCCCTGAGTGGGCCCCTTCCCCAAGGCATCCTCCCACCCTGACCCCTGTGCTGGTGCTTGTACCCCTGAGGCTAAGGGGTGGCTGATGGTGGCCATTTACAGGTGTGTGGGCATGCATGTTGGGTTGTCCACATGTGTGGGCTCTGAAAGCAAGGGTGAGATGATGCATAGGCCAGCCCTTGAAGGTCATTCAGGCATGGCACTGAGATTTTAAATTTGAACCTGGCCCTTCCACGGTGTCCTGAGATATATTTGTCAAAATAGAAAGAACATACTTTACTTGGCAGTTTATTTACTTGATTTATAACTCCTCAAAAGTTGGAGGCACGGTATGTGGCCTTCCTTTGTATTCCTTCCCCAGTTTGCAAATGTTAGGAGTGGCCCGTGAAGGTTGAGAACCCAGAAAATCTGAGACAGGTCTCAGTTACTTTAGAAAGTTTATTTTGCCAAGGTTAAGGACACATGCCTCTGACAGCCTCAGGAGGTCCTGATGACATGTACCCAAGGTGGTCAGAGCACAGTTTGGTTTTATACATTCTAGGGAGATATGAGACATCAATCAACATATGTAAAATGAACATTGGTTCGGTCCAGAAAGGCAGGACAACTCAAAGTGAAAGTGGGACAACTCAAAGCGGGGAGGGGGCTTCCAGGTCACAGGTAGGTGAGAGACAAACGGTTGCATTCTTTGAGTTTCTGATTAGCCTCTCCAAAGGAGGCAATCAGATATGCATTTATCTCAGGGAGCAGAGGGTTGACTTTGAATAGAATGGGAGGCAGGTTGGCCCTAAGTAGTTCCCAGCTTGACTTTTCCCTTTAGCTTAGTGATTTGGGGGCCCCAAAATTTATTTTTCTTTCACAAGGTTTAGAGTTCAGTGCTCAGGTGTACACAGTGCTGCATATGTAAAATACACAGCCCAGCCTGTCCTCGCATGTCAAGGGGCTTTCTGCATTTTTGTTGTGTATTATGAAGAAGGTGCCTGAGTATTTCCATTTCTCCCTAGCAGATTTTCCACTGCCTGACTTGGAAATGCATGTGCTCCCATGGTCACGTGGCCCCCTTGGATGAACACAGTGACTTTGTGAGCAGTCTGCTGATGCTGACACTCCTGCAGCAGCCTTCTGAGCAGTCAGGGGAGTATGAACAAGATATGCTTCTTTTGTGAAAAAAATTTCTAAAAGCACATGCTTCCTCGGCACTTACTCATTCTTCCTTTGAGTCCATGTAGGTGCTTATTTCACGGTATTTTGCAGAAATTTGTTTATATTCCTGTCTCCCCTCCTAGGTTCTGAGCTCTTCAAAAACGGGTACTGTGTCTTGGTTCTCTTTAGATTTCCAGCACCCAGCTCTGTGCTCCACAGACAGATAATGAGCATCATGGTGCGATATAATAAATAAGATATATATTTAGTCTTTCTCTCTGGTTGCTGGCTCAGAGCTCTTAAAACCTCCGAATTTCCTGAGTGGTAGGAATGTCTTTTGTCTGCTAGTGAGTGGACTCAAGGGGTGGGGTAGCAGCGGTTATAGCTTCAGGGTGGCGGCTGATCACCAGAAAAATCAATCACATGATTAGAGGGTTAGAATGTTCAGCTCTACACTTCACCGCCCCCATGAAGGGGAGAGGCGTTGGAGTTGAGTTCAATCACCAATGGTCAATGATTCGATCAATCATGTCTAAGTAATGAGGTTTTGATTGACACTATGAGCCTAAGGGAACATCTGGGTTGATGAACACATCCACATGCTGGGCAGGGGTGTACCCCATCACTCCCCTGATACTGTGCCCCATGAGTCTCTTCCATTTGGCTGTTCCAGAGTTTATCCTTGATAATAAACCAGTCATTGTAATTAAAGTGCTTTCCTGAGTTCTGTGAATTGTTCTAGCAGATTACCAACCCTGAAGTGGAGACATGGGAGCCCCCAAATGTGTCTCCAGGTTAGACAGAAGTGTAGGTAGCCTGGGGACCTGGGACTTGTGACTGGCGTCTGAAGTGAGGGCAGTCTTGTAGTACTGAGCCCTTAAGCTGTGGGGCCTGCACTGTTTCCGGATACTTAGTGTCAGAATTGAATTGAATTGTTTAACACCCAGTTGGTATGAGAGAATTGGTTGGTCTTGGGACACTATATTTGTTGTTGAAAAATACCACCACGTATGTACTAGACTAATAATTGAGGCAAAGCATAAAGCCTGAATTGGCTCTAACTGCAGAATTTACTCCAATTTTGTTAAATATTAAGAATTATATGGCAGTTTAACATTCCTTCTGTTGAAAGATAGGGTCCATGTCCCTTCCCTTGGATGTGAACAAGTTTATAACTGTTTTAACCAAGATTGTGTAGTGGAAGTGACACCATTTACCATCATGGGTGACAATTGGCTGGGGCCAGTGTTGCAGGTGGTAAAATAATTTACCAAAACAATAATGAGTTAAAAAGGCTAGTTTATTAGAAAGAAAGCACATTGCAAAGAAGCAACCGGCCACACAGCAGAGAAGGGGCTGCCTGCAATGCAACAGGGGCTGGAGGGAAGTTTTATAGGGTCGTGCTGGAGGGGTTATGTGCAGATAGGATCATGCTGATGGGGCCATGTGCAGAGTGAGGTATTTGAAAACAGATGTTTTTGGTTAGCTGTCTCTTAGAACAATTGCTTTCCTCCACCAAAGGCCTCTACTTCATTGTTGCTAACTTATCAGGACTCCACATTTACTTCCAAGGCTAGGTCATAAAAGGTCATGCAGCTTCCATCTGGTTCTTTCTTAGAATGCTTGCTCTGAGGATCCCTTTTGGAATCCAGTTGCCATACTGTGAGACACCCCAGCTACAAGGCAGAGCCATGTGCAGGTGTTCTGGTCAAGCGTCTCAGCTGAGCCAGACCATTAAGTCATCCCTGCCAGGTGCCAGCCATGTGAACACAGAAGCCTCCAGATGTTTCCAGCCCCCAGATGTTTGAGACACCCTAACCATTCAACTTCCCAGCTGAGGCCCCAGAATCCTGAAGCAGAGACATGCCAACCAAATTCCTGGCCCACAAAATTTATGGGCATTATCTCCTGACTTTTGTTTTATACCAGTGTACTTGGGGTAGCTTTTCTTTTTTTTATTTTTATTTTTATTTTACTTTAAGTTCTGGGATACATGTGCAGAACATGCAGGTTTGTTAATAGGTATACATGTGCCATGGTTGTTTGCTGCACCCATCAACCCATCATCTAGGATTTAAGCCCCGCATGCATTAGGTATTTGTCCTAATGTTCTCCCTCCCCTTCCCCCCACCGCCCCCTGACAGGTCCCGGTGTGTGATGTTCCCCTCCCTGTGTCTCTGTGTTATCATTGTTCAACTCCCACTTATGAGCGAGAACATGCAGTGTTTGGTTTTCTGTTCCTGTGTTAGTTTGCTGAGAATGGGGTAGCTTTTCACAGGAATAGTAACCAGAACACATGTCCTCAACATTGTGTAATGACCAGCTGTTTAAAACTCATTTTCTTTACTTTAAGTTATTCTATTTAAGGGCCATTATATTGCAAATGTATATAAAAATTAGGCTCTCAGAATTCTGTTAATTGTTAATTATTGAAAGAAGGGTTTTTTTAATGCAATAAATTATGGTTTTACAGGATGCATGGAAATATTTTTCATGCATGGCAATTATCTTACTACATAAATATTTCTACACAGCTCTGATTATTCCCTTAGATAAATTCCTAGAGATGGATCTGCTGGGTCAAGTGGCATGCATGTTTTAGAGATCACTGATTCACATGACCAGGTTATCAAAACCTGCTTCTCATTCAACGCCCTTCCTCTTCCAGGCTTGGGGACTGCCCTGGGGTGGGGATTTGGCCTGCTCTTTCCTGCCTCCTCCTCCCCCTCACTCTGCTGCTTCCAAGTCCTCCAGAGCAGGGGTTAGGGAGGGGTGGAAAAGATAGGAAAAGGACAAAAGTCTGTTTACCTGGCATGGTCATCTCTTGGGGTTTCATGTCCTCCAAGTGTTAGACATGAATACACTAGGTCTCTTGTGGAGCACTTGGGAAAGTCCTTTGGGATGTCTTTGGGATGCCTCCCTCAACATAGGTGCCTCACAGGGAACATGTGCTTCTATTGCCCCTGCTCCCCAACTCCAGCCCATGCTAGAGAACCCCAGAGGCTCTTGCTGCCAGTCTGTCTCCCTGTAGGGAGTCATATCCAGGCAGGGTGTCAGCAAAGGTGGCACAAGCCTGGCTTCCTTCCACGGTGTCCACTTGGCCACGGGCAACTCATGCATCCCTATCATACCAAATAAGGTGGAGGTGGGGGCAAGAGCAAGTGCTTCCTCTCTTTGTGGTGCCATCTCTAGCCAGTTCCTTTTTTTTCTGCTCAACTGATAGAGAATCTGAATCAGCAATACACTCTTTAAGCAAATGTTCAGAAAATGAGATGCCTGTCTCTCTTCAATACTCCCAAACTCTATGATTCATCTGGATCAGGGCCTGGGGAGCATTTTCCCCTAGGTCAGAAACTCCCTAATTCCTCCAGTTTTCATATCTTGGGCTCATAGAGACTTCAGTGAGAGTGGGCATGGGGCCGGGGAGAGGAGGCTGAGCACTGTGGGGTTGGGCTGGAGTGTGGAATTGACCATAGCATGGAGAGTCGGGCAGGGCCTCTATGCTTTGCCTCTTTGCTTTATGACCAATAGTCAAACAACAGAAGTTTTGTTTGAGATTGTCTTATAGTGATTGGTTTAATAATCATAGAATATTCTCCACGATGGATACAATGTAGCCATTCAAAATCCAAGGACAACTTAATGGGAAATATTTATTGATATGCACATATTGATACATATGTAATGATGTATTGCTGAAGGAGTAATGTATGTGCCCAAACCACATAATTCCCCATTTATAAAATACATAGTATATATTTATAGATGCATAGAAAAAAATTATTAGAAGAACAGTCACCAAACCATTTTCTCAGAAGGATAAAATTATTGGTGATTTCTTCTCTGTGCTTTTTGGGGTTTTCAAATTTCTATGATGAGTACCTGTTACTCTGATAAACTTAAAAATTGTTTCTGAAATATAAAACTAAATGTTAAACCTCCTCTTTATCCACACTCTCCTACAAATGTTCTTTCTCTTTAATACCTTTTGGGTTTTCAATATCAAGGGAGCTGTTCTCCTTCAAAGCAAGTGAAGGAGCAGAAATAAAATCCACATGTGCTGCTGCTAAATTCTCCACAGTCAGCAAGAGCACGCAGGTGCAAGGCCCACGGCAGCAGAGGCCAGCGGAGTTCAGACAAGGCAGCCACAGCAGCAAGGGTTTCAGGAAGAGTCCCTGGAGTGGTGGCTTGCATCCTAGGTTGCACATTGGAACCACCTGGCATACTTTAAAAACTACTCATGCCTAAGGCAGCAGGATTTTAAAAACCAGAGTGATGCTAGTGTGCAGCCAAGATTAGGAACCCTTGCCAGAGAGTGGGAGCCTCACCTGATTTCCAGGCACCTTCTCCAGGAGTTTCCTGTGTCTTCTCTTACGTGAATTGTCTGAAAGCATTTGATTACAAATGCAGTCTCCAAAATTATAACTCAAAGTAGGGGGCAAGAAAAAAGAGTTTTAGGCCATATGCTGGATTGAATAGTGTCCCCCAAAAGATTTATATCCACCTGGAACCTTATAATATGACCCTGTTTGGAAATAGGGTCTTTGCAGAGGTAATGAAGTGAAGACAAGGTCATACTGGAACCGATTAAGGTAAATCCCAAAGCGAATGACTGGCGCCCTCATAAGAAGAGGGAGATTTGAAGGCACACAGACACACAGTGGGAAGAAGGCCATGTGAAGATGGAGGCAGGAATCCATCTGCCATGATGCAACTACAAGCCAAGGAATGCTCAGAACTGCCAGCCCCATCAGAAGCTAGAAGGGAGGCATGGAGTAGATTCTCTCAGAGCCTCTGGAAGGATCAATCCTGTTGACATCTTGATTTTATTACAGCAGCCCTGGGAAACTGCTAGTTTCAGAACTGTTTCAGAAGTCTGACCCCAGAAGCAGTGAAACGATGCTCTGCAAGAGGTAACAGACTCATCAGTGCAGCCTTTACTGGACCTCAAAGGACTCTGTCTTGCATGCCCACTTTTGTTTGTGTGCATAGAAAAAAAAATGCATCTTACACCATCCATGTCAATTTTTTTTCAATTATGTGTACACAGGACCTATTTGGTTGGCAAGGTGGAAAAAACCCCCACACTATACATTTTGTTCCATTGCTTTTCCTAGCTCAGTCAGGAGACCTTTCTTATTAGATTCACTCACTTTGTAACTAATAATAATTGCCAGCTTTTGAAAAGCAATTACTTCTAAGTAAAACAAGCACTTCTCTGAAAGAGTCAGATAAAGCTGTGCATACTGTAAATAAGACACTCTATGAGTAGGAGTTTGCTATTTCTGCTTCAATCTTGGAAAATTTCTTTCATTGACACTATCTTTAATAGAGAAAGGGAGATGATGAGGCCTTATGTGGTCATTTACTTTATTCTCCAGCTTTCCAGTGGACAGCACGAATTATGTAAATTAAGTTGCATTCAACTGAATAATTAATTATCACATGCCCTAGATCTATAATAGGGGCTGGGAATGCCAAGTGACCACCACCCTTAGGAAAACCATAGGAGTGGTAGACAAGTAACAACACATTAGATAGAGCACAGAGCAGGAGCTCAAAGCAGAAGAAATACATTGGAGCTAGAGGGACCATGGAATGACTTTCCTATTAGATGGTGAATTGTACATGAATGTTTATCTGCTCTGTCCTGAAAAATGCACTAAAATGAGAGAAGAGCAATAAAAATAAATATACATAAACCCAAAAGGACCAAGAGAATTGGGGAAGACACCACAATGAATGAAAACCACCATTGGATTTGGTAGGATGGAAACTAAATGAAGTAGAGGAACGGAAAAATCTGACTACAAAGTGTCTGCAGAGGTGATATTGATCAGAGAAACCAGCTCCACCCAAAGAGAGGGTGGAGAACTGGAGACACATAAGCTATCAGAGGTCATGATGGGCATAAAGTGAAAAACAAGAGGTTTTGGTTGAAGTTCTGTTTTAAGTAGATGTTAGACCCCAGGTTGTTCACCATCCGGAGCAGCTAGGAGGCCACTCCTCCCTACCCAAGTAGAGACTTACTCTTGGAGAGGAGGAGCCAGAGGGGCTCCACAGCACAGAGTGGGGCAAAGTGCCATACTGAGGGCACTTGACCTGCTGAACTGGAAGACTCCCAGCCCTCTTTGCCCCGCATCCCAAGGGTGCAGATGAGACAGCCCGGTGGGAGGGGGTCCCTGGAGTAACTCCAGCCAGGTGCCCACTGAGGTGGAGCCTGGGGAAGTTCAGGACATTTGCAGCAGGGAGGAGCCTGGCCCCTCCTCTTCCTGGGTGGAACCTGGGATTCAAGCAGCTGGAGGGAAGTGCTCTAGCAGAGGGACTCTGGTCTTGCGAGGGTCCCTGTTTCCCCCTTTTCTTCCTTTTTACCCAATAAAACCCTGTTGTACTCACCATTTACATTGTCTGCCAGCCTGAATTTGTGTGGCCATGGGACTGTGCACCCAGAATATCTGAGACAGGTCGTAGTTAATTTAGAAAGTTTATTTTGCCAAGGTTGAGGAGGCACCCGTGACAGAGCCTCAGGAAATCCTGACGACATGTGCCCAAGGTGGTCAGGGCACAGCTTGGTTTTATACACTTAGGGAGACAAGACACATCAATCAATATATGTAAGAAGTACATTGGATTGGTCGGAAAAGGCGGGACAACTTAAAGTCAAAGCAGGAAGACTGGGAGCGGGGAAGGAGCTTCCAGGTCAGAGATAGGTGATACACAAATGGTTACATTCTTTTGAGTTTCTGATTAGCCTTCCCAAAGGAGGCAAATCGGATATGCATCTATCTCAGTGAGCAGAGAAGTGACTCTGAATAGAATGGAAGGCAGGTTTGCCCTAAGCAGTTTCCGGCTTGAGTTTTCCTTAGTGATTTTGGGAGCCCAGGGTATTTTTCTTTCACAGGAAAAAGAACCCCGTTTTTAGCTGAACTTAGGAAAAGTCCTGCAACATTTTTGGTGCGCAACTTGGGGGCTCCAGAAGCCGCAAGTGAAATGAGGACTCAAAGTCTCTCACTCTTGCTCTTAAGCCTTTTCGTCCTCAGACCCTCGGACTTTTGAGGGTGGGGGAAACCATGCCGTCAACCCTCATTGCTCTGGGGCCTCTTCATGGCCTTTTCCTTCCTTTTTCAGGACAGATTGGAGAGCAGCAGCTCCCCACCGCTCTCCCCTCCCTGCTGGGGCTGAAACACATGACCCAAGGTTCCAGGGGCGGCTGGCTGGCGTTTTCCCCCAAGAGCCGCTGGAGTCTCTTTTTCTGGCTAAGAGATTCAGCTCCATTGGACAGTAATTAAACTTTTCTCCCTGGTGGAGGAACCACTTGCAAAAGAATAAGCGATTCTTCCCCAGGCATTTTTAAGCCTTTTCTTTCCCCTTCTCTACCCCATCAGCAAGTTAACTTTTAAAAGGATTTTTCTTTCTCTTAGAAGATATTGTACTAGGCTAGGACCCCCCAACTATCACTGTATTCTCTGCAAAGTTTTGGTGGTGGAATCAAGCCTCCATCTTGTTTTACATCCGGAGGGCATGGCTGGTAACCTCTTGGCAAGGCTTTGTTTGGCAATCCTGCCAGAGGGGATGAGCCCTCTCATGTTCCATATCTGCATGTTTTCCTAGCCCTGTTGGAACAGGAATTAAAAGAAATTAAACAGTGTGTAAGCAGAAACTCAATTGTATGTAAGAAAACCCAGTTCCCCCTGAGAAAGAGAAAGAGCTGGAGTCCTTTAAAAATTAACTGCCTGTTTTTCTGTGGCTAATGAGCCTTGTCTCTCCTCCTTTCCTAGGCATTGTGAAGAGCCTGTTTCCCTAGCTGTGCAGCTGCAAGGTCACTAGACAGATAAACGCAAGTCATAAGACATGTTTTTCCTTGAAAAGTAAGAAATGATGTAATGCATGTTTCAATTAACTGGATAACTGCCTGTGTTTCTCACTTCTGTAGTATGCTTCCCCCTGCACAGATCTCCCCCCGCCCCACGAAATACTTAAAAGGTAACTTAACTCTTTGTTCAGGGCTCAGTCCTTTGGATGTTAATCCGACTGGGCTGGTGCACCTAAATAATAAATATCCTCCTGAACCCCATCAGTCTCTCTGATTCCTTAAAAATCCCGCAACACTGTCTCTTAAAGGGCCCCACACAGCAACTGGGTTTTCTTCTGCCTGTCTGTGTGTATACTGTGTGTAATGTCTATAAAAAGAGCTCTAATTAATTTGGCCTAAAGAAAGACGAGCGCTTGGATCTAATATTTTTTAAAGGGAAGATAAAATCTGTCGTACCTTTCAGTTCACGAGACTTTAATCTTTAAGAAATAAGACAGCCCTAAAGACTATTGGTAAAATGCAGGTCAGATACAAGGTTTGCTAAGTGTTTTAAAGTTATAAACTGCTTTTGGGGTTTTGAGAACTATTTGACTTGCCAGCTTCACAACTGGTAGGGCCTGGGGACATATGGAACTAACCACACCCTTAATTAAGAAGGCAAACCTTGGCTGCAGTTCGCACACAATTAAAGCAACCTAACAAGTTTTACCTTAAAGTGAAAATTTGCTAGGAGTTAATTGAAACTACTAGAAATAGATTTACATGCAAGGTGTGTGGAAACAGTAAACTGTGTTTTTTAGTAAAAGGTTGTAAGAAGGCATGGAAATGTGAACTTTTCCTAGGGTTAAAGGATTGTTTTGAGGGAAAAAGCTGAAGGTTCAAAGAAGTGGTGGAAGAATTGTGGAACTTAAATCTTGCAAAAGAGGTTCTCTGTGTGAACATATTGACTAAATTCAAAAAAGCGTATTATATGATTTTTCTGTAAATTGAGCATTGAAATAAAAGCATAAAAAGGTTTTCCTAAGGCACTAATCTGCTTTTTGGCAAAATTTATAAAGGCATATGAAAGGTTTTTGCTTCTTTAAAATTTCTGAGTCACGATATTGGCAAAATAAATAACTTATGGTAATTTGGGATTCTATTTCATAATATCAAGTGTTTTAAACCTCAAACATTTAACAGCCTTCCCAAAATCAAACTTCAGTTTCAAAATTGTCTTCCCTGGCACCTGACTTTTCAGATGTTTCAGAGGGCCCCTTAAGTGTCCAAAAAAGAGTGGTAAACAAGATTATTTGACATGTTTAGGTACATAGGATTGCCAAAATGACGCTCAATATTCTTTAGATT
This sequence comes from Homo sapiens, assembly GCF_000001405.40. Classification (NCBI taxonomy): domain Eukaryota; kingdom Metazoa; phylum Chordata; class Mammalia; order Primates; family Hominidae; genus Homo; species Homo sapiens. The sequence continues at coordinate 109,879,204 of NC_000006.12, forward strand.
ATATTTTTGTGAATAATGCTGACAGACAGGACTAGCTGGATTTCCTAGGCTGACTAAGAATTCCTAAGCCTAGCTGGGGAAGGTGGCCATACCCACCTTTAAACACAGGGCTTGTAACTCAGCTCACACCCGACCAATCAGGTAGTAAAGACAGCTTACTAAAATACCAATTAGGCTAAAAGCAGCAGGTAAAGAAATAGTCAATCATCTATCGCCTGAGAGCACAGGGGGAGGGACAATGATTGGGATATAAACCCAGGCATTCGAGCAGGATCGAGCAACCCCCTTTGGGTCCCCTCCCTTGGTGTGGGAGCTCTGTTTTCACTCTACTAAATCTTGCAACTGCACACTCTCCTGGTCCGTGTTTGCTCCGGCTTGAGCTGAGCTTTCGCTCGCCGTCCACCACTGCTGATCACCACCGTCGCAGACCTGCCACTGACTTCCACCCCTCTGGATCTGGCAGGGTGTCTGCTGCACTTCTGAGTCAGCGAGGCACCCATTGCCGCTCCCAATCAGGCTAGAGGCTCACCATTGTTCCTCCGTGGCTAAGTGTCCGGGTTTGTCCTAATTGAGCTGAACACTAGTTGCTGGGTTCCACGGTTCTCTTCCGTGACCCATGGCTTCTAATAGAGCTATAACACACACTGCATGGCCCGAGGTTCCATTTCTTGGAATCCGTGAGGCCAAGGACCCCAGGTCAGAGAGCAAGAGGCTTGCTGCCATCTTGGGAGTGGCCCACCACCATCTTGGGAGCTCTGGGAGCAAAGACCTGCCAGTAACAATGCTAATGTATGTTCCAAAATTGTATGAACTTTCTAAAATTCTAATGTCTAAGTATATGCTACCAATCATAATTAAGGTTGTTAAGTTATTGTAAACCACAGAGATAACCAAACTTCTTTGTCAATTGTGTTTTTTTTTTTATACTTTAAGTTTTAGGGTACATGTGCGCAACGTGGAGGTTTGTTACATATGTATACGTGTGCCATGTCGGTGTGCTGCACCCATTAACTAGTCATTTAACATTAGGTATATCTCCTAATGCTATCCCTTCCCCCTCCCCCCACCCCACCCCACCCCACCCCACAACAGGCCCTGGTGTGTGATGTTCCCCTTCCTGTGTCCATGTGTTCTCATTGTTCAATTCCCACCAATGAGTGAGAACATGCTGTGTCTGTGTGTCCAGAATTGGTGGGTTCTTGGTCTCACTGACTTCAAGAATGAAGCCGCGGACACTTGCGGTGAGTGTTACAGCTCTTAAGGTGGCGCGCCTGGAGTTTGTTCCTTCTGACGTTCAAATGTGTTTGGAGTTTCTTCCTTCTGGTGGGTTCATGGTCTCGCTGGCTTCAGGAGTGAAGCTGCAGACTTTCACGGTGAGTGTTACAGCTCATAAAAGCAGTGTGGACCCAAAGAGTGACCACTAGCAAGATTTACTGCAAAGAGCGAAAGAACAAAGCTTCCACACAGTGGAAGGAGACCCGAGTGGGTTGCCACTGCTGGCTCTGGCAGCCTGCTTTTATTCTCTTATCTGTCCCCACCCACGTCCTGCTGATTGGTAGAGCCCAGTGGTCTGTTTTGACAGGGCACTGATTGGTGCATTTACAATCCCTGAGCTAGACATAAAGGTGCTCCACATCCCCATCACATCAGTTAGATACAGAGTATGGACACAAAGGTTCTTCCAGGCCCCACCAGAGCAGCTAGATATGGAGTGTCGATTGGTGCATTCACAAACGCTGAGCTAGACACAGGGTGCTGATTGGTGTGTTTACAAACCTTGAGCTAGATACAGAGTGCTGATTGGTGTATTTACAATCCCTGAGCTAGACATAAAGGTTCTCCACATACCCACCAGACTCAGGAGCCCAGCTGGCTTCACCCAGTGGATCCTGCACCGGGGCTGCAGGTGGAGCTGTCTGACAGTCCCGCGCCATGCGCTTGCACTCCTCAGCCCTTGGGTGGTCGATGGGACTGGGCCGTGGAGCAGGGGGTGGCACTCGTCAGGGAGGCTCAGCTGCACAGGAGCCCATGGAGGGGGTGGGAGGCTCAGGCATGGCGGGCTGCACGTCCCGAGCCTTGCCCCGCGGGAAGGCAGCTAAGGCCCGGTGAGAAATTGAGCACAGCGCTGGTGGGCTGGCACTGCTTGGGGACCCAGTACACCCTCCACAGCTGCTGGCCCGGGTGCTAAGTCCCTCATTGCCCAGGGCCAGCAGGGTTGACCGGCTGCTCCAAGTGCGGCCCGCCAAGCCCACGCCCACCCAGAACTCCAGCTGGCCTGCAAGGGCCGCACGTAGCCCCGGTTCCCGCTCGCGCCTCTCCCTTCACACCTCCCTGCAAGCTGAGGGAGTGGGCTCCGGCCTTGGCCAGCCCAGAAAGGGGCTCCCACAGGCCAGCCCAGAAAGGGGCTCCCACAGTGCAGCGGCAGGCTGAAGGGCTCCTCAAGTGCCACCAAAGTGGGAGCCCAGGCAGAGGAGGCACCGAGAGCGAGTGAGGGCTGTGAGGACTGCCAGCACGCTGTCACCTCTCATTTGGTTTTTTGTCCTTGTGATAGTTTGCTGAGAATGATGGTTTCCAGCTTCATCCATGTCCCTACAAAGGACATGAACTCATCATTTTTTATGGCTGCATAGTATTCATGGTGTATATGTGCCACATTTGTCAATTGTGTTTCTAATTGTAACTATCCTGGACATTTTGATATTCACAGACAATTGTTGTCTTGTTCTAATCCTTTTCATAGATGGTTTATGTTAAAATACCAAAATTGTTAGAAATAGATAATTGGTGCCATGAAGAAAAGTCAGCATGGAGACAAAAGATCTCTCAGCAAGGCAATCTTTACTTTCTGCAGAAAGGATGCTCAGTCGCAGATGGAACAATGGTGAGAGCACACCTGAACAAAGGAAAAGCAGACATATTTATCATTTATGCATTTGGGTCATCCTTACTGCTGTGTCCTGCATGCATTGGCTGGAGTTGGACCTCACACTCTTAAACTGATACCCTATTTGCTAATAACCTAAAACTTTCCTAAATAGGTAAGTGCAGGGAAGAACAAAGGAGGAGAGGGAGTTGCTTACAGAAGGTTTAAGGAAGCAATAACATTACCAAATAAGCCAGGGGCATAAGCTATGAGCTAAGACTTGCCTGGGCCTGTCCAGACATGCCTGAGTAAGCCAAAGCAACTAACTGGGCTAAAGTGTAAGAACTAATAGTTGATAGGAGGCTTTAGAGTAAGGAACTATTATTCCTAGTGTCTATTATTTTATTTTTAAACCAAGATGAGCTTTGAAGAAGAACTTTTCTACTCTCTACAGTTTATAATGAGCTATAGAACTTTAACAGGAGGTCTCAAATACAGGCTTCTGATAACTTTAGAGATTGTAACATTGGAATAAAGGAAAATGTACAAGACTCATGAAGAGCGGAAATGTTCACAAATATCAAGCAAAACAAGAGTTAACTAAATGGACTGAACTCAGAAAGCTGAAGCAACCTTTTTGTTTTTTGCTTGGAATATTGCTGATCCTTGTTTTGTTTTTCAAAGTCAAGGAAACTTATTTTAAACTATTTACCAGCTATACAAAATAGTTTCCTTCTTTATATCCTTATTCTATAAGCTTTTTTTCTGTTTTTAATTTTTAAAATATTCTTTACTTTGTAAACTTGTTTGTTAAAAATGAAAATGCAGGCTGGGAATGGTGGCTTATGCCTGTAATCCCAGCACTTTGGGAGGCCGAGTCAGGCGGATCACCTAACATTAGGAGTTTGAGACCAGCCTGACCAACATGGAGAAACCCCATCTCTACTAAAAATACAAAATTAGCCAGGTGTGGTGGTGCATGCCTGTAATCCCAGCTACTTGGGAGGCTGAGACAGGGGAATCACTTGAACCTGGGAGGCGGAGGTTGCAGTGAGCTGAGATCGGGCCATTGCACTCCAGCCTGGGCAATAAGAGCAAAACTCCATCTCAAAATAAATAAATAAAATAAATGAAAACCCAAACACACACATTAGCCAAGGCCTAATCATCAAGGTCAGGATCATCAATATCACTGTCTTCCACCTCCACATCTTGTCCCACTGGAGGTCTTCAGGGGCACTAACACATGTGCAGCTGTCATTTTCTATGTGATAATGACGCCTTCTTCTGGAATACTTCCTGAAGGTCCTGCCTGAGGCTGCTTTTCAGTTAACTATATGTATGTATTTATATGTAGGAATACACTCTAAAATAATGATTAAAAGTATAGTATATGAGTTTCAAGTCAAGACTCAATGTAAAAATATATGTAGTATAGTAAATACGTAAGCCAGTAGCATTGTCATTTATTATCATTACAGGTATTATGTACTGTATGTAATTATATGTGCTGTGCTTTTATATGACTAGTGATGCAGTAGATTTGTTTACATAGTTATTCCCGCAGGCACGTGGGTAATACATTGTGCTATGATGTTATGACGGCTAGGACATCACTAGGCAATAGGAACTTTTCAGCTTCATTATAATTTTGTGGGACCACCATCGTATATGTGGTCTGTGATTGACTGAAACATCATTGTATGGTGCCTGACTGGTCAACAGCCTGGGAGAGAGAAAGCATCCTCAAACCAAGAAGAGTTTTCTATTAAAGAGGAATGTTGGGAGAACAATATAAAAACTCATGGACATTAAAAATATGATAGGAACAGAAACAAAAAATAAACTGACTAACTGATGATTTAACTCTATGAAAAATAGCAGTCAGAGGAGTTCTATAATTTTGTTGGAGAATTTGTGAAGAATTTGTGCTAGTAATATAAAGTTAAGCTTAAATAAAATGTCAGTATCTATAGGAAAACACAAAAATGTTGTACAAGAAAGAAAATAGAATTATATTATTTGGCTTGGCAGTGAATAACAATTATGTGATCAAAATAGCAGAAACACTGAACATTGACTGAAAATGATTGTTATCACTGAGTTGGAAGGTGGGAAAGTGGCAGTAAGACATAAAATAAAACTGTCAAATCCTTATAATAAGAAGTCAATAATTAATGTATCAAGTTGATAAATTTGATGTTAAATCAAGTTAAGCCTACAGCTGCCTCCTTACATATTTTAAGTTCAGCCTAAAGGTTTCTTTGTTCATCATGAACTATAGCCTAAATGGAGTTTGATACAGACCGTAGCCAACTCTTGTACCAATTACTGAGTTTTGGGCAATCAAAGGTGGCCAAGTGTTCAAACCATGTTCAAATAAGGCAAACACCCAGGTATCACCAATCCAGGTGTTTCTGTAGCTCACTTCTGTTTTCTGTACATCACTTTCCATTTCCTGTCCATAAATATTCCACCACATAGCTTCACTGGAGTCTCTGAGCCTACTCTGGCTTAACATGCTGCTCAATTTGTGGATTATTCTTTGCTCAATTAAACTCTTAAAATTAATTTGGCTAAGGTTATTCTTTTAACAAATGGTGTGAGAAGTGAGATCTGAAGTAGAGCTTCTAACAACCCCCCTGAGCGCTGAGTGACCAAGTGAGGTACCCACCGGGCCCATTATGTACATTGCTCTCTCAGAGCAGCTGGAGATTGTGGTAAATTCCCTCTTGAATTCCAAAGCTCTATGGATTTGTATTTTGAGCTCTCTGAGTTTCTTTGAGCAAATTTCTGATCCAAACTGGGTTTGGAAGTCCCAACAGAAACTGGACTGGGTCCACGATTGAATTGGATCTGATAATTAACTGGCTTGAATCCAGTTAGATGACTCTTATGGAGGACTGAGTGGCAATACTGCAGGGGCTGTAGCTGTAAAATTTGGCTTTTGGAAATTCGCAGGGATTTTTGTGTTTACCTATTTTGTTTTATTTTTCTTGCACATTCAAGTAGGAAAAAATCTTTGGCTAAGTTGACCAGGGAACCTGAGAGCATTTCAATGGGAGGATCCAGTCACAGGCACAAAGGAACAGCTCACCTGGACTAGACTCCCACAAGGATAAAAAACTCTCCCACAATCTTTGCAGAGGCATTGGCTGCTGACCTCAAGGCCTACACCCCACCGGACGACAACTGCACCTTGCTACAATATGTGGATGACCTCCTTTTGACAGCCCCAATACGCAAGGACTGCTACTGAGGAACCCAAGGTCTCCCCAACCTCCTATAGAAGGTCAGATATAAGGTGTCCAAGAGAAAAGCTCAAATTTGCCAACAGAAGGTCAAATATTTGGGCTTCGTAGTGACCCAAGGGGAAAGCCAGCTAGGCATTGAATGAAAACAGGCTGTTTGTGCACTCCCAATTCCAGCTACCTGGCACCAGATAAGAGATAAGATAAGAGAGATAAGAGAGTTCTTGGTGGCAGCAGGGTTCTGCCATATCCTCCCACCTCAGCCTCCTGAGTAGCTGAGACCACAGGCATGTACCACCGTGTCTGGCTAATTTTTTATATTTTTGGTAGAGATGATGTTTTGTCATGTTGCCCAGACTGGTCTCAAACTCGTGAGCTCAGGTGATCCACCTGTCTTGGCCTCCCAAAGTGTTGGGATTACAGGTGTAATTGGCCACCACGCCTGGCCAATTGTCATTTTCAGTGCATGTTTTCTGGTTGTATAAAAACTTTCCCATGCAAGAGAGCTGTTGTAACAGTAATAGCTCACTTTACAAAAGTATATATATTTTCACCAGGTAAAAAAAAATACATGGTCTACTCAGTGAAGAAAATCAACCTCTTCATGGTCTACTGACTGGGGAAAATCAACCTCTTCACAATCTAGAACCTGAAGATTGGATCTTTTGAGAACATCAGAGAAAGGCTGTTCTTGCCATACACACTGCAGCAAAACTTCAGGACCTTGACCCACAGTTTTAAGTTCATAATCTCACAACTCGGAAAGGTCCCTCTACATTCTTGGAACTGTACACCTATTGGAAACCTTAAGGTAAAGCTAAACAGGGAAGTTTTTTCCCAGAAGATGGCATCTTTGATGTGGACAGCTTTTTCCCAAGATCACAGATCAAGATTTCTCTACTATTATGAGATTCTTTAATTTTTTTTCCCTTGCTTATGCCTCTATGAACAATAGAAGTGAAAAGCGGGTCTGTTTTGTGAATTCATGGGGTTTACTTTTACTTGTGAAAGATTTTGCAGCCAGCCTTCTACATGGTTAATCTTATACTTTGATATATGGAAGATGAAGGCCCAGTGTGAGTGAGAAATTTCGATGGTACGTACTCATGATCAGTCAGAAACAAAACACTGATGCACTCATCTTACCTACATCATGGGTTGAAGAGAACATTGCCAGGAGGTCTTCACTCTTCTAAAGGGCATCATTTGTTAGGTCTTTTTTTTTTTATGATTTGGAGTAAGTGAAGCAATGTTTAGAAATTTATCCGTAGTGATAGGTTCTATAGCAGATTCTACTGTCAAGGCAGACTTTAAATTCTTTTGTGAACATTATGATAAATAATAGAATTGCTCTAGATGACTTACTGGCTGAAAAAAGAAGTGTCTGTGTTGTGGGAATCAAAGGACAGGAGAGACCAATGGGTTGGACAGGAGGCCCCTGAGCATTTAGCTGGCAGCTGCCAATATGCCTGCAGTCCACAGATCCAATAGAGGCCAGAGGGCGCCTGCCAGGTATTTGGAGCTTCAAGTTGATACCAAGAGTGGTTTAAAGAGGGGAAACGGGAGAATGAACCTGGGTGGGGCAATTTGAAATCATTCTTTCTGCCCCACCATAAAGTCTTTCCTAGCATTTCATTGTAATGTTATTGTCCTAGGCAAGTTAACTCTCCTACTGGATCTGCAAATGCTTTTCCCCAGTGAGCAATGCAGAACTTCCCAATAACAGAGGTTTTTAAGAACCAAATGCTCGGGCTCATGAACGTAGGTTCAGGGGAAGAGACAGTCAGAGTGAAGTTATCTTGGGGCATCAGCTCTCTTGCCTCCCATGGCTATTGGTCCCCCATGGTGGTTCCCTCACAAATGTAGCATGAGGAGATGTGTAAGCTGCTGGCTATGTTTTCAGCCAGTTGGGTGAACAGGTTTCTGGCTAAGAGAAAGGGTTTAGGCAACTCCTGGTGGATATGCTCATAGAATGACTCAAAAACTTGAAATTGTTGGGTTGAATGCTTAATCCGGGTTTTTTTTGGATAATATATAAATAGACTCCTGGATCTGTTCCTTGACCGCTGATCTGTAATGTCATGGGGTAACCTGTAGTCCCTATGGGAAGATCTTGCTTTAAGATAGCGAAATTTAAAGGATTGCAAGTTTTCGTCTTACAATGTGATTTTACCGGCATTTTGGTAAGAGTTACTGCCCCCTGTGGTGTTCTTGCACTTTCCACAGGGTCTGTGGACCATGTTGTGCAGTCCTGACAGTCTTTTTCTGGGGAGTAGGGGGAGCAAAGAGGGGTTCCCTATTGATTGGTTCCTTTCCTTGGAGCACATATATATTTGTGACAGTTACTATAGCATCTCTCCCATGATAGGCTACCACAGGAGACTACGAGATAGGGACCTATGTATGTTGCTTGGCAAGCATCAAAATATAAGGAAATGACCTCCCCCTGGGAGGGAGGGACTTTGGTTTGGTTCAGAAGTCTTCCTTCTTTTGACCCAACATAAACTTTAAACCAGGCTTCAGAAGGTGAGGACTTAGGGTCATAAAATATATAAGGCTGGCCATTTTCTGGGTCACAGATTGAGTAGTTTGTCTGGTTGTGTGTACAAGTTCCCCCAGGGGGTCCCTGTACACTCATAATAAGTGTGGTACAACAGGGTTCTGGTTATGTTGCTCCCTGACCCCATAGTATGAGTGCAGGGGGCCATCCTTCTATGGGTCCCTCTCCCAACACGGATAAGGGTAGTATTATAGTTAGGAGAAAAAGAAGTATGTATTGATGACGTACTTGCATGTTCCACTCTAACTTCGGCCGGTCATAGACTAGTCTGCTTCTGGGGTGACTGGAGCAGGGCTGTTGCCTCCTCAAGCTTCAGCTGTGCATAGACAGGTCAGCTTCCGGAGTGACCAGAGCAGAGCTGCTGTCATCCCTAATGGCAACTTGGTCCCGTCGTAGGATCAGCCAGCTTGGATGGTCTGGGTCCTGTGGGCTGGTCCACTTGTCTTGGATTGCTGGTTTTAGCCGACTGTGGTGGATCCAAGGCACAATTCCTGTAACTTTAATAGCAGTGGGAGTAGCCAACATCACAGTATGGGGGCACTCCCATATGGGTCCCAGAGTGGTTGGATTCCATTTCTCAACCCAAACAGAGTCCCCAGGTTTAAAGGGGGCATACTGAGTCTGTCAGGCTTATGGGTATTCTCTCCTGTACCTAGCCATGGACACCTTGCATGCCTATCCCTAAGGCCTGCATTTGCCTTCTCAAGGTCAATTCCCCTAGTTCATGGACATCACCCTTAATTTGACCTATGATTGAGGGTGGCTGGCCGAACAAGATCTCATGGGGTAAATACCCAGTTTGTTTGGTGGGGATACACCTGACTCAGAGGAGGACCATGGGCAGGACTTGATCCCATCTCAGATGAGTTTCCTAGCAATATTTCTTTAGTAGCTGTTTGAGTGTCTGGTTCATGTGCTCTACTTTTCCTGAGCTCTGTGAGGAACTAACAGCCATGTTAGTTCCTGAACTATTTCAGCTACAAATGCTGGTCTATTGTCTGAATCTAGAGTCAGGAGCAGTCCAAATCTGGGGATAATGTCTCTTAACAGTATTTTAGTCACTTCTCGTGCTTTCTCTGTTTGGGTAGGGAAAGCCTCAACCCATCCCAAAAAGGTGCAGATGAATACTAGCATGTACTGGCAGCCCTCCCCGCTCAGGGCAGCTCGGTGAAGTCCATAAGTAGATTTTCACAGGGTGTGGCTCCCATTTCCTGAATCCCTGGGGGCCGAGTAAGCCCTTGTCATGGGTTGTTCTGGGCACAAATTAGACATTGTTCACAAATGGCTCAGGTGATGGCTGTGAGCCGTGGTCCATAGAAACGGTGTCCCAGTAGCGTTTCCAGTGCCGTTTCCCCCATATGATTTCCTTGATGGAATTGTTATACAAATTTGGGGGCCACCATTTCAGGGATGGCTAGTCTCCCACTGGAGAATCTCCACCACCTCTCTCAATGTATTTTCCAGATTCTCGGCTAAACCAGGCCTTCGCATTTGGAGAATAACTTAGGACCACCGGGAGGGGAGGCTCTGGGAGGAGGGCCATAGCCAGGGCTTCTTCCCTAAGATGCGGAGTGGTCATAGCTGCCCATTTTGCTTCCCTGTCTGCCTTTTTGTTTCCTTTGGGCTGGCCTCCAGTGTTCCCGCCCTTTGGTTCCCCCTGCAGTGTATAATAGCTACCTTCTTTGGGGCCCATACAGCATCTAAGAGTTGTAGAATTTCCTCCTTATACTTTATTTCTTTACCCCCAGCAGTTAAGAGTTCTCTCTCCTTATATATAGCTCCATGAACATGCAATGTGGAAAAGGCATATTTAGAATCAGTATAAACATTGACCCTTTTGCCCCTCGCCAGCAAACAGGCCCTCGTCAGGGATATTAGTTCTGCCTTCTGGGCTGATGTTCTGGTGGGCAGAGGCTGAGCCTCCACCACTAAGTCCAATGTTACCACCACATACTCAGCCCAGTGGACCCCTTCCAGTATAAAACTGCTTCCATCTGTGAAGTATTCAACATCTGGGACTCTAAGGGGGTGGTCCATGAGATCTCCCCAGCTCAAGAATACTTCATCTACTATTTCCACACAGTTATGAAGTGGGGCTCCCGGTTCGACTGGGAGCAAGTTGGCCGGGTTAAGGGTGTTTACTGTTTCTAAAGTTATGTGGGGATTTTCACATAGGAGCCCCTGGTACTGAGTCATCCTTGGATTCAATAACCAATGGTGCCCTCTCTGATCCATTAAAGTTATAATCGAATGCAGTACCCAAATAGTCAGTTTTGCCCTAAAGTCAATTTGTCAGCTTCCTGTGTCAGTATGGTGGTGGCAGCTAGTGCCCTAAGGCAAGGAAGCTACCCTAGCACCACGGAGTCCTGTTGTTTGGATGAATATGTCATCGGGCGATGCAATGATTCTATGACTTAAGTCAGGACTCCTATAGCCATTCCCTTTCATTCATGGACATATAGAAAGAAAGGCTTAGTTATATCCGGCAGTCCTAAGGCTGGGGCCTAAGTTATGGCTTCTTTGATTTGTTTAAATGCCCTTTACTGATCAGCCTCCCAGAGGACGGGCTCCCTTTCCCCACCCTTTGTGTCTTCATATAAGGGCTTGGCCATAAGTGAGAAATTTGGGATCCAGATATGGCAGAACCCTGCCACCACCAAGAACTCTCTTATCTGGTGCCGGGTAGTTGGAATTGGGAGTGTTCAAACAGCCTGTTTTCATTCAATGCCTAGCTGGTGTTCCCCTTGGGTCACTATGAAGCCCAAATATTTGACCTTCTGTTGGCAAATTTGAGCTTTTCTCTTGGACACCTTATATCTGGCCTTCTATAGGAGGTGGGGGAGGCCTTGGGTTCCCCAGTAGCAGTCCTTCCGGGTTGGGGCCATCAAAAGGAGGTCATCCACATATTGTAGCAAGGTGCAGTTGTCATCTGGTGGGGTGTAGGCCTTGAGGTCGGCAGCCAATGCCTCTGCAAAGATTGTGGGAGAGTTTTTTTATCCTTGTGGGAGTCTAGTCCAGGTGAGCTGTTCCTTTGTGCCTGTGACTGGATCCTCCCATTGAAATGCAAAAATGGGCTGACTAATTGGTGGCAGGTGAAGGCAGAAGAAAGCATCTTTTAAGTCCAGACAAGTAAACCAGGCTGCACTAGCCGGAATGAGTCCCATCAATGTGTACGGGTTTGGTACCATTGGGTGGATGGTTACAGTAGACTGCAAGTCCTGCACCAGTCTGCATTCATTCATTCAGTCCTGCACTGGTCTGTAACCTGCACTGGTTACAGCATGCAAGTCCTGCACTGGTCTGTATTGATTACTCTCTGGTTTTTGTACCAGCAAAAGTGGAGTGTTCCAGGATGACTGGCATCAGGCTAAGATTCCATGTTCCAAGAGCCACTTGAAATGTTCTTGAATGCCCTGTATGGCTTCTTGGGGTAGTGGGTATTGATGAACCTGACCAGTGTTGCTCCTGATTTTAGCTCTACTATCACCAGTGCCTGGTTTACAGCTAGCCCAGGTGGGTTGTCCTAGGCCTATACTCCAGGAATCTTACAAAGCAGCCCATACAGTTCATCCAGTCCCAGTTCTGGTAACTCCTTGATGTACAGTCTCCATTCTTCAGCCTGAGGGATGGTAAGAGTTAACACCATGGCCCTTGGGTAAGTCAGATTTAGAGTCATATCCCCTTGTGGCCCAAAAGCAATCTGTGCTTGCAGTTTTTGGAACAGGTCTCTTCCCAGCAAGGGAACTGGGCAATTTGGGAGTTACAGGAATTCATGTTGGACTTCTCTTCCCCCATGACACAACTCCTAGGCCGGCAAAATGGCCTCTTCTCTGGGACCCCTGAAGCTCCAACAATAGTTGCACGATGTATGGATAGTGGCCCTATGGGCTGTGTCACTACCGAGTGTTCAGCCCTGGTGTCTACCTTAAAGTCCATCAGTTGGCCCTCTACTTCCAATATGACCATGGGCTCCTGGGGGCCTAAGGAGATGGAGCCCGGTCTTGCCTAGTCTTCATACCCTTCAGTCCCTGCCAGCCCGATAAGGTTGGCGTCTGGCTCCTTTGGGGTACAGTAGCCCTTGGCTGGCAGTCTTCTAGTTTTATAGCCTCTGTCATTTCCCTTGTCATCCTCAGACATTTATTCTTCCAGTGTCCCTTCTTCTTACATCATGTACATTGGTCCCTATCCAGTCTTGGCCAATTTTCGGGTCTTTGCCCAGTTTGGTCCCTTCCTCATCTGTGTCCGCATCCACGTCCTCTGGTGATACTTGTTCCTCTTTCCATGAGTGCTGCTGCTAGCAGATCAGCTTTCTTCCTGAGTCTCTGATCTGCTTCCCTTTTTGCCTCCTCGTCACAGTTAACATACACCTTGGTGACCACTTCCAAAAGTTGGGTGGCATTCATGCCTGTGAAACTTTCTAGCTTTTGTAGTTTCTGCCTGATGTCCCCCTGGGTTTGTCCTGCAAATGCTGCATTCACCATGCACTGATTCTCAGTAGCCTCAGGATCAAACGGAGTGTAGAGCTGGAACACCTCACAGAGTCTCTCATAAAACTGGCTAGGGCTTTCATCAGTTCCCTGAAGCACTTCCGAGATTTTCCCCATATTGACTGCCTTCTTTCTGCCCTCCCTTAGTCCTTGCAAGAGTGCCTCTCGGTACCTCTGCTGGTGCTATAATTGGGTTGCAACATTTGGGTCCCAGTGTGGGTCTGCTTCTGGGAATTGGCCCTGAGCGTATGCCTGGACATTAAGTGTGCCTTCTGGTGCATTGTTTTCTAGCCAGCAGAGGGCTGCTTGGGTCACCCTTTGGCGCTCTTCGTTGTTAAACAGCGTCAGGAGGAGCTGTTTGCAATCTGGCCAAGTTGGATTATGTGTCTGAAAAATGGACTGCATTAGATCTATGAAGGCCTGGGGCTTCTTTGTGTGTGAGGGAGTATGGTGTTTCCAGTTTAGGAGATCAGTGGTTGAAAAAGGCTGGTAGATGAAGGTCCATTGCCCCCCTTGGATATGGCCATATTAATCATAATAGAGGGGCCCCAAGTTTCCCAGAGAGGCATCTGCAAAGCCCAGGTGCGGCCAGACTGGAGGCAGCTTGCTTGATCAGCCTGAATTTCCTCCTTGACCTCCTGGGGCAGTGGTTCTGATTTTTCCTTTTCGGGTGAAGCCTGGGGCTCATCATTATCTGAACCTGACTCCTAAGGGGCCAGCCTTGGTAAAGTGGGGTAGATTGGGGTATAGGGAGGAGGGATTTCTATTTCCTCCAGTGGTTCCTGCAAAACCAGTTTTTCCTGTCTTTCCTGTGGCTTTCCCTTTGTCCCCGTAGCTTCTGGTGAAGCTGATTTTTCTTTCATTTTAGGTTTGGCTCAAGCCACAAGCATTTTGTAACTAGCCGCCAGGCAGGGCTGTAGTCATGCAGGTCAGGTTTGGACTATATTCAGCCATGTATTAATATAAGGAAATTGGTCTGGATGCCCTGGCTGTCCTCTGACCCCAGTCACCACCCAATGTATACAGCCAATTGTTCCCCCATCTATTGTTCCTTCGGCTGGCCATCTGACATGAAAAGAGGGCCATTCTATTTCACAAAGGGTTCTTAACTTCTTGGGGGTCAACATGATCCCATAATCCCCTGTATAACCTTTCTTAAAGTTCTTTAACATACATTCTAATGGGGTGAGTTTTGACGGCTTCCCTCCCATTTCCTCCCGGTTATGGTGCAACTCACTCTCTTTTGCTTTCACTTCAGACCAATTAGACCACCTCCCTCATGGGAGTATTTCAGATGCCATTTAGCATTGGAGGGTTTGTATAAACCCCAAACCTGGACCCCACAATCACTAAATTGTGGGGAGCCTCCATAAGCTGTATGCAGTTCACCACTAGTCCCAGTCAGTCCCACACTTGCTCGGGACATATGGTCTCACACTAGGAGACTTGCAGTCCCACATGCTCCACTCCACTCATTCACACGCATTCACACACTCTCCCACTCCCAGTTCTTCTTCTCAGGTTGGGGTGTAGGTTTCAACCAACTTAGCGAGCCACTCTCATGTCCTGGGTTGGACTACTAGGTACATCCCGGGAGTTGATCAGACTCCCCTTCCATCCTTATGGGACAGGTCCTGCCTCGAGCCCCAAACCTTACTGCAGTCCTGTAGCATGCTGTTCCTGGAATCATCCAGTAGCCCCTTAGGTTCTGTTGCACTGACGGGGAGGGGCACTGGGTCACAGGAGAGCCCATCTCTCACCTGGGTTTAAGTTCCCCCCTTGGCACACCTGAGGTCATGTGTCTCCCCCTGGCTTGGGTCCCCAGACCCACAGGCAAAGGAGACAGAAAACCTGTCATCTCCAATCCTGGATGAGCCCCCAGAAATGTTACATGAATCAAGGGACAGGAGAGACCAATGGGTGGGACAGGAGGATTTTATTAGGAGCGCACCGGCCCAGGAGATTAACATCCGAAGGCTGAGCCCGAACAAAGACAGGGCTTGACTTTTATACATGCATCTGAAGGGAGGTTGGCCGGTTTGATGGCACAAAACCTGTAGTGTGGGCAAACAAGCTTTCAGAAGCAGAACAAAGGCAGTTGTTGAACAGTGACAGGTTTTGTAACTCAAGCATATCTTGTGACCTTACAATGCTGCACAGAAGGGGAAAAACAGGAACTTACAAAACTTGCAAAAATAATTATAAGAACAGAACAAGGAACAATGGTAAGGGAGAAGAATCTGAAGGGGGAGGCCGAAAAAGAAAAACTTGTGTTTTGTTTTTTTGTATCTTCTGCTTCATTTGTGCAGCTGCTATCACTTCTTATTGCTCATAGAGAAATACATCACACTGGGTATTACAGAGATTCAGTTGTAGGGGATTAACAAAGAGACTGCTTAGTTAAAGTGAGTAGATTCTTTATCTAGCTTATTCTTTGACCTATTTGATTTTAGTTGGTTTGGTTCATGGGGACCCTGGCTAAGGAGGATACTCCAAACTCTTGGTAATATCCTTCTGATAGTTATAATAGTTATAATAGTAGTCTGTCTGGTGTGCTGTATTCTCTCAACAGTTTTAAATGTTTGCATGCAGCCATCTCTAGAATGTCATTCCACTGTCTTCAAGTTGAATGGCAAGAGCTGAAAAAATGTGTGACCATAAGGGCACTGTAACCTATGAATTATGTGCTGAGACCAGAAACCCAAAATCATGGTAACTGAGAGTAGTGCTAAGGCCCTAATTTTCAGTCACACTCTTACCTAAGTGAGAACCTGACCAAAACGAGAGAATTTTTAAACAAAATTGTGGAAAGGCCATTGTTTTGGACTGAGCTTATGCACTAGGCTGCAACAGACCAGACCAAACCAAAATGGAGTCTCTCATACTAAATGTGACATAACCAAACTAAAACTTTAAGGAAACACATCGATCCTAGAACAGATTAGCTTTTGTTTTTTCCTCTGTATATAGCACATTCCAGCATAAGGAGATACCCTCTACTCTAAACCTTACAACAACAACAACAACAACAACAAAAAAAAAAACAAAAAAAACCCTAAAGTTCTTATTCCCACCTTACAAACCCCACTGTTCGGCTATTTCCCAGTGGGTCTCAAAACCAAGTAAGTACAGACAATGGTAATAGTGACATCAATGACTAAAGTTTTGGCCAATCTGTC
Organism: Homo sapiens; assembly: GCF_000001405.40. Lineage (NCBI taxonomy): Eukaryota > Metazoa > Chordata > Mammalia > Primates > Hominidae > Homo > Homo sapiens. Next base: position 109,895,544 of record NC_000006.12, read on the forward strand.
AAAATTGAGAGGATGACCCAAAGTAGGAAATTGTTCAATCAAGTTTAGCTGATAGCTGCCTCCTTACATATTTTAAGTTCAGCCTAAATGTTCCTCTCTACACCATGAACTATAACCCAAATAGAGTTGTATACAGACTGTAGTGTCAATGAAAAGAGCCAAACTCTGTAAAATATTTGAAGAGATTTATTCTGAGCCAAATATGAGTGACCATGGCCCATGATACAGCCCTCAGGAGGTCCTGAGAACATGTGCCCAAGATGGTCGGGGTGCTGCTTGGTTTTATACATGTTAGGGAGGCATGAGACATCAATCAAATACATTTAAGAAATACATTGCTTTGGTCCAGAAAGGTGGGACAACTCTAAGGTTGGGGGGCGGCTTCCAGGCTATAGGTAAATTTAAACATTTTCTGGTTGACAATTGGTTGATTTTGTGTAAGACCTGGGATTGATAGAAAGGAAATGTTCAGGTTAAGATAAAATATTTTGGAGAACAAGGTCCCTTTGAAATCTTATAGTGGCTTCCCTTAGAGACAATAGATGACAAATGTTTCCTATTCAAATCTTTAAAAGATGCGAGACTTTTAGTTAATCTCTTTAGGATTGGGAGGGCCTGGAAGGAAAAGATCTAGCTATGTTAATAGATTCTCTACAGATGGAGATTTTCCCCCACAAAGGACAGCTTTGAAGGGCCATTTCAAGATATGGCAAAGAAACATGTTTTGGGATAAAATATTTCGATTTTTCTTTTTTTCATTGTCTTGTAATATTACACCAGAGTCAGGATGGAAAGTAAGTCACAGTATAGAGGGTTAAGTAAAACCCATCCAATGAGAAGTTACCGTTTGTAGGGCATGACTCCCCAGACCTTTTAGATAGGAATTTGGGCAAGATGAAAAAATCAGAACTTAGTCCTCAGTAGCCAAATCTTGTGCCAATCACTGAGTTTTGGCCAATCAAAGGTGGCCAAGTGTTCAAACCAGGTCCAAATAAGGCAAACACTGAGCTGTAACCAATCTTGCTGTTTCTGTACCTCATTTCCATTTCCTGTATATCACTTTGCTTTTACTCTCCACAAATCTTCCAACATGTGGCTGCACTGGAGTCTCTGAGCCTACTCTGGCCTGAGAGGCTGCCTGATTTGTGAATCATTCTTTGCTCAATTAAACTCTGTTAAACTTAATTTGGTCAAGATTTTTCTTTTGACACCGGTATTCATGGTGTAAACATTACTTGGAAGCACCGAGTGGTCTGCCTAATCAAAAAAAAACAATAGAAAGTGGAGAGTGCTTTTTTCCCCAGAGAGCTGGGCTGAAGACAGGAGTTAGGAAAAGAGCTGTAGACTACTATTTTCATTATAAGGCTTTCGGTATAACTTGGCTTTCAAAATTACATAAATGTCTGATTTGGGAGACAAATTTTAAGTTTCATCTAAGGAGACAGACCTAAGGAAGATGTGATTAACTTTACATGGAACATGCTCAATGTCTCAGTCTGTTCAGGCTGGCACAACAAAGGATCATAGACTGGGAGGGTTAAGCAAGAAAAGTTTATTTTCTCACAGTTCTGGAGGCTTGAAGCCTGAGATCAGGGTGGCCCACATGGTCTGCTTCTGATGAGGGCTCACTTCCTGGCTTTTCAGGGAGGGAAGGCTGAGACAAGGTACAGGGGCAGGCTGCAGCCTGGGGCGTGTTAGAGGGAGCCCGCAGGAGGGATTTCCTTCAGCACAAACCTAGCCCCTATACCTCCTGGTCTCTGGGGAGGTGGAGAGCTTTGTCTCATTGGGTGTTGGAGCTCTTGCAGGGTGAGTTGGGCAGGTGGAGGTAGCTTGCTCTGCCCAGAGCTGTCCCCAGCTTGCTGGCTGACAGACCTGAACCACACCCTCCAGCTTAGCCTCACTCAGCCATTCATATTTTTCCCTTTATCTGTGACTTCTTTAATTTCTTAATTCTTTTATTTTCCAAATTGTTCCCAACATGAACCAGGAAGAGGGGGTGGCAGTCTAGGCAAAGAAAGGCAGATTTATTAGAGAAAGTATGAAAATACATTCAAAGGTTACAACAGGCAGCACAGCAGAAAAGGGGCTGTCTGCAAAGAGGTGGGGCTGGAGGGAAGTTTTCTAGGGTTGTGCTGGAGGGGATTCCATGCAGGGTTCTTGTGCCTGAGGAAGGAAGCCATTCATTGTGCCCACTGAGGTAGTCACACCCTTGGGTAGTTTGTGATCAGCCGTCTCTTAGAACAGTTGTTCATTGTTCTTTCCCATCTGGGGCCTTCCGGGAAAGGCAAGATGGGGGTGGGTTAGCTCAGATCACTGTCATAATTTTTTCACTGATATAATTTTTGCAAAGGTGGCTTCAAAAATAGTGCAAAATTGTTGGAGCAAAGGCTGTGTGGATTGAGGGTTGGAGAGAGGGCAGCAGGAAATGGTAGGAGGTGGTGGGAGATATTTCCAGCAGAGGTAGGAGCAGGCATGGTGGCACTCTCTGCCACCCTACCAAGGCACCAAGCTTCACTCACTGTGCACCTGGCTGGGTGGGAAGAATAGGTCAGAGGGATGCCACTGAAGACCAGGTGACAGGTGATGAGGTGACACAGAAATGTGGGCAAGGAAGTGAGGACCTTGGCAGAGGACATAGAGGGGAGGGGACACATTTGGATTATAGCTAAAAGGTGGAATCAATACATAAGATTTGGTGACGAGTTGAATGAGAGATTGGCACCGAGGGTGACTCCCGCATTTCTGTTACAGTAATTACATGGAAAATACCTTTTCTTTCTCCAAAATCCTGCAGTTCACCTAGATAACTCAACCCAGCACGGCTGGGGGACTGGGCATCCCAGGACATTACCTTGAGAAAAGGATTTTTAGTGCCCTGATGACCCTCTTTCCTAGCAAGGTGCATATTGCCCACACAACCCGACCTCTCTGGGGATTCCACACAACTTCAATTCTTTTTTTTTTTTTTTTTTTGACAGGGTTTTGCTCTATCACCCAGGCTGGAGTGCAGTGGCATAATCAGGGCTCACTGCAGACTCAATCTCTCAATCTCCTGGGCTCAATCAATCCTCCCATCTTAGCTTCACAAGTAGCCGGGGTTGCAGTTGTGGACCGTGCCTGGCTAATTTTTGTATTTTTTGTAGAGACAGTGTTTCACCATGTTGCCCAGGCTGGTCTTGAACACCTGGGCTTAAGCCATCTTCCCACCTCAGCCTCTCAACATGCTGGGATTACAGGCATTACTGTGCCCAGACCACATCTTCAATTCTGATTGAAGTATCTAATCCTCATTTCTCCAATAGAGAGATTAGAAAAGCAGAATACAATACTTAAAAAAAATCCTTTTTTATTTTGAAAAATATTTTAAACTTACAGAAAAGTTGCAAAAGGTATATAGTAATCTCCCATATACTCTTGACTTAGATTTACTAATTAACATTTTGACACAGCTTTCTCTATCTATATCTAATAATTATTATAATTAGTATTACTGAGCCATATGAATGAAAATTGCATATATTATGCCCCTTTATCCTTAAATGTTTCAGCATAGATCTCCTTAGAACAAGGACATTCTCTTCATAACCATAGTACAATGATCAATTTTAGGAACTTTAACATTAATGCAATATTATTATTTAAGATAAGGTACAGTTTATAGTCAGCTTTCACCAATTGCCCCAATAATGCCCTTTATGGCAACTTTTCCCCAAATTGAAGATCTAATTCAGGATTTTGCATTACACTTAGTTGTCCTGATTCTCTTACCTCATTTAATCTGGAAAATTTACTGAATTATTTTGTCTTTGTCTTTCATAACATTGACAATCTTAAAGAACACAAGCCAAGCATTTGGTAGAATTTCCACAATTTAAATGTGTCTGGTGTTTCTAGATGGTTATATGCAGGTTATGCGGTTTATAACATAAGTCATGTTTTGTCCTCAGCATATCACATCATCGTTAGTGATGTTAATGTTGATCAATTAGTTAGAGTAGTGTCAGCCAAGTTATTCTAATATGAAGTTACTATTTTTCTCTTTGAAATTAATAAGTCATGGCTGGGCATGGTGGCTCACATCTGTAATCCCAGCACTTTGGGAGACTGAGGTGGGTGGATCACCTGAGGTGAGGAGTTCAAGACCAGCCCGGCTAACATGGTGAAACCCCATCTCTACTAAAAATGCAAAAATTAGCCAGGCGTGGTGGCACATGCCTGTAATCCCAGCTACTTGGGACTGAGGCAGGAAGAGCGCTTGAACTCAGGAGGTGCAGATTGAAGTGAGCAGAGACTGCACTACTGCACTCCAGCTTGGGCAACAGAGCAAGACTCTGTCTCAAAAAAAAAAAAGAAAGAAATTAATAAGTCATCTCTAAAGAAATACTTTGAGACTTCCACTGTCTTAGCATCCATTAATAATTCCTGTGTGAATCAATTACTACTACAATGTTGCAAAATGTTGATTATCTAACTCCATTATCTATTCTACTTTTATTAGTTGGCTTTCTATTTTAAAGAAGAGCCTTCCTCTCTTTCTCATTTATTTATTTAGTATAATATGAATCAATGAAATATTATTTTTCCAAGGGTTAGAATTCATCACTATTCTTATTTGTTTTGATAATCAAATTATTACAGATTTGGCCAGTGGGAAGCCCTTCAAGTTGCTTTTTATATTCTTGCAACATCCTCCCATCATTTTATGAGCACTTTCTTACTTTTAAGAACAACCAAATGTTCTTATACTTGCCCTGCCCCACCCTGGAATCAGCCATTTCTCCAAAAAGTCCTGGCTTCTTTTGGCAGCAGTAGTATTTAGAAACCAAGATCTCTGCTGATTGCTACTGGGATGTCACTGCCATTTCAATGGACAGAGCCAGTAGTAACCACTAATCCCAATTCAATACCACATGGTTCTTCTTTGCTTTTTCCTAGTTTATGCTTGTATCTTCTTTCTTTCATGGTGAGAATCCTGAATCCCTCTGCCACTCCTGGCCCACAGTCAAATTATTTACTTTTTTGCTTAGTGCTGCACTAATAAAGCACAACATAATTCCAGAATTGCTACATTCATACCTCTACCAACAACACCTTTACTAAATTGGAGTTGAAGATTTGTTTATAGATCTTTTTGTCTTTAGATTAACATCATTGTGTGTCCTTTCAATGATGTGCTGGGCATTGTCTAGTAGACCCTCTGTCTCTCTAATGACCCAGCAATTTTACACTATAGAAGTTGAAGAAAACAGTAATGGAAATTATTCTTATCCATAGCAACGTAAATGCCGGTGTCCAGTAGAGATATGATAGTTTTCTGCCCAGTAGAAATATGCCAACAAACATGCGTTGTCTTATAGAATATTAACCAGTTTTGCATCCATTGGCAAACTTACTTCAGCATTCCAGATTGCGCGCACACACACACACACACATTTTGTCCTTCACAAACTTAATCTTTGACCTTTAGGCCAGAACAGTAAGACCACGAAGGTGGTTGTGGCATCTGTTTTCCAGGAGACATTTTTCCTTCTTCAGTCTCACCACTGGAAGGTCACAACATTGACTATTCACTGAGTTATTATATAAAGCAACTAATCCTTTGAAAAATATTGTCTTGCTCATTGCTCTGTGAGACCAGCAGAAAATCAACTCTGGGTGATACGCTGATGGTGAAAGGACTAGAATGGGTAACTGTGCCCCCAGAGAAGCAAACTCTCATTTTGCCAATAGGTTCAATCTTCCCACCACTGTCTGTCCAGAGTTGCTAATGAGTGGCAAAATCGACTGCTCTCACCTCTTCTCCCAGCAAGGGCTCGCCTCTAGTGGAAGTGCAAATGAGCCCTAACACTGTCCTCAGCAGGAGGCCCAGGAGGAGAAGTAAGAGTCAGGAATTATCCACTCACTGTCACCGAATATTCCAGAATCAGCTATCAAACTGCAACAACCATCCTTTATCCGGCTTCTCCTGCTTGGTTAGAAGCCTCTACAATCTGCTCTTTGCACCAGGGTCTACACAGGTATCTCATGTGCCAATCCTCACACCTTCAACAAGTTCAGATTCAGAGAGGAGTTCGGTGACTCAGATTTATTTGACCACTGGCCTTTCAGGAAGCAGAGAGCGCTTTCCCCAGGGACTGTCACTCTTCCACCATGTTTCATTGTTTCCCCAGCAGATTGAGTAAAGGCTATTCTAGGAATGCTGAACGCGATGGAAATGCCTAAGATGATGGAAGTGTTGAAAACCTGATCTCAAACTGGAAAGGTTGGAGAGGCTCCTAGAAGAGGTCAAAATTTGAGCTTTGTGCACCTGTGTGTGCATGTTGGAATGTGTGTTGAAGAAAGGCATAGAAGGGTGCACACAGCTGGGACACACTTTACTGCAAGGGGATGAGGTAGGGCTAGAGGTGGGGATGCAACTGATCAAACATTAGCTTCTCTCCAGTAGGATTTATAATAACAAGCATGGATAACTTTTGTATTAAAAAAACACAATAAAGCAAAAGGGGATAAACAATCTAGAGGTTTCTTGTTGAACAATAGTATTTCATATCATGAAAAACACTTCATTTTACAGTGGATATGAATCATTCCCAGGCTTCTGACAGCCTAAACCCACAAGTGTGGGTGGGTTTGCCCTTTGCTAGGTAACAAGAAAGAAAGAATTTCAAAAGAAAATTTGTTATTTCATGGCACCCATCGTCCCAGTTATCTAAGGAGAGAGTGTTAGAGATGGAAAACCCGAACAACTTAGAAAGTGGAGTGGTGTGGTGCATAGTTACAGCTCCTGGTTGGACTGGCCTGTCAGCACAAACACAGAGGCACTGCAAGAACATGGAGTGCAGGGTGCAATAACCCCAGTGGCCATCAATGCAGTTAAGCTGCCGTGGCCTCTGCAGCAATTTCACAGCTGGAAGGCATACCAGTAGTCAGCAACGACTTCAGTTCCATTCATGCTGGAGTCAAAGGGCCAATTCTGAAGCTTCTCCTGCCTGTACCCAGAAGACACAGTCTCCGTGCTATAAATTTAGCTATAAACCAAGCAGAGCTGCCTCAAAAGTCACCTTCTTTGGTCTACTAAAATCTCATAGCCCATCTTACAATCTTTTCTCTTCTATGAGCTTCCTGTAATTCAGCAGGGAGAAAACAATTGTTAGAAAAGTAAGATTCATAACAGAAATTTTTATAATGTAGGGAAGGAACTCATGAATAGTGTTGAATGAAGCATCCTTCCCAACCAAAGACGACAACAAATGCAAGCAGAATAAAACAAAAACTACACAGATCTTTTATTGCATGGCACTGAGAGTCCTTGGTCAAATTATGCCTGTCAGAGTAAAACAGCAGCATCAGTTATGTGATAGAACAGTCAGTCCCATCTCCCAACAGCAACACGAAAGGAGCCCTGGCATAGATGTTGGTTAGAGCAAGGAGATAAAGAACAAAGAAAGGAGAAGGAGAGACTTCAAGGATGGGGCAGGTGCTGACCTTGTATGTAACAAAGGATTAAGAAGATGCTTCCTGAGAGCAACTGTGATTAAAGTGTGGACAGGACCACCAAGAGCCATTAGAGACCCTCCTTTCTTTGTTACTTTTTCTTCCCTATGATGGCCTAGATCACTCCTTGCTTGTAGGGATTAAAGGAACTGGGTTCTACCAACTGAGACTCTTCTCATAGCATCATTTTGTCCCTAAGACTTTCTCCCTTTCAGACTTACCAGCCTTCATCTTCCATTTATTGTCAGTGATTTGCATATTGTGTTGGCTTCCTATACAGGGCAGTGCATGCTCTGTCCTGCTCTGCAGACTTAAGAATGGATACAGAGTCCTCAGGGTTCCAGGAAGATCCCTTAAAATTTTTAAAAAATCTTTGTCCATAGGGATGAGTGGCTAAGATGTGGTATATTCAAATTTTTTGTTCCTTTTCCAACTTTTCCCAAAAATACGTTTTTGCCCCTTACAACCCGCTTGTTCTGACATCACATGTTGAATGAGTCAGAGCTGTCTCACTTAAATGCAGCAAACACTAAAATTGTGCTATTGATTTCTGATGCTCTCTTTACTTTTCCTTTATTGTTAGTTTGTAGAAGTTGCTTCAACTAATATTACTCTAAATATGTAATGCTGGTTTTGGCTCTGTCTCTTTCTCCACTTGCCTTGTTTAGCATCATTTATTGGAGGCATCTACGTCAAAATATTTTTTTAAGATTTCAAAAAATGGATTTTTCCAATCTAAAATAGTTCTAAATGTCCCCTTTTGATCCAGTACACTTTTAGTCACATAGAGTACATCCATGCTGATATGGTATATTCTTCCCAACATACATAGTGTAATAAAAAAACAACAACAACAGTATTGATGGTATACAGGTTTGAGCATCAGAAGACCTAAGAAAAATCCTGGCTCTATGACTCACTACCTGTGTAATTTTAAGCAACTGAGTCAGTTTCTTTGAGCCTCAGCTTCCTCATTTATCAAATGGGCTCTTTGTATTTATCTCACAGGGTTTTTGCGAGGCTCAAATGAGATTATGTAGGTAGGGGTGGTTTGCTAATATTATTACTGCTGTTCTCTGACATCCCTACTCAACTCTTTCTTAAATTGGAAACACATCTAGATAAGGGCAGAACGATCTGTGACCATGAGAAGGATGCAGGCATGAGAAAGCAATGATGTCTCCTTAGTCACCTGGGCTCATGTAATCTCATCTTCCAAGACCCAGCCTAAAAATCATCTCCTTGAGAAGATACCCTTGGATTCCCCAGGTCAAAATGAATTTGTCCTTGTCCTACACTAGTACCCACCATAAGATTTCTCTCTAGCTATGTATCACAGGCCCCAGAAACCCCCAGATAATTCAATAGTTAGAAGTTTAACACCTTGTATTAAAATGTACCTTGGGGAGTAGAGGTTATAAGTGATTATAACTCTATTTATTACATCCATTAAATAATAAAGACAGTACCTTATATAAAGAAATATTAATAACATTTACATACTCTGCATTAGCAGTAATGTACATTATATGCTTAACATCCATTTGTTGAAAGAAAAATCTTGAGGCTCTTCTTTCTTGGCTGTTTCAATAAAATAATTAAAAGAAAAAATTTTACTTTTAAATAGATAGTTTGCCCAATAAAAGGAATGTACTTTTCTGCCTGCTTCTCTACCCAAACACTCAAAGCTTTTCTGATTTTGTATCTTGGAGTTATTGACTCCTGTCGCCCAGCTCTCACTGGTTCCAAACAGCATGGATCATTGAGAAACTTGGCTGCATGGAAGTGGCTTAACTCCCTGCCTCCTGCACAAGTCATTTAGCCTTTGCTCTGTCCATGATAGTGTCACGCAAATCCCTTGCAGTGAGCCTCTCTGATAAACATCTCTCTTCTTCTCGTCTTCCTCTGTAAGAAGGCTCCTCATTTGTGTTGCCTCAGTTTCCTTGCTTTCTCCCCTGGGTTCCACTGAAAATGTCTCCATTTCTCCCCTGCCATTCATAGTGTCTCCCTTGTTTCTTCTCAGCCCCAAGCTCTGTCTTCTTCCCTCCCCTCCCTGCTAATGACCTCAAATGAGATGATTCAATGGATAGATATCAGAACTAGAATTCATAAGGGATATGCTACAACTTCATGTAGAGGAAACTGAAGTTCTGGAGGGGTACCAGGGTACTCATCTCTTTAGTGTCAGTCTCTCTCATGGACTGTGAGTTGTTGAGGGTGGGGGCTTTAAAAAAATTTTTTTTTAACTCATCATTTTATTTTTAGCATCAAATACAGAGCCTGATACGGAGGAGGCCCTTGATCCATACTGGCTGAGGGAATGCATGCTGGCCAACAGATCACTTTTGCACCCTGGTCTAGTCAATTTCAGTCATATAAAATGAAATTTCTTGGATGTCCTCTTCCCAATTATAATTTCAGGTACTAAATTAGGGTGCTTTAAAAAAAGGAGATACAGATGACAAAAAAAGCAAAGGAGCTAAAGAACAGGCTCTACCAGCTGAAGGTGGTAGGGGTAGGAGGAGAACCAGGCTGGCCAGGGAATCTTTGCAAAGCAGCCCTGGAGGTTAGGAATGGCTTCATGCACTTAGGGATAAACTTTGGAAATGTGCCACATGCCTCCCCTACAGCTACAGACCCCTGATGCTGTCTCCAGCCTGCTGCCTGCTCCCACGGTGAGAACTGTCTGGGATTCTGACCTTCTGGCTGGCTGACTGGCCATGTCCAGTACTTGGGATGCAGCCTATGTATGGGGTTCGAAGCCCAGGACCAATATGCATCTGCACAGACTGTCCTGCCACATCTCTCTCCAGGCCCTTTCCAAGGTCCAGTCTCACAGATTCTTGTGAAGCCATGAACACAAATGTTCACTCTGAGTTCTGGTTTATCCTCAGCTTGGGTACTCTTCCAGCCTACCCATTGACAAGACAGGCACAATTACAGCCTTTCCGACCCACATGAATGCACTCTGGGGGTAGGAGAAGACTGTTTTTATGGGAATGAGGCAACACTATACTACTTTTTCTCTCACACATGAAAAACGGGAAAAAGTTGAAAGAAGCTGAGCTTTCAGGACAAGTTAGAGAAGTCGATGTCATTCCATCAGCAGGAGGCAGGCTGTGCGAAGGTGGGGATGTGTGCAGGGGGAAAAGGAGAGATGTGGAGATTCTTGCCACTGGGGATAACCCCAAACCAAACATTCAGAGAGAAACCATTTACCTTCACCACTGCAGTTCCTGAAAATGTCCTAGCTAACCATAGCAAAGTTGTGGATATAGTCACAGCAGAATTAACACATGCAGTCATATTAGTCTAGGGTCCTAGAGAAAAAATAATCTCCCCACAGATTATATAGTTACCCCAAGATTCTGTTGAAATCCTGGATCTACCTTTCTGAGGCACGAACTCAATAAAACAATCAACTTGACACTTTTTTTAAAATTAATAAACTTCATTTTTGGAGCAGTTTTAGGTTTATAGAAAAATTGAGTGGAAAGCACAGAGTTTTCATATACTCCTCTGCCCCACCCCCACAGTTTCCCCTATTAATGTCTTGCATTAATGTGGTACATTTGTTATAATTGATTGGTCAATATTGATACCTTATTTATTATTATATTTTAATTATATGTCTTTAAATTATATTATTTTAAATAAATGATATTTTTTACTATTATATTGATTAAGGTCCATAGTTTATATTAGGGTTCACTCTTTGTGTTGTATATTCTATGGGTTTAGACTAATGTATAATGACATATAACCACCATAATAGTATCATGCAGAGAAGTTTCACTGCCCTAAAAAATCCCCTATTCATCCTTCTCTCTTGCCTCCCAACTTCTGGCAACCACGGATTTTTTTTTTCACTGTCTCCATGGTTTTGCCTTTGCTAGAACACCATATAGTTAGAATAATTAAAAATGCAGCCTTTTTGGATTGGCTTCTTTCACTTAGTAATATGCATTTAAAATTTCCTCCATGTCTTTTCATGACTTAATTGCCCATTCATTTTTAGCGCTGAATAATATTCCATGATCTGGATGTACCATAGTTTATTTATCCATCCACCTACCAAAGGACATCTTGGTTGCTTCCAAGTTTTGGGAATTATGAATAAAGCTGCTATAAACATCCATGTGCAGATTTTTGATGAACATAAGTTCTCAGCTCATTTGGGTAAATATTAAGGAGTATGATTGCTGGATCATATGGTAAGAGTATGCTTAGTTTTGTAAGTAACTATCAAGCTGTCTTCCAAAGTGGCGGTACTATTTTGCATTCCCACCAGCAATGAATGAGACTCCTTGTTGCTCCATATCCTCATTAGCATTTGGCATTATCAGTGTTCTAGACGTAACAATATCTCATAGTTGTAGTTGGCAATTCCCTAGTGATACGATGTATTTCATACGCTTATTTGCCATATGTACGTCTCCCTTGGTCAGGTGCCTGTTCAGATCTTTTGCCCATTGGCCTTTTTTTTTTAAATAATTGACTTGGGAGGCCAACCCAGGCAGATCACCTGAGGTCAGGAGTTTGAGACCAGCCTGGTCAACAAAAATACAAAAATTAGCTGGGCATGATGGCAGGTGCCTGTAATCCCAGCTACTTGGGAGGCTGAGGCAGGAGAATTGCTTGAACCTGGGAGGTGGAGGTTGCAGTGAGTCAAGATTGTGCCACTGCACTCCAGCCTGGAAACAGAGTGAGACTCCATCTCAAAAGAAATAAATAAATAAAAATAAATAAAAATAAAATAAATTGACTGACATTTTAACTGAATGTTCTAACTGGCGAAATTGACTAGTTTTTACCTCTTCTACAGATAGAGATCCTTAAGCAACTGCAACAAATAGGTGAATTAGAATAGGGCACCAAAGACAGACCCAATCTACAGAGATACATAGGGTTTTTGTTTTGTTAACTATAGAACATCCAAAACTAGTTTTTCTGGAGATAATCAAGAAACATTTTCTTTTTTAAAAAATCATTTTTAAATGCCTTTTTTTCTCATCAAGAAACCAATACATTTTGTGAAAGAAAAATAAAAACTCAAAATGATTTTTTAGGACTCAGTAGAATTATTACCTACAATAGCAAAGCATGTGCCAAAGAATCCAACTTTCAGAACAGCTGGCTCCCAGTTTTCCTATAGAGGAAAATCTTTATAGATCAAATTGTTGAATGGCAACAGGAATTCTGATGGGGTGCAGCTGGGTTCTTTTGATAAAAATTGGATATTCCTAACTCCAGGCTAGTCTCAGGATTCCCAGGATTGTCCTCTTTTTGGCCTTCAGGAAAACTCTTTCATGGCTTGTGCCTGAATTTAAGGCTTTCAGGAATGTAAGCATTCTCCAGCCATCTGGTGTGCCTATTTTAACACTTTGATATGCATTTCCAAGTATCATCCAGAAACATTGTTTTAGTTCATATGCCTAGCAAGAGGATAAAACTGTACCTGTATCCTCACCAATGCTGAGTAATTTAAAAGTAAAATCTTTGTTAGTTTGACATATGAAAAAAAACACGTTTTGTTTTAATTTTTATTTTTAATGACTCCTCCTCCTTCCTTCTTCCTTCCTTCCTCCTCCTCCTCCTCCTCCAATGGTCTATTTCTTTAGAGAAATGTAAGACCTTTGCCTAAGAGAAGTGGCTAGGACTGTGTCTTTTGTAGCTTCCTGCAAGGTAAGCGGCAACCACAGCAGACAGGGGCTGATGGTGTATCACTGGGGTGGGTCATAAACGCTCTGTCTGAAAGACCATCTTCCATATTGGGGCACGCTGGAGTAGAGAGGCCCCAGCTAACAAGAGCCTGCAGGGTAGATCCATTATTTGGGGTGACTATATCCTGAGCCCCATAAAAGAAAAAGCCAGACTTTGGTTCGGTCTTATTTGGAGGGCCCATTATCAGATAATAAGTGTAGCTTCATAAAGATACTCTTTTTTCCCTCATTTCTCCCCTTTGCTCCAACACTGGAGGCCATATGCTGTGTAAAGGGGAAAAGGGGTGTACAGGCAGGTGGGAAACGGTGAAAAAGCAGCCACGTTGCCTTTTACCTCTGCAGGTTTGAGCTTAAGTTAAGCCTACAGTCAGAATGGGAAGAAGCTCTAAATCGGATGAGGACTAAAGTTTTGATTTTAGATAGAATTTGACTTTCAATAGCTCAAAATGACCAGAAAAGTTAAGGGATCTACCCGAGATTTTATCCAGGCTTGGGGATGCATGGTCTAATAGTATGGGTGTAAAATAGCAGTGGAGGAAAGAAAATAAAGTTGGTTTCTGCTTATATCCTATGGAATTCATGTAATAATTTCCTAAAGCCACTGTACCACAGAGGCTATGGTTTGAATGTTTATGTCCCCTCCAAAATCCATAGTATTAAGAGGTGGGGCCTTTAGGAAGTGATTAAGTCACAAGAGCAGAGCCTGAGTGAATGAGATTAAACCCTTATAAAACAGGTTTCCCAACATTTGGCCTCCTCCCTTCCACTCTCCACCATGTGAGGACACAGCAACAAGGTGCAATCTTGGAAGCAGAAACTGCCCCTCCCCAGACACCTATGCTGGCACCTTGATCTTGGACTCCCCAGCTTCCAGAACTGTGAGAAATATATTTTGGTTCTTTATAAATTACCCAGTCTCAAGAATCTTGTTATAGCAGTACAAACAGACTAAGATCAGGTGCAAAATCAAGATGGTGGCAGGGCCATTCTTCCTCTGAGGTCTCTAGGGAAGGAGTCTTCCTTACCTCTTCCAGCTTCTGGTTGCCACAGGTGTTCCTTGGCTTGTGGCAACATCACTCCAATCTCTGTCTCCATCTTCACAAGTCTTTCCTCTGTATCTGCATGTCTCTGTATCTTTGCATGGGATTCTCCTTGTGTGTCTGCATTCAAATTTTCTCTTCATGTAAGAACACCACTCATAACGGAGCAAAGCCCACACTAATGACATCTTAACATGATTAAATCTGCAAAGGTCTTATTTGAAAATAAGGTCACATTCGCAACTACTAGGGGTTAGAACTTCAATATTGTCTTTTTTGGGAGGTTACACAACTCACCCTACACAGCCCACCTCAACAGTGAACTGGCTCCATGTGTGCTGACCTCCCAGCTAATGTCCATGCGATGCTGCTTTGTGGCCTACTCATGGATAGGGTCATTGTTTCATCTCCTTCCCTCCTGTTCTTCTCAGGCTGTCCCCTGCCTCACTGTCCTGTTAGAGAGTAGATGGAGCAGAGACCACTCTGAGCAACATTCAGCATCAAGCCGATTTCAGCATTTGATGTACCATGGGGCCCGACTAAATGCATTTAGGTTGTGATCCAATGTCTTTTATAAACATCTGCCTAAAACACCCATAGTGAATCAGGTAAATGAGAAGGGAAATGTCAGCCTGGAAGCAGGATTGAACATAGTTTAAATTTTACAATCGGCACTGCACAATGTCATAATGCCATCCAGCAAATCTTATGTTCTTTGTGGAAAGACATTGTTTAAAAGCAATATTAAAAACATTTTAAAAGTAGCATTCCCAAAATGCAGAACCACATTTCTGAGACAAGAAAAAGAAGACATTGTTTCCCCCAAGTGAATCCTCTGACATGATTAAGTATGATGGGGGAGATAAATTAAAGATAAAGGGTCATTGAAAGTAGAACCTCAGCACCTCTGTCCTGAGGACTGCAGAAAACAGCAGCCCTGGAGTGTGTGTGGTGACAGCTGGGGAACGAAACTGAGCTTATTCTTCCCAAGCTGTGAAGGCTGGGGGAGACACAGAGAATAAATCATTGAAGGCATGATGTGTGGGCAAAGATTAAAATCAGCAATCATCTGATTTTGTAATTTTATCATTAAGACACATCAAAAACTGTTACTGCTGGAGGCATATTGGAGGAGATGAGTACTGAACTCAGATGCTGGAGTGAAAAGGTCATGGAGAAGGAATTACCTTGCTGAACTTAGAGAAAATATTTATTTTCAGACAAGTATCATATTTTGCAGACTTCCCACAGCCCTCTGCCTCAATTTTCAAATTCAACTGCAGCTTGAAATACTCTTGATTTCTTGGCAGATTGCATTCCTTTATCTGTTCATCCACTCATTAATACATCTATCAAGAGAGATTGGATTTAAGTTCATGCTCCATTTCCATGTGACCATAAACAAGTAAAACAGTTTCCTAGTGCATCAGTTTCCCCATCTGTAAAATGGGGATAATTGTATGGATCTTATAGGGTTTTGTGGGTACTAAATCAGTTAATACCTATTTGTCCCTTAACAAGCACTCAATAATGTTTTTAACTAATTTATTGTTAGTTTTTAATCACAGTTTGATTGTAAAGGCAGGCACACATTTAAAATAAAAGCTTAGTTCTCCATTTTGAAAATAAGGGAAGACACTTCTCCCTACCTCTCCCTTTTTGTTTCAGAATTTTTTTCTGTCTTTTTCAAATGTATGTAAATCTTTATAATGACAAAATAAGCCTCTTGCCAGTCTCACTGAGAAATGTTTCCTCAAGGACCTGGGAAACGTCTTTTTGAAATGTGAGCATTAAATGAGATAGTGCCCCTGTCTCTCAATTACTGTGGAAGGGTAGACATCTAATTCAGTGGGCACCTTGTTCCAATTTGCAAAACTGCTTCCTGTCATAAAGATGAGAGAAGTTTTTTTCTCCTGCAGCTAAAGCCAATTCAAGTAGTCTTTCCATGGTAGAGGTGGGAAGGAGGGAGCTTTTTTTGTGTCTGCTTTTTCTCAGTTGCCTTCAGTGCAAAATATCCTTATGCCAGAGTGGCACATTTTGGGGTGGCATATTCTGAACCTCTTCACTGTGCATCACTTTCTGGTTTAATACTTGTTGTGAGAAACAAACTCACCTGTCGAAACCCAAAGAATGGACTCAGAGACCCAGAGAACAGCGAAAGTGAGACTTTTAATGATGGTCTTGCAAGATTGGGTGTCTGGCTTGCAGGCAGCATTTCAACAAGCACAGTTTCAACAAGCAATTTATCCCCTAGTGCGCAGGTCCCTCCCCCGGTTCCTCATAGGCTGAGTACTATGGGGTCACAATCTTCCTGGACGTCACCTATTGATTGTTAGACAGGGGCTTTAGGTGCCTTTTTTGGCGGGGGGGATTGTCTTGCTGCATTTTGTTGCAGCCCACAATGCATTGCAATTCTAGTTAGCTCAGGGGCTCTTCAAGTATTTGACTTAATGACCTAAGCAGCTGGGCAGGCTGATAAGAACAGAAAAAGTGAGCTATATCACAGACCGGTTAACTTTTATCTTAGACTAAACTTCTTTGGTTTGGGTGAGGGCAACTAAGCCTGGGGGAAGGGGGAGAAAGGGGGAGGCTGACAAGCGGGCATCAATTATTCAAGCAGGGGCCTAATATATCCTGTTTCTTCTGTAGTTTGCTGACCTGAGCCTATTTAAGACACTTTGTCTTGGAAATGGGCCACTGTATACATTATTTCCTTCACTTATTCGATAATAAAACCATTTTGTCTCTACTACCTTTGTGGAGAGGTTTTCTGAGCTAGGAGAAGACTCCTTATATTTCCCCAACACCAACCAATAAAACTTTACTAAGCACCTGCCTGTGCCAGGCATAGTCTTCCTTCTCACTGTAGCAGAGCTGGGAGGCACCATGGGACGTCACATCCACTCTTTTCCCCCATCACAAAAAGGACACAGCTCTGCCTGCTGGGAGAACACAACCCTGTGTCCTGAGGGGCCTCCTTCTCCCTCTCCCTCTCCCTCCCCCACCCCCCCTCCTCTGTCCACTTTCTCTTCGTCCCTTTTTGCCCCTTTCACTTAACATAGAAGGTAATTAAATTATTCAACTGGTTTCAAGATTTGTCCTCAGTAATTCTAGTGAATGTTTACTAAGTGCTTGCTACATGCCAGCTGTTGTGTTGTGCATTTACCTGCATTATCTTATTTAATCTACACCTAGGACCCTATAGAGTAGATACTATAATTCTCACCATATTATGGATGCAGAAGCTAATGGAAACGGATTAAGTAATTTCTCATGGTCATAACAGTGATGGAGCTGAGATTCATACTCCGGACCCACAGGCCCTCAGCCTCTGCTAGGTGGGGCAGATGTGAGTCATGATGGAATACCAGAAGACATGGGAAGCTCCCAGTGGAAGGTGACACTCAGGGAGTGAGCCAAAGGGAGTGGAGAGGGAGGAGAGGGCTTCAGGGAGGTTAGTCTTCCTCCCCATTCCCAGTTCCCCAGAGCCCTTCTCCAGACAACCACGATTCAGAGGTTCTCATGTCTTTCCCCAGCTGGAGGGGCAGGGTGTCCTGGTGTGCCTTCCCAGGTATCCAGGGCCCACCTACAATTCTTGGTTATACTGGGACACTGCAGGGGCCAGGGGGTACATATATACAGGGGCAGGCCCCTGGCTGGGATGTAGCAGAGTCCACTTTTTTGGCTGCTGGCTTAAGGACTGTCCATTGCAGGCCCTGACCAGGGGTACTGGAGCTGTTGACACCAGGGAGAGTATCATTGGCTTCCCCAGGGCTCCAGGGCTGTTGAAGGAGGCTGCAGGTGGAGAATTGCTGCCAAGCTGGCTTCTTTGCTCTCCTGCCCAACAGGCCCAAGGCAAAGGAGGAAAATTTACAGAATACAAAGACCTAAGTTAAAATCTCAGACTATGCTTCAGCCACACAAGCATGTACATACAGCTATGCATCCTTGTCATTTTAAATAGATAGGAATGTACAAGCAGACCTCATTTTATTGCAGTTTGCCTTATTGCCCTTTACAGATATTGCATTTTTTCACAAATTGAAAGTCTGTGGCAACCCTACATCAAGGAAGCCTAGGGTGCCATTTCCCAATAGCGTGTGTTCACTTCATGTCTCTGTGGTACATTTTGATGGTTCTTGCAATATTTCAAGTCTTTTCATTATTATTATATCTGTCATGGTAATCTGAGATCAGTGATCTTTAATATTACTATTGTCATTGTTTTGGGGTGCCACAAACCACACCCATATAAGACAGCAAACTTCATAAACGTTGTGTGTTCCGACTGCTCCATTGACTGGCTGCTCTCTCATCTCTCTGCTTCTCCTCAGGCCTTCCTACTCCCTGGGACACAACAATATTAAAATTAGGCCACCTAATAACCCTATGGTGGCCTCTAAGTGTCTAAGTTAGAGTCTCACATCTGTTGCTTTAATTAAAAAGCTAGAAATGGTTAAATTTTGTGAGGAAGTCATGTTGAGAGCCAAAGTAGGCTGAAACCTAGGCCTCTTCTGCCACTTAGCCAGGCTGTGAATGTCAAGAAAATGTTCTTTCATGAAGGAAATGGAAAATGCTACTCCAGTAAACACAAGAATGATAAGAAGGTGAAACAGTCTTATTGCTGATATGGAGAGAGTTTGAATGGTCTGGCTGGAAGAACTAACCAACCACAACACTCCTTTAAAGCCAAAGCCTAATCCAGAGCAAGGCCCTAACTCTCTTCAATTCTGTGAAGGCTGAGATGTGAGGAAGCTGCAGAAGAAAAGTTTGAAACTAGTACAGGTAGGTTCATGAGGTTTAAGGAAAGAAGCTGTCTCCTTAACATCAAAGTGCAAGGTGAAGCAGCAAGTGCTGATGGAGAAGCTACAGCAAGTTATCCAGAAGACTCAGCTAAGGTCACTGATGAAGGTGGCTACACTAAACAACAGATTTTCAGTGTCAGTGAAACACTATTATATTGGAAGAAGATGCCATCCAGGACTTTCATAGCTAGAGAGGCAAAGTCAATGCCTGGCATTTAGGCTTCAAAGTTTCAAGGACAGGCTGGTTCTCTTGTTAGGGGCTAATGCAGCTGGTAATTTTAAGTTGAAGCCAATGTTTATATACCATTCTGAAAATTCTAGGGCCCTTAAGAATTGTGCTAAATTGACCACGCACGGTGGCTCGTGCCTATAATCCCAACACTTTGGGAGACCAAGGTAATAGAAACTCTTGAGGCTAGGAGTTTGAGATCAGCCTCAGCAACATAGTGAGACCACATCTCTACCAAAAACTTAAAACTTAGCTGGGCATGGTGGTATGTGCTGGTAGTCCTAATTACTGGAGAGGCTGAAGCGAGAGAATCACTTGAGCCTAGGAGTTAGTTCGAGGATATAGTGAGCTATGATCATGCCACTGCACTCCAGCCTGTGTGACAGAGTGAGACATCTTCCCTTAAAAATAAAAAGAAGACAATGATGAATGTTGTTTTCATGCCTGCTAACACAGCATCCATTTTGCAACCTGTGGATCAGGGAATAATTTCTACTTTTAAGACTTACCGTCTAAGATATATATTTTATAGGGCTATAGCTGCCATAGACAGTGATTTCTCGGATATATCTGGACAAAGTAAATTAAATATCTTCTGGAAAGCATTCATCATTCTAGATACCATTAAGAACATTCATGATTCATGGGAGGAAATCAGCATATCAACATAACTGAAGTTTGGAAAAAAGTTGATTCCAACCCTCATGGATGATTTTGAGGGCTTTAAGCCTTCACTGGAGGAAGTCACTGCAGATATGGTAGAAATAGCAAGGGCTAGATTCAAAGTGGAGCCTGAAGATGTAACTGAATTGCTGCAATCTCGTGATCAAACTTGAACAGATGAGGAGTTGCTTCTCATGGATAAGCAAAGAGAGTGTTCTTGAGATGGCCTCTACTCCTGGTAAAGATGCTGTGAACATTGTTGATATGACAACAAAAGATTTAGAATATTCCATAAACTTGGTAAAGCAGCAGCAGGATTTGAAAGGTCTGACTCCAATTTTGAAAGAAGTTCTACTGTGGGTAAAATGTTATCAAACAGCATCCCATGCTACAGAGAAATCTTTCATGAAAGGAGAGTCAATTGATGCAGCAAACCTTATTGTCTTCTTCTTCTTCTTCTTCTTCTTCTTCCTCTTCCTCTTCCTCTTCCTCTTCTTCTTCTTCTTCTTCTTTCTTCTTCTTCTTCTTCTGTCTCACTCTGTCACCCAGGCTGGAGGGTAGTGGTGCGATCACAACTCACTACAACCTTGACCTCCTGGGCTCAAGCCATCCTCCCACCTCAACCTCCTGAGTAGCTGGGACTACAGGCACGCACCACCATGCCAGACTAATTTTTTTTTTTTTTTTTTTTTTTGTAGAAACAGAGCTTCTCCACATTGCCCAGGCTTATTGTTGTTTTATTTTAAGAAATTGCCACTATCACCCTAACCTTCAGCAGCCACCACCTTGATCCATCAGCAGCCATGAGCATTGAGGCAAGACCCTCCACCAGCAAAAAGGTTACAACTTGGGCTGAAGGCTCTGATAGTCCTTAGCATTTTTAACAATAAAGCATTTTATTTTATTTTATTAATTATTAATTTATTTTTGAGACAGAGTTTCACTCTTGTTGCCCAGGCTGGAGTGCAATGGCACAATTTCGATTCACTGCAACCTCCACCGCCTGGGTTCAAGCAATTCTCCTGCCTCAGCCTCCGTAGTAGCTGGGATTACAGGCATGCGCCACCACGCCCA
The DNA here is from genome assembly GCF_000001405.40 of Homo sapiens. Classification (NCBI taxonomy): domain Eukaryota; kingdom Metazoa; phylum Chordata; class Mammalia; order Primates; family Hominidae; genus Homo; species Homo sapiens. The sequence goes on from NC_000006.12 coordinate 109,916,572, forward strand.
GCTAATATTTTTTATTTTTAGTAGAGATGGGGTTTCACCATGTTAGTCAGGCTGGTCTCAAACTCCTGACCTCAGGTGATCCGCCCGCCTCGGCCTCCCAAAGTGCTGGGATTACAGGCGTGAGACACCACGCCCAGCCTATGAGACTCATATTATTGCGATATTTGCTTTATCGTCGTGATCTGGAACGGAACCCACAATGTCTCTGAGGTGTGCTTGTACTGGGTATCCTGTCTCCTGCCACCATCCCCAACCCTCTTTTTTTCTTTTTTCTTTTCTGAAGATAGCTTAGCGCTATTTCCATATTGGTACTGTAGCTCTGCCTCATTTTTAATCATGGCTTACTTATTGAATGCTTATTATCCTGCTCCTGACAAAATGATGAGGTAGGCACATTCTTATCTGTATTTTATAGATGAGGAAACCAAGCTGCCATTTGTTGAAGTCACAAAGCCTGAGCTTACTAGCTCAGGATGTTAACTCCAGCATGCAGTGATATAGGAGATAATGTATGTGGAAACTCAGAGCTGCGGCTGATGCGAGGTGCTTCTCAGTAGATGCTTCTCTCCCTGGAGAAACATTCACTGCTGGACTCTGGACAGAAATAGAATGGGATACTGGGCACCATTCCTCAGCCTTCAGCTACGGTAATGTTGGACATGGCTGGGTCTCTCTGGCTTAGGTGGCAGTCTTCGGAGGTCACGGAGCAGCCTTTCCAATCACCCCTCTGACCCTATTCTTGCTAGGTCAGCAGAGCAGATCAGGCCCTCCCAGCCTTCCCCTCTAATGCCCTCCTCAGAAATGGCTCTCTAGGAACTAACAGTTTCCCAAAGCTTGACGCATCTGCCTGGTGGAAAGGTTCTCCTGCTTCTCCTCCTGCTGATGAGATAAGGAAGCCCTCAGCTCGAGCAGGGGCAAATTAGAGTGTCTGTCTGGGGGTATCTACTGCCAACACACCCCTCCTCGGTGCCACCCACCCCTGCCTTGGTGGGGCAGTGAGGGGTTCATGCAGTAGCTGAGGCTGGACCCTTGAGGGAAATTGGGCTCTTGTTTTCTTCCTTCCACACAGATTTGCTTTCATCTATTTGGTTTTACTCTGGGGATGGAATGAAATGTGGGTGGAGGCTGTTGGTGCCCTCGGTGGTCTGACTGCCCCCTCTCCTTCCACCACTCCCTTCATCTGGCTGAAGTCCAGCTGCCTCAGGTAAGGGATCAAAGCTGTTTTGTGCAAGAAAAAGGCAAAAGCTGCTAAGAGCTTCGTGACGAGAGGGTATTTGGTCTCACGCCCTTTCATTCGGAGTGACAGAGGCAGGTTGTTCATATGGACGAGGGTGCTGATCCATGCCAGGGACCTGAGCCAGGAAATTCAGGGCTCTGGAGTATTTCTGATAGGGCCCTGAAGAATTCCCACAAGAAGAGTTAACATTTTATTTATTTATTTATTATTTATTTTGAGACAGTGTCTCACTCTGTTGTCCAGGCTGGAGTGCAGTGGCACAATTATGGCCCTGTCAAACTCTCAGGCTCAATTGATCCTCCCACCTCAGCCTCCTGAGTACCTGAGACTACAGGTGTGGGCCACCACACCTGGCTAATTAAAAAATTTTTTTTGTAAAGACAGGGTCCCATGTTGGCCAGGCTGATCTTGTACTCCTGGACTCAAGCGATCTGCCCGCCTCAGCTTCCCAGAGTGCTGGGATTACAGGCGTAAGCCATGGTGCCCAGCCAAAGTTAACATTTTGGATGTAACAAAGACTCAAACATTCACTAGGTAAAAATGGACCATCCTTTCTTTAGAATGGAATAATTTTCAGAAGCCCTGCTCAATTTCTAGGAAAACCCTATGGTGAGGACACCCATGATAGTGTTTGAGTAATGACCATGGCAGGTTGGCCCCAGGCCAGTCACTCACTCAACCAGGCCTCCAAGCCAGAGAAGCACAAAGCCAGGGGACATAATGGCAGCAAACAGATTTGAAATCTAAACTTTTGAAGAGCTCAGCCTGAGGGTACTCCTTTGTCTTGTAATTCTTTGTGAAAACTAGTTCTTATAGAAGAACTAGTGGGTTTTTTTGTTTAATTGGGAAATAAATTGAATTGAACTCTGCTGCAAATCCTTTACCCTGAGAATAACAAAGTACACAGATTGGGTGGCTTAAAACTATGAAACTGATTTTCTCATGGTTCTGGAGGCAGAAGTCCAAGATCAAGGTGTCAAGAGGCTTGGTTTCTCCTGAGGCCTCTCTTTTTGGCTTGCTCATGGCTATACCACTCTGTGTCCCCATGAGGTCTTTCTTCTGTGCACACATACTGTCTGTGTCTAAATTTCCCCTTCTTATAAAGGTATCCATTGGATTGAATTAGGAACCACCCAAAATGCCTCACTTAACCCTAATTACCTCCTTAAAGACTCTACCTCCAAACATGACGGTTAGGACTTCAACATATTTTTTTGAGGACATGGGAAGAAACACAATCCAGCCCATAATATCCATTAATCTTTATGTATAAAGACACATTTTCCCCAAAATGAGGATTAGAATGTAATTATAATTTGGTAACCTGTTTTCTAAAAAAATTTAAATGTGCTTTTCTATGCTTATTTTCTATGCTAATGTCTATGCTAGTTTCTGATTCAAGATTGGTGGCCTAAGTAGATGCATTTGCCTCCCATCCCCTCCTAAGACTGAATTGATAATAAGCGCTCACACTTACTGGTGCTTACTATGTGCCAGGCACTGTTCTGACTACTTCGGCTGTATTAAATTACAGTCATGTGTTGCTTAATGATGGGGCTAGGCTCTGAGAAGTGGGTGGGTAGGCGATTTTGTCCTTGTGCAGATGGAGTGAACTTACACAAACCTAGATGGTGTAGCCTACCATACACCCAGGCTATAATGGTACAGCCTATGGCTCCCAGGCTACAAATCTCTATAGCAAGTTACTGTATGAATGCTGTAGGCAGTTGTAACACAATGGTAACTCTGTGTGTATCTAAACATAGAAAAGGTATGACTTCACTAGCAATAGGAATTTTTCAGCTCCACTATAATCTTATAGGATCACCATTATATATGGTCAACAACGGACATTATATATGTCCATTGTTGACCATAAAAAGTCATTATATGGAGCATGACTGTATTTAATTCTCACCACATTGTGAGGTAGGTATTATTATTCTTATCTCCATTTTGTAGATGCTAAGAGGTGAAGAAAGAGTCCATGGTGTCTACCGGGAGTGTTGATAGGCTTCAGAGAAAAGCTGGAAGAGGGAGTGGCTCAGCGGAGCTCCACTACGGTCAGGGGTGCCTGTGTCTCTGGCGTGCACACACTGTAGTGTGGTCCTCTCACACTGCGGGTAGCCGTGTGCCCTGACTCCTGCCGTCCCACCGGGGTGCTGTGTGCCCTGACTCCTGCTGTCCCTCTGGGGTGCCGTGTGCCCTGACTCCTGCCGTCCCACCGGGGGTGCTGTGTGCCCTGACTCCTGTTGTCCTTCTGGGGTGCTGTGTGCCCTGACTCCTGCTCTCATCCCTGCTGTGCACCTTATTCTCAGCACCTAGCTGGGCACCTCATACATGACACAGGTGTATAAATATTTGTTGAAATGTACATACATTAATAGGAGCATCCTGAAAGCCTCTCTAATAAAATTATTCTTATATTTTTAAAGGTTTTGAAAACATTTTTAAACTTCCTGGAGATAGAGGGTAAACATTCTCCGTTTAGTGAGTTCTGTTTCTGGCCACAGTTGAATAGAACATGTTTTTCTTACTAAATGAGAGAAAAGAACTAAAGAAAAGCAGAAACCCCCCTTATGCTTCTTCCAGAAAAAAAACCTTGGCTAATAGGGCTGGACGTGGTGGCTTATGCCCGTAATCTTAGTGCTTTGGAGGCCAAGGTGGGAGGATCGCTTGAGGCCAGGAGTTTGAGACCAACCTGGGCAACAAAGTAAGACCCCCATCTCTACCAAAAAAAACAAAAACAAAAACAAAAAAAACCTTGGCTGAGGGCAACAGCATTAGTACTAGGATCTCCCTTCACCATTTGCAAAGCATTTTTCAAGCTGTACAGGTTAGGGCCTGAAATGGAAATCGCTGCTCACCTAGTATGAATGACAGTGTTCTCACTGTCCCCTTGCCATTTGACTCCATGTCACATACCTTGTTTCTCCAAGATCATCATCACCCGGGATCACTCTTCAGCCCAGAGAGCTCTGCACTCCTCCTCTCGCCTTGTGTCTCATCTCACACCCCCTCAGCCCAGCACACACCAGGAAGCCCTCCTCTCCTCTACATGTCCTCTCTCTGCGAAAGCCCTACAGAAAAGTCCCTTCCACCATGAAGCTTTACCAGACCCATTCCCCAACGCTCCCGCCACTCAGCCCTTTCTTTGCCCCTGGATTCCACAGTGTGCAGTGCCTGATTCCTTCGATGAAGGTATCGACCAGCAATTCTCTTGCTCTCCCTAGCACAGAAACACAGAAGGGCCATATCACCGGCCCTGAGGAATCCATGTTGTCAGAAACGCGTTGCTCACTGTTCCGAGGTACAGGCCCAGCACCGCATTTACATGCTGGAAGGATGTGTTGTCATGATGACTGATAGGGTTGTCAACGGCTGGACAGTCATTGTCCTTGTCCACCCTTTCTGTTTCACTCATCAGATTTTTAAGAGTGCTGAATCACTGGAATGGCTTCTCAAAAAGATCATTGCAAACATTTACCATCCTCACTTTAGTGATCAACATATATTCTGATACTTGGTTAATTTTTTTTTTTTTTAAGACAGAGTTTCACTCTTGTTGCCCAGGCTGGAGTGCAATGGCACCATCTCGGCTCACTGCAACCTCTGCCTCCTAGGTTCAAGTGATTCTCTTGCCTCAGCCTCCCAAAGTAGCTGGGATTACAGGCACCTGCCACCACGCCCAGGTTTTTTTTTTTTTTTTTTTTGTATTTTTAGTTGAGACGGGGTTTCACCATGTTGGCCAGGCTGGTCTTGAACTCCTGACCTCAGGTGATCCACCCGCCTTGGCCTCCCAAAGTGCTGGGATTACAGGTGTGAGCCACCGTGCCCAGCAGGTTAATTTTGTTTTTTTTTTTTTAAATACTTATGACTATGGTTTATTATAAAGGATACAACTCAGGAACAGCCAAATGGAAGAGTCAACAGCCGAGTGGAACAGGGCAAGGTCTGGGAGGTGGGAGGGTCCCAAATGCAGAAGCTTCTATCGCCATGGAATCAGGGTGCACCTGATGCTTAGTTAGCATTTAAAAGCCATTTTGTTGCCTCCTTTTGCATCTGTCTCCTTATTGCGTGGAATAAGAAGAAATCAAGATGTGGCAATGAGATGAATGGCTCTGTCCTCCTGCAGCTCCACCCTCCTGTTTTCCTAGAGCTACTCAGGCTAGATAAATTGATCTCAGTCATATTTGTGAAGAGACAGTCCTAATCACACCACTTGCAATTGCTCATCTCTCTTACCAAAAAGAAAATTCCCAGGTTCTTAGTGCTTTGCCTTCTGAGAAAAAATTTTAAAGAACAACAAAATGTGCATAGCCCTTATTAGCATGGGTTCTCTGTGTCCCCAGGAGAGGACATACTGTACAGGAAACACAAAGTTCTACATTTAGGGGAGTATAAACAGGCAATTCTGAAGAAACGATTTTAAACAAGTAATTGCTAAAGGAACAGAGCTTGAAAGAAAGTTTAAAAAAAGGAAGACACCCACAAGATAACTGATTGCCTATTGTCGTAGGTCGCTTGTCCTTCAGAAAGGAAACGAGACTCCAGCCTCCCTTGTTGCACAGATTTGCAGCAGGATGGTGATAAACTGCAACTCTCTCCCTACTCAGCCTTCTTCCTGGCGTGGAACAGGTTTTCACCATGGGCATCCACAGAACAGTGCCAGATGTAGGGCACTGTGAAATGGACAAGGGTTTTCTATCTAGGTGATAACTGTGGTCTGAGCCAATTCTGATCCATGTGTATGAATCCCCAGGCAGACCCCTAAGCCTTGAAGAAAAAAGATGGTTTCTTGACCCTGCAAAGTCTGGATGCAAGGGGAGGGAGCAGTCAGAAATGGGCAGGAGTTGCTTTAAGTAAAAGTCCCTGAGAGGGCAGTGGGATTTGCTGAACCCCCTTTCTAGGCATCCTGGTCAACCACAGCCTGAGAGAAGAATGGTGGGGAGGGAGCCAGCTTAGAGGGCTTTCTGGCAAGGGGTTAAGACACCAGGGGCTGAAATTCAGCGGTGGCAAAGGAGGAATTCTCTTCCAAGTCAGCAGATTTACATCTCAGTCTGGTGGCCTTGGGTAAATCCCTTCACCCCTTGGAGTCTCAGCTGCTAAAATGCAAAATGGGAGAGTCATCCAAGTGACACTAGATCTTTCAAGATAAAACTAGACAACGTGCATTAAAAACACATATGAAACTAAACTTACTTTGACCACATGATTCAGCGATCCTGCTGCTGGTGTTTACTCAGAGAGGCTGAACACTTATGGCCACACAAAAACTTGCACACAGATGTTTACAGCAGCTTCGTTCATAATTGCTAACACTTGAAAGCAACCAAGACTTCCTGAACTTGGTGAATGGATAAACTATAGTATATCCGGACCATGGAATATTGTTCAGTGTTAAAAGGAAATGCACTATCAAGCCATGAAAAGACATGGAGGAACATCAAATGCATATTACTAAGTGAAAGAAGCCAATCTGAAAAGGCTACATGCTGTATGATTCCAACTATTTAACATTCTGGAAAAGGCAAAACTACAGAGACAGTAAAGAAATCAGAGTTAGGGAGGGATGAATAGACTGAACACTGAGGATTTTCAGGGATGAAACTATTCTGTATGATACTACAAGGGTGAACCATTTGTCCAAACCCATACATTATACATTTGTCCAAACCCATAGAATATACAGCACCAAGAATGAACCCTAATGTAAACTCTGGACTTTGGGTGATAATGATGTGTCAATGTAGATTCATCAGTTATAACAAATGGACCCCTCTGCTGGGGATGCTGGTAGTGCAGGAGGTTGTGTGTAGGGTGGAGAGGGGAATGTGGAGAATCTCTGTACTTTCTAATAAGTTTTTCTGTGAACCTAAAACTACTCTAAAAAATAAAGTATATATATGGATTCTCTACAAAGGAAAGTATAATTAATTCTATAGGTGTTATTTCTATAGTAACACCTGTGGAAATAAATGACTATTACTCACAACATGCCACAGACTGCTACTTTAGAAGTGAGCTCCCAATCACAGCTCTTGAATCACACATGCAAATAGGACAATCAGGCTGTAGAAGTGGCTTGGAGATCCCCAGAGGAGGTCCCCCGAAGATTGTAGGGATGACAAGCCTTTGGAAAGCCAAGTGTGGTGACTTCACTTGGGTTCAAATGAAGCCCTTCGCAGGACTCGCAGTCCCACCCCTCCACCCCCCATGAGAATGCCACAGTAGTACCAAAGTTTAGGAAGGAAAGCTGGGAGTCAGGTTTTGATCTAAGAGGGAGGGGCAAGGAGCTTTGGCAAAGGCCTGAGGGGCAGAAGAACACCCGGGACATGCTTGCTGTATATTTCTTGGAGCCAAGATTTAGTAACCTGCTGGTATTTCTGATTTTTTATTCTTTTCTACCTTCCCTGCCCTCCAAAGAGAATGTTGTGTCATCCCCTCAGCATTAAATTTAAAAACTAAATGTGATAATATATGTTAAGGCGCTATATACATTTTTAGTGACATTATTTCTATTACTTTAATTCATCACAGAAATCCCCAGGCTGCTGCCTAAAAAGAACTGCCTCTTGGCCAATCAGCCCTGCTCTACATTTTAATGAGGGAGAAAAGGGTGGAAAGAGACAGGCTGGATGGGAGAGGCTGCAGAGGTTAAAAAGAGGCAGTGGCAGGAGAAAAGAGAAAAGGAAGAAAAATAAGCAGACCAGGTATGGCAGAGTGCTGGGGTGATGGGTTGCGTGGAAAGAGACCTCAGAGAAGCTGAGGCAGAGAGGGAACTGGGGAGGATCAGAAGTAGACTGTGGTGGGCCGTGGACTGGAATCTCTTTCAAGTTCTTCAGGAAATGTGAGTAAATATTGGAATAAACATGGGAAACCTTTATAGTTAATGTTGGCTCTTGGACACTTCTATCCGACCCTATGCAGAGAACAGAACCGATTGTCCTATTTGCATGTGATTCAAGAGCTGTGATTGGGAGCTCACTTCTAAAGTAGTAATCTGTGGCATGTTGTGAGTATGGCAAGCTTTATTAATATCAGGCACAAAATTCTGGGATAATAATAAAAGCACTGAGAATGGCAGTGGTGATTTATAATGATGACATAAAACACTGATGGTATGCTTACCATGTGCCAGGCTCTATGCTAAGTGTGTAGGTGCATTTGATGTTCAAAAAATACTACAGGGGAGGTATTCTTGTGATACTTAAACCAACCAACAGACGAGGAAACTGAGGCTGAGAGAGGGTAAATGATAAGTCCAAAGACATTTCTATTGTGTCAGAGCCAGGTTTGTTACAGTGGGTAGCTAGTCGGGTATAAGCAGGGCAGGAGAGGGCTCCCACACACACCAGGAGTGTCAGGCGACCGTCAGGTCATGGTCAGGCTGTTGTTAACAGTCTCTCTAATGTAGTAATTAGTCACAGACAGCACCAGGGAAAGGCAGTCTCCTAATAGAAGACAGCTGAAACTGGTGATCACAGCTTCCCAATAAGATCTCAGGAGTTGGGAGAACTAACACAAGACCTGGGAAGTATGCCAATGTAGAAAACCCCAAGTCAGAAAGTCAAATTGTGCACTTGATCTCCCAGGTCACCTACTTGGCCCTCTTCCAAGTGTACTTTCCTTCCTTTCATTCCTGCTCTGAAGCTTTGAATAAACTTTTACTCCTGTTCTAAAATCTTCCTTGCCTCTCAGTTGAATTCTTTCTTCTGAGGAGGCAAGAATTGAGGTCGCTGCAGACCTGTATGGATTCACCACTGGTAACATATTTTGGTGCCATGTGACTGAGATACCTTCCAATGCTAACAGGTTTTGAATTCAAATAGTGTAATTTCAAAGCAGAGGCTCTGAAATGGATGCATGTATGACATGCTGGTGGAGTGGGAGATTGCCATATAGTAAAATATTCAGTTATTCCTAGAAAAAGCGTGCTGGGAAGACAACTGCACTAAGCCAGGTCACTTACCCCCAGCAAGGCTAGATAGCTTCTGCTGGGCTGCTGTCAGCAGAGGGTTGCTACTTTCCATTTGGGTGAGATTAAGATGTCTTCATGCTATTTTCAAATCCTTCACCAGGCTCTGCTGACCTCTCTTCCTGGCCACTCTGAAGCCCACACCCTGATGGGGCCTCACCAATCAACACTAGCAAATTTGGTTCAGTGGCTCCTTGATCTAGCCATCCTGCCATCTTAACTGGATGCTTTTCTCCAAGCAGTAAGCAGCCAGCAACACTGGCCCTCATTTCACTTGGATTCTTGCTAATTTAAAGCAATGTGACATCAGATGGCCAGAAAGCATCAGAAGTAGGTCCCAGGAGGACAGTGAGGCTTTATAGTGACATTGGAACCACACTGCTCTGGGTGAGCATCAGAGGTACCTCGAGGCAGGAGACACAGTGGGGAGAGCCTAGAGAAAGAAGAGGCAAATGCTGGTCACCACCCTGCCAGGAGGGCTGGGATTGTGAGAAAATGTGAGACGTGGGCTGGAGAATCCAGGAATAGCAGGCAGTAGTGGGTTCGAGGGAGCTGAGGTCCGTGCAATTTCAGGTTGTGGTGAAGACAATGAAATGTTTTCCTCCCAGGCTGATGTAGCCCCAGAATCATAGGTCTTGTTGCTGACTCGTTTGTCTTAGGGTGATCCCTTTCATCAATGTCACAAAGTCCTTGTGTAGGTCATGTTTCTGAGTCCACATTCATTGTCTGAAGTAGCTCCAAGTTCAAAGCCCAAAATGACGATTCATAGAGCAGCTCACTGAATACATGTTACATGGAGATTTATACTGAGCAGCTCATGGTCAGGGAAAGAATTCGAAACATAGAAATTTCCTCCCCTGCAAAAAGGCTACAAACTGGCAGATTTCTTAGGGTGATAGCCTATGCTTTCCTCTGAGAACTTCTCAGTGTATTAGTAAAAGACTAATCGTGTCTCTATCTCTGATTACCACTGGCTGCAATGAGGACCAGACTTCCCTTGGAGCAACAGGATGAGCCTGGAGGGAGGACTCCATGGGGCCATCGATTCCCTCATCATTATGGGTCAAGGCAGTAGTCTGAGAGTCAAAGACCCATTAGCGATAATGCAGTCAAAATGGAAACTCAGAATGGTTCAAGCCCAAGGCAAGAGCAGAATCTGTGAATTAAGAGATTGAGTCATCCTTTCTAAACGTAGAAAAAATATATCAATTTATAGATTGTCACCTCAGCACCTGAGAGGGAGTTCAGAGAAACAGAAAAAGTAGGAGTTTGCAGAAGCTGAAGTTGGCTTATATTCTGCTAGATATTTCTAATAATAATAATAATGTTTACACAATATTACCATGAGTCAGGCATTGTTCCAAACATCTTACATATGTTAACTCATTTAATCTGACCACTGTGTGACCACCTCACTGATATGACCAGTGCGGGCTGCCTACTCCTCTAAGTCTCTCCTTGATTTATAGTGTAATGCTTTCAGGACCAATGGAAACTAGAGGTGACCTGGGCTCATGTGATGTAAGGAATAACTTAGTCATCAACCTTTACTGAATGCTTGCAAATCTGTCATGAGCCACTAAAGATGTTGACATTGGCTAAATGCAAATCTGTCTGTAAGGGATAACCCTTTACATTAAAAAATAATAATAAAAATAAACTTCCAGGTGTGGTGGCTCACGCCTGTAATCCCAGCACTTTGGGAGGCCAAAGTGGGCGGATCATGAAGTCAGACAATCGAGACCATCCTGGCTAACTTGGTGAAACCCTGTCTCTACTAAAAATACAAAAAATTAGCTGGGTGTGGTGGCGCACACCTGTAGTCCAAGCTACTCAGGAGGCTGAGGCAAGGGAATCACTTGAACCCAGGAGGTGGAGGTTGTGGTGAGCCGAGATTGCACCACTGCACTCCAGCCTGGGTGACAGAGCGAGACTCCATCTAAAAAAAAAAAAAAAACCTAAATATCAACTATGTGTCAGGCATTTACATAAACATTATTTCATTTAATTTCCACAGTCTTACAAGGCAGGTGGTATTTGATGGAAACTGAGGCTAAGAGAGACCAAGAAACTCACTTAAGTTCTCCCAGTTAAAAAGTGGCGATACCAGGATTTGAGCCCAAATCCTAACTCTAACAACACCCAACAGGTTCCTCCTCCTGTACCTCATGACCTTAGCACTATGTTAATATCTTTTCATTTATTACTACTTGACTATATACATAATTTTTTTTTTTTTGAGACGGAGTTTCGCTCTTGTTGCCCAGGCTGGAGTGCAATGGTGCGATCTTGGCTCACTGCCACATCTGCCTCCCTGGTTCGAGTGATTCTCCTGCCTCAGCCTCCTGAGTAGCTGGGATTACAGACACCTGCCACCACACCCAGCTAATTTTGTATTTTTAGTAGAGATGGGGTTTCACCATGTTGGCCAGGCTAGTCTCGAACTCGTGACCTCAGGTTATCCACCTACCTCGGCCTCCCAAAATGCTGGGATTACAGGTGTGAGCCACTGCCCCTGGCCTTAACTATACATTCTAATAAGTAACACTTTTAAAAACATAACTACAGTACAGTAATTGCACCTGACAAAATTAACAATAATTCGCAATAAAGCCCATGTTTTGTTTTCCCTGGTTGTCTCAAATACACATATTTATTTATTTGTTTATTTTTAACATATATTTTTAGTTGGCTTGTTCAAATCAGCATCTAAACAAGATTTATACACTACATTTGGCAGATATGTTTTTAATTTAAAAAAATTTGAAAAATTTTCAAAGCTACAGAAAAGTTGAGAGAATAGTATAATGAACACCTATCTACCTTTAAACAAGAGTTACTGAAGTTGGTATGTCTCTTAAATCTCTTTTCATCTGTCATTGTTCCCCATCTCTTTTTAAAAAGAGCCATTTATTTTTATATGAAAATAGGTAATTTGACCTGTTGAATTTCCCATGTACTTAATATTTCCAATTAATTATTCATGGTGTCATTTAACGTATTCTTCTCTGTCTCATATTTCCTATGAACTGGGAGTTCATTACATAATTCATTACATTCAGGTTCTTGAGTTTTTGGTGGGGAGAATAATACTCCATGATAATACTTCATAGGTGATGTTGTATACTTCCTTTTGTATCCATCAGGGTGCACGTAACATCTGGCCGGTTTAACCTTGACCTTTGAGTTCAGGTGGTATCAACTCGATCCATGCAATGTAGAATTTCTCAGCAACTTTTAACTTAATGGCTTTAGCAGTCATTGATGGCTGTTGCCTGGAATCTTTATTTCTTTAGGGTTTGAGAACTGGTGATTTTGCAATTTTATCATTCTGGTTGCATTTACTACTTGTGCTTCTCTAAAAAAGCAAATAGCAACTATTTGATTGTTATAAGGTACAGTTTGTATAAGGAAGGCAGGATAATTATTTGATTCTTTTTCTTTATTAGTCAGTTTTCAGAATAATGAGTTGGTGTCCTAGCAACTATCAAAGGTGACTAAGGAGGTTTTACCTATTCTGGCAGAGGGGGAAGAGTGAAGTGGGATGAGGAGTATTATTTTTGAACCCAGAGACTTTTGTATATTTAATATATTTCAATCCGTTGCAGTAAATTTTATTTATTTTACTTATTTTTGGAGACAAGGTCTTGCTGTATCACCGAGACTGGAGTGTCACAGTGGCATGATCGTAGCTCACTGAAGCCTCAAACTCCTGGCCTCAAGCAATCTGCCATCTTGGCCTTCCAAAGGGCTGGGATTATAGGCCTGAGCCACTGCACCTGGCCAGTTGTTGTAATTGTTTTAAATGTTCAAGCTGTCTCATCTCTGGTCAATGGGAACCCCTTCAAGTTGGCTACCATATCATTTGATATGATCACAGTAATCTTTGACAGCTTCCTTGCTTTTAGGTATGACAAGATGTTCCAGATCAAGAAGTCCTTGTTCTTTTTAGTGGAAAATGGCATTTAGAGTCCACAGTCTAAGAACTAGGGGTGTTTCTTGTTATTAAGTTATTGCTTCTTCTAAATGCTTTCAGTGGACATAACTAGAAAATATTAATTTTTTAGGAAAACAAAAACAAATCATGAGGCCGGACATGGTGGTTCACGCCTGTAATCCCAGCACTTAGAGAGGCTGAGGCGGGCAGATCACTTGAGGTCATGAGTTTGAGACTAGCCTGTCCAACATGGTGAAACCTCATCTCTACTAAAAAATACAAAAATTAGCTGGGCGTAGGGCAGGTGCCTGTAATCCCAGCTACTCCAGAGACTGAGGCAGGAGAATTGCTTGAACCTGGGAGGCAGAAGTTGCAGTGAGCTGAGATTGCACCATTGCACTACAGCCTGGGCAACAAGAGCAAGACTCTGTCTCAAAAATCAAAAAACAAAACAAAACAAAACAAAAAAAACCCACCAAAATCATGAGTTGATACTGATATTTTTAATTTAAAGTAAGAATTACAGGATTTTATTTAACCTTCCTGATTTTATAATTTGTACCTCTATGTTTTGTCTCCTTACACTGTAAATCTGGGTTCCATCCTAACAATATTGAAGAAATGTATCTGTTTTATCTTATTTTCTGGTATCAAAATAACAATATCACTGTATTATGCTACCTACAATAAGACCACTGAATGCAGAGTAAGATTTATTGATATGTCTGTGGTTCTTTTTGGTTCTCAAGATAGACTCCATGAGAGATGTGTAGTGAAAATATTGTGGTCTCAAGTCATTTGAAATAAGGCTTCTGTGTGTGGTCAAGTCAAAAACCAGATTTATAATTAGATTTCCTTTTTCAGTTTGTGATTTTGAGTGAATTCTTTTTATTTCGTTAATTAAAATTATATAAAACATTCACTGGTTCCAAAATTCAACTCTAAAACAAGGTTCATTCAGGCAAGTCTAGCTTCTACTCAACTTCCTTCCTGTTCTCACCCTCTGGCAATGGTAACTTATTTCGAGTGTGTGTCTGCAAGATCAATGACCTGAAGCTACAGCAAATTCTCTAGAAATCAGACAAAACTGAGGACTAGGTCCTCATATCTAGGATGTAGAGCATCCAGCAGCATAGCTTGGCTAGTTACAAGGCTACTCTAGGCCATCTTCAAGATTGGAAGGTCAAATCCTAACTGCATCATCTCCACTGAGGCATTCACTCATTCATTCATTCATTCATTCACCCATTTATCTGTTCAGCACAGCCCTAGGTTCTAGGGATACAGAGATAAATATACACCACTCGCTTCTCCCTGTGGCAGAGCTGGATATGGAGACAGGTCACTTGGAAGCAATGTAGTAAAAGCTATGATAGGTTTTGATGGCCAAGGTTGTCAGGATGGACCTGAGGAAGGGGCTAAACTCAGAGTAGGGAGGGGTAGAGGTCACCAATAAAAGTTTCCTTATAGAGGTAGTACCTAGACAGAGTTTTAGGAAGAAGGAAGTGTTGATTGAGTTGAGGTTGGGAAGGGTGGACAGTGAGAAGGCAATGCAGAGAGAGGAAATAGCAAACTAAGACCCAAAGGTGTGAGTGAGCCAGGAGTCTGTAGCGAGTGATGAGTGATTTGCTATTTGGGGCAAGATGAGAAATAAAAAGAAGCAAGGCTCATAGGACAGTCAGCAGAGAGATCTCAGAGGGCTCTTGGAGGGGCAGGGTCTGTCCAGCTGCCAGGTTTAGTTCTTTCCCTACCACCTCCATCTCCCAGTTATGGGTTAGGCCATGCTTAAGTGATGCTACTTGTCTGCATGGCACAGGCCCATTGATTCACATAAGCCTATTGCTCTACTCTGTGTATCATCTGAAGCAGATAAGATGCCAGGGGGTCTTGGGCTTCCTGTCCTGCCATCGGTTATTTTGTGGGTAAGGAAGGCAAGTCCATTCCAATATCATCTAGCATCAAATATGAACTGGGAAGTAAGATTGGAATAAACCAGAACCACAAAGACAACAACAAAAGACACAATTCTAAAGTAATGTGTTTTAAACTTTTGGATGGTGACCCTCAGTAAGAAATACATTTTATGTGGTGATCTTGTTCAAACACACACACACACCCATTCACAATCACATGTTGTATTAGGGTTCTCCAGAGGGACAGAATCAATAGGATATATGTATATATAAAAGGGAGTTTATGAGGGAGAACTGGCTCACAGGATGACAAGGTGAAATCCCACGATAGGCCATCTGCAAGCTGGGGAAGAGGGAAAATGGTAGTGACTCAGTCCAAGTCTGAAAGCCTCAAAAACAGAGAAGCCCACAGTGTAGCCTTCTGTCTCAGGCCACCGAAGGCCTGAGAGCCCCCCAGAAGCCACTGCTGCAAGTCCCAGAGTCCAAAGGCCAAAGAACCTGGAGTCAGATGTCCAAGGGCAGAAGGAGAGGAGCAAGCATCTCAGCAGAAAAAAAGAGAGCCAGAAAACTCAGCAAGCAAAGCTATCCTGCCTTTTTCCACCTGCTTTGTTCTAGCCATGCGGGCAGCTGATTGGATGGTGGCCACCCACGTTGAACATTCTCTCCCTGTTCGCTGACTCAAATGTCAATCTCTTCTGGCAACACCCTCACAGACCCACCCAGAAATAATGCTTCACCAGCCATCTAGGCATCTCTTAATCCAGTCAAGTTGACACCTAATATTAACCATCACACATGTATATAAATGAAATTAATATTTAATGAAACTGCTGGATGTAGTTGCTCATGTCTGTAGTTCCAGAACTTTTGAAGGCTGAGCCGGGAAGATCACTTGAGCCCAGGAGTTCAAGTCCAGCCTGGGCAACATAGCAAGACCCATTGCCTCTAGAAAAACACAAAAAGAAAGAAAGTAAAATTTAATGAAGCATTACTTATCCTTACTATGAACAGTGCAATCTAATCTTTTTTACTTTATTTTAATTCACTGAAAAGATGCTGGTTGCAATCCACTAAATTGATTTTCTAACCCATATATGTACTGTAGGTGGAAATCTGCAGTTTGAAAAACACTGCCTTTACTTGCCTGGGATTCCCCTTGAGGATCCAATGGGCCTCATGAGAGGAAACAAGTATGGTCTCTGAGGCCCAGGGACTGGCCCTGTCCATGGCCCACAGACCGTTTAGACCAGGGGTCAGCAAACTATGGACTGTAGGCCAAATCTGGCCTGTCACCTTTTTAAATAAGGCCTATAAGTTAAGAATACTTTTACATTTTTTAATGATTTTTTAAATACGTAAAAACAATAAGAATATTTTGTGATATGATAATTATAGGAAATTTAAATTTCAAGGTCCATAAATATTTACAAGTCCATGACTATTTTTCAGTAAAGTTTTATTGGAATTAATTAATACAACTTTACTAGAACACGACCACATTCATTTGTTTACATATTGTCTATGGTTGCTTTTGCACTATATTGGTAGAGTTGAGCAACTGCTATGCAACTGTATGGTTTGCGAAGCCTAAAATATTTGTTACCTGGTCCTTTATAGAAAAAGTTTGTTGACAGGCCTGGTTTAGAAAACAGGCCTCCCAGCTGGGTGCAGTAGCTCACACCTGTAATCCCAGCACTTTGGGGGGCCAAGGTGGGTGGATCACCTGAGGTCAGGAGTTCGAGACCAGCCTGGCCAACATGGTGAAACCCCATCTCTACTAAAAATACAAAAATTAGCTGGGTGTGGTGGCACGTGCCTGTAATCCCAGCTACTTGGGAGGCTGAGGCAGGAGAATTGCTTGAACCCAGGAGGCGGAGGTTGCAGTATGCCGAGATTGCACCACTGCACTCCAGCCTGGGTGACAGAGCGAGACTCTGTCTCAAAAAAAAAAAAAAGAAAAAATAAAAAAGAAAACAAGCCTGCCTGGCTGCAGAGGCTCAGGGAGTGCATGGACTGCTCAGGCTGATTCCCATTTCTTTCTTTCTGTGAAGCCAACTTTTTGACTTGACTTCTTCCTCAAATACTTCCTCTTCTATTTGTCCCCCTCAGCCAAGTCCACTTTAGACTGCAGACAGTAGCCTCTCAGGCCACCTCTACCCCTCTCAGCTGGCCTAGGATCTGGCTCAGCCTAAGGGCCCCTATTCAGCCCCTGCTCAGCCAGGAGAAGGGATTGGAGAAGGTGGGCAGAAAGCTGCAAAAGCAGTAGCTGCCATGGGAGGAGGAGAGGTGAGAGGCCCCTCCCAGCCTCCTGGACGCTGACTCCCCTGAGCTGGGGACGTAGCTATGGGAGTTTTGCACCGAGGCGCCAAATCCCTCATGGAGTGCTGCCGGAGGGGAGGGAGGTTTCTGAGGGGCCCCCATGTGTTGTTCTGCATTGACCTGTGACCCTGCCTCAAGCGAAAGTGTCCTAAATTCTCCAGCATGGTGAGGGAGAAACTGCATGAACCTGGTGTGCTCCTCAGGGGATGCTACATGAAACTGAAAGCCCTGTCTGGAACCGTGAAGTGACTGGTTTGGAAAGGATGGGGAGGGAGGGAAGACCTTGGCCCTGCCACAGCTATGGTAGCTCAGGGATGCAGCCCTCAGCAGTGCTGACACAAGGGAGCCGGTTCCCATTCATGGGCTGAGAGGAGTGGCCTTCATCAGTGGAGCTGGAGAACACACGCAATCCAGTGACAATCTCGAAGACCCCTCCTAACCCATCCAGAGAGATGGGAGCAGCGCTGGGGAAGCTGCCAGGTCAGGGCCCCACCAGGCCTGACACGGAGGAGGACTTGTGCACAGTGGATGCAGGAGGCACCCGGTGCTGCCGGGAGGGGCTGGGGGTGCAGGAAGAGGGCACTAATGTGTACTGAGCACCTGCTGCAGGGCCCACACCGTGCAGAGCTGTTTGTGAGTGTTAACATGTTTACTCCTCCCCCAGCCTCTGAGCTAGGGTTTGCCCCCATTTGATAGGGCAGCAAACAAATGTTCTAAAAGGTTGAGTGATTTTCCCAGAGTCATGGCTTGGAAAAGCTGGAGTCCCAGGGATTCCACTCACAGGGGCACAACTCACAGATGATGTTCCATAATATTTTTATAGAAACACACACCTCTTTGACCATCCTCTTAAGACTATAATGTGAGCTGAGGAAAACATGGGCCTTGAAGAAATCATCATAGCATAAAAGAACAAATAATGGTCAGATCACCTTCTGGTGGGCAAGTGTCTCTGTGAGCACCCCCAGGCCCTGCACATTGTTGGTGGGAAACAAATGCTTACTGCTTCACTAACAGACATAGGAATTCCTGCCCAAGAGTGAGAGTACACTTTAGAAAGCAGCAAAAATAGCTAGTAATTTTTGAGCACTATGTGTCAGGCACTATTTAAGAACTTTACATGCATTAAGTTTTTTTAATCCTCAAGACAGTTTTATGGGGCTAATACTATCATCACCTCCATTTTACAGATAAGGATCCAAGCACAGAAAAGTTGCATAATTTACCGATAGCCACATAACTTATACACAGAGGGATGAGGAGTTAAGCTCGTACAGGCTTTCTCAGGAGTCAAAGTTTTTATTTACCAAACTCTACTTCCTGCTTCCATTGTATCAATTATCTATGGCTACGGTGGTCTGCTTTTAGAAAAAAAAAGCTGTACACACTGTATTAGTCCATTCTCATGCTGCTAATAAAGACATACCAGAGACTGGGTAATTTATAAAGGAAAGAGATTTAACTGACTCACAGTTCAGCATGGCTGGGGAGGCCTCAGGAAACTTATAATCATGGTGGAAGGAGAAGCAAACATGTCCTTCTTCACATGGGGGCAGGAAGGAGAAGTGCAGAGTGAAGCAGGAAAAGCCCCTTATAAAACCATCATATCTCCTGAGAAATCACTCACTATCATGAGAGCAGTAGCATGGGGGTAACTGCCTCCATGATTCAGTTACCTCCTACCAGGTCCCCCCCACGACACATGGGGATGTTGGGAACTACAAGTCAAGATGAGATTTCGGTGGGGACACAGCCAAACCATATCACACACAAACTGCATTAAAACAGAAACAAATACAAAAAAAACTTCAGTGGCATACAATAAACACAAATTACATTTAAAAAACAATAACAACAAAAACCCCACAAAACTTCAGTGGCATACAACAATAAACACTTATATAACTAGCAATTCTGCAGGGTTCTGCTGATGTCAGTTGGGCTTGTTCCTACATCTGCAGTCATCTGTAGGCCAGCTAGGCAGCTCAGCTGATGTTGGCTGGGCTCACTGACACAGGGTAGGGTTGGCTGTCTGTTAGCTGAGACTACTGAGGGACTTGACTCCGAGCCAGGTATCTTTCATCCTCCAGCAGGCTAGCCCAGGTAGCATTCTCATGGAAATGGCAGGTGCAGGAACAGAGGTCCAATTGCACAAGCCCTTTAGAAGTCCTTGTTCATATAGCATTTACTATACGATTGTGTATAGTTTATCCTATTGGCCAAAACAAGTCACATGGCTGAGCCTGGAGTAAGAGAAGATCGCTGCAAATGGAAGGATCCAGGAAGGGGTGAACAGTGGGGCCCTTAACCCACTCAATCTACCAAATTGGTTTTACTCTATTTAAGTGAATGTTTTTTCCCTTCCATCCTTATAGGTCTTATAGTAGTTCTCACACTACTGTATATCAGATTCACTAGGGAATTTGTTTGGGAATGTACCAACTCCCAAGCTCAGAGATTCTGATTCAGTAGGGCTGAGGGAGGCCCACACATGTGATTTTTTTTTTTTTTTTTGTGATGGAGTCTTGCTCTGTCGCCCAGGCTGGAGTGCAGTGGCATGATCTTGGCTCACTGCAACCTCCACCTCCTGGGTTCAAGCGATTCTCCTGCCTCAGCCTCCCGAGTAGCTGGGACTATAGGTGCGTGCCACCACGCCAGGCTAATTTTTGTATTTTTAGTAGAGACAGGGTTTCACCATATTGGTCAGGCTAGTCTTGAACTCTTGACCTCGTGATCCACCCTCCTGGCCTCCAAAAGTGTTGGTATTACAGGCGTGAGCCACCTCACCTGGCCACATCTGACTTTTAATAAGCAATCTGGGAGATTCTGAAGCGCTTAATCTTTAAAAAACGCTATGCTAATCAGCTAGATTTTCAACTAGCTTAGGGCTTTTGCTTCACTTCTCTTCTTTGAAATGATGATCCAATTCAGTGTTACAAACTCATCATCAGAGGCTATGGGCATGAGCCGAAATGTTCCCTTCAGTGTGAGCTCAGAGAGCCTGTGTGGCTGCAGGAGCTGCAGTGAGATCTTGTTTTGCAGCCTAAGGTAATACTTATCTTGTATTAAGCTTGCTGGGCAGATGTTTCTAAGCAGAAAATGCACCGCACAGATGGAACTTATTCACAGCAACCAAGAATGAAAGAAAACCCTAGGCAAGTCAGTGTATCTGGATGCAGATTCTGACCAAGTTGATACTAGAGATTTGTAGTTGGAAGAGATTAGAGATATAAAGGCCTTAGTAGGACCCAACTCTATAGCCACCAGTTGCTTCCTGCATTTGCTTTCCAAGTTCTCCTTCCATTATTGAAAACTGCCCCAGGTGGGGGCTCCCATCCCTTTTTTTTTTTTTTTTTTTTTTTTTCTGTGACAGAGTCTTGCTCTGTCACCCAGGCTGGAGTGCGGTGGCACAATCTCAGCTCACTGCAACACCCACCTCCTGGGTTCAAGTGATTCTTCTGCCTCAGCCTCCCGAGTAGCTGGGATTACAGGTGCCCACCACCACGCTCAGCTAATTTTTGTATTTTTAGTAGAGATAGGGTTTCACCATGTTGGCCAGGCTGGTCTCAAACTCCTGACATTGTGATCCGCCTCCCTCAGCCTCCCAAGGTGCTGGGATTACAGGTGTGAGCTGCCGTGCTCAGGCCCTATCCTTCATTTTTTAGACCACTTTTCCATGAATAATGTTGCTGATGGGAAGGGGGACCTTCCCCTAGAACTTTACCATCTTATTTAATCCTCACGACAATAATTCTATATTGTTATCTGCAATTAGGTGTTGATATCTGCAATTTTTAATTGAGAAACACAAGGTTCAGAGAGGTTAAGTGACCATTTTCAAACATGACATATAAAAATACGCAGTAGTGACTTCAATATATGCCCTCAGCTGCTGCAATGAGGTCCAAAGATGGCAAGGGGGACAGAGCATGAGCATGCGAATGCCAGCTCCAAGAGCCCCATGATCATCATACTCCCTACTTCCCACATATTTCTTTTCAGAGGACTGGAACCCTAGAAAGGTGTTGGGCTGGGCAAGTCGCCTGCACTGCAGGTTCACTTTTCTCCTGGAGATCACTGTTTGTCCCTGCCCACCCTGTCCTGCTCAGCTACCCATAGATGTAGCTTGCTCCTGCTGCCAAACCCAGGGGAGACAAGCAAATCCAGCCAACGTCTCAGTGAGCAGAGGGTGGAATGCACTTGGCAGGCATGTGGCAGTCATGTGAGCATCAAGCTACACCTTTTCTCCATTACTTTTTGTCTGTCTTTCCACACCTGTTTCTGACTAGGTTCTTGGTCCACACTCTCATTCCCAATCAGAAATAGCCAGTTCTTGGAAACCACCATTCTGAGCAAACTATCACAAGGACAGAAAACCAAACACCGCTTCTCACTCATAGGTGGGAATTGAACAATGAGAACACTTGGTCACAGGATGGGGAACATCACACACCGGGGCCTGTTGTGGGGTGGGGGGAGGGGGGAGGGATAGCATTAGGAGAAATACCTAATGTAAATGACGAGTTAATGGGTGCAGCACACCAACATGGCACATGTATACAGATGTAACAAACCTGCACGTTGTGTACATGTACCCTAGAACTTAAAGTATAATAATAAAAAAATAAGTAAATAGCCAGTTCTCCCCACCTCCCTTCCACCCCTAATTTGAACCCTGCACTAATCTGGACAGACAGCCTGAGGGGTAGGATGTGCCCACCCAACTATAAGTCCAGAGGCTGACCAGAGAGTCCAGATGCTGAGTGCCTCCATCTATTGGGCCAGTATTCAATGAGTGTTCATGATTGTTATTATTGGTAGCAATATCCAAACTCTTACGTTTAGTACATGATTGTTCCAAGTGACAACCAGGCCCCATCAACTCAGCCATAGAATTCCAAAGACCCATGGAAATGGGGTGGAGAGGGCCAAGTAATATATGGAGAAGCCACTGCTCCTGGTGTTTGATACTCATTAGGACCTAGGTAACTGTCCAGGAGAGTCCTTTCACCAAGACAATTTTGGAGTGACTTTTCTGGGCCAAGGGTCATACCTGGCTCACCTCCTTTTGGTGAATGGTGCCTTCCAAGGCTTTGGAGTATAACATGGTCTGAATCATTACTACTGACTGTTCCAAGTGATATAACTTCACCAGAAGCCTCAAGTGTGTGGTTTGAAGGCTGGGGAGATCCTAATTTTACAGCCCAGCCGTTGATGTCTCAACGGGTTTTCCCATCAGTGGGACAGGAGGGTGATGAAAGATACATTGGGAATAACTAGATATGGTCCAGGCCCAGGCTGTGCCTGGGAAACACCATTGAGGAAGGACCTGGAAGCCAGACTCTGTAGACTGAGGCTTTTACCGGATGTAACACTAAGCTACAGGGAAAAATAAATAAATAATAAATAACCTGTCACCGAAACTCATTCTTACCCCAAATCCTGAAACTAACCATCCGATCACTGATGCCAAACACTAAAGAGTCATTTGAATTAATTCCTCCTCTCTTCATCCATCTAAGCAATCTCCAAGGCCTTCAGTTTTAGCATACTAGCATGTTCCCATCCTCACGGCCATGACCTTATTCAAGCCATTAGCATCACTCTGCTGCTCCTACCTGGCCTCTCTGCCGGCTGTCACACCCTTTCAAACAGTTGCCGAAGCTGATCATGTCACTCTGGTGTTTAAAATACGTTTTACATCTCCCTGTGGCGTAGAATATTTACACTCTTAAGCTGGGAGAGAAAATGTCCCTGTACTCCTCATCCAAGATCTGGCCCCTGCCAGTCTCCCCAGCCCTACTCCTTACCATTTCCCACATTCCCCTGTGAGTCAGGATAGGCTTGGATCTACTACAGGAATAAACAGCTCTTAAAATCTCTGTGACGTAACATACCAGAAGTTTATGTTCATGCAAAGACTGCTGTGGGTCCAGGAACCTAACCTTGGTAGAGTGACTCAGAGATTCAGGCCACTTTGATCTTGTGGCTCAGTCCTCTCAATCTGGTCCTCTGTTTTTCAGACAGAGGAGGAGAGAGACTAGAGACACACAGGCTTCCACTGCCTCTGGCTGGAAGTGACATACATCACTTCCACTCACATTTCCCTGGCCAGAACTTCACTATGGCCCTACCCTACTCAAAGGAGGTAGGAAGTGTAGTCTCTTGTGTGGTCAGGAAAGAAAGAACCAGATGTTACTGATGTTGGGGCCCCTGGTGCTCTAAGCATGCTGAAAACCTTGTGCTCTCCCTAGCATACCCTGCCATGCCATGCCTGTGTCTTGCACGCGCTGCTCCAACTCTCTAGAACACCTCTCTCCTCCCCTTTCCCATCTATCCCAGTCTTTCTTTCTCTGCCAGCACATCTCCTGGGAAACTTGGTTTTACCCAACCCCCCATGATATGGTTTGGCTGTGTCGCCACCCAAGTCTCATCTTGAATTGTGGCTCCCATGATTCCCACGTGTTGTGGGAGGGACTTGGTGGAGATGGTTGAATCCTGGGGGTAGTTTCCCCCATGCTGTTCTCATGGTAGTGAATGGGTCTATGGGATCTGATGGTTTTATAAGGAGAAACCCCTTTCACTTGGTTCTCGTTCTCTCTCTTGCCTGCCATCATGTAAGACATACCTTTCACCTTCTGCCATGATTGTGAGGCCTCCCCAGCCATGTGAAACTGAGAGTCAATTAAACCTCTTTCTTTTATAAATTACCCAGTCTCGGCTATGTCTTTATCAGCAGTGTGAGAACAGACTAGTACACCCCACTTTGTTCTGAAGGCTATGGGGCCTTCCCTGACAGCCCTCTGCCCCCAACAATAAGTGGAGGCAACAATAAGTGGCCTCAGTGCCACTCTTGGGGCATGGGCAGGCTATTGCCTGAGCTTACCTCTCGGTGTTGACATGGTTTATTGATGTATCTGTTCTTTCTGCTTCCTTATGTCCCAAGATCCTAACACATACCTTGGCACTAGCAGTTGCCCAGTAAATGTGTATAGAATTTAATTGAGTGGACGAATTTGGCCTTTTACTGGGGAGGGCTCAAGTCTTCCTCATGGGGCCCACCTCCAAAGAGTTTGGACACAGTGGTCTGTGTCAGAGTTGCTGTCCTCACCTCTCCCTAAACCCTCCGCCTGTTGGTGGGTTGTCTCTTCGGACCCAGAAAGTGCTGCAAGGAGCAGAAAAAGGTTAGTTAATTCTTTAGATTCCTGGAAATCTTCTTCACAGCCATTCTTGGGGCCAGGGCCAGGGCTGACAGAAGGGGGGTACCGCTAAAGGGATGAGAGCTTGGAAAAAAGGAAGAAAAGGTAAAAAGAGGTTGATGCTACCAAGGTGGTAAACACTTACCTGCCTTTCCCTCTTGGGCACAATCCCCATATATTAATGTAAATCTCTGCACAGCAAGATTCCCACTGACCATTTATCCCCAGGACCCTGAGGAAAAGAGGTCCTACCTTAATTCACCTTTTCCTCAGTTGCCTCTTAACTTCTTTCTCTAAAACAAGCCTCTTCAACTGGTCTCTGCATCTTCCAGCAGGGCCCAGCAGACCTGATCTTAACCGCTCCCTTTCAGTAAATCTGGTCTCAAACCACCCTGGCTTTCTCTTTTCTGTCTTTAAAAACTAAACTTCCAGCTAATATTCCAGTCTTCCCTGGAGATCCAATTTGTGGGCAGGGCCATGCTATCTCAGTGTTCTTGCTGAGCCATAATGGTAAGAGTCGGTATTTACTTCTTCCTAACATCTTTCCAATAATCTGAACATCTAGAATCTTTTTCCCCTCACATTTTCATTCTCTGTCATCAAAACTCATTATGCTGTTCTCATTCCACGTATTTAAAATGCTCAGAGTTAGTGCGGCATCTGTGCTTCCCATGGCTAACTGTGCCTTCTAGATGAGTATCCACAGTAGATCTAATTAGCACAATATTTACCTCTGCTTCTTGCTTATTAATAAAGATATCATGGCAGAGCAGACTCCCGTGACAGTCCTCCTGAGCCATATCCAGGTGTATGAGTGTGAGAAGAAGGCTATTTGATTATTTGTGTGATCATTGCCATAATGATGTGTTCATAACTGTTTCCCCAAACATTCAGCAGACTTCTCAGAAGCAATCGTCAGACAAGTATTAGAGTTACTTTTAGAGTGACATTTTATAAAATCAATTAAGCATTGGTGAGATATTTTTAAAAATATTCCCTTCACCATTCCACCCTGTCCACATCTGCTTATGGATCCAGAGCCCCTAAAATGGAAGAATAACAAAGTGAAAGGCACAGAGCTGGGGGAAGAGAAGTGGGATGATGAGCAAATTTTCTGTGGGGTCACTATGCCTGCCTGCCATGGGCTGGAACATGCCTTGTTTGCTGTGCCTTGAAATGTGTCTGCTGGGCATTTTGGATTACCTAGTAATGTTCTCATCTAAATCAACTGGAACTCATGTTTGAGCAGGGAAATTTCATAAATAAACCAAATCAAAGAAGACCTCCGTCTGCAACACTTACTTTGAACTCTTCAGTTGTTAATTCCAGAGCCCCAAGGGTATTTAGACAATGCAAAGAACCCTTTTGTGTAAACCATTACAGTCAGGGCATTGAATAGGATTGTTCTATACATATTATCAATGTGTCTGGTAAGAAGAACATAAACCATCCTCCCACAGAGATGTTCATAAGATATCTGCAAAGAGGCTGAAAGTAGCTCAGAATATACTTGGGAGTGGGACATGCAGGTGATAGCAACAGTAACTTATAGCCATATAGCACAGTGGCTCTTAACTAGGGCTACAGCAGAACTTTCTAAGCACCCTAAAGATTCAGATTCAGATTCAGTTGATCAGGGGCTAAGGTGTAGGCATGAGCATTTTGAAAAAGCTCTCCCTGGGTACATGTGCACAAATGTCCCTTTTTGAGAAGCACCAATAACACTTCACGGTTTCCAAAGCACTTTCACATTCCACATGGCTGCCCAGTGAGACTGCCTCCATGCTGCCAAATGCAGGCTCATTATTTTTCTCATTGTACTTGGCCTCTTCGTGGACCAATTTTGTGACAGAACTTCAGGGAAACCACACTCTTCTGCTTTTCCTCTGACTGCAGTGACTGCTATTTCTCAGTTTCTTTTCCTGGATCCTTGTCCTCAAACATCATCTCTAAAGATTGGAGAGAGCCAGGACTCAGCCCTTGCACCTCTCCTCTCTCCTTAGGTGACCTTATCTAGTCCCGTGGCTTCCAACACCTTCTCTATGCTCACAAACTCCTTGTTTCTATCTCCAGCTCCGACCTGCCTCCTGAGCTTTAGACCATGTAATCAACAGCCCAGATAACGTCTCTCCTTGGATATCTAAAACATAGCAGAAGCTCATCATAAATAGAGTTATTGATCCCTCCAAACCCACTCCTCCCCTAGGCTTCCTCATCTCACTCAACAGTCTTCTCAAGCCCAAAATCTGACCTATCCTCTATTATTTTTTCCCCACATATCAATCCATGAGTAGAACTCATTGACACAATCTACAACACAGTGCCCCAAAGTGCCCATTTCTCTCCATCTCTCTCCTATCACCTTAGACCAACCCACCCTTGTCTTCTGCCAGGACTAGTACAATTGCCTCCTAACTTGTTTTCTTGTTTCTAAATCCACTTTCCTTAGAGTGAGCACAGAAATCTTTTAAAAACAAACCATGCAGCCCTGTCCTTTCTCAAACCATTATCATGACTTCCTATATATGAGAATAAAATTTCAGCTTACTACCTGGGTTTACAAAGTGCTGCAGGGCTGGCCTCTGCCTCCCCCTCCCACTCCCCAACAATGCTCCAGCCGTGTCACCTTTCTTTTGCTTTCTCAAACAGTCCAAGCTTATTCCCATAACACAGTCATTGCACTGCATATTCCTTCTGCTGATTGCTTTTCCCCCATGTGTGACTGGTTGGTTCCTGTCATTCAGATCTCAGCTTAGGTGCCATTTCATCAGAGATGCCTTCTCGGACCCCCCAATCTAAAGCAGTTGCCAGATCCTCTCTTTCATACTCCCCTGTTATTTATCTTCACATTATTTACCCCTATTTATTATTTTTCTCACTTCCTTATGTTAGAATGAGAGCAGGACCTTTTCCCATCTTCATTTGAAATATCCCCAGCCCTAGGCAACTATTGAATGCATGAATCAATTTACTTATCTGAGCCAATCGGCCTGTGAAGGAGGCTTGATCATCCATTTTCATGGATGAGAAAAATGTCATCCAGTTGAACCAGACGACTTGCTCAAGGTCCCAGAGCTAGCTCAGTGGATGGCAAGTCTTCTGAGTTTAAATCCAGTCCCCTTTCCGCTTATGTTGAGGCTGCCTCCACATAGAGAATTCCACCTTTAAAAAATGGAAATGTCCTGCACTCGCATGCAAAATAGACATTGTGTGCGGACCATGGGTCTCAATGCAGGGAGGCAGCAAACTTTGTCTGAGTCCTAAGGCTCGGTGGCTCACCCTGAGGAATTTCTGTTGACCAAATGTGATGTGACCTCCAGGAAGGGAACATAGTGGAGCACAACAACAATTAAGGTGGGGGCTGCGTGTGTGTGCGTGTGTGTGTGTGGCCTGAATGAGTATGTGCACACACCACTCATCCTCAGCTCCTTTGTGCTTGCACTGAACCCCTGGCTCCCGGATGAGTCATATCCACCAGGTTGCATTCCTTGAACTGAATCTCACAGCACCTCCTTCACCAATCATTGTTTACCTGGGAAACAAGCTGAGAGGAAAGTTTGAGTGCACCACAGGACAGAATCTACAAACACCCCTGTGATTTGAGATGGGATTGTTAAATAGTTTTCACATTAGAAAGAGGTCTTCAGGTTCTGTCTTTGATAGGTGA
Organism: Homo sapiens; assembly: GCF_000001405.40. Classification (NCBI taxonomy): domain Eukaryota; kingdom Metazoa; phylum Chordata; class Mammalia; order Primates; family Hominidae; genus Homo; species Homo sapiens. The sequence goes on from NC_000006.12 coordinate 109,944,822, forward strand.
CCACCTGGCGGACTTTTTCCAATTGCACCAGTGGAAGTACATGCATGAATAATGGTAGCATTTACCCAGGCCCGTGTATTTCAGAAAATGGGTAGGAAATCGTTCCTATAGCAACAAGAGGCTGGCAGTTCAAGTCAGTCACTTCTGCTGGATCATAGAATGTAGCAGGTGAATTCTTCCTTTTCAGACTAAAGCTCTCCTTGAAAAGGAAATGATCATGTTCTTAGGAATACTGTAACCGCCACTCAACTTCCAGATCTACCAGTTCAGGAAACACAGCCAGGGTCCTCAAGGCTGCATTTTCAAACTCTCCCAAGGACATCCAGGGGGTGGAAGAGAATGGAAACCTGTCACCTGCTGCTGGCTTTTCTCTTAAACCTCTGCTCTTCTACTAGGCTTTCTGGTCAGTTCTGTTTTGTTTGCCAGCTAATTGCAAGTATTAGCACCTGGGCTTGAAACCTGGCTGCCACCCCTCCATTTCCCTTTCTCTCCATGCTTGCACCATGGATGATTGTCATGGATAGGTGTGAGGATTAGCAAGCCTCTGTTTCTCTGGAGACTCCCTCTAGTGAAAATAACTGGCTGAGAAACAGGGCCAGTGGGCTGGGGATTTTGCCAGCTGTGTGATGGTATAAAAAGAAATGTCTTAATCTCTCTAAGTTTTTGCCTCCTTATTTCTAAACTATGATTTATGCATTATAGGATTATTTTAAGGATTTAATGCAAAAAAGTAGAGAAGGCACCTAGCACATTGCCTGGCCAGTTACAGGTCTCCATAAATACCGATTCTCTTCCCCTCAATTCTTACTCCTAAGACCACCCTCCTTCGGGAGGACAGGCTCTTCCATAGATAGAGGCAAATAAATTGGGGGGAGAGAGAGCTGCTTTAATGGACAGGGAGGGAGAGGGGTGCACACCAAAGAATGCTGTTCCTTGGGACAGGGTTGTGGGGCATGTGTTTGGTGGAGTCCAGCCCAATAAGACCCATGCATGGGTTCTGGGATATTTGATAGAAATGCCCCTGTTGGTGTTAAAAAGTCTGAACAGTACTTTCTTGCCAGTTGCCACCTTCTTCAGCCTTGTGTTGCTTGTGAGTTTCACCAGAGCAATGCAAATGAGGTTTAAAGCCAGAGGGTCAAGAAGCCCCACTGAGTATGGCAGATTGAGGAGAAATGAAGGCAGCCTGTGCAATCTTTGCAGGTCCTCCTGATAGAGTGGCCACACATTTTGTCTTCATAAGTAGGAAAAAGACTCAGGTGGGAAAGGGAAGGTTATAGGGGGTGGGGAGGTGGGGAGGGTGGTAATTTATTTAATATTTTACTCCTTTTGTTTGTTTGTTTGTTTGTTTTGAGACAGAGTCTGGCTCTGTCATCCATGCTGGAGTGCAGTGATGTGATCTCAGCTCTCTGCAAACTCCGCCTCCTGGGTTCAAGCAATTCAGGTTCAAGCAATTCTTTTGCCTCAGCCACCCAAGTAGCTAAGACTACAGGCTTGCACTGCCATGCCCGGCTAATTTTTGTATTTTTAGTAGAGACGGGGATTTGCCATTTTGGCCAGGCTGGTCTTGAACTCTTGGCCTCATGTGATCTGCTCACCTTGGTCTCCCAAAGTACTGGGATTACAGGCATAAACCACCACGCCTGGCCAATATTTTACTTCTTAATTTTGCAACCTGTTCACCTTTGACCACGGACCAAAGAAAGTTTTTTTGTTTTTTTTTTTTTTAACTCAGTCAATAACACATTGCCTCCAAAACCAGCAGCAGTAAGTCATAAAACATAGGTTACCCTTCTGTTACTCCCAGACCTCTGGTTCCTAGCAGAAAATGGCCATAAAAGTAACCATAGGAGAGAGAAGAGGAATACTTCCAGATAACTCATGCATGAGCTAATAAACCTCTCCATAATGAATTGCCTCTGGAAGACACATATTTTCAATGTTAGCAAATGAAAACACTGGAAATACTGAAAGGTGAAGGCACCTAAGGGACAGTGATTGGTTCTAAGGGAGGCTTTTATTGGATGAAGTACCCAAGCATCCTGCAGGAGTCCTACACAATCTCTGACCCCGGTCTGGCCAATTCTCCTGCAGGAAGGATGAACCTAGAGACAGGGAATCTGAGTAAAGACATCTACAGATTGGAGGAGGATGCCAAGATGGGTTGTTGCCTAGCAAGCACCCCAGGCTCCTGTGGGTACTGCTGGTGATGACAGCAGACGTAGGAAAGCTAGGGAGGCCCAGGGCCTGTTTCTGAGAGCACTCATGGCACAGAGCGATGTAAGTTCTATCTTTCCTACAGAGGCTCACCTTTAACATGCAGTGATGGAGCACTGATGACTCACCAGGTGCTGTAGCTGGAAGGGGGCCATTCTGCACCTTTACGGCCTGGGAGGCCAGGGCTGCTGAGCCAGGGCACTGCCCCTAGCTACAGGTTCCTGCAGCCATAGGCCTCGAGCCCCTTTCTTACTGCCAGGCTGATGGCTGGCTGTTGGCTGTGGAGTTTGGTAGCAGACATAGCTGTGAGGCAGAGGAGCCCAGGGCTCTGTGGCATTGTCAAGGATTGTGAGTCACCGAAGTACCTACCTCAGGTCCCAGTTCATAGCCCCTTCCATCCCAGAAATACCAGGCACATTGTGTCCATTTGGGAGTGCAGAGTTAGGGAGACACACTGTCCTTACCCTAATTGGTTTGCCTCAGAGAAAACAAATCTTCAGCTATATTTATCATTGCTGATTATTACTATTGTTTCTGCTCACACAGAATTTTGCCAATAAATCCTATCCTAAAAAGATTTTTTGCCAAAATTGATAAAACTGCCAGCATCCAGCCTCCACTCCTCCCTGCCCCCTGCCCTCCATGCCATTCCCAAACCCCTACGCATGTGCATATATGAACAAACTAAATGATTAGGTTAAGTATGTGGATTCTGACACCAGCCTGGATTCAATTCCTAGCTCTGTCACTTAGTAGTTGTATGAACTTAAACAAGTTATTAAACTGTTCTCTGCCTCTTTTTGGAATTTGTATAATGAAGATAGTCAGAATATCACCCTATGTTTTGAAGATGATTAGATTAGATGATGTGTGTGACCTCCGTGCATGCCAGGCACATGTAATTGCGGGCATCGTATTATCATTGAACACACGGCATGCCTGGCATAATAGAGAGATCATGGGCTTTGGTCTAAAGTCTTCTTGGATTCAAATTTTGCTTCTGCTACGTAATGGTGTAACCTTAGACAAGTTACTTAACTTTAGTTAGCTTCAACTTCCTCATCTGTAAAAAAGAAATTAAATATATCTCAAAGATGCAGTTCAGCCCAAGGGAGGTCACACAAATAAAACATCAGCAGTGCTTGGTACATGGAAGGTGCTCCATAATCTGCTAAAGTCCTTTCATTTCTTCAAGACCAGCTTAAGTACTATCTGCTTCTCAAAGTCTTGCAGACCCCATAGAAGCAGTGATTCCCTCTCCTTATTTATTTTTGCAGTAAAGCTTTACCCAGTACCCCGCCATATTGTCCAGCATAGTCCACAGCAAAGGGGGAAACTGGCTTGGGCTGAGTATGTGGCCAACCACCTCCACTCCTGGACAGCAGGTCAGAAGGGGCCTCGTCTCAATCAGTAAGGACTGGAGTGTCAGTCTGTTGAAAGATGGACAATACATTAAGATGAAAAAAATTTTATAAAACTCTTCCTCTTCCCTGAATTGCTAAGGGAACTTGAAAACATTCAGTTATTCATTCAATCATTGATTCAACAAATGCTACAAGCCAGGTGCTGGGCCAGGGACTGGATTAAACAGATACATTGTTTCATCACGGAGGTCACCATCCAGTGAACAAGAGAATCATTAATAAGATGTTGTAAAGGTAGCCAGGCTTTCTTTTAATCAGGTATAGCAAGACATGCAGACTTGGAAATGACTGTCATGAGAAAGGAGCTTTTGTACTCACCCATCCCTAGAAACAGGAGGCAGGGCATGCTCTGCAGGGCCATGAGGAAAAGCAGCAGGGTAGGTCAGGACAGGAGGCGGAGGGAGGGAGGGAGGGGAAAACATGGGCAAGAGTCTTTATTGTGGCTTCCTGGGGAAGGAACAGGTGAGGCGGGGAAGGAACAGGTGAGGCAGGGAAGGAACAGGTGAGGCGGGAAAGGAACAGATGAGGCAGGGTGGGAAGGCTTAGCGTTGGCAAGTTTGAATAATTTCAATGGGCTCTGGCCCTGGACTGATGAGGGCAGGGGAATACTGGCCCAGGAGTGTGAGGGCCTGCGGAAGGAGGTGGTTGGGGCTTAGGTGCTCAGGCTTGGTTGCTGTGCATAGGAAGGATCTGCTCCCAGGTGAGTTGTTTACTTAATCTTCAGCAATTGGCTAGCCCTGGGAGGGGCAATCCCTCCAGGAACTGCAAGGCATAGATGTCAAAGCATCAGATACTAGAAAACATAATTATTACGTGAAAGAATCCTTCAACTATATCTTGCAAACTCTGGGAGTGCTGTGAAAGAAAAATACTGTGGCGAGAGGCAGTGTAATGCTGTACCTGACCCGAGCTGGGGGTGAAAAGCTTCCTCCCTGCAGAACAGTCAGAGGGATCCAGAGCGCCTCGGCGGGCCCAGATGACAGGCCTGCTTCCCCCTGCACGAGGCACCTTGGCCCTTGCCACCCACCCCAGGACAGTCCAACCTTAGTGCGATTGTTCTGTGAGGGAATCCTGGCTAGAGCTCCTGCCCCAGCATGGTCGCCAGGGTTGGCTGGCTGATGAGCTCTCCTATCAGATGAGGAGTCATAGCTGCATGTTCGTCTAACAGTCGCCTTCTCAGAATCTTAGAAAAATGCTTTAGAGGGGAAAAACAAAGTATCTAAAGAACAAAAACAAAAACTCTCCTACTGACCCAATTTTCTGGCAAGGTGGAGTGAGAAGGTGGGTTGGCCAGCTCAGCTGCACCTACAGTGACAATGCTCCTTCCCCATTCACAGCACATGGGCAGGAGGAGGACTGCAGGTGCACAGAGTCTAAGAGGCCGTGCCACTCCCACTGTCCCAGCGCCGCAGGGCTGAGGGGCCACCCGCAAAGGAGCTATTACCGAGCTCTTTGTGATCAGTTGTGTCTTGTGAACTCTGCCTTCTGAAAGAAAGACAATTCCGGGGAAAAACTTTTAGGCCAAGGATGCAGACCAGAGAACAACGAAATGCTGAAGTCACATCTCAGCTTCGTCTAGAAACAAGGAAAAGAGACGTCTCTCATTCTTGTGAGAATATTGACCTTCTGTTAACAGAGCAGAGCCGCCCCCGAGAAAGACATTTCCCACCTTCCTCGCCTCCTCTCCTGAGGCCTGCGGGTTTCTCAGGACTCCCTGTACCACCCCTTCTCTGCCTTCCTGAGGAGAAGAAAATATGATGTCACTCAGCTGTCGTTAGGAATTTGATGTGTATAACATTTTGTGAACCCCAAAATGTCTGAGACAGGACTTAAGCAATTCAGAAAGTTCATTTTGTCGAGGCTAAGAACATGACCATGACACAGCCTCAGGAGATCCTGACAACATGTGCCCAAGGTGGTCAAGGTTCAGCTTGCTTTTATACATTCTAGGGACACAGAATACCTCAATCAATACACTCAGGATGCACACTGGTTCACTCTGGAAGGGTGGGGCAACTCAAAGCTGGGGGTGGGGGGACTTCCAGGTCATGGGTAGATTTTAAAATGTTCTGCCAGGTGCGGTGGCTCACACCTGTAATCCCAGCACTTTGGGAGGCAGAGGCGGGTGGATCAAGAGGTCAGGAGTTCAAAATCAGCCTGGTCAACATGGTGAAACCCCATCTCTACTAAAAATACAAAAATTAGCCCAGTGTGGTAGCGTGCATCTGTAATCCCAGCTACTCAGGCGGCTGAAGCAGGAGAATTGCTTGAACCCAGGAGGCAGAGGTTGCAGTGAGCCAAGATCGTGCCATTGCACTCCAGCCTGGGCAACAAGAGCAAGACTCCGTCTCAAGAAAAAAAAAAAAGTTCTGACTGGCAATTGGTTGAAAGACTTATTATCAATAGAAAGGAATGTCTGGGTTATAAGAAGTTGTGGAGACCAAGTGTTTATTGTGCAGATGAAGCCTCCAGGTAGCAGGCCTCAGAGAGAATAGAGTGTAAATGTTTCTTAACAGACTTAAGGTCTGTGTTGACGTTAATGCTGGTCAGCTTTTCCTGAATTCCAAAAGCGAGGAGCATGTAAAGAGGCATATACAACCTCCCCCTTCCCATGATGGCCTGAACTAGCTTTTCAGGTTAACTTTGGAATGCCCTTGACCAAGAGGAGGGGTCTATTCAGATGGTTGGGGGGGCCTTAGAATTTTATTTTTGGTTTGCAATTTCAAAGAGCATTTGTTATGTGCCTACTGTGTGCCCAGCCTGTGCTGGGTGCTAGGCAATAACTAAGACCCCCAGGGATGAGATGTCCAGAGACAGACAGCTTTGCCATGCTCTATGTTGGGGGCTAGTGGATGCCTGTTTGTGACTCGTGGAGGAAGAAAGGCCCCCATATGCCTGCAAGGAGTCAGACAGCTTCAGAGATGAGGCAAGGTTGCCAGGCTGACAAGTAGGGGATGTATTTGAGGCAGAGGGAATAACATGGGCAGAAGCTCAGAGGCATGAATACCATGGTTCGTTAAACCACAAGTGGTATGTATTACTGGAGTGGTGAAGAAGGAAACAGAGAAAGAGAAACGTGGGAGAAAGTGCTTGGGGGAAATTCTGGATAGGAAGGTGAGGGGGAGTGGATCATAGTGAATATTAGGTACTGTAATTCAAAGATTTTGAGCAGAAAATAGTTTATATGATGGAATGTGCAATTTAGAAATACACCTCTGAGAAAATATGGAGGCAGAGAAACCTATAGGAAGATCATTATAAAAGTCTAGGCAAGTGATATGGTTTAGCTATGTGTCCCCCACCCAAATCTCATGTTGAATTGTAATTCCCAGGGTTGGAGGAGAGGCCTGGTGGGAGGTGATTGGGCCATGGGGGCAGTTTCTATTGTTTTAGCACCATCCTCCTAGTACTGCTTGTTTAAAAATGTGCAGCACCTCCCCTTTCTCTCTCTCCCTCCTGCTCCAGCCATGTAGGACATGCTGGCTTCCCCTTTAGGGCCTTCCACCATGATTGTAAGTTTCCTGAGGTCTCCTCAGTCATGCTGCCTGTATAGCCTGTGGAACAGTGATCCAATTAAACCTTTTCTTTGTAAATTACCCAGTCTCAGGAGGTTCTTTGTAGCAATGCAAGAACGGACTAATACAGCCAGGGATGAGGAGTGTCTGAACTGAGGTTCTGGTGACAGTGCATCAGGAGAAGGAAAGCAGACATTATAGATTTTCCAGCCTAGAAATAACAACTCAGAGAACACTGAAGTAGTGAGAGTTGTAGTTGAAGGTGTAGATTTTGGAGTCAGCTCACATGAGTTCGAGTTCCAGCTCTACTACTGCTTAGCAGTACAGTATTGGGCAAGTTATTTACTCTCTCCGTACCTCAGTTTCCACACCTGTGAAATGGAGATAAAAATATTACTTGCCTCACAGGGTTGTTGGGGTGATATGTTCAATCAATGAAAGTTAAATAATAATAGCCTACCTGGCACATAGTAAGCATGCAGTAAGTGTTGACTATCTTTAGTGTGATTGGATGCAGAGCGAGGTGAAGGGAAATGGGCATATCTAGTTCAGCTTTGTACTTCGTTTTAGTGCAGAACCCTTGCCTCTGAATGTGGTCCTTTCTCTTAAGATGTAGCATTTCTCAGATCTCAATGGAATGTTTGGGAGTCTCAGCAAGTTTTCTTTGCTCTGGCTGAGCCAAAACTCCTGTGTCTCCTAGCACTGGGCAATCTTTGGTATCCCCATTCAGCTCTCAGCCTCCAACCATCTGCCTCTCAGGCCCTGTGAAGTCTCCCCCTGCTTCTCTGGGACTCAGTGGCCCAGGGCCCAAGAAGAATCCACCCTCCATATCCCAGTGCACCACTACCACCAGAAGCCCCCAACTCTGATCTCTGCTCCCCACAACCAGTAAAATTGTAGCTTTCCATTTAACCTCCACCTATCTGCACCAAGATGTAAGAAAGCAGGGCAGAAGGGAGGGAAGGGATAAGGTAGGAGTAGAATGCAGAGCTCACTTTGGGTCTTCCTTTCTCTCAAAGAGCCCAGATTTGGTTTTTTGTTTATTTGTTTTATTTTATTTTTAAAATTCTTGTGAGTACATAGTAGGTGTGTAGAGTATGGATTTGTATTGTCTTTTGTCCAATGCCTGAAATGGTTGGTTCCTGTATCTTGTCTGATTGTATTATTGTTTATGGCCAAATGATAGGTCCATTATCAGTCACTCTGTCATGGCTGGATACACAACCAATGAGCCTTGGTTCCTCATCAATGAGGTACTATTAATCCACAGAAAGGATTAGAAGAGATCATTTCTGTATCAGTGCATTCTATGGTATTTGTCAGAAGGTAGATGCACTATAAATGTGATTTTTCTTTCTTAAGTTCCTATTAATTTTAAAACACACACACAAAAATGCATCTAAGCACGTCATAATAAAGCTCTTGAAACCAAAGATAAAAAGAAAACCTTAAAAGCAGCCAGAAAAAAACCCATTATTGTATACAAACGAACAATGATAAGAAAGGTACTTGTAATATTATTAGAAACAATGGAGGCCAGAAAGACAACAGATAGAAAGTCTCAGAAAATTTTCAGAAAAATAAATTCTGAGAGAATTAAGTGCCAACAGAACTGTGCTGTAAGAAATGCTAAAAGGAAGACCAAGTCAGGAGGATCTCTTGAGACAAGAAGTTCAAGACCAGCCTGGGCTACATACCCCATCTCTACAAAAAAAAAAAAAAAAAAAAAAAGATTATCCAGGCATGGTGGCATGTACCTGTATACAGTCCTAGCTACTCGGGAGGCTGAGGCAGGAGGATTATTGAGCCCAGGAGTCTGAGGCTGCAGCAAGCTAGGATCGTGCCACAGCATTGAAGTGTGCACAACAGAGCAAGACTCTGTCTCTTTAAAAAAAAAGTTACAAGGAGTTCTTCAGACTGAAAGGAAATGAAATGATATCAGATGAAAATTCAGGTCTACAAAAAACAATGAAGATTCCTAGAAATAGCAAAGATGTTGGTAAATGTAAAAAATGTTTTAAATTTGCTAATTTCTTTGAAAGCCAATTGATTATTTAAAGAAAAAAATAACTTTTTGTGGCTTCCATAATGTAAGTATAAGTAAAGTATATGACAATAGCACAAAGAACAGAAAGAATAAATTGAATATTCTGTTATAAACTTCTTACATTATAAGTGAAATGAAATAATATTAATTCTAAGTAGTCCGTGAAAAGTTACTGGTGCATATTTAAAAACCACCAAGCAACTAATGAATACAGATGGTATAGCTGAAACACTAATAGAAGAAATAAAATAAATGACTTTTAAAAATCCAATTTTAAATGCAAAAGAAGACAGAAAAGGACAAAGAAGGGCAAATATTAATTTCAACAGTGTTTGGCAGTTTTCAAACTGTAGGCTTTCATTAAATTTTTTCCTAAATGTGTTATGTTTTTGATGTTATTTTAAAGGGTATTTAAATTTTTCTTTTTTTGCCAGAATATAAGAAAACAATTGATTTTTGAATTAGTGATCTTGTATTCTGTGACTTTGCTAAATTCACATATTAGTTCTAGTAATATCTCCTATATTAAAGAAATTAAATATGCAATTACAAACCTTTTCAAAAAGAAAATTCCAGGCTCAGATTATTTCTCTGATGACATCTATAAATATTGCCAACATTACACAAAATCCATCATAAAAGAGAGAGAAGGAAGATAAGGACATTATAACAAAAAGAGGAGGCCATTGTTCTAAGCAAATTAATGCAGGAACAGAAAACCAAATACCACATGGTGTCACTTATAAGAGAGGGCTAAGCATTGTGTACACACGGACATAAAGATGGGAATAAGACACTGAAGACTACCAGAAGGAGAGGGGAGAGAAAGGGGCATGAGATAAAAAACTCCCTATTGGGGACTGTGCTCACTGCCTGGGTGATGGTGTCATCCACACCTCAAAACTTAGCATCACACAATTCACCCATGTAACAAACTTGCACATGTACCCCCTGAGTCTAAACTAAAAGTTGAAATTATTTTTAAAAAAGAGGCAAATAGACACACGAATTATAATATATCTATTCAGTTACTCAGCAATAAAAGGAACAAATGATGGAACCATATGACACGACGCTGAGTGAAAGAAGCCAGACAGAGCAAAACATGCACTGTCTGATTCTATTTAATATGAAGCTTATGAAGAGGCAAAAATAATCTATGATGGTAGAAATCAGGAAGTGGTTGTATTTGAGGGCAGGGATTGACTATAAAGGGGCACTTTCTTTGGAGTCATGGGAATCTTCAATGTCTTGATTGGAATGTTGATTACATGGATATATTAATTTGCCAAAAGTCACTGAATCATATATTTAATATTTGTGCTGTATTAGTCTGTTTTCACACTGCTGATTAAGACATACCCAAGACTGGGTAATTTACAAAGAAAAAGAGGCTTAATGGACTCACAGTTTCACGTGGCTGGGAAGGCCTCACAATCATGGTGGAAGGTGAAAGGCATGTCTTACATGGCAGCAGACAAAAAAGAATGAGAGCCAAGTGAAAGGGGTTTCCCCTTAAAAACCATCAGATCTCATGAGACTTATTCACTACCATGAGAACAGTATGGGGGAAACCGCTCCCATGATTTGATTATCTCCCACAAGGTCCCTCCCACAACATGTGGGAATGATGGGAGCTACAATTCAAGATGAAATTTGGTTGGGGACTCAGCCTAACCATATCATGTGCATTTGTCTCTATGCAAATTTAACCTTAGTTTTTAAAAGAGTAAGAAAAATAAATTGCGAAAAATACCCCAAACCCAAAACAAAACAGAAAGCAACTCTCTTCCCCTTAAAAATGAGAACACTTTCTAAAACACCACATCAGTAGGTTTGATGTAACAACTTAAAAAAAAATGAAGAAATATCAGGAAGGAACAGCACAGTAATATAAAATCATAGACTCAGTTTTCTGTCTGCAGCATCAGATGCAGATGATGTTCTAATGAGCAAGACAGCACCAACCCTTACCTTAAGGAGCAAACAGTTTAGTGGAGAAAGAGCAAAATTAATTTGGCAAATAACGATGGGAAGAAAGTACTACAAAGGAAAAGTTCAGGACTTAGGAGTGGAGCACCTAACCTAGTTTGAGGACCAAGGAAGGATGCCCTGAGGAAGTGACACTTAAGCTGAGACCCAACAGATGTGTAGGCACTGGCAAGGCAAAGAAGCTAGAGAAGAGGGCTTCAGCCAGAGTGGAGTGCACATTAGCAGGCCCGGGTGAGAAGGGATGTGGTCAGTGTGCCCTGAGCACAGGCAACAGGGAAGAGAGTGACCCAAGGAAAGGCTGGACACACAGAACCCTGTTTTCACAGAGGCTTGCGTTCAAGATGAGGTGATTTATCTTAAAAGCAGTAGGAAGCATGACACAGTCATTTTGTTCTTTTAAAAGATCACTTTGGGTGCAGGGTCATACACGGTCTGTCCCAGCACTATCCAATAGAAATATAACACAAGCCACAAATGCAAGTCAAGGATGTAATTTCAAATTTTCTAGGAGCCACATTAAAAACTGTAAAAAGAAAAAAAGCTCATGTGTGAGTAATCTTAAAAATATATTTTACTTAGCTCTCATTCCCCACTGTTTTCATTTCAACATAAATTAATATAAAATATTGTTCATAAGACATGTCTACTTTTTAATTTTTTATCTTTTCATGCTAAGTTTTCATAATCCAGTGTGTACTTACAGCACATCTTAATTCAGACTGGCCACATTTTCAGTTGCTCAACACCCGTGTGTGACCAGCGGCTCCTGTAATGAAAAGCACAGGTCTAGACTGAGGGCACCACTAGAAGTAGAACTAGTTAAGAGCTGCAGCAATTGCAGGGCAAGAAAAGACAGTGGCTTGAAACAAGGGGGTGAGCAGCATGGCTTGACTTGAAAAATAACGTGGAGAAAGAATCTACAGCATTCAGTGACTCAAATGAACTGTTTTCTCCTGAAGATCAGTTCTCGGTCCTTGCATTACTTGACCCGTCATCAGCATTTGATGCCATTGATCATTTTCCCCTGAAAATATTTCCCTTACTTGAATTCAAGCACATCATACTCTCCTGGTTTTCTTCCCACCTCACTGGCTCTTTCTTCTCAGTCTCCCTTGCTGTTTCTTCCTCATCCCTCTGTTCTTTAACACAGAAAGGCTCAGAGCACAGAAGCTGCACCCCTACTTTTCTCTGTCTCTATCCCTCACTGCCCCAGTAATTACATCTAGTCCTGTGGCCTTAAATATCACCTGTAAGCTGGTAGCTCCAGCTCAGATCTCTTCCCTGAAGTCCAGCCTGGTAAATCCAACTCCTCAGCAATGCCACTTGGGTATGTCCAATAGGCATGTGAAACTTACCATGTCCAACACTGAACTCATTTTCCCCTGCAAACCAGTTCCTCCCAGAGTCTTCTCCATCTCAGTTAGTGCAACTAAATCCTTCTAGGTGCTTTGGAGTCATCCTTACCCCAATCCAGTTCTGTTAGCACTTCCTTCAAAATATACATGTAAATATGAAAAAATGCTCAACATCACTAATCATCAGAGAAATGCAAGTCAAAACCACAATGAGATACCATCTCACACCAGTAAGAATGGCTATTACTAAAAAGTCAAAGAAACACAGATGCTGGTGAGGCTGTGGAGAAAAGGGAATGCTTATACACTGTTGGTGGAAATGTAAATTAGTTCAGCCACTGTGGAAAGCTGTTGGAGATTCCTCAAGAACTTAAAACAGAACAACCATTACTGGGTATATACCCAAAAGAAAACAAATTGTTCTACCAAAAAGACACATGCACTTGTATGTTCAGCATTATTCACAATAGCAAAGACATGGAATCATCCTAGGTGTTCATCAGTGGTGGATTGGATAAAGAAAATATAGCACATACACACCATGGAATACTACACAGGCATAAAAAAGAACAAAATCATGTCCTTTGCAGCAACAGGGATGCAACTGAAGGCCATTATCCTAAGCAAATCAATGCAGAAACAGAAAACCAAATACCAAATGTTCTCGCTTATAAGTGAGAACTAAACATCAGGTACTCATGGACATAAAGATGGCAACAATCAAAACTGAGAACTACTAAAACAGGGAGGGAGGAAGGGGGGAAGGGTTGGAAAACTAACTATTGGGTACTATGCCCATTACCTGGGTGACAGGATCATTCACACCCCAAATCCAGCATCATGAAATGTACCCAAATAACACATCTGCACATGTACCCCCTGAATCTAACATAAAAGTTGAAAAAAACAATGTTTGTTATATCCTAAAAAATTTACAAATAATAAGACCTTAGTGTGAAAAGTGTACTAAAATGAAATGTAAAATTCAGAACATTAAATATATGTATATATATATGTAGAGTCCCCACCTTGACTGCTATAAGCTTAGTCTAAGCCCTTGAGGCCTCATCTTTTTCCTAGATTATTATAACAGTCTGCTAACTTGTCTTTCCTCCTCAATACAGAAGCCAGAGTGATCTTGTTAAAATATAAGTCCATCCTTTCTCTTTCAAAACTTTCTGAAGGCTCACCATCTCACCAACAGTGAAAGCCAACGTTCCCATCAAAGGAGGGATTTTTGCTATTTTTAGATATATCTGCAGCATTAGAGTAGTACCTGGCACACAGGAGGCACCCAACATTTGATGAATGAGTGAATGAGATGGGAAGAGACAAGATAAGAAAAATGGGATGAGACAAGAAGGCAGAGTCAAGGTTAACTCCCAGTTTTTTAGCCTCCCACACATGGCACAACTTCTGCAGCTTGAGAATGTCTTCAACTCTACCTTGGAGAGTCATAAGGGGGTGGTAAGATGCTGCCGCCTACAACAGCCACACTCATGTGAATTTCTCTGTTCTCTTCCCACAGTTTAGAAAAGCTTTGGCCATCAAGTGCTTTCAGGCAGTGTGTCATTCTGGGTAGCTGAGTTTCTCAGTAGCTTCCATATTTGATGGAAAGTTTGAAAACACATGACACCCTTCCCAGCTTCCTGCTAAATGATCAAATTCACCTTCTCCTGATGAGCTGGGGCCATGATTGTAAGTGAGAGTGACTGTACTGTGCTGAGGAGAGGAAACCCTCCTGGTATCCTGGGAAATAGAGGGATGTTTGTGCCTACTCCAAAGTCCCAGCCTAGGCTACCCTTGGAGCTTGTGTTCTGGTTATGAAAGTTGAATCATCCTTGCCATTAGGCTCCCAGCTGTCCTTCTGAGCATGGCCACAGTCCCTCTCCTTGTTTTCTAAAATGTTGCTTCAAAATAAGACCTCAGCTTGCCCTAGTTGTGATGAAATTAAAAGTGCATCCTAGTGAGGGGTTGTCCTATGGTTAAAGGGGCAAGAAATGTTGTGCATAGAATGCAGGCATCAGTTGTCAGGTTTCTGATGGAGGAGTTTCCTAGAGAGCTGGTGTATTACTGTACAACTCACAAGTGAACTGCTTTTTGAGAAAGTCAGGGCCTTCTTCAGAAATGAAAGGTGGAAAAAGTTCTCCTCAGCATTCTAGTAGGTTTATTTGTCTAAAGTTCCAAGAGGAGAGGAATGGGGCTTCCAGGACTCCTCACGGAACTTTCCATTTCTCAGTAGATTCCGCTCTTCCCTGAGAGCCCCCCTCAATCTCCATTAATGCCTTGCCCTGTCTCCCACTTCCCGTCCAGGGATGGTCATCCATCCCACACTTCCTTCTTGCCTCTTCAGCATCAACCATCCTGCACTCCTTTATCCAGCATCTGCTCTGACCCAAAGTAGCAAATAAAATATTTTATATTTCTGTGCCATTTAGGCACCTGAAGGGTAAATTCTCTTCTTCAGTCCTTGTACAATTTTTCTCAGACCTAGCTCAGGAGGAAGCCATCAAAAATTACTCACCTTCCCAGTCAACTCTCATCAGCCTCCCTTCCCCCATGTCTTTTCACCCCAGCAGTGGACAAAAGGGGGCAGAATTTGCTTCTTCCCCACCTAGACTTGCCTTTACCAGGTGGTCCACCTGCAAGGCACTGATTCCAGATAACAAGTCCTGGAGCTGACTAGACCCCATGCCTCAGACCCCTTTGCTGTTCCTGATTCATATAGAACCCTCCCTGGCTACTCAGACTTGGCTGGAGCCTCTCACCTCTACATTTAACGAAGGCCCTTCACAGGCCAGGCATGGTGGCTCACACCTGTAATCCCAGCACTTTGGGAGGCCAAGGTGGGTGGATCACTTGAGGTCACGAGTTCAAGACCAGCCTGGCCAACATGGTGAAACCCTGTCTCTACTAAAAATACAAAAATAAGCCAGGCATGGTAGCGCACACCTGTAATCCCAGCTACTCAGGGCTGAGGCAGGAGAATCATTTGAACCCAGGAGGCAGAGGCTGCAAGTGAGCCAAAATCACACCACTGCACTCCATCCTGGGTGACAGAGCAAGCCTCCAGCTCTAAAAAAAAAAAAAAAAAAAAAAAAAGGAAGGCCCTTCCTGAACTCCAGCAACACTAAAGAAAGGACAGACGTAACATTGCCCTTAACAGAAGATCCTCAAGGGGTCAGGATAGGAGGACAAAATCGTTTAATGACATCTTTGAAAAACCTACCAAAGTGTAACAAAAACAGCTAGCATGTGTTCCAGTATTTGGAGATAACGAGAGGTGAAACTGGGGTGGATGGTCTTTCATACACACAGAGATGATTTTATGACCAAAAGACAATTTTATCTTGATGGTTGTGATAGGCAGAATAATGGACCCCAAAGAGACCCCTGTCCCAGTCCCTGCAACTTGTAAATATGTTACCTTACATAACAAAAGGGATGTTGAGGATATGATTAAGTTCCCTGAGATAGGGAGAGCATCCTAGATTGTCCAGGGCGGGGTGAGGGGCATCTAATTACCCAGTTCCTTGAAAGCAGGGAACCTTTCCTGGCTGTCATCAGTGGGAGATGTGACCACAGAAGAACGGTTGGAAGGATGAGAAATTCCTGGTCTTGAAGATGGAGAGAGGGCCCAGGAGGCAAGAAATGCAGGCAGACTCAAGAAGCTGAAAAAGGCAAGGAAATCGATTCTCCACTAGAGCCTCTGAAAGGAATGCAGCCCTGCCCATACCTTGACCTTAGCCCAGTGAGACCCATGTGGGACTTTGGTGGAAGAGCTGCAAGATAACAAATTTGTGTTATTTTAAGCCAAACAAACAAACACACCCCTATCAACTGGAAATATTGTGGAAATGGATCTCTTGGCTACTCCTGCAACCTCAGAGCTGGGCTTCGGCCAGTGCATGCAGCAGACAGGAGAAAGAAGAGGTCAAGTTGGATGGACTGTCTAGCCATTTGGTCTGATACCTAGAGACGGTCTGGAGGGAGGGGTATATTAAAGTGGTAAAATCTATGGCTGCTAAAGAAATTGGCTTACTTTCCCTTCAGTCTCTGAGGCTGTTAGAAGGCCCCTGAACCAGAGGGCAATCTGCCCAAGGCTTCCTCTGAGCTCTGAGAGAGGCGATATTCAGCAGTCCTGCTTTCTGGCTGCAGGCTGGTGTCTCCCTCCACAGACTGGCAGGTTTACATCAGTACGTTCCAGCTAAGTCACTTCCTAGATAGCACTTGATGTCTGAGCCCAAGCCTTGCCCCAAAGGCAGGAGGCAGAAATGGAGCTGCTTTGGAAAAACAGGAAGGAAATCTCATGGCAGTGGCCAGGATTCCCTCCTTTTATAGACAGGTAGATAATGGTAACCACAACTGACCTTTACAGACACTTCAAGTGTGCCGAGCACCATGCTAAACACTTGACGTATATTCCCTCCTCTAAGGCAGTCTGCATGAGTAAGTCAAAATGGCATTTGCCAACAATTTCCTGTTCTTAGTACATTTATTTCAAAAAATGTCCAGATGCAGTGTGAGACCACAATAAAGCCACTCGCTTTTGCACAGACGCAGCGATGGTTCAGCCAAACCAGCAGAGCACACAGGGCTTCCCCCTGGAGCCCAGGAAGCTTTGTGGGCCCTTCCCTCCACCAGCCCTGGACCATAGCTCATTGGGACCTTGACAGGCTTCCTGAAATCTCCCCAGAGCCCCAAACCCACAGATGAGCAGGTTTGCAGGCTGCAGGCACTCTCCTCATTGACTCAGAAAATATTTTCTGGCCACATGGCATGTGTCAGGCCCTGTTCTAGGCAGTTGGGATACATCAGTAAACAATACAGTGAACACTGCCCTCAAAGAGCTTAGGTTCTAGTGTTTGTGAGAGAGACATTGAACAAGAGACATAATAAATGACTAACTTATAGCATGTTAAATCTGATAAGGAGCATGGGGAAGAGGCAGAGTGGGGAAGATGACTGCAGAGAGCCATGGGGCAGGGTGAGTTGCAATTGTCAATAGAGTGGTCACAGAGGGCCTTGTCAAGAAGGTGGCTTTGAGCAAAGACTCTGAGGAAGTGAGGGAGTTCATTGTGGTGTCTACTGGAACAGCATTCCAGGCGGAGGGAGTGGCCAGTTCAAAGGCCCCATGCTGGCGAGCGTGCACATCTGTGTTGGAGGAAGAACAAGGAGACCCATGTGCCAGGAGTGGAGGGAGGGAAAGGAAAGTGGCAGCTGTGTTCAGAGAGGAAAGAGGGAAGCCAGACCATGGCGAGCCTGCATGGCCACTGCAGGGCCTGGTGGGATGCGGCCTCAGAGGTCTTTGAGCAGAGGAGGAACAGAATTGACTTCCACCTCAGCAATGCTCTGTCTGTATGCAGCATTGAGAATGGAAGGAAGGTGGGCAAGGGTTAGCCATGCAGGAGGTGACAAGTGGCCAGTTTCCGGTTGTTTTTTTGAAAGTGGAGCCCACAGGACGTCCTGATGGATTCTGTCATTACCTGGGAGATCTGAGAGAAACCCCCCATAGAGGGCCATGTTTCTCCCTTTCTACACCACCAGTCAACATTTGAAACACTTTTTAGAAAGAGAGAATTTTCTTCACCTTGCAAGATTACTCCTAATAAAAATAGCAATGTTGCTCCAAGAGGCCGGGCTGTTGGCCTCACTTGCTCATGAGCTAAGCCTTTCAGAACAGGCATCAAGTTTGTGGGTCAATAGAACCCCATCTCCACCTGGCTCCTGTGTGGTCCATGTTGCAAGTTTTCAGGAAGGAGCAGGAGTTAAGGGTAGAGTTCCGAAACCAAATTGCCTGGGTTCAAATCCCAACACGGACCTTTTTACTACATGTGTAAGCTTGGACAAGTGACTTTAAACCTTAGTTTAAAATATGGGTACAAAATTACAGCTAGGTGGGAGGAATAAGTTCTAGCGTTCTATACCACTGTGGGATAACTATAGATAACAATAATATGTTATATAGTTTCAAATTACTAGAAGGAGGATATTGAGTGTTCCCAACACAAATAAATGATAAATGTTTGAGATGATGGATATGCTAATTACCCTGACCTGATCATCATACATTATAAGTACGGAAACATCACTATGTACACCATAAATATGTATCATTGTTATCTGTCAAAAATAAAATGAAGTATTAAAATAAATAAGATATTGGCAATAATCTATTCATCATTGGACTATGTGCATAATAACCATGCTAATGATGCCATATTTACATTCTGGGCACATTCTCAGATGTAGCCAAAACCAGCCAGGCAGGAGAGCAGGCTCTAGAAACTCTCCCAAGGCCTGCCTGAGGTAGGAGACCCACAGGACTGATTTTCCAGTCTTAGGCTGGTGAAGTGATGAAACTGGGTGCAACCAGCAGATGGTGCTTAAAGCAACCTCTAGTTGCCCTCATTACTCATTGGCATGAGACACTCCCAGCAGTGCCATGACAATTTACAGCCTCTTTCCATAACAATAACCCAAAAGTTACCACCCCTTTTCTAGAGAGTTCTGCATAACCTGCCCCTTATTTTGCATGTAATTAAAAGTGGGTATAAGTACATAAGTGCAGAGTCTGGGCACACTGCCTGTGAGTTAGCTCTACTCTGCAAAGAGCAGTGCCGATTCTAACAAAGATTGCTGTCTAACACCACCAGCTCACCCTCAAATTCTTTCCTGGTGAAGTCAAGAACCCTCCCAGGCTAGGCTCCAATTTGGGGCTCACCTCCCCACCTACATCATGCCCAGGCCCGCTTCTCAAAGTGGCAAGCACACCCCCAAGTGAATGCTCACCAGCATCACCTGGAAGCTGCCTGGCCTTCTGCCACAGCATAGAAATAGGCATTCCCTCCACAGGAACCTCCAAGGCCACGACACCTTCGTGTTCTGTGCTGGTGAGGCTTCAGGAGGGCAGTACAGTCCTGAGGAGTCAGAAATCTCTACATGCCTAGAGATGGAATATGTAAATATTCTCACAGGAGTGGGGTTCCCCTCCTTTTAGATGGTTCTTGTTAACCTAGACCTGCTTAGGAGCAACAGCCAGTGTAATGAGTGAGTCGACAAGCAAAAGATGCTGGATTCCTTGTGGGGATATACTATGGATGCCTGGGGTTCTGAACAATATTTTTCATACCAAATGTGAGAATAGCTAAAATATCAACACTATGCTTCATTGACATTTGTTTTCTTTATCTGCTACCTCTCTCTTATTTTATTAAGTATTCCTTATGTTTCAGGATAATTTTCCCTTCAAACTGTAAGCAAATTCTTGGAAATAATACATTTAAAAAAATAAAGCTGGGTGCAGTGGGACACCCACGTAATCTCAGTGCTTTGGGAGGCTGAGGCAGGAGGATCGCTTGAGGCTAGGAGTTTAATGCCAGCCTGGGCAACATAGCAAGACCCCATCTCTACAAAAAAATTAACTGGGCATGGTGGCACACACCTATAGTCCTAGCTACTCAGGAGGCTGAGACAGGAGGATCACTTGAACCCAAGAGTTTGAGCTGCTGTGAACCATGATCATGCCATTGCACTCCAGCCTGGGCAACTAGAATAAGACCCTGTCTCAAAAAAAAACCATAAAATAAAATTTAAAATGCTAAAAATAATTAAATGACTTCTAATCATTTGAAAGAGCAAAAGTACTAGCTGAATTGAAGCCAACTTAAAACTAAATTGCAGATAGTCTCCTACAGTCTAGATAACCAAGTGTAATGTAAACATTGCATTATTACTAGGAATGAATGGAGACACCTGAGATTTAGAAATGTATGAGGAATTGCGGAAGAGGTGGAGGTTTCCCTATATGACTAATTCTGGCATGGCTTCTAAATCAACTGCAACTTCTTTAGGACCCATTACCACAGGTATCTCCTGTCACTATCATATAACATGTCAGTGTCATATAACACACCTGCATGTGCAAGCACGCACTCACACACACACATACAGACACTGCAAACACATACCTACATAATATGCATTCACACACCCACATATCTATGTGACCCAATGCACAATACACATTTCCACATACACACCCTACCTAGCACACAGGTTTGGCAAACATATGCCCCCAAAACATATGAACATCCACACCTCAAGAATATATGTGTATTTTCCAAACAGCAATACCACACATGAGCATAACACACCCACACAAATAATGTGCAACACACAGCTGCACCACACACACTCCTACTCTGGCTTCCCTCTTGACCGTCACAGGCTGTAGTCTCAATATGTTGATAGAAGCAGCTCATTTGGGCAGGAAAAGTGCTGCCTTGACCATCGCGACTTTGGTTTTGCTTCAGCTTACAGCAGGGGTCTCCAACCCCTGGGCTGGTACTAATCCATGGCCTGTTAGGGACCAGGCCACACAGCAGGAGGTGAGTGGCAGGCAAGCGAGCATTACTGCCTGAGCTCTGCCTCCTGTCTGATCAGCAGCAGCATCAGATTCTCATAGGAGCGAACCCTATTGTGAACTGTGTATGCGAGGGATCTAGGTTGTGCGCTCCTTATAAGAATCTAATGCCTGATAATCTGAGGTGGAACAGTTTCATCCTGAGACTATCCTCCTGTCTCTGGTCTGTGGAAAAATTGTCTTCCACGACACTGGTCCCTTGTGCCAAAAAGTTTGGGGCCTGCTGACCTACAGTGTCTCCCGTAATCTAGAAGCCTAAAACAAAGAACCCAAAATCATCACAGTGGAGCCGCAATCAATATCTTATTCCCAGGAAAGTTGTGAAGCCCTTTGAATTAAAATCAAGATAGTCCGTGAACCAGAGATGGGACAATGAGTTCTTTCTGTAAAAAACCGAACATGGTGTTCACTGCTGATTTGATGCAATTTAAGGGCAGAGATGAGTGAAACTTGGCACAAGTGGTTTCAATGAAAAATGCTGTAACCAGAAAAATCATTCCATGTACAGGACTTGGTCTTGAATTCTCAATATATCCCTCTGTATTTTGTGGCTTTTGAATATATAAAAGTGTATTAGCTAGGATTTGGTGCAGCTGTCAAGTGGCGGGAAACTCAAAATAGTAGTGACTTAAGAAAGAAGAGGGAAAGTAATTCTCTCTCATGTATATATAGAATGTCCAGGGCTGGCATGGTGGTTGCATCATCACTGGGGACACAGGCTTCTTCTCTCTTGTTTCTCCAACACCTTCAGCATATGGCTTCCACTTCAGGATCTAAGATGGCTGTTCCAGTTCCAGCCATCATGCTGACATTCCAGCCAGCCAGAAACAGGAAGGGGAAGGGCATGCCCCTTTCTTTCAAGAGCACTTTCTGGAAGGTGACATGCTACACTTGCATGTACATCTTACTGATCAGAACTTAGTTACGTGAGCACACCTAGCTGCAAGAGAGGTGTAGACATATGGTATTTATTCTAAGTGACCATGTGCCAGTTAAAATTTGGGGTCTATTACTATAGGATAAAGAGAGTGGATATAAGAAGATAGCTATTAGTTTCTACAACACATTTTTAAAGGATTAAAAATAGCTTTGGGAGCCTGGGCAGCATGGTGAAACCCCATCTCTACAAAAACTACAAAAATTAGCTGGCCGTGATGGCATTAGCCTGTTGTCCCACCTACTCAGGAGGATGAAGCAGGAGAATCACTTGAGCCTGGGAGGTTAAGGCTGCAGTGAGCTGTGATTGTGCCACTGCACTCCAGCCTGGGTGACAGTGAGACACGCTCTCAAAAAAAAAAAAAAAAAAAAAGCTTCCACCCAGAGGTAATCACTGAATCACTGTTAACATTGTAATATGTAGCGTGTGTGTGTGTGTGTACATATAATTTCTTTTACAAAACTGAGTCAATACCATATGCACTTTTTTGTTTGCATTTTGCAAATGTCTTTTTATGACTATGTATAAATATCTATCCTTTTTTAAAAAGCTCAAAAGAAAAATCTATGATTCGACCTAATAAAATAAGCATGTTATCCAAGACACTTACTAATACTTGCTTGATGTATCATTCAGTTCAGGGATCCAAGGAGACCATTTCACATCATGCAAAAAGCTGGGAGGAATTGAGAACCTATGAGAGGGCAGGGTCCCTGGCTCAAGGAACACATGGGGGAGTGGTGAAACCCCTAAGAATGCAGGTGTAAAGGATGGACTCCTGGTGAGACTCACCTCTCTGTCCCTGGGAAGGAAAAGTGGAGGGGGGAAAGAGAGTACAAATTGATGCAGGTATCCTCCCTTTCTCCAGCCAAACCTTCAAGTGCTGCTAGTGTTGGCTGAAGAATTGAGCTCATGATATTTTGGGAAAATTATTTTATGAATTCTGCTGTTTATGATACTTAGGGCTTTATTCCCTTAGCAACTTCTCCTAGGACTTAGAATCCTTCTCAAAGCTCAGAGGATTACATTTCAGATAAGCATGCAGAATGGTGACTTATCTTAGTGGCAACTAAGAAATCTCAGTTCCTGTGTGCTCTCATTTAGTAGGCCTGCTTTATTGACTTGGTCCCCACAAATGTGTCACAGGAAAACATCTTTCTTTCTGCTTACCACTCCCTCGCTGTCTTCCTAAAGCATCAATTCAAATCAACTCGTCTGAGAATTCTCCTGTGGGTCCCTGCTTCCTCTTGCACCACATCTAACCTTCTCTACTGAACTTGCAGCCCCCTCTGCGATCAGCTCACTGCTCCCCACTGCGGGCTCTTTCCCAGCTCCTCATTGTACTGAAGCCAGCAACACTGTGGGTTCCTTTCCAGGGCTGAGACCTTTCTTTCTTAAGGAAGGGTGAATTTGAGAACCAGATGGACTCTATCTCTAATGAACTGTGTAATACTGAATGTTATTTAACCCCTTTGAGCCTCTGTTTTCTTGTGTGATCAATAATACATAGGAGAGAATAACAAAAATGGAATAATAAATATGATCCTATAGGGGCGTGGCTGGGTCAAACCATGCACACAGAGTGCCCTGCATTGTGCCTGGCCCTTGGCAACGGATTAAGTCACTGTGACATTCCTCTCCCCATGCTTTTCCTTTTCCTGTGTAGCCATTTTTCTGTTTAGGGCCTTTTCTCTGCTCAGTTCACAGCAGATTGTATCCTGCCTGGATGCCACTTGTTCTGGGTTGGTCTTCTTCACCTTGCTCCTGCTGGGCTGGGCTGTCCAGTTGTGCAGAGCCTGTTGGCTTTTCTTGCAGCTGAGGTTCTAGCCTCTGACCTTCTTAGGGAATTCTGTGCCAGAACTTGGTGGCTATGGTCTCCCAGCTGCCCAAAGTCTCCACTGTCCTGATGTGCTAACACCCTTCTTGGATAAATTGTACAGGCCTTGGACGCAGAGTCAGCCTCTGGGCAGTCAGGTGGAGACTGCAGCCTGCCTCTGGACCTGCCCCCTTCCAGAACCTTTTATCTCCCCAGAAGTTCTTGGTCCTCTGTCTTCTCTAATAAATGACAGAAAGGCTCCACTGTAAAGCCATGGATGTGTCTTTCTGAGGTTAGAAGCCGCAGTGGACATTATCTTTTAAAACCACCTTTATAAAAATGCAATTTCCAGGACAATCAAAACTAAAGTTAGAAAAGGAAAAATGAAAAAAAAAATCCCTCAAATTGGACATACAAAGCATTACTATCTACAGTGGACTTCATCAGCTCTACAAGTACAGCATTAGGTCCTAACAGATGGGGTAAAGAATAGATCATTCAAATAAGAGGAAATTGAAACTGTCTTACAAAAAAGACAAATATTTAATGTTATTGGTAGTCAAATAAATATTAGTCAAATAAATGTAATTTAAATTTTTAATGAGGTACCACTTTGCTTATTAGATTGAAAGATTATTTTAAAATAGTAAAACCCAGTGCTGGAAAAGCTGCAGAGAAGCTGTTACGTTCACAGAGTGCTATTGTCATTGTAAATTATTACCATCATTTTGAAAAGCAATTTGGCAGTGCATTTTAAGAGCCGTGAAAATGTTTCTGCTCTTTGATTGACAATTTTCACGTCAATAATCATGCAAAATAAAAATAATTATGTGCATGAAAGTAATCTTTGTAGGGTTGTCTACAACAGCAAAAATACACGCAATCTAAATGTCAAACAGAAGGGGAATGGTGAATTAAACATTGCCCCGTGTCCTCAATGTAATATTGTGCAGCCATCAAAATAATCCTTCCATTTACCATCTCATATTTGTCTGATATCTTCATCCCCACATTGTGCAACGAATTAGGAGGCAATCCCTTGGTTTTCTGGCCCCCTAATTATCAATCATGTGTGGCCCCATCTGTGCTTGTCATCCTTCTGCCCCTGCCCACTTTCTCAGGTTAATCTCTCCACCTGTCTTGCAGGCCTTCCCTATCTTTGTTCCCCACCATCTCACTCCCTCAATTACCTCCTCTCCCAGAAATCAACCTCAGCCTCTTGGCTGTCTCTTTTCCCTTCTTGTTGCTTTCATTTTCAAGGAAAGCTCTCCCTTGTACCTACATCTCTATCTAGCTACTGCCCTATTGCTCCCTCCCACTTTAAGCCCACCTTCTTGTTAGAGGCACCTGCACTGACCTTTCTCACCCCTCACTGACACCCATTCACTTCAGCCTGGCTGCCCTGTGCTTTCAGCAAGGCCACCAACATCCTGGTTGCTGTGTTCAGTGAATAGTTTTTCCTTCTTGACCTTAGCTCATTTAGCCTCCCAGGGTGTACTTTGACTCTCCTTCTCCTGAAACTGCTCTTCCTTTGATTCCCACGGCCCACTCTCTTGTCTCCCACAGTCTTGTCTCCCTCACTGAGGCTGGGATTCCATCATATGTCCTGCCTTTCTCACTGCTCTTCTCAACATCCTTTGTCATTACCTCTTCCTCTACCCATCCTGTAAAAACAGTATTCCCGAAGGGACTGTCACTGATCCCCTTCACTTAGGTTCATCAACTCTTTTCAACTGGAGTCAGACACGTGGGATTCAAATTCTGAATTTCTCACTTTCCAAACATGTGGCAAAGTTGTTCCACCTCTTAAGCATCAGTTTTCTTTCCTGTAAAATGGAGATAATAACAGAACCCACCCCATAGCATACCTAGTAAATGGTACAAATTCAATACATGCTAGCTATTCTTCTTCTTCTTATTATTATTATATGATACCCTACTCTATTTTTTCAGTCTAGACTCTGCTGAGTTTCAGAGCAACTCTTGTATTCAATGTCCTACTGGAGGCATTTGCCTGGCTGTCCTTCCTCAAACTCCATATGTCCACAACTGCATGAACAATTTAGCTCCTCCCCAACCCCATTCCTGACCATATCTGAAAACTGGGAGACACCCTTGATACCTTTTCTCCCTTTATCTGTATTTTTCTCCCCAGGCATGTCCCATAAAATACTCCAAGTGGATTTCCCTAAGCTCATGCCCCAACCACCAGAATGGTGAAATGCTAACGTTGTAAATGCGGGAAACTCCAAGATCATAGAGGAGCCCAGGGCTGTAAGATAAAAGGAGCTGGGGCCCCAGACTGACCATGTGAAAGGCTGCCTGCCTGGCAGAAAGGCCTGCTTTGAATTTCATGTGAGAAACAATCCCCTAGTACTTTATGCCACCAAGATTTTTGAAACTATCTTTCACAGCAACTAGACATGCTTTAACTAATATAAGTCCAAAATATCTGAAGGATTCATGAACTACTCCAGTCCCCTCTGTTACAACCCTCCGTTAAGCTTTCATAATCCTTTTTTTTAGTAGATCATTGTAACCGCCTCCTAACAGGTTTGCCTGACTTCACTCTTACCTTTCTCTAATCCATTCTCCATACAGTTGTTGGTGGGGCCTTCATAAATTGTTAGAGGATCCCAAGTTTGATTTTATCAACCATTCCTGCTTAAGGAGATCTGGCACTGATTCCCCACTACCTTCATATAAAATCCAACTCCCGCTATGCCATAAGAGGCCTTTCATGAATTGTCTCCACCTACCTGGTGTATCTGTGCTTCTGTCCTTTTGTCTTCCTGGCCAGCCAGAGTTAACTACCCACAGTCTCAGTGCCCTGTGCCAGGCTTCCTTGACTGCAAGCTTTTGGGTATGCAGCTCCCTCAGCCTGGAACACTTCCGTGTCTTCCTTACCTAGATAACAGTTACTCATCTTTTAAGATTCAGCTCAGGTGTCACCTCCCCTGAGAGGCCTTCTGTGACTCCTCCAGGCTGGGTGAAAGTCTCCTGAGTGTCCTCATTACCCTTATATTCACATCTTTTATAACATGCATTATACCGTCCTCATAAAATCTGTTTACTTGTCTCTGAATACAGACAATATTTTGGTGTCATTTTCTAGCACGATGTATAGCATATAGTTAGCACTCAATAAATGCTTATTGAATCAATGACTAGGCAAAGTATAAAAACATAATTACAATGCAACATAGAAAAGGTTGACAATAAAGAGCTGGGTGTGGTGGGGCATGCTTGTAATCCCAGCTACTCAGGAGGCTGAGGCAGGAAGAACACTTGAGCCAGGAGTTTGAGTCTAGCCTAGGCAACATAGCGAGACCCCATCTCTATAAAAAAGAAAAGAAAAGAAAGAAAAGGAAAGAAAACTATTAACAACATGCCATTTATTACTAAGTGAAAATTTGAATTGTAAACTGTATGTATAGTACACTGCACACTATGCAATAAATCTACATGAAATATATATACATGTGGATAAATTTTGGAAATAATCATTCAAGAGACATTTATTTAGCACCTACTTTGTGCCAGATAATAGTAATGGAAAGATTAATTAGAATTGATCCATCCTCTCAAAAAGTCTACAGTCTTGGGGTGGTGGTGGGGGTGAAGCAATCTTGTTTAGCTGATGGGAATATTGGGAAATGATTTTCTTTCAAAATTCTCTTTAATTGTTCAAAGCAATACATTTAAAAAACAGCTTGCAAACAGAAAACAGTCTATCAAATGCTGCTCATAGTAATACTGAAGTTATAAAATTCAACCTCCATTATCTTGGATCCATCTATCCACAGTAAATCCTCTATGAGTTTTTGAGTCTGCCTACACACTGTTGCACACTTTGATCCATATTTGTTTTTGCTTCCCCACAAGATTGTCAGTCTCATGAACACAATGGATTTGTCTGATTAAACAGGTGCTGGGCAGCCCCTAACTGGCTTAATTTTGCTATCTAGTTTAAGGGTGGCCTTTCTTTTCATACAAAGCAGAAACATTGGGGTAAGGTGGGGTAGGGAAAAGTCTATGCTAGAAATGGAGAGGAACCTTTTTTGAATTACTCAACCCCAAGCCCCTGCTCACCTGCCCTTCAGGGAAACTGAGGGGAGCTGAGAACTGTGGCAAGGGGAGGCACCTTTCCTACCACATGGGGAAGCCCTGACCACATGCCCAGTGTCCTGGAGGCCAGAGTTGATGATAGTGCTGCTCCATTTTGCATGGTTCATCAGGCCTCACTTGCCCTCTTGGCCCAGACAGGGACAGAAAGAGAGGCAAACCTGCTACTGGGGGCCTGATGGCCATGCCAGGGAAGGGTGAGGGAGAGGACCATCCTGTTCTTTCCATCAACAGCTCCAGGACCTGTCATGGTCCCTGGCAAATGGCAGCCCTTAGTGAGTATGACGCTGGTGAAATGAACCAGATCAAGGCTCAAGTCTCCTGCTAGTGCCCTGTGTAACTGTGGACAACTTCACCTCTCTGAACCTCAGTTATCCCACCTGCAAAGATCATAACTTCAAACTCCATGTAATTGTCTCGAAGAATAAAATGAAATAGTACGGAAGGAGCTTCAAAGCACTTTGAACATGTAGGGTCTATTTGAGGATGCAGGGTGGGAGGAAGGGGAGGAGCAGAAAAGACAACTATTGAGTCCTGGGCTTAACACCAGAGTGATAAAATAATTTGTACAACAAACCCTGTGATAGGAGTTTACACATGTCACAAACCTTCACATATACCCCCGAACCTTTTTTTTTGAAAAAGAGAGAGAGAGAGAGAGAGACTCCAGCCTAGGTGACCCAGTAAGACTCTCTCTTTCTCAAAAAAAAAAAAAAAAAAAAAAGGTGGGGGGAGCCAGAGACCTTAACAGACACCTCACCAAAGAGATATCCTCATGGTACATATGCATCTGAAAGGATGCTCCACATTACATGTTATCAGGGAAATACAGATTAAAACACAAAAAGAGAGAGAGAGAGAGAAAAGAAAATGGGGGGCATGGCAGGTTGGAAGACTGCCTCTGTGTTCATTTTCAAATACACTAATTAATAGAAACAACTTTCTCATTAACATTCTCATAATCAGTAAAGTTGGTGCTCTAAGTTGTAATAGTATACATTCCTTCATAAACTCAATAAAGTTATTTTCACTCTTTATGAAAAAAATACATATGCCTTTAAATGTTATGATTTATTTCTCATGCAAAATAATGTTCATTAAGTGAATTAAACCCCAAATCTCAACTTTCCTGCAGTGTTCTGCATCCTGTGGACATGTGATGATAATAATGGTGCTTTGCTCCTTATCTAAATTTGTGGGGAACATTAATTGATGCTGAGCTTCCAGGATAGAAGCCCTTTGGAGTGGGGACTGCCCACCTGGCATGAGGGAGGTAGGAACATCCCCGATGTGTCTGGACATGCTGAAGAAGTAGGTACCATAGAGCACTGATGCCTGAGGATGAGGGGCACCCCTGGGGACAAGCAGAAACAGAAAGAAAGGAGATATTTTTAATAGAATTCATCTTCCTCAGCATGTGTCCCCAAAAGATTACACTCCATCCAACACCATGGATCTGGACAAACAATGTAGTGTATTCAGTGGCCCTTTGTGATTTCTGTCTCTTGTAGCAACAATCTTTCTTAATAAACAGCTTCATACATCTCACCAAGCACTTGCTGTCTTCCTGAGATGTCAGCACAAGCACCTGGATACCACCAGATAGACTTACACTTCCCAGTTGAACACTATACTGCTTATCCCCAAGAATCAAGAACAGGGAGCGTGTGTGTGTGTGTGTGTGTGTGTGTGTGTTTGTGTGTGTGTGTATGCGCATGCAGATGCCCAGAGAGAGAGAAAGAAAGAGACAGAGAGACCAGAATTTCTTGCCAGTGTGGGTCTTTTCAACGTAGTTTTGTAAGGTTCTGGACAGCTTGGCTGGCTGCAGTCCTGATATTATGAAACAGAATTGATTTGCAAGGATTTGAGCCAGGAGAGGGCACACCTGGGAGGCAGCTGTGAGATCAGCCAGAGCAAGGGTGCAAATGCTGAGGTATCTTGAAACCTACAGCAGAATAAAGGGTTGGGACAACCTGAACCAGAGCCAGAGTTTAGTGCTCCCTAATGGGGCTATTGAATTCATCAGGGCCAAGAGAGAACCATGTGCCAGCCTTTATCTTGAGAGAGGAAGGAGGTTCTGTGTGTATATGGAAAATTAAAGGTCTGCAGAGGAGATGTAGTGAATGTGTTAAACCTGAAATTACACAATGATTTAGAGCTGGATTCTCACTGAAATTTCTTTATTGCAACTATTCCAAAAAGATATCCACTATTTCAGGAGTTTCACTACACACTAAACTGACAAAGGGATTGTTTAGATGAGTGTTCTCAACCCTGAGTTTTCTTTCGGGTCTTTAGAAAATACCCACTCCAGACAAAATGAATCAGAATTTCTGGGTGAGGGATCCAAAGATGGGTAGTTTTAAAAACCCTTCCATGTAATTCTAATATGCAGCCAGGATTGAGAACTGCTGGCTTAGGCTGAGATGGGAATGAGATATCAAAGGAAGCTAGAGAAAGAAAGATTGTGGTTGAAAGGCTCTGATTCCTGGGCTTAGCCTCAGACAAGAAAAGTGTCCTCATGTTTATGCTTAAATAGTGCTAGAACAGAAAGAAGCAAGGCACCTCAGCCTGTGATAAGTTGGTCAAAGGGTTGGCAATAATGAATTTAATCTGTGACTACCAATCAGAAGCCAAACTCTGAAGACCCCAAAACATAAACAAAACCAGACAAGCTGGTGGATGAATAATACATTTGGTTGTATGTTTCAGTCAATGATCAAGGATTCACAGAATAGAAACCATTCAAGGTAGCGCAAGATTAGGAAGGTTTGTGGTAGAGACCCAAAATGTAATTTCAAGGCATCAAGGGATTTGGGCTCCCAGAGCCAGGAACCAGACACTCAGGGACTGAGGTCACTCCTTTCACCTCTTGGTCATTTGATCTTCTTCATCTCTGTTCCTCTTCACACATCTGCTTCATTCTTCCAGAGCAGTTGGCTTTCTCTGATTAAACACTTCACACAAGGTCCAACACACAAGTGGTTCAGCTCTAATTTATCACTGTCTTTCATGTCCAGAGCCCAACACTGACTCACCGTTGTTAACGTGTTTCTTAGTTCAAATTTTCAACAGAAAAGGATCTGGTCACTAGCCCAGCAAAGGATGGCTGATCGTATCTAGCTTCAGTTGAGGTGTCAATCTCCTCCCATATACTAGGGTATGTGTGGAAAATTTCATGTAGTTTACAGGCTGAACACTTTAGGAGACCATTGGAAGGGCAGGTGCTTATATAGTAGCTATAGGCAAGGCAAGTAAAGAAGTCCATCTAATTTCCATCCATAACTGATGAAACAGACATATTTTGCTTTCCCATCTTCTACCTTCCAAAATATGGGTGGATATAGGGGAGATAAGGAGGAGTTTGAAAGAACATGCTCTGTCTGCCCAGGACCTAGTCTAGCATCCAAAAGAGGTAACCACAGATTGGCATCACTCAAAGTCAGTCTACATATCCTCAACCATCATTTATGTACATGATTCTACATGTGTTGTCTTCCTCTGGAAATCACTGAGAAATCCATTCTTGGTAATGTTGAAGCCTAAGGATATTCAGAGATCCTGTGGTAGGTTCAATTTTAACCTCATACTTTCTGCTACATTGTGGCATGTGAAAATGGAACATACTTAGATATTAAGGAGGATTCTCCTCCCCTTGGGCTTTTATCTGATCATTTGGAAAATCCTCAGTTAACATGCTGTTACAGTGGTTTGACGGCTCACTTGACAGCTCTGAAATAACATTCTTGACTCTTAGATGACAATCTTGTACCGAAACACAAAACGGCTCTTTTCAGAAATTTAGAACTTCAGCCAAGTTTTGGGTTCAAGAAAATAGTGGTGTGTGGATTTTTTTAAGCTCTCCAAATGGATAAATTGTGTGTAAACTCACTTTCTGTCCAACATCAGCTATTGCACCAAATAATTGAACTGTCATATGTCCCTTGTTCTTGTAATTAAGTTGGCTGCATTGAGGCAGGAATAGTCTGGACTTGGGGGTCATGTTTAAAGGCAGCAACCTAGGGTAAACTTATCCTCCAACCCATGGACAGTCTGAATATCTTTTTTCCCCTCTTTGGAGCTAGAGGCAAAGTGAAGGGAGGAAAGGGTCCACAGGGAGAAGTAGGGGGAGCACTAGCAACAAATGTTGCCAATTTTCACTTTTCCCAGACCATGTGGTCCCTGAAAAGTATGGCTGTGGCCTCTGTGCAATGCCATCATGCCAATGTGCAATCATCTATTTTAGAACCTCAGATGGCATCAACTATTTTAGCTCTTGCCCAGGTACAGCTACTGCACATTCTGGGAGAAGAAAGAGAATAAGAAGACTAATATTCGTATCTTACTGACAAAACAAAACACCTTTAAAACAAAAGGATGATTTATCTGGGCTGAAAATAAAACTCCTGCCTACTGAAGTCTGGTGCAGCTGAGTTATCACGATTTTCGTCCTGTAATTTGTTTTATAGGGTACTAATTAACAGGGCAAAGTCTGAAGCCAAGAAAGTAAATCACATTTTGCTGTTTTCCTTTTCTCTAGCAAGATGCAGACCTGGTCTTTAATTAAAGCGCAAGTTCCAAGGGCGATATCAGCTACCGAAATCGGGAAAACATGGGCCGAAAAGGTCACAGTGAAACCTGCTGTGTAGAGTTCAGAAAAGATAATGGGAAAGAGAGGAATTGCACAGGCAACCTCCAAAAGAAGAGATTGTTTTCCTCAGATGTCCCTGTCTTATCCATCTTTTAACTGCTCCCCATAACTCAGAATTTCTTCCCTGACTCTACTCAACTGAGCATGTACCACAAACATCCTTTTTAAAAATTGGATTTCAGGCCTGGTGAGGTGGCTCACACCTGTAATAACAGCACTTTGGGAGGCCGAGGCGGGTGGATCACACGAGGTCAGGAGTTCGAGACCAGCCTGACCAACATGGCGAAACCCCATCTCTACAAAAATTAGCTGGGCGTGGTGGCGTACATCTGTAATTCCAGCTACTGGGGAGGCTGAGGCAGGAGAATCGCTAGAACCCAGGAGACAGAGGTTGCAGTGGGCCGAGATCGGGCGACTACACTCCAGCCTGGGCGACAGAGTGAGACTCTGTCTCAATAAATAAATAAATAAAATTTTTAAAAAGTGAATTTCTTTTCCCAGATAATTCCTGTTTCGGGAACGGCATTTTTTTTTAAAGGTAGCTACTTTCCCATCAAACACCCCTGTCCCAACCTCCCCCTTCTCCGGGGTTTCTTTTTTGACCTGATCCCTCAGTGATCTTTGACGCTGGGCTTTGCTGCCCGGCAGGTGTCACTCATCCTTCACCCCTCCCCTCCCAGCTCACCCTCTTCGCCGCCTGGTCTCAGGGTCTTCTTCACTCCTTTCTACCTCTCCTTGTCTCTCTCCCATCCCATTCCTGGAAGTTCTGGACTGGAGGTGGTTGCTCTGGCTTCTCCTCCCTCCTAGGACCCTCAGATAGTGTTGGGGGCAGGGGGAGTGCGGCGGGGAGGGCACAGGATGGGCTGGCGAGGAGAGTGAGTGCTGGGCTCGCACCGGGAGCCGGGAGCCTGACGTCACCACGCCCTGCCTGTCAATCTGCAGCGCGCGCCGCTCGCAGCCGCCTTTTCTGCCACCAACTGTATCTCTCACTCGCGGAGCCGGCACAGCGACAGGCGCCCCGCGCTTGCCTCCTCCCCGGCCCGGCCGCCTCCTGCAGGCAGCTGCTCTGTTTGCGCGGGGAGCTCAGCCCGGCGCCCCGCCTCGGCGCCCATGACCAGCGACTTCCAGAAGTCCTGACGCCCCAGGTGAGTGGCCGAGTTCCCAGG
Organism: Homo sapiens; assembly: GCF_000001405.40. Taxonomy (NCBI): domain Eukaryota; kingdom Metazoa; phylum Chordata; class Mammalia; order Primates; family Hominidae; genus Homo; species Homo sapiens. Next base: position 109,978,489 of record NC_000006.12, read on the forward strand.
GAACTTTGAGGATGTGGGGAGAGGAGGGGAGAAAGATATCCAGGGGACAGGTCTTTCCAGAAGAGGAGAAATGGAGCCAACCTTGACTCCCACCCTCTGCTGCCCCCATACACACACCCTAGTCTCTCCTCCCAGACCCCCTTCGCAGGGGTCTCTGGGCTCCAGGACTCTCCAGGCTTCGCAATGCCAGAAACTTCGCTTTCAGCACCGCGGACAGCGTCTCTGCTGCCCAGCCCCATGGGGATGTCCTGGTCGCGCCGCCACAACCCAGGCGGGACTCTCCCAGGATGACACTCCTAGCTTGGTGCACTCGGGTGCGTGTGCAAATACAGGCAGCCTTGGAGAATTGATCCTTGTGCATGTGAGTGCATGTTGTCCTGGTGTATATCTGCAAAAACTCAGAAGTCCGCGTGGGCATTTCACTCACTCACTCAACAGGTATTTATTTTGGGTTCGCACTTAACCCATGATTCCCCGATTTGCTCTGGGGTCCCAGGGTGGGGTGGGCAACTCAAGTGGGGCAATGCGAGAGGAGGCTCTACGCGTGGGGAAGTTTCCTGGCAGCCTGAAGTGTACACCTGACGCCTGCACTCCCTCCCTATGCAGGGTGCAAATCCGGCCGCGATGAACGCGAGCGCCGCCTCGCTCAACGACTCCCAGGTGGTGGTAGTGGCGGCCGAAGGAGCGGCGGCGGCGGCCACAGCAGCAGGGGGGCCGGACACGGGCGAATGGGGACCCCCTGCTGCGGCGGCTCTAGGAGCCGGCGGCGGAGCTAATGGGTCTCTGGAGCTGTCCTCGCAGCTGTCGGCTGGGCCACCGGGACTCCTGCTGCCAGCGGTGAATCCGTGGGACGTGCTCCTGTGCGTGTCGGGGACAGTGATCGCTGGAGAAAACGCGCTGGTGGTGGCGCTCATCGCGTCCACTCCGGCGCTGCGCACGCCCATGTTCGTGCTGGTAGGCAGCCTGGCCACCGCTGACCTGTTGGCGGGCTGTGGCCTCATCTTGCACTTTGTGTTCCAGTACTTGGTGCCCTCGGAGACTGTGAGTCTGCTCACGGTGGGCTTCCTCGTGGCCTCCTTCGCCGCCTCTGTCAGCAGCCTGCTGGCCATTACGGTGGACCGCTACCTGTCCCTGTATAACGCGCTCACCTATTACTCGCGCCGGACCCTGTTGGGCGTGCACCTCCTGCTTGCCGCCACTTGGACCGTGTCCCTAGGCCTGGGGCTGCTGCCCGTGCTGGGCTGGAACTGCCTGGCAGAGCGCGCCGCCTGCAGCGTGGTGCGCCCGCTGGCGCGCAGCCACGTGGCTCTGCTCTCCGCCGCCTTCTTCATGGTCTTCGGCATCATGCTGCACCTGTACGTGCGCATCTGCCAGGTGGTCTGGCGCCACGCGCACCAGATCGCGCTGCAGCAGCACTGCCTGGCGCCACCCCATCTCGCTGCCACCAGAAAGGGTGTGGGTACACTGGCTGTGGTGCTGGGCACTTTCGGCGCCAGCTGGCTGCCCTTCGCCATCTATTGCGTGGTGGGCAGCCATGAGGACCCGGCGGTCTACACTTACGCCACCCTGCTGCCCGCCACCTACAACTCCATGATCAATCCCATCATCTATGCCTTCCGCAACCAGGAGATCCAGCGCGCCCTGTGGCTCCTGCTCTGTGGCTGTTTCCAGTCCAAAGTGCCCTTTCGTTCCAGGTCTCCCAGCGAGGTCTGAAGGGCTCGCCCCGTGTCCTCTCACCAACACCACACCCCAACAAGCCAGCCTTTGGTAAGCTCGGTGCCTGCTGACGAACTCTGAGATCCCAATGGTGTGAGTCTGACTTTGGAAAGAAAAAGGGACTAAAGAGAAATGTAACAAACTTACAAGGACAAAGAGGCTTGTTGGCACTTTACATATACAGTGTATACATGTGTACATATATATACAAATATTTGTATCTTCTGGAGGTGTTCAGGATGTGGAGCTTCCTATTCTGTGAAAAACCAAGAAAAAGATATGGTTGTATACTCAAATTGTACATCACGTTTGTCAAACGAAGACATTCCAATACTGCTTAATTATAGCACTTTATTTTTAGCTGCTGAACTGCCAAAACAGTGTTGCCATTTTCAAGGGCAGGGAAAAGGGAGTAAAAGGTGTATTTTTGTCGTATGTGATAGAATATTTTGCTGCACATGCATCAACAAATTACAACATGTTTTGTACACGAATAAACCCATTACAAGAATGTAATTTGGGGTATGTCACTGACTATAGAATTACAATTAGCTGAATTGTAAGTGTATGAGTGTCTTTCTTTCCTTTCTTTCTTCCTTTCTTTCTTTCTTGCTTGCTTGCTTTCTCTTGCTTTCTTTCTTTCTCTTTCGTTTGTTCGAGATAGAGTCTCACTCTGTCGCCCAGGCCTGAATGCAGTGGCACAATCATAGCTCAGTGCAGCCTTGAACTCCTGGGCCCAAGAAATCCTGCTTTAGCATCCCTAGTAGCTGGGACTACAGGCATGCCACAGCACTCACCTTACTTTATTTATTTTTTTAAGTTTTTAAAATTTCAGTAGTTTTGAGGGTACAGGTGCCTTTTTTGGTTACATAGATGAGTTCTTTAGTAGTGAATTCTGAGATTTTAGTGCACCTGTCACCTGAGCAGTGTACACTGTACCTGATATGTAATCTTTTATCCCTCACCTCCCTCCCAACCTCTCCCCACTGCAAGTCCCCACAGTCCATTATATCACTCTATATGGTTTTGTGTCCTCATAGCTTAGCTCCCACTTATAAGGGAGATCATATTGTATTTGATTTTTCATTCTTGAGTTACTTCACTTAGAATAATGGCCTCCAGCTTCATCCAGGTTGCTGAAAAAGACATTATTTCACTCCTTTTTATGGCTGAGTAGTATTCCATAGTATATCTATATCTATATCTATCTATCTATCTATCTATCTATCTATCTATCTATCTATCTATCATCTATCTATCATCTTTTCTTTATCCAATCCTTGGTTGAAGGGCAAGTAGGTTGGTTCCGTATCCTTGCAATTGCAAGTTTATTATGTAGCATCATTCTCCTGAGAAAACCTTAACGTAAAAAAATCATATGCATTTGCACATTGTTCATAAACTTTCACTGAAATACCAAATTTATATCATTGTGGTTGGGGAGGGAGGGTGCAGGAAGGGAGTAATATATTCATGTGGCAGTATTCACAGGACAACAAAGGGTTACTGGTGTTATCTGTGCAATTTAGTCTACTCCCTTGGTTAGTGGGTTTGGAAAACAAGTATCCGAGGATGTCCGAAAACATATCTTCCTCTCATTCCCTGTGCACTTGTGAATCCTGAAACCACAACTTTCATTTGTAATTTTTCCAGTATGGCAAGAATTTTAAATGTCTAAAATTCATGTTGACTTAATACATTGTCGCTGGCCAGATCTTGTAGTAAAATGCACAGGCTTGTAAAATGAATAAATTCTTCCAAGACAGAATTCCAAGATATATACCTCCGACCTCATGAGGTACACAAAAGTATATCCAGTATCCTCTCTTGAGGTGCTCTCACCTTCAAAAGAGGGCACTAAAATCCTTAAGCACTAAACATTCTTATTCCACTGATAGATGTGAGTCATGATGATTCCCCTCCTTCCCTTCTTATAGGATGATGTGAGGATAAATTGGAGAACACATGAGGGCATGCTCTGAACCCTCTGTGAATTAATATGCACACCAGCACAAGTCGTTACTACTCTTATGCCTTAGGAAAATACACACAAGCAAATTTATTGAGTTCCTACTATCCTACTATTGAGTTCCTAGACACAATTCCACGGATTGGAATATGGAAGTGAAAAAAAAAAAACAGGCAAGAAGTCTCTGAACTCCATAGTGCTACCTTCTAGTGGGGAAGATGGCCTACAAGCAAACAAACAAATATATAATGTCATGTTAGGATAAATGCTAACAAAGAAAATAAAGGAGGATGAGAGATGGAGTGCTCCAGTTAGGGTGGCCAGGGAAGATCTCTCTGAGGAGATAACATCTAGGAGGAAAGCTCAGTGAAGGGAGAATGAGATGCATGAGCATGCAAGGGAACAGCTTTCCAGACAGAGGAAGCAACAAGTGTGAAGGCTTCCAGGTGGGAGCATGGTCTTCAAGTTCAAGGAACAGCAAGGAGGTCAACGTGGCTAGACAGGCTGAACAAGGAGAAGAGAGGCATGCAGTTAACTTGAAGGACCTGGGATACGATCATCTCAAACTTCACAGGCCACTATAGGGACTTGGGCTTTGACCCTGAGTGATATGAAAGTGACATGATATGGTTTATATTTTTAAAAAAATCACTCTAGCTATCCTGTTGAAAATAGTCTCTAGGAGGGTCAGAGTGAGAGCAGGAGATAGGGGTCTATAAACATAATCCCCATGAGAAATGACAGTGGCTTGAGGCACAATGACAGTGGTGGAGATGGTGAGAAGTAGTAGATTCTAGAAATGTGTTGAAGGATAAATGGGAGGTGGGGCATGAAAGAAAAAAGTTCGGAATTCATCCAATGAGTGAATGCGGGGCTTTAGTGAGCAAGGAAAAACTGAGGGTTGGGGGGGTGTACATTGGGAAGTGTGACGATTAATTTTATGTGTCAACTTGGCCAGACAATAGGGAGCCCAGATATTTGGTCAAACACATTTTGATCATTTGAAGTCCTGAATAGAACAAAAATATTGGCCTCCCCCAAGCAAGAAAGAAGTCTTCAGTGGGTTTCCCTTGGACTCCACTTGCAACATTGGCTCTTCCTGGTTCTACGGAAGATGGTCTTGAGACTGGAACTACAGTGTCGACTTCCCTGGGTTGTCAGCCTCCTGGCCCACCTTGCAGATTTTGGACCTGCCAGCCTCCATAATCATTGAAAAATTCCTTAGAATAAATGTCTTCATGTGCACATATGCGCACGTGCGCACGCACACACACACACACACACACACGCACATCCAATGGGTAGGATATATCTATGTACATATACATCCTATTGGTCCTGTTTCTCTGAAGAATGCTGACTAATACGGGAAGGGTGGCAAATTTAAAAAGTTAGTTTTAAATACCTAGAGAGCTCACGTGTGCAGTTTATTCATTTATTTATTTCACAAACACTTCTATAGCACTTACTATATGCCAGACACTGCTCTAAACCCTTTACAAATATTAGCTTATTTAATCACCACCTTTATTTAATTCCAAACTGGTTAGGTCTCAGCAGGAGACAAATGGCACACTCAAACCAGGTGACTGAGGAGAGTTTAATGAGGAGACTATTTATAAAAGTGTGAGCATAGTTAAGGGAAATCAACAAGGAATGGTGAAACACCCCCAGAGCCAGCACCAGCAGGGCTGCGAGAACGGGGAAGAAGAGAGAGCAATTACTGGAACCAGGAGAGAGGGCTTTAGGTCTCGGCTGTCCAGCAGGAGCTATGGCCTTCAACAGAGGAAGGCAGCAACTGCCAACCTATGGCTTGACAGGGAGAGATCTGGGAGAATAAATTACTCTCTTCCCTCCGTCCCACCTCTTGATGGAGGCTTCCATTAACTAAACTGTCAGAAGCCAGACAGCAAGACAACTCTTTGGTGCAGGCCACACAGATCAGCTTCCCTGGGCACTGAGCAGATAGAGAAGGGTGAGAAGTGGACCTGCTGGTGCAAACAGAGAATATCCAGCACAAACACTGTGAGCTCAGTACCCTTGTTGCCCCACTTTTTAGCTAAGGAAATGGAGGCACAGAGAGGTTAGCTGTGCATATCTGGAATTCAGGACCAAGGTCTAAGCAGGACAAATGAATTCAGGACTTGTCAACATATAGGTAGTATGTAAAGCCATGGATCTAGAAGGGGTCACCTCATGATACTCATAGACAGAAAAGAGAAGAGGGCCAAGGACTGAGCCCAAGGAAATGGCAGCATTTAGAAATCAAGAAGAAATAGAGGATCAAGCAAGGGAGAAAGAAAAGTGATCAGTGAGGTGGGAGGAAACCAAGAGTACAGTGACCCAAAAAATAAAGAAGAAAAAAGTGTGGGGAGAAGTAGTCAACTAGTTCAAATGCAGCTGAGAGAATAAGTAAAATGAGAACTTTAAAAAATGGCTAAAGATGATGTCATGTGTATGTCATTGGTGAACTTGACAAGAAAAGCTTCAGGAGAGAGAGAGAAAAAAAAAGCCTGACTGTAGAAGACACAAGAGAAAATATATGAGCAATCTAGTCTCCAGCAACTCGCAACAGAACGGTGACCTTTTCAACACTATAAAACACACTACATTTTATAGATGTAGAGTTTTACACTGTCTATAAATTCAAATCAGGGAAGATCAGCATTATTGCTCACTCATCAAATTAAAATTTTCTAAAGTATTAACTACCATCATGGACTCTTCAGCATCACCAGACACTGGTTCAGGTCCTATTATCATCTGGAATGCATTCAAGTGAACTAAAATGTAAAAGCTCGTGCCGTCAACTTTCTCATGTGTGATGGGGAAAACAATATAATTTCAGAAGTAGAACAAAAAAGTCAATATTATTTTATCTTTTATACTCACGGAGAAAAAATTTCTTGCAATCATCACATTAAGAAAGTTCAACACTAGAGTAATCAGACGCAAACCATGGATCTGTCTTCAATGCACTCATTAATATTCAATATCTGCCCTGGTCCTAATAAAAATGTCTGGGAGAGCCAAGTTTAAGAAGATACTAAACAATCAAGTTGTTACTAATGCTGACTTACACAGTTGGCCAAGCTGTGTAATGTCAGCAGGCTTAATATTAACCAACCTGGGAATATGAAAAAATAAAACTGTGAGAAGATCTTGAAACATTTCCACAGAAGAAAGTCACATATTCATTTGACCTATCAAATATTAATTAAGAATTACCTACTGCAAGATCCTATGCTAGTTGCTAGAAACATAGTCTTTTAAAAAGTTCTTTAAATTTTTTTATTTTTAATTTTTTTGTGGGTACATAGTAAGTATATATATGAAAACATGCAGTCTTGGAGAAAGGCAAGACTCACTCAAACAGCTAACTGCCTACCCACTTTGTTGTCTAATGGGCATCCTAAATTTAACACATTTAAAATTGGACCACTGATCTTCACTTTTGAACCTGATCTTTATCCCTTATGTATAAGTTAACAACAATGTCATCTTTCTGGGTATTCAGGCCAGAAACCTTAGACTCACACTTGCCCTTCTATTTCTCTCATACCTCACAATCAATGTGTCAGCAAAGCCTGTTGTCTTTACCTTCAATGTATACCCAGAATCCAGCCACTTCTCACCATCCACACCACTCTCATCATCTCTTGCCTGAATTACTATAGCAGCCTCCTGTCTTGTCGCCCACTTTTCAGTTATTGTGCCTATCCACCCACTATCTACACAGTGGCTCACCCACATAAACAGTTGCTCCTTGACTACTCTTCAGATCTAGGCATAAACCTACCAGGAGTTCTTTATTTTATTTTATTTTATTTTATTTTATTATTTTATTTTAATTAATTAATTTTGTTTTTGAGACAGAGACTCACTCTGTTGCCCAGCCTGGAGTGAAATGCCATATAAGGCAATAGAAACAGCTCTGAGAACAGTACTAATGAAAAGTATGACAACAAAAGTATGCACTGAATAGAAAAGGATCCAACAGGAATGTCAGGAAAATGTTGTGCAGGTCTCCACTCAGGAGGCAACACCAAGCTGAGTCTAGAAGAACAAAAGAAATTTTGAAGGCATTGAAGGGGGTGGGGGGTGTTCTAGGCGAAGAGGGCAACATGAAGCACAAAAGCATAGGCCACTCAGAGAAATGCAGGCCATTCAGCATGGCTGGAGTGAATAAGATGTAGAGACCAGAGAGGAGGTGGCAGGAGATGAGTCTGGAAAGATAGAAGGAACCAGAGCACAAACAGCTGCATTGACAATGGATGTAGATGGAAAAGACTGGAACCCAAATACCATTTGGGAGGCTGGTTGCAGTAATGCAAGTGAGAGGTGATAACAGCGTGAGCTAAGCAGGGCAGAGGGCTGGGGAGGAGATGAACTCAAGAGATCTCAATGAAGTAGAGTGTCTCAGACTCAACGAGTGATTGTAGGGGCTGAAGAACAGTTTAGAAGTCAAGAGTGTTAAACTGCGTGAATTCACTGAAATGGAAACATAGAGGGAGAGGAAGATTTGAGTAAGAGAATAACGAGTCAAGCTTTCTATGTATTGAATTTCAGGATCTGTGAGATATTGAGTGGCCCTGTGGCTTTGGAGCTCAATATTATTTTATCTTTTATACTTTGAAGCTCACAAGGATGCTTGGAATGGAGACATAATTTCTGTAGTCATTGACCTTACAGTGGAAGTGAAGCTATGGGAGGAAATGGGAATAGGCCAAGGTCATAGTCCGGGACCAGTAACATATGGAAGTAGAATGAAGAAAAGGAAAAGGGAAAAGGAGACCTAGGAGTGGCATCCAGGGAGAGCTTGAGAAGCCAAGAGGATGTGATTAAGTGTGTAAAGGCTGACAAGACATCAAGTAAATAGGGATTGGCAAGGGTTCAATTTAGGAACATGGTGGTCATTGATGGCTTCAGTGAGAGCAGCTTCCATGGAGAGTAGGATGAAAACTAGGTTGAGTGGATTGAGGAGAAAATGGGAATTTTCATGTTTTTCAATAAATTTAGCTTTAAATGGAAGGAGAGAGATAGTATCTAGATGGAAATACAAAATCACAAGATAATCTTTCTCACTTTTAGACAGAGGAGAAATCACCACATAACTGGAAACACTGAAAATAGGAGAGGGGAAAGATGGCTGACAGAGTCAGGCTTGACAGGAGGAGGATGGGGTCCAGGACACAGTGTCAGAGGAAAGAGGAGTATAGACAGGAGGAGGTGGGGACACAGTTCCCCTACTCTGACAGGAGGCAAGGTGGGAATAATTGGTACTGATAGATCTAAGTTTATGGGAGGTGGGAGGAAGTTCATAGAGTTCCTACCTGACAACCTAGATTCATCTGAAGGAGGAGTGCCAGTTAAGAGACTGTTACAAGAAGTATCGAGAACCTGAGTTGATGACATTGGGAACAAAGCTGCATACTTGAGACACTGTAATCATTTAACAAAAGGTGAAGTTCACACCATACAAGCACTGCAAGAATGTAGAGCAATTAGAATTCTCATAGACTGATGGTGGAAAAGTAAAATGGTACAAACACTTTGGAAAATCTTTAGGTGGTTTCTCAAAAAGTTAAACAAAGTCCTAACATGTGACTCAGCCACCCACTAGTAAGTATTTACCCAAGAGAAATGAAAGAATATGTCTACATAAAGGCTTGCACATGAATGTTTATAGCAGCTTTATTTTTAACAGCCAAAAACTAGAAACAATTCAAATATCCATCAACAGTGAATGAGTATACAAATGGTGGTACATCCATATGATAGAATGCTACCCTGAAATTAAAAGCAATGAACTATTGGTACATGCAACACCATGGATATGTCTTCAAATAATTATGCTGAGTGAAAGAAGCCAAACCAAAAAAAAAAAAAAGAGCAAATAGAGCAGTATTCTGTTTATACAAAATCCTTTAAAATGTATAGTGACAGAGAAGATCAACGGTTGGGATTGGGGGTGTAGGAATGAGAGAGAGGAAGGGATTGAAAAGGAACACAATGAAAGTTTTGGAGTGATATGTTCCATCAATAACTAGTTTACTGAGAGTTTTTAACATGAAGGGATTTTGAATTTTATCAAAGGCCTTTTCTGCATCTATTGAGATAATCATGTGGTTTTTGTGTTTGGTTCCATTTGTGTGATGGATTATGTTTATTGATTTGTGTATGTTGAACCAGCCTTTCTCCCAAGGATGAAGCCAACTTGATCATGGTGGATAAGTTTTTTGATGTGCTGCTGAATTCGGTTTGCCAGTATTTTACTGAGGATTTTCGCATCAGTGTTCATCAGGGATATTGGCCTGAAGTTTTCTTTTTGTTGTTGTTGTGTCTCTTCCAGGTTTGGGTATCAGGATGATGCTGGCTTCATAAAATGAGTTAGGGAGGAGTCCCTCCTTTTCATTTGTTTGGAATAGTTTCAGAAGGAATAATACCAGCTCCTCTTTGTTTTTCTAGTAGAATTCAGCTGTGAATTCGTCTGGTCCTGGGCTTTTTTTGGTTGGTAGGGTATTAATTAATGCCTCAATTTCAGAGCTTGTTATTGGTCTATTCAGGGATTCATCTTCTTCCTGGTTTAGTCTTGGTATGTTTTATGCGTCCAGGAATTTATCCATTTCTTCTAGATTTTCTAGTTTATGTGCACAGCTATTTATTACAAACCCACAGCTAACATCATATTTAATGGGCAAAAGCTGGAAGCATTCCCTTTGAAAACCTGTACAAGACAAGGATGCCTTCTTTCACCACTCCTATTCAACATAGTATTGGAAGTTCTGGCCAGGGTAATCAGGCAAGAGAAAGAAATAAAGGATATTCAAATAGGAAGGGAGAAAGTCAAATTGTCTCTATTTGCAGATGACATGATTTTATATTTAGAAAACCCCATCATCTCAGCCCCAAAACCTCTGGAACTGATAAGCAACTTCAGCAAAGTCTCAGGATACAAAATCAATGTGCAAAAATCACAAGCATTCCTTTACACCAATAATAGGCAAGCAAAGAGCCAAATCATTAGTGAACTCCCATTTACAATCTCTACAAAGAGAATAAAATACCTAGGAACACAGCTAACAAGGGATGTGAAAGACCTCTTCAAGGAGAACTACAAACCACTGCTGAAGGAAATAAGAGAGAGGACACAAACAAATGGAAAAATATTCCATTCTCATGGATAGGAAGAATCAATATCATGAAAATAACCATACTGCCCAAAGTAATTTACAGATTCAGTACTATTCCCATCAAACTACCATTGACATTCTTCACAGAATTAGAAAAAGCTATTATAAATATCATATGGAATCAAAGAAGACCAGGTATAGCCAAGACAATCCTAAGCAAGAAGAACAAAGCTGGAGGCATCACGCTACCTGACTTCAAACTATACTACAAGGCTACAGTAACCAAAACAGCATGGTACTGGTACCAAAACAGACATATAGACCAATGGAGCAGAACAGAGACCTCAGAAATTACACCACAAATCTACAACCATCTGATCTTCGACAAACCTGACAAAAACAAGCAATGGGGAAAGGATCACCTATTCAGTAAATGGTGCTGGAAAAACTGGCTAGCCACATGGAGAAAACTGAAGCTGGATGCCTTGCTTACACCTTACACAAAAATTAACTCAAGATGGATTAAACACTTAAATGTAAAACCCAAAACCATAAAAACCCTAGAAGAAAACCTAGGCAATACCATTCAGGACATAGGTATGGGCAAAGACTTCATGACTAAAATGCCAAAAGCAATTACAACAGAAACCAAAATTGACAAATGGGATCTAACTAAACTAAAGAGCTTCTGCACAGCAAAAGAAACTATTATCAGAATGAACAGAAAACCTACAGAATGGGAGAAAATTTTTGCAATCTACCCATCTGACAAAGGTCTAACTTCCAGAATTTACAAGGAACTTAAATATATGCACAGGAAAAAAACTACCCCATCAAAAAGTGGGCAAAGGATACAAACAGATACTTCTCAAAAGAAGACACTTACACAGCCAATAAACATATGAAATAAAACTCAACATCACTGATCATCAGAAAAATGCAAATCAAAACCACAATGAGATACTATCTCATGCCAGTCAGAATGGTGATTATCAAAAAGTTAAGAAACAATAGATGCTGGTGAGGATGTGGAGAAACAGGAACGCTTTTACACTGTTGCTAGGAATGTAAATTAGTTCAACCATTGTGGAAGACAGTATGGCAATTCCTCAAGGATCTATAACGAGAAATACCATTTGGCCCAGGAATCCCATTACTAGGTATATACCCAAAGGAATATAAATCAATCTACTAAAAAGATACACACACATGTATGTTTATTGCAGCACTATTTACAATAGCAAAGACTTGGAAGCAACCCAAATGCCCATCAGTGATAGGCTGGATAAAGAAAATGTGGCACATATACACCATAGAATACTATGCATCCATAAAAACGAATGAGATCATGTCCTTCGCAGGGACATGGATGAAGCTGGAAGCCATCATCCTTAGCAAACTAACATAGGAACAGAAAACCAAACACTGCATATTCTCACTTATAAGTGGGAGGTGAATATTGAGAACACATACACACAGAGAGGAGAACAGCACACACCAAGGCCTGTTGGGGGTTGAGAGGAGGGAACTTAGAAGATGGGTCAATAGGTGCAGCAAACCACCATGGCACATGTATACTCACGTAACAAACCTGCATGTTCTACACATGCATCCCATTTTATTTTAGAAGAAATAAAGAAAGAAAAAGGAACATTTGGGGTGATGAATATGCTTCTTATCTTAACTGTGATGATGGTTTCACCAGCACATAGATATGTCAAAAGTCATCAAATTACACACTTTAAAGATGTACTGTTCATTGTATCAATTATAACTCAATAAACTTGTAATAAATGAAGGTCAGAAAAAGACCTATAGTACAATAGCAGATAATTTAAAATAATGCCACATGAAAATAAAATGCCAAGTCCCAATATAGTGTGATTTATTAGTCAGAATAGGCTAAATTGTGTGCTGCAGTAACAAATAACCCTAAGTCACAGTGGCTTGACACAACAAAGATTTCTCATTTGTGCAATGTTACCTGCAGTGTCTGGGAGACTTCACAATGTAACGCTTCTCTATGCAGCAATATAGCCATTCATCTTCCGGCTCTATCCCCTCAACTTGAGGCCTTCTCCGTAATTACTGGGGCAGGGAAGAGAGTACGGGAGGGTCTCATGCAAGCAATTAAATGTTTTAGCCCATAAGTGACAGTTCCATTTACAGTTCATAAGTGACTCTTCCACTCTCAGACCTAGTCATATGACCTCACCTAACTACAAGGGTAATTTCCTGAGTGCTCAGAAAGAAAGGGGAATCAGAAATGAATGCATCTGAGAAGATTTTACCATTCATGGCTTGAAGAAAAAATACATCATCTTTGCCATCCCAAAATGAACATCAGGCTTCAGAGAGAGAAGAGATTTGCAAGATTCAAACCCAAATTTTCAAATATTATTTAAGACTAAACAGAAGTTTATGGTTCTTTAATAAAACTTATGTAATAAGGATGTTGGGTTAAGTTAGCTGAATACAGTATAAATAAGGAAAAACTTGAGGTAAACATAAAGAAAGGGCTGGTCCAGAGATGAGTCTGATTTTCTAGCCTCAGCCAGACTTTGCCCCTGGTCTCACAGGAAGGGAGAATTGTGAAGGTTTAGCATAAACCCTTCTTCACTGTGACAGTAAGCTGTGGCTTTGGCACATAACCCAAACACAGAGCATTCTTGGAAGCTGGGCTAGGCCATCTAAACTGTTCTTTTCTCTTAACCCAAGAAGGGCTAATGAACCTCAGTCCAAAGCATGACTTGCTTTGCCCAGTTTAAGCCCTCAGTACTCAAACTCAGGTCTCAGATCTTGCCACTAATCATTACAAAACAAACCAAAGCAAACTTAAACCTCCATACCTGGGGAGGGGAGAGAGAGAGACAGAGACAGAGAGAGAGAGAGAGAGACAGACAGACAGACAGAGAGACCCAGTGGCTAGTTAGACTGGACCTAGCCAACACAGAGGAGGATAGCCAGGGGAACTAGCTAGGCTCCCGACAAGAAGCAGTGCTTGTCCCTTCCACTCCAGCCAGGAAGAAGGGAGTAAGCAGTTAGCCACTTGCCAGATAGACAAACTGGATCAGTACTCTTGTCATTTAAGGGTATAGAGAACAGGAAGATGGGGAGAGAGAAAGAACAGCACCTTACAGCATACCAGGGTTGTTGTAAGGTTTAAATAAGTTAATACATTAAGTTAGAATAGTGCCTGGTACAGGTGCCTTAGCTACTATCATTATTACTCTCGTTTTTACTACTATTAAGCAGACTTTACGAATGCTGAATTTCATAGTCTAGATTTTATAGCCTTAAGTGCATTTTGCTTTTCAAGTTTCCCTCTATTGCACTCATAATATATTTCTCATATGTTACCTGTTTTCAGTAATCTGCAAATCTTGAAAATTGCCATTTTGATATCTTTAGCTGCTGCTTTGGAAATAACTGTTACTGACACATAGTTAAGATTTATCTCCAAAACAGCAATTCAAATTAATATTATGCCCATTTTTTCCAATAGACCAAAATGGAGATCTATGTGTTTGTTATAAAATATTGGTCTTCAATTTTCTAATAGAATGTTGATATTCAAGAATACCTGAGCAGAATAACATTAACACAGATTATATCATCTTGGCTTCCCCCAAACCAGTTTCTTTGTACAGAAAAACTAAACAAAAAGAAAACGAACCAGCAAATACATACATTCTCTCTGTCTCTGTCTCTGTCTGTCTCTTTCTCTCCCTTTAACTCACACTGACACATGCAGACTCACATGCACACACACAGAAACACATACACATTATTATGTACCTGGGAGTCCCTGTGACCTACCAGGGCTCACTCACTGGGAGGATATAATACGCACCCAGTAGTAGTTTGCATTTAAGGATGGTCTGCAAAACTGAATTATTCCCTAAAAAAAGTATAAGAAAGGAATTTGTTAGGATAAACTCCAGAGATATTGCCTTAGTCCGTTTTGTGTTGCTGTAACAAAATACCTGAGACTGGGTAATTTATAAAGAAAAGAGATTTATTTAGCTCACAGTTCTTCAGACTGGGAAGTTCAAGGTTGAGCAGCTACATCTGGTAGCCTCTGGTGAGGGCCCTGTGCTGTGTCAAAACATGGTGGAGAAATGGAAGGACAAAACATGAAAGGCAACCTCACTTTATAAGAATTTGCTCTCTCAGAAACTAATCCATTCCCACAAAAACTAATCCAGTCTTGGGAGAAAGACATTAATCCATACTAATGACCTAATCACCTTTTAAAGGCACCACCTCCCAAAACTAGCACACTGGGGACCAAGATTCAACACGAGTTTTGGTGGAGATTAACCAAATTCAAACCATAGCACATATTCATAAACTACAAGACCAACATTTCCAGCCAGAGTAGTGGCTGGATGAACATATTTGAACACAGACATGAATGCAAGGGAAAGAAGGGCCTACAGTCACTAAGAGAATTCTGAGTACAGTCACTTATCAGGTGCTGCACGTTGGGTGGGAGGAAAAGGCTCTATGTATTACAGGCTGTCTGAATATGCAGGAGAGAACTGTGTGCCACAGACCTCCTTTTGTCTCAGCTTAAATTGTAGCGTAACCAAACACAACAAAGATTACAGTACCTTGCAGTAGGGTGTTACTGTACTATTGAAATAAGCCTTGTATCAAAAGAATAATTGCCCCTAGATTTTAAAAATTACTATTATTAGGGAAAACACACAGTAAATGAGCATGAGACAGTACTGTTACTTTTACTGGAAGGGTGTTAAATTTGCATTTTGCAAATATTATAAACAGGATAAATATGAAAACTATGGCAGAAGGTAAAGACAACTAAATAATAATTTGAGAACATTTTGATAAATCATATTTCCACTATTGTGGATGACCATCCACTTTATTACTGAAATGTCTGACAGCTGATAACATCAATTTTTGTGGCTGAGGCATTTAATTACTATGTGACAGGTGTCACTGAATGGGTTGGTACTAAACCAGCAGAATTTCCATGCCATGCAAAGTGCTTGTGAAATCCAGTCTGCCTGGGGCTTGCAGATTGCACTTAACTCCAGGATCCTGTGACTATTTGTGACCTTCTTCCTCCTGCCATAGGGCCACCTTCTCTATCCAGGCAGCCAACTGTGTTTGCTGGGGGTTTTGGTTGTGGCATCAGAGGGAATCAGGGAGGCAGGGACCTTAGAAGCCATCTTTTGCAACTCCCTTGGGTTTCCATGATATCAGGTCTCAGAGAAAGAGGGACACTTATTCGAGACTGCACAGCTAGTAAATAGGGAAGACAGATTTGGAACTCAGTTTACCAGGGCTTCTTACCACATAAGGTGTTCAGCATTCTGTCAGCTACACAGGCCCAGGTGTGTTCTTGCCTGTCTTTATAGCCCCTCTCTGCCCCTCCCTCTGCTCTCAGACATGTCCCTTCCTTACATCTTAGGAACACAGCTGGGCCAGCACTCCATCACCAACCCTGGTGCCCAGGCTGAGCTCCGAGCATTATTAGGGGTGGTGACACAAGCCTGACCTTTGGCAAACAGGGTGCTGATGGAGCTGTTTTCAGAGCCTGACACTCTCTTCTGGACACAAGCTCAGACGGGATAGTCCCACAGCTCCAGAGTTCTTGCCCTTTGATGTGATGAGGGGAAGGGATTGTGAACCCCACGCTCTGCTTATCATTCTCTCAAGGCTCAAAGTGTGGCTGCCTTTCCTCTTTCTTTCAGAGCTTCACAAGACAAAATGATACTACCAAGGAGGCAGAGTCTGGTGGCAGCTTCCAGGTCTATTGTTGTAGACAACTCTCTTTGGCTAAGCATTCAGGGAGTTGGTAGACAAGTTGAGCCATCATCCCTAACACCAGAGCCAAACTCTCCTGAGCTCTGTAATTTAGTCCAGGACCTCTTTCATATCTTGTTCAGTGCATTCAGCATCATCTTCAACAACAAAATCATGCTGTTGGCCATCCTAAGGTCTTTAGGTAAAGCTTTTAGTGCAATGAGTCAAAAGAGTTTTCTACCTCCTCCATTTACGTTTAAGATAGATTAATGAGTTAAAAGTTTTGAAATTATTTTATTAAAAAATTAGAAGAAAATACAAGTGAGTATCTACCTCTTAAATCTCTGGGGTAAGGAAGACTTTCTAAAAGCAATGGACAAAGTTACAAAGGTACATAAGAAATTAAAGCATGTGTGCCAAAACAAGCCCTGCCAGAAACAAAACTAAAAGACAAAGAACATAGCAGAGAAAATATTTAAAATATATATGATGTATCACTCAGCCATAAAAAGGAATGAATTAATGGCATTCGTAGCAACCTGGATGGGATTGGAGACTAGTATTCTAAGTGAAGTAACTCAGGAATGGGAAACCAAACATCATATGTTCTCAATTGTAAGTGGGAGCTAAGCAATGAGGATGCAAAGGCATAAGAAAGACACTATGGGGACATGGGGGAAAGGATGGGAAGGGGGTGAGGGATATAAGACCACAAATAGGGTTCAGTATATACTGCTCTGGAGATGGGTGCACCAAAATCTCATGAATCACCACTAAAGAACTTACTCATGTAACCAAACAGCACCTGTTCCCCAAAATCCTATGGAAATAAAAAGTTAAAAAAAATTAAAATAGGCTGGGTGCAGTGGCTCACACCTGTAATCCCAGCACTTTGGGAGGCCAAGGTGGGTGGATCTCCTGAGGTCAGGAGTTCAAGACCGGCCTGGCCAACACAGCAAAACCCTGTCTTTACTAAAAATACAAAAATTAGCTGGGCGTGGTGGTGCACGCCTGTAATCCCAGCTACTCAGCAGGCTGAGGCAGGGAGAATCCCTTGAACCCAGGAGGCAGAGGTTGCAGTGAGCTGAGATCATGCCATTGCACTCCAGCCTGGGCTAACAAAGCAAGACTCCATCTAAAAAAAATTAAAATAAATATATAAATAAAATATGTATGACAAAGGGTTTACTCTCTTACATATGAAGAATTTTTACAAATCAAGAAAATGTTAATGAACCCAACAGGAAAATTGACAAAAATATAAAAGCTATTTCCTGAAGGAAAATGAATGACTCTTGGATTGTATTGCCAAAGAAATGTGACTTAAAATGAGATGCCATTTCTTATCTAGCAAGTCAGGTAATTTTTAAAATGAAAGTATAAAATATTGACAAAGCAATAATCATAAAGTCTGTTGGGTTTTAAATATGTGTAGAACTAAAATAAAACATTATTAAATTTTGTTGTCTAAGAGTAGAAATGTGTGAATCAGGAAAAAACTGTATGGTGGAAAAGTTAACAAAGCCTTTGCAGTGTCTGGGAAATCGTGACAGTACTGTATTAGTTTCGTAGGGTTCCATCACAAATTACCACAAACTGCATGGCTTAAAACAACGGAAACTTATTCTCTCACAGTCCAGGAGGACAGCAATCTGAAAACAAGTTTTCTATAGGGCTGAGATCTCTCTGAAGGCTCTACGGCTGAATCCGTCCTTTCCCCTTCCAGCTTTGGGTGGCTCCAGACATTCCTTGGCCCACGGCTTCATAACTCCAATCCCTGTTTCCTTTTTCACATGGCCTTCTCTCTGTCTTCTCTTCTGTTTCTTACAAGGATGTCTATCATTAGATTTAGGGCCCACCAAGATAATCCAGGATGATCTTGACTCAAGATTCTTAATTACATATCCAAAGAGCCTTTTCCTAAATAAGATCACATTCACACATATGTTTTATTCAGCTTTTATTGCTGTTCTGTGTGGGAGAACTGGTTTATTACAGACTAGCCCATCATAGTCAGAAATCTCTAATATGTTTTTAATGGGTATCATTCTATTTGAATGTGTTTCTGCAGAATGTATGTTTTCTATGCATATATTTTATATTTACATTAATGGCTGTGTGCTGTGTGAGATCACATTGAATTCCTTACCTTTTTCTCTCAGCACCATGCCTTTAAGCTATGTTTGTAGCAACGTGAGTATCTAAATTTTGCTCCTCACTGTTGAATTTCACCGTGTGCTTTTACCACATTCTGGTCTCCGGGTAAAGAAGCCCAGATGGCTTTCAACTTCCTAACACCACAAACAGTATCAGAATGAACATTCCCAGGTATTTTTGAACTATATATACCTAGGAGCAGAATTACTAGGTCATTTGACCCAGAATTTCTCAGTCAAATAATGATGACGTTTGACTAAGTAGTATTAAATAGCTTTCCCAAATGGCTTTATCTCTACCTCAATTTTCCAGTATTATGGAAGAGTATTTGGAATTTTCTGTACAGCAGAATAGATACAGTAGTGATGCTAATCATTGTGGTCTCATCCCCCACACCTGCTTCCTGCTCTGGAATCCTTAGTTTTACCACATTAACTGGTCCCCACAAGCCACAGCTGATTGACAAAGCCAGGCTCTAGGTCATGCTGAGCCACTTAGATTCTTTCTACCAAGAATTTTGGATAAGAACACTAAAAAGCCCAGTTAGAAAATAGTGGACACAAGGGGGAATCAGTTGAGAGAGAGAGAAAATTTGGGGAATGGAGGCTGGCACATACACATGGCTTCATTAGAGATGGAGGGAGCAGTTTATCTCTGTAATTCTCTGGACTTGGTCATCATGGATGTGGCTGAATTTTGGTTTCCATTTTGGATGTCTACCAGGATAATTGTTTGTTGAATCCTTAAAAAAAAAAATCTTGACTTCACCTATACTAGCTAAATCGGCTAAGTTTCTAGCAACCAAATAGCTCCTAAGAAAATATGTAAAGTTGGGCTCAGTGGCATGTGCCTCTAGTCCCAGTTACTCAGGAGGCTGAGGCAGGAGGATCACATGAACCCAGGAGTCTGGAAATGCAGTGCACTCTGATTGTGCCTGTGAGTAGCCACTGCACTCCAGCCTAGGCAACACTGTGGGACTCCATCTCAGAGGGAGAGAGGGAGGGAAAGAGAGAGGGAAGGAGGGAGGGAGGGAAGGAGGAAGGAAGGAAGGAAGGAAGGAAGGAAGGAAGGAAGGAAGGAAGGAAGGAAGGAAGGAAGATGCATAATATTTTCCTGCCTTAGTAGACAGAGCACATTGTTTTTGTAAATAAAGTTTTATTGGTGCATAGCCATCTTATTCATTTATACATTTCCTATGGTGCTTTCAAACTCCCCTAGAGAGCTGGAATTCTCTAGCAACTGGTTTTATCTCTTCCCTCCTTATGGTCATCCGCTCTTTGTTGTTCCTTTTCCTTTGGTAGGGTTGCAGCACCATGGTTAGTTCCTCCTGTATCTGGCACCTCTTCTGCTATCCGCTGGGCCCTCCCCCTTGCTGTGGCTTTCTTCCCTCTTTCCCCTGCAGCTTCTTACTTTGCACTTTTGCCTTGGAACACTGGACTTTTAGGGCCAGCATCAGTCATCCTATGCTGTGCTGGGGAGCTGTCCAGACACTCTGCATCTTTGTCAGTCGTCTCATTTGACATTCTCATTGATTACTTTCATCATAAATTAGTTTTCTCTTCGGATCCTCTACATCGTGGAAAGTTCTGGGAACCAAGCAGTGGAAAACTACAAAGGATTTCAACAGTTCTCCAGGATACATGAGATACCAGGCACTGGAACGGGGGAACCCCTGCATCTTCACTCAGACTCTGCTC
This sequence comes from Homo sapiens, assembly GCF_000001405.40. NCBI lineage: Eukaryota > Metazoa > Chordata > Mammalia > Primates > Hominidae > Homo > Homo sapiens. The sequence continues at coordinate 109,998,939 of NC_000006.12, forward strand.
AGGCACCTCCCCAAGCCTCTTCCTGTACTGCCCCAACTCCACACAGGGAAGGGACAGGCCAGGGTCCAGATAGGCACCTCTGCAGATTGTCTTGGCACACAGAGACCTCACCCTGAAGTACATCCTGCCCTTTAGAATTATCAGTCTAGCCATCTTTGGGGTGAGAGATATGAGACAAGGAAGAGGCCCTAGATACCCAGGTCCATCTAAAGTCTTCCAAGACGTAGGTTTATACAAAACAGCCCTAGGCAGATCATGAAGGTTGTGATTTCTGCTAATTGGTGGCTGGTGTCCTGGGAGTTGGACTGGGGCCTCAGCCCTTGCTCTTCTCCTGAATGGCCATGTGACCTCAGATAAGGCCTTTCACCTCTCTGGCCCTCAGCTTGTTCATCAGCAATGAGGGGTTTTTGACTGAGATGAGTTCTAACCCTGCCACTCTGTTCAGAGCAGTTGACTGGCCAAGATCCTGTCTGTGAGGGAGCATAGAGAGAAGCTATGTTGGCTGGGAACGAGCCCATTCCTCGGGATCTCAGGGATGTCCCTTGCTTAAATATCTTGGGAGGGGGTTTATTATACCCAAAGGCTGCTCTGTGCTTTCTGGCTTTGACTGCAGCAGAAATGCTTTGAAACTTGATGGGATTTCATATTCTAGCAATTCCTTCCCCCAAAAGGCTCCAACTACATTGGAGAAAGGTCTATGAACAGCAGAGAAGTGTTCTTTTCACATCAGTTGTTCTGCTTAAACCCCCAGTAGCTCCCCATTGTCACTAAAATAAAGTCAAATTCATTAACATGACTAATAAGGGTTTATGAAGAAAAACCATTAATAATTTGATCCCTGCTGACTTCTTCCCACTGATCTCTCCCTGGATATGCCTAATGTCTTTCAGTTTTTAAATACGCTGGCTTCTATCTATCTCCAAGATTTTGTGTGTACTGTTACCTCTTGCCTGAACTATTTTCATCTCGCTGCTCCCACGTCTTCCCAACTGGTGACTCATACTCAGGTCTTAGCTTCCATGTTCCTCCATCTTACTCAGATCTTAGAGTTCATGTTCCTCCATCTTACTCAGATCTTAGAGTTCATGTTCCTCCTTTGTACAGATCTTAGAGTTCATGTTCCTCCTTCATACTCAGATCTTAGAGTTCATGTTCCTCCTTCATACTCAGATCTTAGAGTTCATGTTCCTCCTTTGTACAGATCTTAGTGTTCATGTTCCTCCTTCGTACTCAGATCTTAGAGTTCATGTTCCTCCTTTGTACAGATCTTAGTGTTCATGTTCCTCCTTCGTACTCAGATCTTAGAGTTCATGTTCCTCCTTCATACTCAGATCTTAGAGTTCATGTTCCTCCTTCGTACTCAGATCTTAGTGTTCACGTTCCTCCTTCGTACTCAGATCTTAGAGTTCATGTTCCTCCTTCGTACTCAGATCTTAGAGTTCATGTTCCTCCTTCGTACTCAGATCTTAGTGTTCATGTTCCTCCTTCGTACTCAGATCTTAGAGTTCATGTTCCTCCTTTGTACTCAGATCTTAGTGTTCATGTTCCTCCTTCGTACTCAGATCTTAGAGTTCATGTTCCTCCTTCACACTCAGATCTTAGTGTTCATGTTCCTCCTTCATACTCAGATCTTAGAGTTCATGTTCCTCCTTCTTACTCAGATCTTAGTGTTCACGTTCCTCCTTCATACTCAGATCTTAGAGTTCACATTCCTCCTTCATACTCAGATCTTAGAGTTCATGTTCCTCCTTCATACTCAGGTCTTAGAGTTCATGTTCCTCCTTCATACTCAGGTCTTAGCTTGTATATTCCTCCAGCTTAGATCAGATTAGGTCTCCATGAGGTGTTCCTGAAGTGCCCTGAACTCCATCACCCCAACTGGTATTCTTCCCCTTTCATAATAATTATTTGTTAAATTGTCTGTCTCCTTTCCAAACTGTTAGCTACAAGAAACCTTGCCCTTTATCACCACTGTGTGCTAAGATTTTTGACAAACCTGGTCTACAGAAGGTACTAAAAAATGTACATGTTAAATGAGGGCCATGGAAGGAATTTTTTCCTCTTCATGAGAGAGATACCTTTGTTCTTTGGCACTTCCATGGCAACTGGCCCAAGAGCCTCAAAGATGTTCTAGTTAAGTGACTTAATTAGCTAAAATGCTTAATGGTGGAGAGATGTCTACTGGGATTGGAAGGACTCCAAGTGGGATTCCAGACAATTCCAATGGCTGGGGATGATGAGGCTATTAAATGTTGTCAGCACATCACAGCTCTGGGAGGCAGCTCAGCTGATCAATAAACTAGTTAAAAAGCAAAAAGTGAAGAGTCTTTCAACTTTTAACCAAAGAGGGCATTAAATCCTTCCCACTTTGATCTCTTGACTCATTAGCTAATTTCCAACAGCCTAATGCCCCAGGGTAGCAGGATACTCCTTTCCCCCAACATCTTACAGTGCCCTTAGGCATCTGGAAGCCACCCAGCATGGCTAAATCACACATCCCTGAGAAAACTCTGGAGTCCCAGAGCCAAGGAACATCCAAAAAGCCAGCTGGGAAGTCTGAGAAATCTACTTGTTACTGCAGGGTCTACTAATTCAAGCAGATATGCACTAGAGAAAGCATGGTTGCAGCATGTCTTATATGTAAATGGTGTTTAATGAGCAAATAGTGTTTAATAAGCAAAATGCTTATTAAGAACTACTTACATATAAGACACACTGCAACCATGCTTCTTATATTTTCAGAGGCAGCTACTGCAGCTGAAGAAAAAACATACTTTTTCTGTCACATTTGTTAGAAGACTTCATATTTATAAAAAATTTGATAGAAATATAATGTGGGGCTCAGTCTGCTTTTGCTAAAACAAAATAAGGCAAAATACTTCGTTTGGGTTTATCAAAATAGTTATTTAAAATCTTCCTCTGACTGAAGAGCAGTCCTCCCTCCCTGGGAAGGTCATCCTATTCCAACCAGCCTCTGAGATCAATTGAGCTGACTTTGGTGAACAGTGGGTGTTATGGGTTCCTCCAGGCCATCCTGTGACCTGGTCATTTTTTTTGTGCAGCCACCTAGCTTCCATTCCCTCTTCTCATGGCCCTTTTACGTGCACAGTGTCCTGCCCTACCTTGCCAGAAATTGGGCAGAGAACCCAAGCTAGGTCAACCAAACTCTTTCCTGCAAGATCTGATTCTTGACTGCAGTGCCTTAAGGACAGAAAAGACTGCATCCATTCTAAGGACAGTGGCCAGGAAAAAAGCCTGGATGCTTTCTGCTATCTCACTGCCCAGAGCTGCCCTGGTTCCTGTTCTTGTCCCTCTCCTGGTTCTCCATCCTTCTGTCTATTATGTGAGCTTCTCAATATCTCTTCAATACATTACCTTTGTGCTTAAGGTGACCAAACTTGGTTTCTGTTGTTTACAACTAAAGAATCATGATATAAACTCAGATCCTTAAGTGAAGATATTTTAAAGTTCAGAGTTACCATTATTTTAGGTTTATGACACAGTGTTCAGTTTAAAAAGAAAGATGCAAAACCATAGGTACATTGATAGCTATTTGAATTAAAACAAAACAATTGTGTTAACAGAGAGTAAAAGAGTGCAAGAAAATATACTAATGCTGAGAGTGGTTATGTTAAGAAAGGGGCATGGATCATTTCTCTTATTTTTCCTGCATTCTAAATTATTTGTGATATGGCACATTAATCATGGAAATATTAATTTATAATAAAGAAAATATAAAATGAGAATATGTTGTCTAGTATTAGAGAAAACATAGTATTGTGACCTTCTTAAAACGTTGCAAATGTATTACTTGGCCTCTTGTTCCAAATTTCTAGTTCAATTTCCTGCCAGAATTCTCAACACACAGTAGCAGAGTCAACTCTTAATCAACTCTTAATCATCTAGCGAAGAGCTGGGATGGCGTGGGCTCACAGCAATCGTCTCTCAGTAAGAACAACCACCCTGCAACACATTTTAGAACTAAGGATGAGTCACTCAAAAGTACGCTTGCTGGTAGGGTTTTACAAAAAGTCTTTCTTACCAGTAAATAGTGGAAGCCATGATACATGGGAGCCCACCAAAGTGAAAAGCCAGCTTTAATCCACAGAGATTTTAAGAGCTTAGGCAGAACATTTCCTTCTTTTAGCTTAATTAATTCTAAATTAAGAATTTATTTAAAAATTGAAAAAGACAAGAAAGCTCATGCTTACTGTTTTGTTGAAGAATAAGCAGAAGAAGGAAGGTAAAATCTGAGTTGACTACATAATTTCCATGTTTGTTAATGTCTGCTTATATTTAAGCACGAGATCTTATTTCCCATGTGTATTAGTTTACAATGGCTGCTGTAACAAATCACCACGAACTTCATGGTTTAAAACAACACAGATTTATTGTCTTTGCTGTGCTTCATCCACTCCAAACCTTATGTTGAAATATGATCCCCAATGTTGGAGGTAGAGCCTAACGGGAGATACTGGGGTCATGAGGGCAGATCCCTCACAAATAGATTAATGCCCTCCCTCACCGGTGAGTGAGTTCTCACACTAGTAGTTCCCATGAGAGCTGGTTGTTGAAAAGAGCCTGGGTCTGGGCACGGTGGCTCATGCCTGTAATCCTAGCACTTTGGGACACCGAGGTGGGTGGATCACGAGGTCAGGAGATTGAGACCATCCTGCCCAACATGGTGAAACCCCGTCTGCACTGAAAATACAAAAATTAGCTGGGGGTGGTGGTGCACGCCTCTATTCCCAGCTACTCGGGAGGCTGAGGCAGGAGAATCACTTGAATCTGGGAGGTGGAGGCTGCAGTGAGCTGAGATCATGCTACTACACTCTAGCCTGGTGACAGAGTGAGACTCCGTCTCAAAAAAAAAAAAGAGCCTGGAAGCATCTTCCCCACTCTCTTGCCTCCTTTCTCACCAGGTGATCTCTGCACACGTGGGTTCTCCTTCACTTTCTGCCATGAGCAGCTTGAGGCCCTCACCTGATGCAGATGCCCAAACTTGAAACTTTCAGCTGAGAACCAAGAGCCAAATAAAACCTTTCCCTTTATAAATTATGCAGCCTCAGGTATTCCTTTAGAGCAACACAAAACAAACTAAGACACTTAAGGTTCTGGAGGACAGAAATCCACAATCAATCTCACAGTGCTAAAGTTAGCAAGGCTGGTTTCTTCTGGAGGCTCTAGAAGAAAATCTACCTGCTCTGGTTTGAATGTCCTCTTCAAAACTCATGTTGAAATTTATTTGCTATTGTGACAATATTAAGAGGTGGGACCTTTAAGAGGTGATAAGATCATGAATTAGATCTGCCCTCATGAGTGGATTAATGATGTTATCTCAAGAGTGGTCTCCTGATAAAAGGAGAAGTTGGTCTCCTTTCTCTCTCTACCTTGTTTGCTCTTCTGCCATGGGAGGATACAGCAACAAGGCTCTCACCAGATGTGGCCCTTTGATTTTGGACTTCCCAGCCTTGCAAACTGTAATCTGAATAAACATTTATTACTTACAAATTACCCAGATTATGGTATTCTGTTGTAGCAGCAGAAAACAAGTTAAGACACCATCCCTGGCTTTTTCCATCTTCCAAAGGCTGTCCTCATTCCATGGCTCCAGGACTCCACATCATGTCACCCTTTCTCCTCCTGCTTCCATCATTACATGGCCTTTTCTTGTCTGACTGTAACCTTCTTGCCTCTTATAAATATCTTATAAGGATCCTTGTGATTACACTGAGCCCATGCAGATAATCCAGGATAATCTCCCTATGTCAAGATCTGGAACTTAATCACATCACAAAGTCCCTTTTGCAATGTAAGGTAACATTCACAGTTTCTAGGGATTAGGACATGGACTTTAGGGGAAGCGTAGCCATTATTCAACCCACCACACCATTGTATAGCAAAAATACTCTATTTGATTAAAATTAACAAATACTGCTGAAAATATAGAGAACAAACATTTTTTAATTAGTAAAAATATGTTAATATCTGTCATGTGTGATAATTATACTGTAATGTGGCCAAAAAAAGTGCCCAAATTAGAGAGGGCTCATCTTTTAATAGCTTCATCCATTTTTCTGGTAGAGATGAATATTTAAGATAAACCAGTTTTTGTCTCATAGATATGAGGCCAGTAATTTTTTAATGATACAAATATATGTCTTAAAATTAACATATTGCTTGAGTCTTCTTGGCTTGATTAGTAATGTATCTATTTTATTGTAGGGATTCAGAATTTCTAATTGTTACTTATATTCTACATGCATGTCCTCTAACTTGTGTGATAAATGACAGATTCTAATCAGCATCCTTTCTACGGGTCTGAAGAGGAACTACAAGGTGTTAAAGACAAGAATGTCACTCCAGCTTGCAGCACTGGTGCCTCAGCCCTTATCAATCTGGGACCCAATTAAGAACTAGAAAGTGAGCAGGAACAACATCTGAGCCTCCAGAGCAAGAGGTACTGATGCCCCCCAACCCAGCAGCCTGCATTCCATTTCCAGGAGCCCAGTGGGCTTCACACAGAGCCATATGGCTTTGACTTTAGGCAGCATTCTAATAAACATGATTATCTGATTCCCAAGGAGACAGAAGTTCATGGAGGTGTCAAGTTGGAGGTTGGGTCTTGTTGAGTGGAGTACTTTACTATAGGTGGACACAATGACCACAGCAACAGTGAGGTGATTAGGAAATATGTAGGAATATAAATGTGCACACACTCACACACACACATACACACAACAGACACACTTTCTGAGACTTGATTTCAGTAGATTAAAAAAAAAAACAACTCATGCCTCTGAACAAGTAAAGTAATTGTTCAAAAAGCTTACTTTTCATTGCCTAAAAAGACCGGCTTTTTGGTTAATTATCCTTAAGAAAACAGGGAAGTGTTCAGATTATTTAAAAAAGAGTTTCATAAAAATTAAGATTTTTTTCCCTAATTTACTTAAAAGGATAAAGTCTCAACCATCCAGAAAACTTGGCTTTTCTAAATGATTTACTTTCTGGTATCCAGGTAGGTATAATTGTTTTTTTTTTTTTTTTTTTTTGAAATGGGGTATTGCTCTGTCATCCAGGCAGTGGTACAATCATAGTTCACTGCAGCCTTGAACTCCTGGCACAAGAGATCCTTCTGCCTCAGCCACCCGAGTTTCTGTGATTACAGGCACACGCCACCATGCCAAGCTAATTTTTTAAATTTCTGCAGGACAAGGTCTCACTATATTTCCCAGTTTGGTCTCAAACTCCTGGCATCAAGCAATCCTCCTGCCTTGGCCTCCCAAAGTGCTGGAATTACAGGGGTAAGCCACCATGCCCAGCCTGATCTTTTTGCAAATTAAATTTTTCATTAATTTGCATTCTACTCATTCAGAATTTTTGATAATTATATCTCAGCTGGACTAGCTAAATTTTGCCTTTGCATAATCCACAAAGAAAGAGTTTGCCTAGCAAACTAATAACACAAATAAGACTTCAGAAAGATATATGTGGTCTGCTTATCTAAAAAACGTAAATAAAATCCTTTGAAATGTATTTATGAAAACAACCTTCTTAGATATGTATTTTCTGTTCATTACTCTTAATATGGAAACATCTCAATACAAGTTTCAGTGTATGTCAATTTTTTTAAGTATTTTTAAAATATATTTAGAATTTAGACTGACCACCTCAGTTTGTCCAAATTAATGACTCTGTCTCCCTGTGCATTATACTTTAATTAAATCAGTGGTGACTAATTTAACAAATAGTTGGAAAACTAAGCAAAGTGAAATGATTTTCTAAAGGCATAATAACCATTAATGACCACAGTTCAAGATATAAATTATACCTAAAAGGCTTCCTTTGTTAAGTTAAAAACATCAAACACCATTTTAATTGAGAAATTAAGTCTAATGTATTTAACACTCAGCAAAACTTACAAAAGCTTTATAAACATTTTCCAGTTATCCTAATTTTTCTTTCATAGACTTACCTAAAAACAATGGGATAACAATTTTCATATCTGTAAATCACAAACATCATAACCAACAGATCAAAAACTGAACTTGCAGGCATAGGAGAGTTTGAATGCGGTCTTGTGAGATAACCAAAGACCTATGGTCACACATAGATGCAGATAGAAACACATCTCTTAGGAGATGAACCCAGAAGGTTAAGGCCAGTATTTAACATTTTCGAATTTAAAGCTAGCTTAGCATCTTGCTACTTTATGTTCAGAAGAGTTTATAAATAGTGATTGTATCTGATTACATAAACTATTTAAGTTAAATTTAGCCTAACAATTATTTTGCTTCCTCTAGCAACTGAATTTGGTCAATCCAACAGTTTATGACTAGATAGAAATTGGTTAATACCTTTAATTTCTGAACAATTGGTTATTTCAACTTTGGTTTAAAAGACAAAAAGCTTTGACAAAATAATATTCTATCTTGGATTTGCATGGAATTTATCTGGGAGTGGAGATGGATTATTATGGATGAAACCAGATGGGCCATGAGCTGATAACTACTGAAGCTGGGTGATGCATACACAGAGATTCCTTACAGCCTTCTCTCTACTTTTGGTATTTTGATATTTTCTGGCATAAAAAGGAAAAAACTATTTGTATTGAAGACAGTTGAAAGAAAACAAGACAATACTAGTTTAGCTAGCTGGGCAAAGTCAGCCCACTTGCTGTTTTGATATGATTAGGTCCAAAGAATTCCTGGGTGAACAACTGTGAGATTTCTTTCTTTCTTTTTTTTGGAGACATGGTCTCATTCTGTCACCCTGGCTGGAGTGCAGTGGTGCGATTATAGCTTACTGTAGCCTGAACCTCCCAGGCTCAAGTGATCCTCCCACCTCAGCCTCCTGAGTAACTGGAACAATAGCCATGCACCACCATGTCTGGATAATTTTTTAATTTTTTGTAGAGATAGGGTTTCAGCATGTTGCCCAGGCTGGTCTCAAACTCATGGGCTTCAGCAATTCTTCCACCTTGGCCTCCCAAAGTGCTGGGATTATAGGTGTGAGCCACCATGCCGGGCCTGGGATTTCCATATAATAATAATTCTGGGATTTTTCAAGCCATCCTCATCCTCCTTGGATGGGAATTGACCATGATTCAGTATTTGATTTCTAGTGAAAATGGGCACATATGAACAAGTACACCTACACCTGTACATTTAAAAACATGTAATTATACCCCTACGTTGTTCTCAGAAGGATTCAAGATATTTGTGCACAGGAGAAATAAAACTTAAATTAGTTTTGCCATTTAGAATTTCTCTCCCTAAAATAAAGTTCATGAATATGTATTTTATATTTGCATAAAAAAGGCAAACACCTTGTCATGAGACCCTTTTGTTCAGTTGGCTCACATCACTCAAGCTCACGATGAGAGACTTTCCTATTTACACACAGAATGTTCAACTGCTTTTGATTGAAATCTGATTAAGATCACAAAAGTTGCCCCAGTAGGAATTTTACTTTTCTTCAGTGACATCCACTTGAAATTCTCATTTCATGACTCCTTAGATTGTTTTTGGTCATGGAAGTGGGGACCCACACCTTGTACCCATATGCATTTGAGTGCAGCAGTTCTAACCTCTCTGATAGGAAGGTACTTTCTGCTAGGGACTTATCTGCATTCTCCTTTGTCATCTCATCACCTATCACCAATAAAAGTCTTGGAATCAAAAAGTAGGAAGAAATTTCCTAGCTGGGAGCGGTGCTCATGCCGGTAATCCCAGCACTTTGGGAGGCCGAGGTGGGTGGATCACCTGAGGTCAGAAGTTTGAGACCAGCCTGACCAACATGGTGAAACCCCGTCTCTACCAAAAATACAAAATTTAGCCCGGTGTGATGGCAGGTAACTGTAATTCCAGCTACTCAGGAGGCTGAAGCAGGAGAATTGCTTGAACCTGGGAGGCGGAAATTGCAGTGAGTGGAAATCGCGCCATTGCACTCCAGCCTAGGCGACAAGAGTGAAACTCCATCTCAAAAAAAAAGAAAAAAAGAAAAAAGAAATTTCCTGGCTAAACTAGAGCAAAAGGAGCCAAATCACCAAAGATGACTTAGACAATTCAAAGGCTAAAAAGTTGGAGGAAAAAATGTTCTGTTCAAGCAACACAAGCAGGGATATTATCCTATTCCACCCACTTAGAATCAGTCTGCAGACTGAATACCACTTGGCCGAAATTCTCCTGTTTGTCTGCAGGCAATTGGAGCTTGAATGCCTAGGTGACACAGCAGGGCAGGGCACACTTCAGGAATGAACACTCCAGCCTGAGACTCAGGGACTAGAGGAACAGGGGGAATTCATTTCAAACAAAGGTCTCCTGGAATAAGGAGTTACAATCACATGTTTTTTTAATTCGACATGATTAGACAGCTTTCAGTGCTAAGCAGGTTGAGAATTTAAGGATACCTAAACCCTGGTGTGCATCTTCACTGTGCCTTTGAGACCCACAACGTCCTATCACTAAGGTCAATTCTTATTACATATGCTTGGGAACATTTAATAGATCCATCAATGGGAGCAATGAAAAGTTTGCAAATGTGATGAACAGTTTCCCCAAGAGCCATTTGGAACAGCCTAGGAAATTAGTTCTAAGCATGCAGATTAGAGATAATTCTCCAAATTACTTGTGACATGTTAACGTCAGTCCTGTCCCCAAACTCTCCCCATTGGCTTTCTTGATTGTCTACCCCACTAATGGGTCAGGTACAAGGCAGGTGCTTTAGATCCCTGCTTGGCCCCCAGCCTTCCTCTCTATGTTTAGATCAGCCACCAGGCAGGTGCTTTAGCCTCCCTAGGCTGCATTTAATAACTACCTAGACACTGCTTAAAGCTCCTGATGCTCAGGTGGAACCCCAGACTAATTAAACTCAGGTGGAACCCCAGGCTAATTAAATCTACCTAGGATAGAACCCAGGCATCAGCAGTTTTTTAAACTCCCCAGATGATTCCAATATACATCCAAGTTTAAAAGCCAATACTTCAGATATATAATCTCATTTAATCTTTAAAACAACCCTGTGAGGTGAATATTTTTCCAACCCTCTTTTATACAGGAAGAAATAGGCTCAGAGAGGTTTTGAATTTTATAGGTAGTATCTAACCTATATTAGTTACTAAAATGCTGATCCTGATGTATCAAAACTCAATGACACAGCAACAGAAGCAAAAAGCAGGAGCTCTGTTAATAAAACCCAGGAAAGAACTTTTCAAAAGGGGAGGAGGTTGGGATGTTCTGGACATTGGGTTATGATGACACTATGGTGCCTTACTCCCATGCCTTGAAGCCTGTCTCTTGTCTGAATGTCAGATTGATGGCATTGGACCAAAATGATTATTATCTGGTTAGGACTTGAAGGATGGAAGCTATTTGTCTCGAAGAGGAAGAAATTGTCCTTATTAACAAACAGGATGTCAGTGGGAAAAGAAACTTTTTTAAATCTCAATTTGGGGGTTTTAGGAGTCCATAGTTCTTTAAGGATGGTCTGGGTAGTAAACTGGCACATGCCTCAGTGAGGCAGGCTGGGGGTCAACCAGTGAGGCACTTTGTAAATCTGGCTATGTAGCCTAATCCTTGGGGAGACATTTTAAAATATTTCAGTTTCCAGGCCTCACTCTAGTTCTACAAACCATTTTCAAAGAGTGGAATAGAAATATGTCTTCTATAAAGCTCTCCTACAAGAAAATCACTCAGCTAGGGGACCATAGGCTGAAGACGAACAAGCTGTGTTTTATGAGGCTAAATAACAATAGCGTCCTCTCTGTGTTTAGTTCCCTTTTGTCCCTCAGCCCACAGCACAGCCTTGCTTAGACATTCAGCCTGGTCTAGTGTGTCCTATTAGCTGCATGTCCATTCACATGTCAGAATATGAAAAGTGGCCGAAGTGGTATCTGTGAGGCTTCCCTTCAGAAATTAAGTCAAAGAAAAACCTGGTTCCGATCCTGGCAGTTACTATAGGCTTAGACAACAATCTCCAACCCTCAGAGCACTGGCTTCCTGATCAGTTAAATAATAAGTGAATAAAGAATGCATGTAATACATATAAGACAATGCTTACTGGTGCCTAATACACGAAATTTTTTAAAAACCTAGCTACCTTACCTATGTGGCGAGAAGTAAAGGGTCTCTCTTCACTGCCAGCTTTTTGCTATAAAATGCAGCAATTTCCTCCCATCTCCGGTCAAGGCGAGCCAGGCACAGGTGGAGGATATTAACAATAATTGGGCCATGTGGGCGGCCCATGGGAACTAGGCCCAGGTCATGCATTAGACATTTACAAAAATACAAACTTGCATTTGAATGATGGAGGATTTATTTTTCATATTTCATAATAGGTCTATGTTGTAGAAAATGATTCAAAGTTGGATTTCTTCAATCAGCCCCCCTACTGTAAGATAAAACTTGTCTACATAAAGCTTTCTCCGGAAATCATCTCCAGAATTAGAGAAGACCCAGCATTTACCTTTATGAAAGATATTTCCAAATATAAAACCAAGTGCAAAGATGAATTGTATGCTGGGAGCTCTACCAGCTCTCATTTTCCAGGTCTTCTCACTAATTTGCCCTTTAATGTACACCCAAACCACCAGAAGTTATCATATTCAGCAACTCTTTATTGTATCTGCTATATGGCATTGGGATAGATGATGGGGCTGGTTTTGAGCTGTGATGGTTTGGCTCTGTGTCCCCACCCAAATCTTACTTTCAATTGTAATAATCCCCATGTGTTGTGGGAGGGACTTGATGGGAGGTAATTGAATCACAGGGGCAGGTCTTTGCCATGCCATTCTCATGATAGTGAATAAGTCTCACAAGATCTGATGGTTTTATAAAGGGGAGTTCCTCTAAACATGCCCTCTTGCCTGCCACCATGTAAGATGTGCCTTTGCTTTTCTCTTTTGCCTTCTGCCATGATTGTGAGGCCTCCCCAGCCATGTGGAACTGTGAGTCCATTAAACCTCTTTCCTTTGTAGATTTACTCAATCTTGGGTGTCTTTATTAGCAGCGTGAGAACAGACTAATACGGGTGAGAGTGGAAAAATCAGGATACATGAAGAGAAATACAGCATTCTCCCTGCCAGAAGAGCCAACCAGTCTAGTTACAATAAGCCTATCTCCCTTCCATGGCTCCGAGGCCCCACACCATCTTTCCTGCTCTCACTGGCCTCACCTCCTACCATTCTCCCCTTGCTCCCTCTCTCCCACCTCACTGGCCCCTTGGCTCTTCCTTGGTCCCAGCTTGTTCCTACTTCAAGACCTTTGCCACGTGGCCCACTCTGCCTAGATGCCCCCCTACCGTGCCCACTGTGCACAGACACTACTTCTTGGATTGGAGGGGTCTGAGCACTAATGTCACCTCTTCTGGAAGGCCCTTTCCTGACCATTTGGTTCAAATTGGCATCCCCTTTCCTCTTCTCTCAGTCCCTTGTTGAATTCCTTCATGGTGTAAAACTTCTTACCATTTATTACTGTTTTATTTATTTGTCTGTTAGCTGAGATTTTATTTATCTCTCTCACAAGAATGCAAAGCCCATTGCAGTATTCTAAGTGTTTGTAATGTGTGGTTGGTGCCCAACAAAGACTTTTACATAAATGAATGAGTAGCAAGTTACATAGCAAAGGAAGAGGAAAGATTCAAAATTAAAGAAATTAGAGATTAGAGTTCAGAGGTGGAAGAGACAGCCCCCCTGGTGCTGAGATAAGATGGCTGGGATACCTTTTCTGAATGGTAAAAGGCTGACACTTTCCCTAGACTTGTAGGAATGGGTGTTGGCCACATCCCTCATGGTCATATCCCTAGTGGTCTCTTGGCAGAAAGCCACAGGGATAATCATCTAATAAGCCAGTTGATGTTTGGGGGTATCTCAATAAGATGCCAGAAAACAGTGTAGTGTTTTCAGGTCCCCTGAGTCCCACTTTATCAACATGAAGTTGACTCTGAGGAGCCCAGCAAGAGGGGCCCTGAGAGGCCACCCCTTAGGGCCTACATTATCCTTGCTCTCATGTGAACAATAACAGCTCACATTTATTGAGCACCTATTTATGTGCTAGGCATTAGTATTATCAGTTAATGCCCACAGCAACCCTTACTTGGGAAACTGAGTCAGTTAAGTGACTTCCTAAGGTCACCTGAGCTAGGAATTGATAACACTGGGTTCAATCCAGGCATCCAACTGCAGAGCCTGTTCTCAGAGACCCTGAAAGATGCTGCCTCCCAAAGCTGTTCATACACATCGCCGGATGGTTTTACTCCCAACCACTCTAGCCCAAGTGGAGTTTGCTAAATATTTAAAAGCCATTCTTTAGTTTGACAACTATTTTGGGCAACTCTATTAACCTTTTCTTTTGAGAAAGTGGGAGTGCAGTTAATTTATCTATGACAGTGGTGTGGTCTTCACACACACTATGATGTTTTTAACAATCTGATTATTCAACACTTTTCCCAGGACAGGATCTTACCCAGCTTTGGGGGCCACATGGTCGATCTGCTGATTTGCTGAAAGTCTTCAGAGATATCCTTCCACCACTTGACAAATCCTCCTCCTCCTCCTCCTCCTCCTCTTTCTCGACACGCTGCCTTTGGATTTCTTCCCCACCTTGGCTAGTGTACAATCTCAAATTAAAATGCCAGCTGGAAGACTGGCACACACAGTCACACGCCAAAAGCTCACGTGGAAGTGTCAAGTGCTGCTATTACTGAGAGATCGCTGGTAGCATGCAAGGGTGGCAAGGCACAAATCTTCAGTCTTTCTCTTCCTAAGTGATGCAGAGGCATAAAAGCACAACTTGACTGAAAACTCAGAAGTGGTGTTGTGGCTCTTGTTTGATGTTGACATCCAGTTGTTGGGACTGTCCATACAGTGTGCGGGTGAGTGTGTGTCTAGGAAGGGGACAGATCCTTTTGGCTAACTGTACAGAACATGGCAATATCAACATCTGGGTCTGTTAGGAAAGAGTTTGGAGAGATAAGAGCCCCCTGTTTTTTCTTCTCCACATGGGTGACAGCTCACACAGGAACCAGGTAGGCCCAGAGCTGCTTTTCATCTCAAAAGTCTTTGTTCTGATAAAATCTACATAAAAGTTTTAAAGGATCCCACTGTGGTATTCCACACAGTGTTACAGAATACTATATTTCCCCTCAAAATGTGTGCTTCCTTAGGTCTGTTGCAATTCAAAACCAGATTGTTTTACCTTCATCAGCCAACAGAAAAATATAAAATCATTGATGGCCAACTTCTAGAAAGCCACTAAAAGACATTTTTAATTTTAGGTGAAGTATCAAATAGTACCCTTTTTGCCTCCTGTTTGCTTTTTGTGACAAAGTCATTCCAACAAGTTATTTCGAAGACATTTCTAAAAGCCTGTGACCAGAAACAGGCAGAACTGAATCTTCTTACTGAACAAGAACGTTCATATGCACCTTGAGGTATGTTATCCGGGGTCACCTTGAGGTGGAAATCAGATGCTGGCATGACCAGTAATAAAAGATGTCAGATCCTGAATACAGTTACTTCATTGGGTGATTGTTACATTTTCTTTGGAAAACAGTTTTGCATAATCTACGAATTTTGGACATACCCATGTCTTATGCCCCAACCATTTTCATTCCCATGGAATTAGAATTTCCCAAGGTACATTCTAGGCATTATAGTTCTATCAAATGCTTCAGATATGCAGACATGTGCAAAAATGTTCACAGCAGCACTATTTGTAAAGGTGAAAACATAGAAACTGCCATCATGTCTCTCAACAGTAGAATAAATTGAGATCTAGTCACACAATATAATTCTATACAGCAATGACAGTGAAAAACTACTGCTACACACCCCATCGTGGACGAATGTCACACACACACAGTGTTGAAGAAGGAAGCCATACACAAAGGCATACGTATTGTTTGGGTCCCTTTATATAACAAAGGTCAAAGTCATGACCAGTGACAGATACACTAGTGTTCACTTTGCCATCGATAATTGGGCTATATATTTGTGTTTGGCCTGTTTTTTCACATGTGAGTTATATTTCACAATAAAAAATGACTTTTTAAAGAGAAAATGAATAGGGAGGAACTAAAGTCCATTCATATGTCCATATTCTCAATTTGGGAAAAAATGTGGCTTTGTCTTCATCCTCTTTTCCTGAGTGTATAAGGCCAGAAGCCAAAGGCAAGAGCAGGACATTCCAGGAGCCTTTATGATTGCTCTAAGTCACATCTGCTCTCGAGCTCCCATTCCACTGTGAAAAATACCTAGTCTTGAACTTTGGAGTTCCAAATTCCACATGATCGACTTCCTCAAGGCTTTTCACTTGACGAACAAATTGCATGCCAAGAAATCGTCAAAATTCTATCAAGCTTAATTATGCAATTTCTGTCTATAAATGACATACCTCCTGTACCCTATGACACCCACCTATGCACTAATAAGATGTGACAGCTGCATCACCAACAAAGCCTCCCCCGCCTGCCATTCTCTTCGGAGGTGAGCACCTCCTGCTCGGGAGGAACTGACAGCCCCTTTCAGAAATGTGAAGGCAGTGAAGTCCCAAACCAGAAACAGTGTGACCACCTAGGCTCACCCAAGGACCGTCCTGTGCTTCTGGGCAACCAATGGATGTAGGGGGTTAGGAGGCAGTGGGGATTCGTCACGTTTTCACCTTTCACACCAAAACGCATTCCTGTTGGAAGTTGTAGCGTTCTTTCCATGAAGTCATGTGTGTTTTGTTTTTTTTTTCAGATGGAGTTTCACTCTTGTTGCCCAGGCTAGAGTCCAATGGCGCAGTCTCAGCTCACTGCAGCCTCCACCTTCCGGGTTCAAGCGATTCTCCTGCCCCAGCCTCCCGAGTAGCTGGGATTACAGGCATGTGCCACCATACCCTGCTAATTTTGTATTTTTAGTAGAAATGGGGTTTCTCCATGTTGGTCAGGCTGGTCTTGAACTCCTGACCTCAGGTGATCCGCCTGCCTTGGCCTCCCACAGTGGTCTTTTTTTAATAAGGTGAAAAAAAAATTTTTGCCAAGGTCATGTGCCATGCTTTTCTATCCACTGCCCAGGAAATCAAAAGGTACTCCCTCCATGAGCTTCCCGCAGTGAGGACTCATCTGTAACCTCATAATGTTACCACCTCTAAGGCAAAGCGGAAAATGTCTGTTCTCCAGGTTCTCCTTGTCTTTTTACCCTTTTAGAATCAGTAAACAAATGATTGAAAGCTAAGTTTCCGAATCTTAACAGAAATAAAAGTTCTTCCAATACTGGCTATAAACATGTTCTTTTCCAATATATTGGGGCTAGTGAAAGAAAATACCCAGTGGACTAGAAATAAAAAAAAAAAAAAATCCCCTTCCCAACTCCCCTGAACCACACACCGGATCCCTTGCTCCACTCTCACCTGCTTTGAGTTCAGAGGGAAGATGCCAGGAAAAAGGAGCTTAGAGATTAACCAGCATATACAGCCTCAGATAAAGTAACAGGACTGGGATGTTTTTTATTTATTTTTTATTACTATTATCCAAACTCTTCTGTATACAAAGGTACAAATTCTAGTAAAGGCTGCAACATTATTCCATTGGTGCTGATTCTACTAAAAGCACTTGGATGATAGTTATTCTGGCATTAATTTTGCATGCAACAAGGCAATGCAATTGAATATAAGTATCGGGGGAAGTGTTTGTAGATGATTTTCTAGAGCTGGTTCAAAGGAAGGGGTGTGTTATTTGTTTTCCCTAATATATTGTTAATGAGAAAGAAAAGGGAACGTGTTAGCAATAAAGGGAAATTCAAGGGCTGAAAATTTATCTAAATCAGTGGCTGCCAAAGTGTGGCTCTTGATTGGTATCCTTAGCATCACTTGGGACCTTACAGAAATGCAAATTCTCCACCCCACTCCAGACCTCAGAATTTCTAAATGTTCCCAGTGCTTGGACTAATGTCCAATTCCATTTTCACTTTCTTTTACTCATGTAAAAATAGCTACTAGCACCTTTGGATTTTTTTTGTAGTCATCATTTTGGGGTACTTGTGTGAATGGGTCTTGTCCTCTTCATTCTAAATTATACGGTTTCACATTAATACAAAATCACCCAGTCCTGCCTTAGGCTGCTCAGTGTGAACTAGGTCAGTTCAGCAACTCAGTGATCTGGTTTTCCCATAGCTGGTAGGAGAAAAAGGAAAATTACTAATGCAATTTCCCCCCAAGAAGCAGCTTGTTTCTCATCTTTAATTAATTGTTCCTTTCTTCCGGAAACTCTATTATGAGTTAAACCATGAGTCCCTGAGCCTCTGTGAGACAAAAGAAGCTATTTTTTCTATCCCTGGACTTCTGTGATCTCCTGGGGGAAGGGGAGGTTAGGTTTGGCAGACGGAAGCGTGAGAGGGGCTGGGTAGACAAGAGGATGGTGGGTAGCAGTGAAGTCCAGAGCAGATCGGGGGAGGGTGACCATGAGGAGCACCCTTGGGGGAAACAGAGCTGGGTGCCCCCGTAAGAGGAGGCCTGTCTGACTCTGTTCAAGACATATTTTGTCACATGAAATCATTTTGGGCAGAAACCGATGAAGAGAAACATACAAGTGACGTCACCAAGGACAGAAAGCTCCCTGAGCTTTGCCAGAGCCGTAGTCACCCACACAGGGGCCTCTGGTGACTGTTGAGGGGACCCCAAGGGACAGCCAGGGTCTTGTCAGAACACGCTCTACCTCAGCAGCTCCCCCAACCCCATCTACCCTCCACATATTTCCCAAGGGATCATGACTCCCTAAGAGTCCTGACACTTAAATAGTGCTTTTCCATTTACAAAGTCCACTCACGATGTCCTTGCTTCATTTATGGCACATAACAAGCTTGTTGTGAGTGTGGTGGGGGGAATGTTGGCCCCTCTCCTGAAAGAAGAGAATGGAGGCTCAGAGAAACTTAAAGTCTCAGTCAAGATCACCTGGCTGGGAGAGTGGGGTGTCGTACCAAACCCCTATTGACATTAGTAGGATGGCACCAGATTCAAGAGGCTGAAGAGACCCAGAGCCAGCAGAAGAGACATAGGGTTTTATTAGTGGGAACTTGCACACAGGGCGGTCCCGGGGCTGCGGGCTAGATAGGAGGACTGCCACTGCTTGTGAAAAGCATGCAGTTTGTATAGCGTTTTCACTTAGCACCCTCCTTAACAACCCACACCTGGCAACCTTCATTTCACTAAAAACAAAGGGCCTCCATCCTCTGTATGGCCTGAGTTCCACAGGATAGGTAGGGGCTCAGATGTTCCTCACAGATAAAAATAAAATAAGTACAGGGGCCACGCCCAGATTCCTTAGCTCAGAACTGGGAACACACAGTCAGGTGCTTCTGCCATGCAGGGTCATTCTCAGGGTGTGCTTAAGTGAATTTACTGGTGTCAGGTGCATCTGCCACGGACACGTGGTGGGGGGAGAGGGGTGTCCCAGGACCATGCCCCAGTCTCCTCTCTCAGGTGAGAGTGCTCTCCTGTGCACAGCCTGCCTCCCTGGGAAGCAGCACTTAAAAGGACCCAGAGTGACTCAGAGACTGCAGAGGCTTAATGCCCGCAAAACAGGAGCAGGTGTGCTAGATTTCTTTACTCTGAGGTACCCTCGGCCCCTTCCAGCATCTATTAACACCATGGGCTACAAGGTACCCACGCTTGCCAGCCACCCTGGCTGGATGCATGTGGCTATGTGTGTGTGTGCATGAGCCAGGAGCACCACCATGCACGCACCCTTATTTCTGGCCTGCTGGCCTCAGGAAAATCCTTTCTCCCAGCCTTGGGCTATGTTGACCAGCCTGCATGACAACTTCATCTTCTTTACCTTCCCAGGCTGTCCACAGTTCTGGATTCTGGTAAACCCTTCACTATGTTATTTGGTAATCTCAGAGGTAGGTGGTGTTTCACTCAGTAACTAGTTATTGGAGAAACTGTTTCACACGATTCTAGCATTCCATAATTCCACAGCCTCTTTATATGCAGAGAGAGAGAGATTGTCATATGACTTAGGTACCTGTGGAAAATTCTGTGTACTGTTCCCCCTTCACAAAGAACATTAGCTTGTTAAAGGCTCTGAGAATTCCTACAGTCAAGAAACCTATTGAACTTTATTTGCCCAGCTTCCCCCAAATGCATTTGATTACAAACTGCTTTTTCATGGGAGACCTATATACTCACAGGACATTTTGGGGATGGGATCCTACATCCTGCCCTTCTCTCCCTCCGTTGAGTTTGAAGCATGTTCACATGTGCAGCCTTCAGAGGACTGCTGCTCTGATTCTTGGTTATCCCTGGCCCAGCATCCTAGGTGTAGGAGCTACCCTGTCCCTGAAGCCTGGTTACTTCTCATGAGTTCCTCTCAATTGCAAAAAGGACAGCATAGCTCCCACCTTCTGTTCTGAAGCCCAAAGCCCACTCAGACTGCCCACCAGGCCCCCACTTTCCTGTCTGATGGGTGGTTTTGTTTTCTTAATTATAGGACAGAGAAGACTGTGGTGTTCTGCACTTGGGGAATGGTCGTGGGGCAGGACTTCAGCCCCACCTGTTACTCCCGGCTTCCCCGGTGAAGGACAAGTCAGGCTTCCCCTGCAAGCAGTTTCCCACTTGTTAGAGGTTCACAATAACAGAAACCCAGCCAGGTTCCAGGGACATTAACGTGGAGACTTATAGGAAATGACTGAAATGCAGACCTGGGCTTGGGAGGGAAGTCAGGGTCAGAGCTGGAGAGCTGAACTCAGGAGGGAGGATGGGAGGGAAGGCAGAGCTCCTTGAAGGTCGAAGGGAGAAGTAGAACATGAGAGCCTTGAATTATGAGGACCAAACTCTGAAGACAATCTGAGAGTTCATTTGGCATCCTCCACCTGAAAAAAACCCTCATGCTATTCTCATTAGACTTATTGAGTACAACTTGGAAAGAGCTGGCATGGGCACTATAAATACCGAGAGATTTCACAGGAAAAACAAAAAAAACCAAGGAGGCAAATACCAAAGTTACCATTTTTAAATTTTATAAAAGGTACAAAGAAAAAAAGTAATGAAACAAATGAAACTCCTCAAAGAGTAACATTTTGTACAATGTGTTTCTGTATAATACCTTTGGGAAGCAGAGAAAAGGAGAACAGATGTGAGATCACTTCTATACAATAATTGCAATAAAAAATTTGGATATCTTTTATAAATGACAACTCATCATTAAGCTGAGGATGACTTTCAGTTCACCATCCACAGCTACCATCTAAAGTCTGCAAACTATCTCCAACCACACAATACTCACTTCCAAGCACTGTGGGTTTTGGAGCTCTCCATCTCCAAGGAAATAATTCTGATTCCAGTAGAGATGTCCTATAGGAGCAGGTCAAGCATATGAGAGAGAGCAAATGCAATTAGTTGTCAAAAATAATTAGACTATAACAAGAAAGCTAGAGATCAAAACCATTTTCACTATCAGGTCAAAATGTTTTGAAAGATGGAGCAGAGGAAATGAGAGGAGAAATCACAATCTTAGTGATGTTAAACAATGATCTACTGTGTAAAAAAGATGTTCTTTCTCTGCACTGAACAAGCTGCCCCTAAACTCCCCCTTCCAGGCTTGGCAAAAGATGATTTGTGAGGCAGTAGCACCAAGCCTAATGCGCTCATTGTCACAAAAAACCTGAGATTGCATTCTATTTCTCCTAAATTAGTCACCTCATGAGATTGGTTCCAGGTAAAAATCAAGTGTCTCTTGCTATCTTTGGCTCTTCTTACAGGAGAGTCTGTCTCCAGCAGTTTCTAAAATTTAGCACTTGCATTGTAACATCAACAAAGATAACAGAAGGTCAGGCTGGGTATGTGCACAGTATGCCCCAGTGGGAGCCCGCGTGTGTGTCTGTGGCCCACAGAGATTACCGCTCTTGGAGCCAGGCCTTGGTTTGATGGTCTTTCTTGGTGAGGTTTTCTCTTATCCAGAGGACACGTGAAGACAAAAATCCAAACAAAGTGTTAGCAATGAAAGGCTCAGCACCTTCCCTGTTTTTCTGTGGTCATCTTGTTTTAAAATGTACCCAGGACTTGTTTAAATCAGATGTGGTAAAACACAGAGACATGGAAATGACTGTTATGGAGGCAGAAGTTTCTACTCACAGAGCCCTAGAAACAGGAAGCCTGCCCACCATGCAGAGAGCCACACAGGAAAGCACCAGCATTGGGCAGGAAGCAGAAGCAGCGAGAGGAAAGCTCAGGCAAAAAGCTCTATTGTGGCTATCGCAAGAGGGAATGAGGCAAGGTAAGTATCCCGTGAGTGGCTAGTGTGAATAATTTCAGCAGGCTCCAAGCAGCACTATCCCCTCATCTCACCTGTGCAGGAAGCCTTCCCACAGCACCACCTTATCACATTGCTTAAGCACCATGGTTAGGAACCGGAGTTAAAAAGACACCTGCATGTCAGAATCACCCCGGCTTACCCATTAAAAATATAGTTCCTTGGTTTCATCCAGACCCACAGAATCAAGTTTTTCCAAGGTGGAGCTGAGACGTTATGTGACGGTTAATTTTGTGTGTCCACTGGGCCACAAGGTGCCCAGATATTTGGTTAAACGTGATTCTGGGTGTGTCTGTGAGGGTGTTTCTGGATGCAATTAACACTGGAATTGATAAACTGGGTAAAGCAGATTGACCTCCCCAGTGTGGGTGGGCCTCATCCAATCTGTCAATACGCTCTGTAATCTTATCAAGTGCTTGGAATCTGCGGACACAAATCCAGGTGTGCATTCTCCATTTCTCTGTCCGTTCCCACCCATGAAGACTTCTCTGCTTCAGCCCACACATAGTTCTTTCTCTTAAATGCTTGGTGTACTAGTGATCAGAACTACACATTTTGCAATCTCCTGATCACTACAGCTTTATATGAAGTCATAAAATCAGGTATTGTAAATCCTATGACTGTGTTCTTTTCAATCAAAATTTTAATCAAAATTGTTTTGGGTATTCTGGGTACAGATCTATTCTAGATCCTTTGCATTTCCCTACAAATTTTAGAATTAGCTGTCAATTTCTGCAGAACTCCCTCAGGGGTTTTGATTGGAAATGTGTTGAGTGTATAGATCAATTTGTGGAGAAGTGGCATTGTGATAACATTGAGTCTTTCCGTCTCTAAGCATAGTATAGGTCTCTGTTTATTTAGGTCTTCATTAATCTCTGTAAGCTATGTTTTACATTTTTTCATTGTGCAAGTCTTACACATATTTTGCTAAATTTACCCCTACATATTTAATATTTTCATGACATTATAAATGATATTGTTAAATTTCTAATTACTCACTGATTGTATAGAAAAATGATGATTTTTGTATGCTGGCCTTACACCCTGCATCCTTGCCAAACTCATGTGTTAGGTCTAACAGTTTTTTGTAAATTTCTTAGGATTTCTTTAGACAACCATGTCATCCACAAATAAATCGTTTTATTTCTTCCTTTCTGATCTGTATGCCTTTTGTATCTTTTCTAATCTTATTAGATGGGCTAGGAACGATAGTATAATATTAAATAGATATAGTGAGAGTAGACATCCTTACTTTGTTCCCAATCTTGAGGGCATTATGGTCAGCCTTTCCCCATTTAGTTTAATGTTAACTATAGGTATCTTTGTCAGTGCCCTTTACCTAGGTGAGATTATTTCCTTCTATTCCTTGTTTTTTGTTTGGTTTTTATGAATCAGTGTTGAACATTATCTAATGCTTTTTATGCATCTGTTGAGATGATTATACTTTTTTAATTTTTTGTCTGTTTAATGTGATGGCTTACACTGACTGATTTTTGTATGTTATACAAATATTGCATTTCCGGGATAAACCCCACTGGGTCATGGTGGTCCATTTTGTACATTGCTGGATTCAATTTGGTAATATTTTTAAAGGATTTTTGCACCTTTTTTCAAAAAAATGGTTCTTGAATACTTTTCTAATATTTGCATTATGATATTTTGATTCTTACAAAAATCTTTTGAAGATAATATGTCAGTGCATCCTAGGCCTCTGATATCCCTGTCAGTCAGGCACTTATGCTGACTGACTGACTTATCTATTTTTGGCTATTACTTGTTTTGTTGATTGATTGAGACAGAGTCTCACTCTGTCGCCCAACCTGGAGTGCAGCGTTGTGATCTTGGTTCACTGCAATCTCCACCTCCCGAGTTCAAGCAATTCTCATGCCTCAGCCTCCCAAGTAGCTGGAACTAGAGACGGGCACCACCATGCCCAGCTACTTTTTGTATTTTTAGTAGAGATGGGGTTTTACCAGGTTGGCCAGGCTGGTCTCTAACTCCTGAGCTCAAGTGATCCACCTACCTCGGCCTCCCAAAGTGCTGGGATTACAGGTGTGAGCCACTGTGAATGGCCACTTGTTGTTCTAATAAATCTCTTACCGCTTTGGAGCTGAAGAAATGAACTCTCACCCAAATTAAGCAACTTGCCCACAGTTTCAGCATCAGTTAATGATAGAGCTCAGAGTCTCACAGTCCCTGCACTGCCAGTGGTGAAGGTTGCCAAGAGGCATGGCAAAGGCATGACAGACTCTTCTGCAGTAGTGAGGGTGGGCCGCACGTGGTGTGGTCCTGGCCAAGGCGAAGTGTGTGCTATTAGCGTCCTGCCCATCCTCTGCTCCCTATCGCTTTCTGATAGATGATGATAGAAGGATTTCTGCTGTAAAAGATACTCATAATTTTACCTTGAATAGTCTTCCTGGGAAGTGTTCAAAGAGCTGTTGATGCTTCAAGACTCGTTCTCTCCCTGGAAAGAGAAAACAAAGAGGCCCAATACCTCCCGTTCTTTTAGGGGAGAAGTAGTACTTTCATTTACATTGTGGCCCCAAGAGATACCAAAATGGGTGCTCAATAAATGTTGCTGACCAAATGACTTTTTCCAGAAAAATGTAAGTGCTTGTACCTAGAATGCAAGATTAGCTGCTTTCAAGAAATGAGCCTGGTAACTACAAAATGCAGTGTGCTTGTTGTGGGTTCTGAATTTATTGTAATGTGCCTTTCCTCTTCATCCCCTCTGCCTCCTGCCCTTTCTCTCTTCACACTGGCCTGGAAACCTGCTCTTCCCATAAAATGAGATAGTGGGGAAGGAACATATTTTGTGTTAATATCCATGCCAGCATGAAAGGAAAGAGTGTCCTGGTTGAGTGAGGCCTGAGTCACGCAGGGTGGGCTCTGTCCCCACCATGGGCCTGCAAGTGTGGAAGTTAAAGATGTTACCATGTTAGGGTGCCATTTCCAAAGGAATCTTATGATGTAGCCTCAGCAGGAATGGCTCCACTCATGATGGCAACAAAACACAGAACATATTTAGCAATAAGCCTCAGGTTACATGCATGAGATCTTAAAGAAATCTAAAAAACATTAGCAAGAGACATAAATGAAGAAGGGCACTATATAAGCCCTGAATATGGAAAAGAGACATAAACGAAGAAGGGCACTCTATAAGACTGAGAGAACTGTTGATAAAATGCCAATTGTTCTTCTCATTACTTTATAGATTGGGAACAATCCCATTCAAAGTAAAGAAGGACTTGGCATCTGCCAAAAATCTTATTTTTGACTCCCTACAAAAATAGATTGATCAGGCTTTGGCTTCAGCTGTCTGACCCTTAACAAATTACTTGACCTCTCTAAGCATCACTTCCTCATCTGTACAGTGAGGACAGCAATAATCCCTACCTTATAGAATAGTGGCAAAGATTAAATGGCAGAGTGCAAATGAAGAGCCTGGCACAGTGCCTAACACAAGGTCAGCACTCATTACATATTAGCTGTTATGATTATTAACTAATTTTAAACAAAAAATATTCCTTTAAAGAACATCAGAGAAAACTAGCTCGACCAGATATTTAAGTATGATTTAAAACAATGAGTAAAAGCAACAGGCTACTGACAAAAGAAAATGGACATGTGAATAAATAAAGAGAATAGGAAGTATAGGAGACTTACTCTTATTGTGAAAACTTAATTATGTGATAAAGGAACCATCACAAAATAATGAAGAAAAGAAGGATTATTTAAATGTTCTCAGGAATGATAATTAGGCTATTTTGAAAGAAATAATCTAACCCTTCATATCATATACTGAAAATAAATTCCATATGTGTATTAAACAGTTAAACATTTTTTATAAAACAAAAATCAGCAGAAAACAAAACTAAGTTATTATCAAATCTCTGGGTTAACTTAAAGCTATTAAGTGATCAAAGAAAGTACAAAAGTAAAGATCAACAGAACCAACTACATAAAAGTGTAATAGTTTGATGGGATAACTAAGAAAATAGAAAAAAATATTTTTATTAAAAATGTAATGAATATTTACATAATATGAAGAAATTATGATTTATGAAGAAATTGTTGAGATTCATTATTGAGAAATGATACAATCCACACAGAAAAGATATTGTAGCAGGACGAGCCACAGACAAAACTCCTCAGACACTGAGGTAAAGAAGGAAGGGGTTTACTCAGCCGGGAGCATGGGCAAGACTCCTGTCTCAAGAGCTGAGCTCCCCAAGTGAGCAATTCCTGTCCCTTTTAAGGTCTCACAACTCTAAGGGGGGTCCACGTGAGAGGGTCATGATCAATTGAGCAAGCAGGGGGTATGTAACTGGGCTGCATGCACCGGTAATCAGAATGAAACAGAACAAGACAGGGATTTTTACAATGCTTTTCCATACAATGTCTGGAATCTATAGATAACATAACCGGTTAAGTCAGGGGTTGATCTTTAACTACCAGGCCCAGGGCATGGCACCGGGCTGTCTGCCTGTGGATTTCATTCCTGCCTTTTACTTTTTACTTCTTCTTTCTTTGGAGGTAGAAATTGGGCATAAGACAATATGAGGGGTGATCTCCTCCCTTAATATAAGTAGCAAAATACATATGAAAAAATGTTCTGCATCCCACTCCACACAACCAAAAATTCATACGAGGGAGGAACCAAATTGTATGTATTACCATGAACTATTACACAGCCATAAAAAGAACAAAATAATGTCCTTTGCAACAACATGGTTGCAGCTGGAGGCCATTATCCTAAGTGAACTAATGCAGAAACAGAAAACCAAATACCACATGTTCTCACTTATAAGTGGGAAGTAAACATGGGGTACTCATGGACATAAAGATGGCAACAATAAACACTGGGGACTATCAGAGGGGGCAGGGGGAAGGGGCAAGTTTTGAAAAACTAACTATTGGGTACTATGCTTAGTACCTGGGCGACGGGATCATTCATACCCCAAACCTCAGCATCATACAATATACCCAAGTAACAAACCTTCACATGTATCCCCTGAATCTAAAATAAAAGTTGGAAGAAAAATAAAAATAAAAGGAAGAAAGGTTAAAAAGAAAACCCAGATGCATTATGTTAAAAAATTAAATAATAGATTAGCCAAATATAGAAAATCTTATGAAACCCAATGTTGATGAGACTGGTAAAACTTGTGTATTCATATATTGCTAGGTGTTATTGCAATTTGAAGCAGAATTTTGACAATTCGTCAATACATATTAAAAGCCATTAAAATCTTCAAGCCTTTCAACTCTGAAATGCCATCTGAGTAATATATTCCAAAAGAAAAGAATGCTTTACCAAAGCACGATCTATACTTGTGAAGCAACTGGATAAATGTAAGTGTATAAGGAAATAATTAACTAACTTATATATGTAATTAATATTGTCATTTACAAAGACAATTATGAATATGCTTGCATAACATTAAATTTTTGTATGATATATCATTTGGTACAAAAGCAGAATTACAAAATAAGAATGATATATTGTATAGGAATAATTGGGGTAAATTTTTTTCTATTTTATATTATGGCTATTAATGTTATCTTGCCAAAACAATTGAAAAATTAAAAGTTTCATAGCTAATAAATGTATCTTTTAACATTAGGCATTATAGGTATCTCAAAAATATGAAAATATCCGCTCATTTATTTTTTATCTTTTAGTTAAATTACAAAATGGAAGAGATTTCCCCCTAGAATTAACATCTATTTTACCATGATGTTAAACTAGTAAATCTTCTCAAGAATGAAGACTGAAGTGAATGCCAGTCTTCCCCTCAGGCCAACTGGAATACCCTCTCTTCCTCAGATCTGGGGAACCTTTACTAAAATGAGTACTGACCTTTTCACTTCCCTGAGATATCTATCATGCCTAATGCCAGAAGAGCCTTGTATTTAGTAGCTATAAAACTTGTAATTTTTCCTCTGTATGGACAAGATAACATTATTATTCTGGCCCTTAATGCCCTGGAAGAATCCACTGTTCAGCTCTGGGTTCCCACAATCCTTGCAACATCCCAGAGGTTGTCTCTGATCAGTTACACTGGACCCAGAGAAGTCCGTTCCTCTCTGGAATCCACTTCAACAAAGGGATACTCCGGAGGCTCAAGAATATTGAGAATGTGGACTGGATTCAAAATCTACTGGCAAGTTTGTGATTTTCATCTTGGTCAGGAGCTGAAACATCCAACGTTCTGAAGTCATGATATTTCTAATTTACGCATGAGCAAGGATAGAATTTTTGCAAAGTCAAAAACAATAATGGTAGTAAGAAGCATTCAGATTTCCTGACAAATCTCATGTAAGTCCATATCAACAAGTCTTCTTTCTGCCCAACAAATCTCAGAAAAATGATGTGCTAAATATACCATGTGTAGAAACAGGCTTGTTTTTATCTATGGCCACTGTGATTGAACTGTGATTATGTTTCCTTTTTTGCTTCAGTTGCTAGGAGGCTCAGTCAATTTTGCAGCCCACTTCTACTCTTGTATAGGACTTAATGTTAGGTAGCTCTCAGTCCCATTTTGTGCTGCTATAACAGAATACCACAGACTGGGTAATTTATAAATAACAGAAATGTATTTCTCACAGTTATGAAGACTGGGGAGTCCAAGATCAAGGTGTTGGCATCTGGTGTGGGCCTTCTTGCTGCATCCTCACATGGCAGAAGGGCAAGAAAGGAATGAACGTTGTGTCCTCACAGAGGAACAGGAGAGAAAGAACCCATTCCCACAAGCCGTTTTTATAACAGCATTAATCCATAGATGAAGGCAGAGCTCTCATGACCAACTACCTTCCAAAAGGCCCCACCTCCAACACTGCTGTGCTGGAAGTCAAGTTGCCAACACACAAATTTTGGGGGACACATTCAGACCATAGCAGTAGTTATCTTAGTGTTTTTGCCTCACTCTTAGCTTTATCTCTTTTCATTATTTTCCCTTTGTTTCCATTTCCTCAACTGTTTATCTTCTATCCTCTTACAGATAATTTTATAAGCTGATTCCAACCCATTTTTGAAAGAAAGCACACAGATTAATCAGATGTTGGATTATGCTTGTTGCCAGAGTGCCTCTGATTGCATTTCTTTTGACATTAGACAACCCGAAGAGGTGCACCTGGAGACAGGTACCTGGGCCACCCTGGCTGTGTTTGGCATGCTCCCTGATATGCCCTGCTCTAAGAAACCTAACTGTGGGATCAAAGCCATCGCTGATTTGAGCCCTAATAATTTCACCCCCCACAAAAATTAATTAATTTGATCTCTTTAAAAAAGTAGGATATTGGCCGGGCACGGTGGCTTAGGCCTGTAATCCCAGCACTTTGGGAGGCCAAGGTGGGTGGATCACAAGGTCAGGAGATCGACACCATCCTGGCTAACACAGTGAAACCCCGTCTCTACTAAAGATACAAAAAATTAGCCGGGTATGGTTGTGGGCACCTGTAGTCCCAGCTACTCCAGAGGCTGAGGCAGGAGAATGGCGTGAACCGGGTAGGCAGAGGTTGCAGTGAGCCAAGATTGCACCATTGCACTCAAGCCTGGGTGACAAACAAATAATTTCAGCTATTCAAAAAAAAAAGGTAGGATATTAACATTTTTTAAATGCCAACTTTATGCACTGGTTTTGGATTTAGACCTATAAATTTTAACAAAGGTATACACCTGTGGATCAATCACCCCCATTCAGGATATAGCAATTTTCAGCATCACTCCAAAAGTTCCCTTAAGTTCCTTTCCAGTCAATCCTTTGCCCCCATACCCTACCCCATCACCACTTATCTGATCTCTGTCACCATAAATTAGCTTTTTAGAGTTTCATACAAATAAAAGCATATATATTGTCTACATTAGAAGTTGGATTATTGGTACTGTTGAGTAGTAGTCCACTGTATGGATGCTCTACATTTTGTTTAAATATTCATCTGTTAATGGACATTTGTGCTGTTTCCAATCTGGGGCATGTATGAATAAAGCTACTATAAACATTTGCATGAAAATCTTTCTTGCAGGCCTATATTTTCATTTATTTTGGCCAAATATACAGGACTGAAATTGCTGGGTCATATGGTAAGCATATGTTTAATTTCATTAAGAAACTGCCAGACTTTTCCATAATGATAATACCATTTTACACATCCTTCAGCAACGTATGAGTTCCAGTAATTTCAAATCCTTGCTAATGCTTTATATTGTCAGCTTATTTTTCAATGTTAGCCATTCTAGACAGAGTATCATAGCATTTCATTATATATTTAATTT
This sequence comes from Homo sapiens, assembly GCF_000001405.40. Taxonomy (NCBI): domain Eukaryota; kingdom Metazoa; phylum Chordata; class Mammalia; order Primates; family Hominidae; genus Homo; species Homo sapiens. Next base: position 110,029,504 of record NC_000006.12, read on the forward strand.
GTATTTCCCTGATGACTAATAACTTTGAGCATCTTTTCATGTGCTTACTGACCTTTTGTATATCTTCCTTTGTGAAATGCTTGTTCAAAGCTTTGCCCATTTTTTCAGTGAGTTTTCATCATCTTCTTGAGTCTTCTGAATGTAAGCCTTTTATTATTTTAGATAGATTTAGATTCACAAAATATTCACAAATATATTTGATAAATACATATATTTAAATATTTGTGAATACAAATAATTTCATTTATATAATATGAAATATAAATATATTTAATATTTATATATTTATATTTATAAATATATATTTAATATTTATATATTTTTATTTATAAATATATATTTATATATTTTATATTGATATGTAAAATATATTTATATATTTATAATTTTATATTAATATGTGAAATAAATATACATTTATATATAATTTATATTATAAATAAAGAATATTTTCTCCCAGTTTGTGGCTTGCCTTTTCATTTTTTAAAATAATTTATTCTGAAGAGTAGAAGCCTTTAGTTTTGAATAAGCCCAATACTTCAATTTTTTGTTAGTGGTGTAGCTTTTTTGTCCTAAGAATTCTTCATCTACCCCAAGGTCACAAAGATTTTCTTCTTTTATGTTTTCCTCAGAAGTTTCACAATGTTAGTTTTTATGTTTAGGTCTGTGATCCATTTTGAATTTTTGCATATGGTACAACATAAGATTCTAGGTTCATTTCTTTCCAAATGGATATCAACATCATCTGCTAAAAAGACTGTCCTTTCCCCATCTAATTAGTTTTTATTGAAAATCAAATGAATGCACATGTGCGGATCTATTTCTGGCTATTTATTCTGTTTTCCTGATGGTTATGGCTATCATTATGCCAATACTAACCTGTCTTGATTAATGTCTTGTTAGGCAGGTAGTATAAAATCTCCCAATTTGTTCTTTTTCAAAATAATTTCAGCTATTCAAGGTAATTTTGCATTTTCCTATGAATTTTAGAATCAACTTGTGAATTTCTATTTTTTTAAATACCTGTAAGAATTTTGATTTGAATTGTATTGACTCTGCTGATCAATTTTGGGAGAATTGATGTCTTAACAATATTGACATTTCTAATCCATTTGTGTAAATGTCCTTTAATTTCTCTCAACATTGTTTTGTTCTTTTCTATATAGAGGGTTTATAGGCTTTGTTAAATGTATACCTAATTATTTCATCTCTTTGGATACTATTATAAATAAATGGTGTTATTTTAAAAATGTCATACTACTGGTTGGTGCAAAAGTTATTGTGGTTTTTGCCATTGCTTTTGTACCAACCTGATACAATTGTTTGCTGCTGCTAGAATATAAAAATACACTTAATTTTTGCATATTGACCCTGTATTGAGCAACCCTGCTGAACTCAATTTTTATTTCTAGTAGCTTTTTTTGTAGATTCTTTAGGATATCCTACATACACAGTCATGACATCTACAAATAAGGACAGTTTTACTTCCTGACTCTTCAATTTGTATGGCTTTTTTTTACCTGATTGCACCAGGTAGAATCCAGTATAATATTGCACTAGAGTTGTGAGTTGCCTTTCTCTTGACATTAGGTTAAAGTGTTATCTTTCACCATTAAATATGTAGTGAGATGCAGGATTTTTGTAGATGCTCTTTGTGTAAGTTTAACTTGACTTATATGTAGCTCTGTGCTTATTTCTGAAGACATATGGAGCCATGAAACTGACCCTTGGCCACTATAGGAATGAGATATTTTGGCTAGTGATTTATAATGTGCTATTTAAAGTTCAAAACTCCCCTAGAAACACCCTCCATCGGCTTGTCTGCATTTTTATTGAAAATGTATAGCCTGATGGCTGGAACCTAGTGTACTGAGTACACAATCTGGTTTGGCTATATGACCGTAGAAAAATGAGACTGGCTTCGGATTTTTATGGTAGTGATGGGGTTGGTCAGGGTGAGGGTTCCTGTGCAAGGTGAGGAAAGGGTCTTACACGGTTTGAACTTTCCGCCAATGACAAAGGAGACAGCACTTGGGCTACCAACTTGTCCAGATGTGGGGCACAAAGGGAAGAGCAAGGGGTGAGGCCTAAAAGCTTTCAGCAGCCAAACATCTAAAAATGGTGCCAGACTTTTTATAATGAGGGGTGGTCATATTTTCTACACGGTCAAACTTAGTAACATAAAAATATTCATAATATCCCTGTATTGTCCTTTTGATGCCTGTGGAGTGTTTGTGATGTTTCCTCTTTCATTCTTCATGTTGTCAATTTGTGTTTTCATTTTTGCTTGATTTGCTGAGCTACAGGTTTATCTGTTTTATTGAGCCTTTCGAAGAACCAGGCTTTGGTTTTATTAATTTTATCTATTGCTATCCATTTTATATTTCATCAATTTTCACTGTCTCTCCCATTCTTCACTTTTCCTTATATTTATTTGTATGTTTTGCTTCTTAAGGAGGATGCACAGATCATTCACTTTAGACCTTTCTTATTTCTAAATGTAGGCATTTAAAGCTAACACTTTCGCCCTAAAGCATTGCTTTAGCTGAACCCCACAAATTTTGTTATGTTGTATTTTCATTATAATTCACTTGAAAATATTTTCTAATTTCTCTTATGACTTGTTTGACCCATGGCTTGTTCAGGAAAGTATTATTTAATTCCCAAATCTTGGAGATTTCCTAGATTTTTCTTGGTTAATGATTTTTCACTTTGTTGTGGTCAAAGAATATACTCTGCATAATTTCAATCCTTTTAACTTATTGAGACATGATTTATGACCAGCATATGGCCTACGGTAGTGAATGATCCATTTACATTTGAAAAAAATGAGTATCCCATTGTAGCTGGGTGGAGGGCTCTATAACTGGGGGCAGCTTTAGATGGAGTAGTCAGGAAGGGCTTCTCTGGGAAAATGACAGTCAAAATTTATCAGTGGCAAAAAGGAGCCAACCTGGCAAAGATTGTGGAAGGAGCAGGCTGGACAGAGGGAACGGCTCGGGCAGAGACCCTGAGAGAGGGGAGGAGGTGGCTGGGTGAGAAACTTCCAGCAGGCCCTGTAATTGCTGTCATTAGAGGACAATAACCTCCTCACAACTTATGCTTAGGTTTTGGGGAGCTGCTGTTCTACCTGGCCTAATTCCTCATATCTACAATCCTCCTTTCTCCCCAGCCCTACCAGAGGCAGTAGGGACTGAAGGGCTGGGCGACTGGTCACCCATGTGATGGGCCTGGCTCTGGCCTTTGCCCCAGGTATGATTTCCAGGAAGCTGCCTTATTCCCAAGACCCACCAGAATAAATAATATTTCTAAAACAATAATAGCAGTTGTCATAGGTCATACAGTGCCAAACACACACATAGCACATTTCATTTCATCCTTGTAACTAACTACCTTGTGGATAAGTATCATTATCCTTTTCGCCTGTGAGGAAAGTGAGGCTAGGGGAGGCTGGGAAATTCACACAAGTTCACACGGCTTTGAAGTGGCTGAGTGGGGGTTTAAACCCAGATTTGTCTCACATTGAAGCCTATGCTCATAACCATTAGGCAACACCGCCTTGACTATACCACCATTGATCCCTGAATTGCCATCTTAGTTCCTATCTTGATGCTGCCAAGTTTCTCAGCGTATTGAACACTGGGACCTGCCTTGTTCCTGCCAACTCTCCTGCCTCAGGCACCACCCCATGGCCAGAACCCTGCTCTATGCTGACACCCTAAACCCCACTGGCCTGGCCTGCGCCAGGATACCCTATAGTCACATCAGGGGCTGCGTCCGCTTTGCTGTACTGGTGCGATTCCAGTTTCTGCCTGCTGGCCTCGGCGTCCCCCCAGGCCTCCCTGACCAGGGAATGGATCCAGTTCCAGGTCTCAGCCTCTTATTGGCAGCTTCACTCCTCTGTGATTCAATAGACTGGCCCCAGGATCTGGCAGAATTTATGCTGCCCACCAGCTTCCACATTCTTCTGGTGTTTCATGTAGTTTTCACTCCTGAGGTTTTTGGGGACTCCCCCTGCCCTTCGCACCCTGAACAACATCTCCAGCCATAGGCTGGAGAAACCATAGGATGGAGAAACCCCATCACTGAAACATTTTTACACTGTTACATCCAATATATGTATGTTTAGTTATACACCAATCATAGACATGCACTATTATACCAGTATAGTAGATATATGATAAAGCACAGCATTACACAGCGAGATAAATGCAACTCTCTAATGCATACAGACATATTTGTGTGTGTATAGAATATACACAAAGCAATATTTTTTTACAGGAATTTGCATGTGGTGCAGATGAGAGGTACATCCCTCCTCTGCAGACCCCTTAACCACAGGATCCAGACAAGCCCCTCAGGGCAGCTCCCTGGCTGTCCATCCTGGACCCCCTCTCTCCTAAAGCTGAGCCTCCTTCTCCACCCCAGCCCAGACCTCTCCCTCTTCCAGGCAGCTCACCCTCCACTCTCCTCCATCCCAACACCGGTTGGGGAGTCAGAACAGCCTGGGATTAACTTTGGACGGCTGCCTCCCAGCTGTGTGACTATGAACAGTGTATGGCGCCTCTCCAGGCTTCAGTTCTCTTCTGTAACTTGGGATCATAGCACCAACTTTTCAGGGTGGTTGTGAGGACAGAAAGAGGAAACACCTAGAAGGGAGCCTGGCCCAAAAAGGGTGGTCAACGAATGGTGGCCATCACTGTTATCTTGCCAGATGAGTTCACTTCTGCCTCCAGCCCTGCTGCATACTGATCCTTCCTTCCCTGCTGCGGGCCCCTTACCTTTCCTCCCCACCACTCCCAATCCTCCAGGCTGGTGCTTCAGGACCCGGTTAAAGTGCTAACTTTTCTAACCACTCCAGCCCACTGAACTACTCCCCAGATTCTCCCTATGCCGGGATCCCCTGACCGGCTGCCCTTAGGCCCAGGAAGCCACAGATTGCTGATTAACCCTTTCTGTCTACTGTCACTGCCCCAGCTGCTTATAGGCTCCTAAAGGGCAGAGGCCACAGAGCTCCAGTGTCTTTGGTACCCACCACAGACAGTGCTCAGGCAAAGCTGCTGAAGTGGATCAGTGCCGTCAATCACAGGGATCTGAGGTCTTCCAAAACCCTCCACCCCGTTACATTTTACCACCCCTTGTCCATTTGCTGAAATCACAAGGCTGGGTCTGTGGGCCTGTGAAATCCCTCAGGCCCCTGTAGAAGAGGCCACTCCAACCAGACACTCCAGCAGGTTCTGCTGAGCACAGATCAGCATCTAATCACGTTTCCATCACAACACGGTGAGAAACGTGTGACTGGCCCTTAGCAACGGTCTCTCAAGAAAGCTACCCCTATAGAGAGCTCATTAAGTTCGCTGCACACACGTGAGGCAAAATCTAAAAACAGACCTGTGCTTTCTGAAGCCTCCTGCAGCACGTGGCAGAAGCTGGAAAGGGCAAGGACAGAGATTTGCTCTAAATAAGGGCAGGGAAAGAGAAAGCCCCTGAGCGGGTCCAGATCCCAGAGAAAGATGGCACTGGACTCCCTTGCTGGGGTGAGCATCTGCAGAGTGGAGAGCCCTAAGGTGAGGCCAGGCCAGCCACCCCCACCCCATCCTACCCCACCCCAGCCACAAGCTGCTCCCAGGCCCCGGTGCTGGGGAGCTCTCCTTCACCCCAGTAAGCCCCTGTGTCGTTTGGAACCCAGGAAAGAGCATCACCTGGAATTGGCCGTGATGAGAGTTTGAAATAGTAAGATAAGAACTTAACATTTAAAACTTAAAATTCATTTCAATCCAGCAAACCTCAGGAACTTACCATGTTGCAAACCACTTTCCTGGGTGACCCAGTCCTCACTGTTAAGAAGTTTACAAGAACATGTAAGACTTACAACTCATACCCACAATTCAGGATGACACACAGTGAATGCTGTAATGGAGAAGCAGGCAATGCATTCTGAAGGCAGAGAGAAAGGAAAACCACCACCAAACAGGGAATCAGGGAAGGCTGCATGGAAGAAACGGCACCTGCCCGGGGCCTTGGCTCCTAACTCCTGGTACCTGAAAGTTGTCTTCTTCAGTGTTCAGTTGCATGCAGCTAGCGCTGGTTAAGTAGTTAATTAAGAAGGTGTCTTGAGAACTTGGTTACCACCTGTTCCCTGGTTTGCTGAGGGAAAGTTGCGGCTTCTGCTAAGTTTTAAACATAGCGGAAACCACTTACAAATTAATGATGGAATTAGGCTGGGGTGCAGGCTCACACCTGTTATTCCAACACTGTGGGAGGTCAAGGTGGAAGGATCACTTGAGCCTAGAAGTTGGAGGCCAGCCTGGGCAACACAGCAAGACCCTGTGTCTACGAAAGAAAAAAAAAAATTAGCCAGGTGTGGTGGTGGCCTGGGTCTACAGTCCCAGCTACTCAGGAGGCTGAGGCATGAGGTCCGTTGGAGCCCAGGAGTTCAAGGTTACAATGATTGCACCACTGCACTCCAGCCTGGGCAGCAGACTGAGGCCCTGTCTCTAAAAAATAAAAGTTAACTATTAATGGTGGAATTAAAATAGAATGTATTGGTCCTCAAAATATGGTCCCCAAACCTGCAGCATCAGTATCACCTGAGAACACTGTAGAAATGCATATTCTTAGGCCTTACACCAGACTTACTGAATAGAAACTTGGGGAGTGGAGCTCAGCAATCTCAGTTTTATCCAGCCCTCTGGTGATTCTGATGCATGCTCAAGTTTGAACAGCTCTCATGTAATTACTTGAAGCTAAGATGAGAAATGATTGATTTCTGTGCCAAAAACAAACAAACAAAAAAACCAAACTTGTAGAAACTGCCCAGCTTGACTGCCTCCCTCAAAAGAGTATTTGTTGTCCAGGCACAGTGGCTCACACCTGTAATCCCAGCACTTTGGGAGGCCGAGGTGGGTGGATTGCTTGAGCCCAGGAGTTTGAGACCAGCCTGGGCAACATGGTGAAACGTTGTCTTTAGGGAGCCAACTGGAAGGTGGCTAGAGGGACTGGGAGCACAGACACCAAGGACCCTGCAGCCTTACTCCCTGTGCTGGTCTTCTCCCTTCCTTATGGAGACCATGGTGGTACCATGGGCTCTCCTTAGCTCACTGTGGTGGAAAAGTAGGAAAGCCAACTGGGGCAGCATAGGCTGCGGAGTTAGCTTCTGCTTTTAAAATGGTTTTGAAATGCAAGGCAGTCCCAGCCACCTTCATGGAATGCTATCCTTGATGCAAAATCAGCACAAGGGGTAAACACTGATCCTTTTCTGTGGAGTACACACACAAAAGACAGTCTTTCTGCATTAAAGGGATAGCAAACCTGGAAGGTGAAGCAAAAAGGATGTGCGTTCCACTCTGACGTGTGTTTGAAAAGAATGAAGAAGAGCCGGCGAGGGAGTCAGCGTCTTCACCTAAAGGTCTTGGCAGGCCACTGGACAACAGTAAATGGGTCTGAAAAATAACATCATATACAGCTGGAGAGGGAATGTCCAGGAGAGCCCAGAGTTTGAAATACAGGCTATCAGACATGCGGGCACTGGAGCCTGGGTCAGAAGTGTCTGGGTCCACACAGGCTGCAGCTGGCAAAGGGGTGGCATGAAGAGGGGGAGCCTCTGTGTAGTGTTAGCTGGGAGAGTCCTGCGCCATCCTCAGAGTCACCAGGAGACTCCATTCCCAGGAGGCAGACACTGAAACGTCTTTCTCTTAGCAAGGAGGCAGCTGTCACACCTTCTTCTGAGAGAGCCACACTCAAAGCTGGAACACTATGGACTGTGCTTCTCTTTCAGACCCATGGGTCCGGTAAAAGTTGGCAACAAAGGAGTTGCTGAGACCTGGATATGGGGATGATGAAAACATGCTTTGTGAACTGCAATGCACTATACAAATGTTGGGGGTTTTTTAAAGGAAATTAGCATCAACATGAACTACAGTGTGAGCAGGCATCTACGGTTCCCAGGCTCTTAGTAGCTAGAGCTGGTTGCCTCACTCTGACTCTCCTCACTGAAAATTAACCAGTTCATTTATTTCTTCCTTTACTCGGTGCATTGGAGTCACACTTACTGAGCACCTACTATGTGCTAGGCACTGGGCCTACTAAAATGAAGAAATGGATGATACCCTCAAGAAATTCACAGCTTGGTAAAAATGTTCCAAAGGTACCAGTCATGCCAAATGCATGGAAAAGGGTATGAAAGGAAACAAACCAGAAGTGGCTTTCTCTGGGGAGGAGGGAAGGAGGGGGTACTATTGACTTCTTTACCAATAAAAGACTCAGCTATAGCACCCGTGTGTACCCCTGGGTTTCAATAGATGACTCCGATGTGAGTGGGTGTTTTACATGCAACCAGATGAAAATGGCTTTGATTTTTGATTTTGGAATAAACTGCTTTTTCGATTAGTCAGAAGTTCTATGAAATGTTCCCAGCTGGCTCCTGGGTAAATGTCCCAAGCCTGCAGACTACATGAGCTCCAGACAACATTTAATTATTTCCTATTTCACACTGCCCATGCAGAGAATGAATTTTGCTTCACGTGCACGGAGCTACTTGGGCTCATTTTCCTGCTGTTTTCAACTTCCCATTGACCCAAATCCCTCTCTGGCCCTAGGGATTGAGACTTTGTGTTCCAGTTACATAAATTCTAGGCCTCAGAATAGCCACGCATGCTGGCAGCTCTTTACCCTGTCGCCTGGGCCCTCACATCCTGCCGTGGTATCCTTTCAGATGACCACAGCTCTCTTCCGCCCTCCTGGGTGGGCAGGGCCAGAAGGGCCAGGAAATAGCCCCAAATGGGAGGACTAAACCCCCTAGCCAAGCACCCTGACCACAGTGCCCACTCCTCATTACAGGACACAGGGGAAGAAGGCTTCCTAAGTGTCCTCCAAGAAGTTTTAAACATAGCAAAAACCAGTTACAAATTAATGGTGGAATTAGGCTGGGGTGCAGGCTCACACCTGTTATTCCAACACTGCGGGAGGTCGAGGTGGAAGGATCACTTGAGCCTAGAAGTTGGAGGTCAGCTTGTGCAACACAGCAAGACTCTGTGTCTAAAAAAGAAAAAAAAATTAGGTGTGGTGGTGGCCTGGGTCTACAGTCCCAGCTACTCAGGAGGCTGAGGCATGAGGTCCGTTTGAGCCCAGGAGTTCAAGGTTACAATGATTGCACCACTGCACTCCAGCCTGGGCAGCAGACCGAGGCCCTGTCTCAAAAAAATAAAATAAAAAATAACCATTAATGGTGGAATTAAAATAGAATATATTGGTTCTCAAAATATGTCCCCAAACCTGCAGCATCAGTATCACTTGAGAACACCGTAGAAATGCACATTCTTAGGCCTTACACCAGACTTACTGAATCAGAAACTCGGGGAGTGGAGCTCAGCAATCTCAGTTTTATCAAGCTCTCTGGTGATTCTGATGCATGCTAAAGTTTGAACAACTCTCGTGTAATTACTTGAAGCTAAGATGAGAAATGATTGATTTCTGTTGGAAAAAAAAAAAAACTTGTAGAAACTGCCCAGATTGACTGCCTCCCTCAGAGGAGTGTCTGTTGGCTATGCACAATGGCTCACACCTGTAATCCCAGCACTTTGGGAGGCCGAGGTGGGTGGATCACTTGAGCCCAGGAGTTTGAGACCAGCCTGAGCAACATGGTGAAACCCTGTCTCTACAAAACATTTTAAAAATTAGCCAGGCATGGTGGCACATGCCTGTAGTCCCAGCTATTTGGGAGGCTGAGGCGGGAGGATCACTTGAGCCCAGGAGGCTGCAGTGAGCTGTGATTATGCCACTGCACTCCAGCTGGGTGACAGAGATCCTGTCTAAAAAAAAAAAAAAAACAAAATACCCAAAGTATTTGTAAGTGGCGATTCCTCAGACTTTAAATTCTACACATGAACTAAGTTTTTTGAGGACATGAGAAAAAAATTGCATTCCTTTGCTAGGGACACACACACACACACACACAAAGACAAAAACACACACACACACACAAAGACTGGGCGGCTTAAACAAAAATGTATTTTCTCACTCTTCCGGAGGCCAGAAGTCCAACATCAATTTCCTCTTCAGGGTTGGTGTCTTCTGAGGTTTCTCCTTGGCTTGCAGAGGGCGCCCTCTTGTGGCCTCTGCATGCGGTCATCCCTCTCTGCAAGAGGCCCTAATAGCTCCTTGCAGGTTCAATTTCCTCTTCTTATAAGAACAGCAGGCAGATTGGATTAGGGCTCACCCTAATGGTCTCTTTAAAATTAATCGCCTCTTTAGAAATCCAGTCTCTAAATACAGTCACATTCTAAGGTGTTATGGGTTAGGGCTTCAACATGAGTTTTGGGGAAGCACACTGCCACCCATACAAGGAGTCTTCTCAAAATGGACGGTGTGTCAGCATCCACCAGTCCTCTCTGAAACCCTTTCCTTCGGTGTGTGGGACCAAGGTGAGGCACACTGGACCCTCTCTTTACTTCCCCTCAGCTCCCTCATAACCTCACACCGCTCTCCAAGAGGCAGCTGATTCTGTGGACCCAACTGCCTCTCCGAAGAGCAGCTGCGCCCTTGGTAAAGGAGAAAGTAGAAAAGGAAAAGGAGAAGCTCAGGTGAGAGCATTCATGAGACCAGCAGGGAGAAGGGGCAGCAGAGAGGGGGCCGCCTGCCTCTGTCTCTGCGCGCGGTGTCAGAGCCCCGGCACCGGGAAGTGGTCGACTGGGGGGTTGGTAAAAAGAATTTACCGACAACAGTACAGCTTTGAAAAAGGAACGTTTATTAGAAAGGAAGAACGCTACAAAAGGGTGCAGTGGGGCACCTCAGCGAGAGGACTGAGCGCACCCTGGTGGATTTTCCTTACCAGCATTTATGAACCTTTTAAGGTGGGAGTTGAGGGTTGTAAAATGAGTTTCAGCACGGCATTCCGGAGATGTATAGAAATTTTAGCTGCTTATAAAAGTTGAAAGAGGATTGGAACCTCTGAAAGTTTAAAGATGCCAACTTTACTTATTTTATTTATTTTTTTGAGACGGAGTTTCGCTCTGTCGCCCAGGCTGGAGTGCAGTGGCGAGATCTCAGCTCACTGCAACCTCTGCCTCCCGGGTTCAAGCGATTCTCCTGCCGCAGCCTCCCAAGTAGCTGGGATCACAGGCGCGTGCCACCATGCCCAGCTAATTTTTGTATTTTTAGCAAATACGGGGTTTCACCATGCTGGCCAGGCTGGTCTCGAACCCCTGACCTCAAGTGATCCGCTCGCCTCGGCCTCCCAAAATGCTGGGATTACAGGCGTGAGCCACTGCACCTCAGCTTAAAGGTGACAACTTTAGATACTAGAGAAGTTTGATTACTTCTAAATTCCCCAGATAAGGAGTTTTGCCTCCAGATGGCCTGTTTGGTGGTCACCAGGTGGTCTTTGCTCCTTTCTGAATTGTTCAGATAATTAGTTTTTATCTCCGGGGCCTGCTCAGTGGTCACCAGGTGATTTTCGCTCTCCTCAGTCTCCAGAATTGAGACAGGCAGGGAACCATCTTAGGGGCCTGCTGGGCTCCCCCAACCACTGTCCCCTGCCCAGCATGGAAAAATTTTGAGTCCCTTCAAGGGAAATTCCAGGCACCCAACTAGCCCTACGGCCAGCAATTAGAGAATTGAATAAATAACCCCCTAAGTGAGAAGATCATAATAACTTTTGCAATAGCCACCCAAATAAGTCAGAGTCACAAGATGTTTGTTTCCCTACAGAAACTAAAGATAACATCTTGACATATGTCCTTGAGTTGTTTTTAAGAAACCAGGACTCCCACCTGATGGAAAATGCCAGCTGTCTTCACAGTGATCTCAGACAGACTGAAGCCAAGAAGTAGATTTTAAAAGTTCCAGAAATTCTCTCACTTTGGAGACGATCCCCAACACACCACACCCTGCCACCTTTAAAAACCCCTGCTTGGAAGCCATCAGGGAGTTTGGGTCTTAAGCGTTAGCTGCTCATTCTCCTTGGCTCTGCTCAGTGCAATAAATGTCTCACTTTCTCTCACTGCAAATCCTGGTGTCAGTATTTGGCTTTTTCTGTGCATTAGGCAAGCAGACACAAGTTTGGTTTGGTAACAGAACTAGAGTTGAAGTAACCTCTCAACCCCACCCAATTTAAAAGGCTAAGCAGGGTGCAAGTTTGGAGCCAAATCAAGGCTAAACCACTTGGGAGCTGTGTGGTTATGGATCAGCCACTTACCTTCTTCATGCTTCTGTTCATTCATTTGTTCTACAAAATAAGCATAGGCTTTCAGACACCACCCTAGATCTTAATTACATGTAGGTAAAATGGGAATAATAAACCCAATTTTCTGAGTTGTTAGGAACATTCGACATAAACACCTAGGACAATGTCTAACCTATTAGTGATTGGTTGGGGACTTGGTCTGTGTTTGTCCACTTCTGTGTCACTTCAGTACAAGGGAGAGTAACTGGGACTCAATCGATATTTGAGAAAGGAAAGAGAGACAGAGGTGAGAGGAGACTAGGAGGGAGAGGAGATAAAGAGGTGAGTGTGGGGGACTGAATGGTCGGTGTCATTACTGCTACCACTTGGGATCGCCTGGACCCTGGGCAGTCCGAGAACATGGTCACTTTGGTACCAACCCTGAACCACATCACTTCCTTTCTTCCCCAGCAGGGCTTCTAGGAACAGAAGACTTTGTTCTCCGAGAGATTCCAGATTAGATTCCAGGTTTTTTTTTTAACTTTATGTATACACATTTAATTAGAATAGGCATAAACCAAAAAGAAGAAAAAAATCAGGATAAAGGGTCACTATCATTTTGTTTGCAAGGAGGAGTCAGAAAATGGAACAAATTACCAGAAAAATATTCTAAGGCCATCCTGAAGTAGCTAGGTTACATAATCTTGAGTCAAATGCCAAAATTAAGTATTATACCACTTAATCCAAATGAACAAAAGGGGAGTCAAAAGTTTATCCTGTTTAGGGTAATAATTTTTACATAGAATATATAGTGATTTGTTTCTCACAAAGTGGTACTGGTCCATGAAGCAACTGAAATGTCCCTCTGACACTCTGTCACCTCCATCTCCCCCGATTTTTGTTCCCCCTCACTTCTGACACCAGGACCTTCTTGCTACTCACAGACTGCTTAGGGCCCCTCACCCTGAAGGAAAAACAGGAGGGAGTGAGAGGACAGAGCCCTGGACCCTCCCACATTCTCCCCCTAACCCTGTACAAGGCTGGTCCCCTTCTTGATATTCCCAGACACCAAGTCTGTGGAATTAGCTAGTGAACAAATTCTCACTGTGGTGTGGTCATCACAGCGTAGTGTGTGACCCCTTCCAAGGGCAGCTGCCGTATCGTGGGGCCTTGAGGCACGGGAATAGGAATTGAAGGTAACCAAGGGTTAAGGCTTAAGCAAAAGAACAACAGGTACAGATAGTTCTAGGCAGGATTAGGTAGCATACAGCCCACATCGTGGCTCCTCTGATAACAAGACAGAGGTCTCCGCTTCAGCCTCTGATTGGTCTCAGGCCAATCCTTCATAGGGAATAACCAATTGGAGGCCTCCAAAGGGCACCTAGGGGTGTTACCAAATTCTTTTAGCCTAATAAAAACCCTAAATCAGGGGGCTCTTGAGCTGCTTGCTCGAGCCTGCTCCCACTCTGTGGAACGTACTTTCACTTCAATAAATCTGTGTTTTCGTTGCTTAGTTCTTTTGTTGCTTTGTCTTTTGTTGTTTCATTCTTTTGTTGCTTTGTTTGTGTGTTGGGTTCAACACACCAAGAACCTGCACAACTCACAGTCAAGACCTTCCATCTGGTAACAGCCTGTGCTTTAAGCCAAAGACAATAATTATAGAAAGTTATCCAGGAAGGGACTTTTACAGACCAACTGGCCTGAACCTGCACCTCCAATGGCAAATCTGTAGCCCCACAAAAAATGCAAAAATGAAAACTAAGCCCCCAAACAGAATGTCTCCTTTTCACCCCCTGACCCCTAGTTTCTCTATAAACCAGACTGTTCATGATGGCCTACATTTTTGGCTTGGCAGAGACAAGCAAAAAAAAAAAAAAAAAAAAAAAAACCACCTTCTGTCTCATTGCCTTCTCAGTGCCCTCAAACATTGCCAGGCATGTCCTATTATTACCTCTACATCTGATAACTAATTTCCTGACACGTGGAGCTCTCCCAAGAAGCCATTCCCACGACCAGAGGCTTCAAACCGGGCTGCTGTAACCCTAGTCCACACAGGACATTAGGCCAGCACCCCCGCCCCAGCTCCCCTTCTCCCCCACACACTTCCTTTGGGCCATAAGAGAAACCAAGTGTGCCTTGCTTCTCCCTGGGGCAGAAATCACCAGACTGAGGAAACAGCCACTTCCGTTTTTTTGTTGTTGTTTTTGTTTTGTTTTGTTGTTTTGAGACAGAGCCTGGCTCTGTCACCCAGGCTGGAGTGCAGTGGCACGATCTTAGCTCACTGCAACCTCCACCTCCCAGGTTCAAGTGATTCTCCTACCTCAGCCTCCCGAGTAGCTGGGATTACAGCTAATTTTTTTTTTTTTTTTTTTTCAGTAGAGACGGGGTTTCACCATGTTGGCCAGGATGGTCTCGATCTCCTGACCTCTTGATCCCCCCAACTCGGCCTCCCAAAGTGCTGGGATTACAGGTGCGAGCCACCATGCCTGAGCTGTTTTGATGCCAGGAAATCGAGGGCCTGAGTTTCCTGTATCTCAGCAAAGTAGGTGGGGATTGAAAGGCCTTCCCTGCCCTGCTGCCCAAGCTGAGCTGAGAGCTTTCCTGGTGCCCGGGCAGGGGCGGGGCAGGCATGCACAGGCCTGTCCATGCCCACATGTGTCTCCAGCACAGATGTTAACCACAGAGTATGACAGGAAGACCCCACTTCACTTCTGCAGACCCAGTAGCAAGCAGAGAAGGATTAACCCTGAAGCGAATGAAGCTTTAGTACCTCACTTCAAGGATCTGGGAAGGGCCCCAGCAATGTGTTCCTATGTCATGTGTCTTTGTAAACTGTATAGATTTAAGCTATCTTAACCTCAGCCAGTGAAGACTCTTTCCCTCCTGGTGTCCCCTCCATCACACAGCGCCTTTTGTAGAGTGACAGAGGATGTTCTGAGCATCTGGTTAAGGGGAATTAAATACAGGAAACATTTAATTGGGATTTCTTGGGATATTTTATATGGTCCACAGTTACTTCTATGTGTTAAGTAATTGCTAGCTGTTGTGAGGAATGGCTTCAGGAAGTCTCACCGCCTTCTTGCCCCAGAGGTGCAAGGCCAGGGGCTGTGCAGCAACAGTGAGGGAGAGGCAGAATTTGGAATGGATGGAGCCAGAAGCGAGTCTGTGGAATATTCATCCAGTTCTCACAGCTCACATGAGAAACCTGACACTAGGCTTCAAACATTTGACAACAAATCTGAAAATGTACATAACACTGCCAATAAACAGCAGGAAGAAACTTTGGTAAAATAGAATAAAGAAATGTTTTCCACCATGTTTGAGGAAAAGTGAATTATCTTTCTCTTCTCTCCGTAAAAAAAAAAAAGGAATCACAAAGTTGTCATGTGAAGAGGCGATTGAAGAGTATGGAAGAAAAAAAAAAGATGGGGAATGAATGAAGGGAATAAAGTGTTAATATAGTGTTATAAGGGTGTTTCAAAGAGTTAATTAATAAAAATAGTATGTTGTTTGAATTTGATATTTGTGGAATTTCTGATTCATTGTGACTTCTTTTCTCATTCTAAATAAATGCTTTTATACCTAGAATTTTAATGTGTATTTTTGTTTTAAGAAAGCCTCCAAAATTATATAAGCTTCAGGCCCCACAAAACTTGGATGCAGCATGGCAGGAAGTCACTAAGGTAACAATTTAGACCCATCAGAAAGAAGTCAACCATGTAACTAACAACAGCAATGGCATTCTGCCTTCTGCAATCCCAGAGAGCTTTTATATATAAGAAAGGCAATTTAGCACTGACAAGCGCTGGGTTCATAAGTAATAGAACCTTTCATTTCCTTTAACACGGTTAAAGGAAACATTCTCACTTGCAGATGAATAATGCACACTAATTTCTGCAATTTGGTAGTTCGGACCTCAAAAGGAAGGAGAGATCCAATGTCAAGCGAACTTTGTCATTGTTTCTGGTAAGGTGGGGCTGGGGGGTCTCTGGTGGTCATGGGGAATCCTGTCCCACTGCAGGGATATATGGGAGGACAGAAACTTCCCCTGACCTCAATTAGAGGAGGGGAAGACTCATATCTCCGGAACAAATCTCTCCACCGGCTCACCCAAGCCTCAGGAAAGGTATGAATGGTTTTAATTTTGAGTCTGCTTTGGCAGCCATTTTTCCTTGACTTTCATTTTCTTCCTTTCTTTTCAAATTATTTTATATTTGGGGAAATGAGGCATCAACCAAAAAAATCAAGTCAACAACATGCTTGTGTCTATTAGGAGGACAGCTGGGAGCATGCACTGGTGGTGGCTGAGGCTGGGATTTTGACAGGGTTCTCCCGGTTCCCATTGTGCCTCCTGAGCCACGACAAGGTCCCCAAGGAAGGCTGAACATGACAAATGTCTCACCCTGCCCTCTGTTTATTTCTTTAAATGTTCACTACATTATTTAGTAACTACTCTTAAAAATTATTGGAAGATTCAGACTTCAAACTATACTACAAGGCTACAGTAACCAAAACAGCATGGTACTGGTACCAAAATAGAGATATAGACCAATGGAACAGAATAGAGCCCTCAGAAATAATGCCGCATATCTACAACCATCTGATCTTCGACAAACCTGACAAAAACAAGAAATGGGGAAACGATTCCCTATTTAATAAATGGTGCTGGGAAAACTGGCTAGCCATATGTAGAAAGCTGAAACTGGATCCCTTCCTTACACCTTATACAAAAATTAATTCAAGATGGATTAAAGACTTAAAGGTTAGACCTAAAACCATAAAAACCCTAGAAGAAAACCTAGGCAATACCATTCAGGACATAGGCATGGGCAAGGACTTCATGTCTAAAACACCAAAAGCAATGGCAACAAAAGCCAAAATTGACAAATGGGATCTAATGAAACCAAAGAGCTTCTGCATAGCAAAAGAAACTACCATCAGAGCGAACAGGCAACCTACAGAGTGAGAGAAAATTTTTGCAATCTACTCATCTGACAAAGGGCTAATATCCAGAATCGACAATGAACTCAAACAAATTTACAAGATAAAAACAAATAACCCCATCACAAAGTGGACAAAGGATATGAACAGACACTTCTCAAAAGAAGACATTTATGCAGCCAAAAGACACATGAAAAAATGCTCATCATCACTGGCCATCAGAGAAATGCAAATCAAAACCACAGTGAGATACCATCTCACACCAGTTAGAATACTGATCATTAAAAAGTCAGGAAACAACAGGTGCTGGAGAGGATGTGGAGAAATAGGAACACTTTTACACTGTTGGTGGGAGTGTAAACTAGTCTAACCATTGTGGAAGTCGGTGTGGCAATTCCTCAGGGATCTTGAACTAGAAATACCATTTGACCCAGCAATCCCATTACTGGGCATATACCCAAAGGATTATAAATCATGCTGCTATAAAGACACATGTACACGTATGTTTATAGCGGCACTATTCACAATAGCAAAGACTTGGAACCAACCCAAATGTCCAACAATGATACACTGAATTAAGAAAATGTGGCACATATAGACCATGGAATACTATGCAGCCATAAAAAATGATGAGCTCATGTCCTTTGTAGGGACATGGATGAAGCTGGAAACCATCATTCTCAGCAAACTATTGCAAGGACAAAAAACCAAACACCACATGTTCTCACCCATAGGTGGGAATTGAACAATGAGAACACATGGACACAGGAAGGGGAGCATCACACACTGGGCCCTGTTGTGAGGTGGGGGGAGTGGGGAGGGATAGCATTAGGAGATATACCTAATGTTAAATGACAAGTTAATGGGTGCAGCACACCAACATGGCACATGTATACATATATAACTAACCTGCATGTTGTGCACATGTACCCTAAAACTTATAGTAAAAAAAAATATATTGGAAGAAAGAAATACATGTTTATGCCTTTAAAAATCCCCTGTCTCTTCTGGTAGCAAGGCCTTGGAGCCCAGGTCCAGATGATAGTGAAAGGTACAAGAGTAGCTGCAGCTGGTACACCCAGGATTCTCCACATGAGGCCACCAGGGCACCTTTTCCAAAATCACCTGGGGCTTTTTAAGATGCAGATTTCCAGGGTCTCCCCTCTGAATTTTACCAAAGTGCCCAGATGCCATCCTTACCCTGAAATTCTGAGGTCTAACCCTGTGCCCAGAGGAGCCAAGAGCAAGTCCCTTGGACTAGAAGTATCCTTTTGTGGAGTACAGGAATCCCAGGTCCCTCACTCTCTACCTCAGGAGGCTCTTCGGCTTCTGTAGAGCAGCTACTGGAGTGTGATGGTTAATATTTAGTGTCAACTTGATTGGATTAAAGGATGCAAATTATTGATCCTGGGTGTGTCTGTGAAGGTGTTGCCAAAGGAGATTAACATTTGAGTCAATGGGCTGGGACAGGCAGACCCACCCTTAATCTGGGTGGGCACCATCTAATCAGCAGCCAGTGCAGCCAAAATATAAAGCAAGCAGAAAAACGTGAAAAGCCTAGACGGTCCTAGCCTCCCAGACTACATCTTTCTCCCATGCTGGTTGCTTCCTGCCCTCAAACATGGGATTCCAAGTTCTTCAGCTTTGGGACTCAGACTGGCTTCTTTGATCCTCAGCTTGCAGACAGCCTACTGCGGGGCCTTGTGATCATGTGAGTTAATACTACTTAATACACTTAATACTCCATTATCCATGTAACTTCTGTAGCCCCTGCATCAACTGACTCTGCCGGATGATTCCACAGTAGGGCATGGAGTCATTGACCAGAAGCCAGAGCTGATGACTCCATGCACCCCTCTCAGACTTGGAAGAAGAGCCACACCACAATGCATGGGGGATGAATTCCTCAGCAGTTTCTAAAAGGGCCAGGTGATGGAACCCCAAAGTGTGGTATATGAAACTCCACAGGGGATGAACTCTGATCTGTTGAGGATAGGAGTCAGGAGGGATTCTGCAGATCAAGTCACCCTCTATTCCTTCCTCCAGGGGGCTTAGTGTCAGGCTCATGAAGTAGGAATGCGGGAATCCACCCCGTGGCTGCACTGGTGCCTGGATAGATAGTCATTAGTTGCTGTAGAGATCTAACAACACAACAGCAACTCAAGTATCTAAACCTTTCTGAATCTAGCTTGGATGACTCCCTACTCAAGCTTACTTTGGGCCAGAAGTCTTAGAACTTAAAGAATCTGGGGAATCTCATAGATGTATCTAATACATTATTATGTGTTAGAAAGAATTGCTGTCTGGGTTCTAGAGCTGTGACTGCCTGTCTGTTTGGTATTAACCCCACATCATAGGGCAAATCACTCAACTTCTCTATATGTAGCAGAGGGTTAATGGTTAAAGGAAATATTCTCACTTGGAGACGAATAATGCACATCACTGTAGGATGGGTCAGTTGGGATCTCAAAAGGAAGTTGAGTCGGGGTTAGACTTCAGAGCTTCTGGGTAAGAAGAGGCAGTTGGACACCTTGTTAAAAATGCAGCTTCTTGGCTCTACCCCAGAGGTCCTGTTTCAGATCTGGGGTAGACTCTGGAAATCTGCATTCTGAGAAGCCTTCAGGTGATTCTGGTGAAGATGGCCTGGTGACCTTGCTTGGAGCATAATGGCATTAACATTAATTCTTTTCTTGCCGGGTTGTTATAAGACTTAAAGTAGAGTCACAAACATGCTTAGAATGGTACTTAGCACATCATAAAATACTAAACAAATTTCACTCTTTTTATTGCTCTTGATTTTCTGGGCTAGGTTTTGAGGATATAGCAGTGAATCAGGTAAACGTGTTGCCTGCCCTCAAGTAGCTCCAGGGAGGCGCAGTGGGGGAGGGGTGGGTTGCCAAGATCTGCTTTGGAATTGGAGAAGCTCTCCTGAACAGCAGCCAGGAGCTTCCTACCTTTCCCAGGGTGATCATCTCGGTTCTAGAATTTGAACATAGAAATATTCTAGGAGTGGCTATCTTGTTGGAAAGGGATAGGATACTTGTCTTAAAATCCTGTTTGCATGGCTCTTTACAGAATATCAAAAGATGCATGAGATACATGTCAATTGCACATACCAAACACTGGCAGGGGAAGGAGGATCTGGTTCCCCCGACCGCAGAATGGGAAACCAGGCAGGAAGCTGCTGTTTACCAGGCATAGCACCAGGTCCTTTCACATCAATTGCATTATTTAATCCTCATAATAGCTTGTCAAGCCGGTGTGGTCACCACATCTTTATATGTGAGAAAACCAAGTCTCAGTGAGAGTACATTAAACCTAAGGTGTCATAGCTAGAGAATGGTAGTGCTGTCTAATGTCAAAGCTGCTGTTCTTTCCAACACATAATAATAATGGACTCGATACATCTTATGAGCTGCCTTAGACTATTTAAGCTCTAAATCCTTCCACCCTCCATTATCCATGTAACGTCTGCAGCCCCTGCATCAACTGACTCTGCCAGATGATTCCACAGTAGGGCATGGAGTCACTGACCAGCAGCCAGAGCTGAGACTCCATGCGCCCCTCCCAGACTTGGAAGAAGAGCCACACCACAATGCACGGGGGATGGATTCCTCAGCAGTTTCTAAAAGGGCCAGGTGATGCAACCCCAAAGTGTGGGATATGAAACTCCACAGGGGATGAACCTTGATCTGTTGGGGATAGGAGTCAGGAGGGATTCTGCAGATCAAGTCGCCTGCTATTCCTTCCTCTGGCCTGTCCAAAAGGCATCTCCTGGGGCCATCTGACAGGCTGTGTCTTCGTGAAGCCTTGGCCAGGTCAGCAGCGGGGCCCGGCATTTGCTTCCCATCCTTCCCTGCCTCACACTGGCTGCCCTACTATTGCACTTCATTAAAAAGCATTACTACTTCAACTTTGCCTCAGATTCTGTTTTCCAGGGAATCCAGATTAAGCCAAAAAGAACAGGAAACATTTAGATGGATTATCTCATTTAATACTCATGGCATCCAAATAAAGTGTTATTATCCCAGTTTTACAGATAAAGTAACTTGTGGTTAAAATCATACACACACATGAACAGTGCAACCGGCATCCAGACTCAAGCAGCCTGACTAGGTCCCACTCCTCTAACTCTGCAGCAGGGACCGGAGCCTGATTAGGTCCCACACCTCTAACTCTGCAGCAGGGACCGGTACACTCCTATCAGCCTCGTTCATCTGATCCTCTATATGCCTCACCTCTAGTAAATATTTCCTGTGGAAACAAATGCTAGATATACTCGACTATTCATTCTCTCTATCTTGTAAAAGAATACAACTTCAGGACACTAATAACATATTCCCAGCCTTCCTTGCAGCAAGGTACAGTCAATTAGTTCTGACTACTGCCATGTAAGAAGAAATGAGGTAAATGGCTTCCAAATGGTGCCTTCGAAGAGAAAGAGACAGCTTCCCCTTCTCTTCCCCTTCTCCCTTGGCTAGAATGCAGACATGGTAAGTGGAGTCGTTGCTGCTTAGACAATCAGATGGAACCCACATGTTGGGGATGGCTGTGGAATGAGATGAAAGAGCCTGGGTCTCCCACACCATTGAACCAGGATACCAGCCCTGGACTTCTAGGCTTGAACAGTTATGGAAGAGAAACCAACTTCTTTCTTGCTTTGTCCACTGCTGTTTTCGTCTTTGCTATAGCATCCGAACTTGCATCCTAATATACTTTTCAATAGGCAGTTAATTTTATGTGTCAACTTGACTGAGCCTTGGGATGCCCAGATTCAATATTATTTCGGGGTGTGTCTGTGGGGATGTTCCTGGATGAGACTGGCATTTGAACTGGTGGGCTCAGTAATCCCACAGTGGGGACTCCCCTCCCCAGTGTGGGTGGGCATCATCCATTGAGGGCCTGAATGGAGCAAAAGGCTGAGAAAAAAGGAATTCACCTATTTTTTTCTTCCTGCCTCTCTGCTTAAGCTGGGACATCTCATCTCATCTTCTCCTACCCTTAGACTGGGGCTTACACCTTGGCTCCCCTGTTTCTGTGACCTTTGGACTCAGACTGAATTACCTTTTCCTGGGCCTCCAGCTTGCAGATGGCAGATCAGAACCTCTCAGCCTCCATAATCACATGAGCCGCTTCCTCATTTTATATATATATATATATATATATATATATATATATATATATATATATCCCAGTGCTTAGCCTCCGTAATCATGTGAACCAGTTCTTTATTATATATAAATATCTATATCCTATTGGTTCTGTTTCTCTAACACAGACAGTAAGCACAAATGGTTAGGAACAGGGCTGCACAGTCAGACATCTGGGTTCAAACTCTGGAGGATGGCTCACATTCTTTCCTACTAGTTGCTATTCACCTTTGACAGCCACTTTCTAGACCTTCCTCAGGGACAATTTTCTCATTCATGTACCACACATATGCAGCGTAGCACAATGGCTGAGCCCAAGGACCCCGGACATTTAGGCTGAAATCCTAGTTCTGTATGTTCTAAGTATATGACCTCGGGCAGGTTACTTAACTTCCGTGTGCCTCCATTTCTTCATATGTAAATGAGAATACTAGTAGTGCCTCCCTCACAGGGTTTGGTGAAAGCAAGGGAAACCAGAGCCACCCACTATGTGAATCCAGAGCAGACCAGCTTCCTAAGGCTTAAGGGTCCCTGTCATAGGACGTGGTATGTGATAGGCATTTAACAAATGTTAGCTGGTGTCCTTGCTGCTGATTATTCTTCTTCCCATATGAGCCTTGTATATAACAGGTGTCAATCCTTTCAGAAGGATTGAATGAATAGATGCCTAAACCACATTCTGTGGAGTAGAAGTCACAAACACAAACCAGATACAAAGGTGAGGTGTTTTACCCCAGATTGGGTACTGTGTGAGATCACTGCCCAACAGAGGGAACATGGCTCTCCAGTCTGGCAACCGTCGCAAGCATCCCTCCAGTTTCAAATGGAAGGTTTCAGTGTTGTTCCTGCCAAATCCTGGCCTAGGTCGTGGCTCCTCACTGACCTCCTCGGCGTGGGTAGGCATTCCACACAGCCCTGAGGACCCCACAAGACTCCATGCAGACTGTCCACAGTGCTTTCCCTCTGGGATGGGCCCCCTCTATTTGGGGAAACCACAAGAATTTGCAATTATCATTCCAAAATGGTAAGTATAATTCTTAACCAACGATGGAGTTCCAAGTCAGTCAGTCCTCAGTCCAGATGTGCAGTATGCACCCTCCCAGGACAGGACGCCCTGTTGCACCGGAGGCCGACTCCACAGAGTTCCTTCTCAGCCAATGAATATGGCTCTTTTTAAAGAAACAGGGCCTCCCAGAGCTACTGCAGCAAGCCTCAACCTCACAAGCCTCTGCTCTCCTCTGTGCAGGACAGTTGGAGTCAACTAGTGGCAGGAGCATGGAGTCAGACTCCCTGGGTTTAGTGTTCAAATTCTGCCTCTGTTACTAATTATATGGTCAGGTTTTCCTCTCTGAAACTCAATTTTCCTTCATCTGTCAAATGGGTATAATAATAGTATCTACCTTCCTGGTGGTGGTAAGAAATAAATGAAAAACTTTCAACAGTGTCTGGCACATAGCCTGAATAAAAGTTGGCTGCTATTATGGCTCTGTCTATTTTTTGATCTGGGGCACACAAGCAACAGGCAATGGTCTGTGTGTTTTGGTGTAGTTTCCTCTCCTTTCTGCATCCTTACCCAACCTGGACCAGTCCCTTCGGCCCAAGGACCCAGCTGGCTGCATCCTCATCACCAGATAGCAGCTCACACTGGACAGGTTGCCCTGTCTCCCCAGATCTCACCTCCTATCATGAACATGCCCCTCTATGCTTTCAAATTAAAAGCAAATGGAAAAGAAATATTTCAAAACACATTCTAAATTAAGCTTGAATAAACAACTCAGTTAAGCCCAGCATGGTCAGCATGGCTTTTCTGTCTTCCTCAACCCTTCCCCTCTGAGAGATGAAGGCAGGTCATTGTGGAGAAGCTTGCTTTACCCGGTGACCCTTCTATTACCACCTGCTAGCAAATAGGTGCAGGAGGCTCAGGGAGGACCCTGCTAGGCACTGTCTTGTCGCTCCACCTGGCAGGGTTTCTAAAAAGTCCTTTGATTAGAGTCTAATCCCAGACTCACGAACAACATTCTTCCCTTGAACAGACTGGCAGGATTGTATAAAGCAGGGAAACACTGCCACCTGTTGATCATCCAGAATGCCTGTTTCATCCCAAACACATTTCCATGAACACTTTTAAAAAAGTAAAAAAAGCGTTTTACTAGTGCTGAGTACTTAACAATCCAATATCCTATATTTTTGTACAGTGTGTCAATTTTTACACAAATAATGAGTAAATCTACTTAAATCACCTTTTAATACCAGTTCCCTATTCTCAAAGTCACCTTTGAATAACCAGGTCCCCATTGCATATATTAAAGTTATGTAGGGTCAAAGGAGTAAAGGAGTCTTGAACTTCAAGCCTGGAGTTGTGGGCTCTGACCTTGCACAGCCACTGCCTAGCTGTGGGACTGGGCAAGGCTCTTTGCCTCGAGGGCTTTCTCACCAGTAGTTGAGGGCAGGGGACTTCCAGCTACCATACTGTATGGTTCTGGGGACATGATGGCAAGACATTATGAGTGAATTTTCTGAACTAAGGACAACATTGAAAATTCTATTGCACAAGTTCTTTTCTTGGTGTCGGGGTTGGGGTGTGGTCAGGGTCTCACTCTGTTACCCAGGCTGGAGTACGATGGCACACTTTCGGCTCACTGCAGCCTCAACATCCCAGGCTCAAGCGATCCTCCCACTTCAGCCTCCCGAGTGGCTGGGACTGCAGGCGTGTGCCACCACATCCAGCTTATTTTCATATTTTTTGTAGAGATGGGGTTTCATTGTGTTGCCCAGACTGGTCTCAAATTCCTGGTCTCAAGAGATCTTCCTGCTTTGGCCTCCCAAAGTGCTGGTATTACAGGTGTGAGCCACTGTGTCCGACCCAGAAATCCTATTTTAAGATAATTAAACAGAGCCCTCTCTGACACCCGCCCCAGTGTACCACACTGGGGCAGTTCACTGGGCCGATGGAAAAGAAGTACATGAAGTGAGAGACCGACTGGGGAAATGGCTGCGCATCCATTCTCCCCGCATATATCAGAATGGTTCCCTCCCATTCTTTCAGAGAGGAGGGTGTGCTCAAACTATCCTTGGCTGCAGCTGCCTCTAGGTGCCCAGATGCCCCAGACAGAGTGTTCAAGAGCAGGGACCTTCCCCAGCATGAGGAACCCCAGGGGCCATCAGCTGGAGACCCAGAGAGGTTTGTCACCTTTGACTGGCAGCAAGCAAGACCAGTCCCTCCTGACCACTGCAGACACCTGTGTGCGTGGCCCTGGAGGGTGAGGGTGTGGTGCCAGTTAGGACTGTTTCTCACACCTGGCAAGACAGGGGCTCGAAAGTTGGAGAGTCAGCTGGAAAAGGCACTGGGGGTGGCAGTGCATCTCAGACTGGAGGCCACCAGCAAGGCGTCTTGCTGTGTTGAAAAGCCAGTAGATATGGAACTGCAGAATTCGCCTCACAGTCTGCAGTCAGCGGAGCAGCCTCAGCACTCATCAAGCCTTCGGGAAAATAACATAGAAAGCTGCAGCGGAGTCCCAGGGAACCCACAGGAAGGCGAAAATTGACATCATTTGGACCCGACTGAGTGGAAACCCACAGCCGACCATGACCTTTGCTCATCTTCCCCAGGACACTGAAGCTTACCAGGAGAGAAGTGGCCTCAGTAAAGTTGTGAGGGGTGAAAGTGTGTTTTCACTGTCCTGTTCAGTTTCCGTCCTCCATCCTAATCCTCTCTTCCTCTCTGCATTTGCCCAGGTGTTGGCTGCCTTCCAACTATCAAGAGTATTGACCAATCTGCTTCAACCAAGAGTTCCCTTCAAAGAGCAATTTGCATCTTATTAATGGACTCCTGGAGACAGAGAGGCCTTCAGGAAATTAGCAGTGAGAGCAGGCATTTGGGGATGGCAGGCTGGCTGTGGTCTCCAATGCTGGCCCTAAGAAGGCAAGGCGGCAGTGATTCAGGGAAGTTAGACACGCTGGTGTTCATAGAGAGGGTGACAATACCCAGAGGACAAAATAGGAGTAAATGAGTTCACAGTTCAGCATAAAATATATAATGGCTATAAGGAAAAAACTACAGTGACAACCATTGTTTTAAATGATTTACCGCACTGGAGTGGGCTATCCTGTCATTGTCTGACTTGGTAGTTTCCCTTCCTTTTCCTTTCAGGTGCTGCATTTTCTAAAACTTAATTTTTTAAATTAAACGGATAACACACAGTTTTGGTTTTAGAATTATCTTTTAAACTCCATTACCCAGTGAGATATCATGAGAACAATTTGGAAATGACAGTAGTTTTTAAAATCTTTGCACAACACAAATTTAAACAAAGTTTCAAAAGCACAAATCAACTTCACATGATGAAACAGAAACTTCTTTAACGTTGTATCCATTAAAATGACTTTACCCAGCTGTTTATGAGTTCCACACATTTTTTGTTTATTTGTTCGTTCATTTAAAAAAATGTATTCCTTCATCCACAGAACCCACCCTCATTCTTTTCCTATCACTTTCACATAGGCAAATATTACATCAGATTATGTATGTGTATTTTGCTTTTCAGTGTTCCTATAAAATGTATGTTGTTATTTTGTATACTTGTACTTTATTTATGTGAGTGGTATTGTATTCTGTGGCTCGCTTTCTTTCTTACATTTTTTCTTTTCTTTTCTTTTCTTTTTTTTTTTTTTTTTTTGGGGGGGGGACAGGGTCTTGCTCTGCCACCCAGCCTGGAGTGCAGTGGCACAATCACTGCTCACTGCAGCCTCAAGCCATCCTCCCACCTCAGCCTCCTGAGTAGCTGGGACTATAGGAGTGTGCCACCACACTCTTTTTTTTTTTTTTTTTTTTTTTGTATTTTGTAGCAACAGGGCTTCAACATGTTGCCCAGGCTGGTCTAGAACTCCTGGTCTCAAGCAATCCACCTGCCTCAGCTTCCCAAAGTGCTGAGATTACAGATGTGAGCCACTGTGCTCGGCCTCTTTGTTACATTTTTCATTGAGCATTCTGTCTTCAAGATCCATCCAAGCTGCCATCTCATAGTAACTTGGCTGGGAATGACTGCTGCAAAATAACCCATCCTGTGTGCCCATCACGTGTCACCTCTGCTCTCCTCGTGAGGGGCACCAACTTCATTTCCAACTCCTTACTCCAACAAACAAACTGTACTGAGCAATCTCCTTGTAGATCTGGTGAGAGTTTCTTCGGGATAAATATGCAGGAGAGACTCGATGGGCATAGGGTTGCATATACTACACTTTTTTAAATGGGACAAGATTGCTCTCTCCAGAAAGACTGAACCAGCCACTCCTTCCCTCTATCAGTGCATATTGGTTCCCACATTCTTATAAAAAACTGGCATTATCCAACTTCATATTTTTGCCAGGCTAACTGGTATAAATTAATTTCTCACATTTTAATTTGCATTGTCTAATTAGTTATTTTTTAGCATCTCCTCATATGTATTATGTAGTGTTATATAATTAGCTTCTGGGGTGGCTGTACATTGCCTGTCCCTATACTTTACTCATTTTTCTATTGGAACTTCTTTTTATTTTTTAGTTGCAGGAAGTTCTTGTATAACCTAAATATTAATCCCAGGTCTAGTTTAGACATCGCAAATATTTTCTCCTATTCTGTCATCTGTCCATCTTAACTTTGTCCCTAGTGTTTTTTATTGAACAGGAATGTTTAATCTTGATTTAATTCAGTTCGTTTGTTTGCTGGTTGTTATGTTGTTTGTTGTTGTTTTGCAATGTGATTTGTGCTTTTGAAATTTTGTTTAAAAAGTCTTTCCCTGCTTCTGGGTCATAAAGATACCTCTTGTATTTACTTGGATTAACTTTATAATTTTATCTAGAAAACATTTTGGTTTCTAGTCTATTTCCAGTATGCCAGCGATGTGGTACAGAGTAGGGACCCAGTTTTATTTTTTTCTATATAGTGAGCCAGATTTCCTAATAACATTTTTACTACACAATCTGTCCTTTCCCTATTGATTTGTGGCAACGCCTCTGTCCTTCATTCATTTCCACATATATCTGTGTTTGTCCCTGACCTCTCCATTCTTCTCCATTGACCAACTTGTCTGTTCTTACTCCAAAACTACACTTAAAAGATTAATTATGGTTTCACAGCATGTCACCATCTAGTAGGATTAGCCCCCTCCCCATCTTTACACTCTTTTTTAAGGTTGATTAGTCACAAATCTTTATGTCTTTATATAAATTAATTTAACCAAGTGCCTCAAAAAACAATCTAGCTGGAGTTTTGATTAAAGTTGCATTTGATATGCAGCTTGATTTGGATAATAATTGACATCTTTTTAATACGTGTCACACCATTTGAAGTTTGGTAAAATTCGCCTGGGAGACTGACTGAGCCTGTGATTTTTGTTTGGAAGGTAGGCTTTTGACTTCAATTTGTTTAATTCTACTGACCTAGTTCAAGTTTTATTTCCTGTACCAATTTTAGCATCTCATATTTTTCTATGAATTTCTTTCTTTCATCTAGCTAGGCTTTCAAATCTAATGGCAGATGGGTATCTGTGCTCTTCTATGCTCTTCTCATCTTTGTGTTGTGATCTCCTTCTTCCCATTCTGTATTTTCATTTATGTCTTATTTTTTTCTTAATCCTTTTTTTATAGATCTCTTTTTAATACTTCAAAAAAAATTGGGCCAATCCTTTCAGTTGATTTTGTTGTGCACTATTTTATTTATTTCTGCCCTATAATGGTTTCCTTCTTTTTTCTTTGCTTTGTTGCTCTTTTGTGATTTTTCCATTAATTGCTGACTTCATTTATCATTAACATATTGTGTTTCCTAATAAATGTATTTAATACTAAATTCTTAATTAGCCAGGCATTGTGTTGTGTGCCTTGTAGTCCCAGCTACTTGGGAGGCTGAGGCAGGAGGATCTCTTGAGCTCAGAAGTTCCAGGCTGCAGTGAGTTATGTTCATGGCATGGCACTCCAGCCTAGGCAACAGAGTGAGACTCTGTCTCAAAAAGAAATACAAAAAATTTTTAAAAACCTAAATTTTCCTGAAATTTTCAGCTGGATACCACAATTTTGATATAGTTCTAATATTTTTAAAATTTATGATTTTCACTGAAAGGCTATTTAGTATGTTGTTCTGTTTCCAAACATAAGAGATTGTTTAGCTCTATTTTTCTTACTGACTTCTGCATATGTTTTTTAGTTTATTGCCTGATAGATATTTTTGTCAATGTTCCATGTGTACTTGAAATCTTTGCTTGTTTCATTTCATTGGTAGGTCTTTGATATCTCTGTTCTTTTTTTTTTTTTTTGTCTGCTTGATCAACCTGCTTCCATAACTACAATTATAGGATAGTCTATTTCTCTCTGCAGTTCTTTCAGTGGTCGAAACATTTTGAGGCATTCTAATTACACATATATATGATCAAAATGGATGTATCTTTTCTTTTTGTTACTTCTTTTATGAATATATATTGTCTATCATCTACCCTTTGTGATATTTTGTGCCTTAAATTCTTATTTTGTAAGATACTAATATTGCTACACTTTGTTTTACTTCATGATTACCTGGTATATATTTTTCTATATAATTTTATTCTCAATTTTCTGTTTTACTGTCCTCAGTGTGTGCTTCTAAGACAGCATATTGTTGTATTATATTTTGTTTTTTAATCCAATCTGACAGTGTCTTTGGTGAGTTTAACCCTTTTGCTGCTAAATTAGGATTTTGTTCCATTGTCTTATTTTCCACTTGCTTTATTCTGCTTTTTCTTTTCTCTGTTCCTAAATTCCATTGAATAGAACAAGCTTTCTTCTGTAAGACTAAAAATTATACATTGCTTTTGCCTTACGGTGGTTGACCTTCCATACTCATGTTTATATCTATTGTTTCATTAAACTTAGCAATGTCTAGATCATCTTTCTTGCTTTACTATGAATCTCATGTTCCCCTGGGCTTCCTCTCATTTTGCTACATCATGCTGATAGAACTTTAGTTCTGGGATGCTATATAAATATATTCCCTCCCATTCTAATTTTTAAGACAATAGTAAACTCTACCAAGATATGTGATTACCCTTTCTTCCTATAACTTGCTTCACCGTGTGGATTTATTTCTCTTATTATTTAAGGACTTCTCAAAGTGTTTTCAAGAATGGATCTTCCTGTGGAAAAAACTTCTGAAGCTGTATATGCCTCGGAATATTTTTATTGTGTCGTTACATTTGATTAAGGTATTGGTGGGATATAATTCTTTAATTCCAGAAAATTTATCCCCATTATGTCTTCAAATATTGCCTGTTGTCATTTTTCCTTTTTTTTCTTTCTAGGTATCTGATGCAGATGTAGACATTTCTCTGTCTTCCATATCTCAGCTTGTTTTTAAAAACTACATATTTTCTTTCTCCTCTTACCCTTTTCTGTTGTGTTCTGGGAGAGTTTTTCAATCTGATCTCCCAACTAATTGCTTTTTAGCTATATCCATCCTACTAGTTACCCCATCTATGGAGTTATTTCGTTGCTTGCCTTTTCCATACCTAATATTTCTACTTGGTTCTTTTGTGTGATTTTTATTTTTGTTAATGTAATTTCTTATTTCTTGAGACATATTTATAATGCTTATTTTAAATTCTTGGTCCACCTGTTCAAATACTTCTGCCAGATGGTACATGTTGTGCAGTTTGCTTGTTCATTTGGTAGTTGTATTGCTCTAGTCATTTCGGCTTTTGAACTTCTTTTTCTCTCCTCTCCTCTACTTACCCTACCTGGTAATGTTTCCTCTGTTCCGTTTTGTGATGTGTATTGGGAAAAGCCCAATGATGGCTTAGGCTCTTGGTGGAGAGCCCTATGCACCGTGGAATCACGACTGATTCCTGTGGGCTGTTGGCTTAGAGTAGCCAGAAAACTTCTCTGGTCAAGGTTTCATCTTAAAACCTTTAGGATAAGGCAAGATAGAAAAGAGATGGTCCCCATCACTTGGGCTGTGGAGAGGATGTGATGGATGAATGTAGGAGGTTAGTTGTTCAGTCTACAGCTGTTTTCATCACTTTTCCCCTTTGGCAGGGCTTTGATGCTGCCATGAACTTGCCCTGCAGACACCTGCACCAATAGCCCAGGCTGCTGCCACAGAGCTCTGCACTGAGGAGGTGGCAAAGGACTGCCTTTCTCCAGGCAGTCTCTTCACTGCTGCTTCGGGGTTTCTCCACCTTGGGATATAGCCACCCCTCCACAAACTGCAGTTCAAGAAAATCTTCATGCCCCAGGCATACAATTTCATTACACACGCACACGCACACACACCACACACTTCTTTGTGCTAGGCTTTCTGCTTTCATGTCAAAAATTCCCAAAGGGGAGTGGGAAGCCCTAGGCCACTAAGGTGAGCTTCAAATGCCTTTGCAACTTCAACAGCAAAATGCCAGGCTCCAGGAGGATGTGACAGAGGGCTCTGGGTGATGGGGCTTCCCCTCAGTGCTGAGGTGGTGCTTTCCACGCAGGGTACCCGAGAGGAGAGGCTCACAATGAAGCCCCGGGAATGCCTGCCCCACCATGGCTCCTGTTTATTGGGGAGTTTTGTTTGTTGCTTTCATTGTTGTTTTTGTTTGTTTTCCCAAATGTACATTTCCCCATTGCTTCTGTTTTTCTACAGCATTGATTAGCAAGCAGCTTGAGCTAGTTTTACCATCTTGCTAGCAACCTATCATAGTAAATAGTTAATCAATGTTTGTAATTGATTGGCAACGCTAACAAAAAAGTATGTCTTTCTTTCCAGTTTGTTTTCTTAACAAGAAAAGGTTCAGCTGGTTAAAAGGTATAGGTATATCCCTGACAAAAGGGGATAAAAAAGGAATGGATTATTTTATTGTGTGCCCACTAAATCCAGGCATTTGTTAAATACTAAATATGTGAGTTGAGTATGAAATTTCCTCCATAAATTTCTTTTCATCTACTTCACTAAATTAGATAAACCACTCTGGGCCCCCACCCACCTGGCTAGGAGAAAAGTCAGTCTTGGTGATGAAGGAAGCTTTCCCTTCCTTGGATCTTACCGAAGTCCCAGAAGAATGAGTCTTCTGCAGCCTAGATCTTTGCTGAAAGGGCACCTGCTTGTCGGCTCCCACTGGCCTGTTGGGGGACTCTATACTATAGTTGTGTACTGTTGCTATAGTGCACAGCCCAAGCCCTCCTCAGCTGGTGCAAGAGGGGATGGAGCGTTGGTGGCTGGCGGCTCACACAAAGTCTCCTTACCCTAGTCTCTGGAGAGAGGCTGCTCGGCTACTTCTGCGCCAGCCACCACCAGCCCAGGGATTTTTCTCTGAGATTTTCAAAGTAACAACCCATCATATACAATCTCCCTACCCCTAAATGCATATACCACCTCCTAGAGGACTAACTAGAAATGAGATGGGTCCAACATTCCCAAATTCCAGAATCCATGTCCACAGATCTGCTCTCAGTTTTAAATAATTTTTCTTCCTTTCCCATCACACACTCTATGTTTATTTGTTTATTTGAGATGGAGTCTTGCTCTGTCACCCAGGCTGGAGTGCAGTGGCACAATCTTGGCTCACTGCAACCTCCACCTCCTGGGTTCAAGGGATTCTCCTGCCTCAGCCTCCCTAGTAGTTGGGATTACAGGCATCTGCCACCACACCCAGCCCCATCACACAGTTTAAAATCAAGGCTATTTTCATCTCTTTTACTCCAAACCTTGCCTCCGTCCAGCTGGGCTGGGACCATTCAGCCTCCTCCCACTAAATAAGTTGGAAACAAAAGCTTTTTCTCTCCTCTGAGGGCCATTGAGTTGAAGGACAGCTCAGAACTTTAAAAACATGAGTCCACTTTTTCCAAAGATAAGCCTGGGCAAGATGAATCAGTTGGTTTGCTGTTGTTGTCACCATACTATACATGTGCTGTGTCATTTGATTCCCTCCCACAGCCCTGCAGGAGTTGCTATAGTGCACGGCCCAAGCCCTCCTCGGCTGGTGCAGGAGGGGATGGAGTGTTGGTGGCTGGGGGTTCACACTAAGTCTCCTTACCCTAGGAACCCTCTCCACAGTGGCCAGTGGCTGGCTGATGGGGAATTGTAGATGAGGTACAAAGACCCAGGCCCCCTTGACTGAAGGCGGTGCAACTCTGAAAGGCCATCCATCAGAACATCCTGTGAAACTGGCCGAGGCCTTGTGATTGTCGCAACCACTCCCCTGCCCAGTCCTGAATCCTTCCTGCCCCTACAGGCATTGGCCTCCACTCCCCATCTCTGCCTCAGAGTCTGTTTCCCAGGAACTGGACCTAACACACCCCAGGAGATAGATGGCAATATTCCTACTTTATAGATACGGAAACCGAGGCTCTGAGAACAGAAGTAACTTGGTCAAATGGGAAACTTGGCATTTGGTTACAAAATCTGACTCCCAGGACTTTGGATACTTTTTGGTCTGAGGGATTCCCACCCTCACTTGGGCAGGAATGTGGAATATTAACATCCCCTGGGCTGTTCACTCCCAGTTCCCTCTGCCTGGTGCCTGTCACTTCATGCCCCAGGCCTGGTTTCATTACACACACACACACACACACACACACACACCTGCACACACACCACACACACTTCTTTGTGCCAGGCTTTCTGCTTTCATGTCAAAAATTCCCAAAAGGGAGTGGGAAGCCCTAGGCCACTAAGGTGAG
Source organism: Homo sapiens (assembly GCF_000001405.40). NCBI lineage: Eukaryota > Metazoa > Chordata > Mammalia > Primates > Hominidae > Homo > Homo sapiens. The sequence goes on from NC_000006.12 coordinate 110,063,416, forward strand.
CTTCAAATGCCTTTGCAACTTCAGCAGCACAATGCCAGGCTCCAGGGGGATGGGGTGGAGGGCTCTGGCTAATGGGGCTTCCCCTCAGTGCTGAGATTGTGTTTTCCACACAGGGTCCCAGAGAGGAGAGGCTGACAACGAAGTCCCAGGAATGGCTGCCCTGCCATGGCTCCTCATTGGCCCAACCTCCACCCCTTGCCCTCCACCCCCATTCCTGAAAAGACCAGAGCTAGGGGAATGCTGTTTTTCAGTTTCCAAGGCAGAATCAAGAGTTGTTGCATTCTTTAAGAACAAATGCAATCTGCTGTCAGAGCACAGCCAATAACTCTCCTTCTGGGGCAGTCATTATAATGCATTCGCTCCCTCTCACTCCCTCTCCCTCCCTGTCATCCCCACATTCACCTGCCACATGCTGAAATATTGTCTAAGTGTAAACACTTTGGTCTTTGCCTAGGATCTCATAAAGAGGTGGTCCTGTTCATGCTGTAGCAAAAGCACCCAGAGCCTGCCTGATTCAGAAGGGAGCCCTGACTGTGAGCTAAACCTCATCTTGCACAAAGGGCCTGCTGCTCCCCACAGCAAAGCCCTGCCGGGCTGTGGGCCACAAGAAGCATCAAGAAGAAACTATAAAGAACCACCTGCTGTGTTTCTAACCACTAGGTCCTCATGTGCAAAAACCATATTGCTCATTTCATGCAGGGGATCCAAAATGACTGTGGGACTGCATGTGGCTTTGTGGTCTCCTGAGACCTGGCCCCGGGCTCACTCTCATGATTTCCCGGTGCTTCTCTCATGAAAGTGCCCAAGTGTCAGGGCAGATAAGGAGAGGGCGGGGGCCGTGGGGCTGTGCTGTTGCTCCTTGGAAAAATCCACAGTCAGAGATGCTCTGAAGCTCGGAAGGCCTCTGGACGGAGGCTGGCATCTGGCTTTCACGCTTGCAGCCCTGGGCCTTGCTGCACAGTCAAGTACCCATGGTTTGGAGTTGCAGCTTTCTCTATTGGTTATTAAGGTGAGAGTTCCATTTGTCCTGCTTGTTTTTTTTTTCCCCCTAAATGTTTTATTAAAATATGGAAAGGAAAAGAAAGTCGAGTGGATCACTTTAAAAGCTTAGAAGAGTCCTGCCATTTTGATAGCAGAGGACACTTCCAATGTCGGAAGAACAGAAGTCTGTGGGTGCCCCAGCCCCAGCAGGGGCTCCTCCTCTTCTGATGGTGATGGGGCAGCTGTGACCCCTGCAACCCTCAGTGTGTGCAGACCCCTCTTCCCCTCCCAGGGCCCCTCCCAGTGCTGAGGAGCCAGGCTGCTCCTCTCCTGTTCCCTGGATGCCCACCATTTCATTTGTGTGCTCAGCAGCATTTTCATCAAGTCCCAACCCTACATCAAGGCTGGGAACATGATGACAGTGAGGGGAAAGAGAAGTTTAACAGCTGTCACAGAGCTCACCAAGTCTAGGAAGGAAGACCAACACTAATCACAGAATTAGACAAATCAAAGTAAAATTATAACTGTGCCACGTGCCAAAGCAATGAGGCACATGGTACCATGAAAGCATGTAACAGAGGGCCTGCCCTAGTGAGGCTTCCCTAGGAAGTGTGACTGAGCTGACTCACGGAAGAGCAGGCAAAGAGGGGAGATGCCAATTCCAGGCAGAGGGGACAGATGTGCTAAGGTCCTGTGGCAAGAGGGAGTGTGGGCCTCTAGGGAACTGAAATAAGGCCAGTGATGATAGAAATGGGAGACTGAAGGGAGTGTGCTATAATCTGAGACCAGAGGGGGACAGATCAGGTAGAACAATGGAAAGTCTTTGAAGTATCTGAAGCAGTCACGCAAAATAATCAGATTTGCATTTTTAAAAAGTCACTATTGGCTGCAGCAGAGAACAAAATAGAATGAAATGGTAGAGATGGGTTAAGAGGTTACTGCTTGGACCAGAGGTAGCAGCTGTGCAGATGGGGAAGGAAACAGGCATCAGAGCTCTTTCTGAAGAAGGGTCACCAAGGCAGCAAGGCTAGGCAGTGGATTCGATGCGGTGGGGAGGGAGAAGGTGGTGTTAAGAAATATATGTGGGTTTTGGCTTCATAACTGGTTATGTAGTAGGAGGGGGATCAAATTTGAGGAAAGACAACGAACACGTTCAGACATGTTGAGTTTGAGATGCATAGAAACATACAGGTTGTGGAGTCAGAGGCAGTTGGATGTCTGGGAATCATTTCATCTATAATCAAATTCTATTTTATTTTTTTCTGCTAGAGATACAAAATAGATAATTACTGAGAAAAAAAACTGGGGAAACTTTCCACACACATAATTTGTGTCTAGAAACATAGAAACAAACATTTCTTTAGAATGTACAAAATGATTCCACATACAATCTGTTATGGTAGAAAGCCTTCTAAAATGGACCTGGTGCAAGAAATCCTAGTTGAAGTCCTAGTGACAGGAGCTCTGGACTAGAAACCTCATTTATGGTAGAGGTGGCTACCAAAGCCCTCGGCATGGTGAGTTCACACAGGCAGCAATTACAGAATGGGAGGAGACAAGAACGGGATGGTGGATGGGAGGAACTCCAGTAGTTAATGAGCCTGCCAAAGAGGCTAAGAGGAGCTTGTAGAGAATTAGAGACAAGGCAGGAGAACGTCAGGTCTCTGAAGTTAATGGGAAAGAAGTGTTTAATGAAGAAGAGGACTTTGCTTATGCCCATGATAGACTAACAGGGACCAGATTTGCCTGCCTTCTTTAAACAGCTACTAAAACAGACAAGGTATATCCAACGATGATTCTCAGACATTCAACCATGGTTTTCAGGCAGCACAGGACAGTGATCCCTGAGAGAAGAGAAATAAATGAGGTGTGTCTCCTGCAATTGACACAGCCAGCTGTCTGAGAGTTTCCAGGTGCCAGCCAGGGAGGGAGGAGCAACAGAGCTTGATGGTCTTCCTGGGTCAAGGAGAAAGAAGTGAGAGTTTGGGGAGACCAATTTATTCTCTCCTCTGTCTTCTTCCAGAGAGCTTTGAAACCTGTGATCACACTGAGCTGTCCCTGGGGCCTGGAACTAGCTGCAAACAGCCTCATGAGTGGGTGAAAACATGGCAGGCAGCCTAGGTGGGAGAAGTGATAGAGGGGCCCATTCTGCCTGGAGAGTGCAGGTCCATGGGGGAAAGGAGGGTCAGCCTTCCAGGTGTGGAAGGACTGGGTACAGGGGTGATGCAGGCTGAGTGGAATCTCAGGGTCTTCAGGACTGCCAGGGTCCTAGCCAGGGCAGTCACCTACTTCTCCGCCGACTGGTGGCTGCTCTTACTCAAGTTTGTCTTTGGAGAAACTTGTCTGGAGTTCAACACACCTGTTTGTTAACTTCATGGTAAGAAACAGCTGAAAGAAGCCCACCCACCAGGCCTGGAAGTCCAGCTCTGTGGGAGAGACATGGCTACCATTTTGTCCAACATTTGTTATCCAAATCACTGTGTCTTGTTTTAGTCTATGCAGTCCCCAAGCTGACCCCATCCTTGCATACCTCAGAGGCGGTGACAGGCCAAAGGCCTCCTTTCTTTGGTGTCAGTCATTAGTTAGGACCAACATCCTTATACAGAGGCAGTGATCCCCAAATCAATCTGCCCAAGAGCCTGAGGTGTAGGTGCCAAAGACCTAGTGCTGCCAGCAGCAGCCCACAGAGCCACGAAGTCACACAGACCGGAGGGAAAAGCAAAGCCGAATCTCCACCCAGAAAGTCAGCTCTAAGAGTGGGCCAGGGGCTGTTCACTCCCAGCCATTCTGGAGCCTGGCCAGGTGAGGCAGCTCCGGCAGGCCAAGAGAGGATGGGGCTGAGGAAGTGATGGGAAGTGAGACCCAGGACCATGCCAAGCTCTGCCACCATGCCTACATTGTGATGCTGAACTAACTACAATTCTGGTTAGTGATGTGTGTGTGTTTCCTCGAGAGCAGCTCAATTCAGTGGGGAGAAAGGCTCTATGATGTTCACATAATGTTCATCACCCACTATATTAGTGTCTGAATTTCTACCCAGAACACTTGTGCCTGTCAGACAAGACAGCAGTTCAATTAGCCTCCAAATGTCACAATTTCTAGTAATTACAGTCATGCACAAACAATAGAAAAAGCACAACAATGGGTCTGATTTGAAACATTAACTTTCAAAAATGCTCACAAATGAATGATTTCATCTATAATCAACTTCTATTTTATTTTTTTCTCCTAGAGATAGAAAATAGATAATTACTGAGAAAAGAATTGGGGAAACTTTCCACACACATAATTTGTGTCTGGAAACATAGAAACAAACATTCTTTGGAATGTACAAAATGATTCCACATACAATCTGTTATCCTTGTAGAAAACCTTCTAAAATGGATTTGGTGCAAGAAATCTGAGTGGAAAAACAGCTGTGGTTTCAGGCATGTCAAACCTGAAATATGCATGTATGCATGTGTGGGTGTATGTGTATGCTCCCCATAATAGGACCCTGTTCTCCTCACTCTCTATGTAACCCACGCATAAGTGGGCATGAAATGATTAAATAACAAAACCCCAAGCTGCGGTACCCAAGGAGAATATCTGATAGAGCAACATTAAAAAGTAGCATAGAGTCAGCGACTGCTATGCAGTGGGAAGACTTGGTAACTATAGCAACTTGCTTTAGAAGTTGTTCTTTCCCTGCCAAAAATCAGGTAAGCCTTGTCAGCACTCCCACTGACACACCACAGGGAGACAGAAGCTATTCAAGAGAGGCAGCAGGCCAGCCACACAAAGGGCACATGAAGGAAAGTAAACCTTCTTAAGTTTCTGCACTACATGGGTCTATGGGGGAGCAAATTATGAACAAGAACGAGTAGTACAACTGAAGAAGGCTGAACATAGAGGATTTTTGAACTCTTGAAACAGAATGACAATTATGTGTAATGACTACATCAGCCCAGTTGTGACCATTCTAATATAAACTGGCATGGAGCACAGGAAAAGATCAGCACACAATCAGGAACCAGGATGAGTTATTAATAGGACCCAGACAGGGTACGGGTATTTCCTTCAGGCTCCTAGAAAAGGCTTCACCAAGTCCACAGAAAGGAGGACCGGAGTTAACACTAGTTACCCACCATATATAGTTAGATTTTGTAGTTGGCAGCAATTTTTTTTTTAAGTTTAACTTAGTAAACTGCATAGTTGATCCCATAGAAGAATCTCAGTTCTTCTCATCGAATGCTTTATATTAAAAATCCTGGAGCAAATACAATTAGAGGAACGTTGCTATGCCAGGTGAACCTCAGTGACCTTCGGCAATCCAGTCTCTGAAGTTGGCAGAAGGTAGGCATCTCTCACACTGAATTGGTGTACTGTATTGGACACGGCCTGAGGCTCAGCTCATGCATCTTGCTGCAGCACTCAGTGCAGCTGATTACTGCCTCCTCGTCAAACATTCCCTCCGTGCGACTTCAGGAGAACTCACTCTCTTGTTTTCCTCCGACCCCACCAAGGCTTTTGCTCCCTTCTGTTTGTAGGATCTTCCTTCTATTGCCCAACTCTAGATGACCTAAGTCTTTGAAGTCTTCCTCTTCCATTTCCTGCATGGACTCTTTTAATGTCATGGTTCTCACTACCTCTGCATACTGATGACTCCTATTAATATCTGTAGCTCTGGACGGGTGCGGTGGCTCATGCCTGTAATCCCAGCACTTTGAGAGGCCGAAGTGGGTGGATCACTTGAGGTCAGGAGTTCGAGACCAGCCGACCAACATGGTGAAACCCTGTCTCTACTGAAAAAATACAAAATTAGCCGGGTATGGTGGCACACACTTGAAATCCCAGATATTTCAGGGGCTGAGGCAGGAGAATCAATTGAACCCAGGAAGCAGAGGTTGTAGTGAACTGAGATTGCACCACTGTACTCCATATTGGGCAACAAGAGGGAAACTCTGTCTCAAAAAAAAAAAACCAAAAAAATCTGCAGCTCTTGGACTCAAGACTGCTATAGCTGACCTCCCTCTCATTATGTCCGCATGGATGTCTAACAGGCGTCACAAACACAGCATGCCCCAAACTGTCTTCTCTTAGTAGACAGGTGGTTCCACCATGAAAGTACTTCCCAAATCGGAGCCCTCCAACTCTGCTCCTCAGCCCCTGTCTGCCCCTAGCCAACACTGGATTGCTCCTGTGGCCTCCTGAGTTCCCTGCCTTTGCCCTTGCCCTTTTCTATAGTCTATTCTCCATATCACAGCCAGGTTCTTTTAAAAATACAAATCAGATCCCATCACTACCTTGTTCAAAAACTTCCCTTGTTTTTGTGTCACAGGAGGAATAAAAACCAGAGTTCTTGCCGCAGCCACTGAGCATGAGCAGGTGTGCTTCCTCTTCAATTCCCTACCCTCTCCTCTTGGCTCACTCTGCTCCTGATGTACGGGCCTTCTCTGCTGCTTCAAACATGACTGCAGAGCCTCACACTTGCTGTTATCTCTGCTTGGAATACCTGGAATCACTCATTCCCTTTATCCCAGTTTCTGTTTTCTCCTTAGAGAGAACCACTCTGCCTATTTTATTTAACAACCCCCACTCCTACATTCCATTCTATTCCTTTATCCTGTTTTATTTTTCTTTGCCACACTAGTCACTGCCTATATTATCATAGGTAATTTGTCTCCCTCAGTAGAATGTGAGGTTTATAAAAACAGGGACTTTTTGTTGTTGTTCACTGCTTCCCCCTAGGACACATGAATGGTGCCTGGCACATGGTGGGTGATCAGCAAATATCTGTTAATGAATGAATAAACACACACATAAAGAAAACAACTGTATTTTTGTGTAACACATTGGCTGTGACATATAATGGTGCAGCAGTTTTTAAACTTCTTTTGATTTCGTTGCTAAATGGTCTGGTTTCTTTAACAAATCAGGTGATAAAATAAATCATACTGCCAGAGAATTAACATTTGGGGTTAAACATGGCTATTCCATTCCTTTTCTATAAAAGAGATTTCAGAAATGTAGCTAATAGAGGAGTCTGAATAGAATTAGAAGTAGGATTTTAGACCTGGAAGAGTCTTCTCCCTATATCCTCCTCCCCAAGAGCAAATATAAACTGTGCCTTCCAAACTGTGTGAGTTAGGAGGAACCTGTCCTAAGCTCATTCACAAAGGCATCCTAATACAGGTGCTTTTCTCAGAGGACTTCTCTTTCTAGTTGCTAAAAATAAATAAATAAAATTCCCTCTATATCATTACAGAATTTTAAATATTAACTACCATGTACTGAGCATTAACAATATGCCACCTGTTTGATATTCACTTGTTTAATCCTCACGGCAACCTTGTGAGGTGGTACTGTTAGCAGTCCCATTTCACAGATGAGAAAATGAAAGCACAGAGAGGCT